>NC_000004.12:26822916-29322916 GCF_000001405.40 Homo sapiens | reverse complement strand
TCTGTATATATAGTTTCTATAAATAGTATATATAATATATTTTATATATAGTGTGTGTATATATATTTATCTTAATTCAGAGCCATGGGACATTCTGTTTTATGATTTCTGACTCTGTAAGATTTTTTTTTTTAAATAGACAAACGGAATTGGTATTTAAAGGTAATGGAAGATGTATTAGGTTCCCATCGCAGCTGTGACACAGGAACATAAATTTGGTAGATTAAAACAACACAAATTCACTACCTAAGGATCTGCAGGTTAAAAGTTCAAAATAGGCTTCACTGCAATAAAATCAACATATCACTAGGGTTTCATTCCTGTCTTGAGGTTTTAGAGGAAACTATGTTTCCTTGCCTTTTCTAGTTTCTAAAGACTGAATGCATTTCTGAGCTCATGCTCCCATTTCACCTTCAAGCCCACAACTGCCTGTCTTTCTCGCTTTACATTGCTCCAAAACAAGTCGTCTTTTGCTTTCTTCTTCTACATTTAAGGATCCTGTGATTATACTGGACCAACCCAGATTATACAGGACAATTTCCTCACTTTAAGGTTGGTTGATTAGCATCCATAATCCCATTTGCAATCTTAATTTCCCTTTTCCAGGAGACGTAAAAATTTGGGGATAATGATGTGGCTATCTTTGGTATACCATTTTTCTGCATATGACAGAAGAGGAAAACAGTTTTAAGCTATTCTAATATACATATGTAAAAATTGTTTTTAAATTATTTAAATATAATATGGCTTGAATTAAAATATTTAATAAAAGTGATTCAGAACAACTGGAGGTAATAGGACTTACAGAATGAAAAACTAAGTTCCCCAATAAACCCTCTCCACAGGAAAAAAAAAAATTACCCAGAGAAACTTAAAAAAAAAGTCAAAGTTTAAAAATTGTCCTCACAGCATATCAAGTGGAGAAACATGTCTTCAGGAAAATATATTAAATCTTTATAGGAAAGAAAAAGTCTGTGGCATCTGATCCAAGTTTTACTCCATTATCCCATGACCTTCTTCATGATACAGTAGCTGTACCCTGTGCATGTGCAGCCAGGACAATGGGGACCTCCTCTCACTCTAGCTCCCAGTCAGAGGCAATGGTGTAACCCTTAGAAGCACACTTGGCTGGCGTCTCTTACCTATATGACTCCAAGTCTAAAGCTACACAAGCTCCATTCCAGGAAGGCACAGTAGAAAGGACTGCTCTGTTGTTCCCCATCCAGCCCTTATTTATACAGAAGGAGTTTTATCTCAGATATGGCAGGCTGAGAATACTGAAGTTATGATTGTCCTTGATCTAGTTCACTTGTAGAGAGAGGTTTCATGCCAGAAGGGATAAACAAGAAAGACTGCTATCCTCTTCTCCCTGGTGCCAATTTGTAGAGTTGGGTTGCCAGTCTGGGAAATGCACATTCGTCTAATTCTGGAGCAGTGTTGCAAAGCTTCTGATCACAGGGAAAGGCAAACCCGAAGGGCTACGAGCCCCACAACTGTGGCTGAGGGGAGTGATTTCATTTGGAACAGAGAGTGGAAAACTCCATTCCTAAGGCCTTTGTTGAAAATAATGCAGTTTTTCCTACACCAATTGAGAGGAGATTGTAGGTCTGATAAAAACAAAACAGCAGAACGGTCAGAAGTTTGGCAGAAAAAACAAGCAGAAAAGAGCTACTCTGGGACTAAAGACAACAGCTCTGGAGGTTAGCAAGTCTGTGTGCATAGGTTAGGTTGCACCCCTCAGGAGTATCAGAGCAAGACCAGGGGCAGACTTGAAAGCATTCACTAAACTACACACAGACCCAACAACTCAGGTCTAAAGCCCCACCGGCACAAAGGTGTTAAGCACTCACTAAGCAATAAGCTACCCTAACCTAGGAAGCCAGGAGTCACACTCCTTTTAGGAAACTAGGAAAACTTTCTGACAGTCTGTAATGCTTCACGAATGCCAAAGGCTGAGTTCCTTTCAACAGCAACCAGAAGGAGAGAATGTTTATACTAGTTCCAAGCTGAATGTGAAATGAAAAATGTAAATTTTGTGATGGCTGCCTTCAAGCCACATACACACATGCATACACACAACACAGCAGAAAACAGTAAAATGTAACCTGCAATAGAGATGTAATCCAATCTTTGACTAAGTGGCTTATGAGGACCCAGGGAGCTACCTAAAAGATAAAATGAGGGAAAAATACCTGGGCAGGAATATTGAAGATTTCACACTGCAAATATATTGTGAAGAATTAGTTGAGCTAACTCACTGAACACATATGCAAATGGCCATGCAAACGTCCATAGCACCCCTCCCTCCCATAGTGGGTATCAGTATCGAGAATTGCTTCAATATGTGATCTAAAATATCCAATTTCAACAAAACGTTGAGACAGGTAAAAGAACACAGGAAAGTGTGATCCACACACAGAAAGAAAAGTAGGCAATAAAAACACCTGTGAAGGGGCCGAGATTAAGATTTAGTACACAAAGACTTAAAAGAAACATATATATTTCTTTTTCCTAAAAGGGATAAAGGAAATCAGTGTGTAAAGATTTAAATAAGGTGTAGTGACAACATCTCACTAAATAGAAAACATAAGTAAAGAGATACAAATTACACAAAGAACTCAGAATAGAAATTCTGAAGCTGGAAAATACAATAACTGGATTTAAAAAATTGCTGGAAAGGATCAACAGATTTGACTCAGCAGGAAAAAGAATTAGGGAACATGAAGATAGAGTAATAGAGATTACGCAATATGAAGAAGAGAGAAAACAAAAAACAAGAAAAATAGAGTCTAAGAGAAATCATGGAAACCATCAAGCACAAAAATATAGCTTTAATGAGAGAATATAAAAGAAAGTAGAGAGATAAAAGGACAGGAAATTATTTAAATAATGCCTGAAAAACCCCAAAATATGAGGAAAAATACTAATCTATACAAATAAGTATCATGACAAACTTCAAGTAGGATAAATTCAAACAGAGCTACATCTGGACATATTTACAGTAAAAATCTTGAAAGCTAAAAATAAAGAGAAAATCTTGAAAGCAGCAACAGAAAAATGACTCATCTCTTAAAAAGGAGCACTAATACGATTAAGAGCAGACTTATCAGACAGGATGAAGGTGAGAAGATGGTGAGACAATGTTTTTAAAGTGCTGAAATGAAAAAAATGTTTAAAAAGCTTACATTCAACAACACAATTTTTATAAATGAAATGAAAACAAAGAAATTACCAGATAAACAAAAACTGTGCATATGTATTGTTTGCAGATCCACTTTACCAAAAACACTAAGTGTGCTTTTTCGGGTTAAAAGCAAATGGCATTATAATTTGATGCTACATAGCACAGACTGTCAGTAAAGAAAATTATGTGAGTAAATTTTTTAAACGTATGATTGTATATTTTTTCTTACTTTAGCTGATTTAGAAAGCAAATCTATACAACAACACATATTAATAAAATATTTTTATTTATAAAACAGGCAATATGCTAGGCCCTAAAAAAAAAAACTCAATAAGTTTAAGAGGAAAGAAATTATATAAGATACATTTTCTAACCACAATTTAACTTATAAATAATTTAGAAAACATTAAAAAAATTTGGAAACTTTACAAGTATGTGGAAAGTAAACAACACACTCCCAAATAACTAAGGGGAATGAGCAAATACTTGAAGAAGAATAAAAAGAAAAAACACACAATACCTGTAGGATACAGTTAGTCAGTATATAAAGGAAATCTACTAACTGTAAACCTCAACATTAAAAAATAAGAAAGGCTTTCAATTAATAACCTAATCTTCCACTTAAAAGTTAGTTTAAAATAAATTAATAAACCAAACAAAGCAGAAGGAAGAAAATAATAAAGACTAGAGTAAAAACTAATGAAATAAAAAAGTAGAAACACAATAAAGATATAAACAAAACACAAATTTCCTCTTTGAAAATGTCAACAAAATTGACAAGCTTTTAGATGTACTGACTGTGAAAAAAAAGAAAGAAAAAATGAAGGCAAAAAAAAATAAGAGAGGTGAGATAAATTACTAAACCAAGAATAGAAGATGGGATATTAGTGTTAATACAAAAAAAAATCAGGAAGAAAAATTATTATAAACAACAAATGCCAAGAAGACAGTTATGATAGATAAAATAGACAGCTTACTAAAATAAGATAAAATATCAAAGCTGATTCAAAAAGAAATGATACATTCTAAATTGTCTTATAACAAGTAAAAAGACAAAATTAGTAAATACAGACTTTCCCACAAATGAAAATCATGCCCAAAGAGCTTCATTGATGAATTCTAAATAACATAAAAAGAATTAATAATTTCACAAATTCTTCCTCCTAAAAAAAGTAGAAGAGGGAATAGTTTGCAACTCACTTGATGAAGCCAGCATTATGTTGCTGATAAATAAGAAAAAGCTGTCAGATAAAAAGAAGACTACACATTATTCCATGCTCATGGATAGGAAGAATCAATATCATGAAAATGGCCATAAATGCCCAAGGTAAGGTGTAGATTCAATACCATCCCCATCAAGCTACCAATACCTTTCTTTATTCGCAGAATTGGAAAAAACTACTTTAAAGTTCATATGGAACCAAAAAAGAGCCTGCAATGCCAAGACAATCCTAAGCCAAAAGAACAAAGCTGGAAGCATCATGCTACCTGACTTCAAACTATACTACAAGGCTACAGTAACCAAAACAGCATGGTACTGGTACCAAAACAGACATATAGAGCAATGCAACAGGAGGGAGGCCTCAGAAATAACACCACACATCTACAACCATCTGATCTTTGACAAACCTGACAAAAAACAAGAAATGAGGAAAGGATTCCCTATTTAATAATTGGTGCTGGGAAAACTGGTTAGCCATATGTAGAAAAGTGAGACTGGTTCCTTTCCTTATACGTTATACAAAAATTAATTCAAGATGGATTAAAGGCTGAAATAGTAGACCTAAAAACATAAAAACCCTGGAAGAAAACCGAGGCAGTACCATTCAGGACATAGGCATGGGCAAGGACTTCATGACTAAAACACCAAAAGAAATGGCAACAAAAGCCAAAATTGACAAATGGGATCTAATTAAACTAAAGAGCTTCTGCACAGCAAAAGAAACTACCATCAGAGTGAACAGGCAACCTACAGAATGGGAGAAAATTTTTGCAATCTACCCATCTGATAAAGGGCTAATATCCAGAATTTACAAAGAACTTAAACAAATTTACAAGAAAAAAAACAAACAACCCCATCAAAAAGTGGACAAAGGATATGCACAGACGCTTCTCAAAAGAAGACATTTATGCAGCCAACAGACACATGAAAAAATGCTTATCATCACTGGCCATCAGAGAAATGCAAATCAAAACCACAATGAGATACCATCTCACACCAGTTAGAACCGCAATCATTAAAAATTCAGGAAACAATAGATGCTGGAGAGGATGTGGAGAAACAGGAACACTTTTACACTGTTGTTGGGAGTGTAAACTAGTTCAACCATTGTGGAAGACAGTGGTGCGATTCCTCAAGGATCTAGATCTAGAACATTTGACCCAGCAATCCCATTACTGGGTATATACCCAAAGGATTATAAATCATTCTACTATAAAGACACATGCACACGTATGTTTATTGTGGCACTATTCACAATAGCAAAGACTTGGAACCAACCCAAATGCCCATCAATGATAGACTGGATTAAGAAAATGTGCCACATATACACCATGGAATATTATGCAGCCTTAAAAAACGATGAGTTCAAGCCTTTTGCAAGGACATGGAGGCATCTAGAAGCCATCATTCTGAGCAAACTATCACAAGGACAGAAAACCAAAGACCGCATGTTCTCACTCATAGGTGGGAACTGAACAATGAGAACACTTGGACACAGGGCAGGGAACATTACACCTTGGGGCCTGTTGTGGGGTGAGGGGCAGGGGGAGGGACAGCATTAGGAGAAATACCTAATGTAAATGATGAGTTAGTGGGTGCAGCAAACCAACATGGCAGATGTATACCTATGTAACAAACCTGCACGTTGTGCACATGTACCCTAGAACTTAAAGTATAATAATAATAAAAAAAAAGAATTCTTGACCAGCAGAATTCATGAATATACAAAGCTTTGTGGGTTATGTTTTAAATAACTTCATGCTGAATAAAGTTGACCCTCAAATTAAAAAAAAAACAACAAAAAACTAAAACAAATCAAAAAACAACAACAACAAAAAAGAAGACTACACATTTTTATCTGAGTATAGACAGAAAATTCCTCAGTGGATACTAGCAAATCTACTCTGATTTGAAGCATGTGAAGAGGATTATATACTACGAAGAAGTGAAATTTATCCCAGAAATACTAGGTTGTTTAACATAAAAAATTAATGAATATAATACAATGTATTTGTGGGAAAGAGAACAAAGACATATTATGACCTCAATAAATACAGAAGAAGCATTTGACAAAATTCAACAGACTTTCATAACAAAAATAATTAGAAAACTAGAAATAAAATGATATTTCCCCAACTGAAAAAGGGCATCTGTGAAAAACTCACAGGCAACATCATATATAATGTGAAAGACTGAATAGTCTCCCCTCAATTCGCTAACAAAGGAAGCATTTTCAGCCTTGCTACTTCTATTTAATATTGTATTGGATGTTCCAGTTAGGTTAGTTTGACAGGATAAAGAGATAAATAAATATTTATTTATATATAAAAGATAATATTTATGTTTATATGTTTAAATATAAAAGACAATTTTTATAAAATAGAAAATAATACAAAAACTAAACTAAACTCTTACCAATAAAAGAAACAAGAAGTAAAACTATCGCTCTTTTTAGTTGCCATAATCTCGTCTATAGAATATCCTAACGAATCCACTCAAAATACCGTAAAACTAATGAACAAATTCAGCAATACTGAATACAAGATCAATATATTAAAATCAATTGTATTTCCATACACTCTCAGTGAACAACCAAGAAATTAAATTAAAATAATTACATTTACAATAGCACCAAAAAGAATATAATACTTAGGCATAACTTTTACATAAGAAGTATCAGACTTGAACACTACAATTTTTTAAGTGATAGAAAGTTAAATATCTCAATAAACTAAAGATAACATATTTTCAAAGATCAGAGGAGTAAATATTAAGATGACAATACTTACCAAATTAATCTACAGAAACAACACAAACTGTATCAAAATATCAAGTGGCTTTTTTCAGAAATTAACAAGCTGATCCTCTAATTTGTATGAAAATATAAGTAACCCAGAATAGATCAACAATCTTGGAAAAGAAGAACAAAGTTAAATAAACCACATCTCCCAATTTAAGAACTTAATATAAACCAATAATAATCAAGATACTGTGGTCTTCCATAAGTAAATATTTATAGGTCAATGGAATAAAATTGAGGGTCCAGAAATAAATTTTCACATTTATAGTCAGTCAGGTTTTGACAAGGGTTCCAAGAGAAATCATTGGGAAAATAATAGTCTTTTCAACAAATCATGCACAAAGTCTGGGTATCCATATGCAAAATAATGTAATTGTACTCCTACCTTACATCAAATTAAAAATTGTTCTCAAAAAGAATAATCTATGTGTAATAACTAAAACTATAAAAATATTAAAAGAAAATTGGAGTAAATTTTTAAAACATTGGGTTAAGTGGGTTAGGCAATGTTTTCTTAGATAAGACAAAATTATAAGTGACAAAAAGAAAAATAGATAAATTGGATAGCATAAAACTATTTAAATTAAAATTAAAAACCTTTTTGTGCACAAAAAAAATCATAAAGTGGAAAAAATCCACAGAATGAAAGAAACATCTGCAAATCATATATCTGTGAAGGTATCCAGAATATATAAACACCTTTTTAAAATTGGACAATTAAAAAGACAATTCAATTGAAAACTGGCACAAAGATATGGGCAGACATTTTGATACAGAAGATATACAAATGGGTAATAAGCACATTAAATGATGTTCTATATGATTAGTCATTAGGAAAATATAAATCACAATGACATACTTCACAGCAACTAGAATGGCTATAATTAAAAAGACAAACAATAAGTGTTGTAGAGGATGTGGGTAAATTGAAACATTCATGCATTAATGATAGACACATAAAATGTTTTAGCTGTTTTAGAAACAGTTTTTCAGTTTCTCAAAAAGTTAAACATACAGTTACCATATACCCATTGACTGTACATCTTTGTATATACTCAAGGGAATTGAAATATATAAAATATAGCTATCAGGTACTGGGCGTAATTCCTGGGTGATGAAATAATACGTGCAACAAGCCCCCATGACACATGTTTAACTATGTAGCAAACCTTCCCATGTACCCCCAAACCTAAAATAAACGTTAAAAAAGGGATATTTATTAATGCAAAATATCATATATGGATGCTGTGACAGCATTTTTCATCCTTGGCTAAATAGTTGAAACAACCCAAATGTTCTTCAACTGATTAATGGATAAATAAAATGTGCTACATTCACACAATAAGATGTTATTCAACAATAAAAAAATATGTACTGACACCTGCTATAACATGGATAATTCTTGAAAACATGCTAAGTGAAATATAATTCAGTCACAAAACACCACACATTACATAATTTAATTTCTATGAAATGTGCAGGATAGGCAAAATTATAAAGTCAGAAAATAGATTAGTGTTGCTTAGGGCTGGGGTGGAAGTGAGAAAAATGGAAAAGGGAGATTGACTGTTAAAAGATCCAAAATTACTTTAAGTGATTTTGAAATATCCTAAAATTTTATTGTGAACAATCTGTTATTTAAAATTTTCTAAAATTTTATTGTGAATAATCCTGTGAATATACAAAAATATCTTATTGTGTAGTTGAAATTGTGAATTATACGATAATTTATATCATTTATTTCCTTCTTTACTAAGGTATAACTCCTACATTTTTAATTTTCTTGCCATATAATCTTCATACTACCAAAATAATTGTAGCTTTTTACACAATTCATTTCTGTTCTGATACCAACAGTTTTCTATTTGATATTCTATAATATATTTCCAAGGAATTAACCCCTAACTAAAAATTGATTCAAAAGCCTACAGAAGAGGCAGCAAAAATTTTATTTTGCTATAAAATTTGAGAAGTTCTGGCCTAGGACAAAAGCAATCCTACTATTTCAATTATCTGTGAGTAATGGGAGTACATGTGAGCTAGGTTCACAATTCTTTGGGATAAGGAGAAAGCTTTGAAACAGTTTAAGTAACTGGAAAAGTACCAGGACTCAAAGCACTTTTACTTGCATTGCCCATAGAAAAATACAAGAATAGATCCCATAATCATTTTGTTACTGTTGTTCTTCTGTTGCTAGTACAACCACACACTGAGTACACCAATGAATTGAGTTATAATATAAAAATATTTAATATGGTTCATTTTAACATAAGAAAACATCTCATCTACATAATGTTTTGTTTTTGTTAATTGGTGTTAAGCTACTTTTCTATCACAGTACTGAAACAACTATTTCAGTTGCTCGTATGACCACTTCTGAAGCAAAATTCTATCATCAGCAAAAATGACATAATTTTAAATTATATGATATAGCAAATATTAATACCAATCTAACTAATCTGAGACCTGAAATAAATAGCAGAGGGCAGGGGTTAGGAGTTACCAGATACTCTCATAGCACTGATTGTTTCATAGTATTTTAACAGCATTGGTCTATAAAACATTACTAAACTGGTTTCTAGGTCAGCTTCTTACTTTTCGTGTAATTAAAATATAACGAATAATAAAAGTATTATGAGAAATTTCATACATTGCTCTTGGTAGTTCCTATTAAGTAAAAAATACTGAATAGTCATCAATATTGAGTTACTTTTCCTAATAACCTACTTGTTTCGTATGAAATGTATTATATAAAAAAAAACTAAACACTTTCAGAAGGAAACAACAAAGTTTGAATGAATGGTCAATCAATAGAAAGCCTGTGATTTTTTTTTAGTACATTAGAATCAAATGTTCAAATTTATGAAACAATTCTAAGAGCATATAGCAAAAATGAATGAGTAACAGCTAAACACTGTGACCTGAACATGAGTATTGATCATTTATCCTTTCCATAAGCCCACTAAATAGTACTTAAGCCACAAAAGAAGACATAGGCCTCAAAGGCAATAGTAACAACGAACAAAATATTTTCTATAGTTTTTAGAAAAAGCAATGCAGACAGAAGAGTGATAACTGACTTAAAAGTGAGAAGAAAGTTATAATTTAATTGAAGGCAGAGGGAGGAATGTGTCAGCTATGTCAATTTGTCCAATAAAACGTCTTTAGACTATCAACTTATACACACACACACACACACACACACACACACACACACCAGGACCCCACCAAAGGGAAGAGGTAAGACAATGACCTAAAAGCAGAAAGATCAGTTGAAGCTTTTTACACTGAACAGAGGAAAAGGCACAGAGATAAAAATTCTACATGCTTGCACTCATGTGTGGAATCTAATAAAGCTGAATTCATAGGAATAGAGAGTAAAATAGTGGTTACCAGAGGCTGGGGGAGGCGTGTGAGACGAAAGAGAAGTTGGACAATGAATATAATGTCACTGTTAGGAGGAATAAATTCTGGTATTCTATTGCACAGTGGAGAGACTATAGTTGATAATAATGTATTATATATTTCAAAAAAAAAAAAAAACTAGAAGAGAGAATCTGGAATGTTCTCACCACAAAGAACTGATAAATATTTGTGGTGATGAAAATGCTAATTACCCTGATTTGATCATTACAAAATGTATGTATGTATCAAAACATCACATTGTACTCCATAAATGTGTATAATTATTATTTGCCAATGAAAAATAAAAACTAAAAACAAATCTGCTGTGGAAAACTCTGATTTGCTGCTTGTTCCTCTGCCTCAGGCAGCTGGACCACTATAATTACTCCTCCCCACCCACCCAACTCTGGTGTCAAAACACCAGAGGCAAATTTTCTGAAGAAAGTGAACAAGAAAGACCTAGCAGACCAGTTTCAGCAGAAGGAAAGACATGGAACTGAAAAGTGGGGGATTCAGAGGTCGCCATCTAAATGAGGGTCACACAACCTACTTCATCTTCAGTGCACTTTGGGAATGCAGCTAAGAATATACTCTCTTCAAAACACACACACACACACACACACACACACACACATACACACACACAGTCACTAAGCAGGGGATAGAAGTCTTTTAAGAAACTGAGTTTTACCATTAATGTCAATATTTGCCAAATTGCCATCTCTGTTGCTCTCCTTCATGCTCTCCTAAGAGACACATCTGTGGAAATATGACAGTAAAAATAAAATCATTCAGTACGGAGAGTAGTTGTGTGAATTTTTTGTACTCTTGGGTTGTTTCCCTAAACCTTTAGGAAACCATGCATTTCCTCTGTACCACATTTTTCACTGGTGTCTCATCCATGGCTTCTTGTTGCTTCTCAATAACTTGGTTCCCTTTTGAAAATGCTGCCTACTCTGTTATGGAAGGAAAACTTAATTTTCATTGTTTGCATATCTATGAAAATCATTTCTCTATGGCTCCTACCTTTGGGACTTAGACTACAAATGTAACTATTTGTTGGACTCTGTATCTCTGTGCCTTTTCCTCTGCTCAGTGTAACTTCTATTTATTGGACTCTGTATATATGTCCCCAACATAACTTCCAGATATCTTTTAGGGCCAGCAGTTACATCACACAGAAAGGGCAGTTCAATATCATCCTATTATATTTGCTTTGAGACTTAGAAAAAGGGAATATGTTTGACAACAATATTTTCATAAAAACAATTACCAGGGAGAAATCAATGGAAAAATCGCTTTGACATGGAACATTATGATATTTCATGAAAATTAAGATTCACTGAAATGCAAAGGAAATTGATTTTCTGCAGGGAAAGTAATCACATATGTGTAGCCAATTGTCTCACTGCTTAAAATATATGCTGTGTCTTTTCCTCCTTTCAACACATTGGCCATTCCTTCCGATGCTACTCAAATAAAGGAGCCTTGAATGGCTCCTGTGGTATGTTAGGGGCCAGTTTCCAAACCTGGCCCCTAACAAACCATATTTACTGACATTCATCTCATTGTGTGGTCCCCTATCCCACTGATTGTTAAATGATCCTGTGATTTGCTTTAACCAACAGAAGAGGATGATGGAACACTGTATCTGCTTTGCTTCTAAACCTTAAGAAGGCCTGGAAGCTTCCATGTTTGATGTTTGAATCTCTTAGTTATCATGTAAATAGTTCAGCTATCAGGGAGAGTGACTGGGAGAGGCCAAGTTCCCAGTAGGAAGGGAGAGCTTCCCAGTATCCCAGTGAAACTTCAGATGACTCCAGCTTCACTTGGCCTATGACTGAAACTGCTTAAGAGACCAAAGACCTGCCCTTGGTTATACAGCAGTTAGCTATGCAGCAGTAGATTCCAGACATAAATCCAGAGTTATAGACTTCCCCCTCTGCCCTCTTAGGATGTTGATTTTTTCCTAATAATTTTATAACTGAAAAACCCTTATCACTTTATCTTATTTTTCAGAATATTTTAAATAGATTACAAATATATCTGCATGCATGTAATAGTGCTACACTAGCTAATGTGAAAGTGGAACAAGGAACTAGCTGTTCAGGTCCTTTTTCTCTGTAATAGTGTTCATTTCAGCAGTACTTTCAGCGTAAACACAAAGAAGTATGTCTAATTTAGACACTTTCTGGATTGAAAGGCAGTGAGGAAGAGAAGGGGGTACATTTGAGATTCTAATATGTCTTTACCTTTACTCGCTTATCCCCACAATCATACTCAAAGAAACTCACTATGTGATTTATGCTCAGAAATAAGCCCAGATTAAGCCAGACTCAACAGTTCTGACTTGGTTCCAGTCAGTTACTGGGAACAAATCTCCTAGGGTATTATTGTCTAAATACAGTAAGAATTAATGCTCACCTTCTATCTAACTTAGCAAAGTTTTTTTTTGAAAATTTATATATGTTATTCTAAGTCCTGGATCTAAAGGATATTTACAAGTGTATTAACACCACATATACCTTGAAAACTTTAAAATGTAGCCTAATACTTCCCAAGTCAGTGAGCCATTATCATGTGACTTTTCCATAGATCCTCAGCATTGCAGGTAGCCAGACTATCCTTCTAATTTTAAATGAAACTTTGAATACATACTTGGTGATACTTTTACGTCTCCCTATTACTATGTCTACATAACAGTTAAATATTACCAAATACCACCATAGCAGGAAACATGTAAGGAACACACTTATTGATGTTAATAATGTTCAGGAAAGAAGAAAATGGATGACAACTATGCCGAAGCTCACTCTCTTTTATACAAAACCACTTTAAATATTTATATCGCAGTTCAAAACAAAAAGTATGGGTAAGCATCAAGAACATTCACCAATTCAGACATGAGGATGAGAAATTAGATATGATTATTATTGCATATCTCTAATGTAAAGATACTTTCTTGGCAACAAGCCTGGGAAGGACAGTCAATGGGATGTGAGTCAACCCAAAATGATGTATTATTCGGCCAAACACTCATAAGAGTAATTGCTGGAACCTAAGCTACTTGGAGTGCCATTACTTTTCCCCACGAGAATCCTGGCAGATTCCCCAACATTTTCTGTAGCGGTCAGCACAGTTAATGACTGAAATCATCCTTTGAGTCACCTTGAATTTGCAATGTCCCTGTTCTCATGGTGCCACTTTCTCTCCTAGTCTTCACTGATATTCCCTGCCACTGCACTGCTGTGACATCTTAGAGCCTCATTTATTTAATGTGATTTTTCTATACCTTATTCTGGGGGAGAGTCTCTTCTCCCCTCCCAAACGAGCGTTAGACCCCACCAATTCTCCCGTTTTTGTGTGAAAGGGAAAATAACTTAGAAAGTCTCATTTGGCCTGCAGAGAAACTAGTTACTCATTACTTATTTCCTTCTTTTTGTCTTTCCAGGGTAAAGGGACAAAAGTATTTCCTTTTTGAATGTTGGAACAGAATCAGTTTCTTTCTTTCTCTGTCTCTATCTCTATCATTTTCATCTCTATCTCTCTCATCTCTCCCACATCTCTATCTCTCTCATCTCTAATATCTCTCATCTCTCTCTCTTTTTCTATTTCTTTTATCTCTCCAGCTTAATACTTTCCCCCATCCCACTCTATCTCAGTTTCTTTTTTCTGTCTCTCACATGCTCATACATATGAACATTTGTTCTGTGGCAAATATCAAGCAAATATGAATTAGTCTCAATCTACGCAATAGCATTGGTGGAATGTTTGTAGGAATATGCTGCAGATAATTTTAAATGTCAGAAATAAAGCATTTGAACATTAATTGCTACAAAACCTAGTTCACGTTGGAAAGAAGACTGCCTGTATCCATTCAGATAATAGACAGCTTAATGAATCCAATCTAGGTGCAGACCTGGGCCGATTTCCACAGAAGATCCATGAAAGCAGACCTTCTGTCCTATTCTATTTCTTCGATTATTTTTTCCTCTTCTCTATCTGAGAATCTAATGTTCTCCTTCCTTTATAATTTGACTGCCTCCCCCCAACAAATTACAATATTTAAAAAATGATAGTCTTTTTCAGAATATATAGTATAAACCTAATAAAAGGAATCAGAAAATAAAATGTGAAATATAATACTAAACTGAGAAACTGCTGGAACACCACACTTCCACCTTCAAAATGCTTTAATCCTAATATAAAATCAAGGGAACAATTAGCCTGTCTTCCTCACACTGCTCTTTATCTTTAACTATTGGGAAGATAAATTGGTTATGAAGACAAAAAGTCTTATCTGAAGCTAAATGAAGTTTCGCAATTATTTTTTAGTCCCTACTAAATCTTGCCTTTCAGACAACCTTTGGCCAATTAGTATAATCCAGCTCAACTGCTGGCCTTCTTGGTCTTAGCATCTTCTCTGGCTTGACCAGAGTCTCTAATGCCTCAAACTCTTAGAAAATACCTCCTTTTGATAACATTTTCAAAGTATGATTAATAAGGAAGATTTTTCTGAGGCATAGTATTTGAAAAAAGATGAGAGCAGAAGACTCACCAGTTTTCTTGTGTTTTCTATAATAAATATTTAGTAGTGAATTGAAATCTCTGTGATCTAATTTTCCTATAGTCAATGGTTAGTCTCTTTGCATATTAAACACTAGCAGGGGTAATTGCATAAAATAGATTCAAAATTATTTTGAAATAAATACATTTATTAAAGTACAAGTATTCATTAAAATATGAATTTCTGGTCTCAAAATTTTTGATGAGGGTGGAACATCATTATTCTAGATGAGGGTTTCTCAATCACACCAATATTGACATTTGGACTTGATGATTATTTGTGTTGGGGGACTGTCCTGAGCTCAGGCATTTGGACTCTATGAATGTTTAACAGCAAACTTGATTTCTACCACTAAATGCCAGTAGTATCTCCTCTTTAATAACAATCAAAAGTGTCTTCTCTTTAATAACAAAAGCATCTCCTCTTTAATAACAATCAAAAGTGTCTTCAGACACTTATCAAATATGCCATGGGGAGAAAGACTGCACCTTGTTAAGAGTCACTAACCTAGATATGAGTATGACTTAAGATAACTAATCTAAGGAATAAGTAATAGAAGTAGGAATAAGTAATAGAAGTCCTTTCTTGAACATCAAGTATAGGCCATTCTCTGTGCTGGGTATTTTATGTCCAATAACTGCAATGTGGAAAATGACCTTGATGCACTTCTACCTCTTCACAAGCTATCCTGAAAGAACAGGGCAGACTCACAGACCAAATTAAAATGCTCAAAATAGATGTTTAATTAATTCAATGTAAAGCAGATAGTGAGGAGACAGGGAAAATGGATGGGATATGCTAATTGACTTAATATAGTTGCCAAGTATGTGGACCTCAATCCAAGGTTAGGCAAGGTTCTTAGGTATGGTCTTTCTCTGCCATATCCAAACCTTCCCTGCCAATGATGTGGTTAATAGGATTATGGGTAAGTTTTGATCATGAGCACTCAACAGATAGAAGGTATGGTAAGGGAAAGAGAGGTGGCCACAGATGTAGCTCGCCAGTTAGCTGTTAAAGAGCTATGGGATTTTCCTACATTTTCTGAGAAGACTACTCATGGGGCCATGATGAAACTCCACTGTCATCATTAGGTGGCTGATGTAAGAATAACATAGCTAGTTGCTTAGAACTGGCATCATCAATTCATTCTATCTCTTTCTATTTTAAAGTCTCATACTTGTTTGTTCCATCATAACTTAATTTTATTCCCTCTTATATATCTTATAAGTTGCTAAATTACATGCTACTTGTTCTTTTCACAATCTACTTGATTATTCATTATCATAACTTTAAACACACTCTATGATTTGCTTTATTACAAGTTACTAGTTTGAATACCATTTATGCTTAACCTTCCCAATACATTTCACTTACTCTATAATTTGTCTTTCTTTTAAACAAATTTAATATTCTAAAAATTGGAAACTTGAATTATAGTAACCATTTAGTGGAAAATTCACTCAACAGTTAACTTTGAGGTGATTTCCCCACCTCACTCAATTTGCTTAATGTTACACAAATTACATAAGGTACATTTTAAAGAGAGGATTCAGGTCTATCTGTACCCAAATGAAGGTTTTGAGTTTGTTTGTTTGTTTGTTTGTTTTGGTTTTTGGAGGGTTCTATTTTTGGTTTAGGTTGCTTCTTTTACTTTACCATTTCACTTCTTTGAACAAAGATTCCTAAAGTAAATCCTAATAATGTTTCTCCAGGATTTCCCCTCAATTTATTTGTTTGTTTTTTGTTGTTGTTTTTTCCACACACATTAATTAAGAAATGTCCTGGAAGGAATAAAACACACAAAATAAATAGAACATTATGTATAGATTGAATCTTACAATTAACCCTGCCACCCTGCTGTCCTTAATGAATATTTATGTAGTTATGCATTGTTTAGCAATGGGAATATGTTCTGAGAAATACATCTTTAGGCAATTTCATCATTGTGCAAACATCATAGTGTAATTACACAAACCAGGATGGGCTAGCCTACCATACGCTTAGGCTGTATGCTATAGCCAATTGCTCCTAGGCTACAAATCTGACAACATATTACTGTGCTGAATATTGCGGGGAATTGTAATATAATATGAAGTATTTGTGTAAGTAAACATATCTAAACATAGAAAACTTACAGTAAAAATAAAGCATAAAAGATAAAAAGTGGTACACCTCTATAGGGCGCTTACCATAATGGTAGTTTCAGGACTGGAAGTTTCTCTGGGTGAGTCAGTGAAGGAGTGGTGAGTGACTGTGAGGGCCCAGGACAATATTGTACATTGCTGTAGACTTTACAAATGTACACTTAGGCTGCATTAATTTGTAAAATATATTTTCTCTTTATTCATTAATAAATTAACCTTAGTAAAAAACCTGTGAGTTTTTTACTTCATAAACTTTGAACTTTTTAAGTATTAACTTTTTTGTTATAACACGTAGCTTAAAACACTCATTATACAGCTATAGAAAAATATTTTCTTTATATCCTCATTCTATAGCCTTTTTTGTTTTTAATATTTTAAAATTTCTTTTTACTTTTAAACTTTTTGTTATGAACAAAGACGTCTAAGACACAAAAACAGACACATTGCCCTTGGCATAGGCATAATAAGTTATCAGTATCACTGTCTTTCACCTCCACACGTTGTCCCACTAGAGGGTCTTTAGGGATAATACCATGGAGCTGTCACCTCCTATGATAACAATTCCTTCTTCCAGAATATCTTCTGAAGGACCTGTTTCACAGTTACCTTTTTTAATGAGTAGGAGTATACTCTAAAATAATAACAAAAAGTGTAGTATGGTAGACACACAAACAAGTAACATAGTCATTTATTGTCCTTATCAAGTATTGGTGCTGAACATAATTATACTTGCTGTACTTTAAGACTGGCAGTACAAAGGGTTTGTTTACACCATCATCACCACAAACACGCGAGTAAAGTGTTGCAATACCACGTTGGGATGGCTGTGACACTAGGCAACAGGAATTTTTCAGCTCCATTATAAACTAATGGGAACATTGTCATATATGCAGTGCTTTGTTTGATAAAATGACATTATGCAGCTCATAACTGAATAGATATGTGTCAAGACAGCTACAGCCTTAAAGTTTTCTTCAGCTTTACTGAACTTGGTATTAATGCTTCCATTGGTGTGACATTATTTAGAAGACCTTCTTCCTGACTCTAAGATCTGATCTCCATTTTATTAGAGCATTTACTTCAGAAACCTTGTAATTTCTTTCCCCCTTTAAAATGTAAATCTTTTTAAAAGCCACCTCCCAGTTTTATGGCCCAGAATTGTCTCTTCAAGGAATGGAGAGCCATTCCTTTGAAATGTAATCAACAAGAAAGACAGAGCCTCTCTCCTCCAGAGTCTTTGGGAGTGTAAAAGTCTAACTTGGTGGAAACCTTATTCAAATTGTCAAACAGCTTTCTGTCATGAAGGTAAGAGAGTTTACTTTTTTCTCAGGAAGTAAAAGGATGGACTAAGATTCCCCCACCTCACTCCAGCTTGGAAGAACTCCCTCGCCTTTTGTTCCAGTAGGGTGGAATTCAGACTGAGTTCTGATCTCTTTCTCCCCTATTGCAATATCCTTGAAGAAACTCTTTCTTGCGTAAATTATATACACATAGTCAGGAATACAATTTTGTGCTAAGAGCACAACATTTCCATATTCAGGGATGACATCAAGGAGTTCAATTACCAGTGCTCACTTCATCCTGCTGTTGTTGGACCAGGAGGCTGATGGAGCAGCCCCAGCTCAGAACTTCACATCCCTTTCAGCAGGTGCAAGTCCTTAGCCAGAAGATGGTGGATGACTCATGAAGCATCAGAAGGCCTTTCTGGACTTCCTGAACAACCTTCCTCCCTCAATAGTGGTGTCTGAGGACCAGCTAATCCAGGGCACCCAAAGTTCAACATTGACAAGGTACAGACAACTAGCCATCTGTGTTGCCCATGCTTCCACCACAGAGCAGCTCACCAATGCCCAGGTGGAGCCATCCTGGGCCCTCAGCCTGATGTTGCACAGGATGAAGGAGGCCTTGAGTGAGCACAGTGAAGCCCAGCAGTCTACATTTCCAGTGCCCAACTCAGCACCACCAGCCATGAGGTTTGCCTCATGGGGCTCATGTACAGATTGTTGATATGAAACTGGTTCCTATAGGTGTTTAATAACATGAAAGATGGCAGGGTGAAATGTTAGATTCAATCTTAGAGAGTTTGAAATATTTATTTTCTTTTCAAACATTTAACTGACGGCTCTTATAATCATCTTAAGCCATATTACATACTCAGTTATTACTTAAACTCCAAAAGCCAAATAGCAGGAGGAGAATAAGTAATTTTTAAAAGAACATGTTTCTGTTTTCTACTCTGCTATCCAAATGGTACATCTGTTACTATAGTGTAAGCTTAATCTATCAGTTTGCAGCTCCTGTCAGTATAAAGGACTAGATCAACAATTAATTTTCAGTATGAATGTACCATTAAATTTGCACAAAATATTATATTATAAACATGTTCTGTAAAATGGCAAAAAAAAAAAGATGTGATTTCATATGGAAACAAAAATGTATTGTGACCATCTCCTTTTGAGAATCCTGAATCAGTACATCTATGCAATCAATGGCTGTTTAGTATTGAGTTATATACTAGATGCTGGACAGGCTGCTAATACCTATTTGTGTTTCATTAAATAAAATGCCCTACAGAAATGCCTCCTCTTAATTAATGTAAGTATATTTGAATACTGATTGCAGCATTAAGCTGGACTCTTCAATTATCTGTAGTGTGTGTGTCTAGTTTACCACGAACGGATTTTCAGGGTAGCTCCATATTTCCATCTCATAAGTTATATAAATAAAAATTACTGTAAGAATCAAATTATGTCCTTAGCATCTTCAACAATAATGAAAGTACAAGACCTATGCCAGAGAAGATTTAGGAGAAGGTTGTCAAGAAAAAAAAAAAAGAAAAAAAAGAAAAGAAAACTCTGACGTTCTCTCAAAATGCTGAAATCCTGCCGATAATAAAGCAATCCACTGTCCAGTTCTGCATTAAGCACCTACGTAATTGCATTCACCTTTGCACTGGGCACTGTGAACAAAATTGAAAAGAAAATAAATATGTAAAGTAAGCCCTCCATGGAGATGCTTAAAACTGAATTCAGGAAGCAAAATACATATTCAATAATTAACCTCACTTCCATGTACAATCTTTGGTAGTTCAACATGAGTTGTATAAAAACAGGTATCTGCATGCAATGAAGTAGTTTTCTGAGAAGATAACTCTATTTCCACTGAAGTGTGGACTTGAGAGAAGAAAAGATTAACTGAAGATTAACTGATACTCGCCTATACAGGAAACTGCAAAAACTTTCAGGGAAAAGATAATGAAGACCTGAACTAAGGCACTGGCAGGGGAAATGGACAGGAAAAGCCAGATTCAAGAGATATTTATGAGGAAGGATTAGTAAGTGAATGATTGGCTGTGCAAGATGAGGGAGACATCAGGAGTCAAGATTGGCTCTGAAGTTTCTATCTTAGTAAACCGGGCGTCTGTGATGCTTCTTGAGATAGAAACACCAATTGACTATCTGAAAGATTTCCATAATGTGCAGGATACCAGGCAGTTCTACTGTGCTTATAGAGAGAATCCAGTCTGATATCTCAATTACTGTAGGTGAGGCAGGATGTGCCAATTATAGCAAAAAGCAGCAGTATCAGTGCCAGTTTCCCTGCTTAGAAGAGGCAGGATATTTTCATACCCCCTGAAGCTTAAGGTAACCACAGACAAGGAAGCTTTCATATCATTTGACATGAAGGATTCTTATTTCATTTTTCTTCTTTCCTTGACATACATGATTCCAGAGTTTGAATTCCTTAAATAGATTTGCTGGATATATTTCATTTTATTTATTTTATAACAATAGGTGCAGATTAAGCCAAAGTTGCGGTACTTCAATTATATGGCTACAATTATATAATAATTTTGGCTGAATGGCATTTGTTCATTTTAAGGATTATTTACAAAAATAAACAAACAAATAAGTTTCTCATTAATTTATAATAGTAATGAAACAAGGCAACATTCTTACAACAATGGAGTAAGAGTCAGGATATTTTGGTACTAGTATCACTTCTTTTTTAAAAAACTATATGTGCCCTTTGGATCTCACTCATTGCCAAAATCCACTGCAACTTCAAATTCACTTCTGAGAATTCTTTTCATCTTCTGATACTAAGTGAAATTGAGTTTCCCCTGCAAACTCTGATTGGTGCATCTGTGTCACATGGGGTCTGCTAGACAACTAGGCCTGGGGTTGGAGTAGGTAGGTTCCTTAATCTTCTTTGCCATTTTTAAACCATATTTCTATTCTCCTTATATAGTCACAACTTGGAATCTTGTGTCACAAGCTAAACTGTCTAGTTACCGTCTCCTTGTCTATCATCTTCCAACTCTTGGGATAGTCTACCATATGCTCTTAAGATTTTACCTCCTGACCTGATCACTTCTTTTCTTCAGTACTATTCCTTATTCTTTCATTAACATCAGGTGATTTCTTTCTTCTTTTTTTTTTCTTTCTGAGATAGAGTCTTGCTCTGTCACCCAGGCTGCAGTATAGGGGCTTAATCTTGGCTCACTGCAAACTCTGCCTCCTGGATTCAAGCAATTCTCCTGCTTCAGCCTCCCAAGTAGCTGGGATTACAGGTGTGTGCCACTACAACTGGCTAATTATTGTATTTTTAGTAGAGATGAGGTTTCACCATATTGCCCAGCTAATTTTTGTATTTTTATAGAGACAGGGTTTTGCCATGTTGGCAAGACAGGTGTTGAACTCCTGACCTCGGGTGACTTTGTCTCTGTGATCCAATATATTCAATAATGTCTATAAAATAATAAACATAAGAAATATGTGTTGAATGCACATGGGTAAATTTAAAGGCCATTTCATTTGCACCAAACACTCTGATTTTCATATAGGAAGAGAATACTATTAACAATATTAATCATTTAACAGATTGTTCTGAATATTACATGAGATAACATATAAAATTAACAACAAAATGTTGTTGGTTAAAATTCTGTTTTGTAAAGCTAGGATTCTTACTGTGAAACTAGTAGCCAAGTTGTTAAAAGATAAGTTGGGATGTTAGTCCCAGTGATAGATTTCCACTACATGGTTCATACGCTGAAGGATAAACAACACAATTGCTAGGACAACTCTTTAAAGATACACATATTCAGTTCCCATCACAGAACTACTGAGTTAAAATCTCAGAGGTAAGCCTTCATCATAGTATTTAGTGGAAGTGGGAAAAAGAATCTAATGTGCATTTTAGGTTGAGAGCAATGATTATCAAAATTTAATACACATCAGACACAGGATATTGCTAAAATCGATACCCCTGGGCCCTCGACACAGAGATTTTGATTCTGTAGACAGGAGGTGGGCTTCAGTGATCTACATTTTTAAGAAGTACTATGAGAAAGTTTCCTAATAGAGCTAGTCCAAAGACTGTGTTTATGATATTCTGTTGAACACAGGTATAAAGGTCAAGTAAAAGTAATAAAGAGGAATGAAATTAAAGCATAATTCCAGGAACAAACTAATATGCAGACAAGTTAATGGCAGCATGGAAAAATGTAAATTCAGGTATCACAAATAATATTTATCACTTTAAAATTTTAAGTATGTGAACTACACATGAAATATGAAATATATTACATTTATAAAATTAAATTTTATATATCACACATGAAATGTATTCTATTTTTTAGATTCCCAAGTAGTAGAGAAGCATATAGCATAAAAGCTGATTTTTTTTTAATTAAACCTTTTTTTAGGTACACTGTTAACAAAATAATTAGAGCACTATGGAATAAATTTTTCCACAAGTCTTTTTATTTATTTTTTATAAATAAAAGGCATCTCACCATGTTACCCAGGCTGGGTAGTCTCAAATTCCCGAGCTCAAGAGATCTTCCCCTCTTGGCCTCCCAAAGTGCTGGGATTACAGTTTTGAGCCACCATGCCTGGCCGAGAAGTTTTCAAATCTACTTTGTATGCAGTGCTTAAATAGACACATAGTCACATTTATTCTATAGAGTCACATTGTATTTATTATTTTGTGACATGCTGCCTTTTTATTCTTTGAGAGTTTTTTAATGTCATATATTAATGATTTAATATATAGTATTCTACAACCTAGGTGTATATTATTGGTCCAATCTAAGAATCTCTTTTGTTTAATAATGAAATTAAAAGAAATAAAATATATTGTGATAATTTAATATCTGGTCTTTTTTCAATATATTTTATATGATTGCTTATTTCCCTTCATTATTTTAAATTTACATTCTACTTTTTTCTCATTCACTGGTTTAATTTTCTTTATCTTTTGCTAGTTTTCTTTGTTCAATAATCTTGTTTTCTTCATTTCTTTCTCTAGATGACAGAACATTATCCATAACATTCTATTTATTTACTAATTGTCTTACAATTTTAACATGGATGTTTGTACTTTTGTTAGTTTATTGATCTTGGAAATTTATAAACAGCATTAGTCAAGCAGTAAAAATTCTTAAAAAGCAGTAAAAAATTTTATTATGATTTAACTGAATCTCTCATCTACTTTATGTTTGTGAAAATGATCTAATTTATTTCCAGATTTTCAACATTCTTGAAAAAAACTTCTAATTTTTATAACATTTAAGATTTTAGACCGGGCTCAGTGGATCACGCCTGTAATCCCAGCACTTTGGGAGGCAAAGGTGGGTGGATCACTTGGGGTCAGGAATTCAAGACTAGCCTGGCCAACATGGTGAAACCCTGTCTCTACTAAAAATACAAAAATCAGCCAGGCATGGTGACAGGTGCCTGTAATCTCAGCTACTCAGGAGGCTAAGGCAGGAGACTTGCTTGAACCTGGGAGGCAGAGGTTGCAGTGAGCAGAGATCCTGCCACTGCTCTCCAGCCTGGGTGACAGAGTGAGCCTCCATCTCAAAATAAATAAACAAACAAAAACATTTGAACGTCAGGATATAAAGTTGTATTGAGATTATTCATGTTCACTTATCCATTTTACTGTCTCTTTTGTGTGGCTTTTTTTCTATAGTCTACAATTTTCCACTTCACAAATATAATCCTTGATAATCTAACCTGTGTAATAAATCAAAACATAAAAATAGAAAGTATATGTATTAGAAAGAAGAAACAAAACAGATTTGTTCATGGTATGATTACTATTCAAAAAGCACCAGCAACAAAGTCAGATAGCATCATTTAAAAAGCAAGATACTGATTAAAATTGCAATTACAAATATATGACACCTAACAATAAAACCAATAAAATAAGTTCAAGAAAATTGTGAACAAACTATAAACAAATTTCAAATAGTCTTAAAATGTGTTCTGTAGAGGATAAGGCATATAATGTCAACAATAGAAATACTTAATATCAAAAATTTATTAATTTTCTCCAAATTTATCTATAGTTTGAATGCAGTTGTAGTAAAAAAAATATGTTTCATAATGGAACTGCACAAGTTGATACTAAAAAGTACTTTAAAAAGGTCAAGAATTGCTAAGGCACTATTGAGAAATAGCAAGAGTCTTGCTTAAAAAGCACCATATTTATCAAAAAGCTTTAATAATTAAGACAAGTGTAACTGACACAGGCATAGGCCAATGTTCCAGAACATTATTCCAAATTGCTAACAAGAGATAACTTAGAAACAGTACTTCATTTATAAGAACCCATATTATGACACAGATATTACAGTATTGTGTATGAATGGAAAACAGGACAGGTAAGTGCTGATAATTGATGGATCTGTATGCAAACAAAAATAAAATTAAACCCCTATCTCATACCATAAACAAAATTCTATTCTAAATGCACAAAGTAATTGTGAAGGCAGCAATTAGATGTCCTAATAAACTATAAGTTAATATTATTGTTACCTTTAGACAGATAAGCATTTCCTAAGGAGGAACCGAAAAACTAAATAAATGTTAGATATTATCAAAATGAAGAACTTGTAGCCACCAAATTATACTCAAAGAAGACATCTGCAAAACAATAGAGTGATAATATTCGCAGTATAAAAATAACCATTACAAATCATTAAGAAATATGGATATCAGTAGGGAAAAACACAAAAGACTCAGGAATTTCATAGAAGTGGGCTACATTGGTCAATAAGCAGATTTAAACATGGTCAATCAATTCATCATGAAAATGCAATTTTAAAAGACAATGAAATGACATTTTACAAATTTTTGTGGAAAAATATGGCTATATCAGGTTTTGACAGATCATTGATACAGTGGGGATTCTTACAGGCCCATAGATGCAATGTAAATTGGTATATCCATTTTGGTAAACAAATTTAGCATTACTTATAAAAACTGAATATGTGCATCTCATTTAATAGTCAATGATTTCACTTTGGAATAAATACACCAGGAAAATTCTTGCATATATCTTCCATGGGAAATGACTAAGAAAAAAAGCAGGTTTTTTTGAGTAATAAAATCCTAGAACATAACACAGACAGGAGAATGGATAAATGAATTATTCTATTTCTGAACAAGTATTATTACAAAGCACTAAAATGAATAAGTTGAAACCACAACCATAAACATAATGAATCTCACCAATGAAATTTTGAGAGAAAAGACAGTTTGAGATGAATTCATATAATATGATCAATTTTTATAAAATTAAATTGCCTGATATTGAGCATTATGGCTTTTGAGGTGTATTTACATATATGATAAAACTTTAAAGGAAAGAAAGCAATGATTTACACTAAATCCAGATTTGTGGTTACCATCCAGATTTGAGGTTGGCATTTGTGATGTACTCAGATAGTTCTTCAAATATACTTTGAATAGTATTAAAAGATACTATTTCTTAATTAAGGAGCTCAGCATATAGACTACTTTCTTTGCTATTCTGAACTGTACAAATCAATTATATAAATAGTATATTTATACAGTTAAATGACATCTTATAGATCATATGTTATATATATAAGAAAACACATGTAAGCATATATATGTGTATATATGTGCATATATAATAGGTATGATATACATTGTATTTTTAAATTTTAAAAGGAATATTAAGCCAAAAAAATAAAAGAACTATATTCCCACACTTGATTTGGGATTGACTAATGACTAATGTTAATCTCATAGGGACACTTCCAATTTATGGAAGACCCAAATTGATTATCTTTTGAAGTCACTGTAGGGACCAAAATGCTACCTCCAAAATGGAAATACCCTTTCCATTTCCAAGGGAACGTGTACATGTATGTGGGAAGAACAATGAACAGTTGGGTAAAATGTGACTGAGGGAAGACTTATTGTTCATGCAGAGAGTATTGCATAATCGAGAAAGTGCAAATTTAAAATCAGTCTGACTTGGTTTCATTCCTGGCTCCAACTCTTGAACACATCACCTAATTTCTCAGTATATTTAAAAATAGGTATAATAATACACAAAATTATGGCATTATTGTGTAGGTTAATTATTATGAATACCAGAATGCTTCTTATATGGTAGAGTCTCAAAGAACATTGTTTCTATCGTATTTCTCCCTAACCTGTAATAACAATGACAATAACAAAAGTAAAGAGTCGTATTTCCACCTTAGTTTGTAAGTGGTATTGGTGATAACAGACCCAAGAATATTTTCATGGAGGTTTTGAAATAAGATGTTTCTGAGGCCAGTGGCCGCTGAGAAAGACAGCAGATTCCTTTTTTTTTTTTTTGAGACAGGTTCTCGCTCTGTTGTCCAGTGCGGAATGCAGTGGCATGATCACAGCTCACTGCAACCCCAGCCTTCCAGGTTCAAGCGATACTCCCACCATAGCCTCCAAGTAGCTGGAACCACAGGGATGCACCACCATACCCAGCTAATGAGTGTATTTTTTGGAGAGAGGGGGTTTCACAAAGTTGCCCAGACTGGTCTCGAACTCCTGGACTCAAGTGATCCTCTCCACTTGGCTTCTCAAAGTGCTAGGATTACCGGCATGAGCCACCACATAAGGCCACATTACTTATTTTTTAGGGATGTGAAAATAAACTCTCTATTTGCATTATTTCCCTTCTATGATTCTGGTCTGTTATGAACTCTTTGCCAATAGGAAGTTCAATTTTGTGTGAGTATACAGCTAAGCTCAGCATTTTAACACATAATAGTGCAAGAAAATAATCTGAGAGGAAAAAAAGGAATGTTATTCTTCCTAACATTATCTCCCAGAGTATCCTTTCTAATGAGTATATTTCTAAAAATAGACTAGGGCAGTCTAAATTTGAGAATGTCAGATGTCCAGGAAATGCTGAGTCTCCTACATAACTAAGTAAGTCTTTGTGAGCCAAAGCTCTATATTCTGAGATAAATATTATTTCCAAATTACAGGATTAAGACCCAGTTTACTTTTCTGCACAGGATAACATGGAGAAACCAAATTGATATACAAATTTTCTCAGGCTGTCAACTCAAAGAAACACAATATATCCAGCCTGTATTACAAAACATGGCAGAGCTCAAAATTTTACTGGCAGAAATAAATCTCTCATAGGAATTCCAAATTGGTTTACCTTCAGCTTCTACTTTCTGATTAAGGGTGAGTTGTTCATTTTCTAGTTCCTCCCTTATTCCTAGCCCTTGCACTGATTCTTCTTCATCCTTCCTCACATTTTTCTGCTCAGTAGTAGACTTGGCCCTCTGCTCTCCAATGGAGAATCTGACAAGTGCATTAGGGGGTTATTTTTCTGTAGACCTGATCTTATTTATATAAATCTGCTGGTTGTTTGTTTGTTTGTTTGTTGTCAGTAGGAGACTTCAACTGGAAGTTAGACGACACTTGCCCATTCCTGATATTTTTGTGCTCATGCATCTGGAGGTTTTTTACCCTCTGTAGAATTTCTATCTTAAAGCTCTCTGGAGGCTTTGCCCAGTTAAGATTTAATTCTCATTTCCCGTCCAATTGTTCCATTCCTCTCTTATTCCCCTTAGACCCTGAGTTTCAATCAGGATAAAAACATTGAATATCTTAAGAGGATAAACTAATAGCTCACACTTCAGCCTTAAATCCAGTGGTCCCAGTAATACTATTCAAAGAGATGAACAGGTGACTTTGGTCATGATGAAAAAGGATATGATACAGAATATTTGAAGCATTGAGTTGCCAGAACCAAAGCAAATCAGCAGTCCTTGAAGGAGAGAAGACAACAATTCCCAGGATAGGCATCAATTTACCAATGGGTGAATGACAAATTATTATTGATACTTGTTTTGTTTCAAGAGGAACTCGTGAGAAAAATGCTTAAGAAAGATAACAAAAAAATGGGATGGAGTCTAGCTTGCAAACTGAAATGCCCTGTGTCAAAAACACTATTAACTATGAACAGTGAAGTAGCTTTCCTATATGAGACCAATCTTCTTCCAAGGGGTTAAAAAAAAAAAAAAAAAAAAAAAGACATGGTAATAATATGAGATTTGGGGAATTGAAGACCAAAAGCTGCAGGATCCTTCATAATCTGGCTTTTCGACAGTGTCAGTAATGTGAAAGAGAATATGTCCCATTTGCCTCAAGATAAATAGGTTTCGGAGTGAACAAGAATAAATGTGAAATCTGATGCTACTCCAGACACTTCTAGGCTGTTACAAAAGAAACTGTAACATCTCAAAATCACCCCCTGCCTTACAAAGGCACATTGCAGCCTCCAACGAGAGACTATTTCAGCTGTTTTAATTGCATAAATATATAGTAGAAAATAGGTAGGATATCAATCAATAACAGAGGGGAAATTCATTAACTACTCTGATCCTACATAAGACAGGGTGATCTCAAATATGTTTGAAATAAGTATGAAGCAGAGTGAGTATTTCAGTGCTTTATCTCTTTAACTTGGTCAATACCTCCCTTTTAGGATCTATGCAGGAATGAAAATCAGTAAAATTAAATTAATCTATCCTTTGGAAATCTGTGACTTCCTATGATGATTGTTAATTGTAGTATTTTGTCAGTGTCATTGATTATAATAAACTGTTACTTACACATAAAAGAACTTTGGTTGGCAGAATAATGGCCCCCTAATGATGTCCACACCCTAATCCCTGGAACCTGTGGATATATTACTTTACATGGAAAATAATAATTAAGTTTGTAGATGAAATTAAATTTGCTAATCTGCTAATCTTAAAATAAGGAGATTTTGGAGTTTGGCCCAATGTACTTCTAGGCTCCTTAAAGTGGAAGAGGAAGGAAGAAGAAGGGGTCAGAGTGACATGAGGACTCAATATACTGTTGCTGGCTTTGAAGATAGAGGAAGCCAGGAGCCAAGGAATGCAGGTGGCCTCTGGAACCTGGAAAGTGCAAGGAAACAAATTCTTCTCAAGAACCTCAGGAAGAAACTCAGCCCTGTTGATACCTTGATTTTAGCTCAATGAGATTCATGTCAGACTTCTGACCTACAGCACTATTTAAAAAAAGTTTGTGTTATCTAAAGCCACCAAGTTTATAGAAATTGTTATATCATGTTGATACACCAATAGCAAACTAATATAGAACAAGGACCCTATATATCTTTGATTTTATTGTCATATTTTTGTTGATAAAAGATAAGTTATGCTATACCTACATCAGAAAGAAGCCATAGTATACTGGGATGACTTTTATTTTATTTGATGTGTATTTTCTAGCTTTCTAGACATCCATCTATTCAGTCTACCAGTTAGTTAGTCCATATGTTGGTCATAAATTGGTTGAGCACCCACTGTGAGACAGGTATCTTGGAAGACACTCTGCATACATAAATGAAAAATTTATGTATCATACATGCTTTCTTGGAAGTTGGCATTTTGTATTTTTTTTTCAACTATTGAGGAAACTGTTTTTATAAATATGCTTCCAAGTATCACAGACATAAAAAGTCAGTTAACTTCTTTTTTTTTTTTTAATTATACTTTAAGTTCTGGGATAGCTGTGCAGAACGTGCAGGTTTGTTACATAGGTGTACACGTGCCATGGTGGTTTGCTGCACCCATCAACCCGTCATCTACATTAGATATTTCTCCTAATGTTATCCCTCCCATAGTCCCCCAAACCCCGACAGGCCCCAGTGCGTGACGTTCCCTCCCTTTGCCCATGTGTTCTTATTGTTCAACTCCCACTTATGAATGAGAACATGCGGTGTTTGGTTTTCTGTTCCTGTGTTGTTTGTTGAGAATGATGGTTTCCAGCTTCATCCATGTCCTTGCGAAGGACATGAACTCATCCTTTTTTATGGCTGCATAGTATTCCATGGTGTATATGTGCCAAATTTTCTTTATCCAGTTTTTCATTGATGGGCATTTGGGTTGGTTCCAAGTCTTAGCTATTGTGAACAGTGCTACAATAAACATACCTGTGCATGTGTCTTTATCAGTTAACTTCTTATTCTTATAAATCGCAACGTTGGTTGGATGGCCCTCTTGTCTAAGCTACCCTCCAAGCTGTGATTAGATGATCAAGGCCTCTTCCATTCTGTGGCTTCATGACCTATGAATATTTCAGCTATAGGAAAAGGAAAGAAATAAAACATTGAGGGTCTTGTAACAGATTTTCAGGGACAGTGCTAAAAGTGAGACACATAACTGTTTCATTCCATTGCCACAAATTCAGAGTGTAGCCACTTTAACTAACAAAAAGTTAGGAAAAATAGTCATCCTGAAGACCAAGGAAGAGGAAATGAGATTGGGTTGCACCTCACTGGTGTTGTCTACAATCTTCTTTTTTGATTATATTCTCTCTTGTTTTCACACATGAAATAAACATCTCTGTTTTCCAAGAGGAAATATCCAAGTCTTTGCATTTATTGCAAACAACTCAAATCTAAGATTTGCAATAATATTCAGTTCTTTCCAACGTATTCAATAATCCTAAAACAAAACAAAAATTATTCACCTTGCTTCCCTCTGAAGTAGTAGTAAATATACAGTATAACTATAATAAATATCCAAATTTAAATAGAAAAGAAAGAAAGACAATTATGTCCACCTGTCATTGACGTTTAATATTTTTGACAAAAATTTTGAGAGAGAGTTGAGGCTAGAACACTAGAAATGAAAAATATTAGCCTGAAGCTGATTCTAAATTTCTTAGATGCTGTGGAGCTGAGTAGAGTTATAGAAGCTTAAAAACTTCCAGATGGACCTAGGGAAAAATCAGACTTTTTTCCACTTCTTTTAATTCATTTTAATTACTTTAGTGATAGTATATCTGGTAGCATAGAGTCATAATATTTATATAAAACAAATATCTATGCACAAAATGTGTTAACATTATACATACTATATCAGGGCTAATTTAAAATCAGCCTAGATAGGTGAAATCAAATTGAGCTAAATAAACATCATCTTAATGAAAGTCATAGGATTAGAAATATTTATAAGAGAGTAGCTTCATTAAAAGAGTAGCCTAATTCTGGCTTTTTATATTTTCTCTGAACAAAGAGAGCATAGTAAAACAAAGTTTTACTCATTTCAGTGTTGATATTAATTTTTACCAACATGTCTCTTGCTTTAGCGATCTCCTCAATTATGAGACTATTACCATTATGATTATACTGATATATAATGCTATTTTTATGATATATTAATATTTTGAGTGTTCAATGTTTATATTCTATTTATATATCTAATATTCCTGTTATATGTTATATTTAACCATCATTTTTGGTAAGGTAAGTGGGGAAATGTCCTGCTTAATTGTAGAAGCAATTCTGATTTTAGGGAGAGACAAAAGCTGCTTGAAGGGGCTTTTAATAACTGTCAGCCTCAATCACATACTTAATAGGTGTCAGAGCAAAGAGTCTAAACCAGATTTGTTTATCTCCAATGCTTATGATGCTACTTTTATTCTTCAAAACTGCCTATGTAAATATTTTAAACATAAGTTTTGGAGAGTAGGAGAAAACCTAATATTTATTGAAAACTGTTATTTCCAGATACTTTTATACACTTATAATTGAGTTTAATATTCTTTGCAAAACCTCAAATCAGGATGCCTTAGTTAATAGCTCTCTAATCACACTTAAGACTAAATGTAAGCCCTGATCACATGCTAGCCTCATAAGCCTTTTTTTGACCATTTTCTATAGAAAGAACCTGTCTCAAGCTTTCACTTCTTGTTCCCTCTATCCCAAAAGCTCATTTCCCAGAGTCTTGGTTCCCTTCCTGGTACTCATTGATCCACTCTCAATAAAATTTCTCCTTAAAAAGACTTTACTTAGCTGCTCTGTCACTCTCCTCTTTCACTGTTTTATTTACCATACAGAGAAATGTATCTATCTACCTATCATCTATCATGTATGTATTTATCATCTAATCTACCTACCTATCTACCTCTGTGCCTACTTACCAACCCACCTGCCTATACAATTCTTTCCACAAATAGAATATAAACTCTGAGAGAAAAATCTGTATTTATTTTATTTATATCACAAGCACCTAAAAAAGTCAATATATATTTGCTTAACAAATACATGTATGGTTGAAGAATCAGAGGTTGAAATAAAACTCATAAATTCATAGAGTTAATTACATTTTTGATACATATTTAATTACCAGCCGACTTTCTCATTTGTTATTTCACTGATTTTCTAAAAGTTGTTTTCAGATTATTTAAGATGAAGCAGATTCATTTTGCATTTCACTCAAAGAGAGGAGCTCTAGATGTAAAAAAGGATGTTTTCCACAGTCATTAGGCCAATATTATGGACACACAGACATAATCATATTATAGGGAAGATTCTGTTTCCATCTCTTGTTAAAAGAGTTGTATTTGATAATAAAATGTATATAGAAATAATTTTTTACTCCAAAATTTCATTTAAAATCATGTTAGCAGAGCCGTTCTAAATAAAAATTTCAAATTGATAATATGATTGGTAAGTGATAGTGAACATCAAAGGGACTTGAAAATGACAGTTTAATATATTCATATAATGGAAATTCTCATTCAGTGGTTTTAGTTTTTCATCCCCTCTTGTTCCTACCATTTCTGCCATTTAAATCTTAAAAGTTCCTGTGGTACTGTGCCTCAGGATATGATTTTCTAGTTTATAAATAAATGATACCCAGCCAAAAGTGATGATGTATTGGTTAGTCAAAAGAGGAACGATAAACCCTATTGACTGTTAAAAATACTGGCAGCAAACCAAATATATATTGGTAAGAAAAATTAGTTCTAAAAGCAGTATAATCATTCTAAAATAAAACATAAAATTGAAAAAACATAATTTTCATTTATTAAAAATATTTTCTGTTTTGTCAAATGCAGTGGTAATTATAAAAATAACTACTTTATGCTAGTACTTCATACCAACTACAAAAGACAATGCTGACACAGCTTAAAAACAATAAAAAAAGGATAAAGTTTGCATATCTCATTAAATATAAATTAAGAATTAAAGAAAAATAGGAACTTGAGCAGAACGATATTTGTTTGGTTTTAGGCAACCTGGCATCACTGTAACTTTTTTTGAATTATTGTAGTGAAGATTTAGAGTAGGTTATTGGGTTTAATCTCAATGTCTTTTACTTACAGCACTGTAAGTGTGTAAATTACAGGAATAACATGGTGGTATCATAAAATACAAAGCAGATTATTTCAGTTTTGTACAGTTTCTGGCTGAAAGCGGTTCAATGATCTAACAAAGCTTTAAAAATATTTCCTAGTTTTCTCAAGTCTTCGTTAATTTTTAAAATGAAAAAATATTGTCCAACTATGCTTAAACTATGGAGAATTCAATGTATTTTCAAAATGCATTAGCACTAAACTCAGCAGGTTTATGTCTTCAGATTTCTTTCTAGTTGTAGCATTCTGAAGTGCTGGCCAGTGTACCATGGGACAAATTTAACAAAAACTTAAAAAAAATACAGCGCTCTTAGCAAATAATGTTGAAAACAATATTCTATATAAAATATCTATATGGACACTTATATTTCTCTAATGACTTCTATTATTTCTTATAACAGCCTTGCTTCAAATTGATCTCCATTTGATCTCCAATATTGCTTTAGCTTCAAATGGTTTGTTTTCTTTATACATTTTACTGCATGTCCCCTCGTCTTTTTATAATAATACAATAATAAAAATGAACCAGTTTTCTTTAGATATATGCTTAACATTTTATTATGTGCCCAGAGGTGTTATAAACAAATTGCATGACTGAGTTCCTTCAAAATACTCTATTTATAGCTGATATGCAGAACAAATAGTGGGAATGGCATAGGTGGGACCTCATTGTAAAATTACTTGATGCATTCCAAGTGGCAATTAGAGTCACACCAATTTAGTATGTGTCAAGTGGAAATTGAAAGAGATTTCTGTTATTGATCTAAGGAAAACAAAGAGCTAAAACTGAACTATTGATACCAAACCAGGAAAGATGTCCTAAGACAGCTTTGTTGATATTCTTGGAAGAATATATGTATGTATCTAATGATTTTAAAGATAATACTTCTAATGTTATATTGAGCAGCAATTTAGGATAACTCATCAAAGCAGCCACTACTTTTAGGCATTTTTTCCTATACTACAGACCATGGAGGTGTTTTCAATTTATTTAATGTGTAGCATCTTTATTAAAACCCTGTTATTCCTGCAAGAAATTGTCACAAACTTAGGGACTTAAGACAACATAAATATATGACCTTACAATTTTTGATATTAGAGGTCCAAAATGGGTCTCAGTGAGCTAAAAAATCAAGGTGTCAACAGGGCTGAGTTCTTTCTAGAGATGCTATAAAAGAATGTGTTTCTTTGTCCTTTTCAGCTACTAGAGGCCACCTACATTCCTTGGCCCCCTTCCTCTGTCATCAAAGCCAGAAGCAGCAAATTGAGTCCTTTCCTTACATCACAACACTCTGATCTCATCTATCTTTCTCTTCCACTTTTAAGGACCCTTGGAATACACTGGGCCAACCTGCATAATCCAGAGAAAACTCCCAATTTTTAGTTCAGCTGATTAGCAAATTTAAATTCATCTGAAACTTAGTTATCTTTTTCCATATAAGAGAACACATTCACGGGTTCCAGGGATAGGACGTGAACATCTTTACAGGTCATCATTTTCCCAAGCATAACGCTAATAATGAGTGTTTGATAATAGGCTCACTTGTCATATTACATTGTACCTCACGGAGGTGATCTGAGCTAAACCATTTGTTTGAAGTTGATGGGCAAGGCATTGCTATGTACATGACAAGAAACGAGAAATAAACACTTTGTTTAATTACTATTTAATTAATTGCTATAAAGGTAATTTTTCACCTTCTAAAAAGTATATTTTGATTATTAACTACTTTTCCATTGCTTACATTTCACCAGCCTCTTAAGATCCTCTTATTGACTTTACATGCAGCCATCTTGAAATTTGCTAAGCAAATAGGAGAGTCTAATTCGTAATTAACCTGGATGATAGCCAAACTCATTAATTTGGGGACTAAATGCATTTTAAATCTAATTTTTCACAGAGAAGTCCACTATAAATTGGCTGATTTGTATTTCCTGAACCTCCAGAAGCAAAATTTATCTCATTTATTTATATAATGAGAGAGTAAATATAATCATTTTCAAATAAGAAAAATATATCCTCCTTATAGGAATCACACAATGTGTTTAATCACATTGCAGCTCAAACTTTGTGAAAAATATGGAGTACATTTGCTTTTAATTATAGTAAGGCAATAAACATTTCTTAAAGCTTCATAGCAGATCATTACTTTAGTGGACAAATTTAGTAAAATATCATAATGAGTTGTTATAATCAGATATAAAATTTATTTGCGTAAATTTGATTAAATGGTGTTTGTTTCTAATTTCAACACATACTATTAAGTTAAAGGTGTTGTTATAACTAAAACAAATGTAGTTTTAGTCATCTCTTAAGGCATAGTGGAAATAAGGAAACTAAAGTAAAATAAACAGAAGTGTTAAATATTTAGTTATATATTTTTTCCAAATATATGTCCATATATATTTAATATCTATGAGATTAAAATGTACAACACAAAGATTTATGAAATGAGAAACTGAAACATTGAAAATGGTATTAGGTGACATAAAAGTGTTAGAAATAAACTGTTTTTAATATACAACAAATAAATTGACATAAAAGTTGTAAAATAACTTTTTTAGAAAGTTTGATTAGATGACCAAATGGATAGCACTTTTAGCCAATAAACAGCACATACACGTTATTTTAACATTCCAGAGAAAAAGATTTGAAATTTTGGATATTTAAACCTAAAATTATGTCACTAACCTCATGAAAGTAGACATTCAATAGGTCGTATTTCCAAGGCACTGTGAAATGACATTGGAAAATGTCAATTAGAGTGGAACTCAGAAATAATACTTAACCACATACAATTTTTAAAATTTTTTATGGGTACATAACAGGTGTATATATCTATGGAGCACATAAGATATTTTGATACATGCATGCAACATGTAGTAATCACACGGAGTATCCATTACCTCAAGCATTTATCATTTCTTTGTGTTAAAAACATTCTCTTTTTGTTATTTTTAAATGTGCAATAAATTCTTGTTGACTCTAACCTTCCTGTTGTGCTATTAAATACTAGATCTGATTAATTCTATCTAACTATATTTTGATACTCATTAACCATCCTCATTTCCCCCACAACCCACTACCCTTCCAAGCCCTTGGTAACTATCATTCTTCTATCTCCATGTGTTCAATTGTTTTAATTTTTAGATCCCAGAAAGAGGTGGGATCATGTGAAGCTTGTCTTTTTGTGCCTGGCCTCTTTCACTTAAAATAATGTCCTCCAATTCCAACCATGTTGTTGAAAATGACAGAATCTCATTCTTTTTTTATGGGTAAGTAGTATTCCATTGTGCTTTTGTGTTACATTTTCTTTATGCATTCATCTGTTGATGGACACTTAGATTTCTTCTAAACCTTGTCTATTGCGAATAGTGCTGCAATAATGGGAGTGAAGATATCTTTTTATGCACCGATTTTCTTTCTTTTGGATATAAACCTAGCAGCAGTAGCGTTGGATCATATGGTAGTTCCACTTTTAGTTTTTTGAGAAACCTTCATACTGTTTCCCATAGTGGCTGTACAAATTTACATTCCCACCAACAGGTAAAAGGGCTCCAGTTTTTTTTTCCAATTCCTTGCTGGCATTTGTTATTGCTTTTTTTTTTTTTTTTTTTTAAAGATAAAATTACTGCTTTTTTTTTTTAAGACAAAAGCCACTTTAACTGGGGTAAGGTAATAACTCATTGGAATTTTGATTTGCATTTCTCTGCTGATTAATGATGTTTAGCACCTTTTCATATACCTGTTTGCCATTTGTATGTGTTCTTTTGAGAAATGTCTATTTAAATCTTTTGCACATTTTTAATTGGATTATTAGATTTTTTTCCCATAGAGTGGTTTGAGCTCCTTGTATATTCCAGTTATTAATCTCTTGTCAGATGGGTAGTTTACAAGTATTTTCTCCCATTCTCTTGGTTGTCTTTTCACTTTGTTGATTGTTTCAATTGCAGCAGAGGACAGGGATCTCTTAAAGATGCAAAGTAAGTGAAAGACTTAGCTTACTGCCTGTACAGAGTTTTCAGGCTACAATGCAGAGAGGAGGAACCCAGAGATCCCAGAAGTCTTTTGTAGTTGAAGAGATATAATTAAAAGTTTGAGTAGTTCAAGAAAAGTATAATTTTCAGATAATTTTTAAAAAAGTTTTAAGTAATATATAGGTGACAGACACACAGAGGGATTAATATGCAAATATAAGAGAGCTGCTCAGAGAGACAGAGATAAAAGTGAGACAGCTTTCAAAATTTTCAGAGGGTTCTCAATTCTTCACTGAGTACTGATCAGTGAACATGTATGAGAAAACTACAGAAGGCTTAAGAAAAAAGCACCAGAATGGAACAGGTAGAACAAACTCAAGAGCTCATACACTGAGGGAATAATTCAGGTCCCTGACATGAAGAGTGGAAAAACTCACAATTAATGGGGCATTGGACAATCAGGAAAGATCTTTTCTTGTTAGTGGGGAAAATCAGATGTAGACTAAAGTTGCTGTGGTTGCAACTAACAAAATTTACAATCTAGCTTTGAAAAGATCAACTACTTCCAAGTACATTAACTATGTCCAAGAACAGGCACACACACACATACACACACACACACACACACACAATCAACAATATTTATAGAAAAAATATAAGGTGCTTATCATGGTAAAATTCACAATTTCTGGTATCCAATTAAAAATTACCATACATGCCAAGAAGAAAAAAAATAGAGAGAAAAAAATTAATCAGTCAAAACTGACCCAGAAGTAGCAGATGTTAAATTAGTAGGTAAGGACATTCAAACAATCATAACTATTCTGCTTGTACAAAAAGCTAGAGAGAACACTGCACGTGTGAGGTAGATACATGGAAGTTATAAAAAGGACCCAAAATGAACTTCTAGAAATAAATAACACAATGCCTGAGATGAAAAGTACTGAATGGGATAAATAGTAGGAAAAGATTAGTAAACCTAATGAAATATCAATAGACTGTTAAAAATGAAACGCAGAGGGATAAATGTTTTAATCAAATTAACAGAGCATCGGAGAGTAGTGAGGTGATTTCCAGGGGCCTAATACAAGTGTAATTTGGAACCCCAAAGGTGAACAAAAGGAGTGTGACTAAAATATAGATTTGAAAATTAGTAGCTCAAACTATTCCAAGTTCATTGAAAATATTAACCAACAAATCCAAAAACCTTAGCAAACCCCATGAATAAGAAACTTTGTTGAAAAAAATTACATCAGAACAAATTATAGTGAAATTGCTTAAAACTGGCAATAAAGAGAAATGTAAAAGCTACCACAAAAAAAAAAGATAGATAGTGTACACATAGGAACAGTAATTGGAAGAACAACAGACTTTCATCAGATAAAATCCAAGCCAGAAGATAGTGGAGTAAACAGCTGTATAACACGAAAAAAAATAGAGAACAAAACCAATGCCATCAACCTAAAATTTTAAGTCAATATTTGGAATGAATAAGTTTTAAAATAAAGACAACATAAAAAAAATCTTTAGACTTAGAAAAACTGAAAGAATTTCTCGTAAGTCAACTTACTGTATAAATTAAAGAAACTTTTTAAAAAGAAGGAAAATTACAAACAATGGAAATCTACATTTTTATAAAGGAATAAAAAATACTGAAAAAGATAATATTTGTAAATGTAAGATGTGGTTGTATTATAAACTAGGTTAAATAAGCATTGAAACTTTAAAGAAAATATATTAAAATATTTTGCTATTTTCATCACATAAGTAATATAAATGTTGGAGAACAGTAGCACAAGGGCTGGGAATAAGAAATTAAAGTCTACTTTTTTTTCAGATTAGTTATCAGTACTCTTTCTTTTATTATTATTGTACTTTAAGTTCTAGGACACATGTGCAGAACGTGCAGGTTGTTACATAGGTATGAACGTGCCATGGTGGTTTGCTGCACCTATCAACTCATCATCTACATTAGGTATTTCTCCTAATGCTATCCCCCCACCAACCCTTTCACGGCCCGACAGGCCCTGGTGTGTGATGTTCCCTTCCCTGTGTCCATGTGTTCTCCTTGTTCAAATCCCACTTATGAGTGAAAACACAGGGGTTTGGTTTTCTGTTCTTGTGTTAGTTTGCTGAGAATGATGGTTTCCAGCTTCATGCATGTCCCTGCAAAGGACATGAACGCATCCTTTTTTTATGCCTGCATAGTATTCCATGGTGTTGTATATGTGCCACATTTTCTTTATCCAGTCTATCACTGATGGACATTTGGGTTGGTTCCAAGTCTTTGCTATTGTGAATAGTGCCGCAATAAACATATGTGTGCATGTGTCTTTATAGTAGAATGATCTATAATCCTCTGGGTATATACCCATTAATGGGATTGCTGGGTCAGTTGGTATTTCTGGTTTTAGATCCTTGAGGAATCGCCACACTGTCTTCCGCAATGGTTGAACTAATTTACATTCCCACCAACGTTGTAAAAGTGTTCCTATTTATCCACATCCTCTGCAGCATCTGTTGTTTCCTGACTTTTTAATGATTGCCATTCTAACTGGCGTGAGATGGTATCTCATGTGGTTTTGATTTGCATTTCTCTAATGACCAGTGATGATGAGCTTTTTTTCATATGTTTGTTGGCCACATGAATGTCTTCTTTTGAGAAGTGTGTGTTCGTATCCTTCCCCCACTTTTTGATGGGGTTGTTTTTATTCTTGTAAATTTTTTTAAGTTCCTTGTAGATTCTAGATATTAGCCCTTTGTCAGAATAATAGATTGCAAAAATTTTCTCCCCTTCTGTAGGTTGCCTGTTCACTCTGATGATAGTTTCTTTTGCTGTGCAGAAGCTCTTTAGTTTAATTAGACATCATTTGTCAATTTTGGCTTTTGTTGCAGTTGCCTTTGATGTTTTAGTCATGAAGTCTTTGCCCATGCCTATGTCCTTAATGGTATTGTCTAGGATTTTCTTCTAGAGCTTTAATGGTTTTAGGTCTTACGTTTAAGTCTTTAATCCATCTTGAGTTAATTTTTGTATAAGGTGTAAGGAAGGGGTCCAGTTTCAGTTTTCTGCATATGGCTCGCCAATTTCCCAACACCATTTATTAAATAGGGAATCCTTTCCCACTGCTTGTTTTTGTCAGGTTTGTCAAAGATCAGGTGCTTGTAGATGTGTGGCGACAAAGCTGAAGGCATCTCGCTACCTGACTTCAAACTATAGTACAAGAGTACAGTAACCAAAACAGGATGTTACTGGTACCAACACAGATATATAGACCAATGGAACAGAACAGAAGCTTCAGAAAAGTGTACTTTATAATGTTCTTATACTGTGCATGAAATAATATGACATTACTTAAATAAAGTTTGATAAGTTAAAATTTATGCTCCAAACTCTAAAGTACCCCCAATTTTATAAAATGAAACTAATATGATAACTAATATGCTAACTACACTAATGTTGAAAATCAAATACAGTTCATTTGATGCAGAAAAATAGCACATAATATGTCAAAGTTTATAAAACTGAAATTTACTGTAGTAAAATGATACAATATAGCAAAAAGCATTTAAATAAAAATATGCTTGTTGCCAAATGTTGTTTCACATCAAGCAGTCTGGAGATACCAAGCAGAGACTTCAGTTGTCCCTTTTTGGGATTATACCAGATTCATTTTTTCTCTTAGATCAAGAACCACTGACATATGAAGCAGAGCTCCTCAGAACCAGGGATCTCAACCTGGAGTAATGGCTGGGGTTTCACATACACTGCTGGTCACATAGGCACATTACTACTATGAGATCAAGCATGATGGAAGCCTATGGGGATCTCCTTGAAACCAGGTGCAAAGAATCAATCTTTCTGTTACCAATAATATGGACAAGCTGGCACAAAATGCTCCCAAACTTGTTTCAGACACAAAGTTGCAAAAACAGTCAGTCAGTACATTTGTGCATGACAAGTGGTCAGTGCTATGTAGATATACTTCCACTTTAGCAAAATAACTCACACCAATGCCAGGCTTGTTGGAATGGACTGTCACATCATCGTTCACCCTCACTGACCCAAGGACAACGACTTTTTATGATAAAACAATCACTCCTAATTTGGTAGCAGTTTACCTCCATTATAATATCATGTGATCAGTTAGGCAGTAAAAATGTACAGATACCTAACTCTGCAATAACTGGTAATATGGATTTTAACACACAGTTTAAGCATACAATAGTACCAACACAAATTTCATGAAATAGGTTTCTGAAATAACTTTACAAATTCTTTTGTTTCCCATATCTGTTATCTGCATGTGTTAGTATTCATATGCTGTATAATTAAGAACCATAATGATTGTATTGTTAATTACATTCAAATCTGCTTTAGGCAAATTCTCTACCATATAAATAATGTCTTGAGAGAGTTTTATTTAATCTTCCAATACAATTGATCACTAACATCAGTATTACCATGAGTTTTCCAGCTTTTCCACTATTATTTTTACCTATGATTCCTGTATTATACCACTGTTATGTAGTATTCTAGTACATTGCTATAATATAAATCTGTCATTATAAAACCCTTATTTCGCTCCATATAACAAAATGTACCTGTTCCATACATATTATTTCTCATAGGAATATATTTTAGTAGCCATGGCTTTATTAGTTCAGGATTAGAAAGTTCTAAACACATAATCAAATTTCTTTTCGTTTAATAGATACTGGTTTCCAGTGGGAAAGTTTCCATTTCAAGGCCCTTCTATCTCCCAGGAATTACTCTAGTCCTATGAAAATTTTTTCCAGTATCCACTGGTTTCCCTGTAGGTAAATAGTGGTTAAAATTCAGCTGTAGAATAAGAACTAGCCAAGAGAATTTCAATAGGTAAAATTATCCACTGAAAAATGTCCATAGATTGGGAGGCTCATACATCTCCCATAGGTGCATACACAGATTTTGTGAGAATCTCCAGCATTTTTTCTTGATAGTTCAGATTTCTTTAGATTCACAATGTCTAATTTTCCAGGTCATTTCAGGGTACACTCTTGCCCCTACCTCTGGGTTTGATCAGTGTGTCTTATGTTATGATCTAATTGCAAAGCTCATTTTATTTAGGCCATGTTATCATTCCTAGAAGCTTGCCATTCTTGTTCTTCTGCCTAGAATAGGATGTTTTCAATGTCTTATCAGTGCTAGGATGTGGCTTTTTTTTCACTGACAAAAAAAAATGTATATATCCATGGTGTAAAATATGGTATTTGAAATAGACATCCACTGTAGAACAGGCAAATCAAGTTAATTAACATAAGCATTGCCTCACATGCTTATCATTTTTTGGTCAGGTAAGAACAATTAAATCTTCAAGATTTAATTTAAGCAACATTCAAAAAGTTATTTTTAACTATAAGCAGAATGTTGTACAATAGCTGTCTTGAACTTATTCCTCTTGTCTAACTTAGATTTATATTTTTTGAACAACACTTCTCCAATATCCTCCCATACCCACCTCCCACCTCCTGGTAACCACCATTCTACTCTCTGTTTTAGTTACAGTACTTAGTCTAAGTCCACCCCAGAACATGAAGCAACATCAGGCCGGATATTAAGTTCTTATATTAAGTAGAAAAGGTCTAACACCACCAAAGAGTACCCGAGAAAGCCGGAAAATGTTAACCATCTTGTCAGAAACACAGGCTTCAAAGTAAAAATTGAAAGGCTGAAAATTCAGGGACATATGACATCAACAAAGCTCCACTAATGAACCCAGAAGAGCTGAAGATCTATGAAATGTTTGAAAAAAGAATTTAGAATAATCCTCTTAAAGAAGTTCAAAAACTCACAAGAAAATATGGATCAAATAAAAAGAAAAAGGAAGGAAAGAAAGAAAGATGGAAAGAGAAAGAAAGAAAGAAAGAAAGATGAAAGAAAGAAAGAAAGAAAGAAAGAAAGAAAGAAAGAAAGAAAGAAAGAAAGGAAGGAAGGAAGGAAGGAAGGAAGGAAGGAAGAGAAAGAAGGAAAGAAAAGGAAGGAAGGAAAGAAGGAAGCGAGGGAGAGTGGAAGAAAGGAAGGAAGGAGGGAGGGAGGAAGGAAGGGAGGAATGGAGGGAGGGAAAGAAGGATCTTAACAGAGGTTGTTTTAGAACATCTATGAATATACATAGTTAATCTTATACATAACGGTAAAAAATTGAACATTTCACCCCTAAGAGCAGGAACAGGACCAGATGTCTGCTTTTGCTATTTTTATTTAGCATTTCAGAAGTTCTAGCCAGTGTAATAAGGAAAGGAAAGAGGAAAGCTATTCAATCGGCAAAGATGTAACTGCTTCCTTCCTGAAATTCTTTACCACTGACTCTGCAAGCCTGGCTATTTCTTTTCATTTTGGCCTCAGCTTAAACATTACAGGCTCAGAAAGAATGTATAGTGAAATCTGAAATATTCCTTTGATACTCTCTTTTCTATCTCCTCAGATGCTTTATTTTCACATTAGCACTTGTTATTTTCTGATATATCTGATTACAATTGTAAACTTTGGAGAGCAGAGATACATTTGCCTTCTCAGTACTGTATTATAGACTTGGAAAAGTTTCTGCAACATAGTAAGAGGTCAATATACCTATTTATTGAGGAAAAAAGTAGGATACAACTTAATGGAAGAAGGGATAAAATTAATGCAAATGTGTAAGACTAAAAAGAATATATGCAAACTTTACAACTAAAAAAGTATTATTTAGTTATTCTTTTCTGGTTCTTTTAATTTTGATCAAAGGTATCTTATTTTAAAGATTCTATCTACCTCAATAGTTATGTCATAGATTTTGCTCCATAATTTCAGAAACAGGGTCTTTTTTAGGGCTATGTTATGAGTTTGAATATTAAAGAATAATATTTTCTCTATTTGAAAATGACCTAATTGATCCAAATCAATTCATGTGTTTTTCATAAGCTCCTTTTAAACAAATTCAATTTTCTTATGGAATAAATGATTTTGCAAGCTATTTTAAGAAATCCGTACAAGTCAGAACTTTGATGAAAATATATTTTCATTGCTGGCTATCTTTAACTTAAGAAAAACATATTAAGAAAAGTTCAACCATTTGAGTCCACCATTATGGCCATTATTGGTTTAAAAAATATAATAGGACAGGTTTTTACATTAGGATATTTAGTTATATATGTTTACTTCAATTTAGGTTAATTCCTGTCAGATTATTAGAATTCTGTATTTTGTTTGGCCCATAATTGTCAGCTTTCATTTTATATTTATTAGCACTATTAACACTGAAGTAACAATTTTTTGAATGTCATTTACTGTCTGTGCACTATTTGCTTCTAATTGAGAAACAAACTGGTCAAATTTCTTATAATTTTGTGAAAGATAGATGACTCAGCTGTGAGTAAGTTTTTATGAGCTTTCATGAAGAAAGCTTTCATTAAGGCTAAAATGCACAGACTCTGAGACACATGGTACTGCTATTTAGAAGTTTTCTTTTCTAAATGTTTGTAATTTTAGGTTGTAGTTCTGAGCTTTGTAAAGTTTTGATATGGTTTGGCTGTGTTCCCACCTAAATCTCATCTTGAATGGTAGCTTTTGTAATCCCCACATATTCTGGGAGGGACCCAGTGGGAGGTAATTGGATAATGGGGGCAGGTTTTTCCCATGCTGTTCTCATAACAGTGAATAAATCTCATTGGATCTGATGGTATTATAAGGGGTGGTTTCCCTGAACACTTCTCTTGTCTGCCACCATGTAAGACATGCCTTTGCTCCTCCTTTGCTCCTCCTTTGCTTTCCGCCATGATTGTGAAGCCTCCCAAGCCACATGGAACTGTGAGTCCATTAGACCTCTTTTTCCTTATAAATTACTCAGTCTGAAGTATTTCTTCACAGCAGTATGAAAATGGACTAATACGAAGAGTGAAAGAGTTAATAATTGTATTATTCTATATAATCTAATTTCTTCTACACAAAAGAAATCAGCATTTACAAGCTTATGTCTGTCTCATTGTATGTATTTTTATAGTTCATTAACCAGTTAATATTTCTGGAATTGACATAAGTTAAATATTATTATTATTATTATTATTGCTATTAAAACATCACATTGTAGATATATGACACTTAACTTCAAAAAAAATACATAAAAATGAGAACAGTGTCCTTCCCTGCTAAGTCATGAGATGAGAAAATCTAGTACAATTATTCTCATTTAATTTGTGAGGAAAATAAATTCTAATATTTCTGAGTTAAGAGCTCTTGTCTTCTAATGTTCCTGAATCCATCCCCTAGCATATAGTATTCACTCAAGTAGTGTATATTGATATATAGAGAACTCTTCTAAGGCAAACTTTTAAGTGTTTGCTTTTGGAGTCAGAAACTCAGTGATTCCTGAGTTTTCATTTTCTTAATTATAAAATGAAAACCAAAATAAAATAAAACATGGTATGAGATGTTGTGAGGATACTGCCTATAACATGCTTACTGCAGGACCTGAAGCTGAATTTAATAATAGTGAGTGAGTGGAAGGAACTTCCAGAAGGACACAAAATTTTGTAAAAAAATATCCAGGAGACAAAAATAATTCTATGTATGGCTTTCCCATCTTCCTTAGCTGTTGTTTTTGGTGGTGGTGTTTCATATACCATGGATAGATTCCAATATAAATAGAACAAAGGCATAACCATGAGTAGAATCAAACACATTTTTTGTTTACTGTTTAATTAGGATGGTTTCCAGTGGGAAAGAGCAAACAGTTTTATTCTTTACTCTGTTCATATCTACACCAACCCTAGAGGTTACTGGTAAACAGTTTATGAGCTGTACTGAAACTATGAACTAGAATAGGTCATAGCAAGAATTGCTTGTATAGCCTATACGAGCTTGAGGCTTAGGACATGACAATTTTCACAGACATGGCTGGAACAAAGGTAAAATAATTATGAGAGAAAAAGTTAATGGGCTTCAGTTATTGACTGGAACTCTTTTTTTCTTGTTGATTTTTTTCTGTTTTTTTGAAAATGATATGAGTGTCTGGTTTCTACGGCGCTTATAAAGTTGATTTCAGCAATTCCAAAAGGTGATATTGGAGTTCGTGAAAAATAATTTAGACTGGATAAATGTCTTTGTACTTGAATATCCAGTTACCATAGTGCAACATTCCACCAAAATGTGTTTTTCATGTTAAACTTAAATTGTAATATTGCTTCTTCTGTTACTTCCTTAGTTCCTATCAATGTCATATTCAGAAAAGCAATAAGATTCAGGCTGTATTGAGATGTAGAGCAGTGAAGTGTATAAAAATGAGACTCATTTGTTGGAAAGAAAACTTTACATCATAATTCAGAGGTACAGAACTATAAATAATTTAAATTTAGACTAAAGAACTCATTTCTATTTTAATGGGTATGTTTACAATGTTAGAAACAGAAAATCTATCTATTATACAGAAAAAATTTGTATAAACGTTAGTTACAATGCTATATACATGTTATATACATTAGAAAAATGTATATGATATATATGTAATATATACATATATGCCAAATTTCCAGGTAAAGCATGTATAAAATAACTTAAAATATTTATGTAAATGCTAAATTTTATTTCCCATTAAATAGGTTTATTTGCAAGCATATGCGATATTGTGCAAAAGTATTTTTAGTTTTTTTAGTAAATTCTCATGTAAGATTAAAAAAGATTCTACACTACAGGTCAGGATAGTTGAAATCAAGAACAAATTCAACTATATTTTGGCCTCTTAAAAGTGACTTCCTTAATAGGCCTTTCTCTCAATGGATGTTAGCCCTTGTGTCATTTTAATTTTCACACCAATTTTTGTTATTGTTATTTGAAATTTTATTAATAGAAACACTTTTAACAACCTATTTACACCTATTTACTGTATTGGTGGTAAGCACCACCAATACAGTAAGTTCTGTTTATAATAATTAAAATCATACTTTGAAATTAAGATGTAAATAATGGAATTTTATATATTACTAATGTAAGAAGTTGCATTTGTAAGAATCACTGGGTTTATTCTGGAATTGAATTGAACTTTCAGATGCAAGAAATTGCTTAAGGAAGAGCAACCTTAGGTCAAACTCTAATTTTAGTGCGATAAACTAATAATTTTTACAAAAATGAATATTTTTACATTTCCATATTCAATTTTAAAATATGAAACATCTTCTTTTCTAAAGCAGAAGTTGCAGACTCAAGAACTCTAATAAATATTTACAAACAGCAACCAGAACTCATTTTATAGGCTAGTTACTTCACCTTATAGAAATGAGTGATAGAGGATATTTTTGCTAACTTGGCACCCAGATGTGCAAATTATCCTGGCAATACACCTTATTGTTCCACCTACAGCTACATTTTTAGATAGAAGTGGGAAGTTTCAAAGGTAAATGGAAAAGAAGAGTACTACACTGTATCTATTTATTTTAAGGCCCCTTAACACTTCAGCTTCTACAGTTAAAAATCTGAATGCCAGAAACTGGAGAATTCATTTTTTAAAGCAGGACTTGGTAAGATTTTAGGCAAAGGTTAATGTCCGGAAACTAACGAAACTACCCCAGAAAAGCTTGTGTGAGCAGTAGTACAAGCAGAGATACTTTGGGACCCAGTTGACTGAGTCAGGAAGTGGTTTGGAGGCAGTTGTGTTATTCTTGCATGAAAGCACTTGTGCCAAGATAATGTAAATATCTGGGAAAACCCAGAGACAGTGTTACCAAAACAAAAATTGGACTTTCTCAAACAGTTGAGGAAGATTTTATTCAACACTATTACAATGGGGGAGAGAGAGATCAGAACTAAATCCGCACTCAACTCTACTGAAGCAATGATTGGGAAGATTCTTAAGTGCTGAAGTGAGAGGGAACACAGGCTATCTGTGTTTGCTAATTTACATTACTCAAAGCAAAGCTTTTCATATTTTTGTGATAAAAGTACTTTTACAACTCAAAGCAAGGAACCCACCAAAGTTAGGCTCTTACCTTGTCACGTAAACTGAAAGATAGGTGTGCTATCTGACTTGATACTTATGTTTCAAAGATGGCTCTCGGGTCCTTAAGGAAGACATCTGTGAGCTATAAAACTGGAAGGAAGTTTTTAAAAAGATTTACATCTCAATAGGACAGAAAAATAACTCACAATTATAAATGTTCTAAAATAAATGCTCTAAGAAACTGGAGGTCAAGGCCTAGAGACAGGAAGAAGGCTCTCTAAAGTTTAGTCCTCCTGAGAAAGACATTAAGGCCACCTTGGCAGCATCGTGGGTGTGGACTATGTTGCAATAATAGCAGAGAGGGCTGTATCTCTGCTGGTAGCTTCATTGGCAGTGTTCACTCACAAGCTGAGACTAGATCATGAGAAAAGCAAGAGTGTGGATGTCCTGTAGGACCCCGCTGAGCTGAAAGACCAGGTTATAGGCATGTGGTGAAGCAATGTGTGGGTACTTCCAGGAGTAAGAGGGGATATTTAAAGGACAGTGAATTACCAGTAATAAATCCTGGAGAGGCCCATAGTGGAAACCGTGGACTACTAGATGGCGGAGGCAGAGAGGGGACATGGATTGAAAAACTATCTATTGAGTCCTGTGCTCATTAACTGGGTGATGGGATCAGTATCCTCAACCTCAGCATCATGCAATATACCCATGTAACAAACCTGCATGTGTACCTTTAGATCTAATATAAAAGTTGATGTTATAAAAATAAATAAATAATAAATTTAAAGAACAGGAAATTACTTCATGGTCATGGGATAGAGAGACCTAGAAGACAAATTATACTCTTATATTTTCTTTTACTTAATTGTGCAAATTAAGTTATTCTCGACAGTCACCTTGTGCTTTTTGAAGTCCTGAGTTAAATAGTACCTCCAGCTACTATTACATAATTCTCTCTTAGATAGATTTTACTTGTTTCCACCTGTTAAATATAAGATATTGGTATCGGTATGAGCAAAACGAGATAATTAACCTTTCTCCATCATTTAAATAATTGTTTTAGTTTTTGTTTGCTTTTTTTCAGAGTACAACATAACTTAGAAAAGAATATTTTCTTTTTGCTAGAGAAGCAAGAACCAGACCAGAATCAAGAGAAAACTGTTCATTATTGAGCAGAGAAATAAGCTTTTCTTTGCAGAAATATTTAAGAATTGAACAATCTTAAACAGGTTTCTTTTTCACTATGTGAGTTCTCTGTATATTTAACATGCTCTTTAAATATTCAAAGAGTTTTAAAATGCAGTTTCTTAACTTATTTGATCACAACCTTTGTTTTTAAAGTGAGGTAATATACTGTAGAACCAGATTTATATGACTCAAAGTTAGGAAAATGATGCAGTTCAAATTTCTTAACGTCATTCCATAGAAAGAAACTTCTAGTTTACTGTAAGTGGTGAAATGTGTGCAGTAAACATTTTACAAATGGATGGTGTGAGCATAGGACCATCAGCAGGTAAGTCCCCCTTCCTCTCCCTGTGATGAAGAAGCAAGTCTATAGTCCAAAAGGAAGAAGCTCATTTTCAGAAAGTGAAAAAAAGCAAGAATCAGTGTGAAAGAAGACTCAATGTTAGGCAAGTCCTTATTCATAAACTGTTTTGCTTTTCTGTTTTGGAATATTCTTAAGTTGTTCTACATATTGCTGATTCATATTTTTCCACCAAGAGAATGCTAATTTTTTCTTCCTCAACTGATTAATTAACTTTGCTATTGCACGTTTCTTTCATTTCCATCTTATTGTTTCCATTTCTAAGTCAATTTGAATTCACTTTGAATAGTTACAAGTAATTTCAGTTGCCATTATGCTTCCCTTAAAATGTTAATGAGAATGTCTATTGCCAGTTTATATGTTAGAATTTAGGATACTCTAATAAATTTATTTAATAAAATAAATTCTATGCTTCATTGATACTAAGATGTACATTTTCACATGTTGTTATATTTAAAACTGGATGTGTCTTATAAATCATGACATTACACATTTACTTTGGTCTGATGATAAAGACATATTTGTGTTTGTGAATATATGAACATCAAAAGCGTCTGTACCCAAATATTCAAATTAAGTCTCAAAGGCTTAGAAAATAATCTTAGAGATGATAGTGGAATTGTATTAACACACAGGAACCGATGACTGTGGGGAAGTAATGAATCAGAAATGTTTAGCAACATATTAGAGTCAGAGTTAAAAGAAGACTAGATTTACATTAAGGCAAAGCTAGCTTGAAAACATGTGTCAGTGACTTTCAGCATTGTTAAAAGGAAAACTGTAGCAGAATTAAATTTAAAAAGAGTTTAAGAGAGCAAAGAACAATTTGCGAATCAGAAAGTCTCCCAAGCCAGAGTAGCCTGAGACTCCAGTGCAGCCATGGTGGAAGAAGACTTATGGACAGAAAAAGGAAAGTGATGTACAGAAAATGGAAGTGAGATACTGAAACAGCTGTATTGGTTACAGCTTGGCGTTTGCCTTATTTGAACATGGTTTGAACAGTTGGCCACCTTTGATTGGCTGAAACTTGGCGATTGGCACAAAGGTAGGCTACAGTGTGTTTACAACTCCATTTAGGTTATAGTTCACTATGTATACAGAAATATTTAGGCTGAACTTAAAATATGTAAGAAGGCAGTTTTAGGTTAAACTTGATGTAACAATTCCCTATTTTTGGTAGTTCTCTCAATTTAGAGAGATTGCCCAAAACTTTAGTCAATGATGTTACCACCGTCATGGTAAATGTATTTATTTGGTCTTGAAACCCAATGGGAAATAGCAGAACAGTGGGTTCTATAAGGTAGGAACAAGATTTTTTTCCTTTTTCTTTGTAAAGGTTAGAGTAGAGGGTACCTTCTTATGCTGGAATGTCCTGTTTAAAGGAGAAAAACAAAACTGTCTGTTTTAACATCTATGTGTTTTCTTGAAGTCTTAGTTTGATTATGTCACATTTAGCACAAGTTGACTCTATTTTAAGATCTATGTGTTTAAAGATCTATGTGTTTAAAGATCTATGTGTTTCCTTGAAGTCTTAGTTTGATTATGTCACATTTAGCACAAGTGGACTCTATTTTAAGATCTATGTGTTTAAAGATCTATGTGTTTAAAGATCTATGTGTTTCCTTGAAGTCTTAGTTTGATTATGTCACATTTAGCACAAGTTGACTCTATTTTGGTTTGATCTGCTCTTTTGGGGTACAGTGCATGAGATCTGTTCAAAACAAGAGCCTTCCATAATTTGTTTAAAACTTCCTCCTTTTGGTCAGGTTGTCACTTAAGTGAGAGTGTGACCAAAATGTAGGGGCTTAGTGCCATTCTCAGTTACTATCATTTTGGGTTTCCTGTCTTAGCATGTCATTTATAGGCTATGGTGCTCTCATGATCACACATTTATTTCAGCTCTTGTCATTCCAGTTGAAGACAGGCCCTATTTGACATTCTAGGATGGCTGCCTGCAAACATTTAAAACTGTTGAGAGTATACAGCACACCAGGGAGACTACTATTTATGACTATCAGGAGGATAATACCAAGAGTTTAGAGTATGCTTTTTAGCCAGGGTCCCCATAAACCAACCAACTAAAATCAAATTGATTAAAGAATGAGCTAAAGAGTCTACTCACTTTAACTAAGAAGTTTCATCATTAATCCTCTACAACTGAATAGCTATAATACCCATTGTGAATATTTCTCCCTGGGCAACAAGAAGTATCAGCCACTGCACAGATACTTCTCAGTTTAGCCAGTAAGTAATCTAGGGCCATATTATTTAGCAAAACTCTCACAAGAAAATTTAAAGTCTGTGTGTAACCACAGCCTTTACAGTAGAATTTGCTGTAGATCCTATTGTGAGGGATAAATTTCCAATTATTGCCTTATTTACTTCAAACCATGGGAAAAAAAAAAGACCTAACAAATGATGCCCTTCTAGAATAGTGAAGACTTCCTGGCAATTTTCTCTTTAACTCATGATTTAGGTTAAGGGGACTGAACCAATGTTTTGTTTCCAACTGATTATGAGGAAACATATGTACCATTAAAATTTTTCACCTACATTGAGCCTTGTTACACAATGGATGTAACAACTGTAGAGAGACCCTTCTGAGTTGTGAGATTATGAATCCAAATTTCAAGGTCCCAGAGTTTTGTGGCAGAGTGGATGGTGATGGCAGTCTTTCTCTGATGTTCCCACAAGATCCAATCTTTGAGTTCTAGATTGTGAAGGGGTTGATTTTCCTCAGTCAGTGGACCATGAAAAGCTTTCCTTACCTGGTGAAAATATACTTTGGTATAGTGAGCTACTGTTAATGTTATAATAGCCCTCTTACACGGGAAATCTTTTAAACAACCAGAAAACCTGCATTGAAAACTACAATTGAATAAAATATCTCTATAAATGTCTAAATGGCTCATCAGATAGCAGTTTTATTGTCTTCCCCCAAATATGGGTTTGACAAACCATTGGTCATAAAATATTTTAGCAAATTCAAATAATAGTGTATTGATCATAAACTATTTTAGCAGTTTAGAGGTCATGAAACACACACACACACATATATATATATTTGATTTGGAACATTTTATATTTTTCATGTGTTATGGAATGCAGAACTTTTAATACAAAAGCTTTAAGGACTCAGGAAGGACAAGGCAGCCATGTTGATTCTCCATTAGTTCATGCTTAGCATTGAACGTATGTCTTCTTGAATACCAGTCGTCTCTCCAATTTAGGTGTATAGCACTGATAAATAATAAGTTATTATAGGAAATTTGACTTAGAAGATGGAGTTCATTCAGTATGTGTATCTAAATAATTACAACACTGGCTGATTTTTTATTAAAGTTCCAAGAATTCTACCCAGTTCAAATGATATGATTCTAAAGTTGTCGGAAACCTGTATTTAATAATTTTTCTTAGGGTCATTTCTATCCTTGTATGAACCTTCTAAAAGATACCATATTCTAGAATTTTGTGTGCTTGTGAAGTTTTCAGAGACTGCATCAGAATTAAGCAATTAACTATAGAAATAACTTTAGTCACAGTTAAAGACCCAATTGACAAAGAATTTGATTATTTCTGTGGTGTATAATAATGTAATATAATAACCATGATTATGTTTGATATCATATACTCACACATGCAGAATTTTAGAAATCCCATACAATTTTGGAACACTTATTAGTAACATTCATTAAAATATAACCTGAAGAAGGTTAAACATTATTTCTTAATAATGTTTCCCATGTCATTTAACATGTCAAATAATCCTGTTTAACTCTATCTCTTTCAGTTGCTTCAGGGGCTCTCTGTAGTGTTCTAAACCTTTAACATATTTGACAGGCTTCCCAAAATCAAATTTCAGCTTCAAAATTAAGTCAATGATAGAGGTCAAAAAGGATTTATTTAATTTCGAAGCTGAAATTTGATTTTGGGAAGCCTGTCAAATACGTCAAAGGTTTAAAACACTTGACCAAAACAGAATCACAGGTCACCATAAAATGGTAGTTATAGATTTAACCACAGTGATAATTAAAAGATTTTAAAAAACAAAAACCTGTTCTCTTTGATAAAAGAAATTCAGATATCTAAAAAACTGAAAAGACCTAAGACAGCATGAGACAGAATCTGTCTCTTCTTCTTTCTTCTCTTTTTTTTTTTTTACCTTTTTGTGGTTTATTCAAAAGGTGAGCAAAAATATTTTACTATGTCTTATTAATACTACACAAAACCTTCATTCAAAAGAGACTACTTTTTTTTTGTATTACTGTATTATCAATACTAAAACTAATTTTAATAAAACCTCATAAATTTATCAAATTCGTCATCTTTTAACTATACAAGATTTCCCTAAAGATCCTTTGCATTTTTCCCTAACTTTCTATATTCATCTTGTTTCATCTATTTTTTCTTCCTTCAACTTGAAATCTTAAAGTAATTTTAAACCTGACAAATTTTTAACACACATTTTTATGCCTTTATAAATTTTCTCATCAAATCCATACTTTGCTTTTGTTTATACACTCTTAATACAAAAATGTTTCTCTCATGTCTCACAGTTTTTAATTCTTAGTAGCCCTAATTTCTAGTAAAAAGTGTATAAAGTAATTTTGAAATGTTTTATTACAGTATTTCTAGATAAAATGATTTTATAATATTTTAGAAAACTAGTTCTTCAAATTATTATTTATTAGCAGATCCACATGTATTTAGCTTTTGTATACCATATAAAAATAACATGTTGAGATATGTAGACTTAAACACATGTTTAATATTTCATTATCTTAACTTCCAGATGACTCAGGAATTTTATCATTATTCATTACTTAATTTAACATAACATAACTCAAATATATTAAATTACTGAAAATAATTTTGAAATTATGACACAAGTATCCTCCCTAATGACTGTCCCCAGTCATTCTAGGTCCCAAGTAGCCATGTAACACCCAGGAGGACTATGAAGGTCAAGGCCTGTCTTAATCCTTTAGGACAGAAGACAGAGCTGTGAAGACTATACACTGACGTTACAATTGCTCCCAAAATAGCCAGGAGGCAAAACAGGGAAAGCCAGAAAGAAGGGGCCATACTGAGCTTGATTCTGGCTTGTAGCTGCTGTCTAGACACTAAGAACATGTCTCCAGACCTCATTATGGCCACCTATCCAGACCCCTGAATCCACAAACTCCAAACCAAAGGCATAAACTTAGTCAAATCAAGCAAGTATCTAATTATATTTAACTGATTATTTTGAAGCCATTTCTATTTTACACTCTAAAAACTAGCTTTACTTACCAAATATTACCACATAAACATAACACATATAGATATACAAACACACAGAAGATCTTATCGCTTCTATAAAGGATTTTCATTTGCTGGCTTTTACATAGTTTTTCTTTTCCCCATTTTGTCTATCAGTTTTTCAGTTACCTGTTTCATTGCCCTAAGCAATTGTTAACTAGGCAATCAATTTGCATTTTCTGAAGGGACAACTCTTAGGTGAAACAAAAATAATTATATTTTATAAACACAGAGGTAAAATTTTAGGATTGAATATTATGTCATCATTTGCTCAAACCAAGGGGGGAAAAAACTGCTCAAATAAAAGTTCACTTAAGACAAGATGCCAGAAAAGCACCTTAAACAAAGGCATTACTTATTATGTAAATTTAAAAGAATGGTAACAGTTTCTAATTTACATATGCAGACTTCCTTATAAATGGAGTTTTTCTTTATAGATGAAAATTTCTTTTACAATAGAGTTTCAAGATAGCCAATTAAATACCAGCTTAATAGGGTGTTCTTTTAAAGTTAGCTACTGTTTTTAAGCTAAAATTACTGAGTTCAGAATGGAGTCTATTAAGAAATAGGGACAACAAAGCATTTTCTATGCTCAGACTCACCATGGATGTATCTGAAAAAGAGCCAAGGCTATTTCTCATTTTCATTTAGTTCTACCCTAATTTTAGTTATGTATTTTCTTCTGCCAGCTTTATGGTTAGTTCATTTTTGTTTTTCTTTTTTGTCTAGGTGTGATGTTAGATCATTAATTTGAGATGTTTCTAACTTTTTTCTCTAGTGCTAGGATAATTGGATAGCCACATGTATAAGAATAAAACTAGATTCACCCTTTACCATATACAAAAATTAACTCATGGCAACTTAAAATTTAAACGTAAGACCTCGGACTATAAAAGTCCTAGAAGAAAACCTAGGAAACGTCATTCTGGACATCAGCCTTGGAAAAGAATTTATGAAAAAGTTTTCAAAAGCAATTGCAACAAAAACAAAAATTGACAAGTGGGACCTAATTAAACTATAAAGCTTCTGCACAGCAAAAGAAACAATCAACAGAATCAAGAGACAACCTACAAAATGGGAGAAAATATTTACAGACTGTGCATCCAACAAAGTTCTAATATCCGGAATCTGTAAGGAATTTAAACAATTCAACCATCAAAGATAAAATAACCCCATTAAAAAGTGAGCAAAATACAAGAACAGACACTTCTCAAAAGAAGATATACAACTGGCCAACAAACATATGAAAACATGCTCAACATCAGTAATCATTAGAGAAATGCAAATCAAAACCACAATGAGATACCATCTCATACCAGTCACAATGACTATCATTAAAAATTAAAAAAAAACAGACACTTGTAAAGTTGCAGAGAAAAGGAGGAACTTATACACTGATGGTTGGAATGTAAATGAATTCAGCCACTGTGGAAAGCAGTTGTTAGATTTCTCAAATAACTTAAAATAGAACTACTATATGACCCAGAAATCCCAGCACTAGGTATTTTCGAAAATAAATTGCTCTACCAAAAAACAGATGCACTCATGTGTTCATTGCAGCACTGTTCACAATAGCAAAAACATGTAATCAACCTAGGTGCCCAAGAATGGTGGACTGAAGAAACAAAATGTGGTACATATACAACATGGAATACTATGCAGCCATTAAAAAAGAACAAAATTATGTTCTTTGCAACAGCATGGATGCAGTTGGAGGCCATTATCCTAAGTGAATTAATGCAGGAATAGAAAACCAAATACTGCATGTTCTCACTTATAAGTGGTCACTAAACACTGGTAACTCATGGACATAAAGATGACAACAGTAGACACTAAGCACTACTAATGGAAGGAGGAGGAGAGGTAGTACTATGCTCGCTACTTGGGTGATGGACTCAATCATAGCCCAAACCTCAGCATCATGCAATAAACAAATACAACAAGCCTGCACATGTAAACCTTTAATCTAAAATAAATGTTGAAATTGTTTAAAAAATCAAAAAATTAAAAAAATTAAATGATAGCATTTTACAGTATATCTCTCCATATATTGCTGTGGAGGTTGCCATTTTAATCACCAATTTGGAGTTCAATTTATTAATATCTATATTAGTTTTCTGTGACTGAATAAATTACCATAAACTTGATGTCTTAAGACTGCAGAAATGTATCATCTCATAGTTCTGGAGGCAAGAAATCCAAAATTAATATCACTGAGCAAAAACCAAAATAGGGCAAGATTATATACCCTCCAGAGGCTCCACAAGAGAGAATCCATGTCTTACTTCTTCCAGCTTCTAGTGGCTGCCAGCAATTTTTGGCTGTGGGTGCATCACTGAAGTCTCCAAGCTAACATCTTCAAATTTCCGTTCCATCTTTACATCTTCTCTTTGTGTTTATTCTGCTTCCTTCTTCTAATGATATGCTTGATTGCGTTTAAGACTCACTCCAACATTTTAGGATAAGCTTCCCATCTCAATTATTTAACTTAATGGAATCTGCATAAACCTTTTTCCTGTATTTTATATATATATACATATGTATGTGTATATATATATATATACACATATGTATGTGTATATATATATATACACACATATGTATGTGTATATATATATATACACACATATGTATGTGTATATATATATATACACACATATGTATGTGTATATATATATATACACACATATGTATGTGTATATATATATAGATACATATATGTGTGTGTGTGTGTGTGTATATATATATATATATATATATATATATATATATAGGTTCCAAGAATCAGGATCTGATATGTTTGGTGACTATTATTCTGCCTACTTCAATTGCCATGAAAATTTTCAAAGTGCATACCTAATGACTCAATAATTGCATTTTTTTAGTGTCTTTTTGAGAATAAATATTTATAATGCATGATAATAATACATATACACACGGTTGGTTACAGATATGATTTTTTAATGTAAAAAATCGAAGGTATCTAAAGGCTTACAGAGAGAATAAATTAATAAGCAGTTAAAATGTGGTAGCTATGTATGAACCAATATGAAAAGTAAAAGGGAGATTAAAGAAATTGTGCAATTAGGTATCATATATGTAAATAAACAGAAATGATATTATGTGTTTCTGTTAAGACTACATATGATGCAACTTATGTAAAGAGAAAAACTTATATTACAATTAAATACTTTGTTTTTTCAGGAGTAGATGTCTATTTGTAAGGATTTATACTACACTGATAAGGGAGGTTTTATTTTTTGAGAAAGAACTGGAACTGGAAATGAAGAGGGAGTGGTCCAAAGACACGTTAGATTTAATTCTAATGTTTAAACGCTTACATTTGAGTAAAGAGTATGGACCTTTACTCTGTCTTCCAGCTGCAGTAAATTAGAGTTTTTAAAAATATTTCCCAGGAGTCCTTCAGAATTTCATATTTTGCTTTGGATTTGTTATAAATCCACCTAAGTCTTCTATTATCTGTCTTTATTAAATGGTACTCAGCAACAACCGCCATGTGGTTAGCAGTTCCCTCATCCCTCTCCAGCACCAGTGATACTGCATTAGCCAATGTGTCCCTACTGCACTGATATTTCATCCAGGTTACCAACATAGGCAATTTTAACAGTCGTATTGCCACACCTGCTGAGCAACATCCATACTTCACCTATTACCAGTAACGATATTCTCACTGCTAGCCTGCCAAAGTCAGCCATCTTAACATCTTCTTTTTGAAATGATTTCCTAGAATCCTTCTGGCAAGAAATATCTTACTTATTTTGGGGGCCCTGGAAACAGATTCTGAAACAAATAATTACACATGGAACTCCAATAGGGAGAATACTTAGGAGACATACCTAGGGGCTGGGATGACCGAATTGAGCAGAAGGAGAAGCTTCCTCATAATGCAATTGCAACTAAGTCATCAGCTGACCCTATGAGAAACTCTGCAATTGAGATGGCTCTTTAGAGGTACCCCAATTGAAGCTAGGATTCTGTGATTTTGTTTCCATTTAGTAGCCGCTTCTCAGCTGGGAGACATCTCCTAGAAGGAGCATAATTAAGATGATGTAGTTCCCTGCGGTCAAGGACAATTTACAATGAGGAGCACAGCTGTAGTCTGTCAACAGCTAGTACTTGCATTACTGGGGAATAAAGACAGCTCATAATAAAGGCAGCACAATATTCACTATCCTATCCAAGAAATGCTTTTTTCCATGTTTTGAAGTTCTACAATCATTCTCTGATTTACTGTTTCCAGTTTTAATAATATATCCTACTATAAAATGGAATTTAATAAAATAATCATGTTCTTGACCTATAGCACTTAATCATCTCCATTGTAATTTCCCAGTTTATGCTTTTTTGTTGTTGTTGTTGTTGTCGTTTTGAGGCGTGGTCTCGCTCTGTCGCCCAAGCTGGAGTGCAGTGGCGTGATCTCTGCTCATTCCAAGCTCTGCCTTCCGGGTTCACACCATTTTCCTGCCTCAGCCTCCCGAGTAGCTGTGTCTACAGGCGCCCACCGCCACGCCCAGCTAGTTTTTTTGTATTTTTAGTAGAGACGGGGTTTCACCGTGTTAGTCAGGATGGTCTTGATCTCCTCACCGTCTTAGTCAGGATGGTCTTGATCTCCTGACTTTGTGATCCACCTGCCTCGGCCTCCCAAAGTGCTGGAATTACAGGCTTGAGCCACCATGCCTGGCCTCCTAATTTATACTTTTAAAAAAATTAATTAAAGCAGATGCAGGATATTCATTCCAGTCTTACAATTGTTCCATACTGAACTCCTGGACTTCCGCTTATAACCACCATCATCACATTTGATAGAAATGCCATTCTCCCAATTTATGAGGCCAGAGTCTTTGGAATCATGCGTGGTTTTTCTTTTTTTCCTATCTCATATTTAATGTGTTGGTCAATCATTATGGCTCTACCTTCAAAATAAATGCACTTCTCCATTGTTACCATAGTGGTTTAAGCCAACACCAACAATTACCTGATTTATTGTAATTACCTTCTTAACGGACCCTCTGCTTCTCTCGTTGCTCATGGGGCTGTCAATTCTGAACACAAAGACCCAGTCAACCTTAAAATAATTAAAGCAGATCAAGAAAATATTCTGAATACAAATCTGCAAGGGCTCCCCATTTCATTGTGTGTGAAAGAGAAGTTGGGTCTGTAAGCCCAATATAGTCTGTTTCCACTTATAATCTTGATCTCTTTTCTACCACTCTTCCCACTCACTTCACTCATTCTACTCCAGCTACACCACTATCCTTGCTGCCTCTTCATCACACAAGGCATATCTTTGATTTAGAGCTTTAAATTAGATACTCCTCTGCCTGGAATTCACTTGCTCCAGCTAGCCACCTGAATAACAGTTTCACCTACAAAAGCCGTTACCCAAAGGTCATGTTAGCAAGGTAGCCAATCTGTAGCACTCTATTTAAATTTGAAATTTCCTTCTCAGCATAACACCTGATTCATCTAGCTTTATTTCGCAATGGTTTTTTTGTGTGTGTGTTTGTTTTTGTCACCTTTTTCCACATATTTTAACTTTTGAACAACTATAACATGGACCTCTTTATTATTTTTGTTATTTTTTTATCTGTTTCTCCTTTGTTGGCATGTAACTCCCATAAAGACATGAAATAGTATTGTTTAACTGATATATCTCCAAAACCTAGAACATTGCTTGGTACATAGTAAACATTCAATAGGAGTATTTAAGTACATGAATTGCTCAGTTATACCACCTGACCCCTAAAAATTTTTCTCAAGTTTAATTCACAGTGAAAACTTCTTCTCACATGCGAACACTTTTCTGATATAAATCTCCAATGAATCAAACTATCCAGGGATAACAGTCAGGAAAATGTCTTTTGTCTGTTTTATGCTTCACAGGTAATTCTGATAGTAAACTCAGATTAATCACTTCTTTGTATGCTGTATAAAATTCTGAGCTGATCCTCTCTTTAAATTACTGTACTCTGCATATACCAGATGGCAAAAAACAATGGAATTTTTGTGAAGAAATAAAATGTACATGTTTAGACAAGAACATCAGTAAAACTGTCATTAGAAAGAAATAATATATCACAAATGTGAAGCTCTAAAACACTGGCATGTGTAGATTTTCTTGCTTAATATTATTATCACTGATATTTTACTTTACACACTTTCTATAAGATAACAATGTATTAGAGTGGTACATGTAAGATGGGGCATATATTGATTTCATACATAGATAATGAGTGGACTATTTCCTCCCTCAACAAGTTCATAGTTTAATGGGGGGAGGTGCTTTGATCCAATAATGTCATATGAAATTGAAGATCTTATAATAAATGCATATTGTGTTGTAACAACAAAGATAACTGAACAGGCTTTATGGAGGGATGTAAGATAATCCTACATAGCAGAAAACACCATTGGTGTAAGATAAGCCTACACTGAAAAAAAAAGAAATCCTTGCAAATGACTCTTTTAAAAAATGGTTAAAATACATTAGTTAGAACAGGGTCTAAAGACATTTTAGAAAGAGAGGAAATGAAGGATATAATAATCACTGATTGGTGTGATGTTCCACATGGCTTAAAGATGGGCTGTATCTGTTGAATGTATATTAGCATAGGAAGATGGAAAAGGGAATTGGGGCCAGGATTTCCTAATTGTAAAAGAGATCCATCATATAACATCACAAGAGTTTATTTTTCTCTTATAGTTTCAGAAATAATATTAAGGGTAAAATTTTGTACGCCTCAATTATAAATCATTTCTTAGTAAACATATAATTATCTCTCGGAACAAAAGCTTAATAATTGTTGACAATTGCCAACCCAACAGAAAATTTTCTGTGTTTTCTAACCGTTACCAAAGAGTGGAGATAAGTTGGAGCAATGATATTTCATACACAACTATACTCTACTTTTTAAGATTGGAGATTGAAATCCAGAAACAACCACCCTGAATTGAGAAAATAAACAATATAATAGAACCAACTTCTACTCACATATTATGCAAAATGTTCAGCATGTTGCCCAAACATCAAGAGACATAACACTTAAGTATCAATATATGTTGATACGGGAAAGCTCTGGACATTTTTCTACTTATTATAAAAGCTCAGAAGTAGGAGAGGATTACTGAAAAAAAGATGACAAAGTTACTTGAAACAGCACTTCCATTGTAAAATAAATAGATATTTTAGGTTAAAGACAATTTTAACTCTCTTTCACTGAATTTATTTCTCTCTCTCTTCCCAGCCCCACCTCACCCCCTTCCCCACCTACCCCACCCCCTGCTATCTCCCTGTGTTTGCCTTTTCTCTTTGGCCTGCCAGTCTGGTGTTACTATCATTTTGACAACACAAGGACTTTTAAAAGTAGCAAAGGGTAGCAGCAGTCTGTTCCTCAACTTTGTTAGTAAGCTTAAATGCACTGTGTTTTTCAGATCAAATGGTTTTACCTTTAAAAATTTTTTAACTTTAGGAGCTTTTGTTGAGCTCTTGTGACTCACCAAAGTTTTTGGTATAAAAGTATTAGTAGCAGTTGCCCGAGGGCAGCCACTGGGGGTAGGAATAGAAACTTACACAGCACTACTTGATCCAACCCTTAAAAATGGTTCTGCAAGTTATCAAAAAATAGTTTTAAAGCAACTGAGGATACATTTCTATAGACATAAAATCCTGTGCCAGAGAATCAGCTTAAACAAGACCCAGCGGGAGGGAGAGACTAGTGAAAGGTCTATTGCCAAAGGCACAAAGGTGAGTAGCATCTTGACATCTCACCTGGCTGGAAGGCCTAGGAAAACAGAAAATGGACATGAATACCGTGATTTTTATAGTAGACATGCACAGATACAGCCAAGTATCCAATTGCATCATTCAGGAATCTCCAGAGAAACAGAACCAATAGATCTCAATCTCTCTCTCTCTCTCTCTCTCTTTCCCCCACATATGTGTGTGTGTGTGTGTGTGTGTGTGTATGTATATATATACACACATACATATATATATATATACATATATATGAACAAGACTGTACATACACACACACACAAAATGGAGCAACTGTGGGGACTGGCAAGTCTGTAGTATATAAGGCAGGCTGGCAGGCTCCAAATTCAGATTAACGGCTCATGTTGCAGTCTTAAATATGAGTTCCCCAGGGCAGCAGCAAGCTGGAAATTTAGGCAAGGTCTCTATGTCGCAGTCTCGAGGAAAATTCCTTCTTTGGGAAAACTCAGCCTTTTTCTTAAGATTATCGGCTGATTGAATAAGTCCCAGTCACCTTATGGAGGTTAACGAGCTTTACTATATGTCTACAGATTTAAATGTTAATTCTATCTAAAAACCGACAGAACAATCTAGAAAGGTGTATGATCAGACATCAGGGCACTATAGCTTAGACAAGTGGTTATGTTAAACTAACCATAATAACAATTAAAATTAAGGAGACTTAGGTCCTAAATTAAGTATTCTTGATTTATGGTGCTTACTAGAGCCAGTTAGTCTTAGCATCTACCTATCATTTGAGTAAGATATTCCTGCTCACCCCCATCTGTGAGCCTCAGAATAGCCGGTGACTGAAAGAAAGCTTCCACCACCATCCATAATAAATCTGGGGGTTGATTGCCCCAAATTTGATATCTGGATATCACCTCCTCACATTGGATTTATTGACTCCTTATAGCCAGTGTTCCCACCGGATTTCTGATCTCTATTGCTTTGATGACTTCTTGACCAGTAGACAGTCTGTGGACTTTAGAGATATCAGGTTCTTGTCTTTCTTAACTGCTCCATCTCAAACAAAGCTCTCTCCTAGAATGGGCACTCAGTGCGTATTTATTGAAGATTTTATTGCATGCTTGAATTCTGAATCTTTCTGTACTCTCAACTACTGGGTTAACATAGCATTAATTTTATTCATTTCTAAAACGTACATGAGGTGAAACCCCGTCTCTACTAAAAACACAAAAATTAGCCAGGTGTGGTAGTGCGCACGTGTAGTCCCAGCTACTCAGGAGGCTGAGGCAGAAGAATCACTTAAATCCAGGAGGCAGAGGCTGCAGCAGTCATCTGAGACTGTGCCACTGAACTCCAGCCTGGGTGACAGAGAGAGACTTTGTCTCAAAAAACAAAACAAAACAAAACAAAAAAAACCTTACATGAAAGAAACACATCAGCATCATCTTGACCCCTTTTTTGAAAACTATTTTTGTGTTTCAAATGTAAATTGAAACATAAATAAGGCACTATTTTATATTTTTAGGAAACAGAAGGAACTTTAAAATTGTGCATGTGTTTTAATAATAAACAGTTTTTACTAAATGATTATTTGAATCAGAGATTATCTGTGTGAAAAAAAAAGTCAGGGCTGGGTGCTGTGGCTCACACTTGTAAACAGCAATTTGGGGTGCTGAAGCAAAAGGATCACATGAACCCAGAATTTGAGACCCACCTGGGCAATGTGGCAAAACCCCATCTCAACAAAATTACAAAAGTTAGTCAGGTATGGTGGCATGTTCCTGTAGTCTCAGCTACTAGGAAGGTTGAAGTGGGAGGATCCCATGAGCCAGGGAGGATGAGGCTGTGGTGAGCCGAGATTGTGCCACTGTATTCCAGCCTGGGCAACAGAGTGAGACCCTGAGTATTGGTCCATTTTCATGCTGTTGATAAACACATACCCATGACTGGGTAATTTATATAGAAAAAGAGGTTTAATGGACTCACAGTTCCACATGATTGCAGAGGCTTCACAATCATGGTGGAAGGCAAAAGGCATGAGGCAGGCAAGAGAGAATGAGAGCCAAGCAAAAGAGGAAACCCCTTATAAAACCATCAGATTTCATAAGACTTATTCACTATCACGAGAACAGTATGGGGAAACTGCTCCAAGATTCAATTATCTCCCACCAGGTCTCTCCCACAAGACATGGGAATTATGGGAGCTACAATTCAAGATAAGATTTGGGTGGGGACACAGTCAAACCATATCATTCCATCCAGCCCCTCCCAAATCGCAGGTCCTCGTATTTCAAAATCAATCATGCCTTCCCAACAGTACCCCAGAGTCTTAACTCTTTTCAGCATTAACTCAAAAGTCCACAGTCCAAAGTCTCATCTGAGAGAAAGCAAGTCCCTTCCACCTGTGATCCTGTAAAATCAAAACAAGTTATTTGCTTCCTAGATACAAAGGAAGTACAGGCATTGAGGAAATACAGCCATTCCAAATGGGAGAAATTGGCCAATGAAAGAGGTGGGTTCCCATGATCTGGGCCAGCTCCATCTCTGTGGCTTTGCAGGGTACAGCCCACTCTTGGCTGCTTTCACAGGCTAGCATTGAGTGCCTGTGGCTTTTCCAGAAACAGGTTGCAATCTGTTGGTGGATCTACCATTCTGGGGTCTGGAGGATGGTGGCCCTCTTCTCAAGCTCTGCTGGGCAGTGTCCTAGTGGGGACTCTGTGTGGGGGCTTCAATCCCATGCTTCCCTTTAGCACTACCCTAGCAGAGGTTTTTCATGAGGGCCACGGACCTGCAGCAAACTTCTGCCTGGACATCCAGGCGTTTCCATACATCCTCTGAAATCTAGGTGGAGGTTCCCAAACCTCAATTCTTGACTTCTGTGTACCCACAGGGTCAACACTACATGGAAGCTACCAAGGCTGGGAGCTTTTACCCTCTGAAGCCATGGCCCAGCTCTACCTTGGCCCCTTTTTAGCCATGGCTAGAGTGGCTGGGACACAAGGTACCAAGCCTCTAGGCTGTACACATCAGGGGGGCCCTGGGTCCAGCACATGAAACTATTTTTTCCTCCCAGGCCTCCAAGTCTGTCATGGGATGGACTACAGTAAAGGTCATTGACATGCCTTGGATACATTCTCCCCATTGTTGTGGTGATTAACACTTGGCTACCCATTACTTACGCAAATTTCTGCAGCCAGCTTGAATTTCTCCTCAGAAAATGGGTTTTTCTTTTCTATCGCATCATCAGGCAGAAAATTTTCCAAACTTTTATGTTCTGTTTTCCTTTTAAAACTCAATGCTGTTAACAGAACCCAAATCACCTCTTGAATGTTTTGCTCCTTAAAAATTTCTTCTGCCACACACCCTAAATCATCTCCCTCAAGTTCAGAGTTCCACAGATCTCTAGGGCAGGGACAAAATGCTGCCACTGTCTTTTCTAAAGCACAACAAGAGTCACCTTTGCATAAGTTCCCAACAAGTTCCTCACCTGAGACCACATCAGTCTGGACTTTATTGTCCATATCACTATTAGCATTTTGGTCAAAGCCATTTGACAAGTCTTTAGGAAGTTTCAAACTTTCCCACATCTTCCTGTCTTCCAAACCCTCCAAGTTTCTAGAAAGTTCCAAACTTTCCCACATTTTTCTATCTTCCTCTGAGTCCTCCAAACTATTCCAACCTCTACCTGTTACCCAGTTCCAAAGATGATTCCACATTTCCAGGCATCTTTACAGCAGCACCCCACTCTACCAGTACCAGTTTACTGTATTAGTCCATTTTCATGCTGCTTTTATAGACATACCCAAGACTGGGTAATTTATAAAGAAAAAGAGGTTTAATGGACTCACAATTCCATGTGGCTGGGGAGGCCTCACAATCATGGCAGAAGGCAAAAGGCACATTTTACATGGCAGCAGGCAAGAGAGAGTAAGAGTCAAGTGAAAGAGGAAACTCCTCATAAAACCATCAGATCTCGTGAGACTTACACACTATCACAAGAACAGGATGGGGGAAACTGTTCCCATGATTCAGTTATCTTCCAGCAGAGCCCCCTTGCATAACACATGGGAATTATGGGAGCTACAATTCGAGATGAGACTTGGATGGGGACACAGCCAAATCATATCACTCTGTCTCTTTTTTTATTTATTTGAGATGGAGTCTCACTCTGTTGCCCAGGTTGGAGTGCAGTGGCACAATCTCAGCTCACCGCAATCTCCACCTCCCGGGTTCAAGTGATTCTCATGCCTTGACCCCCCAAGTAGCTGGGATTACAGTGCACCACCACGCCTGGCTAATTTTTGTATTTTAAATAGAGATGGGGTTTCACCATGTTGGGCATGCTGGTCTCCAACTCCTGACCCCAAGTGATCCAAATGCCTTGGCCTCTCAAAGTTCTGGGATTCACCCTGTCTTTAAAAACATACATTTTTTTTAAATTAAAATAATAAAAAGTCAGGAAAGAAAAAATATTCTGCTCTTTTTGAGAGTAATTTCCTTCATTTTAATTTTGAAAAACCTCCATTTTATTGTATATATAATTATATATAATATATAATTTTATTATATATAATTATATATAATATATAATTTTATTATATATAATTATATATAATATATAATTTTATTATATATAATTATATTTTATAAGACTCCATTTTATTATATATATATTATAATACCATATATTCTAATTATATAATTATATTATCACATTATTAAAGTGAATTCACACACACACACACACACACATTTACTAAGCTTCTCCTTTATGCTTGCACATTCATCCCCATCATTAAAAGCAAGTGTGGGTGTGTGTATATAGAATATGTATATAAATATATATGTATGTAGTTATGTATGTATGTGTGTGTGTATATATATATATATATACACATGCATATATACACACTTGCTTTTAATGATGGGGATGGGTATATATTTATAAAGTGTTTATATATATATAATACACACTTTTTACATATATATATATATATATATATATATATATATATAGAAAGTTTAGTCTTTGTTTAAAAGCCTCAGGGACCTCTTGCTTAGAATGTTTGTGTTATTTAAGTGGGCGAGACACACATGAAGTATTCAAAAATATATATTATTTTTCATTTGTGTTATAAGGATTGAAAAATTAGTTACGAAGATTCTGTCCTTCAAAATCTTCACTTCCTTTCTAGCCAAACTCTGTTCATTTCATAGGAGAAGGATAATAGTTATATGCATTTAAATTTAATGATGAACATAGGTAAAGAGGAAATTCAGAATAATATAAGAACATAGTACCATTTTTGTCCCAGTGACACCAGGCTCCATTTTTCTTTTTAGTTCAATGTTGCTATATATTTTAATATTCATCTGGCCAAGCCCTAAGCCCTGATTTCAGATTATGAATGTGCCTTTGTCATCAACATTTATCTCATAATAAAATGATGAGCTGCTCTTTCTCTCTCTATGAAAATAGGGCATATTTTACCCATAATAATTCCATACTGGGAGTTGTTATTTTGAATTTTCTACTCAACTTCATTCTTTTTTTTCCAGCTTATTTAAACAAATTATAGAAGGGAAATGAATCACAGTTTTGCATATGAATTATGAGTAACCCTGATTCTTTTTCCAAGTAAGTATTCATTTGTAAATTGAATTTTAAAAAAAGAGATGAACATCAACTTCACCTTTCTTGTCATTTGAATAAGCCACATTAAAATTCCATTAAATTTAAAAATGTTACTTATATACAATATAATCACACAGAAAAAGAAACCAAATCAATAATAAAATTAATGGTAGTGGACAGCACAATTAGGCATTATCTATCTATAAAAAGTAAACACCCATTGCCAAAAGGGGAGGTCTAATTTTCATTTAAATTTCTTCATGGCTATGACTCAGGAGTATTACGTATATCATAATTGTCAGGAAAATAAATAGAGGACATAGTAAACAGGAATCACTGACCAGGTTACCTCAAATTGATGCTAACGCAAGACAGTACACACACAATAGTTTCAAATATGATTTGAAATTTTGTTATGATTATAGGCTACCTCAGAACCTTTGACATTTGGAGACAGATAATTCTTTACTAATGAGAGACAGTCCTGTTTTTAATAGGATTTTTAACAGCATTCTTGGACACTACATACTAGATACCAATAGCTAGCACCCTTTTTTTTTTTTTTTTTTTTTTTTTTTTTTTTTGAGACAGAGGTTTGTTCTTGTTGCCCAGGCTAGAGTGCAATGGCGCGATCTCGGCTCACCACAACCTCCGCCTCCCGGGTTCAAGTGATTCTCCTGCTTCAGTCTCTGAGTAGCTGGGATTACAGGCATGCACCACCATGCCTGGCTAATTTTGTATTTTTAGTAGAGACGGGGTTTCTCCATGTTGGTCAGGTTGATCTTGAACTCTCGACCTCAGGTGACCCGTCCACCTCGGCCTCCCAAAGTGCTGAGATTACAGGCATGAGCCACCACACCCGGCCTGAACCCACTTTTGTTTCTACGTTGTAACAACCAAAAATCTCTATAGATACTCCTAAGTTTCCTTAGGGGAAAAAAAGTCAATCCTTTTTAGAACTATTACTTTAAATTCATTTTTAAAATTAACCTCAAACATTGAGCCATAAAGTGAATATAGAATAATAATAAAATTAAGAAATTAATATGTGTTTCCAGAAAACAGGCATGAGGTACAGATCTCTGAAAAACATTATCCATTGAGTCAGATATTTCACAGATCTAAATTTATCATGAATCTCTGAAGAACATTGCAATTACAAAATCAAAACACTTATAAAACTTTTTTCTAGCATATACAAAACACTAAAACAACAAAAAATTTGTCAATAAACTTTGAAAAACAGGGACAATGTTTTCTCGTCTATAAACTAGCCTGACAAATATTTCAAGGAAGAGAATGCAAAGTAGCCAACAGATTTTTTTCACGTTATCATCAGTTTGGAAAGAGAAAATGACAAAATATACTCTAATTATGTCAATTAACCACAAATTGAATAATGAGTTTTGCTTGAAGCCATTTATTTTCTGCATTATGAAGAGGGCAGTGGTTAAACAATAATTATTCATATGACATGGAAACCATGAGGTAGAGTTTGTTTATAATTACAATTCTGGACATTCGAAATTTCAATCATTAAGAAAATGTGTGTCCAGAGATTGCATGTCTGTGGACATACGTAGCTTGCTATTATTTTTAATTCTTTCTTTTATTAAATTTTTTTTAGATGCTGCCCTTTCTTTAATAGAACATTTTAGAGGTTTTTTTTGTTGTTTGTTTTTGTTTGTTTTTTGTTTTGTTTTGTTAATAAACACAACCAATCTAACCCAACAGAGATTGAAGCTATTACTGGCTTCAGATATTAATTAGTCAAATGAACATTCTTCTTTTAAAAGGAAGGTGCAATGCTTATTTGTCCATGAAATAACATAAAATATTTATAGTGATTTTAATATCACAGAGCAGTATATGAAGGAGCAAATTAACTGCTTGTTTCATGTATGATATTTATCAAAAAGCAATAATTTTGAACAAAACTGTTAAAAATGCAATGTGTTTTGTGTTTTTTGTTTGTTTGTTTGTTTTCGAGACAGAGTCTCTCTGCGTCGCCCAGGCTGGAGTGCGGTGGTGCAATCTTGGCTGACTGTAACGTCCGTCTCCCAGGTTCAAGCAATTTGGCCTCAGCCTCCCTAGTAGCTGGGATTACAGGGACCCGCTGCCACGCCTGGCTAATTTTTACATTTTTAGTAGAGACAGTTTCACCATGTTGGCCAGGCTGGGCTTGAACTCCTGACCTTAGGCAATCTGCCAGCCTCAGCCTCCCAAAGTGCTGGGATTACAAGCATGAGCCACCACGCCCGCCGGACAATGTGTTTCTTTAACTGTAAACATTCAAAGAGGCAAGATAAATTTCAATGCAATTATTTCCAAATAAATCATATTCTATAAACTAATTTTTTTATTTGGTTTACGTTAGCCATATTCTTTTTGTAACTATAAAACTCTTGATGAAACTAGTGACATAATTCAAATTATGATGTGAAGAATTAGTTAACAAATGAGATTAGTGTCTAATATATACCATGTATTGTGCTACTTAAATTGCAATTAATCACACGGAATTATAGCATGGAGGATGCTTGCTAATCTTGGAATAAAATGTTATCAGATTAAATTATTTGTGATTAATAAGGAAAGACTTTTTCAGCTGTTGTTAAATCTGGAAGGATTCTCTTTTCAACAAAAATTCAGGAAATATAAACTGGTTCCATTGGTTCAGCGCTACAAAGATCAACATTTTTATATTTTAATTGAGACCAGAAAAAGAAAAATACAGTTGAGCCATGAACAACATGGATTTGAACTGTGCTGATCCACCTATACACGAAGGTTTTTCAAACAAATCAGAATAAAAAATACAGTATTTCCAGATTGAAACACTGCCTATATGGAGGGCTGACTTTGCATATAAGTGAGTGTCTGCAGCACTTGAGGATGTGAAAAATTTTATCCATATGGCGATCCTAGAACTAAGTCCCCATGTATACCCAGAGAGGGCTGTAAATAACTACAATAGTACTTTGCAAGTGGCATTTTGAAGAGGAGAAACTGAAAATTTTAGCATGGTCAATAACTTAGCAAAAAGGAGTGATAATTAGAACTATCAAAATAAAACTCACATTTGAATGATGAAAGGGGATACTTCTCTGCAATTATTTTTCCTAAATAGATATTTTATCAAAATAAAAAGGAAATGAGGTAGGTGGAAGAAAAAAGAGTTTGTATGTTTTTTTGAAGTAGCTTTTCTGTATTAAATCATGTGGCTCAGGAAAAAGCATGGAGTCAACAAATTATCCAGAGCTAAAATGAGAAAATGAAGAAGACCAACCAGTTTAGAGGTACAACCTCAAGTCACATACAACTGAAGTGTGCAACTGAAATGAAGTGTGTTAGCTGTAGATTTGATATTTTGGATAAACACGCACAATATTATACACACACACACATATATAAATCCTGAAGTCAAAAATGTTGTAAATTGTATCATTTTCTTTGACGGTGAAAAACTAATAATATTTGATGAATTTTACACTTTAAAAATGGCTGCAAAAATCACTAAACGGATATTTGAACTGAGTAAACTAGTTGAGGCAACAGTAGCAAAAATTGTGGTACCCAGAATGGAAAACTAAACCATTTATTACTCGACTGAATATTGCCGTAGCAAAAGTTAATCTTTCCTATGTTTTATATATTATAGCAGTGCTTCTCTAATTGTATCACTTAGCATCAGCATCACCTGGGAAATTGTAACACATGCACATTCTCAGAACACCCACCAGTCTTACTGAATCAAAAACTCTGTAGCCAGGACCCAGTAATCTGGGGTTTTATATGTTCTCTAGGTGATTCTGGTACACCCTGAAGTTGAGACTCATGGTGTTGTGTAATATTTGGGACACATTAGTCCCCAAAATATTGTAACAAAGCTTTATGCAAAACATGCAACATCACATTGACTAGCTTGCAACCTCTCATTTTCAAAGGCAACTGTAGTGTCCTTCTATAATATCCTAGCTTATGGCACTTTGTGATATTTAAATCAAGGGGCTCCTTCCCAGTACCCAGGCGTTCCTAAGAATTTCCCTGCAAAGACGAGCTGACAGAGGATTCTTCCTGAGGTACCTCAAAGGTAACGTTGTAAAGATTCACGGCAAAGGATGGGCATCACTTCCACTGAGCAGATGGCTGGCAAGATTACACTGACAGAGAGGATGAATTTTCCACTCATGAGAAGAATAGGTATTTAGCTGCCACACATTCAGGAGCCAGGCAAGGTTAATATTCCATGCACATGAGGACAAGGTGGTCAGCTGGAGTGTACCGTGAGCCAGCAAGGTTCAGACAGTGGTTACTCTTCTTGCCAACTTAAATGGATGACATCCCAGGCTCAGACCTCCTAATGGTTGGGCACTTCATTCCTTTGTTCATTATCCCCTGAATGTGTATGACTTTCATCACTTACATTTTTCACAAAAGCCCTTTATGGTCAGTCAATAATAACTTTAATGTTCCATTGAAATCAAGACATTTTAACGTCCTATGTCATTACAGCAATAACACCACCACTATCACCACTACCACCAAATGCATTTCCTTTTCTTGCATTATTCAAAGTATTCAGTCTTCATATAACACATTTGACTGTTTAGCATGTCCTAATTCTGTCCTCAAAAATGTTATTTTCATGATAATATGGGCAGAATCACTATTCTGAATGAAGCAAAAAAATAAAGATTATTATCAAAAGAGAATGACTATTCAAATTATGCTGCAACATGAAGAAAAACACACTGTTATTAAATACAGTTGCATAAAGGATAGATTGAAGAGAAAAGAGAATGGAAATAACAGACTGTCAATATCTCAGATTTGGGGTGTTTGTGCCCTGAACTTGGCTGCTATGAACACACATACAAAGGAAAAAATTAAGTTGATTAAAGAACATTTTCTGTGTGCCTATTATGTGCCAGACTGTGATGTTAGATTTTCACATTTACTTCGGAAGTACATTACAATTCTGTTAGGTAAATATGATTACTAGTGTATACAAAAACCAAGCAAGGTTCAGTAAAGTTAAATGAAATGTAAAAGAAAGCATTAGTATTTGTTAGGATCAGCTTTGTCTGTTTTGTTTTGTTTTGTTTTACCAATACTGTCGGACTATAAAAACCATACTATTTTTATAAACCACACGTCAGTAACTTTTTCTGTAAAGGACTAGCTATTAAACGTTTTAGGCTTTGTGAATTGCATAGCCTTTGTGGCACTACTCAAGTTTGTCATTTGGGAAAGATAATAGTTCCAGATTTTTTCTAAAGAGATAAGTGGGAAATTGTCCCTAGATAATACCTAAACCAATGAGTGTGACTGTGACCCAATAAAATGTTATTTACAAAGAAACCTGTCAACCAGATTAGACCCATGTGCCACAGTTTATGGCTCCTGCTTCAAACCATAATGTAGCATGCATGGAGTAAACACAATTTGGGTGGTGCCCCATCCAAACTCATGTTATCAAGCCATTGCACTCACCTCCCAGCTCTTAACTGATCACAGTCTCACTCTTCTCTGGAGTCTTGCCCACAACTGATGAAACAAGTCAAGCTTTAAGTTCAAGAAGCATTATGAACAACACGTAAAGCAAATTCACCAAATCATATCATTATTTTAAAAAGCCAGAACAGAGGGAAAATCTTAAAAGGCATACAAGTTTTAAGGAAATCAATCAAATTAACAGCAGACTTCTCAACAGAAATGATGAAGGTGAGAAAAAATTATAGCTTGACAGCTATTTCCTCCCCATGTTTAAAGCATGCTATTCTTTAGATATGCAAAGGAAATATCTACCAAACTATAATTTTATATCTAGAGAAAACAATATTGAAAAGTGAAAGCAAAATTAGGATGCATTTGGATAAAAATACAAACTGTGGGAGTCAATCACTACGGAAATATCACCAAAACGAACACTGACATGGTGGTGTTTTGTTTGTGTTTTTAATATAAAAGTTGTAAACAATTCAGGAAGAGAGCCATGTAGATAGATATCTTAGGGTAGAACATTCTGGACATAGGGGCTTAGCCATTGTAAAGTCCTTAAGGAGAGTTCATGAAGGAATATGGCTGGAACAGAGTAAGCAGTTGAGAGATTAATTACAGATGAGGTCAAATAAATAATTTTACTAACATAAGACCATATACTTTCTCCAAATGATATGGGGAACCAGGAGAGAATTTTGATCAAAGAGTTTATGTTATCTAGCTTATGTTTTAGAAGGATTTCTCTTTTATTATTAGAATTAAGGGTGAGGCTTTTCCTTCACAATGGTTATCATTGATATGGATAAATTGTCATTCTTTAGAACACACTCATCTTCTCACACACACACACTCATACACATACAAAGAGAACACATTTTTTAATAGTCACAACTGCTATATTGATGTAAATTTGCATAATATTTAAAAGTTTAAGTTATTTTTATGCACACTGATCTATTTCCAGAGCAGGTTTTAATATTGTTATTTATTTATTATTATTAATTATTATTAATTTGTTATTATTATTAATGATGATAAACAGCAACACTATTATTTGTTTGTTTGTTTTTTGTAGAGACATAGTCTCACTATGTTGTCCAGGCTGGTCTTAAACTCCTGGGATCAAGCAATCCTCCTGCCTCAACCTCCTGAGTAGTTAGAACTACAGGTGCACGCTGCCACACTATTTTTTTTTCTTAAATTTTTTGTAGAGGCCCTTTTTTCTTAAGATTTTGTCACCGTAAGCATTATCAACTAAGATTTTTTTTCTTTATATTTGTCCAACTTTCAGAAATGGAGAGAAGCAAAAATTCAGAAGATACATTAATATAATTAGTATTTGTGTTTAAACCCATTTCAATAATTACATGTATTTTGAAGAAAACTAGCTCAAATAGATTTTTTCTTTTCTTTCTTTTCTTTTTTTTTTTTTTTTACAGAGTCTCACTCTGTTGCACAGGCTGGAGTGCAGTGGCGCTGTCTCCATTCTTTTTCTTTTTTCTTTCTTAGAGACAGGGTTTCACCACATTGCCCGGGTTGCTCTCAAACTCCTGGGCTCCAGTGATTTGCTGGCCTTAGTCTCCCAAAGTGCTGGAATTATAGGTGTGAGCCACCACACCTGACTTCAAACAGATTTGTAACAATAACTAAGAAGAAAATATTTAATACTATCAATTTCAAAATATTCATTCATATACTCAGTTTACATCATATATGCAAGACAGTATTAATTTATTAGTTTGAGGGAGTTAGGGAAGTGCCAATCCAAAATATGCCAACTTGGTATATTGATTATCTCTAGCTAAAAACATTGGAGAAACTGTAGTTACAGAAAGAGCTATCTGACCTGTCTTTCTTTCCTACATGTAGCAGTCCATTAGGATTCTTTTGAGAGGGTTGCCTTCCCTGTACCAGGGCAAGAAGGTAACCTTTATCACCAGATTGGGAATTGGGGATGTGATGGACCTGAATGATAAATAAATTTTCTAAAGTAACCCTTGTCTTCCACTAGCTTTATACCCCAATATATCTACTAGTGACTCGTCTGCAATGCACTGCCCCAGTCAGACTTCCCAGTCTAGTTATTTCTTCTCAAATTTATTGTTATTTGTCTAAAAAGTATTAAAGCGTCTTGCTTTGGCCATTTTTTCAGACTTCACTCTCTTGTGAGGGCTTCCATGTACATGTTAAATTAATAAAACTTCTATGCTTTCCTCATGTTAACTTGTTTTTGTCAATTTCATTCCCAGATCCAGTCGAAGAGCCCATTGAAGATCTAAGAGGCATAGAAGCTATGGTTAGTGCCTCCCTTACAAGCTTACCATTAATGCGTTACAGGTTTATCAATAGTGTTATTACTTTTAGAAAGACATAGTTGTAAAAGAGGTGGATCTGAGCAGAAATTAATACAGGAAATACCCATTTTACTTTTAATATTCAATACTAAATAACATTACTACTTACAATTGTGTTTGTTTTGTAAGTTTTCAAAAACTAATATTTTAAGATTATGGCCAGAATTATCATACAGCATTTATTATATTTTTCAGGAATCATCTTTATCATATTTTTTGACTAAAATAATACTTTTCTATTTCTCAACCTCTAATTATAGCATCTAATTTTTAAAATATATGTACAATAATTGATGACTAGTTACTCTCAATTATTTGAGTTTACCAAGGTCTACTCCTCCACTTCAGGGTCAACAAGTGACAGTATTTATCAAACCCCTTGCAGTTGGTGGGGCCATGTGACTAATTTTAGTTTGTGGACCATGCATAGAGGTGATGTGTGTCTCATTAGGAAAGACAGTGAAAAGGCCGTGTGCAATGTTGTAGGTTCTCTTTCCTGGCCACTGTGGTCATAGAGAAGAACCTGTGCTGAAACTTTGAAGCCATGAAAGCAAAGCATCCTGTATCTCTGGAGGAATATCACTGAGGAGATTTGCTGGGACTCAATGCACTTTGAATACATGAAAAATAAATCTTTATTGTGTTAACTCATTGAAATTTGGAGACTGCCTGTTATAACATTATAACTGGGCCAATCATAGGAAGTAAAGCACAGACACTGAAGGAAAAAATTTAGAATAAGTAAACGAGATTAAGAAAAGAAAAAATTATTGCAAAGCATGATACATATGAATTAAATGCCATTAGTCTTTACACACTATTTTGTAACCTGCTTCGTAGGTTAACATTGCCTCATGATCATTTTCCAAGCCATTAAATATTATTCTACAACATAATGTTTAATGACTGAATAGTATTATATGCTATGGTCTATCAAAATTTATTCAATCGATTTCATACTCTTAGACAATTAGATTGCTTAGAAATTGTTTCCCTTGCAAACTGCATTGCAGTAAGCATTATTATAGCTGTATCTTAAATGTATCCACAATTATTTCTGTAAAATAAATACTTAGAAATAAAATTTCTGGTGTGAATGTTATAAAATTCTAAGGTTTTTGACAAATATCCGTAATTGTACTAACTTACACCATCACTAACATAATCAATTCTTTTCTTTTTAGTATTTTGAAGAAGTGTCTTCTAAATTCTTAATGACATTAATTATATAAGAATCCAGACACCTAATTTTGTCCATGTAAATAAATTATTTAACTTTGCACCTTATACATATTTTTCAATTAAGTAAACGTCAACAATTTGTCAGAGATAGTGGAGCTATTTATCATTGGATTCAATTCAATAGCTATCAAGTACAGATGATATGTCTTATCATCTTTAAAGCACTGAGTTAGCCAGCATTAGATTTGAGTAGTGTATAGATATTTCAACTCAAAATCTTCAAATATCTATCCTTTCTTATCATTTATATTTTAAAAAATTGTGTCAACTAAGTTCTAAGTCATTTACAATTCCAATTTCTGTTGAGAAGTTATCTTTGTCAGAATCTCTAGCCATGTGATTCTAGGTATAATTCCTGTAAAAGTATTTGAAATCTATTTATTCTTGAGTGTTGGTGACATGCCTAGCAATATATTTAGTTTTATTTTATCTTAATTCATTGAGTGCCTAGTATGGCCAAACTTATTCCAGAAACATTATTTATAGAGTCATTATTTCTTCTAATTTCAATATTTAGGGAAACATTGTGGATGTCTTGGTTTGGATGGAGTTTCTGTCTCTGATGGCATCTGCTGTGGCTGCAAGTTGGATTATATTCTATGAAAACAACTGTTTCTAATGCAATTCCCCCATAATTGGAGGATTGTCTTAAAAAATAAATAATAGATGTGTGCAGGCTCAGTAGGAGGCATCATCCTCAGACAGATGCCGCAACACCATGCATGTATAACATTCAACATTCTAGTTACTTTTCTATAGCTCCATATATATTTTCTGTACCATTATAAACATCACACTTTGAGGACATGAACTATGTCATTTAACTTCTTGTATGCTTTTTCTAACAAGCAATTAACTACTAAGGCCATAAACTGTGCTTATCTTGTTTAGCAATGTGTCCCTGAAACCAAAAGCAGTGTCTGACCCATAACACATTCTGAACAAATGTATGTATGCCAAATGAACTAATCAATAAATAATTGGTGGATATTTTGCCAGTAAAAGATAATTATAAATTTCATTTTAGTATTTTTTCTTTAGGGTGTTTTTGACAGCGAAATTTAAATATTAAAATAATTCGAGTAGATGAAACATATATTTAAGAGTACTCACTGTGTGTGATATAGTAGCCCTACGCATGAAAGATCTAGAAATAAGGAGATATTGCCCCAATCTTAAGGAGCTCGCAGCCTAGCTGAGGACACAAACGTTAGGGTAGATACACAGTACGTGCTGATAAGGAAAGTTGAAGGATGTATGTCAAAGGAACATGCGAAAGTTGAGAAATAATAAGTAAAACATCAATGCAACAGTGATCGTATGGAGGGGAAATACCATGGTTTCATATGTTTCTGAGGGTCTTTAGTTCTGAGACTCATTCACAGAACTGGTCTCTGTAGGGTTTTGTGATAGTATTTAAGGTTATCAGTTAATCTATACAATTATATAGGGCAGTAGAAAAAGGTTTTGAATCTTGATATAAGATGTGAGTTTTAAATAAATATTGGTCAGCTCTAGTTAAGACGGAATGAAGTTTTCTCCTCTTTCTCTCCCTTCTCCTCCTCCTTCTTTTTGCCATTGTCATCAAATTCCTGAATTCAGAACCTGCTTCTATCACTTGTTAGCTATTATTTAAGGAGAATCACCTAGTTTCTTTATACAGTGCCTTGTTTTTCCCACTGCAAAATAATGTCTGTATCATAGGGTTGTTGTGAGGATTAAATAAATCAAAAGATATTAGAAAACTAGAGCCTGGCACATCATACTCAGAAGGAAAGCAATGCTATACCTATATCATACAATAAGAAAATGATTTTACTTTTCTAAGCATGCATGCCCCAAACTTATAAAGTTTTTTGCATAATATCGAATATTCACCGTAAGAGCCCAAAGGACAAATGATTGCACAGAAAGAGGAAATGTTGAAGAGCATAAAATTCTATAATATTCTGGAGGTCTTCTCTCTCTACCCTTTTCCCACAAATGTGAATTTTGAGGTCGGAATATTAATCTACTGATTAATAGATTAGTGCTTTCTTGCAAATGTTAAAATATTAATTTCAGGAACACTGTGATAAGGGTGTCGATAATTTTTTTAACATAAGAATCAATATTCTCTAGTATAACCAGAGAGATAGGAATCAATATATATTAGTTTAATGTCAAAGCTAGACCTGCAGTTTTAAAAATAGGAAATGGCCTTCTGAGTGGAAAATGAAATGATTTCTTCTTAAAGTGGAAGGCCTTTTCAGGGCCTAACTGATACCCTAGTGATGATCTTAGGTTGTACCACATCTCTTGAGATATTTTATTGTTATTTAGCATTTTGTTTTCTGCTATTTATAATATTCATTTATTAAGACTTTTACTCTTATAAAGAAGTGCTTTTTCACAAGCTGCCCTCCATACTGTAAAATATATAAAATTGTTTATTATGTGGAATTGTTTGTGAAATAGTTAACTGGTTATATAAGCCACAGTTTCCTTTGAGATAATTTGCATTTTAAGTAATCTCATATTTTAACTTAACATTTATAACAAGATAAAGAATGAAAGTTATATATTAATTAATATACTAACTGGGAGTAACACTTTTAAAAAGCTAAAATTCTGTTTTTAGTTTGAACCTATAAAGAGTTGCCAATGTCTGAGCCCATTGCCGTTCTCTAAGAACTACCAAAGTTTGTAAGAAGGAACTTGCCTATTACCAGTCACTAATTCAATGTCCATCCTCCCGGTTAATACCAGGAGAAAAATAGGACAGAGAAAGGCAGTTCAGTGGTGATACTCTACTCCTTCCCTGCCCCACTTATGTTATTGGTAACCCATACTCAATGTGCTACTTTAAAGACTTCAAGGCATTTGACTTGATGATCTGCCCTTGTGCTTATCTAAGAATTAGACAGAAATATCAAATTCCATGTAACTGCCAGTTTAACTACCAGAGTGTACCAGATTGCACTGTCTTCATTCCATAAATTAAGAAAGTGTGAATATCCTGTGAATCAAAGGCTAATAGTGCAAAACCTTTTTCAGCTTCAACTATCTTACCAGTTCCTGATTCAGGAGCATTGTCTATTTGCTCAAGAGACTCTAGAAGCAACAGGTAAATAGATGCACAAAGATGGCACTTGTAACTGAATCAGGAGTGCTATTTGGGGCAGTAAACAAGAACCCAAGAAGGAATTGGGCACTGGGGAAGCTTGGATGCTTAACTTATACTGGGCACTGACAGTCAGTCATTGTTTTCCAAAGATTCAGAAAAAAATCAACAAGGAGAAATTATAAACATTTCCAGGTAAACAAAGAGATATTGTTTAAATTCATGCCCCTCATATCTTCAGGCCAGGGCCAGGGAAAGAAAAAAGATTCAAGTAATATTCACATAAATATTATCAACTTATAAAAACAAATTGCTAAATAATATCTGTTCTAGTTTCCTACCTTGATAAATTTACTTTTATAATTATAAAATTGAAAAACATGTGGGAGGCTATAGACTTTACTTTTAAATATTTAATTATTGCTTTTGATGTCTAAATACTTTATAGATGGCAAGTGATGTTTAAATGAGTAATAGAATTTATACATAATTCATATTTTTTGTATTTATTCCACATTAACTCTTTTTCTTGCCTTTATTTCAGAAAAAACAATAATTACATTATCATAATCAATATTTTTACATAATTTGTGTAGAAAGAATAGTAATAATATCAAATAACTTAAATAAGATATAATTGTATTGAAAGTGTAAAATGGTAATATTTGCACAAAAATGTAAATTAAGTTAAATGTAAGAAATATGAATATGTTTGAAAGTTATTTTTCTTTTAAATTATTTATAATCCCCTACTAATATTAAAAGGCAAAATACAGATTACCAATAAGGAATATAAATATTTGAAAATTGTTACTTAACATTATTTAAATAGCATTTAATTTTAAGTTTTTTTAAAAATGTAGATATTTCAATTATTTAAAAAAAATTGCAAGCTTGCAATATGCTACCAATTTAAGGAACTGGTATCTCATTAATAATACATATTATGTTTAGAAATACACACACATGTATAGTATGCATAAATTTAACAGCATTATACATTTTTTAATGTTAACAATGTTTATTAATCATTCTATATAACTGTTGAAAGGATCTCACTAATTCTGAAATCACAAATTGAAACACTATGAAAGAATATTGAAATATGGCACTATTAGAGTAGGGGGGCATTCCATTAAGCAAGAATCTATTGCATTCATGCTATCTGAAATTAAGCATGTGACAAATTATTTAATTAGTTTTTTTTCTTACTGAAACATTTCCACCAGGCATATAGTATCTGAAATTCAAATTATTCACTCCATGTCCCTGACACTGCAAATAAAGAATTCACAAACTTCCAAGACATTAGGATATACTTTTTCTTTGAAAAACATAAAGCAAGAGAGGTGAAGATGTAGGAGATTAGATGCCTTGGGGTTAAACATCTTGCTTGTCAACACTGAGCCAAAATCTTGAATCAATAGGCCATACGCATTCTTGCATATATGCATTGTATTGTATTGTCTTATTATTTTTTGCAAATTTTGTGTGATATGCAAGCCACAGCCCAGGTGTTCTGCATGCTAAGGTCAAAAATAGATAGTGTTTGAGTTCTTTTCCTCTATCCCTATTTTCTTTCCCCTCCAGTGGAGTGAGAGGAAGAATAGTCAAAGTTTCTCACTCCATGCTAAATCTATCAAGCCACAAACTTGGCTGATAATTGAAGAGTCCAATTATATACAACATTGGAGTATTTTATCACTGAGGGGCTGGAAAGAATATGTAAGAAGCTACTGTTCAAAGCGAGGAATTGTACAGTGATTTTCTGAGGGTTCTCTGAATAATCTACTATTAAAGCCCAATAAGTAGCCAATATTTGGATACCTGCATTGGGATAGATTGCATTTGAAAGGCAGAAGAGACACGCAAATAATCTCCACTAGTTAAAAATCGAAACAAATAAAAGACATATTTTCCCCTTTTTCACTTATCCTTGTTCTCTTAACCCTAGCTCTCTTTTCAACTCTAAAAGGGCTAAAAGCAGAAGGAATGAAAACCAGAATTTCCTAGGAAAAGGGCAGGTAATGCCCCCTTCCACTTCTACATTGTTGTTCATGGATCCATGATTAGACTTGAACTCTGGGGAAGGGAAGAAACTTAAAATTCTGCGGGGCCTGTCATCCCAGCTACTGAGAAGGTGGAAGTGGAAGGATTCCTTGAGCCTGGGAGGTCGAGGCTGCAGTGATCCATGATAATACCACTGTGCTCCAACCTGAGCCACAGAGCGAGACACTCTCTAAAACAAACAAACCCCAAATAGAGTTTAAGTTTAAAGTTGTGAGTTAAGCAAAGTTATCTTTCGTAATATATGAAAAAAATTTCAAAGTGTAAATAAAATTATACTATATACTCAAGATATCATTAAGCAGCAGCAAGGATAAATCTGATATATCATGTTTGAATACATTAATTACTGTGCAACTTCTGTTTCTTGATTGTACCCTATCTAGCCCATTTCATTCAATCAACTGGTTACACCTTTAGGTAATATTTTGACATTTGAATTTTTTCCCAGAAAAGGAATGATATAATTAACATCTTTATCATGCAGTCTCTATGCATTGTCCTCAATATTTCCTTGAAATATATTTTATAAGTATGAGATTATATTGCTAAATGTGTAACAACCCCAACTTTTAAAATTCATTAGTTTTTCATAATTTTAGTACAACTCTTTATTCATTCAAATTTAATTTTTTTCCAAGGAAGGTGAGTGCAATTTCAATAACTTTTTGGTCTAGACAACTTGAGTCCCAGTGCTAAATATGGAAGTGTAACTCTGAAAACAAAAGTAAAAGAGATTTAGGTCAGATAATGTATTAAGTTACAAAAAAATCCAAGAAATGCCACGATATTTATTTGATGCCATGCTCTAGACATCTTCCAAATGCTCTAAAAACACCTTTAGCTTGTGGCGACCACATCCTAGGGTATAATCCCTTCTCTTTGAGTGGAGGTGCCACCTGTATGCTCCTTTTAACCAGTAGAATACAGCAAATGAGAGGGAATATCACTCCCATAATTATGTTTTGCTATCACCACCATCATCATCATAATTATCATCATTATCGTCACCTTCCTCAGGTCCAAATGTATTACTCTTTGAAATGTGTTGCCATAAATTTCTTAAAAGAGCTTTACACGGGCAAGCAGTTGGTTAATGAATTTTTTTTGAATTCTGAATATTATTTCTGACAAGGCTAATTGTATTAAGGCCATTCTCTGTGTTAAAACACTGGGAAAGCCTTGTCCAAATCAATTACTTTTTTAACCAAGAGTTTAGATAAAGAGCTAAGGTAAGTTGATGCATTCACAAGTGGGTTTTCTTATGGCTTCTGTTCCTTATATCTATCATCATTGTCTTTCATTATGCATGATGCATGATGCCCTGTACATATCTCTTTCTTTGCATTGTTCTTTCCCTCCTTTTTTTTTTCTGATACACAGTCCCACTCCCACACCCAGGCTGGAGGGCAGTGGTGGTATCACTGCACACTGCCGCCTCGACTTCCTGACCTCAGGTGATTTTCCCACCTCAGCCTCCGGAGTAGCTGGGATTACAGGTATGTGACACCACGCCCAGCTAAGTTTTGTGGGTTTTTTTTTTTGGAAAGAAGGGTTTTCACTATGTTGCCCTGGCTGATCTTGAACTCCTGGCCTCAAGCTATCCTCCTGCCTTGGCCTCCCAAAATGCTCAGCAGACAGAGCCACCACACTTGGACTTTCTTTGCATTTAAGACATGTTTTATGTTATTCCTTTTTCTCTCTGAAAGTTCTTTGTAACTTATTTCTCTTTGTCTCTCTGAAACTTTTTTTTTAACTTTGCTAGGTCTTTTGATATAGAACAATTAGATTAACCTATCCTTGAATTTGGGAAACTTCAAATTATGCATTTTTACTATCTTTTTAAAAATACAAAGCCTGATTTTCACCAATATCTATATAGTGAATTTTCAACATTGTAAAAACCAGAAGTATTGTCTTTTATTCAAATCAAGTAGATTAAGCAAATGATGGAGTAAAGCACTGGTTACATTAATGCAAAAGCAACTAAGCTGGGTTTTCTTTATTTCTTGGCAAGACAAACATAAAATAACAACATTCATCTTCCTATGTTTTATTCTGTATCAAAATAACATTATTTAATATATTTTAAGATGGTCTATCATTACTTTGAAAATGTTGATGGTGAGTAGTTTAAATGTGATAAAACATTTAGAAGAAAAAGTGTTTTTTGTAGATTAAAACTTTAATTTTTTTCTTTTTCATCTAAAAGTGTTAGCTAGTATTTATTTTTATTTAATGTTTTAGTTGAAAAGAAGCACAGCGTGGTCAGTTAATATAATACACTACAAAAATGCATTTTCTGTATTTTATTCATTTCTAACATTTATTTGTAAACTTCCTTAAGTCTAAAATAAATCTGAAGTGACTTTCTATATTATTTAGCCATATTGATGATTTAACCACCAAGACTCTAAGAAACTGAAGAAAGAAAAAAAGAAATAAAATATTTAAGGTAAAAGAATAAACATAGTGAACTAAACGAGAGAGAAAGTTTAAAAAGTTTTATATATGTAGTTCAGCTTATATCTTTTTCTCAGAAAAAAACCACATTTGATTATGTAAAGATATCTTTCTCTTAACTACATTGGAATTAATGCCCACATGAGCATGTACACACACACCACACACACACACAGATGTAGGATCATTATAAAGAAAAACAAGATCCCAAGGATGGCAACTCAGGTGGAAGTACAGTAGGTTTTCATTTAATTGAGGTTGGCATTTCTCCTTGCTTACAAGAAAACTCAATGCTGTCAGACTCCTTTTAAAGAGAACTTTGCCCTACGAAGAAAAGAATAGTCACTTAACAAGAACTGCTCTATAAAATATGAGTAGATGCTTCAATTTGAATTTCTGCGAGGTGTAGAAAAGGTTAGCTAGTTGACTTGTAATCAAAGGATCAGGACACATTACTTTCCCTACTATTAACTCTGTGTGTGGATTTCGGTTCCATTCCATATGTAAACCTTTGAACTCACGTTTGTGTAAACTTATTAGCTTGGTGCAAAGCTAATTGTGGTTTTTGCCATTGAGAGTAATTACTCTCAATGGCAAAAACCACAATTACCTTCACACCGACCTAGTAATTTAACAATTATATGGCAAAGTTAGAAATTATATATGTTGTTCTAGGCTTCTGTGGGGAATAAATATAGTTTGATAAACAAGTTTCAATCTCTTGACAATAAAGCCAGTCTAATTAGGTGGTGTTAACTAGCACAAGAAAAAAATGTACCAACATAGCACATGCAAAAGCCCTAAGTTTGGAGTGCTCCATCTTGAGTGAAAATAAGCAAGAAAGACACTGTGGCTGGAGATGAGTGAGAAAAGAAAAAGAGGGGCAGGAAGGAAAGTTGAAGAAAGAAATAAGCTCAGCTACTACTGGGCCTGGTAGGCCTTGAGCCAAACATTGGCTTTTTTGTTGAGTAAGATAAGAATATAATGAGGGTGTCAAAAGAATGACATGCTCTGATTTGTGTTTTGACAAAATCACTCTTGCTGCCAGCAAGGAACCAAACTAAAGTTAGTAGAACAAGTCTCAGTAAGAGGCTATTTGAATAATGTAGGGAAAAGATGGTCATATCTTGGACCAACAAGTCAGAAGTGATGATGGTGAGCTGTGGTCAGATTCAGAATCCATTAATGACAGGATTTACTCTTAGAGTGGACCTACTTTTGGAGAGAAGAAAGAGCCAAAAATACTGATGCTTTTCATTTCTCAGGATTTTTGCCCTGAGAAATGAAATGCATACAGTAGCCATTCGCTAAGATGAAAATGATAGAAGAAATATTCTTGTCTTAACAGACTGATAGGATTTTGAATGAGGAAGGCAGGAATAAGAATAGAAAAGGAATTTTTTAATTTAATTTAATTTAATTGTTTTATTATACTTTAAGATCTGGGATACATGTGCAGAACGTGCAGGTTTGTTACATAGGTATGCACATGTCATGATGGTTTACTACACCTATCAACCCGTCATCTACATTAGGTATTTCTCCTAATGCTATCCCTCCCCTAGCATCCCCCCTCCCCTGACAGGCCCCAGTGTGTGATGTTCCCCTCCCTGTGTCCATGTGTTCTCTTTGTTCAACTCCCAATTATGAGTGAGAAAATGCAGTCTTTGCTTTTATGTTCCTGTGTTAGTTTGCTCAGAATGATGGTTTTCAGCTTCATCCATGTCCCTGCAAAGACATGAACTCATCCTTTTTTATGGCTGCATAGTATTCCCTGCTGTATATGTGCCACATTTTCTTAATCCAGTCTATTATTGTTGGGCATTCGGGTTGGTTCCAAGTCTGGGCTATTGTGAATAGTGCTGCAATAAACATACATATGCATGTGTCTTTATAGTAGGATGATTTATAATCCTTTGGGTATATACCCAGTAATGGGATTGCTGGGTCAAGTGGTATTTCTAGTTCTAGATCCTTGAGGAATCACTACACTGTTTTTCACAATGGTTGAACTAGTTTACACTCCCACCAACAGTGTAAAAGTGTTCCTATTTCTCCATATCCTCTCCAGCATTTATTGTTTCCTGACTTTTTAATGATTGCCATTCTAACTGGCGTGAGATGGTATCTCATTGTGGTTTTGATTTGCATGTCTCTAATGACCAGTGATGATGAGCTTTTTTTTCATATGTTTGTTGTCTGCATAAATGTCTTATTTTGAGAAGTGTCTGTTCATATCCTTTGCCCACATTTTGATGGGGTTGTAAATGTGCTGAAGTTCTTTGTAGATTCTGGATATTAGCCTTTTGTCAGATGGACAGATTGCAGAAATTTTCTCCCATTCTGTAGGTTGCCTCTTCACTCTGATGGCAGTTTCTTTGCTGTGTAGAAGTCCTTTGGTTAAATTAATGCCATTTGTCAATTTTGGCTTTTGTTGCCATTGCTTCTGGTGTTTTAATCATAAAGTCTTTGTCCATGTCTATGTCCTGAATAGCTTTGCCTAGTTTTCTTTTAGGGTTTTTATGGTTTTAGGCCTTACGTTTAAGTCTTTAATCCGTCTTGAGTTAATTTTTATATAAGGTGTAAGGAATGGGTCCAGTTTCAGTTTTCTGCATATGGCTAGCCAGTTTTCCCAACACAATTTATTAAATAGGGAGTCCTTTCTCCATTGCTTGTTTTTGTCAGTTTTGTCAAAGATCAGATGGTTGTAGATGTGTAGTGTTATTTCTGAGGCCTCTGTTCTGTTCCATTGGTCTATATATCTGTTTTGGTATGAATACCATGCTGTTTTGGTTACTGTAGCATGTAGTATAGTTTGAAATCAGGTAGCATGATGCCTCCAGCTTTGTTCTTTTTGCTTAGGATTGTCTTGACTCTACAGCCTCTTTTTCGGTTTCACATGAAATTTAAAGTAGCTTTTTTTCTACTCTTGTGAAGAAAGTCAGTGATAGCTTGATAGGGATAGCATTGAATCTATAAATTACTTTAGGCAGTATGGTCATTTTCACGATGCTGATTCTTCCTATCCATGAACATGGAATGTTTTTCCATTTGTTTGTGTTCTCTCTTATTTCCTTAAGCAGTGGTTTGTAGTTCTCCTAGAAGAGGTCCTTCGCCTCCCTTGTAAGTTGGATTCCTAGGTATTTTATTCTCTTTGTAGCAATTGTGAATGGGAGTTCACCTATGATTTGGCTCTCTGTTTGTCTATTTTTGGTGTATAGAAATGCTTGTGATTTTTGCTCATTAATTTTGTATCCTGAGACTTTGCTGAAGTTGCTTATCAGATTCAGGAGATTTTGGGCTGAGATGATGGGGTTTTCTAAATGTAAAATCATTTCATCTGCAAATAAAGACAATTTGACTTCCTCTCATCCTATTTGAATACCCTTTCTTTCTTTCTCTTGCCTGATTGCCCTGGCCAGAACTTCCAATACTATTTCAAACAGGAGTGGTGAGAGAGGGCATCCTTGTCTTGTGCTGGTTTTCAAAGGGAATTGTCCAGCTTTTGCCCATTCAGTATGACATTGGCTGTGGATTTGTCATTAATAAGTCTTATTATTTTGAGGTACGTTCCATCAGTACCTAGCTTATTGAGAGTTTTTAGCATGAAGGGGTGTTGAATTTTATCAAAGGTATTTTCTGCATCTATTGAGATAATCATGTGGTTTTTTGTCATTGCTTCTGATTATGTGATGGATTACGTTGATTGATTTGCATAGGTTGAACCAGCCTTGCATCCCAGGGATGAAGCCGACTTGATCGTGGTGGATAAGCTTTTTGATGTGCTGCTGGATTCGGTTTGCCAATATTTTGTCGAGGATTTTAGCATCAGTGTTCATCAGGGATATTGGGCTGAAATTTTCTTTTTTTATGGTGTCTCTGCCAGGCTTTAGTACCAGGATGATGCTGGACTCATAAAATGATTTAGGGAGGAGTCCCTCTTTTTCTATTGTTTGGAACAGTTTCAGAAGGAATGGTACCAGTTCCTCTTTGTACCTCTGGTAGGATTTGGCTGTGAATCTGTCTGGTCCTGGGCTTTTTTTTTGGTTGGTACGCTATTAATTACTGCCTCAATTTCAGAGCTTGTTATTGGTCTATTCAGGGATTTGGCTTCTTCCTGGTTTAGTCTTGGGAGGGTGTATGTATCCAGGAATTTTTCCATTTCTTCTAGATTTTGTAGTTTATTTGTGTAGAGGTGTTTATAGTATTCTCTGATGGTAGTTTGTATTTCTGTAAGATCAGCGGTGATCTCCCCTTATCGCTTTTTATTGTGTCTATTTGATTTTTCTGTCTTTCTTTTTCATTCGTCTGGCTAATGTTCTATATATTTTGTTAATCTTTTCAAAAAAAAACAACTCCTGGATTCATTGATTTTTTGAGGGGTTTTTCATGTCTCTATCTCCTTCAGTTCTGCTCTGATCTTAGTTATTTCTTGTCTTCTGCTAGCTTTTGAATTTGTTTGCTCTTGCTTCTCTATTTCTTTTAATTGTGATGTTAGGGTGTTGATTTTAAATCTTTTCCACTGTCTCTTGTGGGCATTTAGTGCTATAAATTCCCCACTAAACACTTCTTAACTGTGTCCCAGAGATTCTGGTACATTGTGTCTTTGTTCTCATTGGTTTCAAATAACTTACTTATTTCTGCCTTAATTTTGTTATTTACCCAGTAGTCATTCAGGAGCAGGTTGTACAGTTTCTATGTAGTTGTGTGGTTTTGATTGAATTTGTTAACCCTGAGTTCTAATTTGATTGCACTGTGGTCTGAGAGATTGTTATGATTTCTGTTCTTTTGCATTTGCTGAGGAGTGTTTTACTTCCAATTATGTTGTCAATTTTAGAATAAGCATGATGTGGTGCTGAGAAGACTGTATATTCTGTTGATTTGGTGTGGAGAGTTCTGTAGATGTCTATTAGGTCCGCTTGGTCCAGAGCTGAGTTCAAGTACTGAATATCCTTGTTAATTTTCTGCCTCATTGATCTGTCAAATATTGATAGTGGGATGTTCAACTCTCCCACTATTATTGTGTGGGAGTCTATGTCTGTTTGTAGGTCTCTAAGAACTTGCTTTATGAATCTGGGTGCTCCTGTATTGGGTACATATATATTTAGGATAGTTAGCTCTACTTGTTGCATTGACCCCTTTGCCATTATGTAATGCCTGTCTTTTTTGTTTTTGATTTTTGTTTGTTTAAAGTCTGTTTTATCAGAGACTAGAACTGCAACCCCTGCTTTTTTTTTTTTTTTTTTTTTTTTTGCCTTCCATTTGCTTGGTAAATATTCCTCCATTCCTTTATTTTGATTCTATGTGTGTCTTTGCACTTGAGATGGGTCTCCTGATTAAAGCACACCAATGGGTCTTGACTCTTTATCCAATTTGCCAGTCTGTGTTTTTAAGTTGGGGCATTTAGCCCATTTACATTTAAGGTTAATATTGTTACGTGTGAATTTGATCCTGTCATTATGATGCTAGCTGGTTATTTTGCCCATTAGTTGATGCAGTTTCTTCATAGTGTCGATGATCTTTACAATTTGGTGTGTTTTTGCACTGACTGGTACCAGTTTTTCCTTTCCATATTTAGTGCTTTCTTCAGGAGCTCTTGTAAGGGAGACCTGGTGGTGACAAAATCTCTTAGCATTTGCTTGTCTGTAAGGGATTTTATTTCTCCTTCGCTTATGAAGCTTAGTTTGGTGCAATATGAAATCCTGGGTTGAAAATTCTTTTCTTTAAGAATGTGGAATATTGGCCCCCACTCTACTCTGGCTTGTAGGGTTTCTGTCAAGAGATCAGCTGTTAGTCTGATGGACTTCACTTTGTGGGTAACCTGACCTTTCTCTCTGGCTGCCCTTAACATTTTTTCCTTCATTTCAACCTTGGTGAGTCTGATGATTATGAATCTTGGGGTTGCTCTTTTCAAGTAGTATCTTTGTGGTGTTCTCTGTATTTCCTGAATTTGAATGTTGGCCTGTCTTGCTAGGTTGGGGAAGTTCTCCTGGATAAACAGTGTTCTCCAACTTGGTTCCATTCTCCCCCATCACTTTCAGATACAACAATCAAACATAGATTTGGTCTTTTCACATAGTCCCATATTTCTTGGAGGCTTTGTTTGTTCCTTTTCATTCTTTTTTTCTCTAATCTTGTCTTCACGCTTTATTTAATTAAGTTGATCCTCATTCTCTGATATCCTTTCTTCCACTTGATCGACTCGGCTATTGATAATTGTGTATGCTTCACGAAGTTCTTGTGCTGTGTTTTTCAGCTCCATCAGGTCATTTATGTTTGTTGCTAAACTGGTTATTCTAGTTAGCAATCCCTCTAACCTTTTTTCAAGGTTCTTAGCTTCCTTGCATTGAGTTAGAACATACTCCTTTAGCTCGGAGGAGTTTGTTATTATCCACATTCTGAAGCCTACTTCTGCCAATTCATCAAAATCATTCTCTGTCCAGTTTTGTTCCCTTGCTGGCAAGAAGTTGTGATCCTTTGGAGGAGAGAAGGAGTATTCTGGTTTTTGGAATTTTCAGCCTTTTTGCACTGGTTTTTCCTCATCTTTGTGGGTGTATCTACATTGGGCCTTTGATGTTGGTGATCTTTGGTTGGGGTTTCTGTGTGGACATCCTTCTTGTTGATGTTGATGCTATTCCTTTCTGTTTGTTAGTTTTCCTTCCACGAGTCAGGCCTCTCTGCTGCAGGTCTGCTGGAGTTTCCTGGAGGTCCACTCCAGATCCTGTTTGCCTGGGTATAACTGGTGGAGGCTGCAGAAGAGCAAATATTGCTGCCTGTTCCTTTCTCTAGAAGCTTTGTCCCAGAGGGGCACCCACAAGATGCCAGCCAGAGCTCTCCTTTATGAGGTGTCTATTGACCCCTGCTGTGACGTGTCTCCCAGTCAGGAGGCATGGGGGTCAGGGACCCACTTGACGAGGCAGCCTGTCCCTTAGCAGAGCTCAAGCGCTGTGCTGGGAGATCCATTCCTCTCTTCAGAGCTGGCAGGCAGGAATGGCTAAGACTGCTGAAGCTGAAGCTGCGCCTATAGCTGCCCCTTCCCGCAGTTGCTCTGTCCCAGGGAGATGGGAGTTTTACCTATAAGTCCCTTACTGAGGTTGCTGCCTTTCTTTCAGAGATGCCCTGCCCAGAGAGGAGGAATCTAGAGAGGCAGTATAGCTGCAGCATCTTTGCCAAGCTGAGACGGGCTCTGCCCAGTTTGAACTTCCAGGCAGCTTTGTTTAAACTGTGTGGGGAAAACTGCCTATTCAAGTCTCAGTAATGGCAAACGCCCCTCCTCACACCAAGCTCCAGCATCCCAGGTTGACTTCAGACTGCTGTGCTGGCAGCAACAATTTCAAGCCATTGGATCTTAGCTTGCTGGGCTCCATAAGGGTGGGAACTGCTGAGTTAGGCCACTTGGCTCCCTGGCTTCAGCCCCCTTTCCAGGGGAGTCAACGGTTCTGTCTCACTGACGTTCCAGGCACCACTGGGGTATGAAACAAACAAACAAAAAAACTCTTGCAGCTAGCTCAGTGTCTGCCCAAAAGGCTGCCAAGATTTGTGCTTGAAACCCAGGGCCCTGGTGGTGTAGGCACCCAAGGGAATCTCCTGGACTGTCGGTTGCGAAGACCATGGGAAAAGCATAGTATCTGGGCTGAAATGCACCCTTCCTCATGGCACAGTCCCTCACAGCTTTCCTTGGTTAATGGAGGGAGTTCCCTGAACCTTTGCACTTCCAGGGTGAGGCAATGCCCTACCATGCTTTGGCTTGCCCTCCGTGGGCTGCACCCATTGTCTAATCAGTTCCAATGAGATGAGCCAGGTACCTCAGTTGGGAATGCAGAAATCAGCTGCCTTCTGCATTGATCTCACTGGGAGCTGCAGACTGGAGCTGTTCCTATTCGGCCATCTTGCCAGCCACTGGAGATTTTTAAATAGAGAAAAAAATTAAATAAATGTGCACCACAGGGTAGGGTGACAGGAGAGCTCTTATTTATCTTGAAGCACAAGAGAGCAATTGTCTCCGGAAGGCATAATGCATGCGGAATTATTAAATCTGATACTGAGAATGCATTAAAAAGGACATAGAATATTTCCTTGGAATTCCCCACTTTTTGAAAGTTACTAGCTTTTTCAATAGAAAAGTTCTTCATTTAAATTTCAGATGGGCTATAACTGATTACCCTATCTGAACGAGGCCAAACATTTTCTGAATAGAATCCTAGGTTGAATTATTCAGTAAAATATTATAAATATTTGTAGACATTCATGTACATGGCTGAATTGACTTGTATTTTAATCAGCGATTTATATATGGTACCCTTGAATATTTGATCAAATTTTTAAAATTACATATTATTGACATTTTGATGTATATTTGGTTCAATGCTGGTGCAATTGAGCACAAAGACTTTTATCTGAATTGGACATTTATATTTCTTCTTTTTCTTTTTTTTTTCTTTTTCTTTTTTTTTTTTTTTTTGAGACAGAGTCTTGCTCTGTCACCCAGGCTGGAGTGCAGTGTTGTGATCTTGGCTCACTGTGACCTCCTGCTCCTGGGTTCAAGCGATTCTCCAGCCTCAGCCTCCCAAGTAACTGATGTTACAGGCATGTGCTACCACGCCAGGCAAATTTTTTTATTTTTAGTAGAGATGGGGTTTTGCCATGTTGGCCAGGCTGCCCTGGAACTCTGGACCTCAAGTGATCCACCAGCCTCAGCCTCCCAAAGTGCTTGGATTATAGGCATGAGCCACCATGCCCAGCCACTAAATTGTTTTCATGTATGATACATACATTATCATTTTTCTCTGGTGTAATTAATAATTTCTATACAAATATACTTGTATTTCAAATTTTATGATTTATCATTTTCTTTTAATCTTTTAGGTATTCACAGTCAAATCTATTAATCTGTTGCTTGGGGTTTTCTGTTTTTAGTGTTATGTTTAATACTGCTAAAAGAAACATGTGTATAATAAGGTCTGGTGGTCCTAGCTGGTGTGTCTACCTTCTCACCCTGGGTAAATCTGCTTATCTACAGATAAGGGTGACCACTGACTCTGGACATGCTCATCACTGACAAGACTGGCTAGAATGAAAAATAAAGGAAATAGGAATGTCGTAGGCCTCCATTCATGTCAAAACAAAAAGAGATTTACTCTGAGCATCACAGATGTCATCAAGATCCCTAAATCCTTTAGAGAGCAATTATCTGATTTTAAGCTGACGTTAAATGCCACTGTAACAAAGATGGGAAACTTCCTTATTCTCATTCTTTAGATTTACTCTGCTGAGTGTCCATAATAGTCACCTGCTAAGTGAAAAATATCTGTGGGCTGTGGTGCTGTGGCTATTAGTTTGACCACAAGAAGTGAAGGCTATGGTACATAAATCACACAAACAACCTTATATCATAAGAAGAATTCCAGATCCTGTATAACAGGGTACTCGCCTTTCCCCAATATGAAACTTTTACTACTAGCTGGTCCAGTCAGACCTTATCTCATTAAAAAGAATGTCAAAAATTAAACAAACTGAAATGGATCTATACATACATAACAAGGAAAAAATGGATCTATACATACATAACAAAGAAAAAAAAGAAATAAACAGGCAGAAAGATGGGAAAAAATAACTACTTTGGCAGATAAAGAACATCAATAAAAAAGTCACCAAGAAAATAATTTTTTTTTTACCAAATACCACCATAATTTTTTTAAAAAGGAACAAATTTCCATTATACAATAAGAATACAATGCAGAAACACAAAATTTATTAAAAAGCTGAAATATCCACAACTCAGAAAAAGAAGAAAGACAATATAGTGCCATAAAAAAAATGAAGGGTAAATCGGAAGTTGCTCAATGCAGAAAAAATAAATAAAGTTGAAATGATCTAAGAATTCAAGTACAGATTTTGTGCCCCATCTGAAGCAGCAAGCATTCTAAATTAAAGATAAGTCATTGTGGAGTCCTACAAAAATTCAAGACCTATAGAATGGTGACATATTAAATGGTTGTTTCATCACAAAAGGTTGGAGGTAGTTTATTTAGAAATAGATAATTGGGACAGAAATTGAGGGTGAAGACAGAATCAATTCATTTTCAGATAAGCAAGGACTCAAAACTATTTTCCATACATGTGGAGAATACCATTTGGTATTTTCCAAAATTACCTTGAGAAATTTTTGGAGATACAGAATAGCAAAATGAGGCTATAAAATAACCATAACAGTTGACTCAATCAAGCAATAAAATGAAGATAGTTTTATATTTTTCTGAGGAAGTGTAGTGTGTTTTCAGGAAAGGTGCCAGAGGGACAAAAGTGGGAAAGAGGTATCTCAAAAGATAAGACTCTTAAGAATTGCATGATAAGACTTGAAGCAATAGTGAAACAAATTTGTGCAGGAAGAAAATGGCAATTTCAAATTACAGAAGCACTATCAATGAAAATAATATATATATATATATGAAGAAATATAGTAGTATATTATCTGATTATGCAGTGAAATGTAATGATATAATCATGATCATGCAAATAATAGAGATTGATTTTCAATTGCTATGGTCCTTCCCTTGGAAAAGCATGGAGAGCTAAATTACAGCCACAATATTTAGAGCTGGTTCCAGCTAACACATGTCAACAATGTAAGAGTGAAAGTGACAAGATAGCCACTGGGATGGAGTCAAGAGAAGAGCTGGTATGCAAAATCATCATTTCACAAGAGTCATGTGGTTGGAAGATTTAATCTAAAGTTGACAAAACAAGTAAAAAAGGTGTGAATAAGTAATCAAAGATAAGTGATAGAAAAATTAAAAATAAAGCCATAATTATATGAAACAGATAAGTGCTTCATGTAGAAGAGAGGTAAATAAGATTAGGTATATACATAATTGGTTTATTCAAAAATTTTAGTATACTGTATAATTCAAGAACTACTTATAAAATAAAAAGTAAGACAAACTCCAAAAATATTGATTCAGAACCGTCAACTGTGAGATATTTCCAAATAAAGGTAATCATTATGAAAGTTAAGAAATGTTTTAGCAACTAAGCAAAATTTCAAATCATCCATAAAGAGAAAATAATCAAATAATATTTTATTAAACTAATCCAAAGTAAATATCATTTCAGGAAGATAACAAAGAAATTTTTACAAAGGTCTAATAAAAGGAAGAAAAAGAAACAAAGGGAAAATAAAGAACAAAAGGAAGGAAAGAAGTAAGAATGAAAGAAAAGAACTGTAGCAAAAATGTTTATATTCAGCCAAACTGAAAGTCAGACACAAAAGACAGTGAAAAATACAAATTCTGAAAGCCTTACAGAGTTCCCAAAAATATATTTAGAGAAAAAAATAGAAAACACAGGCCATATAATAAAATTTTTAAAGAAAAATGAACAAAATAATTATTACAACAAAGATAATGCACAGAATAAATATCAAATAAGAGTGTCAAGTATATCTGTGACAATAATGAAGATAACTGGGATAAACCTATCCCTAGGGTAAACCTATCTCTAGAAAGGAAATAAAAGGGATTATAAAGAAAACCTGTTTGTATGTTACATTAAAAGATAACACAAAAACAGATAAGGAAGACTGAAAGTTTTAAAATGAGCAAAGTCATACTAGGCAAATAAAAACCTGAAATTTAAGATTCACTTAAATGAAGATTCACTTTAAATGATGCTAAATTATAATCAGGGGAAAATTTTTTATTTAAAATAAAATGTTTATTTTTTAATGACTAAGTATATATCCCAAAATGAAAAATCCTAGAATATCTATGAAGCATAAAACTTACCATTATATAATATATATGAGCAAAACTTTATGTATATATGTGTAGCTTATAATATGAGAAAAAATAGACAGAAAAAAATACTTATAGAAGGAACATTCAATTTAGCTCTCACAGCTTTATACAAGTGAACAAAAAGTATTTAAAACATCTGAATAACGTAAAAATAGGCTACATCAAGTTGATACATCTACATACTATTAACTCTGAAAAAATTGGCACGTGTTGGGCACAACTAGGATTGTTAACATGTTATTTTTGCTAATTCTTAAGCAAACCAATGAGGTAACTGAGGTTTAGAGAGATTAGGTAAATTCCCCATTATTTTTAGTAAACTGTGAAATCTGGGCACCAACCCAAGTTTTCTCTCAAATCCCCAAAATCTTAAACACTGTACAATTATATCTGTATACCTGGCCTTCCAATAGAGTAGAGCAAATAGATGTATTTTTCACTTAATTTTTATGAGTGAGAACACAACATATTAATTTATAGTGTGACAAATGCAATAGGTTTTGAGTGTCAGTCACTATAGAAGTAAGTTTCTCTCATCACATTTTTAACTTAATACATTTAAAATTTCTTTTTAAAAATTCATCTAAATTTTTCATAGTAACTAATTAAGTTTCTACCAGGACAGGGTATTTCTTAACATACATAATTTAAACACAAAAAAGAATGCATTGGGTGTTAATGCCTTATTTCTAACAGAAAATTTCATGAAAGTTATAAAATTCAACTCTAATTTTAAATTTTCTTAGGCAATGAAATGTCCACAGAAACAGCAAAATGTTTAGGACTTGTTTATATTAATTTATGTTAACTGATTATTGAGGTAAATCTATATAAGGTATATCAAGTATCATACATTTAAAAGAAGACCAGAATTCATTTCCAGTTTCCAGAGAATTTTTTTAATATTTAAAATATATTTTAAAGTATAAAAATAATAAAATATATAATACATAAGTAATAAATATTAAAAATACTTTATTATATAAAGAAATCCAACAAAATTTAAAAAGTAGACAGATACACATTTCTGATCATAACTCACTAAACCTAGAAAATAATAACAAAATAATTGCCATAAATGGCACAATTAATATATTTTAACATATGTCATTATTATGTAAGTGTATTTACATTCCTAGAAATAAAATTAATAAACAAAGGGGCATGTGATTTTGAATTTTTAATCTCCATAGTTTACCAATTAAACACCATCCAGATAGGCAAGGGAATGGCAATACAATGTATTATCTTTTAACTTCTCCAAGAAGAAGGTTAAAACAATTATTCTATTTTTCATTGGTATAAAAATCTAAGCTATGCATTTGTCCTGAGCATTGCTGTATCTGTATGCTGTAGGCTTTTATCAAGACTGAAAATCTGATTTAAAAAAATTTTCCAGTTTAACAATTAGTCATTTGAATTTATTTGTAATGCATATCTTGGGAGTTTACTAAGCACATATTAGACACGGGTCTAGTCATTTTCCATGTGCTAACATAAATAAATCTCTACAATAAATTGATGAGGCTCAAAGATAATAAGTAAATATTAAGTAAATATTTCATTATATTTAATGTATGGTGAAGCACAAACAAAAGCACTAGAACTTTCTCAAAAGCTCACCCTTTTACTGTAATTTAATATTAACTATTATTTGGCCTTTGTTTATGTAAGATTTACATAAATTGAAATATACTCATTTATTTATACTACCTTAACAGGGCAATTAATGCCTGGCATGTGAGTTTCTTCATATAAATGTTTATTTTGAAACATAAATATGAAAAACATAACTTTTAAAAATCCTCCCCCATATTGATATTTACAATCAATTAAATTATTTTCCCCAACTAATGTTATTTATCAGAAAAGACAAAGGCTAAACTTTTATGAGTTTTAAATTAGAAACAGAGTTGGAAAATATGTTAGCACTATATAAGGAGATTCGTGTGCTCCTAATAAAGCTATCAAATATTTCTAATGGTAGTAATTGTAGTGGTTAGTTATTTAAAAACAAGACATCACTGGGCATTATTATTATTATTTATATAATAAGAGTTTATGTGAAAGATATTATGAATCAATCTTCAGCATCAATTTAGAGCAACTTTCTTTTTTTCTGTTTTCAGGTTTTTGTTTTTGTTTTGCTTAAATTCTCATTTTTTCAGGTATTTTCATTAGCTATAACTAAAAGTCATCATCATTCAATTGTTCTCAGAGAGTCTTGCGTATGTGCAGCTGGAAAGAAAATAAGATTTCAACTTAACAGATTTAAAGTGGTGCAACTGGAAATACACACTGCAGCCACCTTCTCTTGGAGTGTAAAGTAAGTAATTAATTCATCCTATTAAAATTATGATGATTGGAAAAATAACTGTTTTCTTAAAATCAATTTTTAGATATACCTCATCTGTTCAGAAAAGATGACAGAATCCTTTCTCATTTGATAATTGTTTTTGAACCCTGGTTAGTTATCTACCCAGCATCTTCTCTAATAAATCATTTGTAGTTACTGCCAATGTTTATGGTCAGGTCTTCGTATAAACAGAGTATCACACGCTCTGTGATTTAGTTTTCCCATCTGATGGAGTGTATATGTGTCAGAATTGTGCCAGGTTTTGGAATTTCTCCTGCTTCTTAAAAGTCAGATTTCAGAAAATGGGAGTTAAAACAATAGAATTGATTTTGCTAATCAGCCCAGGGGCTTCATTATGGGCAGCCTATGCCTACCTTTTCTTCAGATTATTATTATTTTTTAATTTAGCTTTGGCACTGCTGGATATTCTCCTGAGAAAAAAGGGCAAATCAATGGAATCTTTACGACAATTTCTAGATCCATTTTCAAATGTTTATTCTGAAAAAGAAAAGAGCACTCTGTGCATACAAATTCTTTTTTTCTCCCACATTTATGAGACACACTTGAAATCACAGTATATAGATGGCAATCTTCTAAAACAAAATCCAGTGTTTCTCCACTTTGATTACTAAAACATGTTAAAAATGGAGACTAAAGTGGTGATTTAATAGTTGCAGAAGTCTGAGTCACTTTCATTCAGACACAAAGATTCTAACATTCTTCTTGCTGTCTAGCATAAGAAATCTAATCATATGCCATTTTTCTTGCTTATAGCTATAGATGGGGATCATACTCCCCTGTAAATTTTTCATATAGATATTTCAGAATTATCAGATGGCAGGGCAAAAAAACGTTAAGGTCACTTTCAAACTTTAAATCTCCTATGGTTCAGGATGTTAAATTGCTATAAAGTTACTGGGTCATATATATATATATATTCAACTATATATATAGTTAGTCTCCAAGTCAATTTTCCTGACTAAAAAGAAATAATAAGCAGGTATTTAAAGGGACATGTCAAGGTTGAGAAGCACAATTTAGCATCAGGGACAGGATTTAAGATTTCTCTGTTAAAAGTTGCATTTTTGATCTTTTCTTATTTGCTGTGTAGCCATGGTTAAATAATTTAGCCTATAGTTTGATGATTGTATTGTCTAATGGGGGAAAATAAGTATGAAAATACGTAAGTCCTGTTTCAACTATCAAAGGAAACACCATGAATTTATACCAACTATACTGTTATATGTTATTTTAAGTTACGTCAATCTTCCTTCTTTCCAAAGTAAAGGAGTATCTATTGTTCTGGATTTACAGTGACTGAAACTTCAAGTGGGAAAAAGGGAATTAGAACTTTTACAAAATTACTTATTTTTCATTTTCTAGTCAGATGTCAAATAGATAGTGCTATTCACAATGTCACCATGAGCAAATAATAGACAGCAAGAGTGAATATGAGAGAGAGAGAGAACTTTGCAGTGGGCACTGATGTAGTCAAAGGTTTCTAAAAAAAAAAAAAAAGTAACAAATCTTGATGTGGGAGAAAGTCTGCTGTACAAAATAGTAAGTTCTATTCAAAAATGTTCTGCTCTATTGTGAAAATGCCTCCTTTCTGATGAAAAAAATTTATTTTTATTCATATGAAATGTATCTGTTATTTCAAAGTTCTTCAGTATATGTTGGTAATTTGACTCCAGTTCAAAGAGAATTTTAAAAGATACTTCTTACACAATAGTCTAATTAATCTAATTGACATATCATTGTTCAAATATTAGGGATGGACTATTTAGGGCAGGAAAATGCAATATTAAACCGAGATATCTACATAATCTTAGGCAAGGATGCCAGATTTAGAAAGCGAACATCACCTTTCATAATGAAAGCAAGATACCTTTGCAAAGAATCATTTATTAAAACCAAACTACTATTTCAATAAAGCATTAAGATTTGCTGCATAGAATGCCCCTTGGGCAGCACTCTGAAATAATAGTGAATTGCTATTCCAATTCACAATGGAACATTTTAATAAGTGTGATAAATGACTCACAGAGAGCTGTAGATTTCAATGTCAGTGGAATTAGAATCAGGCAAACGCTGGCCCTGGATGATGGATGTACAGGATCTTTGTGGTAAACACTTTGCAATGTCAGGACAATACCAGCTTATGAAACTCTCAGAGGTGAAATTCATGTCCATTTGTCAACTTGTTGCCTGAGGGTGAAAATGTAGACAGAACACTAGTCTTATTTTAACAGGTGATATACTCTCTTAAATTCTGTAACCCTTAAAAATGACACAAAACAAAAAAATTAAAGATGCAATGTATAAAAGTAAATCTCCTTATATTTAGAGATGTAACGTACATTCATAGCCTCAGTAGTAGAGTGGATTGGAGAAATATTTTGTATTCAACTGGACTCAAATTTTCAACTTTTTTCTCTCATTTTAGATAACATTTTTTTCTTTAGATGTCCAAGCTTTACAAGGATATAAATGTATATGTGGGACTTCTTTATTTTTTCTAAACAGATGCAAATCACATATTTTTAGACAACATTTCTTCTGACCATGTTAACTTAGAACACAAAGTTAAGGTGAGTAAAAAATTATGACTATACAGATACTGTATGACTGTACAGTAATATTCAAATAAAGAGTTTGGCTCGGCGGGGGGCGGTGGTTCACGCCGGTAATCCCAGCACTTTGGGAGGCCGAGGCGGGTGGATCACGAGGTCAGGAGATCGAGACCATCCTGGCTAACACGGTGAAACCCCGTCTCTATTAAAAATACAAAAAAAAATTAGCCAGGCGTGGTGGCGGGCGCCTGTAATCCCAGCTACTCTGGAAGCTGAGGGAGGAGAACAGCGTGAACCCGAGAGGCGGAGCTTGCAGTGAGCGGAGATCCCACCACTGCACTCCAGCCTGGGCGACACAGCAAGACTCCGTCTCAAAAAAAAAAAAAAAGAAAAAAAAAGAATTTGGCTTATACGTATTATCTCTCATGATTTTCTTGCATGTGATTTTAGATGTTCCCTAGGAAACAAGTTTCCAATTTGCGCTTCAAGTTTACTAAGCTAATATCTCCCTTAATATTTCTCAAAAAGGTAGCACAATTTGCTGATATATACAAAGTATTTTTGTCAACAATATATTAAATCTGAATGGGACTTTATAAGTGAAATCTAAAAGACAAAAGAAAAAGTAGGATCAACACATCTTAATGTAAAATTAGTTTTCTCAAATTTCTTTTAAATATATAAAACCATGGAACACTACAAAGTTCAAATATGCGATGAGCAAAGATATTTTATATTTATAAATAGCCACAAACCTAATTTTAAAAAAGTAAATTAAAAAAATTGTTAACTATATCTATAATTTTCAAAATTGTTTTTGGTCATTGTTGGTACACTAAGGCAATACTTTCTAAATTTTAACATCCACATAGAATCCACCCAGGAGTATTATTCAACTGATAACTGTGATGCAATAGGCCTGGCAGGCGAGGCCTGAGGTGCTACCTTTCCCATAATCTCTTACGTGAACTTACTGCTACTGCTCTGCAGACCGCACCTTGGTAAATCAGGCAATAAGGTCACTCCTCTGACTTACAATGTATAGAATATACAGGAGGGTTTATGAAAAGTGAAAAGCAGCTGCTCTGTGTTGGCCTTAATTAAATAAAATAATACATTAAATTCTTGATCCTTTTTGGTTTAATTAGTGTCAGGAAGTGACAGAAAGTGAATATCATGCTATGGGGTGACATGTGACTTGTATACCCATCCTAACCCTCAACTAGCTATGGAATTAACTAGCTATGCAGCAGATGTGTCAATTGTATACCCATCTTAACTCTCAACTAACTATGAAGTTAATATGGAATTAACTAGCTATGGAATTAATATGGAATTGTATGGGGTGCAGACATGTGAATTGTATACCCATCTTAACTCTCAACTAGCTATGGAATTAGTACCTATAATTTTTCACTTGTAAGCCTAGAATATTACTAATAGTTATTTTATTTAGTGCTTTTAACTATTAAATGAGACAATACACATAAAACAGTTAAAATAGTTCCTGTCATATAGTAAACCCTTAGTAAGTATTATTCCTATGAACATGCCAGTGTTACTGACATGGAGCAAGAACAACTGGATTTTATTTTAGTTCTTTTGTTGAAGGATTAAGACATCCTTAACCTTAAAAATTATTTAAACCATCTGACCCCAATTTCCTCATTTACAAAATGTGAATGATTATATGAATTTCAAAAAGGTGCTTAGATTAAGAGAATGCCTATGAAAATATTTTATTTACTCTAAATTATGCAAGTAAAACATAATTTTTGCTTCAAGTATGAAACTTTTGGGGAAAAACTACTTTTAAATTTACCAAGTATTGGTAGTTATTCAACAGCTAACAAGTAACATTTTGATTTATTTTTTATTTCAACCTAGTCAGAGTTTCCCAACAAAGTTTTGGCAAAATAAGGGGAAATGTGGAACTAGTGAGTTCTAAACATACAGTATTTAATTACTGATTAGACATGGAAATAAAAGCAGAAGCATACAAAATAAATTTTCCTATTATTTTAATAATACAGCAGTGCTAGTAATATCGTATGTCTCTTTCTATGCTTACCAAAACATCACACATTTTATTTGGGAAAAGGTAAAAGGGATGCTTTCTGTTATACTTGAGCCCTTATAAAAGAGACACAATAAATAACTGTTGAAGAATCAATTCAAAAATCTAAGTTTATTCCTAATTCTATTTTTCTCTTGTGATGTGTCCTTAGAAGTGTACTTGGTCTCCTTATTCTTCAGATTCAATGCAAAATGGGACTATCAATATAGAACTTGCTACTTGGAGACATTACAGTGAACCACAAGAATTAACAAAAACGATGACAGGTAAGTGGTTTGAACTGATTTCTAAAGAAAACTTCTATAGACACACAAACCTCTCAGGGCATGAAATTCTTTTTGAAAGTGAAAAAAAAAATAGCTGAGAGGGAGAAACCTCATGTAATGAGGAAAAGGAAGATCAGAAAGGAGGGGAGGTTAGAGATCAGGAGTTACAGCCTCTTTCATTTCACAGAGGTAGCACCCAGCAAGGGCACTGCTAATCTTTTCTGGATGCAGTCAATATTAGAGTTTATTAATAACTTGGAAAAGGGAGTAATCATCCAATTAATTTGACAAATAGGCAGGAGTTATGGACGCTCATAGGGCCAAAGATATAGAGGTTAGGGAGATAAGAGAGAAATAACTTTTTTTTAAATTATACTTTAAGTCCTAGGGTACATGTGCACAATGTGCGGGTTTGTTACATATGTATACATGTTCCATGTTGGTGTGTTGCCCCATTAACTCATCATTTACATTCGGTATATCCCTAATGCTATCCCTCCCCACTCCCCCCACCCCACAACAGGCCCTGGTGTGTGATGTTCCCCACCCTGTGTCCAAGTGTTCTCATTGTTCAATTCCCACCTACGAGTGAGAACATGCTGCGTTTGGTTTTCTGTCCTTGCGATAGTTTGCTCAGAATGATGGTTTCTAGCTTCATCCATGTCCCTCCAAAGGACATGAACTCATCCTTTTTTATGGCTGCATAGTATTCCATGGTGTATATGTGCCACATTTTCTTAATCCAGTCTGTCATTGATGGACATTTGGGTTGGTTCCAAGTCTTTGCTATTGTGAATAGTGCCGCAATAAACATACATGTGCACGTGTCTTTATAGCAGCATGATTTATAATCCTTTGGGTATATGCCCAGTAATGGGATGGCTGGGTCAAAAGGTATTTCTAGTTCTAGATCCTTGAGGAATCGCCACACTGTCTTCCACAATGGTTGAACTAGTTTACAGTCCCACCAACAGTGTAAAAGCGTTCCTATTGAGATAAATAATTTAATAGGAATAAGAATTAACCTTGGAGACCAAAAGTTAGTACACTAAAGCAAAGCCACAGTGTGGCTTTCAAAATTAAAATCAAAGTCTGTGTTTTTCTTTACCAAAATAATTTGTATTTTCTAGAGTGGAGTGGCACAATCATGGCTTAATGCAGCCACAACCTCCTGGGCTAAGGTGATCCTCCTGACTCAGCCTCCCAGATAGCTGAGACGGGGGTCTCATCATGTTGCACAGGCTGGTCTTGCACTCCTGGACTCAAGCCATCTGCCAGCTTCAACCTCCTGAAGTGCTGGGGTTACAGGTGTGAGCCACCATGCCCAGCCAAGGAGCTTTCAATCATGGTGGAAGGTGAAGCAGGAACAGATATGTCACATGTAGAAAGCAGAAAGCAGGAGCAAGTGAAAGAGACTAAAGGGGAGATTTCTCACACATTTTCAAACAACCAGATTTTTAGGGAACTCAGAGCAAGAGCCCACTTATCACCAAGAAGTTGGCCCAAGCCATTCATGAGGGATCTTTCCCCATGACAAAAACACCTCCCACCAGGTCCTCCCTCCAACACTGAGGATTACATTTTAACATGAGATTTGAATGGGGACAAATTTCCAAACTACATAGCCCACCAAATGCAAGATGCTATTATTAGTGGGAACTATGTTGTGAGGGGTTAGCTTGGTAGTATGTGGAACTCTGCCTACCCTGCTTATGTTTTCTGCAAACCTCGAACTTCTTTTAAAATAGTCTATTACTTTTTAAAATGGCCTGTTTGAAGAAACTAAGTTTGTTGTGCACAATAAATTGGATATGTATAATAGATAGGGAGATTTTCATTTAATATTTCTAGAAATTAAAGAAATGGATAGATGGACTTATTAAAAAGAAAAAGAAAGACTAAAAAGTGAGAAAGAAATGAAAGAGAAAAGATAGAAACAAGAACAAATCAAATCAAGCAAAATTTTTATGTTACATGAGATTAATGGAATTTGACATTAATTGCATGAAATATACAAACAAGGTATATATATATACACAAATATATATATTTGTCCTCTGTTGTATATTCTTTCTTTATATATCATTCAGTGTTTTGCTCAACATTATGTTCATAAGATTTATCCATATTCTCAAGCTTATTTGTAGATTTTCCATTCTAGTTGTTGTACAGTAGTCTATTCAATGAACATAAAAATTAATTTATTGCATGATTGATAAACATTCTGGTATTTTCTGATGTTTGAGTGAAATGAGCTGTGCTGTCATAAACTTTCTGTTGCATGTCTTTTTCGTGTGTATAGATGTACTCTTTGCTATTTGGCACACACCTAAAAGTGGAAACAGTTTTCTAAATGATTGCAACAACTTACATCCTCACCAGAAGGAGTTTCATTTGCTCCTTGGCCCCTTCAGTACTCAGTATTTTCTCCTTTTGCATTTTATCAGTAATTGTAGTTGCATGATGTTATTGGACTTTGATTTTTACTTGGAGTTAGGTTTTTGTCATTATTGTTGTTGTTTTAATTTTACATTTAAGTTCAAGGGTACCTATGCAGGTTTGTCATATAGGTAAACTTGTATCATGGGGTTTGTTGTGAGATGATTTTATCACCCAGGTAGTAAGCCAAGTACCAATAAGTTATTTTACCTGATTCTCTCCCTTCTCCCACGTTCCAGCCTCTGATAGGCCCCATATGCGTTGTTCCCATCTTTGTATTCGTGAGTTCTCATCATTTAGTTCCCACTTATAAGTGAGAACGTGCAGTATTTGGTTTTCTGTTTCTTACATTTTATTTTTAAAAAAACTGCCAAAATACTTCCCAAAGTGTCACTGTTATTTCACATTCCTACAAGAAATTTGTGGTGGTTTTAATTGATCTGTATACTCAAAAATATTTTGCATTGTCTGTCTTTATATTATAATCAATCTAGTAGGTGTCTAGTAGTATCTGATGGTGATTTCAATGTTTATTTTCCTAATGTTACTGAGCCAGTTTTCATGTACTTGTTATTTTTACATAATCTTTATTAAGATGTCTATTGAAACTTTTTGCACATTTTAAAAAATGGGAGTTTTAAAAATATTTTAGGAATTTTAAAATATTTTGCATATTCTGACATTAAGCCTTTTCTCAGATATAGAATCGGTAATTATTTCCCTTCAGTCTATGGCCTGTCATTTCATTTTTTAATGGTGTCATTTCAATTATAAATATATTTAATTTTGGTGGAATTCAATTTATATTTTAATTTTGTATGAATCATTATTCTTGTGTATAGTTTTAGCCCTTACATATATGTGTATGATACAAAGTAAGGGTCAAAGTTGTTTTGCCTATGGCTGTCTGACAGACTGACTATCGTTTGCTAAAGATTTTTCTAATCCCATTAAATTTTCTTGATATCTTTGTATAAAATCTATTTACCATGATGTAAAAATTTATCTGTAAACTCTCAGTTTATTTCCATTGATCTATATGTCTATCCTTCTACCAGCATACTCTTACTTGCTATGACTTTATAACTTTTGACTTTATAACTATTGCCATATAACTATTAACTTTTGACATATAACTATATGACTTTAATAGGTTTGAAATTAGATAGTTTCAGTTCTTCAATTTTCTACTTCTTTTTCAAAATTATTTTTGCTATACTGCATCCTTCAGTCTTCATTTACCTTTAAGTATCAGTGTGTACAGCTATAAAAATGACAGCTGGGATTTTGACAGATATGGCTTTGAATTTGTAGATCATTTTAGTGAAAGACATCTTCACAATATTCAATTGTCTTCTCCATAAACATGAATTTTTCTCTATTTATGCAGATCCAACTTTCTGGTTCACAGATGTCCATCTCTAGGTTTTTTCTTTTCTTTTTTTTTTTTTTTTTAAATAAGGGCACGCATCACAATCATGAGGGTTCTGCCTTCATGACCTAATCAACTTCCAAAGGTCCCACCTCCTAATACCATCACATTGGTGTTAGGATTTCAACATATGAATTTGGGGAGGACCTTATACATTCATTCCGTTACACAGGCTACATTTCCTTTGATGGTCCATTTCCTTCTTATCATTAGTCCATGCTATTCTTTTGAATCTAATTACTCTTTTTCACTACACGGATGAGAGTACAATATAATTTCTTCCACAACTTTAAGTAAAGACACTCCTTTCTGCTAGCTTTTATAAACTGATAAAAAACTTGGAAATTTTGGTAGTCACATTTGCCAATACCAAGACAGATAATGCACTGAAATGAAGGCAGCACAGCCAGACGCGGTGGCTCGTGCCTGTAATCCCAGCACTTTGGGAGGCCGAGGCGGGTGGATCACGAGGTCAGGAGTTCAAGACTAGCCTGGCCACGATGGTGAAACCCCGTCTCTACCAAAAATACAAAAAGTAGCTGGGTGTGGTGGTGCATGCCTGTAATCCCAGCTACTCAGGAGGCTGAGGCAGAGAATTGCTTGAGCCAGGGAGGCGGAAGTTGCAGTGAGGCAAGATTGCACCACTGCACTCCAGCCTGGATGGCAGAGCAAGACTCCATCTCAAAAAAAAAAAAAAAGAATGAAGCAACACAGAGTCAAAAAAAGAGATTACTCTTAGATAAATTTGAGAGAGCCCCATGTCTACCTATTTCTGAACATGAACATACATGTAATACTGAGAATGCCAGTTATATAATCCAATCAAATTATTTGTGTTGCTATATTTTACCCTACACCATTATTTGATTCTATTTCTTACAGCTGCAAGAAAATTGTCTAATAAAGAAATACTAAGCCAAAGAGGAACTGAAAATGAAAAAAATTTGATGTGAGAAAGTGACTTTATTGGGCATGATTAATACATAGCATAGATATTAGTAATCTCCTTTACATTTATTACTTTTTAAACAAACATTACCAATTTACCCCTTTACTTTGATGCTCAGACACACCTTCAGATCCTTACTACGATTCTCCAGATTGATCATAAAATTTTGAAATCTATTGCATTCCTGACAATAAATAATGATAATACTCAGGAAAAAAGACTGGTTTCCATTGTTTGCATACTCTCTATTTTGTAAGTACTATTTTGTTTATACAAATTAACACAGGGCAGTTGGATTATAAATAGAGATGGATCTCAGAGTAATATTAAAAGTTATATTGGTTACTAAATGTGTCATAGTAATCTGTACTACTTTATCACTTATTAAAATAATTTCTTATAGTTCTATGACAATGGATGTGCATATTGGTGTATAATATTAAATAATAATTACTAAGTGAAACAATGTCAAGACAGAAACAATGTATATGCTATAAACTACACAGTCAATAAAGTTCACAAGTTTACATCCTAATAATGGTTTCATCATTAAAGACAATATGTTCTTTGTTTTACAAGTGTCAAAGGGCCTTAATCTAAGAAATATACCCAAAGTCTTTTGGGATCTTGGACTGGCAGCACATGACAAAAATCTCAGAATTTTTTAATTTAGCCTTTACATGAAAATGCTGCATATTGGTTCAACATGTAAGCTCATATTTAGAGACCATATTAATAATTTCAAATTGCAGGTATTTGCATGCTATGTATTTTTTAATAAATAATATAGAGCAAATATTTGTTTTTAAAATCTAAAACAAAACAATTATTCAGTTTCTCACTAGTATTTTCCACAGTTTGCATTTCACATCGTTGCAAACTAAAATAATTTCCCTATAGTATAGATATAAAATTAAATTATTTGCATTAGAAAATCACCTCTAAATATATTAAAAGATGGTTCAGGGCAAAATAATCCTATTAACTGCATAGCAGGTAATAAATGAGTCTGTGCATACTATAATCATGTAATTTAAAGGGTGTACTAAGTTTTTGCTTGGAGGACTGTTGAAGTGAGTCTTTTGAAATAGGAAAGAAAAATGAGAAGGGATTCTGAGAATTTAATTTCCTTGGAGGGAAAAAAAGAAAAATGTAGTTAAAACAGATATGCTTAACTTCAATTTAAAAGTGCTTTTTAGGTTTAAAATCTTAATAATGTGTATAATATGAGTGTTAATAATTCAGCATGTCTGAATTTCCCCAATATATAATGAAATATGTAAAAGAGTTATAACAAAATTAAAATACTTTCAATTATAATTACTAAATAATAATGATAGCTAACATTTGTTCAGGACTCAAAAGTTTTATTGTCTATATGTATTACCTAACTTAATTTTCCCAATTACACTAAGAGGTATGTGCTTACTACTGTGTACTTAGCGGATGAGAAGTTGAGGACTCCTTAGATATTACATAGTAGATAAATTATGATGTAACCTAGTGAAATATACACTATGCAATCATTAAAAATGGTATTGTAAAAGTATGTTTACTACAAGGAAGATATTCCTATTATATAAATAAAATAATTAGATGAAATAATAGTTACTTCTGAGTTTTGGTATTCAGCATGATTAAATTTTATTATTTGTTATTTTCTTTATCTTCCATATTTTTTACAGCTGATGTGTTTTTTTCTAAATAAGAAAATAATTTTATTTATTACTTCAAAAAAAACCAGACATAGGAATCTTTCTAGGCATAAAAATAGATGTCTTGTTCTATATTAACACTCCTTTGCCTGACAACAACTTGAAGTAGATACTATTATTTTTATTATTAACACCATTTTACAGCTGACAAACTAAGACACAGAGATACTAAATAACTTGCCTAAGATTACATCCAGTAAGTGGCAGAGCAATAATGGAAACACTTTAGATTCCTTGGCTAATCCGTTAATTCTCTTCTTTTGCCAGGACTAACATATTCTTAATCTTTATTTCCATTCTTTCATTTTGCAGACAGTCTAACTCAGTCTTGAATATAAAGCCTTTTAAATGTTTCTTAATTACTTACAAGCGGCAGAACACAGTGTGGCAGTTCCTGGTTTTTGAAGCAATGTGATGTAGGATATTCTACAAGTACAAAGAAAAGCTACATGAAAAATAGAATCATCATTACATTGTCTTCCTTCCTGCTGAACTCTGCAGTCCGATATTGTATTGCGGAGGTACTGCCAAGCAGAAAGGTAATAACATCACAAGTCTCAGTTGACCTGTGTCTCAGCATTTTTAACACAATCGTTCTTTCCATTACTTCAGGATTTCATTTAATAATCTCCCCTGTTAGAATCATTGTAACAGCAGGAAGAGGCAGAATTAGCAGTTACAGCTATATGCTCACTTCCCAAGTTATTTTTTCTTCCAATTAAAAAGCATTTCATATATTTGAATAAAATGCAGATCTTAGTTCATATTCTTAAGTGGATTTTGAGTTTGCTGGTGAGATTCTTTATTTCAACTCTTAGCAGGTAACTCAATCCACCATATAATATGATTAAAAGAGCAAAGTTGCCGATACCTCATAAGCCTTTGGGCTTTCAAAGTTATTTAAAGTATTGGTGGTGGTGATGTTCATAAGAGCTCATTAAATATGAAGCTTGGTTTTGGATCTATAAGTTAATTTATTAAAGAGAAGTTTGCAGATTTTTTTAAAGAACAGATAACATGTTTATCATATACTTAATTAACTAAAAGTGAATACTATTAAAATAATAATCACTGAAGGCACAAGTAAAAACTATATTTTATGATTCTCACGTGTGTGTAAAGGGGATTTTTAAATGAAGCTATATATTTATTAAATTCAGTTATCAGTCCTGTTTACTAGTTAAAAACAAAATAAAACAAACTTTGAGGCAGCATTGTCTTATATGCATATTTCCATAAGTTTTTCTCATATAATTAAATCTCAACTGTGAAGATAAAATATCTGCAAAACGCACAAACGAAAAACTATTTCTTTAAATTTAAGTTTAGTAAGTTTCTTAGAAATAGGTTCTTGAAGGTTAAATTTTTCCTGTTAGTTGATTCTACTTTCAAGAAGATGAATGAAAATTTTAATTAAATAGCTAATTCCAAAAATGATATGATAGTTTATATTAGTCCAACTAGCAATTTTCTTGAAAGTTTAAGATTAATGTCTCAAATTATCAACCTCAATATTTGAAGTGAAAAAAGTAGCAAAAGTTAGCTTTTCATACTTGACCTATTAAAAACATTAACTGTTTCTGAAACTATAAAGAACACGAATTTTGCAAGAATTAAATGTGTTTATTTCAAGCTAATAAAATATTATAAGCCACATTGATATTCCACCATCATAAAATTAAAACATTCTTATATATTTTTAATATTAATGATACTATATTCTATATCAATATAATGATTCTAAAGAAAAAATATACTGATAAGTGTAATTGTATAGATGCACATGATTTTTGGGAAAGTATTACATTAGAAGATATTCTATTTAGCCAAATTTTGCCTCTAAATATTGTGTTAAGAAACATTTATGGGTGGCAAGAAAGGAAAGGATGAAATTGGTATAAGGTTGAAACAAGCAGAAATGAATAAACAAGTAACATGAGATTTCCTATTTTAGGATGACTGGAGGAACTCCCAAAAAAATCTTTGAAATGCCAAGAAAATGTTTAAAAATGAGAGTGAATCTGCTATGTAGAATGAAACTATGAAGATCATGAAAATAACCAGAGCCTTACTCTATTCTAATAGACATCATAATTAGGAGACATGTCACAATCCCTAAAAAATGCATTTGAAAACAGTTTCCTTCTGTATAATAGTTTATTAGTTTTTGCACTAATTATATCATTAGATAGGATAGACACAATAGATAAAAGCTTACTGAACAAAAATTACTGTTTCAGACCTCACATTTTCATCACCTGAATCTCTCCACATGGCTGTATCACATGACATCTGAATTTTCCAGGAGGAAAATTCAACCAGCCAGGAGGAGGAAGAGGAGAAGGAGGAGGAGGGCAGAAGGAGAAGAGGAGGAAAAAAGGAGAAGGAGAAAGAGACAGAGAGAGATTCCAAGATGAATTGCACTGTTTTATAAACTAATCTTAGAACTAACACCCCCATCACTTCTTTCATACTCTGTTTATTGGTAGTGACTCAGCAAACACTGCCCACATTCAACTCCACACACAAGGGAATGGGTACCAGGAAGTGGAGGTCATCTAGGGCCATTTTGAAGGTCGGCTTCCACACTAATCTTTATATCTGCTTCTAGCAATATGTTTGGCAAAGAGCCATGAATATGGCTCTACATAATTACAATCTTACAAGTGAAATCACAGAATACTGAACAAAGTATCATAGGTGAATTACTTTATCTAATCCTACATTTTTCAGACTATAAAACTGAAAACAAAAGAAAAAATACAACTTGTTTGAGGTAGAGATAATAAGAACAAATTTCTTTTTATTAAACTATCCTACAAATAATCAATTTCTAAAAAGTATTTTGAAAAATTTTATAATCACTAAGTAGTTGGCAAGATCAGATAATGAGTTCTTACATAACTTTCACCCAGCATCTCTCAATATTAACATCTTATACAACCATAATATATACAAAAACTAATAAATTATAATTTATTATACTATTCATATTTTTAGTATTTATAGCACTTTAATCAGATTTAATCACTTTTTAAATTAATATCATTTTACTATTTCAAGATCCAATTCAAAAAACACATTTTATTTTGTAATCAAGTCCCCTCGTCTCCTCTAGTCTGTAACAAATTTTTGGTATTTCCTTGTTTTTCATGACCCTGACCCTTTTGATGAGTACTGGTCATGTATTTTGTAGAATGTCTTTCAACTTCAGTTGGTTTAATATTGTCTCATGATGATACTGTAGTTATGAATTTTGCGGAAGGATACAGCAGAGGTAAAATGACACTCATATTTCAGGTGGTATATGATATCAATATGACTTACAACTACTGATGTTCACCTTGATTTGTTGATTACGAGGTGTCCACCATGTTTATCTGCTACAGTCACTGTTTTTTTCTTCTCCATACTCTGCTTATAAGAAGCAAGTTACTATATCCAGCCCATTTTCAAGAAGAGAGTAATTAAATGCCACCTCATGAAGATAAAAATGGTAAATAATTTGTTGACATACCACCAAGTCAATTAATTAATAATTTGGGGAGTTACTCTGAAGCTTTGCAAATATGTTGTTTCTCCTTAAAGTTTTGTACTTTGTATTTTCTTCATTCTTTCTGTACATATTATGTGGAATATTCTGTAAAAAAAATTCCTTCTCCCCACTTTATTATTTAATCATGTAAAGAATTCATGAATATTTATTTTATTATTTGGGTGATAATTCAATACCATTATCATCTTTAATAATATTTTTCAGAAAAATACCTATTGCCATCTAGGAAGAGTCAAATGAAGCAAATGAACTAAAGTGGATGAATTTGTAACAAGGAAAAAAATTCTTACTTCATGCTTTAATATAAGTTATATATTTTGCTTTGACAGTGTTGCTAAAATGCATATACTTTAATATAAGTTATATACTTTTATATAAGTTTAATATGTTATATATTTGCCTTAATTGATATAGTGTTGCTAAAATGCATATACAATTAACATGGATATATGTTATTTTAAATTGTTTTAGAAATAATTATATTTTCAAAGACAATGTTTGGATAGTTGTTGATGACTAAGAAGCAAAATAAATAATTCTGTCAATGAATAAATACCTTAATAAAATTTTTTACCCATAAGATGTCCTTGTTTGAAGGATGAAATATATAATTACCTGTATATAACTGTATTAATTTTCATCATTTTATAACAGCTGTAGGCCTTTATGGTTCCCCTTACAATAATTAAAATCTTCTCCCCTAGATATATTATTGGATCCTTCTCATTGTTGTGAACTTTACTCAAATATCACCTCCTCCTTTCATCAGTGGCATTATGTCTTCTTGTATTTCTTATATTGTCAGTTTTCCTATTTGAAATTATTCAATCATAATTATATATTTTTGGAATAGTGTCTCCCATCACTCACTGCAAAGGCAGGGCAGAAGTTTTTCAGTTTTTAACATTTTTCAGTGTAATTCCATGCTAATTACTCCACTTACAATAAATAGTATTTGGAAAGGAACTTAAGAGTTTACTCATGTACTTTTAGCAATTATTACATATGTACACATATGGAGGACTTCCTTAAATATTATAACAGATTAGTCTGTCAAAAATCAATTTCATTGTTATGTTGTATACCTTTTATTCTATTCTATTTATAGACATGTCCCTGGAAACTTCAGATATCAGAAATCTAACTTCTATAATACTCTGATGTTTTAAATACTTGCTGTGTTTTTCTTACACTATTTCCTCTGCTCACATGCTGTTAACCCACTATCCCAGCTCACATTTTGGTCACATATAAATCTTACACCTCTTTTCCAAGAATCAAATCAAGTATCACCTCCTACAAGATGTTTGACTTTGAAGCAATCTGAATGTCCTTTCCTCTTGCGTGTGCTTCTAGCATGGTAGTGCTTGATATAGAAATGCTCTGAGCCTTTGTCATCTTTGTATATCTGGTGTCTAATATACAACAACTCTTCTAGACATTCAATAAATATTTTCCCCGATACGGAGATAAGGTGATCCACACCATGCAAAACAAATTTGTCATTCCATGTACTTGTGGATCTTGAGATGAATTGTCAGGGGATAAGTAAAATGGCAGTTCTTCAGACTTTTTCCAAGATAAAAATGTATTCTATACAAAAATGATTTTTAAAATTTTCTGTGTTGCTGGTGGGATTAAACCCATAACTCAAGCCTAATGAGAATTAGATCAATGTAGGGCTAAAGCTAGCTCCTCTCACATTCACTGATATCTGGTAGTGAGGGAATTTCTACTTAAAAAAAACTGATGAATAGAGTCAAAAATAACAACAGTTCTATCCCCCAGGATTCCCTGAGCTATTGGAAGTTGTTCTCTCTTTTGGTACATAAGTATTTTAGTAGTAACTCTAATAAAGCCATTTTATTAAGTTAATGTATAACTTTATTGTAAAGGTATCTCCATTTCTGACCTGTTCCTCCCTCCCTCAACTCCACAGAATACTTGGCACAGCACAAAACACAGAGCCTGTGATTAAAGCAGGAAGAATAATAGCCCTTAAAGCTGTGCACACCCTAATCCCCAGAATCTGTGGATATGTTATGTAAAATGACAAAATGAAATTCAGTTTGCTGATATAATTGAGGTTGCTAATTAGCAGTCATTAAAACTGATTATTCCAGATTATTTGATGGGCCTAATGCAATCACAAAGGTTCTTAAATGTGGAAAAGGAAGGCAGAAGAGTCAGCGTCAGAGTGATATGATGCGAAAAGGACTTATCCATCAGATGCTGACTTTGGAGAAGGAAGGAGTTTAGTAGCTGTTGAACCCAGGCAGCCTCTGAAAGCTGGAAAAAGCCATAAAACATTCCTCCCAAGAACCTCCTAAAAGAAACTGCACCACTGACAGGTTGAGTTTAGCCTATTACTGCATTTCTGATCTCCAGAATTATAAGATCATGAATTCCCATTTTTTGAAGCCACTAAGATTGTGATAATTTGCCCTGAAAATGATAATCAAAGGTGGAATCTATTATTCTGCTTTATGTTTTGCCAAATAGCCTATCAACATTCAATAAATTTCAAACAACAGATAAAATACCTTTTAAATAATAAATAACTTCATATATTGATGATGTTTCATTCTGAATATCTGAACTGTGATCCATCATTTACACACACACACACACGTAGACACACACACACACATATCGCATAAACTCTGTCAAACACTAGGAATTCTTGATCTTACAGGGTGAGGAGAATTTTGTAAATGTGATAAATTATGGACAAAAAAAGAGATATTGCTGATTAGTAATCAGCAAATCCTGTGCATCAACTTTCTTAATGGAGATAAAATATTAACATCTGTGAAAATAATTGAAAAAAAATTGTTATTACCTTTGCCTCAAAAAATAATTTAACTCATCAGTAGAGTGTGAGTTTTTCTTTCTCCTCACTAAGAGAGATAGAAAGACAAATGGTGAGACACAGTACAGCCATGTTTACTTTGGCAGGAAAACGCAGCTGCAAACAAAAATTGCTGTTACTGTTTTTTGTTTTGTTTTGTTTTGTTTTGTTTTAGTGATGGTAACTCCTATCTATACCTTTTCCCTTCAAACAAGAGACTTTTATATTCCTTTTTTTTTTCCTCGCTGCTGACTGACAAAGGCTGTGGGCAAAACAGAACTCACATCTCACATTCCTCCTCACCTCTCCCTGACAAAGATGCACACTCTGTATGTTTGATACATTATTTCCTTCATAGAAAAGAATTGTGCCTCAAGAAACAAAATATAATACAAAAGGCTCAGCTTTGCCTGGTGCATGAGTAGTAAAACTTTAAGCAAATGAGGCCAGATAGAAAAAATAATAGCAACTCTATACACATTGGGATAAAATGGAAAACAAAAAAAGCACAAAAAAAAGTATAACATCTAGGTACTTTAGATTTAATTAAATGAGTCAAATGACAATATAAAATGTGAATAATCTTAAGATTTTTATTATGAGGTTCCCCTTTGACAATCTGATGACAATCTTATGAAAATTATGAATGTTCTTCCTGGAAATCACTCACATACACATACAAGCAAACACACACACACACACACACACACACACACACACACACCAGTTTTGCAGACCATTTACATAGGTCCTTGGAACCTCTACTTTTTGGGTATCAACAAGCCCAGACTGCAAACTGCTAGTTTAAACAAGTGGAAGTCACTGTTGTTTTGTATTACTCTAATATTAAGTGTGAAATGGAGTGCTTTATCTAAGAAATAACTAAATTCTCTCAAAGTAAATAAATTAATCTGAATTACAGTATACCCTATGAGCCAGTTTCAGAAGAAAAAGCAAAGGCATTACCCGAATGAACTGAAAAAGTGGCTCAAGTCATTTTGTAAGGCATTACAGGAATGTTTCGTTATGTGAAATGATGAACAAGGTGGAACTGAAGTCCACAAAGAAAGATGACATGTGAGAAACTTTTGAGGTCTTGGATGAAAGGAGATGACCATTATGGAGGTGATTTGAATAATGCCAGCTAGGGTCGGGATCACAATTTGAAAAGTCATACCCCGATCATAAAAAGGATGCAACAAATATAAACAGCATGGTGATAACCAATGTTATTTGAGAGTGGAGAAAAGGATCTGGTGAAGTACGACTTAGGGATTTGGGAAAATAGTTTATAGATTTGCTCCATGTTACCCAACGAAGGTTCTGGTAAAAGAGCACTTAACTCAAAATGCCTACATTGGGCATTGGGCACTGTTGCATAACACGGGCTCTGGATCAATTTGACATGGTTCAGCTCTGCCGTGCAAGTATTCACTTACCCTGAGAAGATAACGTAATCTTGCGAAGTCTCAGTTTTCTCATTTGTAAAATAAGTGAAATATCTCATAGCATTGTTCAAAGAATAAGTAGGATGATGTATATAAAATACTTACCATATTACCTTGTAGCATAGGAGACAGATAAAAAAATGTAGCGATTGCTATGTAATTATTCCATAAGAATGATAAATGTGATCTATATTAAATGAAATTACAGGGTTTTTTAACCAATACACAACTATTGGATTCATTGTATTTTAGTTAGAGTCATGAGTTTCAGTAAATTCTTAATTTTATTTACTCATTTAACTGAAAGTTATGAAGAGCTTATCATGAACCAGGAAGTGTTCTAGCCACTGAGGATATGATAACAAAGAAAATAAAGTTCCCGACTAACATTTTTTTAATATTACATGTTGCAATATAAATTATTAACAAATGTACAGAAATGTATGATGCCACATGGTTCCGAGTGCTCTGGAGAAGATTAAATCATCTAGAAGAGGTTTGGGGAGTGAAAATGAGGGTGATAATGCCATTTGGTTTAGAATGGTCAGAGAATAATCATTGTGTCCTTAGAGCAGAGAAATAGTATGGTCTGAAATCTTTCAAAAAGTTCACTATGGATATTGTGTTGGAAATTTACTGCTGGGAAATTAATTAGGAGGCTATTGTCGGAAGCACCACGTGGTTTAATGCTGTGTTGGACCTGGATGATAGCAATGAACATGGTGAGGAATGATAGGCTCTGGACATATCGTAAGGCAGAATTGAAATTATTTGCTTATAGGTCAGATACGTGTGTGTGAGAGAGACTGGGAAGTATCAATACATTCTTCCACATAAAAAATGTGATCTTAAGCTAATAACTTAATTTATAATAATCATGACTCATCTACAATAAAGGCAGTACTCTGTAAGTTAGAGATAAGATAATACCAGTCTCAATTGAGTAAACATAGTATAGTCAAATAAGAAAACAAATGCATAAATATTGGTTTATTAATGAAAAAAAAATGATGCTTGTCCATGCAGTCATTCACACAGTGTAATCGAGGGTTTGATGATAGCTCTTGATCAATGAAAAGTTATTTAAATATATTTGAATTGTACAAATTTTATCTTTATAAAAATGTAACTTTTAGGCAATCAAGTAGAACTCAGAAAAAAGTTTATTCCTTATTTCAATAAATTATCTTACATTTCTTTGAAGATCTGCTGGAACATACAACATCAGCACCAGCTCACAGAAAAATCTTTCCCTTAAGCTTTTCCTATGAAGAGAAATGAAGGGAAAGAAAGATGTTGCCTTGGATTGGAAAAATTACCAAAATAGACTCAGCAAGAATGGTCTGCCCACTACGAGTAAATATTTAGTGGTTACGTGTCTTAAGATCTGATGGAAAACATATCCCAAATACATACAGGATTATCTTTCTGCCAATCCCAATTCCACCCTATTCATAGCATTAGTGAAAATCATCATACTTATGCCTGGGAGGAAGAGCTAATGCATGCTATGAAATTATTTGAATGGAAAAATGATTTCTGAGCTCTCACAACAAGCCAATGCTTGTATTACTATTTTTTAACATAAAAATATATTTTTCTTTTTATCCCTGTGGTCTTCTCTTTTAAATAACTTTGCTTCCTCCTTTGCTTTATAAAGACATCAATTCAGCTTTTAAACCGCATATTGAAAATACTGAAAGAGAAGAACAGTTTCCTCTTCTAAACATTTTAAGTTAGACAAAACAAAAAATCAGAAAATCTGGCATATATGAAAAAGTGCATAAAGCGAAACAAATAATTTAAGGACCACCGTTTCATTGTCTGCTCTACTATTCTATTTTAACATAAAATGTTTGGAAAATTCCACTTGCCTTAGTATTCACAGTGAGTGTTTTATTTAATTTGCCCCTTTCAGAGGATTTGCAAAAGTTGGAGTAGAAATGCTGATTTTTATTTTAAAGTCTAAAATTGGAAAGATACTAAATGCCTGACAGCAGCAGGAAAGTTCAGCACCCAAATGGAAATGTGATACCCTATTATGGAAGCACACGAAAATACAGATAGATTTGTCTCTGGGATTTCAGGGATTCTGATCATGTTTCTATTATGCACTTCCTTTTCCATGCCCAGAACTGCTCTCACAGTTCTGAGAATAACATTTGCAAACTCAGTGTCTTTCATAACTTTTCAGCCTTTCTACTGTCAAACATTTTTAGCACACTGTACAATATTTGCTTTTCCCACTCATGAGCATAGACCATGGCATATATTTTTGTGCATTTACTGCCTTATTCAAGCTTAGAATCTCTTCCATATTCTGTAGAAATAATATCCACGAAGTGAATTGTTTTATTACTTAATAAAATATGAACCAATTTATCTTTTTTGCTGTGACTGTTTATTTTTATTTACAAAGTAAAATATTGACTCTTCCATCTTGTAGAAGCATATCTATGCATATGTACATATTCATATATTTGTGATAAATTATGATATCACATAATAATGAAGTAAACATAATTTAAGAATGTTTATATGTTCCATGCCTAATTTCATACTATTTTATATTTTACAAGGGAGAAAACTGAGATCCAGGAAGAAATACCTTGCCTTTCTTTTCCCATTAATTTGGTGTCAGAATCACCACTATATATCTGTCAGTGAAAATGGTCCTTTTTGTAGTCCACATCTACATAAACTTTCTTTCTGTTTTTAATTTAATTTATTTTTATTTTATTTTAAGTTTCAGGATACATGTGCAGGACGGGCAGGTTTATTACACAGGTAAAAGTGTGCCATGATGGTTTGCTGTACCCATCAATCCATCACCTATGTATTAATCCCCATATTCATTAGCTATTTATCCTGATGCTCTCCCTCCCTCCACCCCACTGACAGGCCCCAGAGTGTGTTGTTTCCCTCCCTGTGTCCATCATAAACTTTCTTTCCAATGGTCTATTACCAATTGAAATTTTCAATTTTCATAATGTTAACATTTTCAAAGGAGTATAAAGCATTTCAAAGATCAGAGAACTTTTAAAACACATACCAGTCTGCTGAACAAAATGAATTAATTATCATCCTCTTTGTGCAAAAGCAACAGGAATGTAAAAATCATAAATACAGTATTTAGGTTAAATATAGATTTTTGCATATTTTAATCATTCAAAATTATTCAAGTGTAAATGAATTTCAGCACACTTTTAATGTAAGAATGGGTATGAAATGAATTCATAAATGTTTTAAACCACTATAATTATGAAATAAAAAGAATTATGTAAGTCCTTGACATCTCATCTCTAGACAAACCTTAATGTCTTTAGTCAAATATAGCATGTGAACATTAATCAACATAACTGTTGTAGCACTGAATATTTGTACTGTGATACATGAGCAATTTTAATGCAAATTTTAGTTTTAGAATTAAGATTCTTAAAGAGAAGTATTGTTGTTGTTTTCTTTAAGATAGTCTTAAGAAATTGTTTTGTTTAGAATATTGTGTTTTTTTTATAGACTCTAACACTTGTTTGTTTCTTTAGGTTAAACTTAATAAAATCTGAGACAGTTACGCATGTTTGATGGAAAGTAACAGAATAAATATACTAACAAACCAAGAAAACTCTAGGTACCTTAGAAAAAATTAAAATGTAAGATTTTTTTGTTAGCAAAGAGATCTGACTAGTAAAAAGGAAGAAGTCAGTGTCTCCCCACCACAGTCCTTTCACATTTATATTTCTAATATCCCTCGGAAAGCACCAGCTGAATTACTGTTGGCTTATTTATTTTAGATTTCTTAGAATAACAAAGCAATCATTACAAATTAGACATCTGTGCTGGTTTCTTTTACATGTCAATTTTGCTTGGCTATTGTACCCAGTTGTTCTGTCAAACACCAGTCTCGATGTTGCTATCAATGTAATTTTTGGATGTGGCTGACATTTACATCAATAAATTGAGTAAAGCTGATTGCCCTTCATAATGTGAATGAGTCATCTAACCAGTTGAAGGTCATAAGAGCAATAACTGAGGATCTTGTAGTAAAAATAATTATCCTGAAGACAGCAACATAGAAATCCTGCCTGAATTTCCAGCCTACTGGGACGTGTGAGCACACACGGCACAAGAGCCAATTCTTTAAAACAAACCTCTCTCTCTCTTTCTCTCTCTCTGCCTCCCTCACACACGCTTGTGTGTGTGTATGTTCATTTAGATATATATTATAGATATTGAGAAAAATTATAAAGAGCTATAACATATATTAATATGTGTAAAGAGAAATATATATATATTTCTATTTGACATCTTATGTCCTTACATAATGACTACAAATCTATTTCTGATCATGTTTATTAAACATTAAAATTAAAAATAATAATTGTCTCATTTTAATTTTTTAAAGATAAGAGGATCAAAACAATAATGTGAAAATACTGAATTTCTAAAAGAAAACTTCATGTTAAATATTTACTTTCTGTTTATTGGTTGTGTAATTTTGAACAAATTATATGACCACAAAAACGTCAGCAACTTTATTGTGTAATAGCAATAATAGCAATAATATAAACTTTGTAGTGTTGCTAAGATATTTAAATAAAAAAGCATACAGAGTGCTTAGTACAATAACTAGAGCAATAGAGTTGCTAGTTTTCAATAAATATTCACGTTTACTATTTCATCATTGATAGTAATAATGAGACTTCATATATGCAAGTTGACAAGAGCACAAACATAAAGGTAAGAAATAATTTATATATGATGTCAACATTATTCTGATTTGCATAGATATTTCAACGTATTTAAAAATGTGTTGGATCTTAAATAACCTAACATTACACCTCAAGGAAATAGAAAAATAAAAACAAATTATGCCAAAGTTAACAGAAAGAAGTAAATAATATCAAAGCAAAAATGAATAAAAGAGAATAGGAAATTAACATAAAATATTAATGAAACTTAGAATTTATTATTTGAAAGAAAAATAAAATTGACAAAACTTTAGCTAAAATGAGGAAAAAAGAGAGGGAGAGAAGATGCAAATAAATAACTTAGAAATTAAGGAAGAGTTATAACAACCAATGCCACAGGACGAGAAAGATTATAAGGAACTATTATGAACAATTATATCCAGCAAATTGGACAATCTAGGAAAAAAAATGGGTAAATTTCTAGAAACATACAACTTTCTAGGACTGAATGAAGAAGAAATAGAAAGCCTGAATGAACAAACCTTCCAACAAAGGAAAGCCCAAGACCAGATGGCTTTATGCATAAAGCCCATCAAACATTTAGTTTTTAATTATTATTTTCAAGTTTTTTTAGAGATGGGGTCTTGTTCTGTTGCCTAGACTGGAGTGCAGTGGCATAACCATGGCTCATTTCAGCCTTGACACCCCAGGCTCAAGTGATCCCCCCAGCCTCAACCTCCAGAGTAGCTGGGACTACAGGCATGTCTGGCTGCTTATTTTTAGTTATTTTTTGTAGAAACGGGGTCTCCTTATATTTTCTAGGCTGGTCCCAAACTCCTAAGCTCAAGCAATCCTTCCACTTACGCCTCACAAAGTGCTAGGGTTACAGGTGTGAGCCACCACACCTGGCCTCTGTCAAACATTTAAAAATTACTATCAGTCTTCTGAAATTCTTCCAAAAAATTCAAGAGTGAAACTTCCAAACTATTTTGTGATGCTAATATTACCCTGACACCAAATCCAGAAAAAGGTATGACAAAAATACCTGCAGGCCAATATCCCTGAAAAACATAGATGCAAAAAATCCTTTAAAAAAATATACCAAACTGAATTCAACAGCATATTAAAAGGAGCGTATGATGACTGGTAAGGTTAGGCTTTCCTCCTCACTCAAATCTCATCTTGAATTATAATTTCCATAATTCCCATGTGTCAAGGGAGAGACCAGGTAATCGGATCATGGAGGCAGTTTCCCACACTGTTCTCACATTAACAAGATACTTCTCATGAGATGTGATTGTTTTATAAGGGGCTCTTCCCACTCCACTCAGCACTTCTCCATCCTGCTGCCTTGTGAAGAAGATACCTTCGCCTTCTGCTATGATTTTAAGTTTCCTGAGGCCTCTCAAGCCATGCTGCAATGTGAGTAAATTAAATCTCTTTCCTTTATAAATTTCCCAGTCTTGGGCAGTTTTTTTTATAGCAGTAAGAAAACAGACTAATTAAAGATAAAGTGGGATTTATCACTGGGATGAAACATTCAACAAATGCAAATCCATAAATGTAATCCATCCCATTAACAGAATGAAAGATGAAAATCATATTATCATCTTAATAGATGCATAAAATCATTTGGCAAAATTTAACACCTTCTCATGATAAAATCTCTCAAGAAATTAGATGTAGAAGGAACTTACCTCAATACAATAAAGGCTAAAAATGAAAAGTCCAAAGCTAACAATATACTCAATGGTGAAAAACAAACTTTTTGTCTAAGAATTTGTATAGGGCAAAGATACCCTCTCTCATAATTTCTGTTCAACATAGTATTAGAAGTTCTAGCCAAAGAATTTAAGGAAGAAATAGAAACAAAAGGCAACTAAATTGGAAAGGAAAAAGTAAAATTGTATCTGTTTGCAGATAATATAATCATATCTAAACAAACCTAAGGATACCACCAAAAAACTATTAGAACTAATGTACAAATTCAACAAAGTTGCAGAATTCAAAACAACATATAGTTGCATTTCTATACATTAACAAAATTATCTGAAAAATAAATTAAGAAAACAATCCAATTTACATCACCATCAGAAAGAATAAAGTACTTAAAAATAACTTAACCAAGGAGGAAAAAGCCTGGTACATTATAAACTATAAAGCACTGATAAAAGAAATTAAATCAAACACAATTAAATTAAAAGATGTTCTATGTTTATGGATTGGAAAAATTAATATTGTGAAAATGTTCATACTACCCAAAGGGATCTGCAGATTTAACGTAATCCCTATCAAAATACCAGTGGATTTTTTTACAGAGATAGAAAAAAATGTAAAATTTTTATGGAACCACAGAAGACCACAAAGAGACAAAGCCATATTGAGCAATAAGAACAAAGCTGGAGGCATCACACTTCCTGAGTTCAAAACATATTACAAAGCTATGGTAATTAAAAGAGTATGATATTGACATAAAAATAGATGTATAGACCAATGGAACAGAATGGAGAACCAAAAAATAAGCCCACACATATACAGTCAACTGATTTTTGTCAGTAAAACCAAGAATACACAATGAAAAAAGGATAGTCTGTAAGATATGATGCTGGGAAAACTGAATATCCACATGCCAAAGAATAAAATTAGACCCTTATTCATACTATATATAAAAATCAATTCAAAATGTATTGAAGAATTAAACATAAGACCTGAAACCAAAATAGTCCTAGCAGAAGACATGAGGAAAAAGCTTCTGAATATTGACCGTGGCAATTATTTCTTATATGACACCAAAAGTGTAAAAATGTGACACTAAAAATAGAAAAGTGGTATTACATTAAACAAAAAAGTTTCTGCACAGAAAATGAAAAAATCAACAAAATAAAAGGTCAACCTATGAAATAAGAGAAAATTTTGCTAACCACATATCTTACAAAGGATTAATATACAGAATATATGAGGAACTTCTAAAACAACAACAGTTAATACAAACAACCTGATTTAAAAATGGACAAAGAAACTGAATAGACATTTCTGCAAAAAAGATACAGGAATGACCAACAGATATATGAAAATGTGCTCAACATTACTAATCATTTAGGGAAATGCAAATAAAAACTCCAATGAGATATCATCTCACATCTGCTAGGATTATTTTTTATCAAATAAACAAAAAATAACAAATTTTGACAAACACATGAAGGAAAGTGTATCCTTGCACACTATTGGTAGCAATGTAAACCAGTGCAGCAACTACAGAAAACAATATGGGAGTTCCTCAAAAAACTAAATATAGAACTACCATATAATCCAGCAATCCTACTTTTTGGTATATATCCAAAAGAATTGAATTCAGCATCTCAAAGAGATATCTGCACTTTCATGTTCATTGTTGCATTTTTCACAGTAGCCAAGACATGGAACAAACCTAAATGTCCATAGATGGATACAATAATTTAAAAATGCAGTATTTACATACAATAAAATATTCAGCCTTAATAAAAAGGAAATTCTGCTACTTGCAACAACACAGATGAAACTGGGAGACAAAAATTGTCTCTATGAACATTATGTTAGGACATAATGTCATAATATAGAATGTTATGTTACGACAATAATGTCCTAATGAAATCTACTAGACACTGGCAGACAAATACTACATCATATCACTTATATAATAAATCTAAAGTAGTCAAACTCAGAAAAGCAGACAGTATTATGCTATTTTCCAGGGCCTAGAGTAAAGAAAATGGGAGTTATTAGTCAAAGTGTAAAAAATTTTGGTTACATTAAATAAATTAGCCCTAGAAAAATACTATACAGCACAGTGACTGCAGTTAATACTGTACTGTATAATTAAACATTTTGCTGACTGTATATCTTATGCTAAATATTATTAGCATATACTTATTAATCTTCATTATTATTGGCATATTATTCATCACCATTATTATTAGCATATTAATCATCATCATCATCTTGAGTAGTAACCTATTGAAGGTAGTGAATAGGTATACGGCATAAATTGTGGCGATAGTTTCACAGTTGTATAATTATGTTGAAACTCATCAATTTGTATACATTAATTGTTTACGTATTTTGTATGTAATTTTTCCTTTGGAAAAGTTAAATGTACATCCACCATATGACCAACAATTTCAATTCTAGCTTTTTGTCCATGAGGAATGAAATTTTATATGTCTATGAAATATATGAATAACAAATGTGTACTGGAGCTTTATTTGCAGCAGCCCCAAAATGGCAATTACCAAATGTCCATCAATGTGTAAATGTATAAACTAACTATGATGTATCCATACAATGAACTAGTACTCAGCAAATAAAAAGAAATGAACTATTGATACATCCTACAATATGTATTCACTATGGATGAAACTCAAGATAATTATTCTGAATAAAAGAAGCCAGATTTTAAAAAATACATACCGTATGATTTCATTTATTTTAATCCTAAAGTAACAAATTGATCTATAGTGATAGAAAACAGATCAGAGTTTGTCTGGTAATAGTGAGGGGTAGGAATAGGCAAGAAAGAGGTCGCTCAAAGGGGCACAAATTTTGGGGGGTGATTGATACATTCATTTTCTTAATTGTAATAGTTTTACAATTATATTAGTATGTCAAAACATATTAAGTTGCAAACTTAAGAGATGTGCAGTTTATTATATGATAATTATGGCTCAGTAAAGCTGCAGAATAAAAAGGAATGACAATCTCATGCCTATGTTATAAGTCAAAAATAAATTATGTTCAGTGGTCAATAGCTCGTTGTGTGTAGGAGAAAAATGTTATAAAAAAGAAAGTGGTGAAAAGGTAGCGCTTAGTCTAGTTTGTGAATATTTATACAAAGGGAAATTATATTACCTCACATAATAAAATAATACTAGTTTTGAAACTATTCTCTGGTAGTGACAATCTTGAAGATTAAATACCTGCTGGATCCAGAGGGAAGGTAACGTGGATATGCACTCTTAACAGAGAAGAAAGGCTGGAGAATTTTATTCCTGAGCCAGCTGTAGCTAGTGGGACAGCAGTGTCTAAAATTCAAGATCAGGCTTTTTAAAATATTTTCTATTATAAATATCCTCTGCAGACCCCGCAATTTTATTAAAATTCGATAACATATGCACAAAAACAAAAATCTTTTGAGAGGCTTACCTTTTTTATATGAAAGAATAATTTCACTAATTTCACCAATTTCACCAATTTAATTTTACAAACTATTTTTACATTAACTCATTTCCCTAATTAATGAATTAACTGCCCCTAGTAAATGTGCATGGTAAGTCTTCATCTTCTCATAGAGTGTGTGACCTTAGAGAAAACACGAAGGAGAAATGGACTGTCTCAAACTCACATCATGCTGTATTCCTCTTCTTTCAGTTAAAGCTACCTAGGTGCTTCAAATTTGTTCTACTAAACTTTTTTCTTTGTATCATTTGTCTTTTCCTATCATTGCATTATTTAACTAAAAAGAAATAATTTGCTTAGTGATATACTTGAAAATTCATATAAAAGACGTATGAAAAGTAGGTCTCACTTTGTTTCATACCTAAATGAATGAAATCATAGATCAATTATTTGGTCATTTACTTTACTTTTTTATCATTAAGGTGTGTTCTGGGTTTTCTAACCAGTAAATTTTAAATTCTTCTGTTTCATATCTTGACCAAATGATGTTTCTTTTAATATCAGTGGAGCTCGCATTACTTCAATTACCATTTTCAAAGTTAACATTCACCTCAAATTACCTGTAATATGTCAAATCTTCACAACTAGGATTATGTTGAAAATGGATTATGGGCAGACAACAGATTCCACAGCATAATTAATCTCCTCTAGAGAGCTCATTAACCTTTAAAAGTTTGTACATGATTCCATAATTATCTTGCAATGGAATTTTTATTTCTCTTCTATTTCATCAGGTTGCCCCTTTATATGGCCCACTATGAGGCTGACATTCTTTTAACTCTTGGAGCTGGCAAAGCAATTGGCAACAAAGAAAAGACAAAGATTAAAGCCAAGTTTATCCTTTAATCACCATCCATGTCTTTCACACATGGCAGGAAGGAAATACCACCGCTTCTTATGCATACAGAATAATATACAAATGACTTAAAATAATGGCCAATGTGATTATATTCACTTTTCATAATTATTTGCCCAACTCTTACTGAAAACCTACTTTTCTTTTAGTGTTCATATATGTTTCACGTTGTCCAGAAACTTCTCCTCATGGACATCTATACACATCATTTTTTATTCGTTCTTACAGTTAGTGCTGATTTCCATAATTTACATTAGCCATACGAATAAGAAATACAAGAACAATAAAAGACATGATTATCATTCCAAGCATCTAGGAATTTATTTATTTTTAATTGGCAGTAGAAGTCCATTTTTTTAGAAAATAGTTCAAAATCTAGAATTCATGGAAAAAGTATAAAGAGGTCTTTTATTGAAATAGTTGGAGAGTTTTTTATTACTGTTAAAGTCACCCAAATTGATAGTATTTTATTGTGTTAATAAACTCAACTGATCTCTTCACTTATTTAATCTTTGACTTCAGAAGACAGTAACTCAGTTGTGGGTAAGAACTGAAGCATAGATTTTCTTCGTGTTTCTTCTGGTACCTAACAAGATTCTGGGCACAAAATAGTTATGTCATGTATTTGTACTAGCTGAAGTGACCAAACTAATAACTTTCTCAAAACGAATGTATTAGTGAACCTTGGAAATAAAAATTTAAACATCTTTTACAGTGATTCAAATAGTTTTTGTGTGAATTACTAACTTTGGGGACTTCCTAATCATGGAGTAAACTTTTGAGTGAAGATAGTTTTTGTTGAGCCTCTCCCTTTTCCAAGTCAAGGTGCTCATCATATAGGTAAGTTTTCTTTTGTTTAATAAATCTGAGGATTCTTTAGCAGTTTCATTTACTATGATACCAAATAAATCATTGTGAAAACAAATATCTACTATTTCCTGAAATACTGAACTACAGAAACTCTTTTTCTCTCTTTTTCTGTCTCTCTTCCTCTCTGTCTTTGCATCTTATTGCTTTCCACCCAATTTGGATCAATCATGCCAAATTCTTCCCAGAGAATTTTATAAAATAAAAAAAAAAACATTATTTCAAACTAATACATTTCTTATAGCAGTATATGTCAATATTGGTTCTATAAGATGAATTTTAGGCCCTTTGGTAAATTCACTATTGACATTTTCCAGATTATCAACACATCAAAATCACAAATGTGGCCTGAGAAGTTCTAAAATTATGTCATCAGATAGGTAGAAAGGCAAAGAACAAGAAGCAAAAACACAAAAACAAATAAACCAAAAAACACAATTTTCAACAGCAAAACAATTTCCAGGTATGACAACCTACTATTTTCAGATTCTAAGGGTGGAAACCATTGGTTTCAATGAGATCATTGCTATTATTATCTTATCTCTGATAGTGTATCTTCCACATCTTCCTGCCCCATTTACAACCATCCAAAATAGCTCACTGTTAACTGATGTCAGAATAGATATGTGACATGGGGCCAGTTACCTAACATCTCAGACCCTTAACTGAGTACTCTATAAAATGAAGATAAAAACATACTGACTTGCTATGGTTGTTTTATAAATTATATATATGCTGTGCAGAGAACCTACACTATGATAAAAGTTCTATAAATATGTTTCAATTAGAAATATTATTCTATGTCTTGAAAGTAATTTTCTGGGATTTTAGAATGAATTCTATTTTAGTAACTGTAATGGGCTCAATTTTGTCACTCCTAAAATTTATACGTTAATGTCTTAACTCCCAGTAACTCAGAATGTGACTATATTTGGAGGGAGGGTCTTTAAAAAGGTAATTAATTTAAAATAAGATTGTAAAGGTGAACCATAATTCAACATGACTGGTGTCCTTTTAAGAAAAGGAATTTTGGGCACAGGAAGTGACAGAGAGCGGACAATGTCAAGATAAAGGGAGAATATGGTCACCTACAAGCTAAGAACTTCCTGAAACAGAATCTTCCCTCATGACCCTCAGAAGCAACCAAACTTTCCGACATTCCTTGATTTTGGACTTCCTGTCTCCAGAACTTTGAGAAAATAAATTTCTATTGGTTAAGCCACCCAATCTGTGTTATTTTATTATGCAACCCTAGCCAATTAACATAGCAGTCAATAAAAGGAAACCACTCAAATGGGCTAGAATAAAGGAGCTTATTATAAAGACACAGATATCAATCTGTGATCAGAAAATGAAGTAAAAAAGGCATTTATGGGAAAAATGTTATCAGGAAACAGGTGAATGTTTCCTGATCAGGACGTTTCCTCTCTTTCATCAGAGTCAACATGATATTCCTTACTTCTGTCTCACTGTGCATGTCTGCTTGATTTTCTGTTATTAAATTAAACCCCATTGTCATATTAGCCAAGGTAGACTCAAGCAAACAGACTTAATTATATATATATAAATATATACAAATATACATATATAAATATATATACACATATATAAATATATATAATATATATAAATATCCATAAATATCTATAAATATATATAAATAAATATATATATTTCAGGCAGGAAAGATTTAATACAGGGAATTAGGTGTTTACAAAATATGTGGAGGGACTAGAAGAAAAAGGTCACTGAAAACTACCAATATTCTAAAAATTCAGGAAGTTTCAAGAATCCCAGAAAGCCAGTGATGTTTATCTCAGTTTATCTCAGTTTCTTTGAATAATAAAGTGTGTGATTAACTGAATGGAAACCACTGATAAAATATTATGTCTGGCATTTCCACATTTTCCATAGCAGTCATTTTTTTAGTACTTCAATTTACCAAATCACACTCACTTTCTTCACACTGGCAGAACCTGGAGAGAAAACCTGCAAATTCCATTTTCCTGATTTTTAGATATTTGCTTAATTGTATTTTATATGTTCCACTCAACTTTCCAACCCAACTATTTATTATGACAATTAGGAGATCTCCCAGGTGCCCCAGAGCAACATGTGCTCCAGATGAGGCTGCCTTCCCTACACTTACCCACACCTCCATTGACAGCAACCAAGAGGGTGCTCAGCAGCTCTGCCTGCTCCAGATACACTTGACCTTTCTTTGGTTTAGCATGTTTATTTGGTAAATTAAGCAGATTTCTCAGAGCTCTGTGTGCTTCTGCAAGTCCGCCACTGCCCACCTCTCCTCCAACACTTACAACCTTATCTTCAATAATGGATATTAAAAAAATCATAAAAATCAATTCCATTACTCCTTGTATCTGTTAATGTGAAACCTCACAGAAATTCCAGGTCTCCTGGGTCATGCCTCATTTCCTAACATCAAATATTAATATCTTTATTTGGTCTATGAGGCAATACCCCACCTTCTGTACTCCCTATACTCCTATTCCACTCAAGTTTATTTCTGTGGTTTTTTTAATCACCATCTGACATACTAGCTATTTTATTTATTTCTTTGTTAATTTTTCTCTTTTCATTATGATATATATTTATGGATGTATTGAATTCACATTTTGTTTTATTTACTGTTCTATCCCCAGTGTTTGGGACAACAGTTGGCATGTAGCAGAGGTTCAAAAAACATCTGTTTAATCAATGAATAATTGAATGAGCTAAAAGTTTGCATATTTACCATTGGCTTCTAAAATTGCCTGTGCTTTTTCTTTTACATATTCAAGAACAACATCTGATTGCTCCAAGACAGCTCCTTGAGCCAGCTAGTTGTCTCAATACATTGGTTGCAATCCCATGGAGTCAAGAGCCTTCTCTCATCCAATCAGCCCAGGGCTCTAATTAAAGCAATAGTTTACATGGTACCTAGAATGCTTCTTCCAGGTAGTTACATGCATAGTTTCTCTACAAGATTCTGTGGACAGGCATAAAAAATTTAAACACTAGTTGGTTGTTAGGTTTTGTGTATTTCATACTCCTCTGTGTTGAAATTGCCCCAACTGATTAGAAAAGTAAAAAGAAGGGAGCCGGGTGCAGTGGCTCATGCCTATAATCCCAAGACTTTGGGAGCCCGAGGCAGGAGGATTACCTGAAGCCAGGAGTTTGAGACCAGACTGGACAACAAAAAGTGAGACCCTCTACCTACCAAAAATAGAAATAATTAGCCAGGCATGTTGGTGCACACCAGTAGTCCTAGCTAGTGGGGAGGCTGAGGTGGGAGGATCACTTGAGCCCAGGAGTTACAGGCTGCAATGAAGTATGATTGTACCACTGTAATTCAGCCTGGGCAACAGAGTGAGACCCTATCAATAAATAAATAAAAACATAAATTTGAGAAAAATGAAAATAAAAATAAATAAGGGAAATGGAAGCATCACAGGAAGAAGGGCTGATGACAAACATGTATTAAGCTGCGCTTATTCTTCCTTAATCTAAAATGAGTATCTTTGTAGTGCCCTAAAAATCCTGAACCTTTAGGTAGCATTTTCATAATCAACATTTTAAATAAGATTGTTAATTTTCTATAAATTTTCATTAGTTAAATAATTTAAAGGCAAAAGAGAAAGGAAAACATTTTGTATTGGTATTCCTTTATAAAAAATGAGATTTTCTCCTCTAGGTATTTCACAGGAATTTGTAAAAATGATATACCAATATTCCTTTTTAGCTTTTATTTTAGTTTCAGGGGTACCTGTGCAGGTTTGTTATATAGGTAAATTGCATATTATAGGGGTTTGGTAGGGGTTTGGTGTACAGATTATTTCTTCACCCAGGTAATAAGCATAGTACCCAATAGGTAGTTTTTTGATCCTCACCCTCCTCCAACCCTCCGCCCTCAAGTGGGCCCCAATGTCTGATTTTTCTTTCTTTGTGTCCATGTGTACTCAATGTTTTGCTCCCACTTATAAGTGAGAACATGCTGTATCAATATTCTTAATAAATGTTGAATTAATTATTGGGTTACAAGTCACCTATAAAGGGATAAGGTAACATTTTGAAGTATTTAAATTTCAGTTTATTACTTTTAAATAGGAGCTAAACAAAGCCAGTTATAACTTAAAATTAATAGCTAAATTTAAATAATATTTTATTCACATATTGTACACTTGAGAGTTATGGAGTAAATGACAGAACAAGTTAACATTTAAGAAAGACAAATAGAATTTGGTCATTATTCTACTATTTTAGAAAGGTGCAATTGATAGTACAAATAAAAGGTATTTATAAAATACCTACTTTATGTTAGACACTATTTGATATGCTAGGGAAACAGCAAAAATGAAAGCAGATGAAAATCTTTGCCCCTCATGGAACATTATTCTAGGTTTGGGAGCGATAAATAGACAATGGATAATAGATAGATGAGAGAATATTCAGAATACAAGAGATATGAGAATAAGTAATGTAGGGGGATGTATAGCAAGGGTCAAAGGGACCTGGTTTGTGTTCTTATATAGGATAGTCCCAGAGAGTCTCTCTAAGATAATGTTCAACAGACTTTGGAAAGAAATGAGAGAGCAAAGGATGAAGCTATCTGCTGGAAGTGCCGACCAGACAGACCAAATATGTTCAACCATGAGTTAAGTGTGTATTACATGGTAAATTTATTTTTCATTATTTTTCATGATTCATTCATTCAGAATGTCTTTGAACATCTAACAAAGTACTGTTTTAAGGGTAATATGTAATTTTATTTTTAAAAAAGTACATGTTTCTTGCCCTCAGATATCTAAAATGATTATAAACAAGGAGATAAATTTCATACAGATGATTATATAACTCCAAAGAGAAAACTACATAGGTGCCAAATAGTGACAATATTTAACAATTGCATTGAGAACACCAAGAGATCACATGAAATAAAGATGGTCAGAATGTGTTCAGAAGAATTGTAAATACATTCAGGGGAAAGTTTGCTGTTTAAGAATTTTTTGTAATAAATCATTTTCAAAAAAGGAGGAAACTATAAAAATCTTTCAGTAACACAATCTATTTGAGCAGTGTTAGGGATTGTCTTAAAGGTGGAAGATATTTTGTTGTTTTTTTTTTAATAGAAACTTCCAGAACTTTTTAAAGAAACTAATGAAACTACAGGAAACTTAGAAAAAACATATAAAGTTAATCCTCATGTATAGGTACGAAAAGCAAACAAAAAATAAACTTAATTGTAAAATATTTGCTTGTACAGATTGGACCAAGTCCATGTAAACCTTGCAAATACTCTTTTGAATGTAGAATTCAAACGTGAATTCATGGGTAACTCTCCATGTCTGTTCACATCTCCAGATTTGTTGGCTCCTTTATGGAAAGTATCAAATGTTAGTCCCCTTTGTATTCAGAGAGTCTCTCAGCAAGGTCTGCACAAATGGATATTTAAGATGCTTATTGAGCAAATGAGTAAACTAATGATGACGATGCTTGTTATAGTGGAGTTAAAAATTAATCTAGATTTTATAAATTCTGACTTTAATTCACTCCTCTAATTATTTGAAATAATACCTCCTCTCTGAAGTTGGATGGCTTTCAAATGAAAACTGGTATCCACCTCTCACATGTCAACACTTTCTAATATTATCCTAAATAAAGTAGAGTGCCAAAGGCACAGATGTGATATTTACACCTGGGATAAAGAAAGAGAGGGCTGGGTATTTGAGAAGTTCTTTTTTAGGAATTTCTAATGATTAAAAAAAATTTAGCTACTTTTACTGCTTCAGTAAATAAGAACTATTGTATTCCGTATATAAAGATAGGTACCAAGCAGGTTCTAAATTATTTTCAGCATGGTAAAATATAAACTAAAATAAAATCAAATGCTTACAGATGAACCCGAAATTCAAAGTACAGTATTAGTTGTTGTGGACTAAGAAAAGTAAGACAAACTTCTTGCATGCAAGAAAGCAGCTTTTTTTTTTTTTAACGTAATTTGGCAGAATTACTATATCTACATCTGTAGAAACTTTTGCTATCGGGGTTCTGAGTTAGCATGTAACTAAATGCTCACTCTAATACTGGAATTACTAGGGGATAGAGAAATTAAAATTCATCCTACACATTTTAGATTAAAGTAATTGAAAAGGAATTGAAAAAAGAAAGATGAGCCTTTAGTTGGACTTTAAAAGATACCGATTTTGTGGTTGGGAAAGTCAAGATCCATCTGTCAGAAAAATCTTTGAGTAGCAAACTCTAGCTTAAAAAAATAGTCATATTTATCTATCCAGTTATATGATGAATCTACTGTACCTAATTTTTTTTTTAAACTTTGTTATTTTGTCTGCCTTAAAATCTTCCTCCTCCATTATGTTGATATTTGACAAAGTATTTATAATAGTACTAGCGTATGGGTGTCTAATAGAGAAGAATGGGCTAAATAATTCATTTATTCAAAAAATTTTAATTTGTTTTTCAAGACATTGGAATACAGATATGAGCAAAGAATGATCCTGTCACCTATTGAAATGAATATTGTGACAAGGGTCAGCAAATTTTTCTGTGAAAAGATATAGAGTAAATATTTTCAGCCTTGCAGGTCAAGAATTGCTGCTGCCACTACTCAATTTGGCCACTGTATCACAAAATCAGCCATAGTTAATGTATTATTGAATGAGCATGTCCTTGTTCCAGTAAGATTTTGTTTACAAAGAAAAAGAAGAAAAAGGAGTTGGGCTGAAGTTGGCCTACAGGATGTAATTTGCCAATCTCAGTTCTAGCAGAATATCTCTCAGTTCTAGCACAGTATGCTAGAAGGTGACAAGTCATAAAGGAAAAATGGAAAAGGACAAGATGAGGGGAATGGAGGAGAGTGAGTAGATTAAAATTGTAAATGCAATGATGAGTGTGGGCCTCATTAAGAAGGTGCAAGCTTAATATGAGCAAAGAATAGAAGGAGGGGAAGAGAGAAGTCACACGTCCTTTTGTCAAAGTTGCTCCAAGTAGATGGCACATCCAGTAAATAAGATGCCTGGTTTGCTTTGGGATGAGCAAGTTGGCCAGAGTTTCTACAATGGAGTAAGAGAAAGGTAGAAGAGAAGTGTGGTCAAGTAATGTTCAGTGTGCAACACTGTGTATGTCGTTATATGCCGATGCATAGCTACTTGCTTTTACTCTGAGAAAAATGAGGAACCCTCATTCTTAATTGTATATAGTAATAATTATAATTTTCAATAATGATTTTATATTACAATAATGGTATCTACTTAGTATAATTGCGGAGGGGTTAAATTAGATAAGGTAAGCAAATAATTTAGTACAATAACTAGTACATGGTAACTGCTCAATAAATATTAACTAATATTATTAATGTTGTTCTTATGGCTTTTTATCATCATTAACATTAGTAATTAATTCATTATAAAAATATAATTTTTAATTGCATAGTAGACTTTATAATTGCATTGGATACCTAAACCAGCTCTTCTTTTGTCCAACATGAAAAATATTTGAATACAATAGTCCCCTTTTATGTAGTTTAAAATCCATGAAAAATGAGAACAATTTTAGATGGTAAATGTAGCATGCTTTTGTTTATGCTGCCAATTATAGAATTCTCTGTGAAGTAGTAAAAGTGAAATGTGTCTTCAAGATAAATAATTTTTAAACACATTATTCTCGTTTTTGTTCAGGGAAGATACTATTAAAGTTATATATGAAAAATTTTACTATTATATAAAAATACACTTATCTGCATATGCATGTTATGTTCTGATTATGAAGTCTTTTTTTTTTTTTTTTTTTTTGAGACAGAGTCTCACTCTGTCATCCAGGCTGAAGTGCTGTGGCACAATCTCAGCTCACTGCAGCCTCTGGCCCCCTGGTTCAAGAGACTCCCCTACCTCAGCCCCCCAAGTAGCTGGGATTACAGGCACACATCACTATGTCCAGCTAATTTTTGTATTTTTAATAGAGACAGGGTTTTGCCATGTTGGCCAGGCTTGTCTTGAACTCCTGACATCAGGTGATTGGCCCACCTCAGCCCCCAAAGTGCTGGGATTACAGGCGTGAGCCACCGTGCCTGGCCTGATTATGAAGATATTTATAAATAATTAATAATAATATCTTAGCACTATTTCTTATCACTGAATGTCAGTGCATTTTTCTGTTGCCCAGAAGGAAAATACTGTCATATAGAGGTAAATGATTTTTAGGCAAAGGTTTGTTGTGGAGTGTTAAAAATAATTCTCTATATTAAAACCTCAATTAAACAATAAAGCATATGTTTAATAACCAAGTCTTGCATATTTTAACGTTACCATAACAGAAGCTCCTGAAGAGTAGGATTTGTGTCTGCATCATTCACTCTTCCGTCTGTCCTATAGAAGACTGTCGTGAACGTGATCTGGGTTCCAGTGTCACATCTCTTTGGCCCATCCCTTATTTCACCCAACTCTTCCAAATGTACTCATTTACCTTGACTATGAGCACCAACCTCAAGCACGTTTCTGACTTTTCGACGTCTCCCAGGACCTCCACCAAAGCTTATGCAGCTCCAGACACTGAAGAAATTTCATCTCAGAGGGGGGAACAGCTCTACAGCACTAGCTAGCAGGTAGACTCGGGTAGATAATGTTCCAGCCTTTCATCTTTCAGTTGGATGCCCTGAGAGGCATTCAGTCTGCTTCTGAATAAAGATGCCATCAATAAAGCACGTGGTATCACCTTCCAAATAAACTACCCACACCTAAGTCCTTGTCTCAGGCATTGTACTGGAGGAACTTGAACTAACAAACACAACGCTCTATCTCTATGTGTATTTAGTAAAGTCGTTTGCTTTGTTTTTGTTTGTTTTGTTTTGTTTTGAGACAGAGTCTCGCTCTGTCTCCAGGCTGCAGTGCAGTGGCGCAATCTCGGCTCACTGCAACCTCCGCCTCCCAGGTTCAAAGGATTCTCCTGCCTCAGCCTCCCGAGTAGCTGGGACTACAGGCGTGTGCTACCGCGCCCGGCTAATTGTTTGTATTTTTAGTAGAGAAGGGGTTTCACCATGTTGGCCAGGATGGTCTCGATCTCTTGACCTAGTGATCCGCCAGCCTCGGCCTCCCAAAGTGCTGGGATTACAGGCCTGAGCCACCGCACCCGGCCTGCTTTGTTTTTAAAACAAGTTTTTGATATTTCCATGACACCTTTACTTTTTGTGATACACTGATCTTAATATTCATATAATAAACAGGAGGAAATAGACAAAACATATACTCTAATAATTAAAACAAAACACAGTTTGCTGTAAGTGCCTCCTTTTGCTCTCAGTGAAAAAAAAAAAGAAAAAAAGCAGTTGGAAAGAAGAATGGCATAGAGAATTTGGAGTTTTCTCTTCCCCAATTATTTTGTAAATTATTATTATGTATTTATGTCAACAATGCAGTACTTGAATACAAATGGACAATTTAACAATTTAGGGTCTTTCAGTCAAATGAGAATATAATTGATAGCTTCAAATTCATAGTTTAATACATATGCCCATTCATTTTGTTACATTAATTAAACCAATATTTATTGAGCTCTTCCTTTTTCAGGTCCTGGGAAGTATAGATACAATTTAGACTTCAAGAATTAATGACTGAGACTGAGATGTATGTATTTTTTCATCACATGAAATTTAATAAATCCATAGTCATATTTTATGTAATTTTAAAACACAGTTTTAGAAATATAAATGGAAACAGTTATCTCATTAATATCTTTAGTTAGAAAAATGAACTGGTGAAAAGTACAACACATCAGGCTATAAAGAAATAGTATAAGACACACATAATTAAAAATGTAGCTCAATACAGAGGAAATACATTGAGAAGAATTTAACTGTATTTAGATATAGATTATAAATTACAAATTTAAGAATTTTTATTGGCAGAAAGTGAGTAGACAGTGAGATCAAAATAAAAGAAGGTTTTAATAAGACTAATTGAGTTCATATCTTAATATAAGAGTTGTATTTCAAGAAAACATTTTCATCATTGGAACTGTGGATTCATTCTTCCGTAATAAGCATTGCTGACATATTTCCAAATCAAAAAATTTTTATTTTAAGAATTGTTTTTTTGTTTGTTTGTTTGTTTACATTTTTAGCCACTGTTTTACTGTTAAGGATGTGAAATAATCTGTTGACTTAAAGATGAGCCAATTGATCTGTCAAAGATCCTCCCTAGATCAATAAAGGAGGGAATAGATTGGTAAATCAAAAGATCAAATTTCACTATGATAAACATATGTTGGGATCAGTAATTGCCATATTCTGCTGTGGTTTTTAAGCCCCTTGCTTAACTAGCCACATAGAGTCATTTCTAGGCACCTACCATTATAACATAAAACTTCCTTTAGCACATCAGAAAATAAATGACCTCATCAATCCTCCCTATACTAAAATGTGACTCTGAGTATGTATATATACTACCTGTCGAATACTGAGTGTTATAACACTCTGGCAGTTGTTCGGGAGACAGAAATGAATAACACACGATTATTTAAGATTATTCTAATCTAGTGGAGCAATGCAGACATGGTAATGGGAAAAGTCAGTGGTTGGGGTGTTATCATCAGTTCAAGACTAGATGCTATGGGACTACATAAGAAAGTCATTGATCCCCTTCTCAGAATATCTGCTGGACAATCATCTGAAGGAAAGCAACATGTAGGGGATTTGTAGATATAGATATGGTGAAAGAGAAAAAAAGGGTAAAGATAACTGAACAGCTTTTACACCAGCTGAAGGCAAGTTTATGGTATATCTGGGGAGCTAACAATTTAAAATAGTTGAAGCCAAAAATTTAAGCTGGTGATTGGTAAGATAAGAGGATAAGGAAATCAATGAGTCTAGTTGCAGATAGATTTATAAAATGATTTAAAGTGTTTTGTACTCTGTCCTCAAAGCAAAGAGGAAAAATCAAAGATTTTAAGGTAAAAACTAATATGAACTGATCATATTTAGAAGTAAGTATCTGGTATCCATACTTTTATCCATTGAAATATCTTTACCCTTTCTAACGGGTGATAATCTAGCCTCACCTCAAACAATTCTAGGGATGGGCAAATTCCTATTGGAAATTTAATTTACACAAATATATTATATACCCTAAGCATTAGAAAGGTAATCGTTAGAAAGGTAATCATTGTCTGGTACTAAGAAATAATTTCTATAAGTCTCCATTTTAAATTTAAAGGGAATTTTGTCAATGACCAGTTACCAAATCCATTATTTTTTTCTTTCTCAAGCCTCTTATAATTATCTTAAGTTTACAATGCCTGAAAATATCCACAAAATTACTAAACAATTTTATTTTGACATAATAAGTTCTTACTAAAGTAATTCTGTAGATGTATCTTGAAGCAAAATTTTCCTCTTTTCCCAGCTCTATGCCAAATGTCGGGCTAAATAAATAAAATCGTTAATAAATATATACCATGATTATTGTGTATACATTTTTACAGATAACTTATCAAAAGGCAAATGTCTGCATTATCGATATGTGAAGGCAAATGTAGGATTCAAAAATGCTAATCAGAAAAGTTTAAGTCAACATTTACATTCACAGCATTGAAATGCTGGGTTTCCCCCTTGTCTGAAAGTAAGAAAGAAAAATAGAAATAGTTGCAGTTACTTCTCACAGGCTTAAAAATTGGCATTATAAACTTTCTAGTGAAGATAGTTTAGGTTTAACATGCTTTTTATTGGTTTTATATTATATATAATCTACATACATGTACCTTTTGAATGAGAAGAAGAGAAGAAAGAGAAGGAAGGTAATTGATGAAGAAAAAATTAAGGAAGCAAAGGAAAAACAGAATAAGTTACTGCATGTTTTTTGAAACCCTAATACACTTTAAGTGTTTGATGCATATTAAATTGCAGACCATGTTTTATGAATTAACAAAAATGCATGTTGAACAACTGGTTAATCTTCTCTTCCAAAAAAAAAAAGAAAAAAAAAACTCATTGAAGTACAAGAAGGTAAAGATAATTGTGGAAAATTACTTATTTGCTACACTGAAAATTGATGTAGGAGAATGATAGTGTTCCTTCTCTCTTTTACTTGTTTCCACTTCTGAGTTTGAATTAAGAACATAAAATTATAAAATATTATTTTGATAAGTATCTTTCATCCGTCTCTGTCACTGCTGTGCAAATCTTTGAAATCCACAGGAGAGTCTAGTACAGAAGAGATACAAGAACATGTAGAAAAAAAAATCACTGTATTTTCTTTTGATTAAATACTAATACGATGTGAGACTTACTTGGTAGACGATAAGTACAAACATAATATTTGATTCAAAAGTTTCTGATGTGTAAATTAGGTATTTTGGAAAGCTTTATTAATCATATCTTTTGAATTTTGTATGTCTGTGTTTTCATCTAGTCTGCATATGTTTACTTAGCATTTACTATATGTCTTGTACTGGGCGAGGCACGGGGGGTAAAAACAATTGAGACCTATTTGCTGTCTTCGAGGACCAATTAATAAGCAGATTGCTGCAGAATTTCTTCCTTCAACACAGAAGAAGCAGCTCCTATGTGTGTTTGGGAATCAAGAAGTAATTGTTGGATCCATTTACTGCTTCTGCGTGCTCATCTGTAAGTCCCAAGATGCCTGCATTTTGCTTCTAATCATTGTTCTTTTAGGCTTGCAGAGCCACTTTCTTCAACACAAAGAAAATGCAGAGGCAGAGGAGAGTGACTGGGTGTTTGAGTTTCCACCTCTCCATCCTAGTTTTTACACACTCCTCCAAGATGGGACAAACTAAAAAAATGTAATTACACTTCAATGCTCCCTGAGGGACAATTACAAGAATTTTTCTCCCTGGAAGCTTTTTCATAAAGGGCACTTCACCCAATTTATACCAATTTTTACTAGAAATTTGTTTTTGGTAGACATAGAAACTCCATTCTACCTCTTTTTTTTCGGTCCTATAATTCATCTCGTAGGAAAAAAAAAGGAGAGTAAAAAACTTCAAACTTTTAAAGAATTTTCTGTATTAAAGAATTGAATTTTAGATTAAAAAGTAAGATAAAAGTATATAACGTTACCACATAATAGTGATTGCTTAGTAGAAAAAAAATGAAATAAATTCAAGTCTTTAAATTGTTTTTAACAGATATCAAGAGACCTGGTTAAACCTGAACAGAGTTAAAGAAGGACATAAAAATTATATAAACATATATGCCATATAGAAAATTTATCTATAAAACCCCAAACAGAGATTCCCAGTACTTTATAGAAATGGTCCATAAAAATAAAACGGGTACTTGGCTGAACGGTATCGTATTTCTAATTCCTAGGTGTGACCATCTGGCTAAGTTTCTATGATCAATAGAATGTGATGTGTCACTTTTAGAACTGTCCCACAAAAACGTCTTTCCTACAAACCTGACTCTTTTTTATTCACTGTTGCCTGATTGAAGAGGTCATTAAACACATTTAGGAGGGTGGAATGCAAGGTGGTAAAAGCCTGGCCCTGTGTAGACCAAAGCCCTGGGCCCCTGGATGCCTTATCTTCCAAAGCACATAGAACCAAGTATTAAATGGGAAACACATTTTTATTGAGATAACCCATGGAAATATTAGAATTTATCTATTACTACAAATAATATTACTTGCCATTCTCTAATAAAGATGTTGCTAACATTTCAGCCTGATATAAAGTTATGTGCCAATGTGTACCTTTGAAATTGTGTTGAAAGTCTCTAAATAGGCTATTATAAAAATCTGTCTCCCATAGATAGCCTGTAGAAAGATGGACCACAGGTAGATGCCAAAACAACCATGCCCATACGAACTCTCTTTCACCATTTATCTTTCCATAATACAGAAGGGAAATAGAAGGCATATATAAAGAAAAGTGTTCCCAAGGCAGTCCTAGATTATAGGTACTAAGTGGAACATGTCGTGCCTAATTACATAGGCAAATCAAAGTATTATCTTTTAGGTGGCTTTTTAACTTTGGGATTGAGTGCCCTATACAATTTACACCTTGGTCTTGATAGTGACATTTGAATAAACTAAGAAGGAGATGCTGCCTGTCATAGAAGGCTGCTATGATCAACACAATCTATGGAGGCCTCTTGGATTGGGAGGTACAGGCCATTGAATATTAGCTGCAGTAAAAGCTGTGTCTATAGCTGTCAATAACAGAGCGATTTACAGAACTTAAAAGGAGGAACATTAAAATATAAATCACATAATAACATGAAATGTAAATAAGATATAAGAAAATGCTTACATTTCAGTTTTTAAAGAAAGGGCAATGTTTTCAAAAGAATTAACTCAAGCTTAACTCAATTCACTTAAACTTAAAATCTATTAGAGCTTTTGAAAAAGAATCTAGCATTGAATGGTTCTATACCAACAGGCACAAATTAAGATGTGGAAGATATCATCATTAAATATATCATCATTAAATCCTAATTTTAAAAATGAAATGAAGTACATTTATTTGACATTGACTAGTGTAAATATTTTAAGCATTAGGTTTATATTTTTAAATGTCCTCTTCATTATGCTAAAAGCTCACTAAACTCATAGCCCTAAATTTCAAAAAGCAAATTGAACCAGAAGAGCCAAGGAATAGAGAACAAAATTGTACAAGTAAAATTAGTGTTCAAGAAATAAATACCTTTGACATTCTATTTGTAAAAACAGCTAATTTATGGAAGATAAAACCATAATAGTAACATATTACAATGACTAATGTAACCAGATGAATTTAAAGCTAAATTGGTCTTCAGAAAATATCATAAGGTAGGTAGCATGGCATAATTGAGTAATTTTTCTTATTTAGTATTCCATAGACCGTATGGTATAACAAAAGATGTGAAGATCAAAATATGAACATAAAAGAGAGAAGAAATTTTGGGATAATATTGAATAAAAAAAGCCATACTTCTATTATAATCTTTTCTTATCCAATTATAAAAACTGACCATGACTGTGATCATTTATCAGATAAACATTTGTATCAATCACTGTCTTTATGTGATATAATTATATTTTTTTACCAAAGTGGAACAATAGAAAGTCACTGTTAATAACTACAAAGATATCCAAGAGTATTGCACTTTTACAATTAAGTTTTTCATTTTATAAAACAACAAATGATAAAAATTATTTTATTTTATGCATAAGGTTTAATCAAATGATAAAAAGTAATGATTCAAATTTTTAAAAATCTCCTCACCTATTTTTTCTTAAAGATTTGCAGTGTAAAAAGTATTGCACCAAAAGCCTTGTATATCCATATGATAATATGAATTGGCATTGATTGGTTTATCCAATCAAATTATAATAGAATTATGGAAAAACTAAGCAACAGACAAAAATGAAGAATCTACTTGTAAAGGTAGCAAAAAAATATTGCTTTCTTATTACCCATAAGCCAGCTACATTTTTCTTTTTAAAGGTCAATCAATGACAGCATGAACTTTTTCTTTTCCAATACTGAAAAGCAGCAATAAATTGCTTTCACTATACATGGTAGAAGTGTATACTCTTGGATAAGTTTTAATTCCAAAAATCACAGTAAGTGACCTTCTTTATAATATCACTATTGTTTGTCTAGTTTCAAAGATAGTCTTTGTGACAGTATCCTCAAAACTTCACAATTCTGATATTTCTTGTCAAGTTGTCATTCACAAAGTGAATTTATATTAAAGCAGATTTTTCCTCAAGAACTTTTACTTAAAAGTTCAAACGCAATCAGAAGTGACAGAGTGCTCCATAAAATATAAATCATGTCATATAGATTTTTAAAAATTAAGACACTTAAGCAATTGAATACATTAAGTAGAGCAAATAGATGCTTAATACATTTAAACTTTGCTATAGAGAGTTTAGTTCTACCAAACTCCTGTTAATTCTCTTTCCAATGTGCAGAATCATTCTTATTCCTTGGTCGCATTCACATATCCTTTCAAATAACATGTGGTGAATGCAATTTGTAAGATTGATATTGTCCAGTCGGCACTATCTGGAAACACTGCAAAGGAAATTGCACACTACCTAGGTCAGAGTTGATAGTTTACAAAGGTAATTTAGCGTATTTATCAGCAGATGTATTGTCCTTAAAAGAAAATAATGCAAGCCAGAATCCCAACTCATCTTACATAAGTTAATTTCCCCTCAGGTGAAATTGCTTTTAGGTCATTTTGATCAGGTCCTTTAAAAAAGTTAACCCGAGTGATTATTATATATTTATTGTGTATCAGAATCGCTTATAAAACTTTTGCTTATAAAACAAATCCCCGAGCCACAAAACTGATTTAATGAATCTGAAACCATGGTGTAGAGAAGTAACAAAATGTTTGGCAATAAAAATGCTCCAACTGATTCTTCTTGCACTGCAATGCACAAATTTCTGACAAAAAATGATAACACAATTAGTGTTATATTTAGATCATTTATTTATCTTCTATATGCTCTGGAAATGATTGAAGTCAGTAAGAATTTTCTTGACTCATTTTATAATCATACTTTGCAACTTATCAGAAAATTGGCTTTCTGTTTGGTACCAGATTCAGTATGATACTGGTTGTGACGGGACTGCAAACAGAGAAGTAAAGAGCAGAAGCTTTTGAGACAGATGCACTTGCATTTAGATGCTAACTCATCTATTTCAGGCTGTGTGAAATTTGGCAAGTTATTTAACTTCTCTGAGGCTTAGTTTCCTCTAGATGTTTACCCAATAAAGTTGTCATGGTAACTGAAGGAAATAATATATAAAAATTAGTTAACACAATAACTGCAATTAATAGTCACTCAAATAAGAGCAATTTCTCTAATATTTTATATTATAACTTATCTGCCCTAGTAGGTAGAATTAATCATGGATACTAAGCTTACTATCAAAGAGTTCATCACATTTATTTCTTCTCTCTCTCAGATATCCATTTAGCTTGCTGTCTCACTTTCTACAGGAATTTCTTAAAATATCATCCTTTTAGTAATAATTTCCTTAGCTACCCTATCTAAAATTGCAGTCGCCATTTCTCTCTCTCTTTTGTACAAAATACTTTGCTTAATATGTCACCACCTAACAAACTAAATGTTTTACTTATATAGTGTGTTTAGTCACGTCCTTCTACTTGAGAACGTTAAGGTTTATAAGAGCAGAGTATTTTGTTTATATTCTGTTGCATTTATAGAACCCAGAAGAATGCTTGTATGTGATAATTACTCCGTGATATAAAAAGGATAACAGAGAAACACAGTATGTCACAAATTGAAGCCTAGACTGAGGAATGGAAAAACCACAGTTTGCATTGATATGCCAAAAATATTAATGTATAAGTGTTTTTCAACTTTCAACTGTGGACCTTGTTAAAAACGAAGATTATTATTCAACAGGTCTTCAGTAGCCCCAAAACTCTGCATTTCTATTAAATCTAGTTGATGTACGTAGTGCTAGTTTCTGGACCTCACTTTCTAAATCCTTAATTCCTCTTTCAACAATGTTCACAACATCTTCTCCAGGAGTAGATATTATTTTAAGATACCACTTTCTTTGTTCATCCATAAAAAGCAACTCTTCATTTGTTCAAGTTTTATTGTGGGATTGCAGCCATTCAATCACATCTTCAAGGCCTACTTTTAATTCTAGTTCTCTTGCAATTTCCACAGTCACTTCCTCCACTGAAGTCTTGAATCCCTCAAATTTATCCACGAGGGTTAGAATCAACTTCTTCCACACTACTGTTAAGTTGCTATTTTTATCCCTTCCAATGAATCCTGAATGTTCTTAATGACATCTAGAATAGTGAATCCCTTCCAGAAAGCTTTTAATTTACTTGGTCTAGATCCATTAAAAGAATCACTATCTATGGCAGCTATAGCCTTACAAAACGTATTTCTTAAATAAGACTTGAAAGTCAAAATAATTCCTTGATTCATGGGCTACAGAATGGATGTTGTGGTAGCAGGCATGAAAAGAAGATTAATTTCCTTGTAAATCTTCATCAAAGCTCTTGGAGGACCAGATGCTTTGTCAATAAGCAGAAATATTTTGAAAGAAGTCATTTAAAAACATTTTCTGAGCAGTAGGTCTCAACAGTGGGCTTAAAATACTAAATAAGCCATGCTATAAACAAAAGTGTTGTCATACAAACTTTGTTGTTTTATTTACAGAGCACAGGTAGAGTAAATTTAACATAATACCTAAGGGTCCAAGAATTTTCAGAATGGTCAATGAGCATTGTCTTCAACCTCACTGACTGCATTGGCCCCTAACAAGAGAATCAGCTTATCCTTTGAAGCCAAGCTTTGATTCTCCTCTCTAGCTATGAAAGTCATAGGTGGCATCTTCTTTCAATATAAGATATTTAATCTACACTAAAAATCTGTTGTTTAGTGTACCTAGCTTTATGACTTATTTTAGCTAGATCTGGATAATGTGCTGTAGCTTCTTCTTCAGCAATTATTGTTTTACCTTGCACTTTCATGTTCTGGAGATGGCTTCTTCCCTTAAACCTCATGAGTTAACCTCTGGAAATGTTACTTCAGCCCTAATTCCTCATACCCTTCAGCCTTCACATAATGAAGACAGTTATGGACTTGCTCTGGATTAGGCTTTGGCTTAGGAGAATGTTGTTGCTGGTTTGATCTTCTATCCAGATGAGTAAAACTTTCTCCATATCAACACTAAGTCTGTTTTGCTTTCTCATTGAGGGTTCACTGGAGTAGCACTTTAAATTCCCTGAAGAACTTTCCCTTTGCATTCATAACTTGACTAACTGCTTGGCTCAAGATGCCTAGCTTTTAGCTCACCTGGGCTTTTGAAATGCTTCCTCATTCAACTTAGTTATTTCTAGCTTTTGATTTAAAGTGACAGAAGTGTGGCTCTTCCTTTCTCTTGAACAATTAGATGTTACAGAATGGTTATAAATTGGCTTCATCTTAATATTGCTGTGTCTTGGGGAATAGGGAGGCTCAAGGCGAGAGACAGACAGAGAGATGGGGGAAAATGGTCCACCACTGGAGTAGAACACATACAACATTCAATAATTAACTTGGTCACTGTAGATGGGTGCAATTCATGGTGCCTCCAAAAAATTACTGCAGTAGCATCAATGACCACTGATCATAGATCATTATAACAAATATAATAATAATAATAATAATAAAATTTGAAATATTGTGAGCATTACCAAAATGTGACACAAAGACATGGATTGAGCACGTGCTGTCAGATAAGGGTAGACTTGCTTGATGTAGAGTTGTCACAAACTTTCAATTTTTTAAAAAAATATCATAATATCTGCAAAGTACAATAAAGTTAAGCTAAAAAAAGAGACATGCTTGTAAGTTTTGGAGATAGTTGTTAATAGACTTTGTGGCAAATATAATTAGTATTTTAAACTCACCAAATGCAACCAAAATGAAAAATTACATGCATAAACTAAAAAAACACAATTCTTTGAGTTATTTACTTTAGAAGACAGAAAACAGATCCTAACTACTTTTTGCATTTTTGACGTTCTGTGACACATGAAATTGTTCTGCAGAAAGGTGACTGATGGGGCTTTTGAGCATATGTTTATTTCTAAGGTAGAATAAATATCCAATAACTTCTAGTATTTTCTCTTTAACATTTATTTCCTTCAATATTGATTTATTTAACCTAATAACTACTAAAGTCTTTTAAGCTATTGTTAGGTCCAGAAGACAGGTCCATAGCTAACCTTTAAAGAAGAGCCACTTTATCTGCATCTGCAAATGAAGCATTTCATTTAGGATGTTTTGAAAGCAATAAACTTGGTAAGACAGTGATACTTAGGGAATGCTGAAGTGCATGATCTTCCAATGGATTACTATATCAGAAGGACAGAATTTATATATAATGACTATACGATAATGATATGGTTTGGCTGCGTCCCCACCCAAATCTCATCTTGAATTTCCATGTGTTGTGGGAGGCACCTAGTGGGAGGTAATGGAATCATGGGGGCAGGTCTTTCCCATGCTGTTCTTGTGATAGCGGCTAAGTTTCATGAGATCTGATGATATCGTAAGGGGGAATTTCCCTGCCCAATCTCTCTCTTTGCCTGCTGCTATCCACTTAAGATGTGACTTGCTCCTGCCTGCTTTCTGCCATGATTGTGAGGCCTCCCCAGCCACGTGGAACTGTGATTCCAATTAAACCTCTTTCTTTTGTAAATTGCCTAGTCTTGGGTATGTCTATTGCCGCAGCATGAAAACGGACTAATACAGATAATATAGAAGGAGAACTTAGAAGGCGTATCTCCTTTTTGAGGCAGTATTAAAAAGCAGTAAATATTAGATTACCTAACTTCTTTTCACAGGAAATGCAATCTTGTGTAAAATGAGGATTTAGGAGCCCTAATTGGGTGGCATTCCATGGGACAAACGTAAGTCTTTGTACACTATACCTCCAGTGGAATAGATCTATCAGTATCTACTTTCTCTGATTTTAATTAACAACAGGATACTTCTGGAAGGGAACAGGATGGTTCCCTTCCCTCATACCTTTTCCCACCTGCTGCTGTCTGAAATGATATTGTCTACAGCTATATGCCAATAAGTGCACTATCTCCTTTCTGCTATGGAGTCAGCATCCCCATTGAATTATCCTTCCAGCTTGGCACATAAATAAAAGTGATATTTTTCTTATATATATAGTTAAAATGATATTCTTATTATTTGCAGCAAGTTTCATTCTGAATTTTTGCTTTCCGAGTGCTCCTTTTCTGTGTAGAAATAAGGATGAATCATAATACTCAAACTCAGATATGCATGTTAGTTTTTTACTCCAAGCTTCCTTTTGGATATTCTGAAAGAATGCTTGATCTCAGTCCTTCTTATTATCCTCTATGACTGTGGTTGGGCCACAGCTACGTGATCTTAATGTCAAGGCCTAGATGGGTAGAGTTGATGTGAACAGTGGCTTCTCTGTGAGGTTTTCTGTCTATATCAAAAGCTATTCAATCATAGCCATTGTTTTTGTAAACTTTCATTTCTGGTAGCTTTGATATTTCTACGTCTCTCTTTTCTTAAACTACCTTTATCATAGAGCTTCTTGCCATAAATGTTTTTTGTTTTTTGTTTTTCTCATATTCTATGTAATTCTTGAGATCTCAGAAAAAAAGTCCATGCACCTTGTGTTCAGGGCACTGCACATGGCTCTTATTTATTCTGTTCACATAATTGAGGAGAATCTTTCATTTTAAATGTGAGTTTAGCATTTTGGAAATAAACTTCCCCTAGAGCGAAAGTTTTTCTGTTTGCTATCTGTTGTGCTGGGTGGAAGACCCATGGGAAGATAATGGCAGAACAAAAAAAATTTGAGATATTATTTAACATTAACATAGATGATACATGAAACATGATGTATATTTTGTTCATTATTTTGTTTGTATCATCCCTTCTATAGGAAGAATTTGTTATTATCACAAAGTAATCTCTGCACACAAACTAGTATCATTCACTTATTCTATCAGCACCAGTAAAGAGTCACCATTTATTCATTATGTTTACATGTATATCTACATTTACATCTACATCAAGCTATTTAATTACTGTCCATGAAAAATATTTGTATATATTTAACTCTTTTAAACCTCTTGTTAATCCATATCCTACTTATTCTATCTGTAGTGTTTGCCAGTGACACTGAGAGTCACTAATTTCACAAGCTGCTATTTAAGGTGATAAAAGAAAGTTCTTATACCCACTCCTAACTACTCACCAGGAGGAGGAAATATCAGTCCAATCGATGATATTCCACACTCTGATTGGGCCACATCTGTTAAAGAGCAGCTGACTTTCTATTCATTGTCTCATACATGGTTGTGACACCAGCTCTGTTCTCCATATAATATCCATGTTACAGAAATGGTAAGTAGGAAGATTCAAGGCCAAACCTAGCTTTGTTCTATTCTGCTTTATTCTTAAACATAAGTGGGTTAATAAGTGCTCTGGGTGAAAAATCACAACCACATGCACAAATGAAATTGAATCCCACCAACTAATCCAATTTGGTTACCAGAGCGTTTTTCATCTAAGGTTTAATATCAAGCACAGCTTAAACTTGAGGATAGAATATTACTGTTTTATCATTGCTCTTTTCCATATCATTTTAAGAAAACTTATAATAAGGAGAGGTGCCTAGGCCAAGGAACATTTGAGCTTCCCTCATGACCACCAAACTATAGGAAGTAAATACTCTACATAAATACTGTCTGAATTATTCATTCTTACTAGTATCTTGATTTGGAATAAAAGAGCTGTTTTTGATAGGGCAAGATGAGTTTCCACAGATAACAACTTATTTTAAATATTTAAATACTTAACTCACTCTCATTACTATGTTCAGTTGCCATAAAGCTCTTCTTTTAGTTCTAGACCTCCTGTGCTCCTTTTACCACAGGACTTATGAACATAACATTTCATCTTCTTGGAAGCTTCTCTTCTTCCTTTTTGGATCACTTAATTTCCATTCTTTATGCTTTTTCCTCTTAAACCAAGCATTACTTCTTCAAGTCCTTCTGTGGCCTCTCTAACTAGACTTCTTCAGAAGACTTCATCTAGTTGCCACTTTACACCTGTTTGTGTGAGTACTGGATAAACGTCCACCACATCCGGAGGCTGTGAGCTTCATGAGGAGAAGTCTGTGGCTATATTTGTTTCCTATTCTCAACTATAAAGTCTATTGCATGATAAACCTCAGCAAACATTTTGAAGAAAATGATTTTTTTTTACCACATTGTGTGTCCTTTTCATGTAACAATTAACACTTAGTTTATTCTAATTTTTATTATAATTATTTTTTCATGTGTTCTTCTTTTTTATTCTCATGTTTTTGAAGACCCTACATTTTATGTACATTTTCTGATGGAACCTAATATAATTGGGTTGTATGTTCATAACATACATTTGTAAAACTTTAAATGAATAAAAATAGCCCTTTTAAGTGGTACTTTACTGCTGATAAGTAAAAGCTTTTTAATAGTCTAAACACAAAGAAAGTAAATTATATTAAAGTAATACAAATATATTTACATATTTAATATAATTTGCCAAAAATAAAAGTATTCCTAATTAACTTTATTTTTTAAAAATTTAATTGACACATTTATTTATTTAAATAGGTTTTTGGGGAACAGGTGGTGTTTGGTTACATGGATAAGTTCTTTAGTGGTGATTTCGGTGATTTTAGTGCACCTCTAACCCAAGCACTATATACCCTGTCCCTAATGTGTAGTATTTTTAATTGTATATATTTATCACATATGACTTAATGTTTCAATACATATAGGTTGTATAATGATTAAATAAGGGTGGTTAATGTATCTATCACCTCATGCATTCTTTCTATTAAGAATATTAGAAAGCCTCATATTTAGCTATTTTGTAATACACAATAACTTACTGTTAACCGTAGTCATTCTAATGTCCAAAAGAACATTGGAACTTCTTCCTGTAAAATGGTAACTTTATACCCACTGATCTCTTCCAAACCTTCTCCTCCATTTTTTGACCCTCTGCTTCTGTGAATATATATATAGAGAGATATATATAGAGAGATTATAAGCAGATAGAAGATATATAGATATATATATCTATATATGTAGATATATAGAGAGATTATAAGCAGACAGAAGATAGAAGCAGATGGAAGATAATCATTTTCCCATAATCAAGGAGAATCTTTCATCTCAAATGTAAGTTTAGAATTTTGGAAATAAATTTCCCCTAGAGCAAAAGTTTTTCTGTTTGCTATCTGTTGGGCTGAGTAGAAGATCCATGGGAAGATAATGGTAGAACAAAATGATTTAAGGTAATATTTAACATTAATATAAATGATACATTAAACATGATGTACGTTTTGTTCATCATTTTGTTTGTATCATTCCTTCTATAGGAAGAATTTGTGATTATTACAAAGTAATATATTCTATGAGTATATATATTTATAGTAGCAGAGGGTCAAATAGTGGAGGAGAATATATATATTCTTCTATGAATATACATATTCATAGAAGCAGAGGGTCTCTCTCTCTCTCTCTCTCTCTCTCTCTCTCTATATATATATATATATATATATATTTAGATTCCACATATGACTGAGGTCATACGGTATTTGACTTTGGTTTATTTCACTTAACAAGATGTCCTCCAAGTTCACCCATGTTGTCACAAATGACAGGATTTCACTGTTTTTATAGTTGAATAGTAATCCATTGTGTATGTATACCACATTTTCTTTATCCATTCATCTATTGTTGAACACTCAAATTGATGACATATCTTGGCTATTGTGCATAGTGCTATAATAAACATGAAAGTACAGATATCTCTTTGACATACTGGTCTCATTTCTTTTGGATATATACCCAGTAGTGGGATTACTGGATCATATGATAGTTCTATTTTTAATTTTTTGATGAACTTTCATACTGTTGTCCATAATGGCTGTACTGATTTACAATCTCACCAACAGTGCATAAGTCTTCCCTGGGAAGTTTTCAGCTATTTTGTTAAATAGGTTAACTGTGTATTTTTAAATCTCTTCTCCCTCTTGAACTCCAATAAGAAAATATTTAAAAGTTGGCTTTACAGTGTACCATTCCCCCCATAGGATATTTTTTTTCACATTTATTACTTATTATTTGACTGGATTACTTCAAAAGACTTGCCTTCAAGTTCAATAATTTTTTCTTCTGCTGATCTAGTCTGTTGTTAAAGCTCTCAGTTTTATTTTTTGTTTCTTTAATTGAAGTTTTTATCTCCACAATTTGTATTTGGTTCTTTTGTATAATATCTTATTATTGAATTGCTCATTCAGATTACGAATTGTTTTTCTGGTTTCAATAAATTGTTTGTTTGTCTATATTCTCTTATATTTTGCTGAGTTCCCTTAAAATCATTATTTGGAATTCCCTTTCAGGCACTTTGTAAACACCCTTTTCTTTGAGATCTATTACTGAAGACTTGTGTTCCTTTGGGGGTGCCATATTTCTTTATTTTTTGCAGGTCTCTATGTTCGTATGTGGATAACTGTGCCTCCAGTGGAACATATACATTTCACAATTTTATAGAGTAGGTTTTGCAGGACAAATGTTTTCTTGTAAATGGGTCCTAAGGTGTTGGTTGGGAAGAGTGCACTAGCTTTGATTCTGAGTGGATTGTCAGGCCAGACGTGTGCATGTACGGCATGCCAATGGGCTGTGTGGCAGGCTCTTTGGGAGACTGGAGCCACTCCTGGAGTGGCTGTTGGGTTATTATCAGGTGTGCTGGCCTGGATGTGCAGCTGTGCTGCACTCTTTTCCAGGAGGCAAGGCTGCTTCTGACTGGATGTTGAGTCAGATGTAAGTGTATGCATGTGAACATGGGAAAACAGTTGTCTGTATGGCAATTTCTTTGGGGAGGCCGGTCCATTGCTGGGATAGCTGCTGGGCTGGACCCTAGCACTCACTAGCTGGCTGGGCTGCCCAGTCATTCAGTGTATGGGCAATGGGGGCTGGCCAGCTGCTCAATGGCTTCCCACTGGGCAGTTTTGCCTGTTCCCTGAAAAATTGGGTGACCCCTTAGTTCAGACACCAGGCTCTCAGTTGTTTTGTGAAACCTAGACTCCAGATAGATGATGTAATGGTACTGCAGGTATTTATTATTATTCTTTTTTAGTGTGGTATAATGTCAGCAGAGCCTCAGTGATGGAGAGAATCAGTGGTTACTTGTCCCCAGGGCAGAACACACACTAGCAGAGGGTTTAGTTTCAAGGTTTGCCATGCAATAGCAACTTATGTCATGGGGGTGAGGACTGGAAGGGAGGGTTCTTCTCTGATGCCATGCAGCCACATGTACTCCTGGAAATTTTCCAAACTGCATTTAATGCCTAAGTGAACTGGCGACTCTCTTGTATCATAAATTACTGGTATCTTTGGCAGTACTGAGGACTGCTGGGGGTTTCCATATTGCCTTTTCCACTAAGTCTCCCCTGACTCTGAGCCCATCCAGCAGGGCAAACAATTTGACAGAGGCAGGGGTGCCCTCACTCCAAGCTCTGTAATGCTATGCTAGGCATAAGTTTGACAAAGATCTTGATGCTCCTCTAGTGCTCTCCAGCATACTTCCTCAGTCAATACAGTTGAAATACAGTTGTCTATCTGCTATTTTGATCACTTTTAGTAGGAGGGGCAAGCACCAGGCAACTCTATTCAGCCATCTTTTCTGATATCACATAACTGTAAACATGTATTTAAGTAAAGTAAAAACAACTATCTGTCATTAAAACAGTATATTTAATTTTGCATTATAATAAGGTGAAATAATATTGCCTTTTAATTAGAAGGTGATAGAAGAATGAAAAGTGTAGAATTACTTCTTTAAGGCTTAAAAAATTAGAATTAATTAAGGAGTTGGGCTTAACTATGTAGTGTCTATGGAATAATTGATTGAAAGTATCTACAGTACAGTAATTCATAAAAATGTTCATTTGTTTTGACAAGCAGCTTAACAATGGCAAGGAAAAGCAACTTTATAAAAATTACAGTACCTTATACCATTAGATATTAAAATATATCCACTGATTCTTTTAAGGTACAGACAGTCATGGAGGAATACAGAAATTGCAGGTAAAAAATACCACCTTAAAATGGTCCAAAATCATCTGTGAAGTGTAGGGGCTGAATAATATGTGCAGAGTGTTGAAGGAAGTTTTTAGAATTGTCTGGACTCTTTATCTTTTAACTGGCATATGAGTCTAAAAATTACCTTCTCTTTACAGTTTATCTTTATGTTAGCTTATGTAAGTGTTTATTATTATTTGCTATTTTGCTAGAGGCAATTTTTCTAATACTACCAGATTGTTTGTTCATGGATTGTTTATGTCAAGGTTAAAACGTTTCTAAAATAAGGTGAGAGACGTGTCTTCATGTCTGTTTTGATTCTGAGGGACCTGACCTCACTGTATTTATCCCATTTCATTTCTGAGTGTGAATGTGGGAATTTCCTTGTAATATGCCCGAGACTCGAACCAAGAATGGAATAAATATGGTCACACTGGTTTCTGACCTCTTCAGTTACCTCTTCAATGCATTCTAATTCCACAGGATCAAATAATGTCATCCTCTTTCTCCCAACTACCACCTGGACCTGAGTAGCATAGCAGGACCTTAAGACACTTTAGATTGACTGACATTTTTACAATGTTATTGTGGAAGTCAAACTTAAACATTAATATTGTGCTTTATTTCTATAAACTGTCCTAATAACACTCCTCTGTCCTTAGCTTACTTGAAGTACTAGAAAATAATCTGCATAAACACAAGAGTTTTGTTTTGGTCACTGATGTAAAAGTCTTTCTTAGTCATTCATGAATAGTTAAGACTTTGAGTGTTCAAATTTACCCTATTCTCTTCATCTGTTTTCCACCTTCACACTTCCAGTACGGCATGAGCATGGGACTGCTTCAAGCCAATTGGTCAAGACTAAAGTGATGTGCTTCACTTCCAGGACAAGCTGTTTATTGTTTATATAAGGCCAGCATTCTTGACCCTGCTTCAGCGATTGTGAAGAGAGTCTTGTGTTGAGGTTGTGAAGTTACAAGATTAATAAAGTCTAAATTGACTCATCATTGCACATTGGACACTTCCCTGGATGATTTACATATGTGAAAAGTAAATCTTGTAGTATGAAGCCACAAAGATTTGAAGGTTTGTCATTATTATTTTTGTGGGGTTTTTTTCCACAAAGTAACATAGCATATACTGATTGTCATTAAAGGGATCCAAAACAGTGCTTGATACAAATAAGTATGAATTAATTTTCTATTGCTACATGAATTGCCACAAATGTAGTGGCTTGTAACAACACTCATTTTTTTACCTCAGCATCTGTAGGTCAGAACTTCAGCATAGCATGTTTGGATGCTTAATCTAATCTGGAAGCTTTGAGGAACAACTCGCTTGAAAGCTCATTCTTGTTGTTGAAAGAATACAACAACTTGTGGTTACAGTACTAAGGTCTTCACTTTCCTGACTCACAGTTAGGACCTAGCTCAGTTCCGTGAGAGAAGAACATTGTTTTCCTTGTCTCCTCCTATATCTTCAAATTAACAATGGGAGACGAAATCTTATACTTGGATCACTGGATTCTCTTTTATCTGGCATTTAGGCACAAAATTAAAGGCACATATGATCAGCTCAGGCTCACATAGATAATCTCCCTTTCAATTAATTCAAAGTCTACTTGTTAGTAGTAACCATAATTACATCTTCAAAATCTCTTTTGCCATAGAATGTAATATAGCCTTAGGAGATAGACCTCATATTCACCAGTCCAAACCACACTCATGAGAATAAATTATATGAACTCAAGGGTATTTTAAGGCAATCTTACGATCCTGCCTGCCACAAAGTGCTTAGAAAATTTTTTACTGAAAGAAAAATGAATGAACAGTAAGAGAACAGGTGTATGGTCATGTACAAAGAAACCAAACAGGGAAACCTACAGATACACACACATACAGTGTCATTAGAACGATTACTTAAAAACAATGTTGTACTAAATGGTGTTACATTATAGCTCCTACTACAGATACTTCATAGTTTATTTGAGGATATAAAGATGCCTCATTATGTAGAATAATCATCCTTCTGATTTCCTGCTGTGAAAGTCCTTCTTAAGATTGCAGACAAGTCCCATATTCTCCAGGTGGCTTTCCTGTTAGTCATTCAGTATTTATATAGAAATTACTTCCAGAGGTCCTTCTGCAACTCCATATTATAATCTGTGAAGCAACGTCATAGTGCTCTGTCCATCTAACGTTAAAAGTAGCTCATCATACTTGGCACTTGACTTAATCATGAGTTCATCACTTTATCCTTAAACCTTAGTATACTGTATTTATTGCATAAATGGTTTTAGTTTTTGTAAAACCCTTGCATTGCTCCCCCCCCTTTCCTAAATTCTACACTATTAGTCTTTTATTATTAAGCACTCAAATTATGATGAAATTGCTTTGAGTGTTATTTGTATTCCCCCAAATAAATTTTATGTTTCTTGAAGGCAGGTGTTATTCCCCCCCCCCCCCACTTTCCACAGTATAAGACATTATCATGAAAATAGGAAGTATTTTGTAGAGATCTATTATTTGGTGGGTCACTAAACAAGATAGTATCTGGCAAAGCAAATTTCATGAATTAAAGTAATTAGTAAATAAAATGGCATATGAGTTGTTAATTATGGAATACAGTGCCAAATTTGGAAAAGAAGGTAGAAACTTCATATAGGCTGGAGTTATTAGGGAAGAGACCCTGTAGATGGGTGGAGTATAGATACCTATCAATCAGACGGAAGGACATTTAAAAAAGTTATGCACTTGAAAATGCTCCCATTGCCCAAAGCTGGAAAAATTAAAGGAACGTAATAATTAATGTAGCATTGGATTCCAACCCAAACCATAAAACAAAAACTTTTTTTGAGTATGGGCTTGTATTGACTTGTATCCAAAGAATAGACTAGGGGAAGGAAAAGCATAGTCACATCATAGTGGAAAAACCTAGAAAACATACAATGAACAAGTAATCAATGTTAGCATCACCAGCACTAAGTCATATTGATATGATGTATCCTTCATATGATGCAGTAAGAGGATTCTTCACCTCTTGGATTTTCTGCCCCCAAAACTATACACCAGTCTAATATTGAGAAATTGAGGGACATTCTACAAGGGGAACAGTGTTCTTCAAATTATCAACATCATGAAACAAATAAAAAGACTGATGCACTCCCATAAACAGGAGGAGAAATGGAAAGCAAATGCAATGTGGTATTCTAAATTGAATCCTGGAACATTCAAAGGATATTGTTGGGAAAAGTGATAAAATCTGAATAAAGTCTGTTATTTAGCTAATACTAATGAAATATTATTATTATTATTTATTTATTGGAGACAGAGTCTCACTGTTTCGCCCAGGCTGGAGTTCAGTGGCAATCTTAGCTCACTGCAACTTCTGCCTCACAAGTTGAAGTGATTCTCCTGACTCAGCCTTCCGAGTAGCTGGGATTACAGGAGTGCACCACCATGCCCAGCTAACTTTTGTATTTTTAGTAGAGACGAGGTTTCACCATGTTGGCCAGGCTGGTCTCAAACTCCTGACCTCAGGTGATCCACCCGCTTCGGCCTCCCAAAGTGCTGGGATTACAGGCGTGAGCTACTGTGTCTGGTCAATTTTCTTAGTGAATTAGTCCATTCTCACATTGCTATAAATAACTACCTGAGACTGTGTAGTTTATAAAGAAAAGAAGTTTAATCGACTCACGGTTTCACAGGAGGCATGACTGGGGAGGCCTCAGGAAACTTACAATCATGGCAGAAGGCAAAGGGAAAGCAGGCACATCTTACCATGTTGGAGTAGGAGAGAGAGCATGAAGAGGGAGGTGCTACACACTCTTAAACAACCAGATCTCATGAGAACTCACTCGCTATCACAAGAACAGCAAGGGGAAAATCTGCCTCCATGATTCAATTACCTCCCACCAGGTCCTTACCCCAACACTGAAAATTACGATTTGACATGAGATTTGGGCTGGGACACGCAGCCAAACCATATCACTTAGGTTTGAAAAATACACAATGCTATTAACTGTGGCAATTCTAATTAAATTCCCTTGATGTGTATATTGGAAAAATATATAAAGCACAGAATGTAAAATAAAGAACAGCATTGGAAAGTTTCAAAATATATATTTTTAAGAAAAGCTAAAAAAAAATACACAATGTTTATATGAGATGATAAATTAAAGTGAGATTTATTGGAGTGTATATGGAATTCTAATGTCTGCAGTTTTTCTGTAAATCTAAAATTATTCCTAAAAAAAAGTTAAGACACACACACACATATTTCCCACCTAACTCAGGAAATTTCCATGCAAAACACTACCTATGAAGTCTTTAAGTAATATTCTTAGTCCTGAAAAATAACCTTCTTTGGATTATAAATAAGTATAGCTTTGAAAACTAATGGAAGCAGTCACTCCACAAATGCTTACTTTTAATCATGTAATTCATAGCATTTTGTTAAATAAAACCCACTCAACGTAACCCTCAATAAAAGAAAATAAATGCACGCATATGCACATGCATATATCCACAGAATTAAATAAACAGAACATAAGAATACAAGCAGGAACTCTTGATGTCAGATTGTGAAGTAGACTCCCAATTTCTGGCACAACCTCAAAGCAAGTTACTTCTCTAAGCCCCAGGTTTATTATCTGTGAGATGGGGATAATAATAATATGTCTTGTATTGCAGTATTATTCTGAGGCTTAAATATGATAACATGTAAAATGTGCTTGATATTGGCACATGGTAAATGCTTGTTAAGTGAATACAATTATTTTGGGTACCTACTCTGGGTCTACCATGAAAATGCAATTACTATTTCCTCACAGAGTAAGAGTGGCAATTAATATGTATTGAGCAACTATTAAGTCTGCCAAGTACTATGCTAAATAAATTATCATTTAATCCTTGTCACAAACATATAAATCGTATATCCCCTTTATTCACACAAGAAAGGAGAATTAACTTGTCCAAATTTAGAACAGCAGCCGAGAAAGGTGCTGAATATTTAAACTAGCCTGGTTAACTCCAAAAATTGTGTTTCCTGTGGTAAATTTCTTTCACTGGCTGTTTCTTTTCTTTAAGGGTGTAAGGTGATTAGGATAAGTGAAAATTTAGATTAGCTAGAACTATGACTGGCATATAGAACACTGTCTTAATAAAATTCTATTATATTTTTTAATTTGTGTTGTAATTTTAAACAGTTGCTGTAGCTCAAGGAAGAAAAATAAAAATATTTTATGTAAAAGTTTATCTGATAATATACACTTTCTGCTACATTACATTTTTTCAGAAATTCTTATTTCTCGTTTCCTTTATAGTTTTCTTGTATTAAAATATAGTTTTAAGAACTTGCATTGTTGTCATTTACTGAATTCTTTTCCTTTAAAAATCTAATTATATTTTCCACAAAAAGAATGCATAGCAGTAAGCATAAAGGCATTTAAACTGAAGTATAACGAAATCTTTATAGATTGTGAAAAGTAATTTTTTTCCAAAAATAAAACATACTTTACCATATAGAAACTAAAGAGACATGCTACTAAACAGATAATTTGTGCAGCACATATAACATAAAAAAATATTATTTTGATAGAATAGAAAATATTTAAATGATAAAACTGAGTTGTTTTGAGGATGCACACAAAGTTTCGAAGCTTGTATAACAGGATGGAGAAAACAGCTGATAAGATATCGGGGGAAATAGATCCCCCAGAGGTCCTTTCCAGCCCCAAAGTTCTCATGTGCTGTTTATGATTAGGTAGCTGATGCTTTTCCTAGCATTCCTTCCCAGGTTGTTGAACAAGGATAGTACTCATAATAGGTACATCAGTCTCCCTTTGGAGAGACCTGACAACAAAGTTTCACTCTCTGTTAAGGCCACCAGTTAATTCTTTGGCATCTCCTCAAGACAGGCTGTGGGTAAAAGTTTCTATTAAGGGTTTTGTTATACTTTATCATGTGTGAACCGCAATATTCATGCCGATGACATTATATACTTTATTACTCTGATTTTCTTTTAGCTTTTAGCCATTCTTTTAACTCCCCTAACAAACTTCTGTCTTTCTATAACTCATGACTGAAACACAAGGTTTTGATGGTGGAGGAAGTATTTATATATAAATCCTCCTATGCAAACACATAGAGGGCCTTCCAAGGTAGGTGGGAAATTTCTCTTGCTAATTTTCCTGATATGCAAGAAACAAGAGGAAGCTAAGTTGCTTCCTAATAATAAAAAATAATAATAACAAAAAAACTTAAAGATATGAAGGGTCAAGGAGAAACCATAGATGAAAAAAGGAGGAAAGAGCAGGCAAGAGTCAACAAAAACTGTGTGACTGTGGAGAATAAAACTAGACAAACGGCTCTTCATTTGTTTATTGTAATACAAATATCCCTTCTCTGTTTCCCAGTTAAAAACTACAGAAAATAAGCATTTCACAGTCATGTTTTCATTAGTGGAGTTTTAGGAGAGTCTGAAAATATGTTGAGCTTTACATCTAGGTGCAAACAAAAGACCAAGAACCTAGGAGCCACCACAGGGAGATAAGATAACTGATGTCATTTTATAAAAATGACAAAGGTTGGCTGGGCGCAGTGGCTCATGCCTGTAATCCCAGCACTTTGGGAGATGGAGGTGGGTGGATGATCTAAGGACAGGAGTTTGTGACCAGCCTGACCAACATGGTGAAACTCTATCTCTACTAAAAATACAAAAATCAGCCAGGTGTGGTGGCACATGCCTGTAATCCCAGCTTTTCGGGAGGCTGAGGCAGTAGAATCAGCTTGAACCCAGGAGGCGGAGGTTGAAGTGAGTTGAGATAGTGCCACTGTACCCCAGCCTGGGTGACAGAGCAATACTCCATCTCAAAATAAATAAATAAATAAATAAATAAATAAATAAAATAAAAATAAAATGACAGAGGTAAGAATCATCCATCTTTCGCAGGGAGTAACGTTTTGTTATTAGGTCACTGGGTCTTCCTTATCCACTTCACTTTGGATGCATTCAATAACAGAGAGTCCTTCAATCCTTTTGAAACACCTTTGCAAACAGTATGACTGTGAGGGAAATCTAACATGGCTGGTTCCATCTTGCTTCTAGCTTCACAGGGTGGCTGTCTTCACTCATGACTGGGTGTAGGCCAAGTAAAGTGTGGGAGAAATTTGGTTTATAGTTTAACTTTGAAACAAAGATAATCATAGCCCCTCCCTAAAACTGACCCCCTACTCCTTCTTTAGGGGCTGAAACTGCCTTTGTAAAATTAATGAGAAGCCACAGGATTAGGATTATGGAAGGGGCCTGAATTCTGCTAAAATGTAGGCATTGTTTGTAATCTCTTACTGCTAAGGAGTTATGTGGCCAGAGGTTGCAAGATTTCTGACTTCCCCAATTGCTATTATAGGTAACATAACTATTTTAGAACATAAGATTAGTCTTTTGAGATGTTTTTTTTTTTTCAGATTGGCCCCACCTGGACTCCTGACTCATGGCTCAACTAGTCCCGTGGCTCCCTACTAAGAGACAGACTCAGTGCATGAAGACTATTTACCACACCACTATGATCCCATTCCCAACCATTCAGCATGACTGATTCCCAGATCACCTGCCCACCAGACTACCCTTGAAAAACCCTGATCTTCAAGCCTTCAAGGAGAATGTTTGGGTGATAACTCCAGTTCTTCCATGTGGGCAGCCTCATATTAATTGAACTCTTTCTTTACTGCAATACCACTGTCTCAGTACACTGGTTTTGTCTGTGCAGTGGGCAGGAAGAACCTGTCAGGCAATTACACTTTCTTCAGATAGATTTATGGGCATATTTCCATTCATGTTTGAATACAGGTGATGGGTACAGTTTAAGTTTCAGGAGATAAGTCTTGCTAGTAGAAACAAATGTATGATCTAAACAATTATAAATGTGTACATAAACGGTTCATAAGCAATGTTTTAAGTGTTTTTTCCATAGAATAAATTTTAAAACATGAAAACATAGGTACTTATGCTTTCCTTCTCTTTATGTTACAGTTTTCCACAAAATAAACCCTAATAAAACACTGAAAAGAATACAAAAAACTTACAAAGTTGTTGTTTCCAAGAAAACAGTGTGAAAGCCCAGCTTGAAAGAGTTAATGCTGTTTATTTTGTTTTTGCTAAATAAAACAATTTTTTTTTTTTTTTTGAGATGGAGTCTCGTTCTGTCACCCAGGCTGGAGAGCAATGGCACGATCTTGGCTCACCGCAAGCTCCACTTCCTAGGTTCAAGTGATTCTCCTGCCTCAGCCTCCTGAGTAGCTGGGATTACAGACACCTGCCACCGTGTCTGGCTAATTTTTGTATTTTTAGTAGAGATGGTGTTTCACCATGTTGATCAGGCTGATCTCAAACTCCCGACCTCATGATCCGCCCATCTTAGCCTCCCAAAGTGCTGGGATTACAGGCATGAGCCACCGCACCCAGCCAATAAAACAGTTTTTTATTTTGTTAAGGGATCCTTCTTCTGTTGTCTAAGAATAGGCAGCTCTTGCCATGAACCTGAGAACAAAGAGGTGCCCGCTCTCAAGTATTCCGACACAGTGGGCGCCATTAGAGAAGCTGGACTGCTCCCACATAAATGGCAGCTGCCCTCCAGGAACCTTCTAGTCTAAGGAGGCTGCCTGCAGGGTTCAAGGCTCTAGTTGTACATGAATTTAGGCTCTGAAAGGAAAGACCAGGGTATTTGACAAGGAGATTCTACATGACCCTCAGTGGAGAATTGAGAGATGAAAAGCATCCCATCAGGCACCCAGTGTTTAAATGCCATCTACAGAGACAGCATTAATATCCAGACAGCATCATCCAGAGAATGGGACAACCAGCAGAGCAAAGACCAGTATTCTTGCCTGAAAACTATAAAGGCAACACATTTTCATCCTTTTTCTCTTCTCTCCTTTCCACCACATTACACTGAAGTAGCTGAACCTTCAAGAAAGAGGAGACAAGTGATGTCTCAGACAGATCAAGGGCAGACTGCTCTCCCATCCTCTTTCTATTCAATCAGCCTGTGCTCTGAAGGATTTCTGCAAGAGATTTAAATTGGTCAGTTTTAATAGATAACTTGTTAGCTTCTCTCTATATTTCCCTTTCTCATTCAAGGGTTAGGTTTGTTTCATAGTTGAAAGACTGTACTTCTTGATTTTTCCACTTCTCAGTTACTGTTCAGAATCCTCTGTTTCTTCCTGACTGTCTCAACTTATCCAGAAGCTCTTACCATGACCACAGCTTGGTATTTCTGGACACGTCCCTCTAATGGAGTATCAGTCTGTTGGCACAGGCAGAAGTTGAAAGGTAATGGGCTGCAGATAGCCTACCCTTCTACTTTATTGTCTTCTCCCCTTATTCATGACAAGTTCATCACTCAAGAAGGTTTGGATGCCATTGCATTGAATTTTTTAAGGATTAGAGTAATTTAATGAACTTATGAAGAAATAGAAAAACTAAAATGGCAGGCAATATGACTTTTTACCCTTGTAAGGCACACACCCCCTAGGAGATTATTAATAGAATAGCAGTTTAAGTAGTAAAATAACATGATTGGATTTCATTAAGAAACAGTACTTTAGTAGCAGAGAGGAATGGGCGAAGTTACTGAAACCAATGAGAATGATATAGAAGATGCATATTTATAGGTCATCAATATGTCAATTAGTACATTTTAAGAACTTATTACTATTATGTATTTTAAAAATATCTCATGGAAACTAAATACTCCATTCTCAGAAACATACACATGTAAAAATTTCACAATTTCGAGGGTTGTATGGATCTCTTTTATCCATTGGAACCCCGGGAGGATCCCTTTTGCTACAAGTAAGGGAAAACTCCAGATTACAGCAATTTAAATAATAAGAAAAAAATTATTATCATACTTAAGATCAAGTTCCAAAGTTGGTGAAACAGTCAAATTATCACTACGGATATGTTTTCTTTTTTGTCTTTTTTTCTTCACCTTCCTTAGCATTTCAGGGTTTGTTTTTTTTTTTTTTTTTTTTTTTTGTCTTTTTTTCTTTACCTTCCTTGGCATTTCAGTTTGCACTTGGACTAATTCTCTTCATGGAAACAAGATGGATGCATGAGTTCCCAGAATAGCACCCAGAGCTGACAATACCCATGTAACGAACAATGACTATTTTTCTATATATATATCTCTCTGTCTTTTTTTACCAGCGAAGAAAACTTTTCTGGAAACATTCTGGCCTTCCTCCAGACGACTTCATCTCATGTTTAATTACTAAGATTGATTCCTATATTCATATATGACATTCTTCAATCAATCCATTAGAAAAGGAATGAAATCGTCTTTCAAAGTGCTACAACTTTTTACAAAATTGAGACACTGCCAGCTAGAAACCAAGAAAGAATGACTATTAAGGCTGAGATAGCATTGAATAGTTATTGTTAAACTATATATAGACTGAATATCTCAGACCCTAATTTAAGAAACCCCCTGCAGAAATTGCAGTTCAAGGAATTGGAGTCCATATTTGAACAGTTTGCAGAACAAAACCTATACTTAAGGGATAAGCACAAAAATGAATAAAGGAGATTGATAACAAATAGAGAGATGAATGGAAATCAAATGGAAAGAGATCTCTTAAGCCCAAGATGAACAGAGTTTCAAAAATCAAGTAGTCAAGTGCTTTAAAGGTTTCAGATATAACAATAAATATATGCAGAGAAAGATTCTGTTCAAACACTGTCAAATCAATAAGGTTTTCCTTTCCTCAAATTGTTGGTGGTAAAATTTCTCACATCTGAACCACCAAAGAAATACTCAATCTTTTCGATAGGAAGGCAACTCTAACTACTGCTCTATACTTCAATATTTCATGCCACATACATCACAATTATGCCTAACTTAATTTACTTACATAGTTGGGCAGAGCAGGAATGTTCTCCCTTCTTTATTAGACTTATTTAAATCCAGTCGTTCTTCAATGACTGTTGTGAGTTCCACTTCTCATACCCAAACTCAATTACATACCCAAACTCAGTTATATTTTCTAATGAAACTTTCTTTTACCATTACAGGCCATGTCGTTCTCTCCAGGGTAGCACAGAAGTTGAGAATCTGGGTATGTAAATAAAATTGACATGGTTTTGAATCTCTCCTCTGATGTGTGATCTTAGGTCAATACATGTCCTGGTCTCAGTTTCTTCATTTGTAAATTTGGAATTCAAAATTTCTCTTTTTTTAGATTTAAGTTAGGTTTATACCTAAAGTGCTTGGTACAGTACCTGACACATGGCAAATTTTCAATAATTGATATTAATAAACCAAATGCAGTGCATTTACGGGCAATTTGCCACTTCCCAGTTTTCTATTTCTTAATATCCCATTTCTTTCAAGCCTTCTGATATGGTTTGGATTTGTGTCCCCACCCAAATCTCATGTCAAATTCTAAACCCCTATTATTGAAGGAAGGGCCTGATGATAGGTGGTTAGATCATGGGACAGATTTCCTCCATGCTCTTCTCATGATAGTGAGTGAGTTCTCAAGACATACAGTTGTTTAACAGTGTGTAGCCCCTCCCCCTTTGCTCCCTCCTTTCTGCTCCCGTCATATTAGACATTCCTCCTTCCTCTTTGCCTTCCTCCATGAGTGTAAGTTTCCTGAGTCCCCCCCAGCCAGGCTTCCTGTACACCCTGCAGAACAATGAGTCAATTCAACCTCTTTTCTTTATAAATTACTCAGTCTCGGGCAGTTCTTTATAGCAATGTGAGAATGGACTAATACACTTTCACTGTTAGTTTCACAAACGAAGGTTTATCTGTCCAGTTAAGATGTAAGGACCAGCCCAGCTAAGAAAGTGGCTCTCTTGCTTTATGGTGTATAATAATCTCACAGAAACCTGGCTGAAATGGAAATTTTCTGGCTGTCCTTTGAGAGTTTGATATGGAATTGTTATGTTTGTGGCTAGAATATGCATTTTTACATAGTTCAGGCAATTTCTATCAGGTAGTCCATGGATGACTTTCAGAAAAGCCCAGTTTTAGAGTTAAATGAGACAGTGAACTGAGAATTCTTCCAGCTATGCCATGTTAGAAGCTCTATAATCTTGACATTGCTATTTTAAAAAAGTATCAGGAAGATAATATTACCCTTGCAAAGGTGAAATTCGGTTACATATGCTAGAATAACACACAAATTTTAGTTAATATAATTCTGACATCTTCGAAGAAATTGTCATGGTTTTCTATGCATTACCAAATAACATAGTAGAAAGTAATACAATTTACTGATCCATCAATTTAACAATACAACTTAACTGTGTAGACAAACTCCTCTTATAAATAGTTCATATCCAAATGAGATCATATGCTAACATCAAAGAATATGTACTGTGTAAATATCCCAGTGTAGAAATATCTTTTTAATGTAAAGACTTTTGTCGTTTGCTTAATTTTCGTTATAAATCCAGAGTAGTAGCCTTTCCAATGCTTCTCTAAAATATTAATAGCCCTTTTTATAGGTTTTCTTAAGCAATCATAGAAGCAAAGACAATACAAAGTTAATATAGTGAGTAGGTCATACATTCCCTCCTGGGACACACTATTCCCTGCATTACAATTGTTTAACTCTCCAGGGCTACATTTTTCCAATAATGTGCATGGATAGTTCCATTATCATCAAAGGTAACTGAACATTAATGAATCACTCAGCATGAAAAGAATAATGTTCTGTATCTTCCTGAATTTTCTAGGAAATCATCTAATAGTAGTTGGGTAAGTCTAAAAGAATCTTCCCTGAATAGACATTCTTATTTTTGACCTGGATTGGCTGTACCCATTAGTGTACAAGACACTATTAAATACATTGGGGTTTTTAAGCTAGATGGCTTCTCCACCTAAGAAATGTGGATTCTCATTGTAGCATATTCTTTGGATGTGAACAATTGACAGTGATATATTTTATTATCTTCTTTTCTGCACTATGTATACAATCCAGATAAAAGAAAGCAACGGAAAAATCTCTGGAAGTCAAGACAAATGCAACTGAGGAATGGAATCTGTGTTTAATTAACTGGACAGAACTTCTTCATTTACAGCAGTCTATAATATTGAATAGGATCATTTTAGTAAATAACTACCTTGTAGTGAACCTTTATTTTTGACAGATTATGTTGATGAGTTCCTTACATAATATACGCATGAATATGTTATTTGAAGAATGATATACAACATTTAATTGGCCAAAAAATGTGGTTTCCTAATGTTTTCTCCTGTGAGGATCTTCCAGATGGCTAAGAGGGATCAAGATTTCTCACTCATAGAAATTTGGAAAAATTTTTGCAGTAGGCACATATTTACACAACTCATATTAGGGATACTCTGAAAATGGCCTTCAAATATTCCTGCTTCCTGGTATTTACAGCTTTGTATAATTCTTTTTGAGTGTGCACTGAGCATCATAACTTTCTTTTAATAAGCAAAATATGACAGAGGTGACAGATGCCACTTCCATCCTGTTGGCACTCTTACTTTCTCTGACTTGATCAATTTGATAAAGCCAGCTGTCATGTTATGAGGTGACTTATGGAGAGAAGTTAGGACAGCCTCCAGCCAACACATAGATTCAGCCAGCAACTGAATCCTGCAGCCTAAAAGCTCAGGACGAACCAGTCATGCCATCAACTATGTGAGGGAGCTTGGAATGAAATCCTCCCCAAGGAAAGGCTTGTGATGAGTGGAGCATTGGCCAACACTGATTGCAGCCTTGTGAGAGACTCATGATCAGAGTATGCGGCTAAATTATGTCCAGATTACTGACTTACAAAAGTGTGAGATCATGACTGTATGCTGCTTTAAGCCCCCAAATTCTGGGATAATTTGTTATGCTGCAATAAACAACTAATACATTCCCATTACACAGGTATTGATATGTATACAAATAGTATGAAGAGAAAATATGATTTGCTTTACCATCTCCCTTCTTACTAAATGCCATTCTTGTCAATTAAAGCACTCATATTTTACATATTTTACATTTATATTTACACAGGATGCCTACATTTATCACAATACTTTAATGCATTGGTGTTGAAGAATATTGAAATATAGAAACAAAAAAGTTCTATTTATGTTTACATAAAATGTACTAAAAGCCAAATATATGAAAACTAAACAAACAGTGCTTTACAGCATGTGTATATGGATACTAGGTGTAGGGTTAAGGAGAAACCAATTATTTAATATTTGTAAGTTTTCTAAAAGTTAGTTGTGAATAATTTTTAAGAAATTTAAATTCCCATGTTCCTGTAAGAACATACTACATTTTTACTAAATAGTTTTTGCAAGCATTTTCATTTGCAGAAATAAAAGTTTATGTATGAGAATATAAGCAATATAAAACACATAAATGCTATAAAATACTAATAACATCTTAAGTACATACTCATATGCAAAAAGAGGCAAAAACGTCTTATTAAAAATTTCCCAAATATAATCTATCACCATTCTCATATAAGAAAACTTCCATATTATGGAATATTATTGATTAGACAGATAGAATTACTATTACATTTAGATTGGATTTATATCTATTTATTTATTTTTGAATGTCTCATTTGCTTTTCTAAGAGACAATCAATATCATTAAAATATTTATTGGAGTAAAATCTATTTGAGAGCAAATTCCACAGTACCATTTTATTTAGCCAGCTTATGTTAATTAAAACACCCTATTATTAAAATAATAGAAAAAATTAGCTAAATGTATAAAATAGCAGAAAGTTTTATAGTAACAATAATGCAAATATTACTGAAAAGGACCATAATAATTCTCATGGATATAGTCTAATGAGAAGTAAAGAAAATTTGTTGCAATATCCACATTCACCACATTCAAATATTCAGAACGTTTTGTTTTGTTCTGTGTTACAGAAATATGGTTTTATTTGAACTCATGTAAAGAATGAATTGATAATACTTTCAATGAAAAAAACTACTTTGAACTATGTTCATAATTAACTTACTAATGTATATAAGCTTATCTTGTAATGATCTTCCTTTAAAAAATTAGTTTTTAAAATAGTTTTTTTCACACTTTCATCTGAAGTTAGCCAATTTTTTGGAAGAAGGATTCTTTACTTCTTGTATAAGAGTCATTTCTAAGAAGATTTTGAAATTGTTTAATATTCATCCTTAGGAAGTCTTTCAACAGCTTTACATGTAGATTTTACTTCAGCTATTCAAATTTAATTTCACAACTTTGATTTACAGTAAAGTTTAAATAATTGCTAACATTTTTATCTAAACTATAGGAAAAATTGGGGCACACAACCAAATGAAACATTTTTGAGTTTCTAAAATAATATTTAATGTTATGTATATGCTGGACTAGTTTTTTCTTACAATGGAAACATTTCAAATAAGTTTATATAGATAATAAGACTAAATTTTACTCAATCGTACAGATGATTTACCAAAACATTAAAATTAACGTTTCCATTTAATTCTTTTGAAATAATGCAGAATCTAAAACATCATATTTGAAGATAGAAATATTATCCAAAATATCTCCATTTAATTGTTTAAACTTATATTATATTGCAGAAATAAAACTAAAGAACTTTAGAACGTGAAGTTACACTTTGATCATATATTTTGTTATGCTGTTATCTCCACTGGGCTAATTCTTTTTTTTAATTTGACAAAAATCACATATTTTTATGCTGAGCCTCAACTCTAACATTTATGCTAATATTTCTAACTTCTCTTCTGCCCCTTCCTCCTAGTGTAGGGCCAGATATTAATTTAATTAATGTATCATTTGACTTTTTCCATATCATAAGTTAAAGTTTAGCATCCAAATCCTAAATGTCTTCTCAATGGACACTTCATTTTCGCTTGCAATTTATTAATGTCAATGGGCAGTAATCCCTTTAAATATGTTAAGATGTTTTATTATCATAAAAAGTAATTCAACTCGACATACTAGGATTTCTCTGAAGCTCATCTTATGAAAATAAAATATGCCTCAATTCCTGGGCTTTAGAAACTATATTTTTCTATTCATGAAGTACAATATCAGTTCTCTACTTCTTTTTTGATTATCCATACTTGCCATTTTTTCTATACTGCTGATAAGATAAGGTGACATAACAGTATTTCATCATTTACTCCTACTATATCATTCTGAATGTTTCCCTTCTAAGCTATAAATTGAGAAAACAACAAATGCACACAACATGCACAATTACATGATGGTGTTCTATGTGAAAACACACACATATAGGAGATAAAGTCACAGGTGGAAGTAGGCAGAACATGCATTATATGAAGCTAAGAACCTCAGAAAGGTGTACACATCTACAGAATGTAAGAAAAGGCACGATGTTACCATCACAACAGAGCAATGGAATACAGTATCCCAAGTATTAATTTTAAAGTGGTCAGCTGCTATAGGGACCTTTGCAGCCATTACACGCATCTGTAAAACTCTATCTCTACATAGTATTAAAAAGAAATAATTGGTTTGAAGACACATTAAAGACAGTAGGCTAGAGCCTGAAATTAAAGCATGTCCCTTAAAAAAGGATACATATGGGAAGAGGGCAGAGCATCTTCCTGTGATTTTAGGAGCCTCAGAGTTGTGGTGATCACACAGTTTCCAAGTTTAAATCATATCCTTTATACCTGTTAAAAATTCTGAATGAATTTCATTGTTTTTAGAATTTAATCTAAGTATTTTAGCAATTTACATGATTCCAATCCCTGTGCCATTCCAGGGGTCTCATCTGTGACAGTTATCTGCTCACTTCCTGTGCTCTCCCTACACTGTTGCTTAGTTCCTTGGAAACAAAATTTCTTTCCTTTTTGGCCATATTTGATCTAATATTTTCTGAGTATTCTACCTTCTCCAATCTGTACATCTTTGCTTCTCATAAATAATGCCCATTCATTGTTCAAGTTTTAGCATAAATGTCACTGTTTCAGAGAAGTAGGGAGCTCATTTATTGTCTCTTTCATATGCAATTGTTTAGTATACTACATCTGTCTTTCACGGTATTAAGAGAAAATATTGTAACACATATTGCCTGAGGTTTATTTTGTGCTTATTTCCTTATCATTTCTTACATCTTTCTATCAGCAGGTGTCTTTCTATATGTCATATCCTCAGTGTTAAAGCTTGTGTAAGTTAAGAATGCCACTTTTTTTTAACTTCTAATTTTATATTACTTACTTTTTTTTTTTTTAAGACGAAGTCTTGCTGTGTCACCAGGCTGGAGTACAATGGCACAATCTCAACTCACTGCAACCTCCACCTCCCAGGTTCAAGCAATTCCCCTGCCTCAGCCTCCCAAGTAGCTGGGATTACAGGCATGTGCCACCACGCCCAGCTAATTTTTCGTATTTTAGTAGAGATGGGGTTTCACCATGTTGGCCAAGATAGTCTTGATCTCCTGACCTCGTGATCCACCAGCCTCTGTCTCCCAAAGTGCTGGGATTACAGGTGTGAGCCACTGCACCTGGCCTATATTATTTTCTTGACATTCTTAGTATAAGACGGATCTTGACGTAACACTTGAATTGCAAGTGACATACATTTTTGAACAACAAACAGCCTTGTGATTTCAAAGCCTGGCTTTTAAATAATAAACATCAAATAACTGAGTGAAAATTTTATCATTAAATGAGAGACTAAATAGAATTGGGAAAAAATGAGGAACCATATAAGAAGTTGCCTCCTCCAATTGTATGGAGGAGAGGATTGGAGATGGAAGAATTGAGGAGTCATCTGTGTGGATTATCAATGAATATACTATGTATATTAGCTCCTCTCAGGTCCAAAAATTGTGGAATGAGAGATGGAGACTGCAGTAATGTAGAAAAAACAGCTTCAGGATACAAAATCAACGTGCAAAAATTACAAACATTTCTATACACCAATAATAGACAGACAGAAAGCCAAATCATGGGCGAACTCCCATTCACAATTGCTACAAAGAGAATAAAATACCTAGGAATGCAACTTACATGGGATGTGAAGGACCCCTTCAAGGAGAACCACAAACCACTCCTCAAAGAAATAAGAGAGGACACAAACAAATGGAGAAACATTCCATGCTCATGGATAGGAAGAATCAATATCGTGAAAATGGCCATACTGCCCAAAGTAATTTATAGATTCAATGCTATTCCCATCAAGGTACAATTGAGTTTCTTCACAGAATTAGAAAAAAACTACTTGAAATTACATATGGAACCAAAAAAGAGCCCACATTGCCAAGGCAATCCTAAGCAAAAAGAACAAAACCAGAGGCATCATGCTACCTGACTTCAAGCTATACTACAAGGCTACAGTAACCAAAACGGCATGGTACTGGTACCAAAACAGATATATAGACCAGTGGAACAGAACAGAAACTTCAGAAATAACACCACACATCTACAACCATCTGATCTTTGACAAATCTGACAAAAACAAGCAATGGGGAAAAGATTCTTTATTTAATAAATGGTATTGGGAAAACTGGCTAGCCATATGCAAAAAACGGAAGCTGGACCCCTTCCTTAAACTTGAGACAAAAATTAACTCAAGATAGATTAAAGATTTAAATGTAAGACCTAAAACCATAAAAACCCTAGAAGAAAACCTAGGCAATACCATTCAGGACATAGGCAGGGGGAAATTCTTCATGACTAAAACACCAAAAGCAACTGCAACAAAAGCCAAAATTGACAAATGGGATCTAATTAAACTAAAGAGCTTCTGCACAGCAAAAGAAACTACCATCAGAGTGAACAGAATGGGAGAAATTTTCTCCCTACAGAATGGGAGAAATTTTCTCCCTACAGAATGGGAGAAAATTTTTGCAATCTATCCATCTGTAAAAGGGCTAATATCCAGAATCTACAAGGAACTTAAACAAATTTACAAGAAAAAAATAAATAACCCCATTAATAAGTGGGCAAAGGATATGAACAGATACTTTTCAAAAGAAGACATTTATCTGGCCAACAAACATATGAAAAAAAGCTCATCATCACTGGTCATTAGAGAAATGCAAATCAAAACCACAGTAAGACACCATCTCATGACAGTTAGAATGGCATTTATTTAAAAGTCAGGAAACAACAGATGCTGGAGAGGATGTGGAGAAATAGGAAGGCTTTTACACTGTTGGTGGGACTGTAAGTTAGTTCAGCCATTGTGGAAGACAGTGTGGCGATTCCTTGAGGATCTAGAACTAGAAATACCATTCGACCCAGCAATCCCATTACTGGGTATATACCCAAAGGACTATAAATCATTCTACTATAAAGATACATGCACACTTATGTTTATTGTGGCACTATTCACAATAACAACGACTTGGAACCAACCCAAATGCCCATCAATGGGGCCTGTTGGGGGCAAGGAGTTAAGGGAGGGATAGCGTTAGGAGAAATACCTAATGTAAATGACGGGTTGACGGGTGCAGCAAACCACCATGGCACATGTATACCTATGTAACAAACCTGCACATTGTGCACATGTATCCCAGAGCTTAAAGTATAAAAAAAAAAACCCCACAGCCTTATGTACATCTTTAAAATATATATATAATCAAACATACACTTGATAATTATATTACCCAATTGTTTAATGTTAATATTATTAATATTATAGGCCTCAATTATGTTATATCATTATAATAATTAATAGCATTTATTACTCATCTATTATGTATAATATCAAAAATATATTTGACATTATTTCTAAAACTTTACATTGAAACATTTGCACAAGTTAAAGTTGGCATACTAGATAATAAGAAAACAAATTTCGCTTTCACACCTAATTCCACAAATATGGTTTACTTTAATATCATACACTCATGGTATTAGAAAACATTAATAAATTTTACAAAATAAAAAACAGCTTCAAAATTTATAAATCAAAAAGCAAAAGCATCTTAATCCTCTTTTCTATTTGCAACTCTGGGGAAATTTCACGTCATATTGTAGAATTACTTATATGGGATACACAGAGTTAAAGAGAAATGGCATCAAGGCAGATCTAGGAAGTGAAGAAGTAAAATGTACCGTAAATTTCTTTTTACTTTGACCTCCCAAATGTATAGTACCCTAAGCCAATGAAAAGGAATATCCTAAGATTCCTCTCCTAAGAGAGATACAGAAGATGCCTGAAAAAAAAAAAAAATACAAATGAAGAGGTATATTCACATCAAAGAAGCAAAAAAGAAAGAAACTACAAATAAAACACACATGATTATCAAAAATAAAAAAATATACAGAGCTTAGGGATCAAACACTCACAATTGCTGAAGGGAAAACACCATAGGATTCTATTTATATGAGGTTGCAGAAAAGGCAAAACTCAATTATAATGACAGAAAGTAGATCATGAGCTATCTGGGTGGAAGAAGGGGGAAGGTAGGAGACTGGCTGGGAAAGGGCATGAAGAGAACTTTCTGGAATGATGGAGGTGATCTATATCTTGTTTGGGGTTATAGTTACATGTATGTAAATATTTGTGAAAACTCAATAAACTCTACACTTAAAAAAAAAGAAGATGCCTGAATTTTATGATCAATTTTGAAGGGATTCCATGACTCAGCGAAGAAGACAGAGATATGGTAATTTCAGCCTGGGAATGGAGAACAAAATGATAGCATATTTTCCAGGCTCCAGCATGAATAACTTCCCTTGACCATGGTGCAGACATCTTTCCAAATGAGGTAGAATTATATGGAATGTTCTCTGGATTTTAGATCATTGCAGGGAAAGTAAAATAAGAAGATAAAAAGTATAATAAATTGACAGAACCAGTAGTGCTCACTATCTTGAATTTGCAAGACTATATTTTCTGCTACCACTGAGGAAGAGGGTTGAGAAATAAATAGAAGTGTAAATAAAGTTTACTTTGAACACCATGTCTCTGAGCTTTAAATACATAAATACACAAATGCTTTGGTTTGTGATTAGTTTATTAATATCTACCTCCTCTACTGGTTCATAAATTATTAATTCCCTAATAACTAGAACTTTGTGTTTTGTTTATCACTATATCACTAAGGCCTGTTCTTGCAAATAGCAGTGTTCAATAAGTACTTGTTGAAAGAAGGAATGAAAGTGGGAGTAAAGAAGAAACGAAGGGAAGGAGGCAGAAAAAAGTGTTGGAATTAAACAAGACTTAAATAGAACAAGAAAGCTACAGTACAGGCTCAGTCACTGGTGATTTAGGATCCTGACATGCAAACGATGACAGCTATGCACAATCCTATTAAATGGTTTTACTTCGTTTTTGTAAATAATGGTATATGGGAGAAGAAATTATTAGACACTGAATAAACTCTAATGTTTCTTAGTGAAAAGTTTGAATTAGGGCAATACATCTTTTTCTCCTGTGACTGCCCCATGTCTTTCATTGTCTTATTTAATTTAAGGCCCTCACCCATCCTCTAAGACCTTGAATATGACCTATCCTCAAACATGTTAATTTCCAGCCCTGTGCATCACTTTGGGGATATAACGAAGAAGAAAATACTATAATTTCTCTAAAGCGATTCATAATCTCATAAAACTAATTATTTTATTCTAAATATACTTATTGACTCAAACAGCACCCTGAAAATTATAATTGGAATTTATCAGCAGACGAAAGGTTGGATTTTTCTTACTTTCCATATTGAAAAATGAGTCCAATAAGGCTAGAGGTGACTTTTTCCAAATTTCACAGTAAGACTGAAGAGCAGGGATTCTCCTCAACCTCTTCACAGTCAGTATTCCAAAATATGTTAAACTGATTGTCTAAAAAAAACTGGAATTTTCACCACTATATGGTGTGAAATCAGACTTCCAAGCTCTGCTTAAACATTACAACATCAAGGAAACCTTCCTATCTTTCCACATGTAGTTCATGTTCATTCTCATAATGCAGTATTTTTCCCTTCCAGACTACTTAACAAAAATTGGTTAATTATTATTCAATGTTTTGTTCCTGTCTGGAATGTACGTGCTATGAAATAGCTTTATTTCTCTTTTTTCTAAGTCTATGTTCTCCCTACTTTGTAAGAATCCTTCAAATAATTAATATTTATTAAATAGTATTGACTAGCATATAACTTTTGAACTAATTAAACAGAAGCGATCGATCCTTTGAGTAGTAAGGCTCTATTGTTTGAAAATGACAGAAGGTAAACCTTTATACACTGTGACCAAAAGGGAAGTTGATGGAAAGAATCCTGGTTTATCCAATACAGCTAGAGTAAAAACAGCACTGTGGCTGATTAGCAGAAAAAAACAAAACCAAGGATTCAAATGTGGACAGTTTTCTCCTCTACCCATTACTCATTTGGGAAAATCTTGGTGCCAGCTTTATTCTCTGATTCTTCACACTGACTTACCCTGCATGGCAGAAATGTGAGCACTAATGCTCAGGAAATAAAATCTCAGTCTAGCCCCTAGAAGGGAGTCGGCATTATGTATTCAGTCCAGTTCAAAAATCCCCAGTAAAAGTTATTTCCCACTGTGAGCTCATTCCTGGACTATTCAACTGAGACCTGGGATCGTTGGTGCCATAGTAAATAGCATAAGGTCTCTTTCAAGGCCTTGTCTGAATTTCAGGTCATGCATTTAGTTTGCTAACCACTTTGGGAGAAGTGTACTTAATATATTAAACTTTGTAATGTAGATGACTCTCAGGAAAACCTCCTGGATGTGCCTGAGGCCAACTTGACATTCTCATTTAAAGTTTTTTCCTTATTACTGGGAACAGAATGTATAATATGCTGCCATTACTATTAGAAAGAAGGTATTTTAGAAACTAGTTGTCCCATCCAAAAAGAGGACACACACACCCATAAAATGAAAGGTATTTAAGGAGTATTTTATAATCTGTTGCTAGAAGTTGCTTTTTATGTTTAACTTTATGTTTAACTATCAAACTTTTATGTTTTGATAGATAAATTTAAAGGTGTATTACCCACTAACCACTGATATTCCACCTACAGAAATAATATTTATTATTGGATACAATTATAACTCTTAACATAATATCTTTCTCAGAACACTTAAAGACAGGGCTATTACACAGTTGCATTTGATTTATGTATGTGATCACCTTTAATAAGTTCATATTACATGAGGTCTCTTCCTTGGCTTTTTAACAGGCTGAAATTTTTACCTTCAGGCAGGAAGACTGGAAGCAATATGGCTACTAAAGTTTTAATGAAGAGGACACCAACTTTACTTGGTATTAGGCTATGAGTCTTTCAGTTTATATTTTATTAGGCTTCTAAATCATACTAAGTTCTGGACTATTTACAGAAAAACGTAATGTGATCAAAAGTCTTTTTTATAACATTCATATAGGAAGTAAGCATGATACAAAGAATGAGCAAAAGATAATTTAAAAAATTTTCCAGGATTCTTATTTTGTTGACTTTATGCCATGCCAAGCAATGATGTATTTTCTCTTAAGTTTACGTCCCTATAACCATAGGTGGAGCTGATATAAATCAAACACTACTATTTTAAATGTTAATATTAAATAAATAATCAATAAACTATGAGAGCTGATATAAATAAAAAATTTTAATCCCATAATGTATATTATCCATTAGAAGGCTAATTAATCATGCTCATTTAGTACGTCATTACATTAGCTCATTCAATTACTCAGCAAACATTCACTCAATATAGTAACCTACAGAAAATACAGTGAAAAAATCTATGAACAATTCAATAATAAACAGTTGGAGATGCCATATAAGTATGTACTAAAGAAGACAATTGTCACTATAGGATTTTCGTTTGACTCTGCAAATGAAGAAATTACAAATGATTATACTTATTCCTTTTCTGAATAAAAAGTCCTTACTCCTATATAACGGCTTACCACTATAGTTTGCCAAGTCTGTTTAATCTTCCTACTCTGAGATAAAACTCAACTTCTGGTATTTAAACTTTAACTTCTGGCACTGTGCTAGATAGTGTTCTGAGCATCTAATAAGGGTTAATCATCCAAATCTATCTACCTGCTCTTATAAGCTCTTCATTATTATGCTATTACTAATAGCATTAATGTAAACGGTAGTAGTAATAATGATGATAATAATAAGTACATACTTCATGCTAGTCACCACACATGTTCAAATCTCTCTACATATATTAACTTATTTAATCCTCATTATTGGCCTTCTAGATAGGTACTGTTATTACCCACTGTATAGTTCAGTTTTTTTTTAAATAATTTGAATACTTGAAACAATTTAACAAATGATCTTCAAATATAGTCATTCAATTGCAAAGGTTCTTCAGTCTAGCACAATACCAGATTGCTTAGAAAAATAGTTTTGCATTATATTGAATAACAATTTTTATGGATGTATAATATTAAACAACCATGTAAGTTGTGACATTACAGTTAAACACATTTTTATTTATATTACTATATGTGTGGTGTTCTTAGGTATAAAATTATAAATCTCTTAAACTATAATGTTGTTCTCAAAAATGTGTGTTTTAACGAACAAGATTAATTCACTAAATGTCGCTGTACAACAGCTACAAAAAATCAGTTTTATTTTATAATTTTATATTTATAATTATATCTTGAGCTAATTCCATTGTCAAGAAAATTAAGTTTTGTGTACTTGTGGAATTTGTATTTCTAAAAACAAATTAAAATGAGCTTTTGAATTTTAAAATGGACATTAAATATAATTTTTAAAAAAGTCATTTGTGAAATGATTACTAAATATTTGAAATCTAAACATTTTCAAACATTTTTCTCCCCTTTCAACTCACTCTCAAGGGGAAAATACTATCTAATATTATCTAAGAGAATTATTGGAAGATTCTTCTGCCTGGTCATTGGCGTCTAGATTCTTCTTTTTTTTCCCTCTCTATAGCTGGGACCTCTTTATCTCTCAGTGCTCCATTGGTCCTTAATGTTTTTCTATGGATATTATGTTTAAGCTGAGATATGAATGACAGAATGCCTTCTATGTGAAGATCAGGGGAAATAAAGATAAAACAATGGTGAATTGAACATATTTAGAAAGAGCTTTCATCTCTCAGTGCTCCAATGGTCTTCAAGGAAGGGAGGCTGTGTAAGAGAATATGAGGGTTTGGACATCTGTTTTCACCATCCGCAGATCTAAGACTCAAGTGATTTACGCACCTCTGCCCTTCTAATAGTGGCCCATTCACCAAGTCTAGACCTCCATTTGATCAGCCCTGAACTTAGCCAGTACCTTGAGCTTTATATTCAGATCACTTTAGCTTTTATTTTATTTCTGACTTGTCTTTCAGTTTTAAGAGCTTCACTTTTCCTCAACCATGAGACATATTTGTCCCATATTCTTCCAGGATACTCCTATCTCTATTGCTAGCTGTTATCCTGGGCCTAGGTCACTTGTTGCCAGCACTTTTTTCATCTTTGTGTAACTCCATGGACTAAGGCAAGGAGAGTTCATAGCCAGGTGAATGTGCAGTGAGAAGGTGGTTTTTATGATTATCCCCAAGATAATTCAATTATTTTATACAATCCAAATCTATTTTTGTTTTAGAAGATAAATAACATACAATATATGGCAGTAAGGCAAGAAGGTCAATTCAAAAATGTTTACTGAAAAGGCCACTCAAACTCAAAAAGCCAGAGCTGATGGAAGATAATTTAAGTGAAGGTTGGAGGGGTTAATTTTGTCCATTCTTTACAGATTTGATGAGTTAATTCTGTATGTCAAACACAGCGTTAGCCATAAACAAGGTAGTTGCTCTCATGCTGTTTGTATCAGTACATACATGACCTGAAATCAATCAATAAATCCAAAAGTATCTATTACTATGTGCCATACAGAGAATTAAGATAGGGGAACAAGACATGATATTAAACATCAAATTGGAGGAGGCAGTCTGGTAAGATTTTTCTGTGGACATTATGTTAAACTAAGATATGAATGACAAAATGCCTTCCATGTAAAATCAGGGGGAACAAAGATAAAACAAAGGTGAATTACACATGTTTAGAAGTAGTTTCTATTAGTAAGGCATGCTTAAAGTAGTTTGAGTGAGATTTGCCAAACCAGACAGAAAACTATCTTTAAAGAAGTACAAAATTTCCCTTTATTTATTTATATTTATTTATTAAGCACCAACCCTGTGTCAGTAACTCTACAACATATGTAAGATATAATGATGAATAGAACCTCTTCTTCTGTCTTTTAGGTACTTAAGTTCCAAGGAAGGAATAAATATATGAATAATATTATTTATGTATTTATTTATTATTTTTTAGAGACAGGATTTTGCTCTGTCACCCAGAGTGTTGGCACATCACAGCTCACTGCAGCTTCTAACTCCTAGGTTCAAGCAATCTTCCAGCCTCAGCCTCCTGAGTAGCTGGGAACAAATGGATAATACTGTGGCAGATATTACAGATATTGTGGCTCACTTACATTCATTCTCAATATCTACTTTCTTTTCCCATAACATAGAGATAAGAAGTTAAAACAATACATAATTTGTAGATGTCCTGGCTTCAAATTGTCCATATATGGTCAATTTTTCTGCCTAGGGGTCTTGGAAGTATGTATGAGGAGCATGTGTTAGGAAACACACAGGACACCAGCTCTTTCAGGGAGTAGGGTAGACGGGAATGGGATTTTGCATCTTCTGAAGTAGTTGTAGTGGTATGTCTCATCTTTGGTCACAAGCCTCATAAATGCAGAGCTGTAAGTATATAACCGTGAGGTTTCTATGTAGAACAGTCTTATGGTACAGTTACATGTCTTTCCCATATGTAGACTCCTGGCTATTTGAATTTAATCATTTCACTTATATATTCTACATGAAGTTCTATAAGTTACTTAATACCCAGTTATAGGCAGAATTTAGCTTCTAATGCTTTATAACAAATTATCCTATAACTGAGCAGTTTATTTTGGCTCATTGATTCTGTGGGCCTGGAATCAATACAGAAAACAGCAGAGATGACTTGATTTTGCTCCAAAATATCTTGGTCCTCTGCTGGGAAGATATGATGGCTCAATATCTCTCTGTGTCTGTAAGCTAGAATCATTAGGTGATGTCTTCATTCACATGTCTCACTATTGATGTTGGCTGTCACCTGGGACCTCAGCTGAGCCTGTCATCTCGAACAACTATGTGTGGCCTTTTCAAGTGTTCCGAGCATTCATATAGCATAATGATCTTGGGGTACTCAGATTTTTAATGTGGTGACTCAGGAAGTATTAGTTTTCTATGCTGTGTAACAAATTATGACAAATTTAGTGACGTGACTCAGAAAAACAGACACTTAATATCTCACCAGTCTGTATGTCCAAAGTCTGGGTTCAGTCTTGGCTGGATTCTCTACTCAGAGTTTCACATTCAACTTTTTGGCCAGCTGTGTTCTCATTTGAAACTCCAAGAAAGAATTGGCTTTCTAGCTCATTCTGTTGGCAGAATTGAGTCCCTTGCAGTTGTGAAAATGAGGATCCCATTTTCTGATTGTCAGTGGAGGGCTGCTGTCACCTCCTGAGGGCCAGCAGAAGCCCTGTGCCCCAGAACTTCTCACAGGCACTTGGACAATTCCTCAAACATTGCAATTAGCATCAGGACCTCTCACCTCAAATCCCCACCATGCTTCACGCCTCTGTAACTTCTTATTCTGCTTCTAGACAAAATAAATGTCTATGCTGTTAAAGGTTTCATGTGATTAGGTCAGGCCCAGCCAGGTAATCTTCCTTTTGATCAATATGAAGCCAAATATAGGTACCTTTAATTATGTTTAAAAATTTTCCTTTTGCATGTAAAATAACATAACCACAAGTGTGAAGTCCTCAGGATGAGGGCAAGGAAACTTGGGGTACCAGTAAAGAATTCCACCTCCAACAGTGTGCAGGGTGGAGCCTGCATCATCTTTTCTGTTACAGTGCCAGGGGTCATGGAGCATCACATCTGGAACATTCTCTTGGCTAAAAGTGAGACCTTCTGATCAGCCCAGATTCAAGCAAAGAGAATGTTGAACCCGCCTCCTGAAGGGAGTGTCAAAGAATTTGCAGACATGTTTTAAAACAATTGTTACCATTCCTTAAACCTATTTTATGTAAAAAAGTTGGAATTACATTTATATATAATCACAATTCGTGGTCACTGTTAATTACAATACAGAAGAGCTGTGTAGACTCCTGTGAGCACACAGAACAGGTCCCTCAAATCGAGAGTTAAGATTATGAAGGGTGATATTTCCTGAAGGAAATATCTAATTTGACACATGGAAGTTTGGTACAAGTTTGGTATGTCAAAGAAGGGGATAACAGAGAGTGTTGACAGAGAGAAGAGGATATGTAATGTCCTAGGTTTGAGAAAAAGTACGACACATTTGGAAATAAAAAGGAGTTTGGTGTGGCAAAAATGTTACATTAGAGAAAGAAGAGTGGAAGGAAATAAAATTGAAGAGGTTAGTCGAGACCAATCTCTAAAGGATTTTGTAAGCCATATTAAAGAGTAGAAAATATGAAAAAATGCTCATCATCACTGGTCATTAGAGAAATGCAAATCAAAACCACAATGAGATACCATCTCACGCCACTTAGAATGGCGATCATTAAAAAGTCAGGAAACAACAGATGCTGAAGAAGATGTGGAGAAATAGGAACACTTTTACACTGTTGGTGGGAGTGTAAATTAGTTCAACAATTGTGGAAGACAGTGTGGTGATTCCTCAAGGATCTAGAACTAGAAATACCATTTGATCCAGCAATCTCATTACTGGGTATATACCCAAAGGATTATGAATCATTCTACTATAAAGACACATGCACATGTATGTTTACTGCGGCACTTTTCACAATAGCAAAGACTTGGAACCAACCCAAATGTCCATCAGTGATAGACTGGATAAAGAAAATGTGGCACATATACACCATGGAATACTATGCAGCCATAAAAAAGGATGAGTTCGTGTCCTTTGCAGGGACGTGGATGAAGCTGGAAGCCATCATTCTCAGCAAACTATCACAAGAACAGAAAACCAAACACCGCATGTTCTCACACATAAGTGGGAGTTGAACAATGAGAACACATGGACACAGGGTGGGGAACATCACACATCAGGGCCTGTTGGGGGGAGGGGGGCGAGGGGACGGATAACATTAGGAGAAATACCTAATGTAGGTGACAGGTTGATGGGTGCAGCAAACCACCATGGCATGTGTACACCTATGTAACAAAATTGCACGTACTGCACATGTACGCCAGAACTTAAAGTATTAAAAAAAAAGAGTAGAAGATAATGAGAAGTGAATCCTTGCTACTGTCACAATTCAGAAACAATTCCGGAGGCCACCTGATGGCTTTATGGATCTCTGTTACCAGAGTCCCTGCAACCGCACTCAGCTTGTGTGCATGACACTCTGTTATCTGTCACTAGCATATCTTAATAATGACTGGTCAGTGGAATGGCCTTCCACAGACACCAGCGTCAGTATCTTCACAATTTACCTGCTCCTTCTGGGTCTTGGCACCTGTACTGTTTTCTCTGGCTCCTCGCAGTGACCCAGTGTATTCTGAAATCCCAAATTGAACTACTTGCTGTTATAGTTACGTGGTTACATTCAGAGATTCTGTACTACCTATGGTTTCATCCAGACATAAATTTTCCCGACATTTAGACACCATCGGTGTAATCATTAATAATTACATACATTTATAATAATATACACTTATATACCACTTCAGCTTTTTCAAGCGTTTTTAAATGAATTTTCATACTGTGTCTATCTCTGAACTTTCCCTAATCCCAGTTGTGTACCCAATACTGAAGCAACACATTATACTTTGTCTAGCTGATTCTTTCTTATGTTCTCTTTAGGTCTCAGGTTAAATGTTTCTTCCTTAAATGTTACTCTTACACCCTTGCAATGAATCTAAATTTCATTCTGTTACCACTTTCATCGTATTTCATATTCTTTCCTTTAGAATTATATATTGATTTTTGTTATTTGTTTAATGTCTGCTTCTCCCATGATAATGTGTTGTCTCACAGGAAGTCTGCTTTTCTCACCATGTATTACCAGAATCTCATAGGTTTTAGTAAGTATTTCTTAAATTTATGTATAATTCATTGGCATTTCCGGATTCCAGTAGAGAAGTAGAGGTGAGAGATGATTAAAAGTATGAAAAACCTATCTTCAGTATAATTTACAATGTGTGTTGATTTTGACACAAAATATAAGTAAAAACATCCTTATAGGTAAATACAATTTGAAGATATGTCCCATTGCCACTGGTGTCTTCCTCCCCATCTCAAAGAATATATTGACATGCTCACCAATCTTGTTATGGTAATCCCAGAGCTGCTGTTGGAGTAGAGAAGTATGCTTGAGCTTTTCCAACATGTGACATGAGTTAGGGCAGATTTTCCCCGGTGACATAGACTTTCTGTGATAGTGCAGTGAATAGGTGGCAAAGCCTTGGATGTCTAATACATGTTACAAAATGATGATATCTAAAACCAGACTTTATCCTTCTTGCCAAACTGCTCTTGCTGTAGTTTTCCTAATTTTAATAGAAAGAACCTCCATTCTTCCGGTTGTTCCAACCAAAAAACCTAGAAATATTCTTAACCTTTCACTTTCTCTCATATCTGGTGTTTATTCCATCATGATACCCTGTTGACTCTCCCTTGAAATACCTCAGAGCCTGGTTCTTCTCACCATGCGTGTCCCCCGGGGACAAGCCAAACAATACCTTTCACCCTTATCAGGTCATCATTCTCATCAGCATCGTCTTTCACTTATAATCAGGACTTCCTATTTCAACTTTGCCCTCCACATTCTATTTCCTTATTAAACATTTATCTATTGCCTCTATGATATATTTAATATAGCTTATATACGTTTATATAGCTTATATATGTTATATATGTTGCTATGATCTATAAGATATGTGCTTATATGTATATTATTATATTTCTATGACATATGATGATATATGCTTATAATATATATATAATATAAGCATATATAAGGAGCATATATGACTCTATATGCTCTTTCTTTGCTCAAAGCCATCCAATGAGTTGATATTTCCTTCAGAGAAAAATCCAAAGTTTTCCAAAAGCCTAATATGCCTGCCCTCAAATTCCTAATACATCCTTTCCTGCCCATTCTCTTGTTCACCAGCTCAAACCACAGCCTTGTTGTTTCATCAACTTACCGGGAATTTTGCATTTGCTATTGCCTCAGCCTGAATGTTTCTTGTGTTCAGTGTCCACATGATTCTTCTTTTAATTCAGGAGTCTAAAGTGGTGTCTAACCTGGTGTCAAGTGTTTAAATGAATGCCACCCCGTGAGTCTTTCTTGGCTACTTTATATAAAAGTTTATGCTATTTGCCCTAAATCTCTGATTTAGTTTAGATTTCTCCAAAAGCAGGCCATGAGTGATAGTTCATTTTACGTGTGAGCTTGAGTGGGCTGAAGGATGCCCAGATATCTGGTAAAACGTTATTTTGGAGCAGATCTGTGAGAGTGTTTCTGGAAGAGGTTAACATTTGTATTGATAGACTAAATAAAGAAGTTCATCTTAACCAATGCAAATGTACAGCACCCAATTAGCTAATGGTCTGAATGCAACAAAAAGTTTAATGAAGGGCAAATTTGATCTCTGCTTGAGCTAAGACGTTTGCCTTCTCCTCCCATAAGACATCATAATGCCTGGTTCTTGGGCCTTCACATTCAGACAGGGACTTACACCATTGGTCTCCTGGCTTCTCAAGCCTTTGAATTTGGACTGGAACTATATCATCAGCTTCTTGGCACCTCTAGTTTGCCAATTGTCAGTCTTAGCTTCCATAATCACATGAACCAATCTTTCATAATAAGTCTCTTTTTTTGTATTTACAAATATCTTATTGGTTCTACCTCTCTGAATCATCCTAATACATCCTGAGAAAAATATCTGGGTGTAAGTTGTTTTTTCAGGAGGTGACCCCAAGAACACAATGGGAAGGGAGTTTGCAGCAGTTAATACAAAGTATATTACTGAGTAGGCTAATGCTATGGGATAGCGCTGTGAAACTCAGTAGATTTCATGAAAAAAAAAGCAGTGTTGTCCCACCTGAGGGGAAAGGAGGCTACAATATTTAGCCCCACTCCATTACATAATGAAAAAAGAATTGCTCCTGGGTTACTATAGCCTCATTGTCTGTCTCTCCTACTTACAGCTCCAGTGCACTCAGGTAGCCAGAAAAAGACCTCAGTCACACGTTCTTTCGCTCAGAAGCTTTTGGATCCCTACACATAGAGACAAGGAGTACTGGCATGTGGATGGGGCTCTGACAATGTATACAACACCCTCACTTTTGATGAGTTGAAATGTTATATCATATCATATCATATCATAGCAATTATCGATCATCTCTCTTCCTCAAATAAAATAGTAACAACTTAGGAGAAATAAATATTATTTTGGCCATTGTTTTATTTTCAATGTCTGCCAGGTACTTGTTAGTTTCCCCCAAATTGCTTTTTATTTCAGCAAATAAAATCAAAGTTTGCAGTCACATTTCTAGATTCTCAAACCTTACCACCTACTAATGGACAGTACATTATGCAGGACATCTTTAGTAGATATAAGGCATAAAAGTACCCAGTTCACATGATAGGAGTATAAAAAGATTGTTAGAAAATTTATCCATTTGATAGCATAATTCTAAGACTCTTGCTTTCCCTTTTTGCCAAATCTTGTTCAGGAAAAACAGACTGACATTTTAAGTATTATAAATCTTGACATACATGTAGGAATAGGTACTTATTTCAAAAATCTAAGATGTTGGTAAACTTTCTGACCATCTGTGTATTTGAACAAAACAGATACCCTCTTGACCTTTTCCTGCAGCTATGGCAGTGCAGTCACTGAAATGAAGCTGAGAGAGTAGTGCGGAGGCAGATGGCCTATGTGAGCGGTCTCATAGAAGGGAAGGAAGATTTAAATATTAGATCCAGCATATCCCTTGAATTTGAAAATGTAATCTCCCTAAACTTCAGTTTTAATAAAGACTTGACTATGCAAAGGTTAGAAACCACTCATCTGGTCTCTCTTACAAGAAAATCTGCCATTACTGGAATCAGCTAGTATTTTATTTGAAACAACTAAAATATATATTTTATGCCAATATTGATTATATAGATGTTTACATTTTTCTTCTTCAGATCATGCTTTTAATTGAATATCATTGTCTAAGAGAGATTATAAGAGTCTTAATAAATAGATGTTTCTCTTTCAGTTCATTTATCATTTGTCTGCCTGCGAGTTTGTGCAAAGCAAGAGAAGGCCGGTGGCCCATAAGAAATCCTGAATAGATGGGCAAAAGCTATTTAGGTTTTGCAAATTTCCTTCAAATCTCTATAACAGAAATAGAAATATCTATAAAGGTCAAAACAGTGTTTACAGAGGAAGGATGTTTAGTGGCTTTTAGTTTTAAATGAATAGCTCCCCAAAAATAGAAAGTGAAAGATAAGTCAAAGATCTTTATTTCACTTTTTAATATTCTAAGATTTTGGTCAAGGTAAAGTTGAACAAGAAAAAATGTTTCAGCTGAAATGTTCTCCCTTCTTTCTTCCAGTATTCTTCTTATATTCAACTCATATGCAGAGAATTATAAAAATGACGCCTTTTTTCTATTGCTTTGTTTATCCAAGTCTTCTAAGTTATATTTGCTTTTTTTAAATTTTCCAATCCAAAACTTGTCACCGTACAATTTTAGTCTAAATTCTTAAAATAATAAAACAAACATTAATTAATTATATATTTGTCAATGCATATTCAATAACAGTTTTTCTTCTCTGTCCGTGTCTAGAAAAAGCCATGAGTAGTAGATGATAGCAAAAATCAGAACACTCTTCCTTTCTCTTGAAGATGTGGAGACTGGCCTCTCCTATTTTAATCTGGGCAGGTTGTGTGACTAACTTTGGCCACAATGTGGCAGAAGGGACAATGTATAAGTTTAGAACCTAAGCCTCAAGAGACTTTGCACCATTATGCTCTCTCTGGGAATTCTGGGACTGCCAGTTTAACAAGTGCTATACTCTCCTGCTACAGAATGAGAAAAAAGGTGAGGTTAGGCCCCAGTTAGCCTTTCCTTATGACTATTTCATACGAGGCTCTCATAAAGCAGCCTGATGTCTAGTTGATTGCAGCTGTATAATTTACCACATTTAGATTTCATACCAGAAGTACCACATAGCTGAACCCAGTCTAGTAGATTTGTTAGATTCATGAATATTTGTGGTAGGTAGGATTTCTCACCTGCCAAATATATATACACCATGTGCATATTCAAGTACACTGTGAATTTGGTGTGTTTTCATGATTAAGTTATACTATATGGCATAGTTGGCCTTAATATAGATTATCTGGGTAAGCCTGACTTAATTACATGAGCCTTCTAAAAGTTTTTTCTAGCTACTCTCAGAAAGGGATATTGAAAAGATCAGAAGCATAAGAGGGTTTTTGACATAGGGGAGTTGTTCTGCATGTCTCAGAGGAGCCCAGATGGCAAAAACTGGAGAGCAATATCTAATTGCTGAGACAACTAACTAGCCAATAGCTAACGAGACAAAGGAGACCTCAGTTCTGCAACCACAAGAAAGTCAATTCTGCCAACAACCTGAGGGATCTTGGAAATAGATCTTTCCTAAGTCAAGCCTAGAGATAAGTACACAACCAGTCAATGCCTTGATTCAACCTTAGGAGACCCTGAGTTGAGATAGGAAATGCTGGATTCTTCAGGACATAGGCATGGGCAAGGACTTCATGTCTAAAACACCAAAAGCAATGGCAACAAAAGACAAAATTGACAAATGGGATCTAATTAAACTAAAGAGCTTCTGCACAGCAAAAGAAACCACTGTCAGAGTGAACAGGCAACCTACAGAATGGGAGAAAAATTTTGCAACCTACTCATCTGACAAAGGGCTAGCATCCAGAACTACAATGAACTCAAACAAATTAAAAAAAAAAACAAACAACCCCATCAAAAAGTGGGCGAAGGACATGAACAGACACTTCTCAAAAGAAGACATTTATGCAGCCAAAAAACACATGAAAAAATGCTCATCATCACTGGCCATCAGAGAAATGCAAATCAAAACCACAATGAGATACCATCTCACACCAGTTAGAATGGCGATCATTAAAAAGTCAGGAAATAACAGGTGCTGGAGAGGATGTGGAGAATTAGGAACACTTTTATACTGTTGGTGGGACTGTAAACTAGTTCAACCGTTGTGGAAGTCAGTGTGGCGATTCCTCAGGGATCTAGAACTAGAAATACCATTTAATCCAGCCATCCCATTACTGGGTATATACCCAAAGGATTATAAACCATGCTGCTATAAAGACACATGCACATGTATGTTTATTGCGGCACTATTCACAATAGCAAAGACTTGGAACCAACCCAAATGTCCAACAATGATAGACTGGATTAAGGAAATGTGGCACATATACACCACGGAATACTATGCAGCCATAAAAAATGATGAGTTCATGTCCTTTGTAGGGACATGGATGAAGCTGGAAACCATCATTCTCAGCAAACTGTCACCAAGGACAAAAAACCAAACACAACATGTTCTCACTCATAGGTGGGAACTGAACAATGAGAACACATGGACACAGGAAGGGGAACATCACACACTGGGGACTATTGCGGGGTAGGGGGAGCAGGGAGGGATAGCATTAGGAGATATACCTAATGCTAAATGGCGAGTTAATGGGTGCAGCACACCAACATGGCACATGTATACATATGTAACAAACCTGCACATTGTGCACATGTACCCTAAAACTTAAAGTATAATAATAAAAAAAAAAGAAAATGCTGAATGCTTGACACATGGATATTGTGAGATAATATTATGTTGTTTTAAGTACTAAATTTGTAGTAATTTGTTACATAGCAATAGAAAACTAATGCATTTGTTCTTGTTTTAAACTGCTAAGTTGTGTTGATGTTTTATTATAATGCAAAAAGTAACTGCTACCCTGAGAATAGAAGTCATAAGATTGCAGTTGATAGTCTGCTGTTGAGTTAGCTAGATCAGAGCTACATTTCTGATGTAGAACCACATCATCCTAAAAATAATTAATTTTTAAATGTTCATGTAGGGGCATCCCCTTTTCTTACCTCTCTTCTAAGGGAGCAAACACTCTCCTCTTTAGGGTACTATTTGTTTCTCAATCATAATAATAAGCAAAGACATAAATAATTAACATAGTGAATAATAATAGAAAAGGCAAATTGTTAACCTACTTTTTGTGTTTTTTTTTTAATCCTGAAGATTTATCTGAAGATAACCATAGTAATTACCATTCCAGCACAATTGGTAGATCATTTCAAAAGATTCGAGACATTCATTTGAATATCTGGATCATGCCTCCATTAAGTTCCTTGATTCTCATTTGCCTTTTTCATATTAGCTTAGGTCAGCAACTTAAAAATAGTAGGAGATCAATAAAAATTTTGGTGAAGTTATTGCAAAATTATTTTAGAAAACATCAAAAATATGCTACAAAATATTACCTCTTGGCTTTCCATCAAGAAACAGCAGCTAATCATCTAACTTCTATAATAGGAAATGAAATCAATGATTTTAGCTCATCCATGTTATTTGTCTTGGATTACTGTAGATAACAGCACAGTGAGACTTAATTGCAAACATACCTTTAACAGGAGTTATTAAAACTAATGGGTGAGATATCTTCATAGCAAAGACCTGCTCCTCAATATGTCTAGCTTTGCATTTAGCCTCCATATGAATAAATGTTTACGGACTAAGAATATATACATAGAGAAAGAAAAATATAATATTACATACCAGATAATTGAGAAGCAAGCCTCAGAATAAATTAGCATATGCAACTAGGAAATATAAGCAATTCAAGGAAAATATCAAATATTACATACAATATTTTAGAGGTAGTTATATTTTTAAAGTATACTTCATGTATTATCTGAGTCTGAAAATGTCCCTCTTCTAAAACTCCTTTTATATTATGATCCTACCCTGGAAGTATTCCTTTATCTCTAGCTTTCAAGCTGATGTAAGATTTCAAAGTTATGGACTTATAGTTCTTTATAGAATTTCTTTTGTTAGCCTAATAAGAACTACAAAACCTGTACTAAACGCCTCAGAATAATTATACCAGAGTTAGAATAAGCCAAATGGATACTTTTTAAAAATATAGTCTATTATTACAAACAAGTTTCATGTTTAATTCTAACAATAGTGGTAGCCATTTATAACACAATGAGTAAAATAAAATAGGTTCTGTTTTGAATATTGTATTTGTATATTGTTTAAGGTCATGCTTAAAGAAGTTTGACCATTATATTTGTAGATGCACATAATCTTTCAGCTTTATAATTCAAAACTGAGCGCATAAAAGGATAGAAACACAAATAATGGAAATGTGAAGTCAGATCCAAGAAAAATGTGAACTCAATTTTTTTTCTGATGACATATTTAAGTAATAACTAAACAGACAATGAATTGTGAGAAGAAAAGGGAGCATATATTATTGTGTCCACATTATATTGGGAAGGATAAGAACTAGAAAAATCTCTAAATACATCGTAAGTTACACGATCACAGTTTTTAAAACATCAAGCCAGATTAAGAATACAATTTCTATCACATTAATAATATTAACCACTATTGACTTTTTTAATGACATATGAGAGTGCTCCAAATAAAACCCCAGAAGTTTAAAGACATGCTTTAAGAAAGCTTGAAGACAGCACCATCATTCTGAAAATGAAATGTCTAGAACGGACTGTCCTAGAAAATCAGCAAAGAGCAGAGATTGGAAACTGAAAGCAGAGAGGTTGTCCACTGTTCATAAATACGACATTTGCCAATCAATAATAATGATAACGATGATGGTATTAAAATTACTAGCTATTATTTCAAAGTACACATTTAAGATTATCTTGTAAAAATCAGAGTATCTAGCCACATTTGGTAGTCAGCATTCTCACATGGCAAAAACAAGCCAGAATTAAGGAGCAGCTTTACCATTAAAGAGGGCTATGCTCATGTTCCCCAGAGTCTTCAAACTCCCTTTTGCGTTACTTTAGTTATTTTTTTTTCTTTCCTGTCCCTACATCCATTTGAGAACCTTATCAAAAATCAAACAAACGCAAATAAAAACCTTCGGGGAAAGGAGAAAAGGTAACTGGGTTCTGATTTAGTCTTTCTGCCCTTTCATCATTTAATCCCCCCTTTCCTCCTTTTCTCTCTTCCTCCCATTTTATTCAATGATACCTTTAGCAAAAATAAATCAAGCATCACCTATGCACCAGGATTTGTGCACAGAGCAGTGGGGAAGACACAGCATCTGTCCTCATTTACAAAACAGTTCAGCCAGAAGCAGAGAGAGGTAAGACGCCAATAATCACACAAAGTGACAGATGCTATGTTAGTGTTCAGTGTTAAGGGTTCAAACACAGTACATGAGTAGTATTTGGGGGTCAGAGAATATTCAACTGAGGAGATGATGTAAAAATGATGACAAGAAATTAGCCAGGTGAAAATTTTGAGCAAATTTCTGACAAAAATGAACTGAATATGCAAAGTTTGATTATAAGAAAGTGTAAAGTATATTCAGGATGCATAAGATGCATCTTTCAATGAAACATGTAAAGCATGTAAAGAAAGAGACTAAGCCATCGTAACAAATTCCGAGTTGATCCAGAGGGCACAGGGTATTCAATCAAGGACATTAAGTAGTGGAATGTTAGTTCATAAATAATTGTATTCATGAAATGTATAATGACACAAATGTTCGCATGACACATGGGTACTCCTTGTTCATGTCTGAAAGACACTCAAACCATTTTTCATCTGTTCCCACACCACAGCATGATCAACACAGAAGACTTCTGTAACCAAATGTTGGGGGAGGAGTTTCTTCCCACCGCTAAGCAAGCAAACAATTCTGCAGCAAACAACTAAGTGTCCTCCAATTCAATTCTGACACTATCTACTCGGAGATAGCATCAGATCCTACAGGTTTTGGGCTCAGTCCCCAAAGCTGTCCCCACCTTCGCCTTCAGAGACCTGTTGCAAGTCCAGGTGTTGGGAACTTCTGACCAACAGGTTTCAAGTTGGGGCTCACACAGCTTCCTCTTTGGGTTCAATTAATTTAATAGAGCAACTCACAAAACTCAGGGAAATATACACTACTCTATATGTCCTTTCCTGTTTTATTTTTCTTTATAACGTTATTTTACTTAACATAACATTACATATCTACTTAATTTTATTTATTATCTATCTCCCTCACTAGAATATATTTTCAAGACATGAAGCCAGGATATTTTCTGGATTTTCCCTGTTGTAACTCCCTTCTGTAGATTGTTTTCACACCCTCTCTGAAACCATTAAGATCCATTCCCAAACAAATAAATGAAAATATGTGTAGTTTAGTTCCAAATTGTCATTTCACTCTTTACCAGAGCTCTACTGCATCACAGTTGGCATCTCTAAGAGTCAAATATCAGGATAGCGAGTGCTTTTGAATTCCGTGCCCAGAGTCTCAGGAGACTGATTTTCGAAACCGGAGAACTAGAAATTGGAGAACATAGCAGCAGACAATAGTAATTCATTGAGTATGAGGATGAGTAGTGAGAAAAATCTAAATGTAGATTGAAATTAGGTCCTGAGACAATTAGAGAAAATGAATTGGTCCCCCCTTTGAGTAAAACTCTGTATGAAACAACTGACACAATGATTTAAACACATGTACTTAATAAATAATTAGAAGAACCAGGAGGAAGAAGAGCAAAAGGGACAAAGAGAACTGGAAGGAACTGGAAATGGCAGAGTGACCAAAAGTGACTCGGAGCATCATGTAACAAGGCGACCAAAAATGACTCTGAGCATCACGTAACAAGGCAATTTTGCCACAACATTAAGGCTACAATCTGTCTTGTGTGGCCTGGCTTGGACGGTATCTCTCTAATCTTTAACATAGGATACAGATATTGTTTTAAAGGTAGAAACTTGGGCTTAAATATTTTGAGTAATTAGTTTGGCAGTCAAAGCCATATCATGTTTCCTCATTACGTCTAATTTTCATCATGAATGTAATAAAGTTCAAAATGAATGTTCTGAGATCTGTTTCTATTTTAAGTGGCTGATATTCCTATATGAAAAGTCAATGTCAATGCATACTCCCTCTTGCTTACGTTTTCTAGGAGCAAGAAATTTTGTAATATCAAACAATATTGTCCACAGAAGTCTGAAATATTAAAGTATCCCCAGTGGAATCAGTAGGCAACGATAGATAGAGCAGAGTGTCATTGGCATAACAGTGATGAATCAGGCTATTTTGTTGGAAAATTGAAGACCATGATAGATAGATAGTAAGGAATTTATTTGGTGAGCAGGCAATCTCTCATGAAAAATATGTGTCGCAGTCAGACACACTAACATTTTGTATTCTCTTAAAGCCTTAAATATCCATATTTTGGAGACCACTCATCTCCTGGCTAATTAAGATGTGCGTAAATAGAATGTGTAAGTGACAGGGTTAAAATCTATTTCTTGAAAAAGACTATAACTATTTGGCTGATTTCGTTAAAATTTGTCAATTTAAAGCCTTCATTGTGAAGGGTCAATATTGGAGGAAACTAGACTTTGGCTTTGAAAAATCCTACTAATTAGTAGTCCTTTTCTCTGAAGGTTAAATAGATTCATGTCCACTTTGATATATATGTTTGGAAAATTAAGTAAATTGAACAAAAATGTTCACTAAGAGTAACAAACTTCATAGGAAAGTTTCCTAGCCTTTCCATCCTGACATCAAGACACCAGTTTGGTGGACATACACATGAATACTCCTCTGTCCTTGAGTACAGGAAGAACCTGTGACTAGGAGGATCAACTAAAATGACAACATTAATGGGATGTCACTCCCTTTATTAGTTTATATTATATTCCAAAGGTGTTGAGATTTATTTTCATGATCACAATATGTTATAAATAATGCCACTTTAGGAGACTGGGGAGAGAGATCATCCTTCTGGCCATGAACAAGTAAGCTGCCACCTTGTAAGAAAACCACATGTCAAGGAATCACAGGTGGCCTTTAGGGGCGGAGAGCAACCCTCAACTAGCAGTAAGGGAGAAAATAGGACTCTCAGGCCCATAGCCATGAGGAAATAAATGCTGCCAACATTCAGAGTGTCCTTAGAAGCAGATTCTTCGTCAGATAAGCATCCAGGTGACCATGCTACTTGGCCAACACTTGCTTGCATCCTTGTGAGACCCTGAGGAGAGGACTCAGCTAAATAGTGGCCAGGATCCTCAACTGCACAGGGTTAAATAATAAGGGTATTGTTTTCAGCCATTAAGTCTGTTGTAATTTGTTATGCAGCAATAGAAAATTAATATACCCACTGTGGTAAGCATTATTTTAAACATCTAGCAATGGCAGAATATAAAGGTAAGGAACATATAGAGACAAAATAATGATGTCAGTTGTTTGACCTGCATGTGAAATTATTGCATTATTTACAGAATTTTATTGTCTGCTTCTTGCCTAACGTTGCAGTATATTAGGCCTACAAAAAGTTATGCCAAAATAGAAGATATTTGTTCATTATCTTAAAAAAATCTTGCAATGTAAAGGACAGGCTTCCACTTATAAAAGAAAAGGTGATATACTGAAGAGAAAATTTTGGCAAATGGTAAAGCATAATTGAAGTTTGTCATTTACACACACATATTTTATTTTATGTTATTTTATTTATAAAACAAATCACCATCTCCAATTTGGGTTAACCTGTTTTTTTAAAATATATTTTTATAGGGTACAAAAACATCAGAATACTGAACTTTTATTTAGTTTAGTTGTGAGATACAGTCTTATCATTCTCTGAAGTGTGGATTTGGTAAAGGGGTTACTAATACATTAAAATTTAATCAGATAGTTTGTAAATCTTAAAGCTCAATTGAATGTAGGTATCATATATTTCAGTTATAGTAAAAAGATCATATGGACATCTATCTATGAGCAAATCAAGAGAAAGAAATGTAACTTGTGTTCATTCCTACACTTCCTATTTCTAGCATAGCAGTATGCATGTTTAGGCATGAAAATGGTTGAGGACAGAAAAAAAAATTAGAGCACAGAAAGTATAATGCAGTAAATTACAGTCTCTGGGACAGATGATCCCTACAGTTACAGAAGAGAGTGAAATTGGTATGAGTTATTGGATATAAGGAAAGTATTAGGGGAAAATGCAGCACTTAGATTATAAGATAGTGGAGGCAGAATAAATAATAAATTCAAAGATAAAAAATAGCAATTTAGAAACAGAAAATCACTTGGTTAAAACAATGAACCCAGTTCAATGTATAATAATAAACACACTGACTGATGTGGAGTGGATTGATTATACAGAGGCATAATAAAAAATCAGGAAAATTTTTAAAGGTCTAAAATATTTTGGACATTTGAGATACTCAGTTTGATGTACAAATCAATGAATGTAATAGCATGCCCGTACGAATAAAAATTACATAAAGATAATGTTATTTAAGAAAGGAAAATGTATACATGAGATAAATTTTGTTACCTCTTATACATAGCAGCTGGGAAAGTGGGTCCAGAAGTAAGAATGCATGAATTAAAATTCAAGCTTTTTAATTACCTTGCTGTGCTCTGTTCTTTAATATATGCTAAGTTGTAAAATAGGACAATTAAAATACTATCTGTTAGGATTACTTTACATAAGTCCTTAATTTATAAACTACTTGGTTTCTCCCAAAATAGTCGGGGTACGTAGAATCACATAGGTACACACAGTTGTTCTCTTTTTGAGCATTGTTTTTCTTTACTTTACAATTTTTTATAGCTTAGATTTCTGAAATGCATTAACTTGGGGATGAAAACAATGGGTTAGACATAAAAAGCATTACTTAACAGCTAGACATATTTGACAAGTAACAGATAGGTTCAAAGAGTCTCTAAAGTGTCCTATACCTTACACTTAATAACTGGCCTTTCCCAAGACGTGCCAGTCAATCTTAAATTGTGAAATTTGAAAAAGTTACCTTTGTTAAGAAAAGTAAATTATGAATTCACATTCTGTGTGTGTGTGTGTGGTGTGTGTGTGTGTGTGTGTGTGTGTCTGTCTGTCTCTCAGCCATTTCCAAAGGTGAAGCTGCATAAGCACAAACACTGTGGCCCTGGGAATATCATTCTCATTTTATAAACATGCGGAAAGAAATACTGCCTCTTTCTTTAATTTGGGCACTTAGACTTGCTAGTAGAACTTGTGAGTGGAGTCAGGCACAAATCTACTATTACTGCTTTTGGTAGGAAAGGAAGCCATTGCTTTCATATCTGTGAAAATCCCAGAAATTGAATCTTCAAGCCATTGACTTCTGAATTAAAAATCAATCTGGATCAGAGACTTGGAATGGTCCACCTGGATTTAAACTCCGGTTGCACCACAGGAACCAAATATTTCCTTTGCTGTGTTGAAAATTGTGAGCTATGCTCTATGACAAATATCCTTTTGACTAAACACCCACTCACATTTGTCAAGGTTCTGTCAAGTGAAAATTTCAGATTCTAGGGGGACCCTTATCCTCCAATTATTTTGTTCAGAACATTTGGTGTTTTGATTTCTGGGAAAGTTTGCTTTCCTGCAGCATGAATGAGCCTTGCCAAGTACTGAGACGATTAGTACCAACAATAATAATTGAGCCATCATGCGAGGGGAACATTTGAATATGGATAGATTCTCAGTTCCTGCTTTATATATAAAAAAGAAAGCAAAATCTTCCGTGGAAACCAAGGAACCATCACAGCTGTGAAACTGCAATTTTGTCTTATTATTAGAAGTTTCAAGAAAATAAAACCTCAGCATAATAATCAAAGGTTTAGTATTGTAAAGAAAACTCATGTTATGATTCTGGGCATACTCACTTCAAATGAGTCACAAATTCCAAAATAAACGTATATTTTAGTAAATATTTATTGAATTAATGTTAAAGTAATTATAATTGCATAAAAAACGAAGAAACTCTCAGCTCCACACCAAGGTGTAGAGTGTAATTTTAGATTCTTCTTGGCTTATTTGTATGTGGTAATTATTTTCAAGTAATGCCGTTAAATTAGAAATTGACAGTCTGCTTTTGCTTGCATAAGAGTCATCAGTAATTTCTTGGGGCCACTTCCAAAGTTTCTAAGTATTTATTTCCATCAAGTATTTAAATGAAATAATTTTTAACTGTCTTTTCAGAAAAAAAAAATAGCCGATCAGTATATTCACAAAGGCCAACAATGTATTTAGTCCTTTAACAAATAGTTTCTTATTCTGACTGTATGCAAAGGCTGTAGACAAGATGTATATAGTGAAAAGATAATATTTTATGGCTTTGGCCATTATGGATATAATATTCCGATAAGTGACATAGAATTAACACATAGTTATAATATTTACTTTAATAAGAATTATGAAATAGAAGTATATGATATCATGAGCATATACAGTCAAAAATTTGTTATGCTCTTGGGAATCAGCAAAGGCTTACATAAGGGAATAATGATTGAACATTTCTGGGGCAGAGTCAGAGGAGGCACTCTAAATGGTGAATGTAGAAGTTTTTTTTTGAGGGCCCAAAGGAAGCAGAGGCATGGCAAAGTCAAGAAGCAAGCACTTTCACATAGTAAATGACATGAGAAGGCACGTTACAATGATAAAGAGTTTTTATATCAAATTAGTAGCTTTCAATGATACCTCCTATATGATCAGTTCTTGCATTGCTATAAGAAATACCTGAGAGTGGGTAATTTATGTCATATATATACACACTCATATAAGTCACATATATATACATATATGTCATACATACGTCATATATACACATATATAATTACATCATATATACATATGTGTATGTCATATATACATATATAATTTTCATACATATGTGTATATACATCATATGTCATATATACATATATAATTATGTCATATATACACACACACACATATATATGGAGTTTAATTGGCTCACAGTTCTGCAGACTGTACAGGATACATGGCAGCATCTGCTTCTGGGGAGGCCTCAAGGAGCCTTTACTCATGACAGAAAGCTCTTACATGGCAGGAGCAGCACCGAGAGAGTGAGGGAAGGTGTCACACACTTTGAAACAACTAGATCTTCAAAGCACTCATTTACTATACAGCACCAAGTGGGGACGGTGCTCAACCATGCATGAGAACTCTGCCTTCATGACCCAATTACCTCTCACCAGACCGCACTTCCAACACCAGGGATTACAACTCAGCATCAGATTCGGGTGGAGACACAGATCCAAACCATATCACCTCCTTAGATGCTTCCAGCAATGACTGCTATTCTCAGTAATCAGGGATTCCTCTTGTTTTTTCTCTATCTTAGGTACAGTTTCATGAGGTTTATTTTACTATAACTACAGGTGGCCACAGTCCCTCCTTCTGCTTTGAGTACTGACAGCCTCTTATTCGTGCCTTGCCTGCTACAACAACTTAAGTGACAAGTTCAGTTCTCTTCCTTCTGGTAGTTTTGGAGAATTCACATTTGTCTTTTACTATGCTGCCATAATACTATAAATAAATTATCTAGAATTTTTTTTCAAAACCCTACATTGACACATTGGGGCAGGCTTCACACACAATTTTGGGGGCTAAAAATTACATACACATACGTTTACGTTGGCACAGAAAGTGTTGTTACACAATATTAAACATAAACTACTTTCACAGCATTTAAAAATTGATAGATTTGGTAAAAGACCAAGAATAGCTAACACAATATTGACAGGAAGAACAAAGTCAGAGGATTGACACAACCCAACTTCAAGACTTACTATGAAGCTATATTACTCTTCAAAACTGCTGAAAGAAAAGACAAATGGAACACGCTAGAGAGTGCGGAACTAAAACCACATATGAAGAGTCAACTGATCTTTGATAAAAGAGCAAAGAAAATACAATGGAGAACAGATAGTCTTTTTGACAAATTGTGCTGATGAAACTAGATAACCACATGTTAAATATATATATATACACATATGTATACATATAGACACAACACTTAACACCCTTCCCAAAAATCAATTAAGTGGAACATAGACTTACTTGTAAAATGAAAAATTATAAACTTCCTAGAAGATAACATACAAAAAAAACTAGATGGCTTTGGATATGATGACTTTACATACAATACCAAAGGCAATACGAATATTTGTAAAACTGGATTTCATTAAAATTAAAGACTTCTGCTCTGTGAAAGACACTGTGGAGAGAATAAGACAAGCCAAAGACTGAGAGAAAATATTTGCATAAGGCAAATCTGGGGAAAAAAAACTTTTACTCAAAATACACAATGGATTCTTAAAACTTAACAATAAGGAAATGAACAGCTCAAATTTAAAAATTGGCAAAAATCTGAAAAGAAACTGCATCAAAAATATAAAGATGGCAACTAATCATATGAAAAGATGTTCAACATCATATGTAACTGGGGAATTGCAAGTTAAAACAAGTTACCACTACGCACCTATTTGAGTAGCCAGGACACTGATAATATCAAATACTGGTGACAAGGTGAAGCATTAGAAACTTCGTTTCATTGCTGGCGGGAATGCAAAATGGTACAGCCACACTGGAAAACAGTTTGGCAGAACTGCTCTGCAAAATGAAACATATTTTTAGTCATAAGTTGCAGCAATTGTACTCCTTGATATTTACCAAAATGCAAAATGCAATAAAACTTACGTCCACAGAAACCCACACAGTAGTGTCTCTGGAATTGGTGGGTTCTTGGTCTCACTGACTTCAAGAATGAAGCCGCGGATCCTCGCGGTGAGTGTTACAGCTCTTAAGGTGGCGCGTCTGGAGTTTATTCCTTCTGATGTTCGGATGTGTTCGGAGTTTCTTCTTTCTGGTGGGTTCACGGTCTCAGAGCTGGCTCAGGAGTGAAGCTGCAGACCTTTGCGGTGAGTGTTACAACTCATAAAAGCAGTGTTAACCCAAAAAGTGAGCAGTAGCAAGGTTTATTGCAAAAAGCAAAAGAACAAAGCTTCCACAGAGTGGAAAGGGACCCGCGCGGGTTGCCCCTGCTGGCTTGGGCAGCCTGCTTTTATTCTCTTATCTGGCCCCACTCACATCCTGCTGATTGGTAGAGCCAAGTGGTCTGTTTTGACCCGGTGCTGATTGGTGCATTTACAATCCCTGAGCTAGACAGAAATGTTCTCCACTTCCCCACCACATTAGTTAGATACAGAGTATGGACACAAAGGTTCTCCAAGGCCCCACCAGAGTAGCTAGATACAGAGTATCCATTGGTGCATTCACAAACCCAGAGCTAGACACAGGGTGCTGATTGGTGTGTTTACAAACCTTGAGCTAGATACAGAGTGCCGATTGGTGTATTTACAATCCCTGAGCTAGACATAAAGGTTCTCCAAGGCCCCACTAGAGTAGCTAGATACAGAGTGTTGATTGGTGCATTCGCAAACCCTGAGCTAGATACCCAGTGCTGACTGGTGTATTTACAATCCCTGGGCTAGACATAAAGGTTCTCCACGTCCCCACCAGACTCAGGAGCCCAGCTGGCTTCACCCAGTGGATCCCGCACTGGGGCTGCAGGTGGAGCTGCCTGCCAGTCCAGCGCCGTGCTCCCGCACTCCTCAGCCCTTGGGTGGTCGATGGGACTGGGCGCCGTGGAGCAGGGGACGGCGCTCATCCGGGAGGCTCCGGCCGCACGGGAGCTCATGGAGTGGGTAGGAGGCTCAGGCATGGAGGGCTCCATGTCCTGAGACCTGCCCCGCGGGAAGGCAGCTAAGGCCCGGTGAGAAATCGAGCGCACCGCCGGTTGGCTGGCACTGCTGGGGGACCCAGTACACCCTCCGCAGCCGCTGGCCCGGGTGCTAAGCCCCTCATTGCCCCGGGGCCAGCAAGGCCGGCCAGCTGCTCTGAGTGCCGGGCACGCCAAGCCCACGCCCACCCGGAACTCCAGCTGGCCCGCAAGCGCCGCGCGCAGCCCCGGTTCCCGCTCCCGCCTCTCCCTCCACACCTCCCTGCAAGCTGAGGGAGCCGGCTCCGGCCTTGGCCATCCCGGAAAAGGGCTCCCACAGTGCAGCGGGGGGCTGAAGGGCTCCTCAAGTGCCGCCAAAGTGGTAGCCCAGGCAGAGGAGGCGCCGAGAGCGACCAAGGTCTGTGAGGACTGCCAGCACGCTGTCACCTCTCAGTAGCTTTATTCATATTTGCTAAAACTTGGAAGCAACCAAAATGTCCTTCAGTAGGTGAATGGATAAACAAACTGTGGTTCATCCAGACAATGAGATATTACTCAGTGCTAACAAAATGATCTATCAAGTCATGAAAAGATATGGAGCAACTTTAAATGTGTATTACTAAGTGAAATAAGCCAATCTAAAAGGCTATATACTTTATGATTACAACTATATGAAATTAGTGAAAAGGCAAAACTATGGAGACAGTAAAAAAACATCAGTGGCTATCAGGAGTTAATCAAGAGGAAAGGATGGACTGGTGGCCGCCAAGGATTTTTAGAGCAACAACACTATGCTGTGTGATACCATAATGACAGATATACATAATGCATATAACAGATATGCATAAAGGTGGATACATTTTCTCATACTCAGAATGTACAACACCAATAGAACTATGGACTTTGGTTCATAATAATACCTCAATGTAGGTTTATGGATTGTAACAAATTTACCACTCTGGTGGGGGATGTTGATAGAGGAGGAGGCTGTGCGTCTATGCTATACCTCTACTTCCTTTGGGCCCCTTGATAGAGGGGAAGGCCGTCCAGTATATGGGAAATCTGTACTTTCCACTCAATTTTGCTGTGAATCTGAAACTGCTCTAAAAATGATAGTTTATTTAAAAATAAGGAAATAGTTAAAAAAGCAAACTCCCCCTTTCCAGTGGAAAAAATAGATTTCCAAAAACTATTTATACTTTTCTTTGTGAAAAATATGACAGTAATAGATTATCATATAAATCAGCAAATGAGTGATACACTCTGTTCCCATTTGATACATGCTCTCCAGTTCATCACATTCCAACATTTTCGTGGATCTTGAATATGGAGGCCAAATGTTAGATGCCATTTAGTCCACTTAATTCTATTAAGGAATCTGTGTCCCATCTGGGCAATTACACTGATGACCCTGACAACGTGGATACAAGTTTCATCTTACTCCTAACTGCATTCCCATTTCTCTTATATTGTATGGTGTATCTGTTAACTCTGTCTTCACTCAGTTTAATTCTTATACTATTCTGTTTTTCATTGTAATTCATGTTGATATTGTAATTTAGCTTATCAATGCCTTCCAATATTTTAGTATAGAATTGATCACTTCTTGTAGTGAGCACTGGTATACAGTGAATTTGATAAAAGGTGTTAATATCTCTTCACAGTCTCTCTGCACTACCATTGGCTGCTTTGTAGGTGAAAGTCTCTATGATGTACCAAATACAGCAATATTCCTTGATAATTTTATATTCCTCCAAAGACAAATAAATAAGTTAATTTTAAAAGTAACTTTGGACTATGCTACCTTTTATATTTTTAACGTGCCTTTTCTCATAAATAAAACACAAATGTCTAATATTAAATATTCAATGATTATGTTCAAAACCAAAAGTGATATCTTTCTTATATAAATGATCAAATATAGAATCACAATAAATACATTGTTGACAGTTAACAAATTGGTAACTGGTATCAAAGATCTGGCTTCAAACCTGGAATTCTGAAGTCAGAACTTTGCTGTAATGGCAGATAAGGTAAGAATGCATTATAAAATAACAACCTGCTCTTTTCAATTTTTCCTAGATTAAACATTTAATCATATAGTATTTCTTATTATGAAGGTTTTCATGAAATATTTTATTCTTTAAGAGAAGAAAAAGAAAATATAATACAAATAGAAATATAATTAAGATGAAACACACTATGCTATTGTATTTATTTTGAATTTGGTTATAATTCTATGCATATTAATTAAATACTAGCCTAACAAATACATAACATTGTTCCAATAATAAATGAACCATGATTAGCATTACTTGTAATTCGGTAATTTCAAATCTAATCTATTCATTAGTGTCTCTGATACTCGTTGTCAAACATTATTACTCTCTTTTAAACTGGCTTTTCAAAATGAACATTTAAAAAACTATTATTACTGCTACTATTACCGCTACTACTACCCTGACTTTTGTTTTTAACTAACTGCTATATTGCAGTATGTTCCAGGTATGTACACATATTTCTGATTTATGTACCTTTAAGCTGCAGTAATGATATGTCATGTTTGAAAATGGTTGCATGTATCTCAACCAGGGCTAAAATTAAAAGCCACTAAGAATTTCTTACATAACTTTTAAAAGGGCTTTCAAGATATGTTCAGATTGTTTAGAATCCCTAATGTCTTTAGATTCAAGTCATCAAAATGGAAACAGGTATTTTTCTAAATGTATTCTAGGCATGAAATCAAGACAACATATTCTAAGAGAAACAAGACAAATTGTACTTATTTTTTAAGGCTATGGATTACATAATCTCAATTATTTTCATTAAGTCATGATTCTCTTAAGTGTTTACTTCCAGTAGCACTCTGTGATCATATTTGCAAACTGATCAGATGAATAAGTGTAAAGTTTTTGTCTATTTTAAGCGATTAAACTCTTAAATTTTATCCTTTAGATCAAAGTTCCCAAGGACAATTTTATTGCATATACAAAACTGTTTTCTTATGGGAAATAAAGTAACAAAAATAAGATCATTTTGAAAAATTCACCCATATCTGAAACTTGTGGTTGAGTTCTTACTTCCTTTGCATGCCTCAAAGTTTATAGGAACCGATACATTATGAAACAATCCTTTTGGGATATAAGTAAATCCTCTAGCTCAGCACAACCCGTGAAAATCCTGGACTGTTAGATATATGCAATTTTGTTCTTTCTTCTCAGCAGTTATCCCTACTGATATAGTCAGTGTTTCGTCTCAGCATGAAATAACATCAGATAACGCTGCACTCTGAAAAGTAGATACAATGAGGACTCTCAAATGAGAATGAATTAGAAATGTCCCCACAGTAGCAACCAGGAAGGAGTTAAAAACATGAAACTGACAAATGTACTACAGAGGGCATTTACAAAGAGTTTTCCACTTCGACTTTGTATTCTTCACAGAGATTATTAGTAGTGGAAAGTGTCAGACAGCAAATGATAAACCTGGCCATGACAGATTTATGATTTAAAGCAAAACCAACTGTCTAGTAGATATCCGTCTGATGACAGCTTTTAAATATAAAAACAAGCAAGGCATTTTCTCAAATTGTCTCAAAATTATCTGTTTCACTGGATGGGTGGATGTTGGAGGGGGTCTTATCTTTTACTTCACTGTGATAGTGATAGAATTTACAGAGAACACATTTTTTCAAATATCTAAGGAGGAAGTCACGAGAATACTTTGTAACATATAAAACCTTTTCTGTTTAATATTTATTTATATAACAAACTATTTTCCTGAAGGACACACAATTTTTTATGAGTCTCTTAAAAAATTTATTAAGTTTCCTCTTGAATGAAACTTACTTATTTTAACCCTTTCGAATAACGAAAGAAAGAAACTGAAAACCAAAAAGATTCTTTTTGGTGTATACATTTTATAGTTATTTTTTTCTTCCTGAAATCACTGTTATTATTCATATATTTTATTCATAATACAAAAATGTTCAAGTTTCTGATTAATCTTCCTTTTCAGTGAGTTAAAAATGTGGGTTCCATCATGGCAAAGGTAGTCAAGTAGCATAGCATATATCAGCTTAGAGGATGAGTTTATTAAATTACTACTAGGATCAGATGCTGTTCTAAACTTAAACTGGAAGAGTAACACTTCTACATGTGCACACACACACACACATACATACACACAATTTTTCTTCTCAGATGTTTTTTAGAATTATACAAAATTAAGGCAGCATTGCAATTAAATGTCTAGAGTAATATGATAAAACAAGAACATAGTATTTTGGCAGACAAGCATATTAGTAATAATCTGGTGTAGGACAGATGAGGGAGTACATTCCACAGAATGTGAATGATAAGCTGATACATAAAGTATATAGAGAGTTCACAAATTAAGGTGAGTGGAGGAATCAAGTAAACATCCTTCAAATACACTTATCGTATGAAAACTTCATAACATAAATATAATTATATAACATATCATATTGCATCTGTTTCTCTAAACATCATAAGCCAAACAAATTCTCTAGATGTACTCAATTACTATATCGTCATCATTTATTTAGTAACTACCATAGGCCTCATATCATATTCTCTACATTGTTTTTATCTGATGGCAAGATTAAGAAATAGATATTTTTTTCACTTCAGAAAAAAAAAATGAGGAGGCTCAGCGTCATTGAAATCAAATGTCTTTTAAATGGCCTATATGTCAAACTCCAAAACTCAGAATCGTAAGCACAATCCTACCCTTATTACTCTTCTTTGGCACTGTGTAGATACAGGGACCCAAGGATCTCATAGTTCTTAGCAACAATTTTACTTAACAGACTTTCATTTTTTCTGAAATTACATGGAGTACATTTAAATGGGCTACTGTTTCCAGAAACTTGACATGGTAACTATGACATTATATTTTTTTTCTCCCGCTTACTCGTTAGTTATTAACCAGGAAACTATGTCTCTGCCATTGCATACTTGTTTCTGAAGTATGTTTGAAATGTCTTCTTCATGGAAGAACTAATTCATAGTTCTAGCAGCTAGCAAAAACTCCAAAATGTTTAAATCTGATACTGTAGTGAAGAATCATGCCAGTGGATTTGGTTGCCATTTACAGACGCAACCTTTGAGAATCTGGCTTTGCGATATTAGGTATAGGCTTATATACATCTATTGTTTTCTGGGGAAAAAGTGCTTCTCATAGGGCCTGTTTAAGTGAATAAATGGCTTGAATATCAGGAGTGGATACCTAAGAGATTGGAAGTTAGTAATTTAGAAAAGATCTTTATATCTGACAAATTCAAGTAAAGCATTTTAGTTTGAATTATTTGATAAATAAGCTAAAAGCATAAGAGAAAAAATTAAAGAACACTTTTGGAAATTCTTGTTATATTTGTATGAGTGACAGACCAAAATTCATCTAGTTTTGTTCAAAACTCACAAATATTTGATAATGAATCTTTTCCTTGAGGGTTAAATGCAAAGCCGGACTTCTGCTGGCAAGGACCTCTGCTAAACCTTAAAATGCTCAAATCATGATTTTAGTGTCTTCAAGATTTCTACTTCTTCACCGAAACACAATATTTCTGAGGGTGTAGACAGGCCCATAAAAGTGAACAAGAAAGAGGGATTATTATTTTATAGCAGTTATAAATAGAGGTTTGGGGAATAGTGAATACCTGCCTCAAGAAATCTATAGATTTTTGCCCATTTTTTTAAAAGACCGATTCTTTCTCTCCCTCTCCTCTCTTTCCCCATCCTGTCCCTCTTTCTCATGTACATGCACAGATTTTGCTGGAAATTATTTGGTGAATGAAAGGACTCGTGAAAGACCTAAGATGCATTAATAGTTTTCTATTCATATTCAGAAGGAAATTATATATTGTACTTTAGGACATTAAGAATAGAAATAATTGCCAATTAAGACATTAAGATGTGTTTAAATATATTTTAATAAAATAGAGTATTTAAATGCCATTTCACATTTTTGTTGACGATCCTGGTGTTATCCTGGCCTCCTTTTAGCTCCAGCTCAGTCCTTTGCATTCTGCAAAGTATGTTGCATAAATACTCCCCGTCCTCTCAGAAACCAGCGAGATCCATCCCAGAGAGTATATTATATATTCTCACTTTTAAAAATTAAAAACTGAAAGTAGTTATTTATTTGCACATCCACCAAACACAGTGAATCATAGATCTATCCAGGAAAGGGCAGACTATTGACTGGCTCCTCCTTACCTTGCAGGCTTCTCATTTCATAGGAAGGAATGGCTGCCCTTGGAGGATTTCTTCCTGAGCCTCCACAGGGATCTCCTTTCTTAATGCATTCCTGTAAACCATGTTGTGTGGGTAATGAGTCTCTCTCCTTGCTTTCCTTCTTCATCTTTGAATTTTATTCATCTCTGCTTTTATTGATGTTTATACCCTTGATATATTTATGAAATCAATCTCCTGTCCTTCACCTTCAGATTATAGTTGGACAGTGAACCCTCTCCTTGAGATCTCAATATCTACTTCTAGTAGACTAGGTTATCAAGCACTATTCTTGATTTATAACTGTATTCTTCTCCAAGAAGTAGTGTCTTTTGTTTGCCTTTTCCTCCCACGATGAAACAATGTAATCAATTTTTGATATTAATATTCACAATGATGGCAATATAAAATGCAAAGTATAAACCCTTTTTAGAAAGTGATTTGACAGCAAATATGGAGAACTGATGTTTTCATATATTTTGACTATAGGGAAAAGATTCCAAGACAATTATTCAATTTAGAGCAAAGGCGCAATACCTGAAGATATCCATTGCAATTTCATCTCCAGTGGTAAAGATCTAAACACAACTTGCTGTTAAGCAATATAATATGGTTAAGATGATTATGTTACATCAATTAAATGCATTTGGTTTGTTCATTTAAATAATACCTATCAAGACGATGCAAAAATGCAAAAAGAATTTATGTTATAATTCCCACATAAGAAACATAAACACATACATATATGCATATATACACACACATGTATTTATATATATAAATAGTAGAATCTATAATGGCATATTGGAAAAAGTAAATAATTGTTTTACTAGAGTCTAAGTGTGATTAATCAACTTTTAATTTCAGTTTTTGCTGGTATATTTTTATGTATGCATATTGAATAAAACAACACATACGATTTGGAAAGTAACTTTGGAAAAACAGTTATTAAGTAAATATTAATAAAAAATATGCATGTTGAACAATGTCTGCAAAGTTTATCATCTAAAACGTATTTATAAAATAGCAACAAACATACAACACAGACAACTAAATCTTAACTACTGCATTTAGGCATGAAATACATTTATCTTAAGATATCAGGATCTCTACAAGATTATTAATAATACACATTCTTAAGAAGTTTACTGTTTTATTTAAGAATTGTATTTGTTTATTCGAACCATTTTTTCTTCAAATTTTGATGTAATACAACAAGTGTTCAATAGATTTGTTGGTGAAATATCTACCATAGTAGAGTTTCTAAAGCCTGTTTGTTGTATCCTCTTGAAAAAAATGTAACACATTTATATTAAAAATGGAGCATAGAGTTGTATCTGGTATATAGACTTGCTCACATGTCTTGATTTTCTACATAAATTTTGAAGTTTCCTTACACTGGATATAAAATCTGAAGCAGATGCTGTTTTATAAATGCTTCCTGAATGGCTGCTATGGGCCCAAAATTTCCAAATTCTATTTATTCAGTGGTAAATAAGACAGACAAAATACATGCCATATGAACCTTACATCCTACTGTAGGAACAGAAAATACAGAAATACACAAGTACATAAATAATATAACTTTAGAGAGTAGCAAGTACTATGAAACATACAACTACAAAACTTATGGAGTTGGTTCTCTTTTGGTCTTAGAATCAATAAGCTAAAAGCATATCAAGTAATGATCATACTGCAGGGGCTTAGAATATCTTTCTTTTTCACTAGTAGATTACTGATCAGTTCTGTCCTAACTCTGCTTATAACAAAATTGACATTCATACACAAAAAGGAAAACACAAACATTTAAGGTTATAAAATTTAAAATCTCTGTGAAATTAAAGTAGAAAAAAGTCCTTAATAAAGTTTTAATCAGTAATTTTAATATATCTTAAAATATTACAACTGTGAATCATTAATGTGCACATCCTATTTTAGAGTAGATATGAGAAGAATTATGCATCTTACAGTTTGATTAATGTTTTAATAGTTCCCCTATTTTTCATTGGTTAATAGTTTATAAATAATCTTATATCTGACCCTGTCTTTGAACTTATTGTGAAGAACTGCATTATTCAGTTGAAATTGAATAATATGTTGTGTTATAAATACTTCATTTTAATAGACACAAAATAGATCCTATCTTTACAGGTTTTATATATAGCATTGCCTCATATTTGTGTAGCTCAAATGTATCATGTAATGATATGTTGTGTTTGCATTTTTATTATGACTTAAAAAATACAGGCTATAATGGTGCTATGAAACTCTAATACAGAAACTTGGTGAGAGGACCAGTTCAGGTTGGTGGTCTGAGTAAAAATTTTTGAGGGCAAATTCTCTGAACTTGAATCCCAGACTTCACATTTAAATCCTGAGTAAATCTGATCAATGTCTCAAATTACTTGTACCTCGATTTTCTCAATTATAATATGGATAATATGCTAATACCTACCTCACAAGTTATTGAATGAGTTAACATTACTAAAGAACTTAGAATATATGGTGTAGAATAAGTGCTACATATGTCTTAGTAATTATTATTCTTTATTTCATTCTGAGTGTCTGAGTGTCTGAGTGTCCAAGGGGAATTATAAATAGTACTTTGTCATGGTCAAAATATAGAGTTTGCATATACTGGAAGAATGACAGGGTGAGGAACAAACCTGGTGAAATAGACCAGGGTCAGATTATGATTGCTATAGTAAAATACTAAGTCACAATAGAAAGTATACAAGTTTGGGGGAGAAAAGAGAAAATACACACACACACTCCTATATAAATACACACACACGTACGTTACACACACACCCCTATATGAATACACACACACATACATTACACACACACACATATACATATACATAGGTGATGTTATCTAGTGGAAAGTTGTTTATAATACTTAAAAATTAAGTAATAATTCTGTCATATCTTTTATTATTGCTAATACATATTGTACAATTAAGTTTCTACATAGAAAGGACAACTATAGCTGCTACATACCTATAGGCAAATAAAGAAATGAAGAATTTCTTTATAAAAATGGAAAAATAAATAAACTTGCCATAATGTGATGGTTAAAAGGCTACAGACTAAAAAATCAAAACAAAGCTGCTAAAATGGTCCAGTAAACGATGAGATCATAAATAGGGCCAAGACTTGAAGTGATAAAAAGGGTGATAGTAGAGACATTTCAAGAGAGTATGGCTAGGACATAAGATCTTACATGTTCTTGCATCCTCAGCACTCAGCAAAGTGCATAATACATGCTCATTAAATTTTAGTATCATGATGAATTATGAGCATTGAATAGTCTAGTAGAGAAGAAAGAGAAAAAAATATTAGAGGTGAACTGCGGTTTCTTCTTCAGTTTTTTCTTGGGTATTTAGGAGGCTAATGATGCCAACTTAGATTTTGAACAAGGCAGAAGAGAAAGCTTTGTAGCAGGAACAGGAAGTGACACCATTGAGTTTCAGATAAATTTGAAACCACATGAATAAACGTATCAATGTGATACATTTACTATTCATTGTTCTCTTTAAGTAGCTCATTAAAATTACTCTACTTCACTGAACTAAATTAATTTAATTTAGCAATGTGTTGACAATATAAGTCCTCCAGTAGTTTAGCCCTTTACTATGTAGGATAGATATATTTTGTTAACTAATTTAAATTCGGTGAGTACCCATTTTAATGAAACATAGTATGAAGTGCTGTAGGAAACCTGCTTCTGATGGGAGAAGAAGAAAGTTAGGAAGCAGAGAAAGGGAGGAAGAAAATTTCTTTTGAGGACTATGCCTTTAGGAATGAGCTAGAAAGGACCAGAAGATCAGAGATGGCAGAGGAAAAGAGGACCACATGGGTTTTAAGAAGGTTAAATTTTAAATGTAGCATGGAATAGGATTAAAATGAGGATAACAGAATTTTCTAGCTTCTGCACTTATTTTTGTAGTTTTTTTCTTTTCTTTTTTTTTCCTTAAATTAAATAAAAGGCTGAGTTTCACTTTGATCCACTAAAAAGCTAGTTAATGATTATAATTTAGATGCTAGTGTAAGGCAATAGCTATTTATACAAATTATTACCCTGAGCACCTGCTCCAATTTTTCATGTATTATGCTAACAGTGTTTTTTGTCTTAATTAAAAATGTTAATTAGTGGTGATATAAACAGCAAAAGAAGAGCTGGTAACATATGCACAAGAATTTTACAATATGTGCATAAGTTTTTCAAATTGATAAACTAAGCATGAAAGCATCTAAAACACTTACAAACAGTTGCAAATTTTCAAATGAACCTGAGATCGTTCCCTGAACATTAGAGTGGGTTAACAAATGATTGTTCTCTGCTTTCACATATTTTACTTCTTGCCAAATTATTGCACATTTATGAAATAGGAACGCTGCTATCTCCATTTAAATGCATTACATTTGGATGCCTAGCATGCTTTTCCAGCATGTTTTTACATTTTGAAGTTTGCTGATCATAACTTATCCCAAAACCACTTCCTAGAATATTTGGAAATTTCTCCTTCACAAATCCACCACTAAAAATTTGGCAGGTATTTACGTTGATTACTAGTAAGGATGAGGAGAAAGGAAAGTGGAAAGTTGATTTCCAAAGGTGTAAATAATCTTTTGTCCCTTATCCTTTCAGGGAATAATTCACAGGTGAAAGAATCATTGTGATTTTTAATACATTTTACATAGGGGGTCGTGTAATTCTGCCCCCTAAAATACATTAGATTTTTTGTATTGCACTTTAAATATCTTAAGACATGTTTCCCACATTAGACCAACCTATTAGAAAATTTCTGCCTGTTTTATTATTAAAGCAAACAAAAATGTTGGCAACTGAATAATTCAGCTAAAAGGTAGGGTGTAGGGGGAGGGATTAGTTTTCTTATTTACATAATGCCTGACTTTTACATATTTGATATGTTTGCAGTGGAACAAATCACAATTTTTTATTTCTTTAAAAGAGTTGAAACTCTATGGCATGTAATAAAAATTGGATAATTGAAAGAGTGAAGCTGGGCACAGTGGCGTGCTCTCATTGTTCCAGCTCCTCAGGAGGCTGAGCCAGGTAGATCACTTGAGACCAGGAATATGAGGCTGCAGTAAATGATTATAGCACCTGAGAATAGCTGATACACCTCAGCCTAGACAATAAAGAGAGACTCCGCCTTTAATAATAATAGAAATAATTAATATGGTAATTCAGTGTTATTTCTTCAATAATATTCTCTTTATCTCTTACAGCCATTTAAGGGGAAATATAAAACTATACAATCAATAAGCTTCAAATGTATGAAATTAAATGATCAAATTAACATATGGGCCCTTTATAAAACAGAAATAGCCCATCTTCTTGGAAACAGTGTGCTCTAATTGGAAGCACATTGGAAATTAGGAGATCAAATCTTCAGTTCTCTCATTTTACCTTGGCTGATTTCTTCTAGTCCACTGGTTTCTGATCAAATACCACATTCTTGGAGAGAATTTTCTTAATAATCCAGGTCACCGTGATATCCTTCTACCTATACATACATATACAACCCTGGCATATACTTACTGTCACATTTTTTAAAACTTTTCTTTGTAGCCCTTTCAACTTATAAAATCGTTATATTTATTTTTTTGCCTGGTTTATTAAAATGAGAGATCCATAACAGCAAAGACCTAATCTGCTCTTGTTCCGCTACGTTTTCAGTTGATAGAACAATGCCTGGACCCTGACTGAATGCTTCTGTAGAATGACAGAACTGTCAGCAAGTATTGATGAAGAAATAGAAGCTGATAGTGGAATTGGATAGATTCCTCTTGACCTTGTTTATTTACCCCAGGAAAGGTTTAGATTAGTGACAAATTAAAGAAAGTGCTGTAGAATCCTACAGTCCTTTACCTTTGCCTGAATAACTGTTGTTTTTTTTCAGTTATGAACTTTAAAACATAACATTCACATCATTCTTATCATTGGCTAACCCAGTTAAGAGTAATGTGAACTATAAGAATCATGAATCAAAAAAGATCTGAACAAATACAACAAGGAACTGCATATAGCAAGATGGCATAAAATAGAAAAAGGAACACAAATGGCTTTACAATTGAGCTTTAATGTGAACATTTCCAGTTTATGTGGGGGGCGTGTACACACACACACACACACACACACACACACACACGCTCATTTGCCAAGCACATATATTAAAAATGTAGCTATATACAAATTTTGATTGAAAATATATCTAATATAATGTTCTTTCATATACAAGGAGAGAAAGACTGCATGTATATAATCTAATCCATGATGCACTGCGTATATCTAAGTCACAATTTCTAACTTCTTTATAGCACACCACGGTGTCATCTGCCGCATTTTATCTATTCACTCTCTAGATGATTGACAGTCAATTTGCTTCCAATTCATTTTCCTGGCTAAGAACACTGCTGCAATGAATAACCTTGCACCTATCCCCATATGGAGATTTCCAGAATGAGTGCCAATCCCTGCAATCTTACCAGCAGTGAAACTAACATTCCCACTAACACTTGGCATTTTCCAGCTTTTTTGATTATTGCCAATCCAATAGACAAAGCCACATCTTATTGTTATTCTAACTTGCTTCCCTCTGCTTAATAATACTTTTGAATTTTTTAAATATATTCATTAGTTTTGGTGACTGCTTCTGGCTAACTTTTGTATTTTTAGTAGTGATGGGGTTTCATCATGTTGACCAGGCTGGTCTCAAACTCCTGACCTCAGGTGATCTGCCCCCCTCGACCTCACAAGTAAACTGACTTTTTATTTCTTTTGTACATTTTTTGTACTTGCATTTTGTCTTTCTCTTGTCGATTCAGAGAATCTCTCTGCCTATTCTAAAGTTGCATCTCTTGTTATTTTAGACTTGAGTATTTATTATATTTTGTCATATAACTTTTAACTCTGACCGTGCTCACACTCAATGAGGAGAAATATAACATTGTGATGTAATTATAACAATCATATTTAGCATTATTTTGGTGCATTTGAAAGTTTAGGAACATCTTTGCCACCCTAGGTCAGAAATTTATTCTGTGTTTTTACTAATTATATATTGTAAGTCTTTAAACCAAATGGAATCCATTTTTATGTGTGCCATTAGAAAGAAATCTAATATTACTACTCCCTTTATGCTAATTCAGTTTTTCTAACACTATACACCCAACTATCTGACATGTCTTCAACATATGAAGTGTTGATGCTCACTTCAGAATATTATAAATTTTCATTTTTATTTCTATCTATGCAAGCACTCTATTTTCTCCAAGTTTTTAAATATCTTTAGTTAATGCAGGTTATTATTACTGTTGTTGTTCCTGTTATCATGATTGTGACTTTGAAGTACGCTCTCCAGGCAGGCCCCTTCTGTATTATTTTCTAATGATGTTGACTTAGCTACCCATAGTTTTGAATTTCTTTGTATGTTATATGTATACCAATGTTAGTTTATAAAGGTTTTAAAAATTAAATTGTTAGTGTGATTGCATTGAAATCATAGATTACTTGGTGAAGATAAGACATCTTACATCAGGTTATCTCTTGTAAGAATATGGATTATTTCCCCATTTATTTGGGTCAGTGCAATTTTACTCTCTCAGAACATTTGGCAATATCTAGAGACATTTTTGTCAAAACAGAGTGGATGCTACTAACGTAGAGGCAAGAACGCCAAACATCCTATGATGCACAGGGCTGTCCTCCACGACAAAGAATTATCTGGTCCAAAACGTCAATGGTGCTGAGGTCAAAAAACCCCAATTTAGATTAATTTATCTCTCTCTCTTATTAGCATATTAAAATTTACTCGACAGACTGCCTAATTATTTTCAGTAACACAATTCCTAGACATCTCACATTTTTACTGGCTCTTATGTATCACATCTTACTCTCATTTGTATTGCTATCATATTATTGCTGCCACAGAAAAATGAACCTGGCGGGCCACGGTGGCTCACGCCTCTAGTCCCGGCACTTTGAGAGGTCAAGACAGCAAATCACTTGAGGTCGGGAGTTTAAGACCAGCCTAGCCAACATGTTGAAATCCTGTCTCTACTAAAAATACAAAAATTAGCCCGGCGTGGTGGCACGTGTCTGTAATCTCAGCTAGTTGGGAGGCTGAGGTGGGAGAATTGCTTGAACCCGGGAGGTGGAGGTTGCAGTGAGCCAAGATCACGCCACTGCACTTCAACCTGGGTGGCAGATCAAGACTCTGTCTTAAAAAAAAAAAAAAAGAAAAGAAAAGAAAAGAAAAGAGAAAAAAAGAAAAGAAAAAAGAAAAAAAGAAAAAGAAAAAAGAAAAATGAACCTGAGTTGAACACGGAAATAAAACTAAGTTTTGGTTTCATTTCTATAGCCTTGTCAAAATTTTAATTACTTCCAATAGCTCATTTATTCTATTGGATTTTTTAGGAGATTCATCTTCAGATGATATATTGAACTTCTATTTTGTTATATCTTATTAGTAAACAAACAAGTATTTTATTTGGCTGAGGCATTGATTACAATGTAGTAGTATTAATATTGAACAATATTTTCTTATTCCTGATATTACAGAGAATATACATAAAGTTTCCTTTAAGTATAATATATATACTTCTAGGTTGTAAATTTTGATAAATAAATGTCAACTTTTATATGCTTAAGAAGTCTCCGTTCTACGAAGCATTTTTTATCACAAATAGGTGATGAACTCATGTGTATTATTGTAGTTTTCTGCAACAGCTAATGAAACAATATGGTTTAATACCATTGATCTGTTAAGGTTACTGACTGTCAGAATGTATCGGTGAAAGTTGTTTCTGCTGTTGAAACTTTCTCGTATTCCTGGAATAAAATTTCTTTAACTATAAACTGTATCTATTAAGTGTACTTTTAGAAATGGTAACTTACTGCTTTGCTTTAAATTTTAGCATCTGCGTTCCTCAGTAAAATGGTCTTCTATTTGTTTTTATTTATGCATTTCTTTGCTTGTATGTTTGTTTGTTTTGTCCTGGATTGGTGTTGGAAACATGATTAAGAGGGCCTTATTAAACGAACTGATAAAAGCGTAAAACAAAAATGGCACAACTGACTAAAAGAAGGTAACTCTTCCTTGAAAGTTTAATAAAAATAGCTCTTAAAGCTGTCTGGTTTTAACATTTTTGAATGAAGTTCTTGAGTGCTTACTTTGTCTTTGTTAACATGTATTATTATTTATGTTTTATTTCTGTTTCTTTATTTTCCACATAAGTAATATAATAACTGTGATCCACAGGTTTTGACAGAGAGTGTTATCATAAACATTCAGTTCTAAGTATTTCTTAAATTATTTTTAATCTAATGGTGCCTTGTAACATGTTATTTTGTCACCGAACACATGGTCTTTAAAGTTATTCTACCATTAATTTCTAATTTTATTGCATTATGACTTTCAATAGATATTTATTAAATATCTGCTTATGCCAAAATGTTGACATGGTCGCTATTGTGACAGGACATCTTACATTCCATGGAGACAGACAGCAAACAGGTACCATTGTGGCAATGGCTGCTACACTGAATGGTCCAAGAAGACCTACGTGTGGTCTAGACATTTAAAGTGAGAACTAGAAGCTAAAAAGAGGTAAATGTAAAGTCAGATTAAGAACTGTTAAGCAGGCCAGGTGTAATGGCTCAGGCCTGTAATCCCAGAACTTTTAGAAGCCGAGGCGAGCAAATCACTTGAGGTCAGAAGTTTGAGACCTGCCTGGACAACATGGTGAAACCCCATCTCTACTAAAATACAAAAATTAGTCAGGCATGGTGATGCACTCCTGTAGTCCCAGCTACTCAGGAGGCTAAGCACGAGAATTGCTTGAACCCGGGAGGCGGAGGCTGCAGTGAGCTGAGATCATGCCACTGCACTTTTGCCTGGGCAACAGAGTGGGACTCCATTCCCCCCCCAAAAAAAAATAAAAAAGAAAAAAGAACCATTCAACACACACACACAAAATGTCATTAAGCTGAGAAGAGCTAATTTTATTTGAAGAACTCTAAAACTAAATATTAATTAATGCCCAAGCTAAAAGAAAATGGGAATGGGATGAAATTGAAAAGGTATTAGTTAATATCATCTTTCATAGTTCACCATACATGTGTACTAAGTGTAGAAGAAGCCATTGAAAAGCTAAGTGCAAATAAAAAAGTAAAATGTTTTCTATTTTAAAAACTTTGTTTTAACTGCTGTTTTTTGATAAACATCAAGATGCACTGCCAGATCACCCTTCAAGGAAAAAAAAAACAAAAATCCCAGCTGCTGGTATTGCAGTCAGCGCATAGCTGCCACTTGTCAGCGTTTTCAGGGTTTGCCTCAGGGACAGAAAGACCCCTCATCTGAGGTTATATTCTTTCCAGGGAAGCCCATAACCCAGGGACAGAAAGGCCTAGACATTTCAGTCACCAAGGGAGAGCACCAACGTATAATATTTCCTCCAGATGTTCCTCTTTCTCAAGTGTGTGTTGTCCCTGCATTGCAGTTCAACTTCATCTATGAAGTTTCCTTTCTCCTGCTTCTTTTCAAAAATATGCATCCCTAGTAAACACCTTACATCCCAAACTCTGTGTTGGTATCTGTTTTAAGGAAACCAACGTGTACTTCGATTGAATAGTGGAGTGTAGAGGGCAACAGTATATTAGGAGATGAGTAGAACAGTCTTGGTTAGAAAGATGGAGGCAGGTACATGCTACCGATCTACTTAACTGAAATTCACAGTTCTCAATTCTAAAAATTGCTATTTGGCTTCAGAGAAACTTTGACTCAAACTGTTAATCTGTGTTTAACTAAATGATAACTTGTATCTTTGGTTTCTCCTCAGAGCTAGTGATGTACGTTTGCAACTTTTAAGTGTTCTTTCTTAGGTAGAGTTGTACTTACGTGATACTTTGTTTTGCTCAAGTTTGTCTTCTTCAAGATAAAAGTTGAGTCTCCTCATTGTTCGACTTAGTATCAACATAACTTCTGTCTTCTCTCATTTTGTTTTTATTTAAAATATATGAGGTTGACCACCCTGTTTACAATGACTGTACCAGAGAAGAGATTTTATACAATAATTGGCATCTCAATAAATGACTTATAATTATTTCCGTGCATAATTTAACAATATTATATTATTTTATATACTTAATTTCAGAGCATAGTAAATCCTATTAGAAATATCACTCATGATTCTAGCAATACATATCCTTTGGGAATCCTTGTGCCACCAGCATAATGGTCAAGAATAGGTTCAGGCCCATGGCTTCTTTACTTAAAAATGCTTTATAAAAACAGAATTACTGCGTTGGTAAAAGTCCTGTCAAGAATCGGTAACTGGCCAGAAAATATCTGCTGCTGAATATCAAAATAGGAGTGAAAATTAACTATGATCTCATGGCAGAATAAGGCAGTGATGGCTTGATGATGTAATCTCTGTATTTTGCAAGGTATTCTTGATCATTTTATCAGAATATAGTGTCATAGCCATAGCCTTCAAGAGTGAATTCCCAGAATTGCTGTTATTAAGGCCATAAAAATTAGCTGAAAACAATAATGTATAAGTCTTCAGCTTCCACAAATATAAGTACATGGAGGAATTTAATAAGCCCAATAAGATTAACCCAAAACAAATAAATGTCTCTCAAGTTTTTCCATTGAAATAACCAGTTGAAATTAAAATAGCAGTCATTCTATAACTTGAACAATCATTGATAGAGTATAACACTGAAGAATACTTTTTAAAAACAAAATTCTGTTATTCAATAATATATGCTCGATTATGGAGTATGAGATACATTCACATATTATGCAATAATATGTCACCTAGATGGTTAGAGATTAAGAGAGCTTCCAACAGCTATAGAAAAGCAAATTTAATTATGACAATCCTTAGGATCATTCTTTATCTACCTAACATGTAATGACCTATTAAACACCTGTGGTACAGAGATGGTTCTATGACATGGACACCTTCTGTGATATAGAGGTATTGTTGGGAAGCATCTGGCTGTCCAGCCACAGGATTTGTAAACATCCTTGCACCAGGTGAGGCCATGTTTCTGAGTTCTGGCCAATGGATTATAGGCAGAATTGTTGTATGCCACTTTCAAAGCATAACTTATAAAAACCCCTCTAGGATCATCCACTGTCTCACTCTTCCCTGTCTGTGGACTAGATGTTAATGTTGAAGATTTCCTTAGAAGCCATGGAAAATTTCACAAGTTGAAGATGGAAGAGATGTGGTCAATTCCCAAGCAACAGTGTGGATCACATTAGGACATCGCATCGTAGAAAGTGATAAAAGCTTCCTAATTATTAAGATCAAAATAAATGATTAAGTAATTCTACCTGTTTCTGAATATAGGTCGCTAGATATAGATATATAGGTATGAATAGTAAATATCTGATATTTTCTTCAACTTGCCCCAAATTAACACTTTTTTTGTGTGTGAGGAGCCCTTGTGTTTAAATACTGTGGAGATCTTTAACACACCTTGAAATGAAAACGTGCTTTTACCTTTCTGTTCTTATCATCAATCTATCCATCCCCTTACAATGCATCTTGTTAACCTCCTGAATTAGAGATTCTTCCAAATAGAAACCTTTTTATTGACCACTTTTTCCTCAACGGCTAGCATAATACTTGATTCCATTAGAAGTTTAATAAATGTTTTGATTAAATGAGTGAGGAAATTAGATAAATCATGAATCTATTTTAGTTACCATTTTCTGCATCATGGAAATTCTAGTTGATATCTTCTAAAAATGTTTCTAGCACTGTTCTTCACTTTGTTTAAAAGAGGTATATCCTCAAAGTGTAAGCCCTTGAAGGAAACCCAATGAATTTTTTCTTCCTTTTGATTGTTTTCATGGCCCCTTTCTATTTAAGAATCTTATCTTTCCACCTGTAACATCCCTAGAGGCAAGAAGAAGAACTTCTTTCTCTCAGGAGTGTAGGGAGTTAATAGGGTCAGCTCACCGCATAGAAAAACAAAAGAGGTGCTGTGTTCACTGATTTTTGAACTTGACAAAAGCGGAAACATAATATTATGTCTGCTTACTTTCTGTTATGTGTAGAAAAATCCCAAACACAGTGTCAACCTATCGAGTGGGAATATTTCTTAAAAACATTCAGTTGCAATAGCCTCCTGCCAGTATGCTGCTATGTCTCTTAATCAAGGCAAGTGGTTGTTTACATATAGTGTTGATAACGTTTTATAGGTGGGTTACAAAAAGCATAAAACCTCAATGGGTCAATTCAGACAAGGAGTCAACAACCCTTTTCTGTAAAGAACAAGAGAGAAAATATTTCAGATTCTGCTGATCATAGTGTCTCTGTCACAGCCACTTAACAATGCCATTGTAGTACAAAATCAGGCAGAAAAAATAAAAAAAAAATGAATAGGTTTGGCTGTATTTCAATAAAAGTTTATCTATAAAACCAGCCACTGGTTTGGATTTGGCTTATGGTCCATAATTTTCCAGTCTCTGTTCTACATATTTTTAATCATAAAATGATCATTATTGGATATGAGCTATCTGTGGTGAACTCTTTCTGATCCTAAGGTAGAAATATATGGTTTAGTTAATAGAAATGGATTTGGTTACCTTTGTAATTTAAGGAAAATATTTATTATTCACCAGTGTTCTGAAGAGTAGAAATAACAAAAAAAGAATTCCTAGGGCTCTTACTTTATCAAGACTATAGAAGTGATGCGATCAAATAACATGTAACATGTCCTATCAGATGAAGCATAGAGTTCATTTAAGAATACTTTGTGCCAGTCTCAATCCTGTTGGTCATGATTACCAGGACCTTTTACATACGTTACTGGTATTATAGTGAGAAAAGCTTTAGGCACATAAAGTAAGCATTAATTAAAGCCAGAGAAATGCATGTTTAATAAATTCTACCTGGGAGAAACTTTATGGATTTGTTTGAAAAATTATCTGAGTAGAGAAAGTATAACATCATAAAAGGATTACAAGGTGTAAATGGAGGACATTGAATTTAGCCCCTGAGTTCATCAACAACTTTGGCAGACCTGATGGGTTTCCTGCTGAAATGGCCCTGATATTGCCTCTGTAAATGAAATATGAATGCATTACTTTGCCTCAGCTATTCAGTGTGATAACATTACTACATGATAGGAGTCCCCAGGCTCATTCTCTTAGTTTGGTGGCTTTTGTAAATTGGTTTGTTGAGCTATTAGCAATAATGGAAGCTCGTTACTTTGTTGTTTTTCCTGCCCAATGTTGCTACCAAATTCACTCAAGTTATTCCAATGAATGGAAGACAAGTTAAATACAGACTCAACAGCAAATAATTAGCTTAACATTTAGAGTTGTAAATCTCTGCTTATCATCTGGTTACTTTGCATTAATCCGAGATGGAAAATTCCTAGAATAGAAAGGTAAAGGGATAAGATTTTTGATTAATGGAAAAATACACAGGATTCAGGAGAGAATATGATTGATATATGTCTTATTGAATGCCCATGCTATCTCCTATTTCAAAAGACAGTGAAAATCTCTTGCCCACTAAGTTTTGCTTTTACATAGTGATTAATGAAGATTTATTTCAAGTCATACAGGTTTAGTCCTGGATAACTTTTCATAAAGCCTGAAGGCAAAGATAACATTATTTTTCACAGAAATAATGTAGTTATTTCTTCTCTCAAAATTCCATGTTGTACCAAAGTCTTCTTGAGGAAGTGGCTTGCAATAGTTGGAAGAATACTGCATTGAGAATGCCACAAATGTCTTTCCACAATATCTGTCCCTCTGTGAAACCTTGTGAAAATCTAGTAACTCTTCAGGACCCAAGTCTCTTTTTGATTGATTAAGTAAACTGACATTTCTTAGTGCTCCTATGTGGCCAGTAATGTGTCTTAGTCACTTCCTCACAAAACCCACCATTAAGTCAAGAAAACAGTTCTATCATCTAATAAAGTATGAATGGTTTTCTTAACTCAAATTATTGTTAGATCGTGATGACCTGTAAAAAGGCTTTGCCGTAATATTTTTTCCCTTTTTACATTGAATACAGCACTGTATTTATTTCACAGGTCTTAAAAGTTCTTCTCAGAAAAATGAATTCTGATGAACACATGTTAGAAAGCAACGTATTTTGAAAAGGTAAAGTGTGATGTAGCTGACTTCGCATAAGAACAGACTAAATAACCGTATTGCCTTCAATCACAAGAATGGTTTCATTTTGGCAAAAATCCAAAACTGACTGAACTGAAAAAATCAACAAAGCTTAATATGAAAAGCAGGTTGAAAAGGATAAACTCATGTTTATAGGAATGAGAGGTTACATTTTTATAGCCTGAATATAGAGGTAGAAAAGCAAAATTTATCAAAAAATTTATAAGTTAATGTATTATTATAAGATGTGTTTTTGCTGAAACAATCTTAAATAACAACACATGGAAATATCTGTTAAGGTAGCCATTGCATCTGGGTATGTTTTAATCTACTGTAATGATTAGAAAGATGCAGTGTTCAGTCAATTTTTTTAGGAAAGAGAAATCATATGAAATATATAAAACACTTTGCTTAAAGACTCAAATATATGTATGATGGATATCACAGAAACAAATTGTACAGTATTCTTGGTTAGCTATAAATTCTTATCTCTCATCCTTAATATAGGGCAGACTCTGAAGAACTAAAAGCACACAAGGTCTAAAAATGAGTGATTTCTCTTGCTTTAGGTTAAAAAAAAAACTATGAATTTCTGTCCTGATTTGAGACCTCAAAAAATCATAGATACATAATGGAAGTAAGTCTTACAATATATATCTAGTCAGATACATCGTACCTCAGGGCAATTGTGTATGAGTTGCTATTCTTTTATGTCTGTCATTGATTATGAGCTAACAGCCTATGTTTTGTAGATTCACATAGGTATCATGAATACAAAAATACGTATTTACTCCAACTTGTGATGTCTTGGGATAAAGTCTGATTACGGTGCATGGAGACTTGGTATAAAATACAATATGGTCTTACCACTTGCAAAATCAATCTGTATATATAGTTCCAAACTCATTTTCCTCCAATATCTTTATACATTTATATATGATTATTTTTAAAAGACATATGTTAATGGAACATATATGTACATAAAGAGACATGGGTGGTTGAATGGATAGAAATAAGATGATAGCAGGGTATAGCAAGTTTTCTATTAGCCAATTGCCTGTATAATCGTGTTGTGTTTATGCAGATAAAAGTTGAAGTCAGAAAGTTTTACATCCAGTACTGAAGAATGCATTTGCTTGTTTAGCTATAATAATAAACAATCAATCACTTATTCATTTTTCTATTATTATGTGGTTTTATAAACCACCTTTCATGCTTTTAGAGTTGCATTTGAGAGCATGAAAATTTCAGTTTTCTACTTTGTATTATATGATTTTGTGATTTCCTATGAATAATAAATATTATATATCACATTAATAAAATTACCATTTATTTAAAAATTTAGAAAACTTACTACTTGAAAGGACCTAAGGAAGGAAAGAAAAAGGGACAGAGTCGGAGGGAGTGGTTTTGCTGCTACGAGAATCCCAACATGGAAAGTGAAACAGACACCAAACCCCTTAAAAACTAATTTATTATTGGGCTATAATAGTTGAGGATGTGAGTGTGATTAGGTCTTTCTGAATTTAATACTATAAAACATTCTGTAGCTCAATTTATTGAGAGCTTCCTAAGCCTCAGGAATTCTGTAAGAATCCTCCACACATCTACCTACCTTTGTTCTTAAAAGTATGTGAAAAATATACAATTATACCCATTGTATAGGCAAGTGAAATAATGTTTAGAGGACTAAAGTAGCTTAACTAAGGCTTTATGTCCAGCAAGTGACAAGAGTTGAAATTTAATCCCAAAATGATCCTAACAATAAAGCTTATACTAGGAAAATACTGCCATTTATTGCTTATTCTCCCTTAATTTTGGACACATAAAGATTAAGTGGTCTGGTGAAGTGAGGTTATGCCTTCATGTTGTATGAGATTGTGTTAGCATGTGTCATTTCTTGGGATAGAACTAACTCTGATGAAACAGATACAGAGAAAAAAAAGTACACAATTTTCTGTATGGAATTTAATTTAAGATCATCTCCTGAAAGAAAAAAAATCTAAACTCAAATACAGGTGTGATAGCTTCCTGACCTTTTTGATGAAGCCACATTCTTAATTAAGAGTGTTGAGGGAGTGGTTAAACCACAAGCCAGTTGGAACAGTGTCTGAACAGGTGCAGATGCAAATAGCCTGAAAATGAACAGGACTCATTTTTTATTATCTCGAATACAGTTCCTTTCCAAAGTAGATTTTCTGATTCAAATTCTTTGTGTGCTATAGTTTGCCATAGAAATAAACACTGAAAATAACACATAGAAAAGGTCATTACTTGAACTAGGGTCATTTTCATTTGCTTACAAATTATTTCAGATAACATCCTGGGAAGATAAAAGAACTTTTCAATGATGATACATTTGCTTCCTATCTACCTTTATAATCTTATTGGAGTTATTTGTCCCTATCATGTAACAGGGTCAGTGTCTAAAACTAAATTAAAGTTTCCAATGGCTTCCTCACTTTTAAAAAAACATGAATATCTTGATCAACGTATTATCAATCTGAATCAGGAAATTTGGGTCCTTGGAAGAGACATCACGTGTTTGCATTTGTGAAAGAAATAAAGTTTCTCTGATATCCCCGATACTCTCTGACTCCTAGAGTTTGAAAATAGGATATTATTCATCCTGTTTCCTGTTCATGATTTTAGCAGTGATAAGGACTCATCCAAACTGATCAGACTTTGCAATGTAAAGAGGGAAAAAAAATTCTGCCAAGAAACTTAACAGCATGCTTCATACACACTACACACAAAAACTGTTCTCTGTCTATATTAAAAACAAATGAATATAGAAAGACTTAGCTAGTCTGATAAATTCAGGAAACTTTCTTTAAGTATTTCACCTAAACACCCTACACTCTCTAAATAATCAAGTATGCTCAGGGAATGTATAAATACATTGATCTTTCTCTGCACTCCCACCTCAATCCTTGCTGTTAAAACACATTCTGAGATGCTGACAGAAACTCACATACACACACACACACGCACACACACACATGCACAAAGGAAAAATATATTAAATTGGTAGAAAGAGAAAAAAACTGAATTTTTATCTTTATTCATTTTACAATTTGTTAAACAGAAGTTTCCAAAAGTTAATGAACTCCCTGTCCCCATAAAAAAGATAAACAAATTATTTAAAATAAATGAAATAGATAAATTTCTTAGGAATTACCGTAAATCAATAAAGGAAATACCTGTAGATCTGTCCAAATAGATTTTAAAGTGGCTTATTGTGGACATAGGATTACACAATTAGAATTAAGATATTTCTCTCCAGGATCATTTTTTTGCCATTTTTTAACATTCCCATAATTTTAATAAAAACAAAATTTCAGCAACTCTATGAATCCTGAATTAAAAATCTAAGCATATTAGTGTGATATACTAGTATGCTCATCTCAATATGGCTGAATGAGTCAGTAGAAAGCTTGAATATGAAAGTCAAACAGAACTAGGTTTAAATTTAGTGTTTATATTTAATGAAAATTGAGCTTGAAAAGATAACTGAAGGTCTCTGTTCCCCGTTTCTTATGTATAGTACAGAACTTCTAAAGCTTCTTCATAGATTCCTATAAAAAACATACCCCAGACAAATGTGAAATTTCTTTAATTTTTTTTAATTTCACTGCTCTTGCCCTCTCCCCATTTTTTTGTTTTAACTTCTATTCTTTAATGTTCTCACTCTATAGTCTAAAAACAAGTGACTAACCTACAAACACACTAAATGTAACATCTCCTTTATTTGATTATAATGTGTGGCATTGTAATTCTCTTTGGATTTATCCTAGTTAGATTTCTTTAAGCCCTTCAATTTGTATATCCATTTCTTTCCTCAGGTTTGGAAAGGTTTGGACCATTATGTCTTCTAATAACCTCTGTATACCTTTTTCCTCTCGCTTCACTTGTGGGATTTCCATAATACGTATATTGGTCCACTTGATAATATCACCTACAACTTAGGCTCTTCGGCCTCATCAAATCTGTTGTTAAATCCCTCTAGTAATTTTTTCAGTTTAATTATTGTATACATCAGCTCTAGAATATGTTTGTTTCTTTTCTTTTTCTTTTTTGTTTTTGTAATGGAGTCACACTGTCGCCCAGGCTGGGGTGGTTTCTGTCTCTTTGTTGATCATCTCATTTTGTTCATGTATCGTATTTTTGATTTTGTTTAATTGCCTATCTGTGTTTTCCCATAGCTCATCGATCATCTCGATGACAGTTATTTTAAACTGTTTTTCAAGAGCTTATAGATCTGCTTTTCTTTAGAGACTTTTGGGAGTTTATTTTGGTCTTTTTATTTGGCCATGTTTTCCTGATTCTTTGAATACTATATTTTGCTGGGATATGGGCATTTGAACCACCTCTCCTAGTCTTTAAGTCTTGGCTTCATGCGGGGGTAAGACCTTTGCCAATCAGCTCAGCTGGAGGTTCTTTGACCTCTCAAAACTTTTCGTGTCTCTGCCTGCAATAAAACAGACAAACAAAGAAACAAATGAGTTGGTGACAAATATGCTCTTTTGAACCAACTTAATCATGATTCATTATTATTTTATTATTAATTCTGATGAAGCAATTGAAATTATTTGACCATTCAATTGCATTGATTATCTTCTGGAACCATTATCTACATCAGATACATTGTACTCAGTTATATGCACATGGAAAATGTGGTTAAGCGTTATTTATCCACAACTTGAATTTGCACAAACACATTTTTTTTCTCACTAGGAACTTCACTAAAAATTTTGAAGTTATGATGAGTTCTTGCAACATTTCCCTAATATTTTTTCTTCTTTCCTGCATCTATCATCTTCATTTTCAAAACATTTTGAAGCAAAACTTGAGATTTTTCTATTAAAATCAAACAATTGTTTTCAAGTTTCATTCACTATTTCAAAAGAGAACTTTTAAAGAAGGTTTTTAGAAACTTATGTGGCATTTAGCCATATCTATAATAAACTAAAATAGAACAAGTGCCACTCTGTATTATATTTCAACTTTTATAAGTTATACTACTATGAAATCCCATATTGTTTTATTTTTAACCCCACTATACTGACACTTTCAAATCAATGAGAAAATGTCAGTTAATCCACAATATATTGCTAGATCTCATATTGATTTGTTTTTGGTTTGAGGGTTTTATGTTAAATTTGATTGTATTAATGTAAAATATGAAAATAGTGTACCTAGAATAATAGTGTACCTAGAAACATGTAGGTTTCATTTGTGAACATTTTCTTTTCCTCAATTTTGGCTACATATTTTATCATTTGTGTTATGGATACAATATAGATGTTAAGGTATTGTTATTTTTAACAAGCATAATTCAGCATATAAATGTTTGCAGAGTATCATCTCCAACAGTTAAGTATACAAGACTCTGAGTACCAAGCAGGACCATAAATATAAGAGAGAATCTGTTAATTTTTATAAATATTTTCACAAATTAATTAGTTGTCAGGAAACTGAAAACAGAGATGGGTATGTATTGCTAAAAATCAATTATATATTTTATGCCTTCATTTTACACAGTGCTATGAAGCATATTAATGAATTATTATTATGGAAAGAATAGAAAAAATATTTGTTTATCAAATTAGAACTATGAATTCAGTTGGGATTTCATGAAAATCCAAACCAAATTTATGAAACTTTAAAGATTTCTACCTGTTCAACAATGGTTTTAGTTTAAAATATTCCTGATATATACAGAATTCTGAATAAAATACTATGAAATATGTTATTTCTATTATAGCCTTATAGATTTACTTTAAAAAATTGCTCATTATGCTGTTTAAATATAACATTTAGCGTCCTAATTCATATTAGGAATTATATAAAGTTGCAAAATAAAATTTCTCTTCAAAATGAAAGTATCATTGTTTCAAATTATAAGTAAAATAGATTGATATTTTATTGTTTTTGCTGTTGTTGCTGGTCTTAGCAAATTTTCATCAGGTTTTATTTTTTATGGAAAACTGCTTACGTATTCCCTTAACTATCCTAATAAACTCAGGAAAGTTTGGGTGCCACTCACTGCAGACAGATTTTCTAAGTTAATAAATGTACCTGAAGGCTTTGTAATCAAGGAGGTGTCGTGGAGAAGTATACAAGCCAGACTCTATTCATCCTTTAACTTTTATCTTTTGAAGTAAGTAATCATACTGACTAACAGAGAGAGAGGAGGCACTTTTTTTTATTTTTCATATTCTTTTCTACGGCTTCCACAAGCCCTTTTTTTGTGTTGGAAAATTGCATACATCTTCCTCACTCCTGACATGCTGATAAACTGCTGCTCTTTCATGCGCGTGATGCAGTAGGATTTGGACCTGCAATTTTGTGTTTTACAACAAAATGGAACTGCTAACATTCCAATACTACTGGCTTATCTTGTATAGCTGAGACTAAATTTTGTTGCTTTTCTCAATCTCATACAAAAACTGGAAGACTGATTGCCTTCACTTGGGAAGCAAATTGCCAGGTTCCATCAACTCTGGTGTGGAAATACTGCAGGAGGTAGAATCGCAGATTCTAATACACTTATACACTGATCTAAAAGCTTGATCCTGGTATTGATCCTAGGTATATTAGATCTCAGTCTGCAAACCCATAAAACAATTTTTTTAAATGGTGATGTTTCCTGCAACTTTACATGTCTGTCTAAATCCTTTCTAGAGTAAAAAAAAATTATAGTTAATTTTAGTATTTATATATTTGTGGGTAAACTCAGTAAGGATATTGTGTTAATGGTTTCTCCTTGTTCTGTATTTTTGTAATAGTTGAAAGTGACTACAGTGCCCATGGAGGAGAACACCTAATTCATACCGTTCTGGAAGAGCAGATAGATATTCCTAAGAATATGTTAGAGCAATCCAAGAAAATGTATAGGGCTTATTTAGCAATTAGTTACTAAAAGACTCAAACGTCATGTTGAACCTCATTACTTTAAATCCCAAAACTATATTACCACTAATAATTTTACTTATTTTCAACATATAAATATCTAAAATTAACCACTTCAAATGACAATAGTAAATATAAAACTGAATATGTCTCTTTTTCATGATTTATTTTCAATTCCCTTGTTATGATTTAGTTGCCTCTTTTTGCTTTCTATTTTTCCTATTTATAGATATTTCAAAAACAGTCATTTAAAATATTTCTATTATAAAAATGTTCAAATATATGTAGCAATGTTATCAATGAATATATATCAAGTATTATCGATGAACTCTCATATTCTAATCAATCATCAATCACCTTTTCAAGGCCAATCTTGTTTCATCTCTATCTGTGCTAATTTACTTTAAAGGATATCTCAGACATTTTATCTCTTTTCCTATGACAATTGCAGGGTACAGGTTTAAAACCTAAAGACTTAAAAAAAATCACAATACCATTAATAAACCTTCAGTATCATAAGATTTTTAAATCCCATTAAAGAAACAGTCAATGTTCAATTTCTGTCATTTTCTGATAAACTATAATTTCTCACACATAAATATGTATATTTAATCAGAATGAATCCATATATTGGATAAATCAATAAACTGCATTTTGTTGATATACCTGTAAAGTCCCTCCATTTTAATATATATTTTTTTGAGATATAATCTCACTCTATCACTCTATCACCCAGGCTGGAGTGCAGTGGCATGATCTAGGCTTACTGCAATCTCCTCCTCCTGGGCTCAAGTGATCCTCCCACCTCAGCCTCAAGAGTAGCTGGAACTACAGGTATGCACCACCATGTCCGGGTATTTTCTGTGTTTTTAGTAGAGATAGAGTTTCACCATGTTGCACAGGCTTCTCTCGAACTCCTGAGCTCAGGTGATCCACCTGCCTCGGCCTCCCAAAGTGCTGGGATTACAGGCGTGATCCACTACGCCCAGCCCCTTTTAATCTTTAGACAACTTTTATCCATCCTTTGTTTTTCCTTGCTATCTTCTTTATTAAAGAAACTGGATCCTTTCTCCTTTAGAGTTTAGTATATTCTGGATGTCACAGATTGTTTATCCATAAGGTCATTGAATACGTCTTTCTGCCTAGTATATTTCTGTAAAATAGTAGTTTGACCTAAGAGCTTAATTCAATGCAGCTGGATTACACTTTAGGGAGAGAGGGAGGCATAATACTTCACAGTCATGTTGCATACTTCCATCAGGAGCCACATAATGTCCAGTTGCCTCTTTTTATGATGTTAGAAGCCACTGTGATCATTTCCTAGATTCATTATTTTTTAGGGCTTTGAAAATGTCATATTCTAATTTCATCATTTCTTCTCCGTCAATAAGCTGAAATATACTGAAGAGTAATTTTTTTCATCAACTATTTGGTTACACTGAGGTATAGACAATGGAGGAGATGCAGAAAAATACTTGATTTTCTCATTTTCCTTTATTAATTTAGAACAATAATATGGTGCTTTAGTACCCTTTAAAGGGGAAAAATGTTTAATTTGTAGTTATCATGTTGAAATCAGTTATGTTTACTTATTTTATATGTTTCAATTAATTTCAATGTTAATTCTTATTAATCTTTGGTGGAATGTATCATTTGTTTGTAATTGTTCATTGTTTTCCACTTCATGTATCCTTATCTTTTCCTGACAGAAGAAAGATAGAGAAAACAAATCTCTATCAGAGAAAACTTTTCTGCCTCAATGACTTTGAGCTTAAACTTCTAAGTACTTTGGCCAATAGAGTAAGAATGGGCTTTACTTTTGCCATGTTCCACTATAAGCTGTTAGAGGCAAAGAAAATGTATACCATCCCTGTTTCTTTTCTGTTCTTAACATTAAGTGAACAGAATGTACACAGATCCATTTTTTAATTGACTGTGCTGATACTCAGTGCCCCTGCCCGCCCCTCCACAGAGTATATACAGCAGTCTCTATTCTGATTGATTTGCTTCCACACTGTCCTAAGTATTACATATGTTTGTTATCAATGCTATGTCAGTTGAGATAATTTCAGTTTCAAGTACCAGAATACCAGATTATAAAAAGGTTTAAAAATAAGGGCATTTATTACAAAAATTAGCTGAGTGTGATGGCGCATGCCTGTAATCCCAGCTACTCGGGAGGCTGAGGCGCTAGAATCGCTTGAACCCAGGAGGCGGAGGTTACACTGAGCCGAGATTGCACCGCTCCATTCCAGCCTAGGTGACAGAGTGAGACTCGGTCTCAATAAATAAATAAATAAATAAATAAATAAATAAATAAATAAGAAGCGCATTTAGTAACACACATAACACATTTCCAAGGTTATTGCAAAGTTGATACATCAATTCAGGACTTTGTGCCTCTCAAAAATTCTCTTATGAGTACGCCCGCTTTTTTGTTATGACCTTGAATAGTAATATCCTAAGGCCAGGATCAAAAACGGTTTTCCTCCAACAAAGGAAAGAAATCTTTCCAGAAATGTTTATCAGACATCTTGTATTTTATTACCCACAGTACAGTTACATTTCCACTGCTAAGCCAATCACCACCAAAGGTATTCAGATTAACAAATCACAATCTTTTATCTGGAATAGCTGTACTGTTGCTTAGAACATCATTAATATTGGAGGGCTGTAGCATACAAGAATGAGTAACAGCAGTTGGGTAGGCCACTAAGAGTGTTTGTGTTAGGTTATTTACTATTAGGTAGCATTTTCACTTGTGAATACAACTTAAAGCTCAATCTAGATAAGTACACATAAGGCTAGTATTCAATTGTAAACATGTACATATAATAATGCATTTAACTATTCCCATTGCCTTTACTGACTTTTGTTATTATAAATTATATTTTATTTGTTTATTTGTAGTATTTGTTTTTCTTTTTCTTTCTTTGTTTTTAGAGACGGGTCACAATATGTTGCCCAGACTGGTCTCAAACTCTTGTCCTCAAGTGATCCTTCTGCCTCGGCCTCCTAAATTGCTGTGGTTATAGGCATGAACCACCACACCCAGCCCAAATAATATTTTAACAGGTATTTTTTGTCTTTGAACTCCTCGGAGATACACACACAGACACACACAGGTACACATATGTTTATCACACTAAATATGTATGCATATGTTTATATGTACACACACGCACATATATATCCTCCTGTATACATATTTTGTTGGATCAATGTTTGAACAGTTAACAGTTTGAAGGATAATGCAAATTTCCTCTACAAAAATTTTTAATGCATACATTCATCAATAACATATGACGTCACTTTTTCTCCTAATTTTTCTTCAGCAATGCAACATGATACTTTTTGTCTTTGCCAATTTAACCGATTAAAAAAAGTCTCCTGTTATTTTCTACCTTGTATATCTCTAACTATGGGCATTTTTAAGCAACTTTTTTTGTGTTCGTAAGGCATTTTTTTTAAATTTTATAGCCAGCTACATTTCTGTACTGGAAGATTTGTATTTTCTTACATCATCATAGGATATATTTTGGTTTACTTGAAAGAAACTGAAAAGTTTAAATGGAAAATAAATAGATAGAAATAGCTGACATTATTTTGGTAAAGATGAAAATATATTGTGATTTGCATTATTAGATATTAAAATTTTTATAAAAATACAGTAATACAGATTTTTTCTTCAGCATAAGAAGACAAATATAAAATACTATGAAACTCAGATACAGAAAAGTAGTATAGATAAACATTAGTGTACTCTTCTTGCCTGATGAATTAATGAAAAAACATGCTGAAGTATTATATTAGTATTGAAAGATAGTAGGTGCACCTAAAATATAATAAAACACGTAGATTTAAATATAGGTACACTTTATAGTCAGTTTAACTTTGGGACATCCCTGAGTATAAAATTCAATGAAGAAGCTCTAAAAGAAAAGACAGTATGACCATTGTACTGATTCTTTTTCACCAGCATACAATTAGATTCTAGTATTTTTTATTATAATAACAAAATCACAACACTTCATTGACCTTTCATCACCTTTCATCTTTCATGACCTTTCTTTCATCTTTCATAAACTGCCTCATTCATCTTCTAACGTCTACAGAAAAGGTTTTTGGGTTATGTTCACTTTGGCCTCTACATCCTTCCTTTCCCTTAACCCTTTAACGATTCCCATGGAGCTTCTTTTACTACCACTGCACTGAAAATCTTCCTTACAACATATTCATCAACATCCATCTGACAAATGCAAAGGATACTCAGTTTATAAAATTCCTTAAGTATAACTTCATAACTCTTGTGAGAAATGTTGCTTTGGCTGCCACACTCAAAAAAAGATAATTTCTTAGTTCTGTGGTCTGTAATTATCAGCCTCCTTTGTCCTCCCCCCTCTACCTGAATTCTAAATATTGTAGTGCCTTGGGGATTAATATTGCTACCCTTTTCTAGGAAACATTTTTCTGGTAGTGTCATCTGATTCCATAGTTTTGCATATTATCTATGTGCTGGAAAGTCCCTAACACATTTTTCTATACTCAGTATCCCCCTTGAGGTTCAAGAATATCATAGCCAGTTCCTCATTTGATATTTACATATCAAGAAGGGTTGTCAAAAATGTATTATGGCCAAATAAGAGGTCTAGATTTTGCCCTCCAAAATGTCCTCTAATCTATCCATTTCAATAAAAAAAAAATCACTATCCCAATTGCTCAAGACTTCAACTTGCTTTCAGCTTTGATTCTTTGCCTTTTCTCATTTTTTATATACAATTTTTTAAGAAAAACTCTTATTCCTACTTCGAAAATGTACTCTGATTTCCCCTGTGTATCTGCGTCCCTACTGTCAACAACATCCCTCAACTGAACAATTGTTGCTAAAAGACTACCATCTTCATTTTGTCCCAGAGAATTGTCCTTTAACGATTGGGAACTGTTTGATCAAGAGATGTCCGGGAGATTGCACCAATCATGATGAATTACTCACTGGTGTGGGGTATAAAAGCACAGCCCCCTGCCTCACGATAATGCAAATTTTGTGACAGAATTCATAGACCAGAACTACTCCTAGGATCACTAAGAGGCTAGACTATCCTTGAAAACACATCTTTGCGTAGCTTCTTTCTCTGTCCTATCCTGCTTCACAAACTCCCTTACACTTTTTCCCTAAGGACACTGTCTTAAATCACTTGCATAAGAATCACCATCTCTGGCTCTGTTGCTAAGCAAAATGACTGAGACACCAACCTGAACAATGTGGGAAGATGAAATTCAAAGTGACATGAGAACACAAAATTGGGAATTGTTGCCTAGATTTTCTTAGATAAAGAGTCTATAGATATTTAATTCAGCTCTTTATTTAGCCAGATGATATGAAAGAAATTTCCTAAAATAAACAATGCTTTAAAAGTTGCAAGAGCAGTAAGAATATTACATTTGAGAAAAAGTAAGTTCAGTAGATCTGGAAACAACATGATAGGAAATAGTAGGAAGATATGACAGGAGTGAAAGTGAAGGGAAAGGTTGTAGAGCTACATTGAGTAGAGACTTAGAAATTGTCTAAGCTGTTATTGACATGATTAAAATTTTAAATTAGAATGTCATCTTGGTTGTTCCTTTCTCCTCTGCTTAGAGACTTTCCAGAAATATTGACATCCTAATTCAGAAACAACCTTGCCCTGAAACTGCCATTGGCAATATCATTAAAACTCTTGCTTCCAACATTTCTATTTCTTGTTTAATTTGAATTTGTTCATGGCATGCTTCATTCTACTCCAGTACATATCATAACCTGTCTTCAAGGCAGGAACTTGGCTGTTTAATTTAGGTTTTTATTTTTCATTTTTAATACAATATTCCCAGTGTCTCAGGTTTCACACATCACATACTAAACAGTAAATAATAAATGTTATGGGTTTTGTCTATATTTTGAGTGATTTCAATTATAATATATTATTAAAATAATGTAGTAAAGTAGTTCTTATATTACTCAAAAAATATATTTCAAAAGTTAAAAATATTGGCGCAAGAAATAAACAGACTTACCTTAATGGTGTCTTTCTAATAAAATTATACCTGAAACCAAAAAAGCCATATTTTTTCTTTCTAATCTTTAAAAGATATGTTTAAGTATTTTCTCACATTGATTTTTGTATTATGAACTCAAAATTTCTGATTTATGTTTAACTGTCCTGAATGGGAAGCAAAGGTCCCCAAGACACTTTTCTCGACAGCTGAGAACCTTGTACAGGCTTCTTTTTTGTTCTTCTTTAGGAAGAAGTCAGGAGTTACTCATATCTAGCAACATTATAATCTTTCTGAGTGATAGGTGTCTTACAACTTATAAAACAAATAAAAAATGGTCATGCCTAAACTCGCCATACATTTTCTAATGACTCATTTAATGTAGTTGACTATTTCTAAAGTCATTATTTGAGAGGAATGACTTATATGAGGGTAGGTTATCTAGCAACCATTCCTAACAGAAGAGTAAGTGCTTTGTTCTAATTATGAAGGACAAGTACGTCCGTGTGGGTCTGTGTCCCAAAATCTGATTGTGATTATGGTTATTTTTGTTATCGTTAATGTGTCACAGCAGTAGAAATATTTGGTCTAAACTAGTTCAAGAATTAGATTTAAAAACATAAATACAAAATATGTAGAGTGGCTTCAGATACCATCTTCACATTGGAAAATATATGAGAAAGTTATGGACAAATTAGACTTAAAATTAGGTAAAAGTCCAAAGAAAAACTGTTATTCTAACTTGATGTAATTTTCACCTTTTCCTTCCCAAACATTTACCCTTTTTCCCAGTCCATTGCCTCTGCACATTTCTCAGGTCTTGCCTGTCCAGAGGAAACAACTATCATATTCCTGGGAATTAATGTATTTGTTTGCTTCCAGCTTTATTACAAAAGCAGATTCATGAAAAGTTCTAATAGAAAATGCATATCCTACATCATACTGGAAGAGCCAAGGGGCTTTCTTTAGGCTAACACATTGATACTGAAAGAACAATAATAACACAGAACTGTAGAAGACTGTGGATTTTTTGGTAGAGTAAAAAAGTTTTATATACCTCAATACTTTCAAATAAATACACTTTCAACCTTTCATGTAAATGGAAAATAAAAGGTTATTAATATTTAACTGGGAGAATTGATTCCTTTTATGACATATTGCAGGTATCAGACTTTATCACAATAAATCTGATTTCAAATATCTGAATTAATTTTATAATCTGTTTATAATTAAATGTATTCTTAAAATCAAAGTCATGCTAACAGTTTTAGTGTTTACTATAAATATTACATGTTCAAAATCATAGTTTTTATACATTATGTATTCAGTGGTCTTATCACTCGTGTTTAATTACGAATTGTGAACATGCTTCTTTTTATTGTCACTGAAATTCATTTTATTTGTTACAAATCAAATGTTTAGCTTGACAAAGAGAAATAATGCTTGACAAGAGATGTCACATCGATATGCCATTAAAGGAGACATTATGTAATTCAACCTTGATGAAGGGCTTTATGCAAAATTCATCACCTCCATTTGAGTCAAGCACTTGTGTATTCATTTATCAGATAAGTACTACCTTGAGCAGTCTATTTTTTTACAGCTGTGATCTCTGACCTAGTTTTTAAATGATGGCAATAGAAAATGCCTCCCAAATACCTGAAAACATTTTATTCTCAGTGACATTTTATAGCCAGTTCACTATTTAGCAGTTGCTAAGTAGACTGTGAGATAAAGGTATATAAGAAAATAAAAAGCAGTAGAATCTAGGGTCAGATTTCCATGAAGTTTAATCAAATTCAATCACAGCAGCACCACCTATTGGTAATTTTTTTTCAGCGTGAACTCTAAATAATATTGCTTGTATTAACTTATATTTTGAATTAAAATACGAATATTTTCCTTATACTCAATTCATACATTATTTCTCAAACCAGGCCATAATTGTCAAGTGCATTCCTTTTTTATGATAATGTCTACATAAATATTTATCTTTATATATAACCTTCAGTTTTATATTCTGGGAGTATCCAGTGTCTATTTCTACCCACTGAATATTGTCAGCATGCACATTTCAATGTGTACATCAATACAGGATTTTTCATTTTCCTAAAATAATGTCATTGGCTCATTGCCCTGTGTGTAAGAGACTAAGGAATTTTATTTTAGTACCAGAATTAGAGTTTTCTTATTTATAAAAATGTTATGTTTTTTTCCTGTCTAAAATTACTATTATCTTTTGGGATCGTACATCTGCTGTATGAAGAAATACCCTGACTACAAAAGAAGGAAAGTAGAAGTGAATATAATTATGTCTGTTAACACAGGGAACAATCCCAGTGACCTTTATTCACCACAACATCATTATAATATGAGGCTTGGGCATCTTTCTTAGGTGTCCAGATATAATAAATTATAGTATAAAATAATATTAAATATTAAAGAAGATAATGTCAACTGTGTAAAAATATATACAGAGGGTCAGGTGCAGTGGCTCACACCTGTAATCCCAGCTATCTGGGAGGCTGAGGCAGAAGAATCGCTTGAACATGGGAGGCAGAGGTTGCGGTGAGCCGAGACTGCACTATTGCACCCCAGCCTGGGCAACAAGTGTGAAACTCCATCTCAAAAAAAAATACACAAATATATATATATATGTGTGTGTATATAATTTGTGTATATATATATTTGTGTATATATATGTGTGTATATATATATGTGTGTATATATATATTTGTGTATATATATATTTGTGTGTGTGTATATATATATGTGTATATATATATAGAGAGAGAGAGAGAGGGAGAGAGAGGTTTCTGGACATTTTATACCATAGGAAGTGAGACTAGCCCATTCTCAGGGAAGGAACTAGGAAAATATAGCCAATAAATCTGAAGTTTTATAAAACCCCAAAATGACCTCTAATCATTATTAGGCTATAGGGTGGAGGTAGAGCCCCTCAGACTTTTCCACACAATCTATAATATACTCAACAAATAGGCTTCATTTAGTCATCACAAGTTGATTTCATTGACCCACATATTTACACTCATAGAAATTTGAAAATAAAAAGTTATACCTTTTTCCACATGAATTATCTTAAATAGAAACATTTCATTCTACAATTAGTAAATAAAATATCTGTGATGAAATAAGCTCTTAACACTTTTGGATTTCAGCTAAGTGTAATTGGGAAACAAATACAGACAACTATTGTTTAGATCATTTATTCTTTTGCTAAGAAAAATACAAACAATAAAACACCTATAGAGATATACACTTCTCCTAAAATTGAGAATTGCACATGCAAGTATTTGAAAAATTATTGAAAGTAATGACTAAATAAAAAGGCCTTGTTTAGTCTCAAGAGCCAAAAAATAACTCATAAGGTAATATGTTTTTCAGTTCTGCAGATGCAAGTTGCTATATTTGACATGATTTCTAAGTATTTTGTTCATATGTATTTATGAACACACAAGTCTGTTCTTTGAGGAACACTCATTATTAAAGCTTCATAATATTGGATACTTTTCAGAAATACAGAAAACAAAATAACCCACTATAATGAAATGAATGGTGTCCCTCATAATTCATGTATTGAAGCCCTATCACCCAATGTGACTATATTTGGAAACTGGGCCTTTAATAATTTAATTAACACTAAATGAGGTCATAAGAATGGGGCTGTAATTCAAATAGGACCAATGTTTTTATAAGAAGAAGAGACACAAGGGGGCTTGCTCCCTCTCTTTGCCACACATATAGAGGTCACGTGAGAACACAGCCAGAAGGTGGCCATCTACAGGTGAGGAGGAGAGTTCTTACCAACATTGATGCCACCTTGATCTTGGACTTCTAGCTTCCAGGATTATGATAATTTTTTTTTTTTTGTTTAAGCCACCAAGTCTATGGTATTTTGATACGGCAGCTTCAGCACACAAATATAGCCACCATACTCATTCTGTCTCCAATGTTCTACTATTTCAGAATTTTATTTGTAGAAGATGCAAACACATTTAACAATACATTTCTCTTTATTGAAAACTTGGTGTTTGGTCCTGAGGCCTTCTCTTGTATCTATTTTGTAAACAAAAAAATATGCCCATATGTGCAGTCCCATTTCTCTTCTCTGGCCATGTGTCTCCAGATATGCATGGATATGTATTATACCATTTGTATTTACTTAGCCCTTGCTGCATAGCACACCATCCCAGAACTTAGTGTCGTCTCACAACCCATTTTCATCATTTCAGAGTTTCTTTGAGTCAGGAATCCAAGCGCAGCTTAGCTGGGCTCTCTACTTCACTGTCTTTTTGAAGGTTACAATAAAGGTCTCCAGGTTCTCCAGTCTCATTAGTAAGCTTAACTGGGGCAAGTTTGGCTTCTAAGCTTACTAACCTAGATGTTGGCAAGACTCAGTTCCTTGAATATTGTTCAACTGAGGTTCAGTTGAAGATGTTAGTTCTTCACTGACTGTTGGTTGGAGCCTGCCCTCAGTTGCTTTCCAGGGGAGGTTATTCTGCCTTACAGTTTGCTTTAGCAAAGTGTGCAAACTGAGATGGCAATCAAGAAAGTATTTCAGCAGGATGAAACACCCACTCTTTTATAACTAATCACAGAAGTTATATCTCATCACTTCTGTCACATTTTAAGTACTAGATTCAGTCCACACAAAGAGAGAGGATGACATAAGGATGTGAACACCAGGAGGGCAGTTTATGGAAAGCTGTAGCAGAAGCTAAAGTTATGTTGTATCACATTAAATGTATATGTATATTTTCTTGGAAAAATATACACTGTTGTTTGAGCATATGCAGTTTTAATCTTAACAAAAATGTTGTTTTATAGATGATAGATAGATAGATAGATAGATAGATATGGTGTTATTTGTTATTTTCTACTTTAATGTGTGCATTTTTATATCTCTACATATGCCTTCCTATATCTATATCTCTACTTCCCCAATATATATCTCTCACTCTGTTTATCTCTTGGCATCTTGGCTTCTGTGCCTATCTCTGTCTCTGTCTCTCTCTCTCCACATACATACACATATCTGTTTATCTATCTATCATCTATCTTTTACATATCTATCTGTATCATGTGTGTATATATCCTTGAACTATGTATATTTGTGTTTGTGGGTATGTATTTTGGAATTCTATATAGATACACAGTGTTGTTCTCTACTTTTTTACTTCAATACACATTTTTATGATCTATCTATGCTGCTGTATATGTCTATTAATATTTAATTTCTGCCTACTATACATTACTGTAGTTACACTGTAGTGCTTTTAGTACAAAGAGCAATGAATTGCACATAATAGTATTCAGTAAATATTTATTCATTGATAAGTGCAACTGGACGAGGAATTGAAAGACAAGTCAGTTTAAAGAAATAGAAAGACCATTAACGAAAAGATATTTCTAAACTGTCTCAAACTTAGGAGAATTAGGTGGGGTTAAAGATTGGCAAATTTTAAACCATAACTTATAACAAAAATTAGAAGTGTAATATCTCCACCTGGTCCATTGGAGAACACTTTCCCAAGTTTGAACCTTACTTTAATCGAACAAATTGACATCTTTTAATACATTTTCTCTTCTCTTTAGTTTTTGGGGAAAAACATGATATGCTAAGAGATTATGTCTTTAATCTTTCATTCAGGGGTGAAATTAGAGTTTCACACTGCCTCCTAATTTATTCCCTAGGACTTATAAAATTGAATAATTCTTAAAAAAAAAAAATAGCCCGGTGCAGTGGCTCAGGCCTGTAATCCCAGCACTTTGGGAGGCCGAGGCAGGAGGATCACTCAAGGTCAGGAGTTTGAGACAAACCTGGCCAACATGATGAAACCCCCTCTATATGAAAAATCTAAAAAAGTAGGTGGGCATGGTGGTGCACGTCTGTAGTTCCAGCTACTTGGGAGGCTGAGGCAGGAGAATTGCTTGAACCCAGAAGGCGGAGGTTGCAGTGAGCCAAGATCACACCAGTGCACTCCAGCCTGGGCGACAGAATGAGACTCTCTCAAAAAATAAAAATAAAATTAAAATTAAAAAATACAAAAAAATAAAAATATAAAAATATATTAGTCATACTTTTTTTTAGCTGAATATCTTCTCATAAAATAAGATTTTCTGCCATGATATATTGGTCTAAATTATACAATTTGTTTGACTCACAGAAACTAAGTCAGAGACCAATATCCCATTGTACTGACAAAAAAATTAAATATATGTTCCCATATTCACTTTAAATTGGCACAGATCTTGGCAGTTACATGTACCTAGTCTAAACCTAAGTTGTGAACATTTATAAAATTGTTGAAAATAATATGAGTAATTTTAACTAATGAGTTCTGAGAATGAAACTCTCTTTTACCTTAAAAAAAAAAAAAAAACACAGATCTAATGTGAGAGAGAACCCCATACCCATTTCCATGTCCTATGTATATTGAATGGATTTTTCTTTCCTAAACAAGGCATTTTACAATGTTCAACGTTTCTTAGTATTAAAGAGTCATGTTGAACTTTTTTTGAAACAAAGTCAATTTTTTCCAAGTGTTTAATCTTTGAGCAACTGGCAGTCTCTTTTGTCAAGTGAGTAAATACATCTCAACCATTTTTGCTCTTAAAATTCAAATTCAAATTATTTTTGTATGAATACATTTTGCCAAGCACCCTATATAATAAGCATGAACTGTCAATTCCCTATAATTTTGAGGCAATTTTTATATGTTACACCACTATTATGTTCTTGTAGGGTAATTGGTAATTATACCTAAATTGGGGTGCTTAGAACTGTTACTTACTCTTGAGGAAAAATTATCCGTAATTTTCCTCAATAATCTTTTTTTCTACTTAGATGTTTTATAATTCATTTACATCAGGTGCATGACAGATTTGGCCTCTTTAATAGCGTTCTCAGGACACGATAGGTTAAATTCTTCGTCGTATAAGATTAAGTAAATATAATGAATGGTTGCCAGTCTGGAAATGACTCTTCCTTCCTCTCAATCCCTAGATCTAAGCCAGAAAGATAATGTTAAATGTGTCTGACCAAAAGACACACCAGAATGTTAAATCCTTGTGCTATTCTTTTGCTTATATTAAATGTAAGAAACGGTTGCAGCAAATATTCTCTAGCCAAATACCACTAGGAATAAAATTATAATTGAATAATTTGGGTTTATTATTTGTTTCATATATAGGAAAAATTTTTCATACCATAAGGAATTGTGAAGCTTCTCAACAAAAGCAGGTAAAAAAGAATTAATGTATTTTGGCCTGTATTAGATGATTCAGGGGCAATGTAAGAAAGTGTATTTCCCAGCTTTGCTTTGAATTCAATGTTGTTGGGAAGCAGGAATAATTCTGTGATTGAGTAACTTAACAAATCTTATAAAGAAGAAAGTCCAGGTCAATCTAAAGCTATAACTGGGAAAGAAGCAAGAGTCACTCAAAGTAGTCAAGGTAAGGAAGTTCTCGGACATTTCCGTGGCTCGGACAATTATGGCATCTTGTCTGTGTTCTCACATTATTATGGAGTGGGCTTGTTTCTGTCCTGATCTAACATGATTACAGAATGACCTCATCTGACGTTGATGTACCGTGAAATTGTGTTCAATAGGTGGACACCAAGGCCCCGCTGTTGAGTGCCAGACCAGCTCATAGCATCACCATGATCTAGCTGGCAGTACCAGGCCAGCTGCTGGATTTCAGGGTTCTCCCCTTTCTCAGTAATTATAGCCTCTTATAACATATGGTCAACCACCTATGCTAGAAGTTGGAGATAAAATGAAGAGAAAGCACTCTTTTTGGTGAACTGATATCCCCTTGACTCATTCATTAATGGCCATCTTTGCTGGCTTTCTGTCTGTCTACAATACCCAGAAACTTGCTACCTCTGGATCTTTTAATTCTCTTCATAATCATCAAAGTTTATAATTATAGTTATTATTCATGCTTTTGTTTAAAAATCTTAAAAATAGCTGTCTTCATCATGCAATTGAGATAGCCCTATTCGTTCTTCATTACTCTTTCTTGTTAATAATATTATTTTTATTGGCAAATTAAAATGGCATATATTTGTGATGTAAAATGTGATGTTTTGATATATGTATATGATACAGAGTGATTAAATCAAGCTAATTAACATATTTATCACCTCATTTTGCATCATTATTTTATGGTGAGACATTTGAAATTTACTCTCTCTTAGTTATTTTGAAATATACGTTACATTATTATTGACTATAGTTAAACTGCTATGCAACAAACCTCAAAACCTATTACTTTTCTTCTTTGGAAACTTTTTATCCTTTGACCCAAAACTCCCCAGTCCTTCCTTCCCCACCTCCTAGCCGCTAGTAACCATCATTTTACTCTCTACTTCTATGAGTTCAACTTTTTTAGATTCTAATATAAGTGAGATCATGCAATATTTGTCTTTTTGTGCCTGCCTTAATTTCATTAGCATAATGTCCTCCAGATTCATCCCTGTTGTTGCAAGTGACAGAATTTTCACCTATTTTAAGTCTAAACAGTATTTTATTGTGTATATATACCATATTTATGTTATCCGTTCATCTGTCCATGGATACTTAGGAAAAATCCATATCTTGGCCATTGTGAATAAGGCTGCAATGAACATGGAAGTGTAGATATCCCTTCAACTCTCTTCCCTTTTATCATTACATCTATTAATCTCTAAAGAAAATATCTTGTTTAGTTTTTATTTACTTGCTGTCTGGGCAGATCTCCCTCTAAAAATGATAAGTGCCATGAATTTATGAATCATCTTGATTGTGTTCACTGCTCTTTCCTCCAACACATTCTAGGCACTCATTAAATACTGGATGAATGAATAAATATAGAAAGTGGATTTGATTATTAAGTCCTGTGTTTTCTAAAGTTCTTGATATTATTGCTCTTCTGAAGAAGAAAAATTTCAAAATTAGGAAGATATAATTTATTATCAAAGTGAATATAAGAAAGGCACCATACTAATTAGAGTCTTCTGAAAGAACCTCATATTTCCTGGGAAATGATGTCCAGGAAGAGCAGGAAGAGGATCCTCGAAGTCATATCATGTGGGCATAATTTTGGTCACTATCTTAGAGACTCTTCTTTATCCCCAGGGCTATGCAGAAAGCAATTAAAATTAATGATTTTTACACTTAACAGAATTAATTTTGTGGCATTTTTGTGACTGTGGGCTGAAAGTTTTCACCTGGAGGCAATCACAAGCTCTCTTGAGAAAACAATTTAGCTGATTGTGGATGATACATTCTGATAAATTACATCTTATGTCAAACTTATCTGTCTAACCCTACTGCAGGCAGCACATGCTTGCATGTAAACTTAGATAACTAGACTGTAGGGCAGGTTCTCTCTCACATTCCAGGAGGAGTATACTGCCTAATCCCTCCTGGTGACAAGATTAGGCAGTCCTTTAGGGTCCTAGCACAAGATAAACTCAGACTGTTTCAGAGTGATGTCGGCAAGATAGTGGAATAGATGGCAATCTACTCATATCCTTCTACAGGAAGAATTTTGCAACTATCCACAGACAAAAGTCTCTCTGCAGGAGTTTTGGGATTCAATTAGAAAGTTGTGAAACACTAGTAGAGTCCTAGGCCTAGGATGGCTGTTTTGAGAGTGCAGACTACCATCCAGCTAGCACACCCACGGATCTTTCTCTTGGGTTCAAACCAAGAAACAGACACATTTTCCAAAGGGCTTTGCTACAGTGCAGTTTAGACTTGAAACGTCAACCAGAACCATCTGTCAAGGGGTCTGGGAAGAATTGTACACACTGTTTCCTCAGTGGAGAGGCTCCTCTTCCCATTAACATAGGTCTCAGCAGTAGATTTGAAAGTTTTCCTGTGGCTTGGCTCCATCCCCCAGCAACCAGGGACTCAGCTTTGAACTGCTCACACAAAGATACCAGAGGAAAACATATTTTATAGTCCGGGAGTCTGAAATTCCATGATGGGCTCACCAACTTCCATCCCATAGAAGACCCCTAGGTGGCCCAATTTTAACTCCAGACCCTCCTGGTACAGTTGGAGACCTATCCAGCTTATGAAAAAACCTACTGGAAGACAAGTGCCTATCTAAACCGATAAGCAGGACAGGACAGCCTCTGTTCCACAAAAGATATTGAGGTGGCCCAGTATCAGCTCTAGCCCCTCTAACTGAAGTTGAGAAAATACCTTACCTGTGCAGGAACCTATGGGGAAACATGTGCCCCAAGGAGCCAATGAGACAGGTTTTCCAGGCTCTGTACCACAGCAGATCCTGAGGGGTCCAGTCTTGACTGTAGCGCATCTTGCTACAATCAGGAAATTGTCCCATTTTGCAGGGTTTTGCTGCCCATCTGGGTTACTGCGTCAGGATCTGGACATGTGTCACTGGACAACTTGTCACATAGCTCGAGTACCATCCTAGAGTCTATCCCAAGTCCATTCAGGGAGGAAATCCAGGCCAACTTTGAAGCTCTCAAAAGACATGTAGCAAATATGGGTTTAGGTCATCCTCTAGTGCTGAGACAGTTTTAGAGGTCATGGGTCCAGGGAGCACAAGAGTCAGTCTACTTAGAATCTGAAGAATTAAAGAAGAACAAGAACAAACAAAGCCAAACTGCAAGGACTGGAAAGAATACCTGATACCACAATGTACAGAAATTGTCACATGTCTACAAGCATCAAGAACATTAAGGGAGCTGGGTGCAGTGGCTCATGCCTGTAATCTCATCAATTTGGGAGGCCAAAGTGGGCGAATCACTTCAACCCAGGACTTTGAGAGCAGCCTGACCAACATGGTGAAAACCTGTCTCTACCAAGAAGGAAATATAAGAATTAGCCAGATGTGGTTGTGAGAATCTGTAGTTCCTGTTACTCAGGAGTCTGAGTTGGGAGGATCGCTTGAACCCAGAAGATGAGGGCTGTAGTGAGCCAAGATTGCACCACTGCACTCCAGCCTGGGTGACGGAGTGAGATTCTCTCTCTCAAAAAAAAAAAAAAAAAAACGTAAAGAACATAACCCATAAACAAAAGGACAAAATAAGGTTCCAGAGACTGATCTTAAAGTGACAGAGATGTGTGTAATGTTTTTTCAGACAAAAAATTCAAAATACCTGTTGTAAGAAAGCTCAATGAATTCTGAAAAACACAGAGGAACTATTCAGAAACTTATCACAGAAATTTAACAGACATGAAAATACAAAAAAAAATCAGAAATCCTGGAGCTGAAAATACAATAAACAAAATAAAAAATGCAATAGAAAACATCAATGGCAGAATCAATCAAACAGAAGAATAGTTAGTGAGCTCAAAGTAGGCTATTTGAAAATACAGTACATTATATAAAAATACTGTCAAAGGAGTTTAAAAAAAGATGTAAGAAAACATATGAAATTTATAGGACAACATCAAAGAGCAATAATTTGAGTTATTTGAGTTCAGGAGTGAATTTAGAAAAACAAAGGAGTAAAAAGTTTATTCAAAGAAATAATAACAGAAAACTTTCCAAACCTGGAAGAATATATAAATATCCAGGTTGAGGAAGGTCAAAAGTCACCTAGCAGATTCAACCCAAATAAGCCTAACAAAGACATATTATAATCTAACTCGAGGGTAAAAGACAGAAAGAAAATTCTGATAATAGTCAAAGAAAAGAAGCGAATAATATATAAGGGAGTTCCAATAAGCCTGGCAGCAGACTGCTCAGCAGTAACCTTGAAGGCCAAAAGGGAGTGGGATGATATAGTTAGAGTGCTGAAGAAAAGAGAAAACAAAACAAAACTGCCAATGAAGAATATAGTACCCAACTAAGTTATCTCTTAGAAAGGAAGGAGAGATAAAGACTTTTCTAGACAAACATAAGTTGAAAGAATTCATCATTATCAGATCTGCCTTACAAGAAATGCTAATGGAATTTCTTCAAACTGAAAGGAAAAGATGCTAATATGTAAAAAGAAAACATCTGGAAGTACAAAACTCACTGATAAAAAATAATTACATAGGAAAACCTTACTTGTTTTAATACTCTAATACTGTAATAATGGTGTATAAACTACTTATATCTTTAGCACGAAGATCAAAACACAAAAATATTATATAATGATAAAGGGGCAAGATGATAAAATAATTTTAAAGATATATGTACCCAACATCAGAGCAGCTAAATATATAAAGCAAATATTGATAGATCTAAAGGAAGACATAGAATGCAATTCAATGATAGTTGGGGAACTGTAATACTCCCCTTTTATCAATCAGCAAATCATCCAGACAGAAAATGAAAAAAAGAAACATAAGAGTTAAACAGCACTCTAGACCAAATGGACATAACAGACATTTATAGAATATTCCATTCAACATCTGTGGAATACATATTCTTTTTGACAACACGTGAAACATTCCCCAGGATAAACCATATGTTAGGCCACAAATCTTAAAAAAAATTAATTAAAATTTTATCTAGGATCTTTTCTGACCAAAATGAAATAAAAATAGAAACCAATAACAAAAAGATGATTGGAAATTGAATAAGTACATGGAAAAAAAGCAAAGTGCTTCTGAACAATCAGTGGATCAATGAAGAAAAGAAGAAATCAAAAAAATTATTTAGGTAAGTGTAAATAGAAACACAACATACCAAAATCTATGATATACAGCAAAAGCCATTCCAAAGAACTTACAGCAATGAATGATAAAGTAAATAATAAACCAAACGATAAAGCACTTACTTTAGCAAGAAGTAAATGGAGTTCAAATACCTAATATCAACATAACAAAAATCAGTAGCATTCCTACACACTGGTAGCAAACTACCTAAAAAAGAAATCAGAAAGCAATTCCATTCTCAACAGCTAACAAAAAAAAGTACTTAGAAAGAATTTTAACCAAGAAGAGGTAAATATATCTACAAGAAAAATTGTAAAATATCAATGAAAAAAATTGAGGAGGACACAAAAACAGATCCCATGTTCAAGGATTTGAGGAATCAATATTGTTAAAAATGTCCATGCTTCTCAGTAAGATCTCAATACAATGTATAGATTAAATGCGATCTCTATCAAAATACCAATAAGATTCTTCACAGAAGTTTTCTTTTTCTAAAACCCTAAAGTTTTGATAGAACCACACACGAGATGCCAAATAGCCAAAGTACTCTTGAGCAAAAAGAACAAAGCTGAAGACATCACACTACTTGACTTCAAAATATATCACAAAGCAATATAATAAAGTAATCAAAACAACCTGGTGCTGGCATAAAAACAGACGTATACTTCAGTGGAAAGAATAGAGAATTCAGAAATAAATCCACAGATTTGCAGCCAACTGATCTTTGACGAAGTCACCAAGAACACACATTGGGGAAAGGATAGTCTCTTCAATAAATGATGCTGGGAAAACTAGATATCTATTTGCAGAAGACTGAAACTGGACTCCTATCTTTCACCATATACAAAACTCAACTCAAAATGAATTAAAGGCTTAAATGTAAGACTTGAAACCATAAAACTACTAGAAGAAAACAGGAGAAATGCTTCACCACACTGGTCTGGGCAATAATTTTTGAAATAAGACCTCAAAAAACATAGGCAACAAAAGAAAAAGAAAGTAGGTAAATGGAATTTCATCAAACTAAAACTTCTACACTGCAAAGAAAATAATCAAAAGTGAAGAGACAACCTATTGAATGAAAAAAAATCTTTACAAATTATGCACCTGACAAGGGGTTAATATCCAGACTCGCTAGGAACCCAAACAACTCAATAGCAAAAGCAACACAATTCAATTTAAAAATGGACAAAAGATCTGAATAGATATTGAGATTCTCAGAAGAATACATACAAATGGCCAATCAGAATATGAAAAAAAATGCACATCACTAATTGCCAGAGACATGCAAATCAAAACCTTATTGAGATATCATCTCACCCTAGCTAAAATGGCTATTATCAAAAGCAGCAAATTCTGGTAAGGATGTGAAAAATGAAGAAAATTATTCATTGTTGGTAAGAATGGAAATTAATATAGTGATTATTCCCATAGTGATATGGAAAACATTATAGAAGTTTCTCAAAATGATTAAAAATAGAACTGCCATATGATACAGCAATCCTACCACTTGATATATATACAAATAAATGGAATCAGTATGTCAAAGAGATACTTGCTTATCTGTGTTAACTGCAGCACTATTCACAATAGTCAAAATATGGAATCAACCTAAGCACCTATCTACAAATGAGTAAATAAAGAGAAAATGTGGTACATTTATAAAGTGGAATACTATTCAGTCATAAAAAAGAATGAAATATTGTCATTTGCAGCAACATGGATGAGCCTGGAGGACATTGTTAAGTGGAATGTGCCAGGCACAGAAAGACAAATACTACATCAGCTCACTCAAAAGTGGAATCTAAAAAAATGATCTTAAAGTAGTAGAGAGTTGAATAGTTGTTAACAGAGACAAGATAAGGCTAAGGGAGAAGGGGAAAGGGGAGGGGTTATTTAAAGCAACAAAGTTATAGTCTGATAGGAGAACTAAGCCCTATTGTTCCAATATACACCTGGATGACTATAGTTAACAGTAATATATTGTACGTTGCAAAATAACTAGAAGAGGGAATTCTGAATGTTTTCTCCACAAAGAAATGATAAATATTTGAGGTGATGGATATGCTAATTATCCTAATTTGATTATTACACATTGTAAACATGTATGAAAACATCACTCTGTACCCCACAAATATGTACAATTATTACATGTTAATTAAGAACAAATGGAAACAATAGAAACCTCAGGCTGTTTCTATAGGCACAACCTGTCATACAGAAGAAAGGTAAAACAAATAAATTAATATTTGTTTAATTATTTAGCTGGAGAGTTGGCCATTGTCATGGTATTGTAAATTATGTACAGCCATATGGTTGGCATATTTTATTTAAGCGCTACCATTAAGATCTAATCTCATACATACTCTGCAGATCCCTTGAGGGTCATGTTGCAATAGAGCCATGTTGAAGATTGATTCTTCACGGCCCTTCTGCATGTTCTATATCAGTATTTATTTTGAACTATTTTCTCAATATTGTGTATACAACAAGCAGTTTTGGAAGATACAAATTGGGCCTTTCTCTGGGGCAGTGGGCAGAATTGGTTCCTGCCCAGGATGGTAAAGTTCAGGTCTTCCTCTGGGATAATGGTAGGAAAGCTTTGCTAGAAGCTGTTTTAAAAGATTTGCATTTCCTAAACTCATCATTCCTTACATGTATACACACATATGTAACCACTTTATATGCAGCATCTATTTGTGTCTGCCTTCACATCATTTCAATGGGACTTGGGGGAGGTCAGCTTATGTGCTTTCCTGTGCCATGAGTAATAAATCTACCCTTTGTTTCAAACTCAAGACGTTTGTGTCTTCTGTCACCATTTATGAAACTTTGGCAGGCTAATTTGAGACCTTTCAAGTAAAGTGTCAGACCCTCCACAATTCTCAGTAGTCATTCCCCTGTGACTATGTAGAAAGTTTGTCATATGGTACAGAAAAAAAATATATACTAAATGCATAGTCAGAGATATGTGTGTTAGCTCTGCCTTGGGCATGCTGCCTTCTGTGTATGGACATATTTTTATATCTATAAAATGAGCAAAGTATACTCACTCATATTGCTTCATCATACATAAGATCAGTTGATAATCCACACAATTCCACACAATTTTAGCTATAACTCTATCCTTTTTTCCCATTCCAGTAGATAGATGTAGGTAATTAAGTGAGAACATGTATTAGTGAAAATACTGATTTATGTTTGTATAGCTTAAAGAAAAGTAAATTAATCAAAAGCCAACTATTTCTAGGTATAGATGACTTGTAACTGACCTTATAACTAGTTATGACACATCACACAGTAGTTTCCTTGAAATTATGTGGATGTGACAATTTCCAATGTTTCTTCCAAGGCTGCAATTTCTCCAAGTACTAGCTTGGAGAAGGAATGCAATCACGTATTTCCATGTTATCCAGACAAATATATCTCTCCTCATACTTGCTACCAGAAAGTGACTTCATCACTGCGGCAGATCTGGCTTATTTTGTAGCTCATATCAAACACCTTACATAAGTCACCACATTTTTCTCCTGTAAGATACATATGAAAGAGTCACATAAGTAACCTGATTGATATCTCACATCTTTCTACAAATACTCATTTCTAAAAGGCATACCAAACATGTTCCAACACTGAGTTACCTCAATAGTTATTCATGCAATCCAGAGCTCCTTTTCTGTGACTATGAACTAAAGATTCAATTTTTATTTTGGTCTTTAGATGAGTGATAGTGTTAAAATCCAGCAGGCAGTACATGAAGAAGTCAGCTAAACATTATTTCTTTTGGACTAATAGAGTTATAGGAAGAAAAATGTTACTAAAAGCTAAGGTTAGAAAAAAAATGACAGTCAATGCTGTCTGTAGGCTGGCATGGTGGCTCACACCTGTAATCTCAGCACTTTGTGAGGCCAAGGCATGTGAATCACTTGAAGCCAGGAGTTCGAGACCAACCTAGCCAAAATGATGAAATCTCATCTCTACCAAAAATATAAAAATTAACCAGGCATGGTGGTGCATGCCTACAGTCTCAGCTACTCAGGAGGCTGAGGCAGGAGACTTGCTTGAGCCCAGGAGGCAGAGGTTTCAGTGAGCAGAGATCACACCACTGCATTCCAGCCTGGGTGACAGAGTGAGACTCTGTCTCAAAAAGAAAAAAAGAAAGAAATGCTGACTCTACATGATAATTTATTTCTTGAGAAGTGATTATATCTTTTAAAAAATGGTTAGCATGGCAGTCCATTTACACAAAGTATGGCAAATTATGAAGAATATGAGTTTTGCTTATTTTAAAATAACTTTTACAGCTATACTATGTAGTCAACATAATAATAGAATATGTTCGTGAAAATATCACATCTGTAGTATATTCAATAACAGAATAAAATAGAACGTTTTCTCTCAATCTCATAGATTAGTCATGCTAATGAAACTTGCGGTGACCTGAAATATATAGCAGAACATAGCAATACCCGCTTTGAAAATAAATATAATTAATCATATTTTTACCATAAAATATTTCTCATACATCAAATATTCCTCAATATGATTGTACATTACTGGAATTAGAGCCAATTTTTAACTCTGTATGTGTGTGTGTGTGTGTGTGTGTGTGTGTGTGTGTGTGTGTGTGTGTAGAGCTCCAGAAAAAAAAAAGCTATTACAGTTCTTAAATTGAAATAAAAATAAAATAATTTTTATGTATATAAAGTATTTCCATATCACTATGAGTTAACCATCTTGCTATGTGTATTCCAGGAGCAGCAGATTTGTGAGGTTGGCTTAATCACACTCCAGGAGATATTGAAGATAGTCAGAAGCAGAACTTGCTGCTTCTGTTTTCGTCCTCAGGAGCACACACTAGGTCCTGCATAATCTTAGCAGGTGAGAGCGCAACATTTCCTTTATTTCCTGAAACTCTTAAGTTATTAGCTGTTACTTACTTCGTGGACACTTATTTGAGATTTTTTGATACTAACAATATTCTTTAACAATACGCATGGCGAGAGTTTGAGGTAAGAAGTGGTTTAGTGAGTTGTCTTCCAGGTATGAAATGGTTCTGTCATTTGCATATGTCTCTCTTTTTCTGTGAAGGCAGTGTCCAACTGGTGACACCAGCAAACCAATCACATTGGCTTGACTCTCAGCTGCCCTCACTTCTCCAAAAAATATCTACTCACTTGATCTTTTGGCATTCATTTAAACTAAAATGAAAGTTATTTGTCATCATTTTTGTCATCATTCTTTTTTGTTTTAAGTTTCTTTTTAAATCCATTTCTATATGGATTAAGAAAATTTAAAATCATCTAATTATCAGAAAGTTTCAAACCCCATAGTTCAATAATATGCACATTAAGGTCTAGCATAAACAACAACAACAAAAATGTAACTGACATTTGAACAGAGTATTGAAGCACTATCTTAGTCCATGCAGGCTGCTTACAGTATGAAGATGCCAGCAGATTCAATGCCTGGTGAGGTTCCCTTCCCTGGTTCATAGATGCTATGTTGTTGCTGTTGTCTTTCATGGTGAAAGGCGCAAGCAAGTAGATCTTCTTTACTTGGACCTTGTTTATAAGGGCACTAAACCCATTCATTAGAGTTCCACTTTAATGACCTTATCTTTTCCAAAAGGCTCCATCTCTTAATACCACATCCTTTTGAGTTAGGATTGTAGCATATGAATTTTGGATGGTGGGATGAGGACGCACACATTCACATAACAGCAAGCACTGTTTGATCACAAAGAGGCAAAATAATCTGTCATGACTGCATTTTGTCTTTCTAATCAACTATTTACCAATCATGAGAGAAGCATACAAATTTTAGCAGTATTGCTCTGTTTTCTAAAAGACATCCAACTATTGTAGACCACATGAACATACAAGTGTCTTTCTACATAGTTAGCAGCTTTTCCTAGTTTGAGTTTGAGTCTGACATTCCCCCTGGTGTGCTAGTCTCTTTGAAGGTCCGCAATATTAAGTACAATTCTTTGTATCATTCGTATGCTTGCTTATGTCTCAGGTCAGGTTGCTAGGATCCTTTTCTTCAATTGGGTTTCAGAAGGAAATGTTAGCTAGTATGAGTAGACTACAGGTTATTGAGTGCTCTCTAACAGTATTTAATAGCAACCTGGACCTCTTAGCAGGCACTCAAGCTTTTTCACAAATATGAGTTGAACTACTGCTCGGAACATTTTTCTTTTATTTTGTTGATTATACTGTATTCCTCTTGTTTGGATGATGAATTAAGCTGGCAAAAGACAGACTTTCCAGAAAGGAAGAGTCTTGTTTTCAATTTTGTACTGTAATTTCTTGTCTAAAGCAACAATTTTTGTTCCATTTTCATTTCATCATCCAACTATGATGACACAGGGGTCCTGTTTTGAACATTTCTTTTTCTCCAATGAAATGCACTCTAATGTCTTATCAATTAAGGTTCTTTTTCTTTTCCAAGGTGACATAGTTAATTTATTAAATATTCCTGCACTATCTTTTACCAAGAAAAAATATAGTTACAAGGATATGAATAATAAAACAATACGAAAACACTAAGAAATAATGAAGAAAGATGAAACACTGGGAACCTGTGAATGGGAAAGAAAGTGGTGCCTACTGGAGCTTCTCTACAAATTATGTTTTATGTGTTATACACAGAGATAGGCCAAAGCTTGTCTGTTACATTTTTTTAGCAGTCACTAGGTGGGAGATTACACAGTGAATGATAGATTTTACAGAATCCGTGAGGTGAAGTGAAAACTCATAGAAAGCCTAACTGTTTCCGATCTGAGAAAAAGTAGAAATGCTTTATAAGTGTTCTCACAGGTAATTAAAAAATATATATACATATTATGTAACACATCCACAATGTACTTTCAATATAGTCTAGTATTAAAATGTAATGGAGGCCCTAAAGGCCTGAGGTCAGCTTTTATTTCTAGCACTTCATTAAAAAGTAGTATTCTGAAGATAATGGTTATAAATCTAATAATTTAGAGAGAAAGAAGGGGAACTGAGTCCATATTTATGGGTAAAAAGAAGGTTTGTGATTGTCTACTTGAAACTTCATAATTATTTCCCCTAAGTAGAGGTTTTAAATGTGTTTGATCATCATTCTTTCATAATCTATACTTAGGTGATACATTTGTTCCAGTTTTTTGAGGTTAGCACTGAAAGGCTTACATTTGTGGCAAATTCTTAGACCTGTGCCAATCGGAACGGTTGGTCACAGTGACCAGTACCAAGCTGTGTTCTTTGCCTGAAAAATTTTCTAGACTTTTATTTTCATCATGGACCATCAAACTACCAGTTTGTAGGTATTCATTAAAACCTCAGTCGTGATTCTTTATACCTGTACCACTTGCATTTTCATAGATTTTAGCTTACAAATCTGTTGGGCACTTATTTTATTCTTGTATGTATAAATTTGACTTTATCTGTGGCTGAGTTCAAAGTTCACATTGTAACTTTTAGAATGCAAGAAAGAGTTTTGCACAGATAAATTGTTCCACAGGGACTAGATATTAAGAAATTAAATTCATTAATTTATGCTAGAGTGTATTTACTTTAAATATATTAAGAACTATTCTGATTAAGCATTTTTAGAAGAGCTGTCTGAAGCTAGTTGTATAATCTGTGACTGTTTAGTGCCCTGGCATTGCAGGCCATTTTTCCTTTTACACTCTCAGGAGGCCAACTATCCATGAGTGCTATAATTTTAGCTTGTGAGAGAAACATGGAGATGTAAGATAAGCTAGTAATCCGTAAACAGCTATTATATAGTAATTATGTGGGATTAATACCACCACTAGACAATGTATACTACATAAGACATGATAGTGAGAAATTGTACTTTTAAAAATGGCTATTCAGCCAGGCATGGTGGCTCAGGCCTATAATCCCAGCACTTTGGGAGGCTGAGGTGGGCAGATCACTTGAGGTTAAGAGTTTGAGATCAGCCTGGCCAACATGGTGAAACCTCATTTCTTCTAAAAATACAAAAATTAGCCGGGTGTGGTGGTGTGAACCTGTAATTCCAGCTACACTGGAGGTTGAGACAGGAGAATTGCTTGAACATGGAAGGCAAAAGTTGCAATGAACCAAGATCGTGCCACTGCATTCCAGCCTGGGTGACAGAGCAAGACTGTCTAAAATTAATTAATTAATTAATTAACTATTCTCACCAAAACAAAACAAACAACACAAAAATAATAAGTGCTGATGAGAATGTGAAGAAATTGGAACCCTTTTGTACTGTTGATGGCAATGTAGAATGGTGCAGCTATCATGTAAAATAGTAAAAAGATTCCTCAAAAGATTAAAATCAGAATTACCATATGATTTAGCAATCCTACTTCTGGGCATATAGCAGCAGAAATTCAAATCAAGATTTCAAAGAAATAGCTGCAGCTTCTTTTGTATTATAGCATTATTCACAATAGTCAAGATATAATAACAACTCAAATGTTCACCTACAGATGAACTAGTTAAAGAAAAAGTTGGTTTATACATTCAATGGAATATTATTTAGCCTTAAGAAAGAAAGTCCTACAACTTTCAACAGTATGGATAAACCTGGAGGACATTATGCTAAGTGAAATAAGCCAGTTACAGAAGGACAAATGCTGCATGATTCCGCTTATAGGAGGTATCTCAAATAGTCAAACTCATAGACTAGAGATTGGTAGTTGTCAGTGGGTGGGAGGATGGGTAATATGAAATCGTTACTTAATGGGTATAAAGTTTCAGTTATGCAAGATGAATAATTCTAGAGATCTGCTGTACAACATAGTATCAGTAGTTAATGATATGGTATTGTGCACTTTAACATAGGGACAACAGCTTGGATATAGTTTGTATTCACCAAAACTCATGATCAAATTTGATCCCCAATGCGGTAGTGTTGGGAGGGGGAGCCTAGTAGGAGTTGTTAGATCAATGCCCTCCTGAGAAGGTGAGTGAGTTCTTACTCTCTTAGAAATGCATTAGTTCACGTGAGTGCAGATTGTTAGAAAGATCCTGGCTTTCTTGTAGTCCCTCTCTTGCTTCTTATCTCTTTGCACATACCCACCTGCTTTCCACTTTCTGCTACGAGTGGAAGCAACTTGAGGCCCTCATCAGATGCAGCTGCCCAATCTTGAACTTTTCATCCACCAGAATCATTAGCTAAACAATCCTCTCTTCTGTATAAATCACTAAGTATCAGTATTCTGTTATAGCAACACAAAGTGGATGAAGACAATACATTAAGAGGATGTGTGTCATATTAAGTTTTCTTACCACAAAACAAACAAATAACACCCATACATAAAACATAAGGACATTTTTGGAGGTGATGGTTATGTTTAGCCGCTGGGTTGTGATGATGGTATCACTGGTGAATGCAGTTATGTTGAAACTCATCAAAATATAAACATTAAATATATGGAATTTATGTATCAATCATACCTCAAATTTTAAAAAAGAAAATTAAAAAATAAATAGAAAAGGCGCTTACTTCTAGAAATGAAGATACAATGTCTTGTGAACATTTGAGATAAGATAATTTATTTGAACAATAGCACTATCTAATTTTTCATTTTTCAAACAGGAAAACAACACCAAAAAATATGGACATTCCCTATATTCGCTATATTACACAGCCAAATAAAAAAACAATGACTCATTCTTATGGCCTCATAAGCCAGGTAATTTAAAATAAATATAATAAACAAGAGAAATCCAAATCAAAGGCGTGGTGACATACCACTTAACACATAGAGTGACTGTAGTGAAACATATAGACAATGAAAATGTCAAAAAGTATGTGGAGAAATTGGAATTCTCATGCATTGCTGGTGGGAAAGTAAAATTGTGAAACAATTTTGAAAGACGTGCTGGGATTCCTCAAAAGCTAAGTACAGAATTCCTAATTATATACCCAAAAGGAGTGAAAACATATGTCCACACAAAAATTTGTACATGAATGATTATAGAGGTATTATGTATAATAGCCCAAAGTGGAAACAGTTCAATATTTCTCACTTGGTGAATAAAAACGTAAATAGTGTTATATCCAGTAACAGAATATTAATTCAGTCATGACTAGGAACAAAATACTGATACATTCTAAAACACAGAAGAGACTGGAAACATTATTCTAAATGAAAGAAGCCAGTCCCAAAAGATCACATGTTGCTCGATTCCTGTTATATGAGATGCCCAGAATGGGCCAATCTAGACAGAAAAAAAAACAAATTACTAAGGACTGTGGGTAGAGAGAATAGGAAGTTATTGTTAATGGGTACATGATTTCTTTTCGGATTGATGAAAATGACCTAAAATTGATTATGGAGATGGTCACATGACTCTTTGTATGTCACTGAGATACATACTTTAAAGGATGAATTACAATATATGTGATTTATATTTCAATAAATCTTTAAATAAATAAATTTTGTTTTGTAATTGGCTAAGGAGGTTAAATCTGGTAGAAATGAGTGATTCATTGATAACAGATATTGAAAGATGAAGTCTAAGGTTACGTTCTTCTTTCTGGTAAGCGGGTGAATGAAGGGATAATCCTCAAAGACAGAAAATATAGGAGGAGGAGTCAAGCTAAAATGTTGGGTGTAATTTTTCAAGGTTTTCAGTAATCACTAATGTTCTACAATAATTGTCTTTACATAAGGCTTTCATTTATTTTCTTGCAGCCACAGTTTTGCTTTGATTTCCAATTTACAAGCCCTAGTATAACCTGTATGAAAATATAGCTATTTAATATTATATTTATGTTATTGTTCGAATTCATCACAAGCTGTACCACTGTCCTTTAGAATGTGTTTGATAAGCAGAATTCTGAAAATATCATATTTTAAAAATAGACTACAGTCAAATCTTTTAGCAATTTAATGCGTGATTTCTGATAGACACAACAGTGAAATATGTCATTCAACCTTTAAAAAGCTGAAGCTGAAAGTTTAATGAAGACATAGTTAGACTCATATTTCTTTACAAGTGCCCTGACATTATAGCCCTTCTGTTTCAACATTTAATTCAGTGTTGCTGCTTGAAATCTTGCTAAAATCACCTTCAATTGTTTGTCCTCTTCCTCCCCTTTAGATGAATATAGAAACAGCAGTTATGAGCCTTCTCTTGAGATTTCGCATGAAAAGGATCTAGAGATGAAAAAGACTCTTGTTGTTTCATCATTCTTTTTTTTTTCTTTTTTTAGGAAAGTTTTATAATTTTTAAAGTTAAAACTTTCAATGTATTTCTGTGATGGACCAATGAAACTGGTCATTTTTTCCTTCCCGTTGGTGGTTAAGTCTTTTCCAATGACATATGGAAGGAGAGTTAAATTGTCTTTAAAGACATTTAACTTTAATGTATTAGGCTTTACTTCAAAGAAAGGTATTACATTAATTGAAAGAGAGTTCTAGGGAGAAGAAAAATAATGGAGACACTAGATAATTTTTAAATATAATTTCACAAATTAAGAAGGTTATTCAGACATTAGTGGATAATTAACTTAGAATGTACCACTTACACGGAATAATTTTCTCCTCACAAACCATCCAAGTGCTGCTAGGGGTATATGCAGTAAGCAGAACAGGTACAAGAAAGCAGCTGAAGACAAATGAGGAGAGAATATATTTATTTTAAGTAAATGAGCTTGTTGCTTGACTTATGTTATTGGGTCAATGGCTATTTTTTCTAATATAAATAAACCCAGAATATTCCACATTTGTTTTTCTCTAGACAATGTGATGTAGACTGAAAACATTATCAAGCTACATTCCAAGTGGAAAGAAAATAATTCAGAAAAATAAGATGACAGTCTTCCCATTTATAGCCACTGCTATTAACCACAGAAATTTGCCATTAACCACAGGAAAAAAAAAATGTGCTCTTTGTGTATTTGAGGTAGCTGTGCAACAGTCAGTGTGGTCTATAATTAATCTAGCTACTGTAAGTACTATAAGCTCAGTGGTTAATTTTCATAGGTGTTGAAATCAAATTACCTTGATCCGAATTTATTTTCCTTTTTTTTGAGACAGAGTCTTGCTCTGTCACCTAGGCTGCAGTGCAGTGGTAATCTCGGCTCACTGCAAACTCCACCTCCCCAATTCAAGTGATTCTCCTGCCTCAGCCTCCTCAGTAGCTGGGACTACAGGCTGCACCACCACGCCTGGCTAATTTTTGTATTTTTAGTAGAGATGGGGTTTAACCATGTTGGCCAGGTTGGTCTTGAACTCTTGACCTCAGGGGATTCACCTCCCTTGTCCTCCCAAAGTGCTGGGATTACAAGCCTGAGCCACCGTGCCTGGCTCCTTGGTTTGAATTTGATAGTTATGGGATCCAGCAGATTTGTCTATTATGGCTAGTACTTTTTGTGCTATAATTTATTTAAATCTACTAAATTTTTATTTATATAAAGTTGTCCCTGTGTATTTTTTGTGGAATTGGTTCCAGGGCCCCTTGCACACACCAAAATCCATGGATGCTCAAAGTCTTTTATATAAAATGATGTGGTATTTTATATAATCTATATGCATCCTTCCATATACTTTAAATTATTTGTAGATTACCTATAATACCTAAAACAAAGTAAATGTTGCATACGTTGTTGTTTTACTGTATTGTTCAGGGAATAATGACATGAAAAAAAATCTGTTATTACTCTTTTCAACTATTTCCAATCTGTGGTTGGTTGAACCCATGAATGTGGAACCCATGAATGTGGAACCCACAGTTACAGAGGACCAGCTGTATTTTAGCAGGATAATTGTAATGTTGTTGTATATAAAGTAAATTGAGGAATATCACATATATTTGCACTTCCATTTGTTCAATGTCTAAGTTTTTTGATAGAAAAAGATATTCTTAAAACTATCAACTTGTAATAAAATTCACTATATTCTCTTTTCATCTTGAGAGACAAAATGGAAATCTTCAAAAGGGCTTCAAAAGAGCACTTGATAGTATATCAGGGAAATGAAAGTTTCAGTTAATATGTTTCTAACAATCTCTCTCTAAACGTATTACCTTTGCTTCAAGATGAGATAGTGTCTATGTCCTGTATACACAGATTTTGTCTCTTTTCTCATTAGACCTGTCCTCATACATGATGAAAATGAAGAATATGCTTCTAAAACAATAGATTACAGGGTTAGAGAAAATATGCCATTCATTTATTTACTCATTCATATATTTATTAAACTGCTTAAAAAATTAATGGGTATGTGGTATGTCTGAGTCATACTTCTTAATACTTAAAAGTGGAATACTTATAGAAGTAGATCTTGAGGGGCAAAAAGGAATAAGTCAAATTATTATATTCCAGAGAGATAAACATAAAATTAAAGGTATGAAGAAAAGAAAATGAAAATAAAGAGAAGGTAAGTAATTCTGCCTGAAATCACAGAAAACTTAACAGTAGAAGTCAAGGTTCATCTGATAAAATCTTGTTGAATTAATAGGAGTTAGGTAAACAAAGAAAGAAAATGAAGTGTACCAGTGCAGAAGAGTTGCATGCACAAAATTACATAAGTATAATGGTTTTGATGAATTCAGGAAATAGTGATAATCTTTAAGCAGCAGGATTATACATTCTAAGACAATAAGACTGTATGGAGTAAGAAAGCAAATTATAAAGAGCTTAGATATTATCCTGTGAGCAAGAGAAAGCTAGGATGTTTTTTTCTTAGTAGAGTAGGGACTTGATCAGATTTACTTTTAAGGGGAACAATGGAGACAAATCCAGTTGAGGGATATGACTATTCTGAACATTCCATATTACCTTTAGGTGTATTTAGGCATTGATAATATGACATTATTTTAAAATCAAATTATATTATGTGTATTTATTGTATTACCAAAAGCGCATTTTAGATTAATCTTTATAGAAGCTTCATCATATTCAAAATATCAGCCAAACTGTTATTTATCATATATTCTCTTTTTAACATCTTATTTTCTTTTTGCTAGTGACAGAATATTGGTTCTCCATAATTATCCAATGATCCTCAAGGTTATGCAAACTCCAAATTTTACAGGTATCTTTCTTTAAATAAGGCATTTTATTAAATTTTTTAACAACATACCTAACTTGTTAGGGAATTTTTCCACATGTAATACTCAATATTCTCACTTTTTTTTTTTTTTTTTTTTGAGACAGATTCTCTCTCTCGTTGCCCAGGCTGAAGCGCAATGGCTCAGTCGCAGCTCACTGCAACTTCTGCCTCCCAGGTTCAAGAGATTCTTCTGCCTCAGCCTCCTGAGTTGCAGGGATTACAGGAGTGTGCCACGACGCCTGGCTAATGTTTTGTACTTTTAGTAGAGATGGGGTTTCACCATCTCAGCCACGCTGGTCTTGAACTCCTGATCTCAAACGATCTGCCTGCCTTGGCCTCCCAAGGTGCTGAGATTACAGACGTGAGCCACTATACCTGGCCTCAATATTCCCTTAATAAATGTGTATTGCTATTTTTGTGTCCTCTGCGTGTAATAGGACTCATTTAACAATTGTTCTAACAGAAACCTTCATTTATCCACAGGAAATATGATACAGATCTTTCTCCATATTAAGACTGGGAAATTTTTTGTGACAAAGTTGAATTGTTGCTTTACTCCCTTTTTTGCTTTGTGACATTGGATTAAAGTTAAAATAATTAAATACAAAAATGTCTCCTTACCTGTTTCCATTTTGTTCTTAGAATATTTGCTGATAGTCTCATGGGGTAGATCAACAATTTCTGTAATCCTCTGCATAATTTCCCACTTTGTTAAAAATACTACATGATGAATAAGTGCTTGAGTTAGAAAAGTTAAATACTTTTCTGCCTGAACTAAATTGTCCCAAGTATTCTTTACAACAGTTTTTATATATCCATTTATTCATATATAGAGAGAAATGCCCCTATATATGTGACAAGAGCCAATTCAATATTTGTGGTTTGGTGACTATGGGTCAGTCTCTGTATTTTGCTGGTATGCATTGGATTATATAGTCTTTATTTACTTTTAATTAGTTTGGCAATATTTAGTTATTCAATACATTGATAATTCATCATCAATACACTGAAGTTATCATACCTGTTTAAACCATGTTATAGGGTTTGATTAATATATGAGTGAGATAACTAATGAAAAGGATTTGGAAAACCACAAAATTCTGTAAAGATGCAAGGTTACATGCATCCATAACCATCATGGAAGTTTCACCTCTTGTTGATAAATTGAATATATTATTTTGACAAATAAGTATGTGACAATTTGGACATAATAAGTTGCCTATGCTAAACTTTTTTTCGTGGTGATGTTGTTCAGTCTATGAAGTGTGACAAAATTTTCTAAATTAAAACAAAAACACACGCTAATGGTGTTACAGAATATTTGTCAAGGTTTTTTTTTTTTAGTTTCTAGTGAGAGAAACTCACCTTAAACTAATCTAAATTAAAGGATATATTAGTTTTAACTGTCAGAATATATATCAGAAAACTATGTGTGGTCAAACAAGGCTGGCCCCAAGAGCTCTAGTGATCCATTAATATTCAATCTGTTCCCAATACATTGTACCATCTTATTTGCTTGTTTTATCTGGTGGCAGCTTTAAATATATAGGAGCTGCTACATTGTTGTATTAGTCTACTTTCACATTGCTATAACATACTACCTGAGACTGGGTAATTTATAAAGAAAAGAGGTTTAATTGGCTCGTGGTTCCACAGGCTGTACAGGAAGCATGGCTGGGGAGGCCTGAGGAAACTTACAATCATAAAGGAAGGCAAACAGGAAAGAATCACATCTTTCATGGCCAGAACAGGAAGAACAGAGAGGGGAGAGGTGCTACATACTTTTACACAACCAGATCTTGTGAGAACACACTCACTATCACAAGAACATAAAGGGGGAAGTCTGCACCCATTATCCAATTATCTCCCACCAGAACCCTCCTCCAACATTAAGGATGATAGTTCCACATGAGGTTTGGGTAGGGACACAAATCCAAACCATACCAATTATCTTCAGTGAAAAGAATTTTAGACGGAAACTACTCTTTGTTGATAGATCCAAGAACGCTTTAACTGATTTCACTCTGAGCTCATCATTAATCCAATCACTGTGACCAGAAATAAAATCACTATTCTATTTAGGCAGTCCTGAATATGTGCTCTCTCCTATACCCAGGGATGCAGTAGGTCTTATCAGAGCCACAAAAACTATAGAGGACGACTGGCAGACCTAAGTGATGTTTGGCAGAAACACACACAGACACACACACACGAGTACAGAAAGATTTGCACATAATAAAGTAGAAAATAGAACAGCGTAATTTGAGTTTGTTGTATCCCCAGAATTCAAGGAATCTCGGGTTACATGGAAAGAGAAGCATTGTTCTAATTTTGTTTCTGCCAATGCATTGGTTATGGTTCTCCAGAGAAAAAGAACACATGAAATATAATTGTTCTACATTTACTTACCGATGTCATCATTCTATAGTTTTTATTCTAAGAAGGAAGCCTCAAAAAATTTAAAAAGCTGTTCATTACAAAGGCACAAAGTGTAAGCATGTGTTGATCAACTCTAATGGTCGTTAATTGTGAAAAGGCTCTTTAAGGCCATTTAAGGTGCATTCACTGTTGTTCTTTGTGGTGACAGACTAGCTTGACAACAACAACATTTATTTGCTTTAACATGTAAGACTGTGTGTAATTTAACTGTATTAGTCCATTCTCATACTGCTATGAAGAAATACCCAAGACTGGGTAATTTATGAAGAAAAAGGGGTTTAATGGACTCACAGTTCCACATGGCTGGGGAGGTCTCACAATCATGGGAAGGAGAAAGGGGAGCAAAGGCATGTCTTACATGGTAGCAGGCAAGAGAATGTATGCAGGGGAACTGCCCTTTATAAAACCATCAGATCTCATGAGTCTTACTATCACGAGAACAGCACAAAAAATAACCACCCCACGATTCAATTACCTCACACCAAGTCCCTTTCATGACATGTGGGGATTATGGGAGCTACAATTCAAGATGAGGTTTGGGTGGGGACACACCCAAACCACAACACTAACAAAATCAGTTAAAAAGAAAGAAAAAAGAAATAGTTAACATGATAACTATGAGATATATTGATTGTAATGACAAATGTTATAAGAAATTATTAAAAGGAAATGACAAAAAATATAAGTAAAATTGCTTAATAATAATAGCTACATAATTTACCTAACACATTATATATATATATATATAGTGTTAGCAAATATATAATATACATTTATATTCAGTCAGAAAATATTTATTGAGTAGCTTTTGTATGTGAAACATTATACAAGTTTCACAAATGCAAAGATTAAGGAACAAAACATTTTGCCCTTGGTGAGCTCACATCATTCTGCAATATACACATGGTGACTTATCTGACTGTTTTTTTTAAGTGTGATATAGTAATACTTGTGAAGCAACACATAAGCAAATCCCCAATACCTTTCTCTAAACAACCAGACAGGCAAAACTTTCTACAAGTTATAGTAAACCAAGACACTATCTTTTCCTCTTAACACAGCCTAGAGGCAGGATAATGAAAGGAGGGAGCAGTGAAGACATTTCTGTCCTGAGGCAGTTTCAGGCTACCGGAGGCTAAAAACCAAACTCTCCAGAAGGCTCAAGGAAAGGATGTGTGCAAAAACAGCCCTTCAGAAATAATTTGGTACTTATTTTTACACTCTAAGTGTTGCAAAACATCTTCCCCTTCATGGAATAGAGATTTACTGATTTTGTGAAGTTCGCTTATATAATTTTTAGTATTTGGAGGCATCTGCACTCTTTGAAAACAATTGAAACCATGAAAATGTTGTAGTAATTCTTGTATTTGTTCTTAATCAGGAGCACTCATTCATGTCAACACATAATTTTTAAAACTTTTTTCTGTATGACACTACTTTCTCTACTTTAGTCAACTTCTTTTCACCCCATTGGAGAGGAAGGGATTTCTGCCCTACGATTATGGGGATGGCCAAACACATACAACACCTGGCACTAGACAGATGAAATTAACAGCAGTTTAATAGTCACGTATACTCACAGTTTATGCGAGGTGCCTGCTGACTGCCACAAAGGATCTCCCAGGGGTTGCACTTAGAAGCAGTGACCAACTGGGGACAGTGGGAGGCAGACTTCGTAGTATCAAGAGGATAGAGGTGACCCATGAAAGAATATGAGTGACTTATTTGAATCATTCCACATGCTGACAGGGAAATAAAACCTGCTACTCAAATCCCATTGAAAAGGAGGGATTTTTGGCTAGAAGACCCTTATCCAGAGCAAAATGGGGAGAGGAATTTGTGGTTAGGTCAATCAAGGTCCAACCAGATGTCAAGACAGCAGATAATATCAAGCCTTAATTTTAAGTCTTATACCACAGCTTCAAATTCTTTGTTTATTTTCTCTTAATTTGTATTCCATATCAAGTGTGATCAAAAGTTATTTTAAAAATGTGTAATGTGTGAAGTTTCACAGTGTCTACCTTCAGCTGGGTTAAGGCTACAATTGTGTTTGTCCAAGGTGTTAGTAAAATGTGGAGTTTGAGTATTTTTAGTTAGAGCATGTCTTTTTCAGTTTCCCACATTCACTGTGTTTCTCTAAATGAAAATACCTTTTAAAAAATTTTCTTTCTGTATGGCTCACCGAATGCATTTGAATTGGGGATCATTGGTACCATTTATAAACTTGTGACCCATATAACCAAATTCTCATTAAGGTGTGTCAGTCAAAGCAACATTAAAATAATAAACAGACTTACTTTCCCAATGGCTCGAGTTTCCTATATTGCCAAATAACTAGAACACATATTTCCTATATTGCCAAATAACTAGAACACGTTGGTATTTTTTTAAACACATGACACATGATACCATAACATGTGGTATAACTCCTTCAAACCCTCTAGCTTTTTTAAATCAGCCTAGTTTATGTCCCTATTCTTCTATTTTCTTTCCCAAACAATTGGCCACTGACCTTTTATTCAGAATCCTTCAGCTGCAAGTCCAAAGGAATTAGCTAGCAAGGCTGACCTTCCTAAGAGGCTGGCAGAGAGGAGGAAATAGAACAAAGAAATCTCAAATCCTCTTTAGAAGCAGAGAAAAGAAAAGACTGAGAGAACTTAAAAGTTAATGATGAGAGTGGCTTTTCATGTTTAATTATGATTTTAATTAGTTCGTATTAGGAACTAATTTTTATGCTCTCACAGGTAACTGAGTCTCTTAAAGGCACTTATATACCTGTGAGATTCAGAAGGTAAGAAACAGAAGAACAGAGGAAACAAAAAGAGACAACCAAAGACAAAAAGGAAAGAATAATAATGTTAAAAATAAAGAACAACAGTGTAAGAAAGCACAAAATAAATAAAGTTTCAATACCTTTTCCCTGCTTTATAACTGAGGAATTAAATGAAAATCTTTCAAATGCAAATGTTACTTTGTTCCCCTCATTTTACATCCTACATCAAATCCTGAGGAAATACAAGGTGTTCTTTTTTTTCTAAGGGTACATTTGAAAGACACTATTAAGCTCACTTGCAGCAGTTTCTGAATTCCAAGGTGCATATTTCTCACATTTAATATCTATGACATCTACAAAGTCTGACAATCACAACCATCTGGGCAGTCGTTGTGAGGTGGCAAAGCAGGTGCTTGCTAATCAAAACTTGCAGAATAAGTTGTATGAGTTCGAAAGAACATTCTAAAGAGAATGATAGTGCACTCATTTAGGACATTCTACCCTATAGATGCTTTGATGCCAGAGAAGATGATGTTATGTGGAAAATCTATGACATTTATCACTCAGAGAGAACAGGTGACTCAGAAATAACAATCTTTGAATGAGCAAATGTTTTAGGAATACTTCAACCACTTTATTTCATTTATATGTCATTTTACATGGTTTCAAGTTTGATATATGATAAAAAAGTATATGTTAAAATAGGTCTAAAAGATCATTAGATGAAGAGTAGGAATTTTCAATGAGAAAATAATTTGTCATATTTTAATTGTCAGTATTTTATTTTCCTTTCTGAACATCATATAAAATAATGCCACAAAATTGATATTATCTTTTATTTGATAAAAACCAGTTATTTGTGACTTCATCTTACACCTGACTTCCTATTTGCAGATTAAAATTAAGATATTGTCAGACTACATGAATGATCAGAAAACAATAGAATATCTACCACATTTTTCAAAATACTTTTTTATTCTGTGAGATACAGAAACAATTACATTTCCAGAACACTTGTCCTTACTACGTACCTAGAGTTATTTCTATCTGAAAATAGCCACAAGGTTCCCAAATTGCTGTTATCAGTGCTCCAAGGGAAACTCAAGTTGTAAATGTTTGCAAATAGGGGGTGTGTGTGTGTGTGTTGCACACTTGTTGCCCCCTTTATTTTCTTTGTGTGTGTGCATGCGCATGCACACATGCCTGCATGTCTTCGCAGAGCTGGATACATCTTGTTTCTTACTAACTTTAAAACATTTCACTCAAAATGTGTTTTTCTAAAGGTGGCTTAAGGAATGCAGTTGAAAACTAGAGATAATAATGATAGGAATTTATCTCTAACACTTCTAACACATTCCCCAAATCAAAATTGCCACAGTAATTTTTTTCATGGTCGGGAAATAAATGCTTAAGTTTTGCTGAGATGAAAGCCATGTGTGAGAGACACTGAGGAATTTTCCTCTGCATCCTTCACCTTCACAAGTCCTTGTCCCCTGCAGTTTCTCCCCGCTCCCTCTGCAGATGATCTACCAGCTGGTTCTCCTCACTACTCTTGATAAACACCACCCAAACAATGGTTAGTACTCCTCAAGAATGATTTCTCTCTTCCCATTTCTGAAACTAGCTTAACATCAACAGACATTCTCCTGCTAAAACCCTGTAATAAAGCGCCATATTCTCTTTGCTCTCCCCAAGTTCGAATGCACCTGTAGAGTCTTTTTACGCCCAATAGTTGCCAATACAGACTTATGCTAATGATATTCTAGTTTATTTTCTCTCAAACTTGTTATTTTAATTATCAAATAAAGCAAATAATGTTTGCTGTTTAAATTTAAATGAATTTAAAGAGGATAATGCACATAAAGCACTTAACCCAGTGAATGGCACAAACTAATCATAATTATGCATATAACTTAATGAGCTGCATTCTACAAGGGTTAAACTGGTAGTAACTATTTGCCCTTTCATGTGACTGCTTTATTTCCCTTGTGGATCATCTTATTGCTTCATTTTCGCCCATTCGGCTCCACTCCTATTCTTACAGTCCCTTGAGACAAAGACTCTTTATTTGAATAAACTTTAATCAGAATCCTCTGAGCCCTCTTTTAAAATAGGCCTCAATCTTGGGCTCTCTCTTCAATCTGCCTAGTTCAGTTATAACAAGAATCATGCTAAATCATTTGAACGCGAACTGCCCCACATCACTTGTGATATCTGGTCTCCCCGGCCTGCCTTCAGCAAAAATAAAGTTAATTTGGTTTAGCAAAGATATCCCTACCCTTAATGTCTTCTCTTATTAATTTTCCATCCACTGGTCTCTTTCACTCTGCTTCTTGGGTATCAATTCCCACTTGCCTTTGTAGTATCCAGTGTGAAACGTGATCTCCCCGCTTAGTGCAAGAGTGTTGACATCTACAATAGAAATCTTGAATAAAGTCTTCCATATTGCTTTACTGTCATTGCTTTACTAATATTGCTTTACTAATGTTTTCCTTAGAACCAGAATGTCTCATAACTTTTCTGATTACCTTCTGTCTGAGTCTGTTTTGTGCCCCTATAACAGAATACATGACACTGAGTAATTTATAAAGAACAGAAATTTACTGATCACGATTCTGAAGGCTGAGAGTGTGTCCAGAATTGGTGGGTTCTTGGTCTCACTGACTTCAAGAATGAAGCTGCGGACCCTCGCAGTGTCACAGTTCTTAAAGGCGTCATGTCCCCGGTTTGTTCCTTCTGATATTTGGATGTGTTAGGAGTTTCTTCCTTCTGGTGGGTGTGTGGTCTCGCTGGCTCAGGAGTGAAGCTGCAGACCTTCGCAGTGAGTGTTACAGCTCTTAAGGCAGCGCGTCTGGAGTTGTTCATTCCTCCTGGTGGGTTCGTGGTCTCGCTGGGCTCAGGAGTGAAGCTTCAGACCTTCGCGGTGAGTGTTACAGTGTGGACCCAAAGAGTGAGCAGCAGCAAGCTATATCGCAAAGAGCAAAAGAACAAAGATGCCACACTGTGAAAAGGTATGTGCGGGTTGCCTCTGCCGGCTCTGGAAGCCTGCGTTTATTCTCTTATGTGGCCCCACCCACATCCTGCTGATTGGTCCATTTTACAGAGAGCTGATTGGTCCGTTTTGACAGGGTGCTGATTGGTGCGTTTACAATCCCTGAGCTAGACACAAAAGTTCTCCAAGTCCCCACTAGATTAGCTAGATACAGAGTGCTGACTGGTGTATTTACAAACCTTGAGCTAGACACAGAGTGCTGACTGGTGCATTTACAAACCTTGAGGTAGACACATAGTGCTGATTGGTGTTTTTACAATCCCTTAGCTAGACATAAAGGTTCTCCAAGTCCCCACTAGACTCAGGAGCCCAGCTTGCTTCACCCAGTGGATCCCAAACCCGGCCGCAGGTAGAGCTGCCTGCCAGTCCCCCGCCGTGAGCCCACACTCCTCAGCCCTTGGGTGGTCGATGGGACCGGGCGCCCTGGAGCAGGGGGCAGCACTCATCAGGGAGTCTCGGGCAGTGAAGGAGCCCACGGCGGGGGCGGCGGCTGGGGGGCTCAGGCATGGCAGGCTGCAGGTCCTGAGCTCTGCCCTGTGTGGAGGCAGCTAAGGCCCCACGAGAAATCGAGTATAGCCCTGGTGGGCCAGCACTGCTGGGGGACCCGGCGCACCCTCAGCAGCTGCTGGCCCGGGTGCTAAGCCCCTCACTGCCCGGGGGCCAGCCAGCCACTCTGAGTGCAGGGCTCACCAAGCCCATGCCCACCCAGAACTCTAGCTGGCCTGCAAGCACTGCATGCAGCTCCAGTTTCCACCCGTGCCTCTCCCTTTACACCTCCCCGCAGGCTGAGGGAGCCAGGTGTGGCCTCGGACGTCCCAGGAAGGGGCTCCCACAGTGCAGCGTGGTGGGGCGGGGGGCCTGAAGGGCTCCTCAAGTCCGGCCAGAGTGGGCGCCCAGGCTGAGGAGGTGCCAAGAGCGATGGAGGGCTGCGAGGGCTGCCAGCACACTGTCACCCCTCAAGAGGTCCAAGATCAAAGAGTTGCATCCAGTGAGGGCCTTCTTGCTGTGCCGCAGTGTGGTAAAAGGCATCATATGGCTAGAGAGAGAGAGCAAGAAAGGGCCAAGCTTGCTTTTACAATAGGCCCACTTCTGCAAAAACAACATTAATCCGTTCATGAAGAGCCTTTATGACCTAATCACTTCTTAAAGTTCCAACCTTTCAAGATTGTTGCATTGGGAATTCAGTTTCTAACATACAAGCTTTGAAGAAGACATTCAAACCATAGCACCGCCAGATAATAAGCAAATCTTCCTCTTTTCTAAGAATAGATTTCAATGCAGCAAAATATATAAACTTCATGATCTCATCCTTATGCTATCCTTCCAGTAAGCGTGAGTCAACTTCAGCCTGAGAAACCTATAGTTAGGAATAAAGCAGAGTTGGCTCCCTTTTTTCTCTATTTCTCAATTCATCTGCTCTTCCTCTCACTGAGCTGATGTTTAAAACAATTCCTGAGTGGAGGTTGAGCAGAGGAAGAAAAAAAGTAGAAATAAACATTCTTTCTGGACTGTTATAGTTATAATCTGGGTATTGCTGGTAGCAAATATGGAAACCTTATTTCAAGAGGAGTTTATATAGTTTCACACACATAACGCATCACACATACACATGCTCATGCTGCTGGGGATCTTTTGACACTGAGGTTACCACCTCAGCTGGCATCTTACACACTGTCTTCTCTATATCAAGTGCTCAAGGAATCAGACTGAACGTTTGTGTGCCTTTAAAATTAATATGTTGAAATCTTAACTCCCATTGTGACAATAATAGGAGATGGGGCCTTGTGAGGTAATTAAGTCATGAGAAAGAGCCCTTCTGAATAGTATTAGTGCCCTTACAAAAGAGGCTGCAGAGAGCTGTCTCATCCTCTTTCCACAATGTGAGCATTCAATAGGAAGTCAGCAGCCTGCAATAGAAGAGGACCTTCATCAGAATCTGGCAATGCTGACACCATGATCTCAGACTTCCAGCATGCAGCACTATGAGAAATACATTTCTGTTGTTTACAAACCACACAGCCTATCGTACTTATAGCAGCCAGAACAAACTAAGATGCTCCACCTCAAGCCACTTTCCCTTGAGGTCACAAAGCATCATGAATCTGTCTATAGACAGGGCTTCTCTCCCCCAAGAGTAAACCACATTAAATTTTGGTATATGCTTATCCTGGCAGAACCTGTAAATACAGGTTTTTTTTTAATTTAATTCTCTTTTTGTTCTGCTGACCTTTGCTTTGTTAGGCTGAACTAGTCAGATTACCTGGTTGAGCCTTTCTCCTAGTATAAACCAAATACCACTCCCTGTTTCGTCAAACTCTGCAAAGGTGTCACAATGCACTTCAATAACACACAAACACACACACTCTCTCTCTCTTTCTCTATTTTTTTCTTTTTTGACATGAAGTCTCACTGTGTCACCCAGGCTGGAGTGCAGTGGTGTGATCTCAGCTCGCTGCAACCTCTGCCTCCTGGGTTCAAGCTATTCTAATGCCTCAGCCTCCTGAGTAGCTAGGACTACTCAGCCTCCCAAAGTGCTAGGATTGTAGGCGTGAGCCACCCCACCTGGCCTGCACTTCAATAACTCTCTACAGAAACTCTATCAGTTTGTTCAACTTTCTGATTAATTCTTTGATGTTTCTTACGTGGCCTAGAGTCAGGTAAAAGATATTACTAGCAAAAGTAGTTTTACAGTCTTTTTTTTTTTAATTTTATTATACTTTAAGTTTTAGGGTACATGTGCACAATGTGCAGGTTTGTTACATATGTATACATGTGCCATGCTGGTGTGCTGCACCCATTAACTCATCATTTAGCATTAGGTATATCTCCTAAAGCTATCCCTCCCCCCTCCCCCCACCCCACAACAGTCCCCAGAGTGTGATGTTCCCCTTCCAGTGTCCATGTGTTCTCAATGTTCAATTCCCACCTATGAGTGAGAACATTCAGTGTTTGGTTTTTCGTCCTTGAGATAGTTAGCTGAGAATGATGGTTTCCAGTTTCATCCATTACATGATTTTTTATAGATATTTGAGCGCCTAGTTTTAGGATGTGTAAATACTTGACATCTACTGAATTATTCTGACTCCACAAAAACAATGAAGCCACAGAATACACTGTCATAGATCTCTCATAGATAGATAGATAGATAGATAGATAGATAGATAGATAGATATACATTGCACACACCTGTGAAAGTATCCCCTTGAACTTTTTGACCCTCATTGGGCTTCAAGATATTTCAGTTTCTTTCTTCTGATCCATTATGAGATCCTTTTAGAGATTTTCCTCAACAAGGAATTAGGACTTTCATAATCACACCAAAGAATGAGACAGTGCACTGGTTGACAATGACAAACGGCCAATAGGAAATCTTTAGGCTCCAGGAGGAAATCCCAAAAACGACTCTGGCAGGAGCCTAATAATAAATCTAAATAATTAACATGATGAAATAGATTACTACTGGAAGACCAAAACCTACTTCACATCTGGCCACTGAGAATTACTCAAACAAGGTCATTGCAAAGCCCATAGTTGATAATGCATAAATGTTGAGTAAATATTATGTGTCTCTGGTCAGGCACTTTGGGAAGCTGAGGCAGGAGGATCCCTCAAGCCTAGGAGTTCAACAGCCTGGGCAATACAGTGAAACCTTGTCTCTACAAAAAAACAAAGCAAAACACCCAAAAATTAGATGAACATTGTGACATGTGCCTGTGGTCTCTCAACTACACAGGAGGCTTAGGCAGGAGGATTACTTGAGCCCAGGAGTCTGAGGCTGCAGTGAGCCACGATCATGCAATTTCACTCCAGCCTGGGTGACAGACGGAGACGCTGTCTCCAAAATATACATATATATACATGTGTGTGTGTGTGTGTATGTGTGTGTGTGTGTATATATATTTCTAGAAGACTTTTACCAATAGAGTATTATCTTTTCTATGGACTTTCTATGGCACTCCATACTGGGAATGTTAAAGATAAATAAAATTTGGTCCTTGCCCCTAGAAATTATAGTAAAAGTAAAGTGAAGAATTAATATAACATAATGGTTAAGACATTCTTTTACTGTGTGTCTATTTTTATTAATTGGCATTGGTTTCAGCATTTGTAGTTGTTTTCAGTTTGGTGGGTCATGTAACCACTTTATGCCTTAGTTTCTTCTATTGTTAAGATGCAAATAATAAGAGTAACTTTCTCATGGTGTTTATTTAATGGGTTAAATAAAAATCAATCTACAGAATTAATTCATTGAATGAAAATGTATGTCAATTACCTAGTTTTATATTAGAATTTTTCAAAAAGTGCAAATGATTGCTCTTCTATTGATAGTATTGTCCTGCTATTCCCCATTGGCTTTATGTGGTGATTACTAGAACTGAATTGGCTTCTGGGCTGGGGAAAGTCATACCATGAAAAATAAAATAAAGGGAAATCTAGAAAAAAAAATTACACAAAAAAGCTAATTCTCATTTTATTGATTTGATGTCTATCCAAAGAGTTAAGAAAGGAAAATTTTGTGCTCACAGACTTACTTATGCCTATTTATGAAATTACTTTTAAGAGTAATAACCAATACTAACTTACAGCTTTTCCGTTTTATATATTAATAGTATTTCTCTGGAAATGCTAATCCCTGTGGATATCTTGCTAAAAGCCGGGAATAGAATTATATACACAGTGCCAATTTATTTCTGATTCTATTCCATAGCATCTCATGTGAAAATGAAATCATGCTCAAATCAAAGAACTAATTTGATTGCAACCAGACCGAATAGAACACCCCAGACACATTTTGCTTTAATTTTAACTTCCAAAAAGTGAAAAGGAAGGAAGAATTTCACTGAAACGGTTATCCCTAAGCCTCTTTCAGATTCGTTCATAAATCAAAGAATACTAGGTAGGTACAGTTTTGCTAATGTGGGGTAATCTGATGAATTTTTGAATCCTTATTGAATGGGACACATCCTTCCAAAAAGTGTGTTTGTTAAGACATTGCATCCTGCTTTTGAGAGCTTGTTTCTCAAAATTATTTTACAAATGAAAGATATTATTTACTTTGTAAAGATCTTAAAAGTTGCATTTTGTTATTTTATCAACATTCACCTTTTATCTATATTACCATTGCACTGAATTCAAAGTCATAAAGTATATTTGTAAATTAAAATATGCCGGATTGGATAACAAGAAGATCAGTCTATGCATATTTACTTTTCCTTTTCAATTAACCATTTTAATGCTTCTTAGCATTTATCAAATTTAATATGAGTCGTTTTAATTGTTTCACATTTTATGCACATTGACCAATACTCAGCTGACATAGGTGATTAGCTTACCTGAGAAATATGAATAACAGTATGCTGTGAAACTAGAAAAGGTGAACAAAAAGTGTATCTCTTATAAATAAATGACTAAGTTATGTATTATTTATGTTACACAAATTTAAACAATGTATAATACATGAGGAGAAATTTACTATATTTGGAGCAAAAATAACTGAACAGTCTCTCAGGACCTTTATTAATATTTCAACATCAGTATTATTCTGCTGTATAATTAATTTTTGAAGAATATTTTGCATATGTTTTCTGAAATCTAATGACTGAAACTCAAAAATGTTAGAGTATGCATAAGCTTGATATCACTTGTTTTGGGACAAGCTTCAAATCTGAGGCCATGCTGAAAGCTATTGCCAACCTGGCAGGCATTTTTAAAGCTTTGAGAATCATCACCTTTCAGAGAATCTCTCCACAGGTTTATATCCTTCACCTCATGCTCACAACCAAATGCATGAACAGTAAGAAAGATCATAGCCTTTTACTATTTCCTGTATTCCAAACTTCATGCCTTTTTTATTTTCCTTCTTTCTTTCCTTCTTTTCTCTCTTTTTTCTTTCTTTCTTCTATCTGCCTTTCATCTTTCTTTTCTTCTTTTTATATTTCTGTCTTTTGATTAATTATTTGACAGCAAAAAATGAAACAGATTTCAAATGACGTGGCTTTGACTAACAATCTAGAGCACTGAATTTATAAATAATCCATGAAGACTTTTCTCCCCTTAAACCTGGATTTTGATATCCCTTTTGAACTATCAGAAAGCAGGTTCCTAATGTTTGCAAAGTTAAGGTGAAATGCTTTTCTGTAAAAAGGAGCTTAATAAATATGTGTGAAAAAAAAATCTAAGAATAAGAAATTACTTAGCTTCTTCTACTCAATGAGAGAGAGGCATTGTGTTAGGTTTTTAACAGACATGAAGGAAAACAATTATTTACCAGTCTTTACAAAAAGACTGAGTAATAAAAGCGTTAGCTAACTAAAGCTAACTCTTATTGAGCGCTCACTATGAGCTAGACATTCTTTGCTCTGGTTTATCTCTATGAACCCTCAGAACAAATCTGTAAGATACATATTTATATTAGTAGTAGTAGTATTAGGTTTCTTGTATAGACAGATGGTAAGTATTAGACTTAACCTAAGTAATACATCTAAAGTCTCACAATATATAAACCTGTGTACTTGAGATTTGAACATGGGCAGTTTTGTTCTAGAAGCTATTTGTTTATCTACTGTCTTTTACTCCTTCTCATATCATAGAATTGTTATTATCTTTCCACTTAGCAGTGGATAACATTTGAAAATTTCAGATTGTAGTTCAGTATAACAAGATAATGAAGAAATAGGTCAGGATTTGGAACCTAATTCTATCCTATTCCACAAAAAAATACTTCACTTCATTGGCATAAATGGAAAGATACTGAAGATAAGAAGGAAAAAAAACTCTTCTAATGTGTCCTCAGGTTTTAAATATTAAAGTTCCAAATCATAAATCTAATTATGAAAATTCAGATATGGTTACATCTGTCTAAAGGAATTTTTTTCAGAGAAAGTGGTTACGGTTTCTAAAATAACACCGTTCAAATTTCTGTCTCCTCTATATACTTATAAGTTTATGCCTGAAAAGAGTTGCTTGTGCTAGGGTATTTTCAAACTAGGAGTCAAAGTAAACTTACAAAACAACTTGAGATGAAGACCTAAGAGTAGCAAAGAGCTTTATCTTAATTTTGTAATGGGTTTTGGAGAATACTTGTGTATAGTCTGGAAAATCCTTGCAAGATAGTACTTCCTATCTTGCTTCCTTTCAGCATTATTTATTTTGCCATCATTTATTTATTAATATATTTATTCAATAAATACTTATTGAGCATATATTACAGGCTAAGCCTTTTTTCAAGTGTTGGGAATTCAGGAACAGGCACTAACCACAAAGAAATTTTATTTCCACTAGAAATACAAACAAATGAATCTCTTTATGTGTGAGAATAGAGCCAGGATAAGGTCAAGTTCAGAAGCACAGTGTGTTATGGAAACACAGATAAAAAGCTCACAGCCTAGATATGGGGACAGGACTAGATACAGGGACAGGAAAAAAAACTTCCAACAGCAGAAATAGAAAATGTAAAAAAAAAAAAACCCGAAGTTTCTCAAAGCATAAAATATTTTTAAAATGAAATGGCAGTACACGTGGCTTGAGAAAAGGAAATTTGAATATGGAAGTAAGTGAAGTTTGAGAGATGTAAAGAGAACAGACAGTGTTGGTTTTTGAGATGAGCAGTGAGCTTAGCCGTGCATCTTTGAAAGCTCCTTCTGACAGTCATGTGGAACATTGGAAAGCACTAATGAGGTTAGAAGCAACTGCCTAAGAACAGGGAATGATGAAGGGTAGGATGAGACAGCCAATAGCATGTGACCACAAGGATGCCTTAGGAATGCTTATAAATGAAGAATCATGAAAATTAGAGTGGTAAGCCTGGTAGACAGACCGTTCTTTGGAAAACAGTTTCAAAATGTTGGCTATATATTTCCACAACATGAGATACACCCTTGTGCCAAAATGACTATAAATAAATAAATAAATAAATAAATATATATATATATATATATATCTCCTCTAGAGTAATATGAACATTGATTTGTACGTTATCCAACTATGTAAGTCAATACTTTATTTGTGATTCCAAAACAGCATTTTTCATAGAATAGTTAATATATCTATTTAAATAATTTATCCTTTTTTTATTAACTAGCCCTGTGAGAGCATAAATATATTTTCTAGTATAGCTAGAGATTTGGGGTGGTGACATGGCTTTTCTGTCCTTTATTTTTCTGTTATCATAAAAGGTAGTTGATCATATGTCTATAACAAGATCACCAAGATAACAAGAGTATTAATCTCCTTTGTTTTTAAGTAAAATATAGAAGAAGAAGAGAACAGAATATACCATTCCTGCTTCAGCAAAGCATAGTAGTCACTGTAAGCCCCTGGCTTGAAGCTAGTGCTCATGTGCACCACATATGCACTTGTGGGTGCTGCTCTGTTGTTTAGAGTTGGTGCACACTCCAAATGATAAGCATCTATCACAACCAGGTTGTTAAATAATTTCGATATCATCTCTATCTTTCGATTCAGGACTACTTTTCCTTATGTACTCTAAAACGTCAGTTTTAGCCTTACTCCTCTTCCCTTTTTGAAAAATTATAAAGTTCTTTATTCTAAATCTATTTTGCATGTAGAATAAGAAACTGTGGTAGGAATATGTTTAGTGTGCCAGAGACAATAAATGCATGGCAATTTATGACACTTTAAGAAAACACAAACTAATTACAAAAACATGTCCAGGCATTTCTAATAAAAAGTTACTGTTTTTTTTTTTTAAGAAAGTTAGCAGAGCCAATAGTTTATTTTGCTCTCTATGGGCCCTGGATGAAACCTGAAAGAAGAATAAAGTAATACCATATTTACAAAGCAGAAACAGTATTTCTTTCGTACTTTATGTCATCTCCTGAAATCTCACATTCAAACACTGAGAGGAATTGACCCTACTCAGCTACGAAGACTTGACAAGATCACAGCTCAAGAGGCTATGCCTTGAGAAAAATTATACTTTCTGACTATCCTTAGCACGAACATCTCAAGAAAATTCTCCAAGTTTCCATTTCTCTCATTGAAGCTTCTTAATTTTCCATATTATTTTTAAGCATGAATTGCATAGATAGGCAGGCCAAGTAGTCAAAATCCCCCCTCGAAGCTACAATTTTTAGTATGTCATTCTTAACAGTTTATACTCCTGGTGTTTAATTTTTTTTCTGAAGACTGCTAGTTGAAATTTAAAGTATGAATAAAGGAGAAAATATGCATGAACAATATTATTTACAGATATAATCATTAGCAGAGATATTCTTATGTCCTTGCCTGAGTTTCTGTAATAGATTCCATTTCTAAAGACTCTTCAAGCTGAAGTTAGCACTAAAATACTTTAGCATGGAGATAAATCTACTTTATCCAGTATACTTTGGATGATTATGAACAATCTTGAAAGACCAAATAAAAACATGTTCTCTAGTCCTAAAGTATTTTATATAATTCAAAATATATTCCATTTCGAGTACGAACTTTGGATGATTATTATTAAACACAATGAAAATGAGTATTTAGAGATTATTTTAACATAATGTAGGAGAGATATAGTTTTAAATCCAAATTGAGGAAGTGTTATATTATTTCAACACTTTTGGAATTAGTGGTGTCTCACAATTAGGAACTGTTCTCTGATTTCAGTAATCTCTAATATCATACATAGCAACATCTCTGTGGGTTTCCTCTGATCTCTCCAAATGGGGTTCTGTTGAATCAGGAATCAGCCTGGAGAGTGGTGGCTAGAATGATCTCCAGATCTATTGTTATATACTGGGCAAAGTCCCTTAAACCATGGTTAAATGAGGCCCTTTTAGACCAGATACTCATATTGAGTCCATCAGACTATGATTAATTACAGACTCATCTATTTGTGAAGATTTCATTCAGTTTTCTTTTAAGCAAAGTTTTGACATAAACAAGTACTTTAAATAGGGACACAAGTATAATAGAAAAACATCTGAACATCTGACCATTTAAATTTACATGAAGAGGGGGTGATAGATCTATTGTTTTTTCCTGCCCTTCTGCTGAATCAAGAAATTTGCTTTGAATATCTATATTCTTATAACACTTTCTGGATTGAGAAAAGTGCTCGTATTAGCTTACATATAGGTTATAAGTCCAGAATTCTTGAAAACTTTGAATGCAAAGGAGTATTAAAATACATTACCACAGTTTCTCTGCATTGGATAAAAACGTAGAACGCCTGAGATTAGGTTAACTCTGGTCAGCATCATCTGCCATAAATACTTAATTCCTAGGTACTACCAAGTATGCCCATTTTTCAAATACATGAGATAATTGTGAATAGTTTTTTTTAGTGACGCTTAATAATAAATAAACAAATGAAAGATAAATTACCATCTATGCCTTAATGGTTTTGAAGGAAAATGGATCGCAGGCAGCCTACTATGATTTTATATGTACGAACGAAATTCATAAGCAGAAGTCAAGGAGTGTACTACAAAAAGCTAATTACAGAAGAGAGGAGAAGAATATGCGGTTGTTCTGCTCATTCTATTTCATAAGTGTCTGAAACCCGAACAAAACCTAAAAGTTTTCGTGGGCAGGAATTTTTCCACATTTACAATAATGCTAAACCACAATCCAAGAATGTCACTAACATTGTGTCCATTGTTTGCTCTGGAACACAGGCTCATTATAGCTTTCAACTAGCAAAAAGGAATCAGGAAGCATGGTTAATGGGCTTCTAATTTTGTTTGTTTGTTTGTTTTTGGTACACCATTAAGTTGGCCTGCATTGTCTTCTAAAGTATTAAAAGAGACAACTAAAGTAGAAGTCATTTTATAATGACTAAAGAGAGAAAAAAGTAGGTGTTATTACTATTTGTTTTTATTCTCTTGGTGTCTCATAAATAGTTCATGTATGTGTATCATAGAGGGAAGGTCAGTCTTGAATGTGAAAGTGTCTAGGGGCATAAAATGGGAGTAGTGATTTGATTAGGTTACTGAAGTTGCAGACGAGTATTTGTAGTGGTCAGAACGAAATTAAAGGGTGGGATGGATGAAGACTATGAAGAAGGGTCAAGGATGTCTAGGGCTTAATATTTAGTGGCCAGTTTAAATCATTGTTACACCATACAAAACTAATTCAGGTAACTTTGGTGCAAAAACCATAAGAGTCATATATACTAAAATATCACATCTTTTTTACAAATAATATATTACATGCCTTTTGTATCTTAATTAAGCTAATATTATTTTTCTATATGCATCCTTTCCTAACCAGTTGCTAACGATGCTGCATGAGTAAGTAACTATTAAAGAATTACACACACACACACACACACATATATATATATATATATATATATAATCCTTGAACTGTCTGCAGGTTTCAAAACAATTGTGTATACTTTAAAACAAACACTGAGTAAAGAAGGTAAATCCAGTGTATTTGATGGTGAAACTAAAGAATTGACTGAAATTTCTAATTGTTTCTTTCTCTCATATTCTCCTCCTTTAGCTCAACATAATTAATGGCTCCCTCTGAGTAGTGATTGTGCACTAGATTTCTGCTTTCTTGATTGCCCAAAGCTTGAGCAAGGTTGGATTTTAGCGTACCATAAGAATGAGCATCTGATATGGTCATCACTGCTTCCTGCAGGTAGGTAGGAATATCCCTTTCTGTTTCCCTCCTACTCTGGCTCCTATTCTTCAGAGAGCCAACTGATCTTATCAAGTTTTTTTGATAAGTGCTCTATTATACTCTTTCAAAAACAGGCAGTAAACAAGTATAGGTAGGTTTGTAAAGATTTTTTCAAGGCATTTAATTATTCTGATGTATACTGTGGATATCCCAAAAGGAGAAAAATCATAGGTATTATCTCCCAAACTATTTTCTTCTGCTACCCCAAGATTTTTATTTTAAAAATAAATCCTCCAAACATCTTTAATGCTAATGCTGCATGAAATATATTTTAGAAAACCATTGCGTTGATAAATATTAGACTGTATGGCAGGCCATCTCTCTCTCTCTCTCTCTCTCTCTCTCTCTCTCTCTCTCTCTATTATTTCTTACTCCCTTTCCTCTCTCTTTCTCTGATATCATAGCCAACAATGTGACAATTTGAATCAGTGTAATGATCAAGATTATAACAAAACGGACATAAACTTACCTGACAACTAGAAAGAATTCAATCATTACTTTTTACCTGATCTCCAGAGAGGATATTGCAAAAGGTCATCATTTAGTCCTACTGCTTTGGAAGAGCCCCCAGCATTTAAAAATTTTGTAGAAACTCTGCATGTCATCCAACTTCCCAGTATGCTTTAGCCAACTGTTTGAAATGTATGATTTCTTACCAAAATTAATGTAGACATCATGCAGTAGTTTCCTGGAAATTCTTTAGAGAAGTTTAAGCATATGCACAATCCATAAATCATAGCGTTAAGAAGGGAGAAACAAGATTCTGGCATGTAGTCACTGACTCTCAAATACCATTAGATGCTTTCACTTTGTTGAAAATAAAATATTGCTTTTATTGTCTTTAACTCTAAAGATGCCTTTAGACAAGCAATATAACATAGAAATATTAAGACAGATAGGGTTTTTTTCCCACTGATCAATAGCTCAAAAAGTTTGCACAGAAAAATTCAGAAGTATGTGAGGAAACAATTTTGTTTCTAAATGGAATTTGCTGTGATCAAGAACATACTTTGAAGGCCGGGCGCGGTGGCTCACGCCTGTAATCCCAGCACTTTGGAAGGCAGAGGCGGGCGGATCACGAGGTCAGGAGATCGAGATCACGGTGAAACCCCGTCTCTATTAAAAAATACAAAAAATTAGCCGGGCGCGGTGGTGGGCGCCTGTAGTCCCAGCTACTCGGGAGGCTGAGGCAGGAGACTGGCATGAACCTAGGAGGCGGAGCTTGCAGTGAGCCGAGATTGCGCCGCTGCATTCCAGCCTGGGCAACAGAGTGAGACTCCGTCTCCAAAAAAAAAAAAAAAAAAAAAAAAGAACGTACTTTGAGAACTGCAAGAGAAAGGTAGAAAGGCAGGAGAATGATCACCAGTGGCTTTCAACTCAACATAATTTGAGCATCAGCAGCAACAAGCATACAGTTTGCAAAAGTGGCCACAAGTGTTGCATGCCTTATATGCACACCTTTTGGCAAAGTAAGTTTAAAGCTGTTTCAACCAAGAGATGAAGTTTATTTCTCCACTCCGTATATCTGTACTTGACGATATTACTTCCTTTGACTCATGGCATGTTACAAAATGTGACACAAGCAGAGATTTGAAAATACCTCAGGGCTCACTCTTCGTGTGCTTGAAAATCTGAGATTGCCATGTAAACAAAGCTGACATAGCTTACTGGAAACTGAGAGACCACAGATAGCTGAGATGAGCCATCCCACCTGAGGATCCACCAGCTTGCCAGTAGCCAGCTGCAAGAGTGGGGTCATGTGGTATCAGGCAGCATCCAGACAAGCTGCCAGCTGACCATAGATAAAAGTGAGAGAGCAAGACCATCAAAACTGACCCACTGGCCAGGCACAGTGGCTCACACCTGTAATCCCAGCATTTTGGGAGGCCAAGATGGGCAGATCACCTGAGGTTGGGAGTTCAAGACCAACCTGGCCAACATAATAAAACCCCATCTCTACTAAAAATACAAAAATTAGTTGGGTGTGGTGACACATGCCTGTAATCCCAGCTACTTGTGAGACTGAGACAGGAGAATTGCTTGAACCCAGGAGGCGGAGGTTGTAATGAGCCACTGCACTCCAGCTTGGGCGACAGAGCAAAACTCTGTCAAAAATGAATAAATAAATAAAAAATAAATAAACCTTGCCCAAAGTGACAGAGCAGGAGCATCGCCATCTGGACAAGCACCATTATTCTAAAGTTCATCTTGATCCCAAAACTCCTAAATCCAAAAGTCATCAACCCAATGGTTAAGGTCAGCATCACCATAAATAATAAATGACATCTTCGACCAGAAACATTCAAAACCCCTCCTTGACCAGAGACATGCCAGCCCCAAGATAACCTTCCCTCTGGCCAAAGAGATAATGTCAGCCCCAAGATAATGTCCCATCCAACCAGAGACATTCCAAACCCACCTTAAACTTCTCCCCGCCACAGAAACATTCTAAGCTTATGATGAGCTCTCTCACCCTGAAACCAATAGTCTTAGTCTGTAAGAGAGAGCACTCCTGACCAAAAAATCGGCCAGAAGCCCCTCTCAGGTTTATTCCCCAAAATAAACCTGTTTTTAACTGTTAAGCCACATTTTATGTTTCTTTTCTCTTTCTTTAACTTTTACACACACCACATGGAAAATCAAGATGACCTACAGAATTGAGCAGTAATGAACATCATGACTGTTTTAAGCCACTACGTTAGGGATTAGTTTAATATATGGCAAAAGCTAACTGAAATACCTCCTTAGTCAGCATAATGGAGATGCCAACACATGTTTACCAAATACCATTTCCTTTTCCTTTTCCAGGATTCACAGAGAGAGTAAATTCCCTACCCTCCTTTGTTGTTAGCTTAGTGCCAGCTAACATGTGGTGATTTCTAGCAAATGTCTTCCACTATTGCTCAAATTAATAGTTGCATTTTTGTGCTTATGTTTCTCAATAGTTACCTCTATTTGAAAGGAAAGTGAAGTTGGGTAGCTTTTGTGCTGTTGATATAACAGTCTGGTATAATTAAGAGTCGATTTTAATGTGGTAATTGGCCCTTTTCACATTTTCACAAGTCAGTTTCTGCCAAAGGAACACATAATTACTATCTAGGAATTTAGCCCCAGGGATCACTGGAAGGCCCAGAGATTTCTGTTGACTGTGATAGTTCTTTACCCAAGGTAGATTTATCCAATCCAAATGGTTCAAAACTAATTTAGGACATTTCATCTATTCTGTTTACTTTTCTTCAGTCTAATGCAGAGTAAAAGTACTTAAGAACTTAAGGGGCAGAAGGCTCATCAAACCAATACAAAGAATCTCAAGGGATTTGGGTGGCATTCCAACAAAGAAGCCTACTCCAATGGGTAGACATACTGTCCTTGGAGGGTGGGGTAAAGGGGCCAAGGAAGAGTTTCAGTTTCCCTTTATTCTTCTCTCAAAGATAATTTAGAACAGGTTCTTAACTAAAGAAATGCTAAACCTGTTCGCTGATAATTATCAAAACTTTCAATAAATTCCTTGCTAAAGTCTAAAAGAAGGGAAAAGGACTTGGATGTATGAAAAACATGAATTTAGAGAAATAATGGGGCTATAAACAGTGAAAAGTGGAATCCTTGGGGAAAAATAAAAATTGATTTTGAAAAAGATTTATTTTCAGTTCCCTCAATTTGGCCACAAAATGTACAGATCAGACACTGGTTGCAGTAAGAGTTTACAGAAAAAAAAATGGGGTTCTAATTGAAAATAAATACTGCTTTCCTCATCTCACGATTTCACATAGACAAGATAAAAGACAGCAATTTGGGGATAGCCAAGTACAAACAGCCCATTTGTAGTCTGTCGCAATCTCCTTTATCAGATGATGTTGGTCTCCTCATCATTTCTTAAAGGACTAAACTCTTAACTTCATTTTCAATTTTTGAAATATTTCAGATCCGTATTTCATTTTCTAAACAGATGTCCAGAGCTGAACATGTCCTCTGTTTTAATAAGTATTTGTATGATCTGTAAAAAAATTCACATAAAAAATAATAGCAATCATAAGTAACTCAAACTGCATAACAGTTTTTTTCAGAAAATAATTTTTTAAAGTATTTGGATCACAAAAGGCATAAGGAGGGATCTTGGAAACAATTTGAGATATATACTTTACAATGTACAATTTTTTTTAATTTTAAGAATTTCAATTTTCACTATTTTTATAGGTGATGTTTTTGTAAGACATTAAGTATGAATTAAAAAAATGTATTTCACATATATATTCTGTAATTGGTAGTAGATTTACTGTGGAGCTAACCAAGCTTAAACTTCTGGGCCACTACTTTACATTGGTCTCTTGCAAGAAAATAACCCACACTTTATATTTATTGTTTTTTATTTATTTTCTCAAGGTAGATAGCCAGAACTGTATGAGCCTCTGGTCTACAAAACCTTGATCTTATCTGATTTGTAAAGAATGACCCATTATCAATGCCTTTATCTGTTCTACCACTAATCTGCCCATTTGGATCTTTTGCCACTGCTAACTCTAGAACTCCTGTGAATATTCTGGTGCTCTAAACATTTTGAGGTTCCAAGTCTGTAGACCTTCATCTTTTCCTTTATTTCCACTTACAGCCACATAGCACTCACCCTCATTCCCAATCATAGATTGGGACTATCTCTGTCCCATAGAATGGGACTGCCTCTGTCCCATTTTTTTAAATGCTACCTTTGTAACAGTCAAATATCATCCTCAAAAATGATGTCTGCACAAGGAAAACACTAGTTCATTGATAGTCATAGATATACATCTACTCAATAAATGCATGTTCAAATTTAGCTATTACTGAGAAACTGCTAACCCTATGATATGTACTCAGTTACCTGGCTATGGTGCCCACATAGTTAATCTGCACAACTCCTGCTGCTATTATCATTGGGGGTACCTGTTAATGTCAAAATAAGCTGCTTCGACCGCACCTTAGATATATATCCAGAGTCTAATTTCTCAATACATTGATCATGAACACCCCAATCTAAGGAACCATTATGTCTTTCCAGAATTTTCATCCACTAGCACTCCTCCTTCCTCCCTGGACCCTTTGCAGTCTCTTCACCCAGCAGGCAGAAACGATGGAGGTACAAACTGAATCACATTCTGTTACTCTTCCATTAGTAATCATGCAAAGACTAACTAGGAGAACAGGGAAAAGGAGGAGGAGGAGGGGGAGGAGGAGGAGGAGAAAGAGGAGGAGGGGGAGGAGGAGGAAGAAGAGGAGGAGGAGGAGGATTCAGTACAAACTGAATCACATTCTGTTACTCTTCCATTAGTAATCATGCAAAGGCTAACTAGGAGAACAGGGAAAAGGAGGAGGAGGAAGAGGAGAATGAGGAGGAGGAGGAGAAGGAGGACGAGGAGGGGAAGGGGGAGGGGGAGGAGGGGGAGGAGGGGGAGGAGGAGGGGGAGGAGGAGGAGAGGGAGGAGGAGGACAATGAGAGGGAAAGATTAAGGGAGAAAAAGGAACATCTCCATCACTAAGAGGCAGGAAAAGAGATGTGAGAGGCAGGCTTGGACATGGACTTGTGAATGTATAACTTCAAATCTGCTTCTGATCTTATGTTTGATTATAGTAAATCATTGAGCTTTCTATGCTTCAGTTCCCATAAAATAAAAATGGGTATAGTGTGAGTAACTGTTGCATGTATTATGTATATATTCATTCATTTATCATAATTAAAGGTTTAATACACAATGTGTCTGACATATGGTGATTACACAATGAGAGTCAGCTATTATTATCTTCAGGATAACAGTTTACAGAGCATAATAAAGAAGGGAGCCAAGCTCCTAAAAGTCAGTTCAACTAAGCTTGTTCAATAGCGATGGATCAAAAACACCTCCTTCAATAACTCTTATGGATTTCCATGATAGAGCTGTGTTAACAATTGTAGTAATACCTGATAATTTGTACACACACACACACACACACACACACATATACAGAGTTATCTAATATGTACACATACTACCTTATTTAACCTTTATAAGAAATTTAGGAAATAATTACTAGTGTTTTCCCCAGCTTTACCAATGACAAAATTGAGCCATAAACTATTTAACTTGTCTAAGCCAGGATTCAAACCCAAGTAGTGCAGTAGTATCATATGTCTACTAACTCCTTAATGATATTTAAGATTATTTGGCTGGGACTGGATAGATAAAAACAGTAGATTGTCTTACAGACAATGATTTAAGATGGATTGTGTCTGTCCATGTGTAATACGCCTACTCTGTCACAGATATAGTATATTCATCTAGTCTGCCCTTTTCTGTTGTCTACAATATTTCGTTAGCAGAATTTTAAAAAGTCATTGTTATCTGAATTCTGCAGAAAGACAGAAGTACAAGTCCATTGCAAAATTGCATTTGGATAATTTCCACTTCAGATTTTACTTTCTCCCTCGTGTAGTTGTTCATATTAATCAGATCAATGATGATTCATTAGACCCTCTAGTGACTACCTTATATTATAAACATATGCATATTTACTAAGAATTGTTGCACAATTGTTGCCTAAAGTTAGGATGCAATTCTGTCATCTTTTATTTCATAGACTGGGAATGTTTAACCTACGCGTGTAGCCTTCACAAGATAGGCTACCATTATTCTTACTAGATCGGGTTGATTTGATACTCTTTTTCATCTCCTCACCTCACTGTTTCTCTTTGCTTCCTGCTGCTTAGGCTCACAAACTACAGAGTTGTATGAATAATTGAAAAACATTTTAATCTACATAATTTCACCAAGGCTGTGTGTGTGATTCTAAAAATCTCAGACTTTATCTAAGTTCTAAAGAAACTATTTAATACACATTAGTCTTTTCTGTATACATTTATTTGTATGGCAAAAGTAGAGGCGTGTTTTCTCACTTCTGTGGTATTACAGAACCCCTATGTTCTATACCATAAACACTCTTAGGCAATGTATATAAAATAACTCTATTAAATAAAATAAAGTCATCAGTACCTGAATTTTTTAGTTTCAAGTATTAGCCAATTTTAGTTGTATTGGCTAACTTACGTATTCTTTATATCATTATTGACTGATGATTGCGTTCCCGGAAACCTCATCGTGATTACCGGTTTCATGGAAGCTTCCAGATTAGTCGAGGGTAAAGAAAAGCTGCTTTTAAATACAGCAGCCACCACTTCTCTATGGTTTTGCCTTCTGCAGTTTCAGTTACCCGTGGTCAATCAGGGTCTGATTACAAGTGGATACAGTACAATAAAATATTTTGACAGAAAGAGAGATTATATTCAATAATTTTTGTTATAGTTTATTATAATTGTTATGACTTGTTATTAGTCACTGCTATTAATCTCTTATTGTGCCTAATTTATAAATTAAACTATATCATAGGCATAAATGTACCCAAAAAACACAGTATATATAGGGTTTGGTACTACCCATGGTTTCAGGCATCCACTGAGAGTCTTGAACTGTTCCTCCACAGATAAGGGGGAACTACTGTAATAGAAAATAAGATTGCTATGAAATACACACACACCACACACACACACACACACTCACTCAATTGCTCAGTTTTGGAGAAAATAAAATTTTCTGAGGGCTAAAAGTTAAGTAGAAATGAGCCAGACAAATGTATATGGAAAGGTGGAGGAAGAAATTAAAACTGAGTGGGGCATGGAAGCATCCGTTTAGGAGAGAGAACAAATGCAGACAGCTGAGAAAGAGAATATCACAGTCAAGGATTAGAAGTTTATGAAATTCGAGAGTGTGAAGAAAATTCACTCACCCTACCGGTTCCTGAGACAATTCTGACAAAAGTGGAAGAGATATTAAAAGCCCAGCGCCTATGTTTTGCTGCCCTAACCCTAGCTTTCAATGTGTCTAACATGAGTATTGAGTATCCACATGCCACCAAGCTGCACTTTCTTCCCCAAAGACACTGTGTCCAATGTTTATATTTGTCACTCAGTCATTCACATGTCTGCCGCTTTTATTTAGCCATTCACTCACCTTATGAGTAAATACAGCAAATACTTATTGAGTTTCTACTTTGGGCCAGGCAAAAGAGAGAAAATTTCTGCCTTCATGGAATATTCTAGTTACAGAGACTAACGTAAGCATGTACACATAACATATGCACATGTGATTATATGATTCCTTTATAAATGTGTATAAATATATAAATGTACTCATATATTATTCTGGTCTTCCACTTCATATAGAGAACTGCCTTAAATCTCTGTCAATATGAGTAGACCCATAACACTTTCTCTGCTCTTGCCATTTTATTTTCCTAAGAGGATAGACTATTTTTTTCTGGAATAATCAGCTTCTTGAAATGAAGGGACACCTTGAAACCATAACTGGCATTGAATAGATGGTTTTCCTAGGTTGAACTTCCTTGGTTATTGACATGGGCCTGGCTCAGTTTATGATGATCATCAATGCTAAATATGCCCCTCTACCTTAAAATGTATCATTATAACCACCTCCATCACATTTTCATGTTATTGTAACTACTCAGTCTTTGTGTTCCTTGAATTCCAAGCATGCTTAATATCCATATATGGTCAGGTTCATTTAGAATAATAATTTCTCTCTGTAATACTCAATAAAGATTTTTTTCCAGGAATAATGCTTCTGTTACTCAGGCAAAATTAGTTATGTTACAAAGCTAACTCCTTAATCTCCATGGCATAATTATCAGAATTTATTCTTCACTAAATCTACCTGTCAAATTCTGGTTAGTGAGGACTTTTCTTCACTATTGAATCAGGGATTCAGGATAACAGAGGCTTCGCCATCTTGTTACACCACCATCTTAACACAAGAAAACATCTTCAGCAGGGAAAGAGAATGAAATGATATGCCTGCTCTTAACAGCCAGAAATATGTATCTTCAAAAAAGGTCTAAATTTAGGCACCTACAGTTTTATTTGAGACTCAGCATCCATGACTAATACATAATTGTCAACTTGTTATATTTGTATAGTGTTTAGAAAGCATATTTCTACATTTTATTATACTTTTTCTTTACTAAACATTATCACCAAATAATTATTATGCTTATTTTGAGAAGAGAAATTGCACTATCATGACACTTAAGTTACAAATCCAAGATCACAAAGCCAGTAGGGAAGACATCTAAGTAGGCTTAAAACTCCAAATCAGGTCTTTTTACTTTAAATAAATCCAATTTTTTCCTTCATTATATCATATCTACCCTACCTGGAGTTTGGTTATTAAACGTATGTAGCACCATAGATTTTATGAAGCTCAATGAGACTTTTTAGATAATCTCATCCAATATTTTTATTTTACAGATGAAAACACCATAGGCAAGAAAGGTTAAATGGTTCACCCAATGTATTCAGCTAACTTCAACTCATCTAACTTCAAAATCCTTGCTTTTTCTACTACTCTACAATACCAGTAGGTTAAGTGTTATTAGGTACGAGACACTCAGTATATACATAGTGAAAGGAGGTTTTAAAACTGATGTATTATGAAGCATTTTCACTAGCTTGGTTGGAGACTTTCATTCACTCCTTATGATATTTTGATCATCACTTTTGTGCCAAGGTTATGGATCAAATTAGTGTGAAAAACCTACTGTTCTTCTCTTCTTCTATCCTTATGTACCTTGGAAACCTCTGCCCTACTGATAGCAGCTTGCCTGTACATTTCTGTTTTAAATTGCCTTCTCAGTAAGAAGTGACTTATTAATGATTGTATTCCTAGTATTTCTACTTGCCAAGATATAAGCAGTCAATTCTTTTAGTAAGATTTCCAAAAGAGTCTCTACCACAAGAGAAAAATGAGTGTTTATAAAAGTGACATTGTGAAAAAAGTTGAACTGTCCACTCTATAACTAGTACCAGATTGTTTTCTTCGTAATTTCAGAATTACTCCAAACTCATGGTTCCTGATACAAACAAAGGTGATAAGATACTTGAAATCCTCTACCTAAAAAGTCAAATGCTCAAATTCCAAGGTTCTCCAAATGTAACTTTGTTTCAGTCAAGGATGCTAAGGGTGACAGCTCCAGAATGTGGGTTCATTTTTTTGCTTTCCTTTTTTTTTTCTCATTTTTCTGTAGTTAACTCATTCTCACTTGGAATGACTATAGCATTCCGTTTGAGTAAGAAAGAAACTTGGTCTGTAACTCACAATTTTTCTAATAATGTTGTTTATCTATGACAAGCCGTATTGGAGTATTTATAGTATTTATAGTATTAAGGATTTACAGTATATAGGAAAATAATATGAAATTTCTACAATAATTTTATTTTAAAGCATTAGTATTATTATTTAAAAGTCATGGCAAATACTATTTTTTGAAGCAAACAGAAAAACAAACATGATAAAATGATACATTGAAAGCAATTGACGGTATTTATTGGGATTTTTATTTTATTTTATTTTATTTGAGACAGGGTCTCTCTCACCCAGGCGGGAGTGCAGTGGTGCAATCTCAGCTCACTGCATTGCAGTCTCCAACTCCAAGGCACAAGCAGTCCTTCCTCCTCAGCCTCCTGAATAGCTGGGATCACAGGCATGCCACCATGCCCAGTTAATTTTTGTATTTTTTTGGTAGAGACAGGGTTTTGCCACATTGCCCGAGCTGGTCTTGAACTTCTGGACTCAAGCCATCTGCCCTTCTCGGCCTCCCAATCTGCTAGGATTACAGGTGTGAGCCACCACACCAGGCCTTATTGGGAATTTAATACTTTAAATATTCTTTGCAGGTAAAATTTGATGACTAGTCTTAAAAGAGTCTATTGAAGTTTGTTACTCTAACTCATAAATATTGGACATTATTACATCGAAATAATATATTATTGTTCCTAATAATAGCTTTTACTAGATTTTATATGTTCTCTGACCTATATACAAGTTATTTACATGGAATAAATACAAATGTTGGAAAGTTCCCCTCTGTGTCTTCTTTAGAAACCAAATTGTAGATCTAATTATAAAGGCTGCATTAGTTTAAATAGGGTAGAGGACAATGTTCACTAAAATCTGACTAGGTATGTAATTAGTTGGTACCCATCTGGCTTCACTGTACATTGGATCTCACTCTGTATTAAGTGTTACATAAATAAGTATTTATGAATAATTGTTAATTGATTTAGCTTTCATTTAAAAAAAACTATAACAACATACTGTAGTTGTCAGTGTGGGTAAGATAATAGAACGCGTTGAGGACTCAGTGAGAGTGGAAGCCATTTCTACTCCTAGGCATGAAGGAAAGTTGAGGGGAAGATAGATAAAGACTTACAGCTGTATAAGAGAGTTAATAGGTAACTTTTTGAGGTCCAGCAAAGCAAGTTAGGGCAATAAATAGCCGAATCTTGTTGTCTTACCACCTATGCTCTCCCATAATTGTCTCCTATTAGCTGAAGCCAACCAAATGCCAGAGGACAAAAGGGTTTGACTGAATTGGTCCACAGAGCTCAGCTTCCTGGGGATTGGAGGACGGAAAACGTTGAAAGTAAATTAGCAATATGATCTCTATTAGCTAGAGAGGTAAAGTGAAACTATCTACTCATTAAATTTATGGTTTTAGGAGATGTTGTTTTGTTATGCTTATAATAAAAAATGTTATTAACTTTAGTCAGAAGGCAAACAAAATTATTTTCTAAAAATTTTACTGAAAATTCTAGCCATGAAATTTAAGGATGAAAGGTGTGTTTGTGAGTACGTGTGTTTATGGGTTATTTTATATATGATAGTGGATCTATTTTCTTTTTTCTTTCTTCAAATTACTTTATTATCTATAATTGACAAATTATACATAGGAAAATCTAAACAGGGTATAGATGTGTATTTTTTTCATAGCTACTCTCTTTTATTATACAATTTATATTTCATATATAAAACACTTTACTCGACAACTATAGAATAGACATAATTTTCAAGTACCTGTGCAAGTTAAAAAGATGTATCACATAGTTTGGGTAACTATACAGCCCGGTTTGCTCAGGAATGTCCTTGTTTGTACCTATTGCCCTTAGCAGTCATCTGGTGAGCAGGTGTTTTTTTAAACTCAAAAGTGTGATAGTTTAAAATAATAAATAATACTGTAACCCTACATATACTGGAATGTATAGTAAGTCTCAAAAAAAATCAAAGACAGAGCATGTTCTGTAACCATAGCACAGCAGAAATCAATAACAAAAAGCTAATGAGAAAATCTACATTTCTGAAAATGAATATTAACACTTCTAATACATTAGTTTGAGGACAAAAATCACAATAATACTTAGCAAATGATAATAAATGATGACAATACATGATGATTAATTCATTTAGCACACATTTGAATGTTAAGGACTAGAAATAAGATAGAAGTGAAGGAAAATAGAGTCCTTAAGCTTATATTAGAAAACTATAAAAGCAATGTACTAAACATTCATTCAAGAAGGTGAAGAAGACTATTACCAAAAAGATAGTAGAAGAAAAAGAATAAAGAATGCAACGCAAACAACAGAAAAAAGAGATGCACAGAATGTAGTAAAAAAATGAAAAAGAAAAAAACTCAGAAATCTCAAACATTAAAAGTGTTTAAAAAATAAAAAATTGTAAGAAGATAAAAACTTTGAATATTTAAATGAAATACACAAATTACAAAAGCTGACTCAATAAACAGAAAACCTAAAATTTATACATTTATCTAAAATTAAATTAGAACATACACATCTTTTCCTGAAATTACATCTGGCTGAGAGATCTTCACAACCAAGTTTACCCAAACTTTGAAGAAAAAAATTTTAAAAAGAAAATCTGAAGGGATATTTTTCAACTCATTTTAAGAGAGTATAGGTTGATATCAAAACTTGAAAAAGACAACTGAGAAAGAAAAATTTTATTCCTATTTTAATCATAAATAATGATGCAAAAAAGCCAAAATAGTGTACTAATAAACCAAATCCAGCAATGTATATAAGGTTAATACATCATAATTAACTTTATATTATCTGAGGTATGCAAAGTTAATCATTACAAAATTAATGAAAGTTTAACCACATGAAACACCAATGAATAAAAAAAAGAATGGGTTCTTTGAATAAATGCAATAAAATAATTTATTAAATTAAACAGCTTTTCATGTTTTTTAAAAAGACAGAAATCTGAGTGACCTTTCAAAATGATAGAAAATATCTTTAAAATTTATAGCAAACATAGCTTAATTATAAAATATGCAAAGAAAGCTTCCCTTTTATATTCAATTTAAAACCAAAATGTCTGCTATTATCATTTCATTTCAACATGTTACTTTAGAACCTAGGCTATGTGATAAGGCAAGTAATTAAGAAAAAAGTTATAAAATTTAAAAAAAGAAATACAACAATGTTCACAAATGACATGGCTTTGTACATAGAAGTTCCAAAGCAATTAACAGATAAATTTATTAAAATTCCTGAATACATTGCTGAAAAAAACAAAGAAACTTACCAATGAATACTACCTTCTACCAATTAAAAGTTTAGAAAATAAAATTTTGATGATGCTATTATAAACACTGCAAAAATGTCAAGTAGTGATGAATAAGCTTATACTAAAAATATAAGACTTTTATTAAGAAAATTTTAAAACATTTTAGAGAAATTAAAAACCAAAATAATTTTTGTATGAATTAAAGAAATGTTAAACTCATTATTGGAAAAAATTCTAAAAATTCTGTCCTAATGCATGTGTAATTTCAATGCAATACAAAATTAAACTATTATTTCATGAAAATTAGTACGCTGATTTTACGCTTATTTGGAGTACAAGGGGACAAGAATAACCAAAACACACTTTAAAAAGATAAAGTGGAAAGAATTGATCTTCAGAACCAAGATGCTTCATACACTGAGTGCTGAAATTTCTGAGACAGAGCTATAATATTTTTAGAAGTTAATATTTCATAGGAGAATATTTCCATAACCTTACCTTGTGACTAATTTTTTCTTTGTCTTTTCTTTCTCTTTTTTATTTTTATAATTTTTTTTGAGGCTCTGTTGCTCAGGCTGGAGTGCAGTGGCATGATCAAGGCTCACCATAGTCTCGATCTCCTGGGCTCAAGCAATCCTCCCATTTCAACCTCCTGAGTAGCTGGGACTATAGGCATGTGCCAGCACGCCTGGCTAGCTTTTTAAATTTTTTGTCTCTACAAGACCCTCTACAGGGTCTTGCTCTGTTGCACAGGCTGTTCTCAAACTCTTGGGCTCAAGTGATCCTCCTGCCTTGACCTCCTGAAATGTTGGGATTATAGGTGCAAACCATCGTGCCCAGCCCATAACCTCACTGTGAAAAAGAACTTCTTAAGTAAGACCAAAAACTATTAGCCATATATTAACAAATATATTTGAATATTTTAAAGATTGGAACTCCTTTAATAAGTATTATAAAGAATATAAAAAGATATGCTACTTGGTAAAAATATACATGGGAAACAAGACACATATCAAAATATACAAAATGACTTCCAAGCAAGAGAAATAGACAAGTAATCCTTTAGAAATAAAAAATGGCTGAAAACTTACCTGGGCACTTCACAAAAGGGGAAACTGCAAATGGTGAATGAAGACGTAAAAATATGCCCAGCCTCATTGGCAATCAGGTAAATATGGTACATATTGCAGGCACAATAAAACACCATTACACATCATGTAAGAAATGTGAAAACAGCAAATGTTGATGAGAATAGAGAGCTATGACAAAATACTGGCCCTGATTGCTTGCCCTTCCCTATTTCCATACCTTTTGTTACATAGCCAGGTAATATCTCCCACTAAAAGTAAAGTACCTTTGCTTACTTCTGACTTTCGGATTATCCATGTGGTTTGCCTTAGCCAGTAGGATGTTAGAAGATACAATGTTAGCAGAAGCTTCCAAAGTATGTGTGCCATTTGTCTTGCTCTCTGCTATCTCTACCATTACCATAGGAAGAACGTGCCTCTGTGATATGGTTTGGCTGTGTCCCCAGCCAAATGTCATCTTGAATTCCCATAATCCCCATGTGTCGTGGGAGGCACCTGGTGGAAGGTAATTGAATCATGGGGCGGTTACTCCCCATGCTGCTGTTCTCAGGATAGTGAGTGAGTTCTCACGAGATCTGATGCTTTTAAAAGCGGCTTCTCTCTTTGCTTGGTTCTAATTCATCTCTTTCCTGCCACCACGTGAAGAAGGGCGTGTTTGCTTCCCTTTCCGCCATGACTGTAAGTTCCCTGAGGCCTTCCCAGCAATGCAGAACTGTAAGTCAATTAAACCTTTATAAATTACCGAGTCTTAGGTATGTCCTTACAACAGCATGAGAACACTCTGCTACTCTCCTGTTCTAAGTGGAATGAGGGACACACCTAGTAGACTCAGACCTACATACCTGCAGTGTGAAGCAGAGACAATCCACAGATTGATGGGAATAAACAACTGCTGTGCTAATCCACTGAGTTTGGGATGGTTTGTTGAACAACATTATGATAATAATTTACCAATCCAGGTGTAATAAGAATTCTTACACACTGGTGGTGGAAGTACAAATTGGTACAAACGTTTTGAAAAATAGTTGTTCCTTACTTATAAATATCTATACAGTTCTCTACAACCCATAAATTCCACCAGTAAGTAAATAACCTGGAAGAAATCAGGATGAATATAAAAGAATATGCATAAAATGATCTGTAATAATAAAAACTGAAAAAATCCTACAGAGAATAAATATATAGTAATATATTCATAAAGTGGAATAAGTATGTATACACAGTAATATTTTAATAAAATGGAATAGAGTATCACTTTGGAAATAAACCTATTTGGCTACAAATGCCAATATATGTCTCACAAACAGAATGCTGAATAAAAGAAGGATATTTTCCAAAAAACACACTTTTTTTCCAGTCTATGATATTCAAAAACATAACATAATACTTTAATGTTCAGGAATGCATACAAAAACACATATATAAGAGATATTTGTCATAATCTTGGTTTCCATCTATTTAGAAGGAAATCCTGGTTTCCATCTATTTAGAAGGAAATCCTGGTTTCCATCTATTTAGAAGGAAATCCTGGTTTCCTTCTATTTTGAGAATTTTCCTCCATGAGAATCTGATATATACAACTCTTAGATGAGAAGCTGAATTCTTCCGCCACCATTCTAACATCAGTGTCATGAGTATATAATCTAAGCTCTGTCAATTAACATATCCTGCCTGGAACTTCCCATCTTAAGTACAAGCAGGATAGTGAAGAATTTGTGGTGCAGCAAAACACATTGTTCTGTGTGACAACAGTCCCTTCCTTTGGTAAAGGTTTGGCTATCACTCTAGCAGTAGCTTCCTTTGGATTTCGATACAATTTTTTTTGGTTCGTTTTGTTTTATTTTTTAACCCTAGTTCACCAACTTCCTGTATAAACCACTATAGTTTTTAGTAAACTCTTGTTAATGAACCAGTGGTGATTTCTGGGGCTTGCTGCTGAGAAAACTAGGAGACAAGCTAACAAGATCTTAAGACAGTCAATGACTGTTTGGGATCTTCCAAGTCTGGGGCCAGAAGAGACTTAGGAAAGAATATGTCCAGCTAAACATATGCCTATCTTACTACTAGGTGCCTGAGGCCCTAGATAAATGCAGGTCAGTAATTCCATTTTTTCACAAGTAGACTATTTTCTGAGTTATTTTGAAACTGTAATCTCCAGTGAGCAAAGTAGTTGTTGTTCTCTGTGTAGAAGGTGCCAGGAGGTTTGCTCTGTGCTGTCCTGTCTCTCTACAGGAAATTGCCTCATTAACTTCTGTGACATTGTAAGAGCTGCTGTATTACTTCATAATGTTGGAAATTATGTCCAATCGCCATTCTATTACTTTACTTTAGCATCCTCAGTGACTTCTAAAAGGGAATTTGTCTCTTTGAAACTGCTATATCTTTTTTTCATGTTTAGTAATACAAAACCTTTTGAAAAGCCTAGAAGCATTTATAAACCATGACAATTTTTAACAAACAAAAACATAAAAGAAAAATGCCATGCAGAACAGAGTAAATTCACATGAGATGCTGGTTATACATTCATTTTGACTCTGGCAGCAAAATAAGAGCACCAGAGAATCAGCAAAGGGAAAATAAAAGGTAGAAAAAAACCCAAAAAGCTGACAAAGAATTCTGAACATGAAATAAAGGCAGAAATAGAGAAAAGTAAACTCAAAGAAGGAAATGGAAATCTAAAATAAATAAAGTTAACCCGTCATGAAAATAATTGACAAAGGCAAAAAATAAATAATCAAGCTAATCAGAAGGAGAAAGAAAAATGGAAGGAAGAAAAATTCCAAATTCATATTTAATTTTCTCAAGTAAGCAAAAATACACTAAAACAACAAGGGAAAAGAGACCCTAGAAAAAGAGAAAGAATAATATACAGTGTGCAAGTTCTATCTCATAAATCTTAAGATGCTGGAGAGACTTGAGATGTACTCATTCTTTATTAAACGCATATAGAGAAATATTTTGCTGCTTTCAAAACTACACTCACTCACTGCCCCTGTTCCATCTTTACTGCCTTAAGAAGTAAAGAGCCCCAAAGCTTAAGGCATTTCAGGTTTAGTTATCAAGGCTAACATTCCATAAGTGATTTTGTATAGACATGAAACAGGTTAGAGAAGAGAGGCATGGTCACACATTTTGAAAATCAGTATTCCCATCAGTCTACACATCTTTTCAATAATTTATTCAACAATATATTTACCAGACATTTTCCTTCAGACTCACTGGGCTACACTAGTCATTTCCAAGAGGTCTATCTGAGTAATATGACATTTTATGTAGGTATTTGCAGTGCATGAGGCTTTTCAAAGGAATTTTATAGATGCTAAAAGTTCCTTATTATGATAGGTTCCTATATTGTTTTTTGCATAGCTTATAGGAAGAGGGAAGAGGTATGTAAATTAAATACTGTGGCATTTTCTGGTCTTTCTCGACTGGAGTTCATGAGAGAATAAGCCCTATTGAAATTATTTATAGGATTATTCTCAAAAGTACAGTTGTACATTAAAAGAAGTCAACTGATTATCTACAAGGGCTGGCTAAGGCAATTGTTCGCAAATGTCCTCAGCATTATGTAAAAAATTGTCAGAAATTTAAATGTTTGGTCCCCACCTTAGATCTACAAAGTCAGATGTTATATTCATGGGGTGAGACCAGACAATCTGTGTTTCAATAAAATCTCCACATGATTCTGATCCAGTCTGAAATTTGAAAATCACCACCTTAGTGCATTCAAGCCTAAATCCCTTTGGAGCCAGGTTAAGACAGTTGTATCAGACTGTTCTTTCATTGCTATAAAGAACACCTAGGGCTGGGCCATTTATAAAGAAAAGAGGTTTAATTGGCTGATGATTCTGCAGGCTTTACAGGAAGCATGATGCGGACAGCTGCTCAGCTTCTAGGGTAATAACAGAAAGCTTACAATAATGGCAGAAGGTGAAGGGCCATGGGGGATCCACCTCATGACCCAAACACCTCCTAACCAGGCCCCACTTCCAGGACTGGAGATTGCAATTCTACATGAGATTTTGGAGGGTGCAAATATTCAAACTACATCAACAGCCTATAAGCTTCTTCAGGAATGTTTTTCAAATAGTCACAACGTAAAATGATAAAACTAGAACAGTAGAAAATTTAATGTTATTCTCTTACATAGACCGATAGCTTTAGGAAAAAGCCTGCTGTGGTTTTATCAAAAATCATCCTTATAATAACAAAAATGTAAATATCAATTTTCAATAGCAAGGTAGAGTATTTGAAAATCTACTATTCTGAGTTCTACGTCATGTAAGCAAACTTACTACAACAACTGCTACCACAAAGAGATACATAATGAGAATTACTACTAATAATATAGACCTATGGCAACTGATTGTCAAAAATCCAATAAATACAATTCTATGGAGAAAATACAAATGGAAGGGAAAAATCTTTCTATGTGTTTGTCAAAAATCCAATAAATAATTGCAATTCTATGGAGAAAATATAAATGGAAGGGAAAAATCTTTCTATGTGTTTGCATGTGTATGTGTGTGTGTGGGTGTTTGTGTTAGTAGGGGAAAGTGGCAGTTATACAGAGTTTCATTTGGTTTGTTTTTTAATGAGACTGAAGAAACATACCCCTAAACTTCATACAAATGCATACTTTACTATTTACTTTGATTTACAGACACACACACACACACACACACACACACACATACATGCGCACGCAGGCACTGCTGTAACTTTCTTTTTGTTCTCTATTTTATGCTGTAATAGTCTATTTTTCTGCTTCTAGTGATGAACAATATAGATGTAATAGGAGATAGTTTCTGCAGAAAAAGACAATGCATCATTAAAGCACAAGGATATTAAAAGCAAATTCAAAATCAGGAAAACATTTGAACTTTATGCACCAACTTGATTTGGGGACGAAAATGTATTTCAGATTTAGTATTCTTTCTTTTGCTTTTTCTTTAGTTTTCTTTCTTTTTGCTTTTCTTTCCATCTTATATTTCTTTTGTTATTCTCCTTCTTTGTTAATAAACTTCTGCTTCTTTGGCCCAAATGAGTGAAATATAGTCAACTGGGTCTGCATTTTCACTTTACATGTTGAAGTACAGCAATCCGGTTCAAATAGTTTGATCCTCTTCTCTCAATATCAAGGACAAATTATTGAAGATCAATACTTATGCCAAGGGACATGGTCTCCTAGTTACTGCAACCATATAGAGAAGAGGGTGATCGTATTTGAATGGAAAGTGAAGTCACAAATAATTGATATCCACCACAAAAATAAACACAAACCATCATTTCTATCACAATATTATTACTTATTTATTCACCAATTCTGAAAGCAAAAAGTACTGCTGACATAAAATAGTAACTAAACAAAGTATTTTCTCCGTAGTCACAAATTAAAATTATTCTGTTACATTAAACATAGATGTTATTTGACAAATGTCTATTCAGTACACATGTGAAAGACAATATGGTAGATAACATATGCATTATTTCTTAGCTTGCCTATATGTAGGTATTAGTTGGTGGGCTTGTTAATATACGTATTTCTGGCCTCCATTCAAAGAAATTACGCCTCATTGTTATGGAGAAAGGGCTCAATAATTTATTTTTAACAGGCTCCAAAGGCGATTTTCATGTTTTAGGACAAACACTTGAAAATGCCCTTGGAAGAGAAAATTGAAACAATGTCACTCTCCTCAAAATTCCTAAATTCTGAAGCATTTGAAATCATAATCATCTTTTGATGTTGGTGCACACATATAGTGGCTTCAAATACAAAATAAAATACGTTATATTTTGTAAAGCATAGACTCAACTTAAAGGTTCAGGTTCAACATGTAAATGCTTATAAGTAATCACTCCTGTCTTTACAATAACAGAAAGCTAAGGAAATTGAAAGTCAATTAACTTTTCTTGGACCCATCAGATAACTGAGGTCACAGGGTAAACAGCAAGCCTAAAATCTGGAGAGAAAGGGAAATCCAGATAGTCATAGCTGAGATCTGCTTACCTGGAGGAGAAGCTGAGGAACCATAAACTGGTAGGCAAACTTAAATAGTAATTTTAATAAACTGCCCAAAATGAAATGTAGACTAGCTTGAGTTTGAGAAATTCCTAGGGCTGCATTCTAAAAACGTCCTTCACACTTTTGTGGGTTCTACTACCAGAAACTCACCAGATTCTTATTAGTAGAGAGCCATGAAAGATCCTCTGAAGGACCTGGCAAGGTTGGGGAGGTATGATCATTATAAAATACACCTAGAGATTTCTCCATAAAAACAAAACAACAAACAACAACAATAAACAACAACACCTATCTCCATTGGAAGAAACTTTACCAGAGCCTTATCTCATGTGGAAAAAGAGTATTTTTTCAACTTCAGCCCCCTTTAGCCTTCTTGTTTCAATTTAGTGGGGGAAGGATGAAAGCTAAGAAACACCAGTGAAGCGTACAGCCTTGTGACGCAGGCCAGCTGAAAGAATGATATTTAACCATACAACTATAGAATATTTTGTTTTCCTTACAGCTTACCACCTTATCAACAGGGCTTTAATATAATAACACTGGATTACAATAGAAAGTTGCAAAGTATAGACTCTTATTTTAAAAGGAATTCTTAGGGAAGCACAAACACAATAGGTGAGAAAATAAATGAAGAAAATAAAGGACTGTGAAGCCTCTGGAACTTACAACTTTAACAAATGTTCAAAACAGTTCATCTCGTAGCCTAATTTAAAAGCTCATAAAAGCTCATAGTAAAAGCCTGTTTACTTCAATTCCAATTACCTGATGCAATATATATGGATTTCACCAAAAAAATATAAAGCATGCTAAAATGCAAGTAAAACATAACCTAAAGAGACCAAGCAAGCATTAGAACCAGGCAGAGTTATTACACTGATTTGAGAATTATCAAACAGGAAATTTAAAATTACCATTTTAATATACACAATGTTTAAGAAGAGATAGACAATAGAAGTAGGAAGAAGAGAACATTCAGAAGAGTTCAAAAGGAAATTCTAGAAATAAAAAATACTGCAACAGAAATGAAGAATGTCTTTGACAGGTTTATCAGTAGGTAAGACATGGATAAACAAATAATTAATGAGCTTTGAGAGAAATCAATACAAACTTCCCAAAATGAGAAGTAAACAGAAAAGAGAATAAAAATTAAAAAATAAAATAAAATAAAAAAACAAAGCACAGAACATCCAAGAACTACAGGACAATGTCAAAAGGTCTAACACATGCCTATTGGAATATCAGGAAAAGAAGAAATCAGAAATCCCCTGCTATCTTTCACAAAGTCTTCTGGAGCGCATAGGCAACGCTTCTGCCTTTCTCTCTTTGACAAAAATTTAGTCACGTGATGCCAAAAGAAGGTTGAGAAATGTAGTCTTTTAATTGTGCCCACTGATCGGTGTTATGTTACTCAGGGAAAATTGGAGAATGGTAGAACAGCCTCTATTGTACTCAGTTGGAAGTAATAAAGCTGGGAATAAAACAGTTTGATTATAAAAACATATTTGTCATTCTAATGTGGAAGGATTTTATTCTTTAGTGTTCTGAAAGGCACATGGTCATTTACTCTGACAAGGTCTATATGAACTATATTGGATCTGAACATATCTTGCCTTAGAGATATTGTTGCCCATTCTTCACATAACTTTTTAGCTAATCGGTGTAAACATGTCATATTGCTCAGCAAATGCAGAAAAAAATGAGTTGAATCTGGGGCTAATTTCAGAAGTCCTAGATGTAACCATTCATAGCAGTATTTGTCTTCAGGCCTGTTGAAGTATGAAGAAAGAAAAATAATTTAATTTGGATGGAATATCAAGTTCATTAATTAAAAAGTGAAAAGTTAAAAAAAGGACAATGTTGCAAAACTAGAGAGGATAAAAAATTTGAAGACTGTGAGTAAACCTTCCTGTTATACCAAATAATTTGATTTTATATTTTCTGAATAATGAATGGGAAACCATGAAATTTTAGAATAGGTTGAAAATTCTGAGATGCACTTAAGGAAACAAATTACAAACATTGTCACTTGCTTTAAAAGAAGAAAAATGAATATACAAAAACCTGGTAGGTGAGGAATGCATTTATAGTAAAGGTAAGAGATTGAAAAATAAATACATCTGAATTATATTGAAAGCAACATTTGCCTACTTTCCTAATTTAACTGTAAACAACTTTGCAAATAGTCAATCCTCCCAAATCTAGACCTCACTAATAGTTGTCCAAAGTTTACTATTTAACAGCAGTTTGAAGAAAGCATTCTGGAATTTTAGGTGCACTGCAAACTTTAAGTTTAGGTTAAGAACATTTCCCTCTTTTGGAGGGAAGCAATTGTCTATTTTATCCTACCTTTTTTTTCCAAGAGTGGAAAATATCATGCAATCTGACTGAAATTCAGATTATCTTCAAACAGTTATGCTGAGACTACAAGGTATACTGGGAAGAGAGAGCTCACTGTCTGATCACTTACCATAAGTTTAACATGTTGGAGAACATCTTGTATTATTTGGAATCTATCCATCATTAAACATGAATGAGGAGACTGTGGTACACAAATGCGGTAATACCAAATGGATACATGTATTAAAGACACTGTAACCATCTGGACTCAATATGGGACCCAGAATGTTCCCATTTATCAAATTATAATTCCCATACGATATTTTATATCTGTAATTCAATGTTGATGAAAACATAATTGTTTTTAATTTGTCAAAGTGATTTTCAGCAGTAGTGGAGTAAGTTCACACATTTATCAGAGGAGGAAAAGATTGGTGGCCAATAGAGAATTTTACTAAATTCTCTTGTTTTAAAGAAAGAGGAAGCACAGAGACAAATAATAGTCACCATCAGAGGATCATTCAAAAATTTTGAGAATGCACACATTTGATAATTATTCTTGTCTCCATCTGTTTGAATTCGTTTCCTCTATCTTAAAAGTGCTCTCCCTTTTCAATGTTTACCTAGATATTAAACAGGTTTCAAGATCCATCTTTTCCATAAAAACTTTATTACTACCATCCACTCCATTATATACTGAACTGTCCCTTCTGTAATACTGGAGACATTACTACCTCCACAAAGTAACTTTTAATACGGGCTTTTTAATGATCTCCATGCAAAATAGAGGTCTGTCTTCTTTCCTGTCTTTTTTTTTTTTCTATTAATTGATTTTTTCTTTCTTTTTTCCTTCCTTCTTTTTCCCCTGAAGAAAAAAAAGTTTTATCATGAAAAATTATATAACACCAATAAATAAAACTAAGAAAAATGCAGATATTATTTTTCAAGAAATAGAAGTTCCCATACTTTTTCTACCAGGCCTGTGTTATGGCTGAAACATCTCTACTGGAAACTCAGGATATCTTGATAGACCATTAGCACAGCCTGTAAAAAATATTTACATAAATAATTCTTTGATGAATATTGGCACCCCTTTTAGTCCCGGCTATTGCTACTTAGGATAACCAGTATCCTATTATTTCCCCTTGTTCTGAGATAAATGCTATCAGGAACACTTTCACTTCCAGTCCATCCAGGCTCTTTAGCTCTTCTAAGAGTTAGTCCAGGAAGGAATCTATGATGATAAGATTCAAGGTATTAATGCAAGAAGTAAAAGTAAAAACTAATAGGGAATAATAAATGCTCTGAGAGCTCCTTCCTTCCTCCAATCTAGACTCTGTTTTCTCCCAAATGTTGTTGGGCATCCTGAATCTTTTTCGATCATCTCCTGTTCCTCTCACCTAGCCACATTTTGCTTCTTAGCACTTAGTCCTTGAATCCTACAGTCAAATTTTCATGACTTTCTAAGTATTTTTCCTCTCCAAAGTGTATAATCCTTATTCTAATATTCTTCTTCTCAGTCATGGCACCTCCGTTCTTCCAGTGAATGGGGTTAAAAATCTTGGAGATACCTTGCAGTCACTCAGTCTTCAAAATACCCCTGAAATCTAACTTTTTTCTAGCAATATCACCCTAGCCCAAGCCAACAACGTACCTAAATGTGACCATTGCAATCCCCTCTGAGAGTCTTCCATTTTCCAATATTATCAATCCTCCTACACATATACTTCTGTCTATCTTTTCCAAATTACTATTTGACACATGAATCTGTTTATGACGTTCCTCCAATCGAAGTTCTCCGGTGGCTTCCTATCATGCCTAGAAAAATACTCACATTTTCTTCCAGGCTTATAAATTCTAACAGGAACTTGTCCCTGACTGCCTCCCCTACTCACCTCCCATTGTCTTGCCACACTTTTTACCGTTTTAAAAACTCTTCTGCCTTGGAACTATTGCACTTTGCTCCACCCAACCTATTACTCTAGATAGCCTTATGACAACTTCTTATTTTGTACAAAAGCCAGGTCAAATTTATTACCTTCAGAAATGAACTTCCTAAGTGCCTCAATTAAATAGAAGTCTTCCATAAAATGAAAACTTACATTAAAATGATTTTATATTTATCACTATGTGACAGCATATAAATAAAATGTGTGTATACATATCATGTATAATGTCTGATAACAATTAATGTATTTAATATTTTCCCAACTAATAGACTGTAACTGCCATGAAAACAAGGATATTATTTATATGAACAATAGTGCCTGATACATAGGAAATACATAATAAATATTCTGAATACATAAATAATCTAAAGGAATTATATAATTTATATATGTCAAAAGGTAATATAAGCATAATTTAAAACAAAATATTAAAGAGAAAAAATATTTTTCAACATACATGCCAGAAAAAATAAAATTCCAAAAACTTAACCCTGAAATTCTTCATGAAACTTGGTCTAACAAGACCTTCCCCATTACAGATGATGGCAATTTCCTCTTTCCATTTGCCAAGTACAAATCCTTGAAGACTTCGTTGATACCCTTCTTTCTCCTGGAGTCTCATGTAATCTATTATTTTAGTTGCCCATAACTTCCAAATATATGCAAACTCAGACAGTCTCTCAGCACATTTTTATTAGCCCTTTATCCCATGGTCATCTCTATGCCTAGGTTACTGCCATATTCTCGTAAGCTGTGTCTTTGCCTATAGTACAGGCTTTTCATATAACAGCAGCTGGAGTGATCTCTTTCTACTGAAGGATTGAGTGCTGGCATACGATGGGAACTTTTTCCTGCTTGCACAGCTTTCCAATTATTTTGTAAATTAGCGGTGGCTCTTTGAAGCTCTGGAAAATCCTGTTTTCTGAACCTGTCATCATCACCAATGAATATTCATGACAGTGGTGTTTATTGTATGAATTGCCACGATTTTTTCTGGAGTTACATGAATTTGTGTTTGAAACAGAAGCCTACATAAGCCTTGAATTTTTAACCCAATATTCTTGAATCTCTACCTGTATTGTTATGACTGTGATGAATGTCATGTGAACAATCAAAATTCCAAAGGGGTGCAGCATCAAAGCAGTTTCTCTCATCAGACCAGAGAAATTCAAAATAGTCTTCAAAATGAAAAAAAAAAAAACAAAAAACTTGACTAACAGTAGGCTATTGGTAAGAAAATTTCATTACTACCTGACATTACATCTAAAGATAAGATAAATTTTTGGCATGTTCTTGTGGGTTTTTTAAATCAACTGTAATTTCTGTTTCAAGGTTTCAGTGTCCTTTTTTAACTTCAGAAAGGAGAAACTAAAATTTAATTTTAAAAGTTTTTATTCCAACATTTCTTTTATGCTATTTTTCTGCTTTATAAGCATGAATAAGTATTAAAGGCATAAAATAATTGGATATATATATTTGTATATATATACATATATCAGAGTATTTTAACATATCAGATTATGTTACTATTTCTTTGCTCAAAATTCTGCGTTTTAATAATATTAAATTCAAATTTCTCCACAATGGTCTCCTAGGTACAACGTGATTTGTGTCCAGGCTATGACACTCCGTTACCCCCACCTTGCCTCCAACTGGTTCTTGCCTTTTCTTTTCCTCGCTTGCCCCTGCATATTGGCCTTCCAGCTGTTGTTGAAACTGACAAGCACATTCCATCCTTAGGGCATTTGCTTTAGCTGATCTTTGTGCCTGGAGCACTCTTCTCCCAGATTTGCAATTGGCTTCCTGCCTTACCTTTGCGCAGATATCACCTTCTTAATAAAGCTGAACCTCACAAATCTATTTAAAATGTTCAGTCTGGAAATCCATATTCCCCTAATTATGTTCTATTTTATTTTACTTTGTACAGTATTTATCATCTTCCAGCACAAGTTTTAAGTTAGTTATTTATTATGCCTGTGGTATATTGTCTTTTTCTGCAAGAATATCAGCTGCATGAGCACAACTTACCTTATTCTTGTTGTCAAACTAAATAACAGAGAGAGGCTCTCTAAAAGAAGAAAGATATTTATTCAGGAGTAAGGTATTTCAGTGGGAATACAAGAGCCATAGTAAACTATGTGTGTATTCAGGGAGGTCAAGGAAGACAAAGGTTTTTAAAGGAAAAAATGAAGAGGATTACACAATTGTTGTCAGGTAATTATCCTTGACTATAAGGATCAATAATAAGGGTGACAATAATCTGAGAAGAGTTTCTGGGAAGATATTTTTGCAGAAGTATTTTTGTGTAAGGTTGCAATAGCTTCTGTACAAGGTTGTGATTTTTGCAATGCTTTGTGGTAGTTTTGGTCTCAGGCATACCAGCATGAGAACCTTCTCCTCAGGGCCTTTTCTGGCTCTATTTGTCTTTATCTTTTTGAAAACACTAGTGACTCCCTTCTGATTCTGATAATTTTCACACTGTATGTGAAGCACTACTATTATGCATATACATGGTAAAAGCTTGGAGGGCAAGCTTCGAATTCTATTTGTTACATGAATATTTTAAGAGCTCTTACAAATAAAGATAAAAAACCAAACCTGTCAATCGAAGAAATGAAAGTAGAAACAAGAGTATGAAAAAGAAAAATTCAGCTCAACATCAAAGGCAAATTAAAGGCAAAACTCCATTTTAGGCAATTAATTTAGAAGGAGCTTTTCCTTTATTTCCTGATAAACATGTTTTAAAAAAGACAGTATAAATAATAGAATCTAGTAGAGAGATTCAGTCATGGTTGCTGCCCTATCTCACATGATTCCTTCTTAAAAGAAACCTACAATAACCTTCATGTTCACATTCCAGGGCAAATATTTAGCCATGATTATGATTCTATATGCTTACTGTGTAGCATAAATATCATGCATATGGATAGAACCCTCTAATGTTGTATCTCTATTTAACCTGTTCTTCAGAAAAGGGCAGCTGACCCACACCCTCTGGGTCAATCTTGATAACTCTCACTCTCTTTCTCCATATACAGCCAAATCCGTCAAGGGCAACATACCACTTTCATGTGAAAAGAGACTTCTTTCTTGACTTTCGTGCTTTTTTTGGTCTTCTAGTTTTCCCACAACAGATCTGTATTAAACATCAAATTTAGTTTAGAGAATTGGGGATGATTAATTAGCCCAGCAGACTTATGTATAATTAACTGAAAGTTAAATATGGCCCTAAATATGAACGTAGTCCATTCCAGCTCACCAGGAGAACTCTGCTTTAGAATTCCAAGAACAGATCTGGAAAGTATAAAATACTGTTTTGCTCAATGTTGTCATATTTTTCTTATTTACTTATCTTAGTTGTTTAATTATGGGGTCAGAAGGCTGGGATCTAAAGTAGAATTCTCGTACTGTAGTTTCCTCAAACTCCATATAATAGAACTAGAAAATCCTACATTAAACCTGAAGTGTGTGTGTGTGTGTGTGTGTGTGTGTGTGTGTGTGTGTGTATTTCTTGTGTATTGGTATTTGTCTGTTTTTAAACCTAGGATAAAAAAATAAGATAGGGAAACAAGATATTTGGTATATTTGTTGATTGGAAAGATGACAGTTACAGTGAAAAAGCTGTATTAGATCTACAACTAAGAAGTGAACATTGAGCAAGAAAGAAACACTAAAAAGATAAACAGACAAAAAATTCTGTCTGGTAATATCGGTATTGTAGAAAAAAAGAGTATCTTTTTTTCCCATCTTAAGTTCATGGCTGAGTTCTCTATAACAAAAGACAGATTGGCAACACAAAAGCATACACATTTATTTAATATAAGTTTTATGTGACACAGGAGTCTTCTGAAATGAAAACATTTCAGTCAACAATCAACTGCTTATGCTACAGTGGTCTCATAAGATTGTAATACTGTATATTTACTGTACCTTTTTTATGTTTAGATATGTCTAGATATGCAAAAATTTACCATTGTGTTACAATTGCCTACAATATTTATATAGTAAGATCCTGTACAAATTTGCATCTCGGGAGCAATAAACCATACCATGTATGGTTTATTATGGTTTATAGCCTAGGTGTGTAGTAGGCTATTTCATGTAAGTGTGTGTAAGTATATCCTATGACTTTTGCATCATGAAATTGGCTAATAACTCAATTTTTGGAACCTATTCCCATTGTTAAGCGATTCATGACTCTATTTAAAAATTTGGAAATTGGAGTGGCAAATCACAGGTGCAGAACTCACCATCTTGGCATAGTCAAATAAACAACACAGAGACTTAGGCACTGTGACAAAAGTGATCAAAAGAGTCAAAATTGCCCATGCAAAATGTTGCATATTATAAAGATCATGCCAGTTACTGTTTTCATTTATGCACACATTGAAAAGGGTGTTTATCTCAAGTTCCTTATCGTTGTAAATCAGAGGGAAAAAATGGATAGAGGTGAAGCAGAGGAGGCCTAGTATCAGAAACAAGAAGTTGTAGTTGGAAATCTCACAAAAGAGAGGTATAAAACAACATATTAAAAACCGGTCATGAGATATTTTAAAACAACCTATCTACTGTTTTTTTTAATTCAAATATATTCAGCAGGTCAGTCATATAGCAGTTATATATTTTTTTCTTGTTTCAATTCTAAAACTGCAACTGACAAGTTTTAGTAATCTCACCAGATAGAAAGAAGAATAATTTTAAAAAGTTTTATAATTTGAGATTATTTCACCATAACCATATTGCAAGGAAAAATGATGCTTTATTTTTAATAAAAATAATTTTGTCAACAAAAACTTGCTTAGGGTGTGATTTCAAAAGTGATAAAGTAATGCATTTAGAATTAACAATTAACTATTTTATATATATACATATATTTATTATAGTTTAAATTGTAGGGTACATGTGCACAACATGCAGGTTTGTTACATATGTATACATGTGCCACGTTGGTGTGCTGCACCCATTAACTCCTCATTTACATTAAGTATATCTCCTAATGCTATCCCTCTCCCCTCCCCCCACCCCACAACAGGCCCCGGTGTGTGTTCCCCTTCCTGTGTCCAAGTGTTCTCATTGTTCAATTCCCACCTATGAGTGAGAACATGCGGTGTTTGTTTTTTTGTCCTTGGGGTACTTTGCTGAGAATGATGGTTTCTAGCTTCATCCATGTCCCTACAAAGGACATGAACTCATCCTTTTTATGGCTGCATAGCATTCCATGGTGTTTATGTGCCACATTTTCTTAATCCAGTCATCATTGTTGGACATTTGGATTGGTTCCAAGTCTTTGCTATTGTGAATAGTGCCACAGTAAACATACATGTGCATGTGTCTTTATAGCAGCATGATTTATAATCCTTTGGGTATATACCCAGTAGTTTTTCCTATTTTCTGAATTCCTGATGCTGTGGCATCTGGCCCTTGCTGACCTGAGAGAGATTGTCTCACCCAGGATTAGTTCATTCTCAGAGATAGTAAAGAACTTGCTTGAGAGCATGCCTTTGGTATGCAAACCAGCCAATGCCAAATCTATGTCTCCTCCTCCTTCTGTTATGTTTAAACTATGGAACACTTTCCTCCAGGCCTAAGCACCCCAGAGCAATGTCACTGACAACTAGGGACTCCTCCTGCACCCTACAGCCCACCAAATTAATCAAAATATCTCATTTTAAACCTACTTGGCTTGCGTGCTTTCCATTGTCCATTCCTCCCAACAAAAACTCCAGTCAAGGCCCTGCCCTCAGCTCTCCTCTCTGCCTGCTCATCTCATGCAGATACTTCCCAGGCATAGTGTGCTGGGCCTTCTATTTTTAGGAGACCGTGAGAATAATGCAAATGCCTTTATTAACCACAATCACGTTCGTGCCTGTGTGCCTTATCAAACTTAATTAAAACAAATCCTGGGTACCATAAAAGAAATCTGTATAAAAACATTAAAAAGTATGAAACCATTAAGATATAAAGAGTTAATCATCAATTATCCAGAAAGTTTGCTTCACTAGAAAACTCATTGCCAGATAATGTCACATAAAGGAGGTACTACAGTTTCCTGAGTTCTTGTCAAAAATTGAACATAAAACGTAAAAAAGAAATTAAAGATAATCAGACCTAAGAGCTTAAAAACACAGTAGATTGTTCACTGGCCTACACTGTAAAACTAGAAAATCTGGAGATCTCATTTAAAATAATGACCAGCCTCACAGGGATTTTACTTGTAATGAAGACTTAATGTATCTGAAACATTTTAAAACTTTATGGATGAGAGACATGAATCAAAGGCTTTGCTAAATCACTCTTCTATCTCTCGCCTCAGGAGGTTAACTGCGATGCCAGCTTTCCTATGAAGGGGAGAGGCCCGAATTTTGGAGTTTGTTTTGAGCAAAAGTCAAATAGAACCATTGCTCCAGGGATCATTGCTTTTCTACATGGATTGTAGTCATAACAAACAAAAGAGCTATATTAATATATATCGAAGTGGTCCTGATTAGCAGGAAAGTAAATCAAACTAAACCAACACAGAGACCACACACACACAATATGTCTACCAATTCCCAAAGAATAGAATGGTGGGATGTGTCTTTATCACACAGAAATAATATGACAGTTATGACTTTCTGTGAAGAGGTGGTTGCTGGAACATAGAAAAATAAACTCACTTTGAAGGAGACTGGAGATAGGGCCAACTTACAAGATGGTGAATCATTCTATGCCTAATGTTGTTCAAAATGTTATTGGAAACTTTTTTTTAAAAAAATTAAACATTATTGGGCTGTATTGATATAGCGTTTGCAAATATGTTCTGTATATAAAATTGCATGAAATAAATGGAGGTTCAGAGAGACTCAATAACTCCTCATGGGTTCTTTTTGATGGTGAAGAGCTTGGATACGATTCCTGATCTGATTTCAAAACCCTAGCTAATGAGTTTTGAAACAGTATGTTTTATTCATAGAAAACATTATCTTGAGTTTTCTGTAAAGAATGTGATATCTTTGTAACACCGTAAAATTATTTATGTTTTTAAAACCATTTTTCTATATTATGATGAGTGATAGTGAAAATCACATGGACTTTAATATTAGAGACCTAGATTTAAATAAGAGCTTAACCATTTGATATTTGTGAATCTTAGAAAAGTTACCTAATCTTTCAAAGCTTAAGTTTTTGAATGTGTGAGCATAGCCAAGATGTGGTCACAGAGAATGGTTTGCATAATAAAGGGTGGTGTGTTTAAGAAGTACTGTTAAATTAGAACCTACAAAATATAGTTTCTACTGTAGCACATAACAAGAAAAAAAATTACTTGGAAAAAAAATCCCATAAAATGCCTGCTTTGAATTTGAAAAAAAAAAACATGGAAAATGTATTCTGTTTTAAAAATAAAAATGACACTCCAAATTCAAAAGAACTGCTTTTCTAAATGATGTTGCTAAAGTAGAGTTGTATATTAAAGCATTTTTTATAAAAAGAAAGTTGCTGATGTTTTTTCAATGTATTGTGTTGTTCAAGCCCCCAGTCATCTAGCAATCCTTCTTAGCTATGTATCTAACTCATACTCCATATTTTAAAGACTCTCCTCTGCTCTTGTGGTTTACCTAAAAATTCCACGTTTCAAAATTTTGTTTTCCTTGTATACTGTTGAAAGACTTTTTAAGAAAGTCTTCTTCAACGCTAGTTTTTTAAAATTCCAATTAGCATCTAGCCATTGAAATTAGACCTTCTAGCCTCTTTAGAAATGATGTGCTGAGACCTGAAAATGCTCTGCTTCTTTGCAGAGGATGTTTTTGGATAATTCTCCTTATTACAAGCAGATAGCTCTGAGTGTGTTAGAGCCAAGCACTGAGGATCTTTACATTATTCTACATTTTTTTTTTCCTATTCTGAACAACACTGGTGACTAGAACCTATGACTTCCTCAAGGGTAGCATCCTGAAAAATTGTTATCCCAGTTCAGAATATTTATACTTTTTAACAACAGATAGGTCACAGATGCAGATAACCAAATCAGACCTCGTCTCTGTAAACAACTGATACAGCCAAACGTGTGCGTACCAGGTGACTGTCATCCCTGGTCAAGATTCGTTATCAAAAGCTAAAGCTCTTGAGTTTTCACAAGGTGTGATCCTCGAGGTGTCTTCTAGGTGTGATTGAAGAGAGCTTTCAGTACTTACTTCTAGCTTTGACTTTCCTGCATTTCTGAAGGATGGTTTTCAAACCTTGACATATCCTTCTATCCCCTACTCTTTTTGGTGTTGGGATAACTTGTCTTTGTTTCCATTTTACTCCATTTAAAAGCCCTCCAAACACTTCATCTTCCCACTTTTTCACTGAAAAACATCATGCTATAAGTGAAAGAAGCCAGGCACAAAAGACCTTGTGTTATTCCACTTAAATCAAATGTCCACAATAGGCAAATTTATAGAGATGAGAAGCAGACTAGTGATTGCTTGGGAATGAAGGAAACAAGAGAGTGATAGGTAAAGGGTCCAGGGTTTGTTTTTGAGGTCATAAAAAATATTTTGAAATGTTTTGTGGTGATGTTTATACATATCTATGAATTTACTGAAAACAATTTCATATTTGTGAATTACATCTCAATAAAATGGCTAAATACCATATTAACAACTACGGTCTAGAGAGACAGGCACTAAAATACAGATTTCTAAGTGGTTGCCAATTGATCAAATAGTGGCTGTTTCTAAGTAGTTGCCAATTGGTCAAATAGTGGCTGTTTCTCTTTGATTATCATTTACTTAAATGCATTGTCAAAATTTAAAAATGTAGGGATCTCACATAAAAATCCAGAAGAAAGAGAAGGAAGAAAGGAAGGAAGAAGTAAGGCAGGGAGGAAGGCAGGGAGGAAAGAAGGAAGGAAGGAAGGAGAAAAGACAAAAGAAGAAAGAGAGAAGCATTATACCTTGTCTGTTGGGTTTTCATAAGAGTTATTATCTCTGGATAATTATCTCTGAATAATAATAGTTTGAGCCCCCTAGGAACACATTGAATCCCTTTCCTAAGTACATATAAATGACAGGAAAGAATGACAGCATCCTGGACTCCTCATTTTTCTCTTTCCTTTTTTATAACACCTTACATTGAATGAGATTGTAGTCAAAACTGGGGACAAGGATGGTATTTTTCTCTTGCAATGAAAGAAAAAAAACCTCAGTGTCAATCATTGACAACATTTAAAGAGTATCTTCTACTGACTGACAACTTTTAAGCCAATACTATATTGCCCAAGGAATGACTGAGATATCAGACTTCATAGTTAAGGATGCTATTTATGAACTCCAAGGGGTTGTGATGTTCTTACTGTTTAACAAGTGTAAGTAAGAGATCCCACAATGCTGCTGTACAAAATCCCTTTGTCATTCCACTTAATCCCCTTCACCATTTCCTCTCCTGAGCCTTAGCTTCATGGTCACTTTAGTTCTTTGAAGTTTGTTTTTCTGCCCCCCATCTGTGTGAATCACTGCAGGCCAAATTCTGTTTTTGTGATAGTCAAGGGGAGCTGCCAGCCTGTATCTAAAGGCTGAATTGAGCACCAGGGGTGGTGGCTGATCTCTAGCAAGTGTAAACAAACCTATCAGAAAATGTGGCTAAGCTAGACAAGTGCTAGGGAGGGATGTTAGCAGAGTGGCCAGATAAATGATTTTTATTTGGTTCTACAGAACTGAGTGTGTTCTTTTCTTCCTCCTTCTTTCTTTCTTTCTTTCTCTTTGTTTGTTTGTTTGTTTGTTTGTTTCTTTCTTTCTTTCTTTCTTTCTTTCTTTCTTTCTTTCCTTTCTTTCTTTCTTTCTTTCTTTCTTTCTTTCTCTTTCTTTCTTTCCTTCTTTCTTTCTTTCTTTCTGTAATTCTGTAATTCCTTTCTTTTTCTGTAATTCCAGTTCAATTGTGATCTCATATAAATAACTACAGGTTGCATAATAATTGTAGGGTTATTGAAAATATTGCATTTTATACCAATGTTATTTCTGTAGACCTTTACATTTAAAAGCACTTTCAAATTCCTTTTCTTGTAACATAGTTAGGATGGATTATCATATTAGATAAAGGTTTATAAATTTAATGTATGATTCCCAAAGTATTGTTTTCTAAGTACTTGTCAATGAGAAACCAAATTCAATGATTATAAGTCAACATCTTTATATTCATTTATTATTTACAAATATGCAAGGATTATTTGTAATAATCTGGTAGGATTCTCAATTTGACAATACAATTTCACTCAATTTCCCCTGGTTAGAATACAGGAGTTAAGGAATTTGTTACAAGTATGACTTCTGTAGAGAGCTGCCAATCTACAGATCTTATTCTAATAGCTTCAATAACTCTAACACTACATATAAGTTGCTGAAGAGAGAGATTTAAGTAAAAATTTTAAGGCAAGTAAAAAAAATCAACTTAATTATATCCATTTTGGAAAGCATATAAATCAACTTTTCACTACAAAAAAATGCTAATTCAGTAAGCTATCTAATGCTTAATCTAAAGGAGGTTATATTGTATTATAAATTGAGAAAAACTGCATTACAATTTAACATTTATTTAATTGAAACCTTTGCCAGATGTAAGTATTCTAATAAGCTTATGAATATCTAAGACAAATATGTAAAACTGAATGTTTTCATAAATCATACAGAGGGAATTTCTGAAGCATAAATGTCAACCGAGTTGTCCCTTCCTTGAGGAAAGGGAACCAGTCTTTTAAATTTGCTTTCCAGTGTGTCATTGATTCAGACTGTCCTGGGATTGAAGCACAAGTGCAAAATCTCACAGGCATCTCTGGGCAACGTTGTTCTAGGCAAAAGTAATTCTCAAGAGAGTGAAGCTGTCAGAAAGTGGCAGAAAACACAGTAGTTGAGGGGATGCATATTGCCCTAAATCAAAAAATGGATCTGGGTGGTACACCAACGGCATCTGTTATAGTCCACAACTCACATTGCGCAAATCTATTTGCATCTCAAATCAAGTTGACTCCATTAGGGCAGAACTTCTCTGGGATTCTTATTGGTCACAATTTCTAGGGAATGTATAAGAGAAGAGTTAATTTTATTCACTATAAAACATGATGTTGCTTTTTGTCTTGAAGGCCATAAAGAATACCCATCATCTTCCCTCTTCACCATCCATTCTAAAGTTACTCCTTCTCAGATAGCATTTTGTAGGTATAGGTTGTTTGCCTGGTGACACAGATTCTCATCTTTGAGGAGATTCTGAGCTTCTAGGTTCAATTTACTGGTCAAGCTAAGATTTCTGCACCTGCTCAGTTACAGTTAAAACTGAATAGAAACTATCAAGGTATTTCCCAGTTGATCATCAAAGTGCAAAACATATTCATTCCTGCTCTGATATTTGCCAACAACCTTCCCATGTATAATGATCATGTTCAATTATTACTCTATTATGACTACTCTATTTTTTTCCTGATAATCTTCTAGCACAAGGAGCCAAACAGTTCATAAGGCCACTGTGGTTATGTAAGTTTAGTGAATCTCTTACTGTGTACCCAGGAGGAAACATCTCTTCTGTGAGAACTAGGACTTTGGAACTACAGAATCTAAAGTTGCAAGTTTAAGAAACACAAAATTCCTAAGAGGCTCAGTAGGATAGTAGAGTCATCCTGATTTCCATCCCTTGGAGTCCGAGTCCACGTGGTCTACTAATTTAAGAGAAGAGCGTAATCTCTTTCTCAGTGAATATTCCTCAGTAGCTACTAGTATACAAATTAAAGATCTGCACACTTGTGCCCATTCTTATTGCTTCACCCATATGCATCTTCCCCAAAGTTCCTTGTACCCATATTTCAATATTGTTTCTTACAAGCCAATGGCCAAACAGATAACCCATTTGGTGCTGTCCATGAATATTATATATAATAAATTTGGAGCTGGATGTGGTGGCACATGCCTGTAATCCCAGCACTATATGAGACTTAAGTGTGATGATCACTTGAGCCCAGAAGTTCAAGGCTGAAGTCAGTTATGATCATGCCACTGCACTCCAGCGTGGATGACAGAGTGATAACCTGTTTGTAAAATGAAATAAATAACTAAAATGATAATTTTGGTTTAATTCTTTTATTACTCTGTTCTCACGCTGCTAATAAAGACATTCTCGAGACTGGGTAATTTATAAAGGAAAGAGGTTTAATTGACTCACAGTTCCACATGGCTGGGGAGGCGTCACAATCATGGCTGAAGGAGAATGTGGATCAAAGTCATGTTTCTCATCGTGGCAGGCAAGAGAGCTTGTGTAGGGGAATGCCCCTTTACAAAACCATAAGATTTCATGAGACTTACTCACTGTCATGAAAACGGCATGGGAAAGACCCAGCCCCATGATTCAATTACCTCCCACAGAAGGGTCCCTCCTATGACACGTGGGAATTGTGGGACCTACAGTTAAAGAGGGGATTTGGGAGGGGACACAGCCAAATCATATCATTCTGCCCCGGCCTATCCCAAATCTCATGTCCTCACATTTCAAAAACAATCATGCCTTCCCAAAAGTCGCCCAAAGTCTTAACTCATTTCAGCATTAACTCAAAGTCCAGAGTCCAAAATCTCATTTAAGACAAGGCAAGTCCCTTCTGCCTATGAGCCTGTAAAATCAAAAACAAATTAATTACTTCCTAGATACAATGGGGGTACAGGCATTGGGTAAATACAGCCATTCCACGTGGGAGAAATTGGCCAAAACAGAGGGACTACAGGCCTCATGCAACTGTAAAATCCAGCAGAGCAGCCAAATCTTAAAGTTCTGAAATGATCTCCTTTGACTCCATGTCTCACATTCAGGTCACACTGATACAAGAAGTGGTTCTCATGGTCTTGGGCAGCTCTGCCCCCGTGGCATTGCAGAGTACATCCTTCCTCCCTGCTGCTTTCATGGGCTGGCGTTCAGTGTCTGTAGCTTTTCCAGGTGCATGGTGCAAGCTGTTGGTGGATCTACCATTCTGGAATCTGAAGGATGGTAGCCCTCTTCTCATAGATCCACTAGGCAGTGCCCCAGTGGTGCCTCTGTGTGGGAGCTCTGACCCCACATTTCTCTTCCACACTGCCTTAACAGAGGTCCTCCATGAGGCTTCTGCCCCTGCAGCAAACTTCTGCCTGGAAATCCAGACATTTCCTTACATCCTCTGAAATCTAGGAGGAGGTTCCCATACCTCAATTCTTGTCTTTTCACCCACAGACAGGTCCAATACCATGTGGAAGCTGCCAAGGCATGGGGCTTGCACTTTCTGCAGTAATGGCGTGAGCTGTACCTTGGCCCCTTTTAGCCAGGGCTGGAGCTGAAGCAGCTGGGATGCAGGGCACCATCTCCCAAGGCTGCACAGAGCAGGGTGTCCTGGACCTGGTCCATAAAACCATTTTTCCCTCCTAGGCCTCCAAACTGTGAGGGGAAGGGCTGTTTTGAAGACCTCTGACATGCCCTGGAGATGTTTTTCCCATTTTCTTAGTGACTAACATTTGACTCCTTGTTACTTATGCAAATTTCTACATGGGGCTTAAATTTCCTCAGAAAATATATTTTTCTTTTCTGTAATATCCGCAGGCTTAAAATTTTCTGAATTTTATGCTCTGCTTCCTGTTTGAACATAAAGTCCAATTCCAAACCATATCTTTGTGAATACATAAAGTTGAATGCTTTTAACAGCACCCAGGTTACCTCTTGAACACTTTACTGCTTAGAAATTTCTTCTGCCAGATGTCCTAAATCGTTTTTATCAAGTTCAAAGTTCCATAGGTCTCTAGGGCTGGGGCAAAATGCCACCAGTCTCTTTACTAAAACATAGCAAGAGTCACCTTTATTCCAGTTCCCAACAAGTTCCTCATCTCCATCTGAGAATGAGCAGCATTTGGTCAAAGCCAGTCAACAAGTCTCTAGGAAGTTCCAAACTTCCCCAGATCTCCCTGTCTTCTTCTGAGCCCTCCAGACTGTTCCAACATCTACCTCTTACCCAGTTCCAAAGTTGCTTCCACATTTTTGCTTTACAGCAGCACCCCACTACCTGGTACCAATTAACTGTATTAGTCTATTCTCATGCTGCCAATAAAGACATACCTGAGATGGGTAATTTATAAAGAAAAGAGGTTTAATGGACCCACAGTTTCACATGGCTTGAGAGGCCTCACAATCATGGTGGAAGGCAAAGGAAGAGCAAAGGGACATTTTACATGGTGGCAGGCAAGAGTACAAATGCAGGGGAACTGCCCTTTATAAAACCATCAGATCTCATGAGACTTATTCATTATCACGATAACAGCATGGGAAAGACACACCCCTGATTCAATTACCTCCCACCAGGTCACTCTTGTGACATATGAGAATTATGGGAGCTACAATTCAAGATGAGATTTGGGTGGGAACACAGCCAAACCGTATCAATTCTCTTTTGTCATAAAAATGGACAATAAGATGTACCTGCCAACCCTATACCTACTGAATAGATTCCTTCTCACCATTATGTCTCATAGCTACCACTAGAGACCAGCCTGGCCAACCTGGCAAAACCCATCTGTACTAAAAATACAAAAATTAGTTGGGCTGGTGGTGGGTGGCCATAATCCCAGCTACTTAGGAGGCTGAGGCAAGAGAATCACTTGTACCCAGGGGGCAGAGATTTCAGTGAGCCAAGATTGTGCCATTGTGCTCCAGCCTGGGTGACAGACCTAAACTCCATCTCGGAAAAAAAAAAAGTTGTTGTACAAAAGTGCATTTTTGGCTTATACAAACATACTGAGGTGACCTATTCATGAAGTAAGTTCTGTACTATTCTTCCTCTCCAGCCATTAAAAAAAAGATCCAGCTTGAGAACACAGATGTGAGTATAAAAGAAGGTACTACTGCAACAGTGGTGGGTGGCATTTATGTATCTTATTTTTACCCATTAAACTTGAGATTGATCCTAGATGCACTACTTCCATCTTACCATGGATTCTAGCTGGTTCTCACTGACTATCTGACTTTTTAAGTCTTCTCACACCCAGATCTTGATAAGCAGTACTCATTCCATGGTTTCTTGATATGCCATGGTCAGATATTCAATCTTTACCAATGTCCAATAGCATACTTACAGTTGCTTTTCAAATATGCATGCATGTTTGTTGCAAATGGCATGATCTTTCTTACTTCTTAAACCTTGGAGTTTGAACTATGGTTTTCATATGAATCTGTACAATAGACGTCACGTAAAACCTTTTCTGTAAATTAGATAACTTTAGTTCTATGAGATCTTCTAGTTGCATGGCTCAAACAACATCTTGGATCTGTTTCAGAGCCTTTTCTTGTTCTAAGTCCCACTCAAAGCCATTAATGTTACCTAACAAATGTGTCAGAATAGCATTACATATAATAGCATTATTATGTAATAAATGTGTCAGAATGCCATTCCCAAGTATAGTATGCTGTGTATGACCCCCAAAGAAGGTTAGGAGTTTTGTAGCTATTATTTCAATATGTTGGCCTGCCTTGGATTCCTAAAAATTTGAGAAATATGATAGGCACATGAATAACTGTAGGGATATATCTTTACCCTCTAGAGCAAGATATTCCGACTGCTAGCCATTTTTTGTTCATCAAGTCAATCAAAATGAAGAGTGGACCAACTTTATCGCCTGTGGATTGTTTAGATGGTACTAGAGCCTACTGGTATATTGTGTCAGCAAGCTAGAGAAATAAACTTTTTCAAGAGAAAGAACCACAATATTTGTTATCATATATTCATTGTGAATGTGACTGTTTCTTATTCTCCTTCTCAGTGGGTATGTAAAAGAAGGCACTTGCTCTAACAATAGCTAATATTATATAACAGAAACTGTGCTAATATACCCTTGTAAATATACCAAATCTGGTACAACAGCTGCAATTAAGGTTTACAGTGGCCCTGACTCATAAGCCGGACCAACTATATTTTAGGGGATTGTGTTGTGAACTAAATGGTGATATCATAAGCTGGACCAACTATATTGTAGGGGACCGTGTTGTGAACTAAATGGTGATATCATAAGGCGGATCAACTATATTTTAGGGAATCATGTTGTGAACTAAATGGTGATATCATGGAGATCACAATCCCTGCATCTTTTAAGTTTTTGTGAGTAGCACTAATCACCCTGTGATATAATTTTGTTCAGGATTTGCTATATTTTATGGAAGGGATTAGTTTCAGAGTCTTCTTCTTGGCATTTCCTAATGCAATTATTCTTACTCCACAGAAACCAAGGTGTGGGTTCTGTCAACTACTAGAGATGTTCATTCAAATTATATATTTGTGAAATAGGGCTTTGGATGTAGTGGATCTTCTGTGAGTCAGATCCGGGCCAAGACTCCCTTTATGACTGGGCCGTATGTGCTTATTGTCTACCATAGCAGAGAGAATGAGAATTTAGGTATCTAGTATCTGTGTCCATAGCATTTTTTTTTTTCTAACTAGCCATTGAAATATGAGATCTTCCTTTACCTCTGTGTAAAATTACCCAAGTAAATTGCCATATAAATGTGTTTAGTAAAGGAAGGTGAAAAATCACTGCTGTGTACACTTGCTGTGCTATTAAAGGGTCCTTCTTCATGGGGCCCTGTTCCCCTCATAACCAGTTGTTCTTGGGCTAAAAAATGTCTAAGCTATGAAAAGTGGGGAATGGGCCATGAAAGTTCACTGAGGTAACTGACTTCAACCTTTTGCTCATTCAATCTTGATGTATTTTTATCATAGATGTTAAGAAATATACTTTTCTGTGGTTTATTCATCTTGGCCCTTGCATCTCCATGTTTTATTAACATTCTTCACTTCAACCTTGCTGCCCATTATGATATTGTCTCTCTTGCCTCTACTATTTGTCACCTGGTATTTCAGAATCTTATTATCCCAAATGCTATAGGGAGCCCAGCTTTATAACAGAATCTCCTGTCATTCTCAGCTTACCTTGAACAGTCAATACTGAACATCTCAGCAATACTGGAACATTTTTCACTTGCATATTTATTACTAACTTGGTAAATAAAGTGTCTCTAGGACAGTGATGCCCAACTTGTGGCAATGGTCTCCACTGCACCACAGGGTACAATTGACAATGTCTGGATACATGTTGGTTGTTACAACTAGAGAGGGCTATTGAGGTCTAGTGTGGAAGGGATACTGTCCAATATTCCACAAGGCACAAGACATCCCATCACTTCCACAGTAAAGAAATTTCAATCCCCCAATATCAATAATGCCAAGGTTGGGAAATTCTCATCTACACTGTCCAAAAAATCAGTCGAACATTTTTAATTCCCCAGAGCTATATAATAGATTCATTTAGGAAGACTCATTTCTCTAAGCTTTTTGATATTTTCCTCCAAATCTTACTATAGTAGATCTGGCAACCTATACTGCATTTAATATGAATCATTACTTTTTTCAAAGATCCAAGAGTCATCTCAACAGTATATTAAAATTTGTTTCAGGGATGCTCACTGAGATGTCACATCCTAAGGCATGAGGTATTACGTTTATCAACAAAATCTCCTTTATCTAGCTTTCCCTTTCATTCTGCCTTTTATTGGGCACCCTAAGGATTCTCTTTCAGTCTTACTCAGGAACACGTTGGCAGTATATGTTAGCTGTGTCCTGCAGCTTATTTAGTACAAAATTACTCTACCCCCTTATCAGGTTCAGCACTTTCCCAGTCAGATAATGCTGAAATTTAATGCTAGTTACTGCTTTTATGCCATGGGAAGAGATGGGAGCATATCCTTAGGAAAGCAAACTTTGTAAAGCACCTGCTTCATTTGAAACTTCCCCATAGTCTTTAGGCAAAGGGGTTGAAGAAGTCTTTCTTTTCAAACAAAGTAGAGTGAATCACTTCTGCAAACCCAGAGGATTCAGGAAAATCTTTACTTTTAAGTTTCTCAAGTGACTGTCCCCAGACGTATCTATTCTAATCTCATTTCACTTCTTCCCTCTGATGATCCTGATTTTGGCATGGAAGACTTGACCAGTCTAAGAAATTCAAACTTTTCCAAATTTCTTTCAATTTTACATTAAGGAATATTATTTTTTTAGCTTTATATGTTTTAATAGAGAGTCTGAATCTAGGTTTGGAAGTTTGAATACTGACATCTTTTACGCCTAACCCTTTTATGCCCCACATCTGAGATTGCTGGTAAGAAAGCTTGGGTGCTCCCTCAGATTGTACAGATGGGAAGTTTAAATTACATGCTGTCACTCTAAGCCTGGCCTCACCCCTAATTACCATAAAAATCCTAAGCCAGTCTTTTTGTTTGTTTGTTTTTACTCTCTCAAGATATTTTAGACTTGCTGGAGAAACTCTCGCTTCAGAAAGCCCTATTGTGTGAGTAATAAACCTTCCTATACTCTTTGGGTAAATGTGTGACATCATCAGTTTTAACAGGCAAACCAAATTTTGGATAGAGGTATATTCTGTTTCTGTAGAGCGGCTGCACCATCAGCTTCAACCTGCAGAAAATTAAAAGTTGCTTTAAAGGTTTCCAATGAGACCCTCTGACTTAAGTATTTGTGTATAATAGATAACAACACATCCATGGCTGTGGCAGTATCTACTCAATTCCATAGTCCTTGTGGTTATTGCCTTCAGACCTCTCAAATACCAGAAACATTGCACAAACTAATGTGTCTCTTCTATTTGTACTTTGTCCTGCTTTCCAAAAAGGGACAGCTTCAGCAGTCACCCTGTTAGAACTCACCAAGGATAATCCATATTCCACCTAACACTTGTCAAGGGGATCACTGCCATCCAGGCAACAAGTTATGTGACTGTAAACTTTCACCCTTAAAGTCCATTTCTTTGCATTGAATCTTGTACCAACTATCTTAAGTCCTTCCTATTCTTTAAGCAGTGCTTCAGATGATAATTTTTGTGCAAGAAGTTTTGTTTGAAGATGCGATTTAGGTGAAAGATGAAAGGAGGGAGGAAATCACAATAAGCCAAGATAGGAAGCTAGGAAAAGTGTGCATCCTCAGACTGATCACACACAAAGCTCTGGAGCATGAATGGTACCACAGAGTGTTACCTCTTTGAGACAAGGGGGATAGACTTTTACACCCTTGTATCAATCAGTCATCAGGTATGGGCTATTATCCCATGGAAAGTATAACTGGGTAAGATGATTTCCATTGCTGAGGGTAACTCTCCAGGGTTAACAGACAAAACCCCACAGTAAACATGTATGAGTGCAACATTCTGATAAAGAGGGTCTGTGCAAGATATTGAAAATATGTACATCAATTAGACAAATACAAATGAGAAGACTACTCCAGTAGGTGTTGCAAAGGTACACACTTAGCATATTCCAGGAACAGAAAGAACAGTTCAGCTGTAATCTGGTTGGTTAGAGGAGTGATTTGAGATGAAGTGCAAGAGGTAGGTAGGGGCTAGGTCAGATAAGCTTTTGAAGGCCAGGATAAAGAGTTTAAGTTTTATCTTAAATGGGAGTGGAGAGTTTTTAAAATAATTTAAGACAGACAGTGGAATAATCTGATATTACCCTTTTAAATTTTATCTTTTTAAGAGAGTTAATAAACTTTTGTTATTGATGTCTCAGTCTTATGTTAAGTATTAAAAAGGAGTTTCAAAGTGGACAGGTGGGTGTGAAAAGGGGTACCAAACTCTTTCCTAAACTCTGTTAACATATCTGTTTTAAGATAAAAATGAAGGTAAGGAAAAAATAGAAAATTGATTTAAACCTCAAATGGACTTCACACTCATGTTAGTCAGGAGAAATTAGAAGAATTATTTGATTTGAAGTGGCATACTTAAAACATCTTACTTTTTTGCACATTGTAAGTTGTAGAGCAAATCACATTTATTATATATGTGAAAGATATATTTAAAATATGTGTCACTGTTGGAAGCAGCATATGTTGTTTCATATAAACATTAAGAGAAGTTTTTGGCATTGTCTTGTGACACAAAATGATATATTTTATCAAGAACAGTGTCTTGCACACAATCAAGTGTCCATATATGTAAAATTTGTTGATGGACTTTTATTTCACAGATGACAGAGGAAAATCATTTTCTGAAGTTTTTCTATTATTTCACTTTATGACTCTCATTACCATACAATTTCTTTATTAAATTGAATATTATATTGACTAAACATATTTTTATGAAGACCATCATATAAGTGAGAAGTTTCAAATGATATGTCCAGTTGAATAAATAGCTAGTTTTAATAGAAAATAACCATTTTAAGTATTTTTTTGTTTTGTCCTAATCATTTGGAATACATCAATAATCTTTTAGAAAAAAGCACAATATTATATTAGGCAGGATAATAAACTGTTGAAGTAATTATTGATGGTGTATTAGCCACTGAATAAAAACTAAAACAGTTAAATTTGGGGGAATTTTATCTGAATTTGTGCTTTTAGGAACATTAGATAAGCAATCAATTTCATGTTTAATGATAGAATTATGGTAGAAACAAAATGAATATATGAAAATTACACCGCCCACACTCTATTTACATTTTATAAATGCAATTCTTTTTTTACAACCTATGTATAGTAGCATTCATATGTCTTACCCATACATCCAAGATCATTACAATGGCTACAACAAGTTTTTTATTTAATTGCAACCATTATATTTTTAATTACTACTATTTCTCATTATTACATTCCAGTCTATTAAAATAGATCATAAAAATAAAACAGAAATAAAGAGCTTTTTTTCACCCAGAATATTGGTCTTCTGAACTTAATGATTCTAAAGGAATATAGGCATCACAGGTTGCAAGCAGGTCGATGATCATGAATCTGAAATCTAAGCTATAGGATTTTTAACTGAACTGTGAAATAGGTGAAGTTTCACAGATAATGAAAAGAAAAAAATGTATTTTGGAACTACATTTTTTTCTGAAGTTCCTCATTATTAAGCATGCACTGATTGTCCAGCATTATGCATTTGCTTTAGGAATGAATTGAAATTTCACTACCTAGAGAAATGGCTGAGATTTTTAGTTCAACTGATATTTTATGTAACTTAGCATTATAGAAAAAGAAAACATCCTTCTACTTTGATTTTTCATAACATATATTGTAGACAACAACCTTGTCAGCCAGCTTTCCACCTCTTATGGTTTAATTATACAATTTCAATGTATTTGTGGAACATAGAAATGAATAAAATACTATTTGATTTGTGTTAGCAGAGTTTTCAAAAGGTTTAAAAGAGATACTAAGAGTTATAGGTTGCATTTTGTATCCCCCACAAAAAAGTTCTAACTTCCAGTACCTCAGAAAGTGACCTTACTTGGAAAAGGTTTGTAACAGAGATAATCAAGTTAAAATGAGTCCACTACCAAGAGCCTAATCCGATATGACTGAGATTTTCATAAAAAGAAGAAATTTGAATGCAGAAACACGCAGAGAGGGAAGATAGTGTGAAGAGACATAGGGAGGATACCATGGGAAGACAGAGAGAGACTGGAGTTATGTTGCCACAAGCCAAGGAACACTGGGGGCTACTACCAGGTGGAAGAAGAAAAGAAGGCATCTTACCTTACAGACTTCGGAGGGCTAAAGCCCTACTGACACCTAGATTTCTGAATTCTAACCTTCAAACATGTGAGACAATAAAATTGTGTTGTCTTAAGTCACCCAGTTTGTGGAATTTCGTAATGGTAACTATGGGAAGCTAATACATATAATTCTGAGAATTAAGTGAGGTTCTAGCGTAATCCAAAAAAATTAACCAAAACTATTAAATTAGCATTTGGTTTTACTTAAAACTCTGAATAAGTTAGTTGAGATATTATCTATATTTTCAAAGTAAGAAACGCCCAAGAAATTATCTTGGATGTGCCAATAAACCCTTATCCATATTCTTAAAATATAAGATAGAGAAACATTGTCTGAACATTAACATTAGCTAGTCTTTCACTTACATTTGTATATACATGCTGTTGGAAAAAGTCACAAAAATTGTTAAACGTTGAATCTGAAAAGTTTAGCCAGATCTCCTACTTCCCGAGCCTGTGACTTAATTATTTTAAACACATAGTATCAGTACATGCTGAATAAGCACTCAGATATCTGGTGATGAAAATGTCCCTGTGTGTAATCTTTAATACACACTTCACATGACAGACTTGGATAAATACATAGATCAATAGATAGATGAATAGATTAAAAGAAAACTTGCTCCTAAAGAAATTCCTTCTACTGAATTACTTTGGAAAAAAATAGAAAATCGGAGACATTTGGCACTTTTTGGAAAGGAAATGGGTAAAGCTTTTCAGAATGAGCTTGACTTGTCATAAATGTAAAAGGAAATTTATTAAAGGACTTCTGACTAAACACTTATCTTTATCAAATAAAATTATTCTCAGAATATTAATTTTTATCATTTAAACAAAGGTAATTGAAAAAATACGATACGAAATATTTCTCCATTTTAGAAGCAGAAAACACGCAGAATTGTTAACCTCTGAATATAAAAGTTTGTTTTTATAATTTTAAACCAATATATTTATTCTCAATGCATAATTCAGTTTTACTTTACAAATGTCAGTTGAATCAATAGAGATAATTCCTGTCATCTGCAGTCATATTTGGGATTTCCAAAAATTTTTAAATGACATCATGGAGGCTTTTCCTGTCAGTCATGTAAGGAGCTTGGGAGTCTCCAGTTTGTTCTAAAAAGAGGTACAGAGTGAAACAAACTGAACAATAAAAAACTCCTCTTAGACCCATTAAAAGAAGTGAGATCACGGGGTAAACCGATGCCTCTCACATCGGAAAGACAGGCAGATATAAAAAAATTACTACTTCCCAGGGCAGAAACCCATAAACAGAAACCTCCTGGGATCTAGTACCGTGGTAGGAAAATCGAAACTGTAATAGAAAAACTTCCAGAGAATCAGTGTGGAAAAGTTTGTGAGTAAACTAGGGAGGCCTAGCCATAGGTGGATCCCCACACCTTGTGAGTTTTACCTCCAGATGCCCTACCAGGTCACACAGTGACTGTCAGAGAAAAATCCCCTGATGATTCCGGCAGGGGGAGAAGAAAAATCACCATTTGAAAAACAAAGCCAAGCCTCAAGAAAAGCTATTTTATTAGCCTAATTAGTTGGGGTTTTAAGACAGCCTAGCCAACTTGAGAAAAGGAAAATTTACAAAGAGCAATGAAATGTCACCGCACATCTATTAGAATGACCAAAATCCGGAACACAGAAAACACCAAATGCTGATAAGGATGTGGAGCAAAAGAAACTCTAAATCATTGCTGGTGGGAAATCAAAATTGTACAGTTTAGTGGTTCCTTACAAAACTGAACGTTAATACGAACTTTTCCCAAACAAGTTGAAAACTTAAGTTCACACAAAAACCTGCACGTGGATGTTTACAGCATCTTTACTCATAAATAAACTTGGAAGCAACTAAGGTATCTTTTAGCAGGTGAATGGATAAATAAAACTGTGGTATATTCAGATAATGGAATTGAGAGGTGAAGCCGGCTGGACTTCCTGGGTCCAGCGAGGACTTAGAGAACTTTTCTGTCTTACAAGGGGATTGTAAAATGCACCAATTAGCGTTCTGTAGCTAGCAAGAGGTTTGTAAAATGCACCAATCAGTGCTCTGTAAAAACACACCTCTCAGTGCTCTGTAGCTAGCAAGAGGTTTGTAAAATGCACCAATCAGCACTCTGTAAAATGGACCAATCAGTGCTCTGTAAAATGGACCAATCAGCAGGATTCTAAAAGTAACCAATTGCAGGGAGGATTGAGAAAAGGGCATTCTGATAAGACAGAAACAGGACATAGGAGGGGACAAATCAGGGAATAAAAGCTGGCCACCCCAGCCAGCAGTAGCAACCTGCCTCAGTCCCCTTCCATGCTGTGGAAGCTTTGTTCTTTTGCTTTTCACAATAAATCCTGCTGCTGCTCACTCTTTGAGTCCGTGCCACCTTTAAGAGCTGTAACACTCACTGCGAAGGTCCGCGGCTTCATTCTTGAAGTCAGCGAGACTACGAACCCACTGGAAGGAACCAACTGTGGACACAGAATGTTCTTCAGTGCTAAAAGAAATGAGCTATCAAGCCATGAAAAGAGATGGAGAAATTTTGAATACGTATTACTAAGTCAAAGAAGCTAATTTGAACAGGCGACATACTGTATGAGTCCAACTTTATGACACTTTGTAAAGGCAAAACTCTAGAGGCAGTAAAAATATCAGCTCACACTTCTGGTCCCAGCCATTTGGTAGGCAGAGGTGGGAGGATTGCTTGGGGCTAGGGGTTTGAGACCAACCTGAGCAACATGGTGACACTCCAATCTCTTAAAAAAATAAATTTAAATTTAGCTGGGCATGATGGCACATGTCTGTGATCCCAACTGCTCAGCTCAGAAGACTGAGGTGGGAGAATCAGTTGAGCCCAGGAGGTTGAGATTGCAGTGGGCCATGATCAGCACCCCCTGCACTTCAGCCTGTGCAACAGAGTGAGACTCTTTCTCCAAGTGTGTGTAATATATATATATATATATATATATCTTCCATATGTACATATCTGCAGTTGGGGGGAAAGAAAGATGAATAGCTATGATCAGCCCCTAGCACACTCCAGGCTGGGCAAGAGAGAGACTCTGTCTCAAAAAAAAATCGTGTGTGTTTATATAAAGAGAGATTAATAGGCAAAGCACAGGAGAATTTTAAGGCAAGGAGACGATTGTGTATGACACTAATGGTGGATATATGTCATTACATATGTATCCAAGAATGAACCCTTATATAAACTCTGGACTCTACATAACAATAATGTGCCATTGTGGACTCACTGATTATAACAAATGCACCACTCTGGTAGGGGATATTGAGAGTAGAGAGGCTGTGTGTGTTGGGGGGCAGGTAGAGGTTTGTAGAGAATCTCTGTACTTTCTGCCCAATTTTGCTGTGAACCTAAAACAACTTCTTCTAAAGAATAAAGTCGATTAAAAAAATGAGACTCATGGACATGTCATCATGGTTTACATTCTCCGAGTGACAGTTTGGGTTTCTGAGACTTTTATATTTTTGAGTAAATGACAAAAAGAAGCTAAATGACAATCTGATGATTGAAAACTATAATCAAAAAATTATATTAATGGAAAATAATATATTATTTTGAGGAGTAAAGAAAGATGTGATGAAGATTAAAGAAAGTGCTTTTTTGTTTAGTTGTACAGTTGTTGGAAGAAACACAATCCTGAGCAAAAATTTATCTTTTTAAAATTTAACTAATTCTGAATTGAAAGCAAATGCGGTACCTTTCCATTTTTAACTCTTCCATGATTTGCTAATCTGTAAGGCAAAAATGAAATTCTGTATACCTTAACTATGAAATGTCAACCATAGTTTCAGACCATTTTAGAAGTGGAAAAAATTTCATTTGAAACATTCTTTTAGAAATGTATGTTTGAATACTAACCTTAGATTTAAAAACTATATTCATAGTTTTTTTTGGAAACTTTAATAGTTCCAGTTGGGTTGAGTCTAATTCATAAGTATAGAAGGATTCATCAAATGTGTGTGTAAATAGAAATAAATATACTGGAATCATTTAGACAATGATAGAATTGTGGCTTTTTAAAAATGTTCAGAGACTCATTTGTTCGAAAGAAGTCTGAATCCATGGTTAGTTTTTATTTCTTTAGATAATGACATTGTCTTGGAAAATGCCATGAAAAACAAAACAAAACAAAAGAAATAAAAAATAGAATATCTAATGGGAAATTCTAGAAATAAATAATTCATAAATTTCATATTGCACTGTGTTCGAATTATTGTGATGAAATCTTGTGCCTTTCTGCTATGTCCTGCCTGGGACCATGAATCATCCCTTTGTCCAGCGTATCTATGCTGTCTAAACTCCCCTTCCCTGCATCACTTAGTAGGCTTTTTGATAATCAGATTAACTGTCACTGTATCACAGTGCTTGTGTTCAAGTAACCCTTATTTTACTTAATAATGGCCCCAAAGCACAAGCCTACTGATGCTAGTGTACTGTTATAATTGCTTTATTTTGTTATTAGTTATTGTCCATCTCTTTCTGTGCATAATTTATGAATTAAACTTTATCGTAGGTATGTATTTATGGGAAAAAAACATACTGTATATAAGATTTGGTGTTATTCACGGTTTCAGGCAGCCACTGGGGTTCTCAGGGGTAAGGAGGGCATTACCGTATGTCAGACCCACACCCTTTTTGCCCAATAGTCTATTCCTTTTTTGTTCTCCTGGATAACTGTATTTTATTTGCTGTTATACTGTAAACTACATGTGAATTTTTTTCCTGTAAATTACCATAATCCTTTTTTGTGATTATGAAATTACTTTATTAATGGCAGAATTTGTCTATTTTCTCACGTGTGAAATACTATTAATGTAATCTTTGCTACGTTAGAGGTAGAGAAAGAACAATGAAACACGAAAAGCATCTCCAGACATGGACCCAGATGAGTCTTTGAAAATAAGTGTGGTTGATCGTGTATTACTATACAGTAAGAATGGGCAATAAGAATGTTATCCCAGGAACCAAAGTCAAACATCAAAAGTTCTCCCCTTGTTTTCTCTTGCACATAATCCCCAGCGTAAATTATGGTATGCAAGTCGTAAAGGTAACAAAAGGATACCAAACAAAGAAGATGGGTTGTAATGCTGCTTGCTTCTCTAGGCTAGACATAAGCATTGCATTTTCTACTCTCTCGCAACCAGCTGACATCACTGCCTCAAATAAATGTGCTACGAAATTATTGAGACATACAGTGTGGTTTTGAATGGCAAGTTACTGCAACAGTAGTAAGATTGATTCTGAAGAAATTAAAATCAAAGTATTATACACTTTGATGGAGGCAAGCTGGTGAGAGGATAGTTGGCTAACATTTTTTTAAAAAAGGTCCAGATTACACTTGAGAAATAAAACAAATAATGGGGTAAAATATTCACAAGAGGTAAGGCGCTATAAGATATTCTAGGATTTAGGAGTGAGTAGAAGAGGAGGGAGAAAGGGAAAAGTTTCTTATGATACATTTCGATTTTGGCCAAATGTTATTAGTAGTTTTCTATTAGGTTGTTGTCATTATTGTTTATATATTACATAAGTAAAAATTTGTATATATACATATATGTCATATAACAAACGTGTTAAATACTTCATTTATTCATATCATATATTATTGTACCTCTGGACTGTGTTTTTATAGTTGTATAATTTATATTACATATTACTTGCAATCATTTTACTTATCTTATATTTCATATGTTTTATATTTTTTATTGTTTACTGTTAAATAACCAGGACAATCTTCCAAGAAAAATCTTTTCTTCATGTTTTTATTTGTATTATAATGACACAGTCCTTACACTGGTGTGAAATACCATTTAATGTATTCAAACTGCTTTTTCGCTAGATTGCTCTGACATTTTGTTTCACTGTATGAATTTGAAAAAATATATATCGTAAGCTTACTTGACTAAGAGTCTTTCATATATAACATGAAGGTGTTACACTTTTGGATATAGTCATCATTGTGAACATTTTGGACATAATCATCACTGTGAACATTTTGGGTATTAAAATTATTTAACTATGCCGTGCTTTGTATTCTTTTCAGCTCTTAATAATGATAGTGCAATGTTTAATACCACAAACTATCTCAAAATGCAGAATTTATTATCCTATTTTAAAGAGGAAAAAAACTGAGACCTTTTCCAAGTTCACAGAGTAAACATAAGGATCAGGATTAAAAACTTACAACATAAATTTTATAATGTGGAATGTAGTATATAGCACAGTAACAAAGGATACAGACCCTTAGGTCCAATACATCTGAGTCCAAATCCTGTGTTTTTCCTAATCAGATGTGTCCATAATTAAAGTTTTTAAATCTACCTAAGCTTCAATTCCTTCACCTTTATAAGTGAACATTTACAGAACAAATCTTTGTTCTTTACTTCTTTCCTAAATAAGTTAGAATTCAGTTTACTATTTGCCCAGGAATCTAAGAGAATTTATTCAGCTGCAGAATAAATAACCAATTCTCTTTAATTTTCACCATGTGAGTGAATTGTATTGGCTTCAGAGCAATATAGTTTTAAATGCGTGAGGTTTTTTTCTTATTTAAATTATTTTTAAATTGCTAGAATATGGATTTTTTCCAGTTTATGCTTAGGTTAATAATGTCAAGTCCATTGTTTGTCACTTTAATGACTTTTAATTGTCCTTTGGTCAATGCAAGCATATGATAAATGTGACTTACTTGCAGTTTGTCCACATGTAGCATTGTAATCAGAACCTTAAAATATGCAGAGAAAGCTGAATAGCAAAATCATGATTAACTGCTTTCTATTGATGCTTTTACTATTGTTTAAATGTCACACATAAAATAAGTCACAGAATTCTAGAAATAAGTGGTTTCGTAGAAACCACCAAATCTATTGTCTTCATTGCATAGAAAACAAATATATTCAATTTAGATTTTATATTTACTGACAGAATTAAGAGAAAAATACAGAATTATGCATTTGTGGACCTGTAGAAACTTCCAGTACTTCTTTTATAACACATCTCAGATTTCAACAATTTACCCACAAGTCTACCATAAAAGGTTTTGGTGAATTTAAGTTAACATAGCAGTTTGATATTTCCCTACTAAAAGGAAATATAGTTAAAATAATGTAACATATATGTATGTATATAATTATGTGTGCATATGTATGTGTATATGTGAATGTATATGCGTGTGTGTATATATACATAAAACTTTTGCTAAAATATTTGTTTAATTGCAGATATTCACCTTGTATTGCCCAATAACTAGGTCATTCTTCCGCATAACTGCAGTATAATTAACACCTTACAATATACTACCACTCCTCATATGCAGTCTATACTCAACTATCTCTATTTTTTATTAAAGATGCTGTTAATTAAAGGAAAATACTTTCATCTTAGTTGCAAAGTCTATTGAGTTCTTTTAATCTACAGTGCTTCACCAAGAAAAAAATTTTATTTTTATTTATATATATATTATTTTTTGTCTTTCATGACTCTGGCTTTAAAAAAGAAAATCGTAGGCCAGTTGAATTGCAGCCTCCATGGATTCTTCATCATGACATGCATAGGATTTTTTCACACAGACTGTGGTTTATCTGGATTTGTAAACTCTTTATAGTTAATTTGTAATGGTTCTGTCTTCATTTTTCAACTTTATTAAGGTTTAATCGAGAAATAAATTTGTACATAGTTATGAAGTATAGCATGAAGTTTTGATATATGTATACCTTGTGGATTGATTAAATCAAGCTAATTAACATTTCTATTACATTACATACTTATCATTTTTGTGGTAAGAACATTTCACATCTATTCTATTAGCAATTTTATGTATAACATACATTATGATTAACTATATTGTAGAGCATGTTCACCACGCTCTACAATGAATTTCCATGATTTACTCTTCCTGTCTGACTGAAGTGTGTGCCCTTAAACCAACACCTCAATACTCCTACCTCCCAGCCGCTAGTACCCACCATTCTCCTCTCTGCTTCTGTGAGTTTGTCATTTTTAAATTCCACATATAAGTGAGATCAGGCAGGATTTGTCTTTCTGTGCCTAGCTTACTTCATTGATCATACTATTCCCCAGGTTCACCTATGTTGTCACAAGTGACAGCATTTTTTTTTGAGGTTGAGTGGTATTTCACTGTATATACATTTTCTTTATTCGTTTATCCATTACTAGACACAGGTGGATTCCATATCTTGACTATTTTGGATAACGCTGCAATTGACAGGGGAATGGAGATATCTCTTCTACATATTAATTTCTTTTTGTTTGGATATATCACAAGTAGTTTTATCTTATCTTCATGGTATTTGTTCTAGTGTTTTCAGTTTAAAGTAATTGCTTAGAGCTTCATTTTAAATAATGTGAAAACAAAAATAAACAGAAAAATAAAACTAGGCGCAACATGCATGAAATTAAAGAAACTATCTGTAATAGATAAAGTTTACATACATTTCTATAGCACTTTGGCAACCTCAAACTTTGTATTTACATCATCACAGTTGGCATAATATTGTTTATTGTTAGAATGTTTTCTCCCCTAGTCTCTGTTAAGGCATATTCTTCCACATTTCATCTATTTTTTAATTCAGATTGCACTTGCTTGCATTTTGATCATCCAAATCCTAGTCAAAAGACTAGGCAGAGAGCCTTGGTCCAGAATTTTATGATTTAACTTTGCATTATAACCTGGGACTTTTGAGATGACATAATAAATTAAATATGGAGGTCTTCAAGTACACCCAGTTTATACCCATGTCCTTTTGGAAGACACTCCAATTTTAATTGGTATTTTGTTAAAATATACTTAGTCCATCCATTCAAGATCAGAAGGCTCATCTATGGTTTTAGAACTTTTTTCAAGGGATGAATTTAGCGCTAATGCTATCACAAGTGATATACTTATGTATAACATCTTGCCAATGCAGCTGACTCTTCCCTTTATCTGACCATGACTAAACGTAGATATTTGGCATTTAAGAATGGATTAAATATACCAAACATTTACCTCAAGTATGGGCAGTATTACAGATTTTTATATAGAGCTATCTGAAAATAATATACAGTTAAGCATCAATCCCTGTTAAAATTTTGTTACTGGTAAAAGGAAAATGTTTTTATGAAACGGATAAGTAGACAGGATCAGAAGTTCTTGCAGGTCATCATATTTAATCTTTGCCCCTCAAGACCACCCTGGGGTTTAATTTTAACAGACAGGCTCTTGCTGTCTTCAAAATGCTGGCTTTCATGCAAGGTTTGTTGCACTGCTGTTATTTTTAGTCATGTCTCTCTGGTGTTGCTTAGCCCGAAACTTTTCTAAAAACTGTGATAATCAAATGAATGAACTTTCTAAAAATCTAGAAACTGTAGAGTTCTAATAAGTCAGTCTAGAGACATTTGAAATATAAAATCATCATAAGAAGCTTACATTGATTCGTATCTTGCTTTACAATTTTAAAAGTCCTTTAACACATTTTATGTCATTTGATTCTTGAGTTAAAGCTGAGAAATGAACAAGGTATTTCTCATTACCTCAAAGAAAAAAGTCACATCAGTGACTTTTTCAGTCCTAAAATATACACAAGATTTGTTTGGCTAAAATTTATTCCAAATCCCACTTTTTTTTTTTTGGCCATGCTACCTTAATGCTAATTCTTTTTACCGCTATACCTAAAATTAAACCATTTTTATGGACTCTTAAGTTCAAAATAATTATAAAAATATAATTAATTTAGGAATAACCACTTTTGCCATTTATTTAGTTTTTGACAAGTTCTTTTAAGTGTTCATCTACATTAGTTTATTTTATAAATACAACATCCCTTTGAAGTCATAATTTTAATGAGAAAATTGGAATTTGAAGAAACTAAATGTATTAGCTAAATAAATAGTAAATTGTAGAGTTTGAATTAGAACATTAGCTTCTATAATTCCAGTCAGAGCTACCAACTACTCAATGAAGTGGTCATAGCATTTAGGTTCATTAAGGTCAAAATTATAGATTTCCTGAATAAAATATTATTTATAACGTATTATGAGTATAGTTGTATATATGCAGGAGGCAACATGGGTATTATTAATTATTAATAAAAGTAATAAGTTATTACTTATTAAACACGACCCACAAATAAAGTATGGCTATCTATCTAATTTTTAAAATACTTTTTTCTCCATTTTTCCCAGGAAAATTTACAGAATAAAAAAACTTTTTATTTAACATAAATTTTAAAAAATTTACAAGAAGTAGGAGCAAACTCAATAGAAAGCTAAATTAATCTTAAATAAACATATTCTCTTAGGCTTGATACTGTGTTTTACAAAAGTTTATCACTGAATTATAAATCTAGGAGGACTCAGAAACTTGAGTGAATGTTGAAACCAAACATTTTGATACCAGCATATAGAGCTCACCCCTAAACCTCAGTATACAGAATGGGGAACCTGACCTACTTATCACTTCCAAAATAACACCCTTTCTAATTGCTATAGTTTCAATGTGCCCCTCAAGATGTATATGTTGGTAACTTAGTTCCCAATGCAACAATATCAGGAGGTAGGGCCTAGTAAGAGGTGATTGGGTGATTAGGGCAAAGTCCTCATGAATGAATTAATGTAGTCATCAGTTCAAGGAGTGTGATGCTGTAAAAGAAGCCCAGACCTTTGGGCTCTGTCTTTTGCACCCACTTCCTGGCCCTTCCACCCTTCTGATGTGGAATGATCCAGTCAGAAAACCATTGTCAGATGCCAGCCCCTTGATCTTGGACTTTCCAGCCTTCAGAATGGTGAGTTAAATACATTTCTGTTCATTATAAATTACACAACCTGTGGTATTCTGTCACAAGAGCCAAAAGAGATTAAGAAACTAACTGAAACCTACTTCCTGTAACTCATCTTTTTCATCTATTCTAAAACTACCATGGAAATTGCTCTACTCATCTCTCAATCAGATACCTCATTACCTCCAGCCTGCTCTAGAGACAATGGAGCCTCATGATCCTTGGTAGAATGATTGGACTCACTCTCTATTGTAAACCCTGCTCCAATAATGGGGCTATATCCTCTTGTTTCCATGTGTTCTATTTATTTTTAACCTTAGTTGTGTCATGTATCCATTAGATTGTTTGGCATTGTGCGTTTGTTTGGCATTGAAGTCCTACAGTAGCAGAGCAATGACGGTAACACACCCAGAAAGGACCCTTATAACTATGTAACATTTCAATTAAGAAAATAACTTCTTTCTGCGTTATTTATTTGATTTTTTGCCAGAACCCTGTGGTATAAGGAAAGCAGCATGGTTATACCCTTTTTACAGATCATGCTGAGAAGGAGAAAAATCAGTTCCTTGCATAAGGTCAGAGGAATCGGGACAAAGAACCAAACCTTTCTGTGTACTTTACAATCACATTTTCTAGAAATACAAGTAGGTTTATTGAGTGCAGAAAATAGAACAGTACTTCATGTAACATTTACATTTTATTCTCAATGGATTACATGTTTCATTTTTCAGTCTATATAATATATGCTGAGAAATATCTTTCCAATTACTCACATAATATTAAATCAATCAGACATCTAAGAGTTGTAGTCTACTTATTAAATTCTACCTAAGACAACATGAAGGATATAGAATTTTAATTTTTTTCCTATGTCTTTTAGCTTCTCACTGGCCCACCAGAATGTTTGTTTCCTGACTTGAAGCCCAGTGTTTTTAATCCTATCCTCCCACTGCATTTCGCTTCTTTAAAAAGGAAGCTATTTCAATTCAGACTGGACTAAGTGATTAACCCTGTCAGAAAAAAAGTGGCTTTCATGTCTAAAACATAGTGATGGATTTTGATTGAAAAGCTAACGGAAAATGGACCACAATTCTATTACTAATCTAATGAACTACACATTACTACCCTAGACAAGTTTTATCATATTTTAATCCAAATGAGTCACTGTTCAGTGTGTGTCTCACAGCATTACCTAGTTGACTGGATTATTACATAAAAATGAGTATTTCATAAAATTATAAACATTTCTTTGGAAATTTGCTGCCCCTCCAAATGACAAATGTCATTATTTTATAAGGTATAGTTTTGATTTCTCAAGTTCTCTCTTTAAAACAAATATATGCAATGGGCTTATCTAATTCTACATTATTTCTGGAAAGGGCATAGTTGAAATTGCCCAACTCTTTAACAGCTTAACAGTTTTGTATGCCTTCTATACATCTGGGGTGCAGACATGTGTCCTTGGTTCTGTGTGTCAGGTGTTTCCATGGAAAAACTCAGATCCTCCAACCTTGTGATATCCTTCCTTGCAAAGCAGGCAGGGAGAGTATTTTTCAGAGGCAACAGTAGCCAAGGTCCTGGCGGTAACATTTGTGGTGTGTGATTTTAGGTGACTGTATGTAGCAATAGCATCATACTGGGCCCCACAGGAGCAGCCTGACAGTATGATTTGGCTATTATTCCTGGCTGCATGACCCCCAAGCTTATTTCTTTGTCTTCTGGGAGATTCTATGAGCTATCTAACATTCTTTATTATATTCACTTTCTCCATAAAACAGCTGTAGGGGATTCTGCTGTTTTGCAACTAAGACCCCTAATTGATATGAAGAATAACAAATCAATGCACTGTGGCCCTCAAAGCTGTCGTTCCAGGTCTAAATTTTCAGGCAAGCTGTGGCAAGTGGATTCATTAATCTCATAAACAACAATAGATTTTTGCAAGGCTCTGTGTTTAACATGAGAATGACAATACAGAGTAAGAAAGATTTCAGTTTTCAAATTGTTAACAGTCTAGAAAAGTGGACAAATACATGTTTACTGACTGTATAGCAAAATTTGTCCTAATATAACACAAATATTAGTGTATTATGAAAGCATAGAAGATCCCAAACACTCTGGCTGAATTTTTTTGAAAATGATTACTATTTCACCAGGCAGAAAATAAGAGGAAAGGCATGTTGAGAAAAGAAAGCATGAAGAAACTCACACTGATGGAAAGTAAATTATATATTGACAGTTCGATGTGTAGTCATGAAACGTAAAAGTCATTGAATACAATTATTATGGAAGAGACTGATGGGACAGCATCAAAAGACAGCTTGAGAGAAGATGATGAAGGTCCTTAAAAATATGATAAAAATTTGGAATATATATATGGTGGTAAGGCTGAATAATGGACCCCTCAAAGATGTCTGTGAATTTATAAATCTATGAATATGTCACCTTATGTTGTAAAAAGGACTTGCATAAGTGATTAAATTAAAGAGTCTGCAATGGGAAGATTATCCTATATTGACCAGAGGGTCCCAATATAAACATAAGAATCCTTCTGAAAGAGGAGCAGAAGGATCAGTCTTTGGTAGGAAATGTGACTACAGCAACAAGTGGCACCAGTGATACCAGGAAGAAGCCAAGAGCCAAGTGATGTGTTCAGCTTCCACAATCTGAAAAAGGTGAGAAATGGATTCTCCTTTGAAGTCTCCAAAAGGAATACATATTTGCTACCACCTTGATTTTAGATTTCTGACCTCCAGCGTTATAGGATGTGTTGTTTTAATGCACTAAGTTTGTGAAAATTTGATACAGCAGTAATGGAAAATTAACACATGTAGCTTAGAAGGAAAAGGAACTTTATTAACACTTGGAATGCAAGTGAGAAATATGCCAAATCATCATTTTAGAAAGCAGACTCAAGTGAAGTATGAAGGCTTAATTAAAGAGAGAGAAGTTTAGTGTTAGAAAAAATAGGTGGCTTTTGCAATAATTAGTTTAAATTATCCATCAATGAGAAAAGAGATGAAGAGACATTACACAGAAAAGACATTAAACCAACTATAGTTGTCAAATTGGTTGAAATAATGGATGTAGCATGTTAATAAGTGGGAGATCTCCAAGACACTAAATGTGATATTTAAAATATAATCAACATTTGCTATGTAGTATGTATTGTAACAAGAACTTTGCATGTACTCTATTATTTGATTCTTATATCAGCCATATGATCTGAATATAAGTATTATTATCCCATTTTTATGAAAAGAAAAATGTGAGTTAGTGAGGCAAAGTAACTTACCCAAGTCACAGAGCAACTGAACTTTAGTGTTAATAGGCTATTGCTGATAGGAATGAAAAAAATAATGGCTCAAACAAGAGTGCCACTATGTACAGAAACACAGTCTTACTTACTTAAGGAAAGGATAGGAATATCCAAATGCTCTAAGGATTTGGGTCTGCATAATGTCTCCCTTGCTAATACAAATACACAAACATATGTAAGTTTGGGGAAAATATCAGTCTCCAGAAACAGAGGAGTCCCCAAGGACTGCCAAGCAATCGTAAAGGCAGTATTTATCCCTTATGCCGGAGAAGTTGTGCAGACAGTGAGTGTCTAGGGAGTGACATAGTGAAAAGCTTCCTCAGGTTCCATTATGTTACACACTTGCTAATCCACACTTAAAAGTCATCTTCAATTGTGAACTCATGATGCACCGGGGACATATACAATACCACATAGAATTTTGCATTTCACACATTTATTTTTCTGGAAATGAAAGATATTAAAGAACAATCAAGAAAGAGGAAATCTATATGGTTTATCCTCTAGAACAAGGTTGTGTCAAGAGTAAAGACTTAATAAAACAGTAAATACATTTTAGTATCCTAACTTCCAAAGAAGCACATAGCAAATCATTGGCAGTGAGGCTCTGGATTTTGTTCAAGACATTTTTGTGGAATAAAGACGTGTTAAAAACATATTATAAAATTAATTTGATTTGATTAATTTGATTTGATAGTAATTTGTCTATAAATCTTCTATAGTTTTTCTCTCAGAAGTTAAAAATGTTAGGTGATAAAAAGATTTTAAGAGCATTTTGAAATTTTTATAGAATGTTTTGGTAAGTTTAATGTTTATAGTATAAAAAAGGCTTGATTTTAAAATATATTGATTTGTCATATTATGGAGAAAAACATCTTATGAATTTGTGACCATAAGGGGGATGCTTATGAATAAATGTATAGAATATTTAATCTAGAAATTTTCTTTCTGATTAATCAGTTTTAATGACGTTTATGTTTTGGCCAAATGAACCTGAGTGAGCACTTCGTGTTTTAATGGAGGGTTTTAATGACAAAACCAGGGTATATTACCAATACATATCATTTGGCTAAGGCAAGGACATAACTCTAAAATAACATAAAATATTTTTAAAGGTTATTAGTCTTATGTGTCACCCAATAAAATATCTTAGATAAAGTGATGAAAGGATTTCACTAAGTACGTACAAGAGCATATGATGATTAATTTTATGTGTCAATTCGACTGTGCTATTTTATACCCAGATATCTGGTAACATGCTATGTCTGGGTGTATCTGAGAGGGTGTTTCAGGAAAAGGTTAGCATTTAAATCAGTGGACTGAGTAAAGAAGAGCACAGCTCACCAGTGTGGGTGGGTGTCTTATAATCTATTAAGGGCCCAGACAGAAGAAAAAGGTGAAGGAAGGGTAAATTACCTCTCTGTCCTTTTAAATTAGGACATTCCATCTTATTCTGTTCCTAGACAACATATCTCCTCATTGTTGAACCTTTGGCCTTGGATGGAGAGTCACACCATTTGCTCCCCCGCTTCTCAGGCCTTTAGACTTAGATTGAATTTCACGATCACATTTCCAGGTTCTCCAGCTTACAGATGAAAGATTATGGGACTTTCTGGCCTCCACAATTGCATAAGCCAATTCTCATAATAAATTTCCTTTCGAATATTTGTATATAGCTTATTGGCTCTTTTCTCCGGAGAACACTGATTAATACACAGCAACTTAGGGAAAAATAATATTCTGACCAAAATGACTTGAACATTGTGCTGGATTTAGTTTAGCTACAGATTCTTCCAATAATATTTTGCCCCATCCGTTGGAAAATGCAAAAGGGTTACTTTCCACCTGATATGGTTTGGCTGCATCCCCACCCAAATCTCTTCTTGAATTGTAGCTCCCATAATTCTCATATGTTGTGGGAGGGACCCAGTGGGGAGATAACTGAATCACAGGGGTGGTTTCCCCCATACTGTTCCCATGGTAGTGAATAAGTCTCTTGACACCTGATAGCTTTATAAGGGGAAACCCCTTTTGCTTGGTTCTCATTCTCTCTTCCCTGCCTCCACATTAAGACCTGGCTTTGCTCCTCCTTTGCCTTCCACCGTGACTGTGAAGGCTCCCCAGCCATGTGGAACTGTGAGTCCACTAAACCTCTTATTCTTTATAAATTACCCAGTCTTGGGTATGTCTTTATTAGCAGTGTGAAAACAGACTAATATACCACCCTTTCAATGTATGAATCCCTTAATAAGTAAAGCACACTGGAAATGATGCTATTCCAGATCTAGGCCCTAGGCAAGTTCTGTCTTGCTCTCCTAGAGCTCTGAGTCACCGTAGAGAGGCTGATTTATCTTCTACAGAGACCAGGAGCAAAGGATATCAGACTAAGTGGAGAGAAATGCAGCCCATTTAAACCCTTTCTCACAGTTGTTCCCACAAGGCACCAGACTTATGAGTGAAGCCTACTTGAAGCCATCAAGCCAGTCCAGCTTCCAGATAAATAACCAAGTGACTATAGTTTACATCAAATGGAACACAAAGAAATACCATATAATCCTTGCTGATATGACCTACAAATTGTGAGATAAAATTTTATGTTTTTAATGCCAATGAGTTTTGAGGTTGTTATGTGCAATTTTCTTGACTTCTCTGCTTTTCACTTTCCTCAGCTACAACATTGGCTTAAGAATCTTGTAGGTTTCTTAAAGTGATTATTTCAACTGTGTAATGATAAAGCTTAGATTGCCATCTACTGATTGTTACCATAGCACCTGGCACATAGCAATAATAACTGGCATTTATTGGGCAATCTCTAGCTTCTAGGGACTGTAAAGACACTCAGGACAGTTCTTCATGCAGAAAAATTACACTGCTTAAACTCGGTGGATGTGTGAGCACTTTAAGTTTTCTCCACTTGTAGAAGTAGATTTACATTGATTCATCTGAGTTCAATCATTTTTCCCTACTTTGTAATAGAGCAACATCTTTCAATACAGTTAACCAGAGTTACAGGAAAGCTAACTGGTTATATTCACGAATGAATGTATGACTTTGACTATATGAGCAAAAATACGTTATATTCACAAAGCTCACAGTTCATAAATGCTTTTTAAGCATGTCACATGTTTTGAGTATAATAAATCAGTTCTGTGGAGCATATGTGGGGAATTTCTACCTTCATTTTGCAGGTGAAAATCATGAATCTTAGAGATGTGACATGTGACTGTCAGTATTAAACGTATGAGATGATATGAGAACAAGTTCAGACATTTTTCTGACATTGTGCTATATTCCTCCTTTGCAGTACAACAATTTGAGCTAACCATATTGTGTTATACCTTTCAAATGATTTTCCTCATTTTGTTGATATTCTAATTATTTTATTTTAGAAGCCAATATAAAAAATTAATATGAAGAATGCACTTATACTTGTTTAGAAATCTGCAACAAATACAACATTTGGATACATTTAAACAAATAACATTTCAAAAACAATACTCAGGTAAAAAATCTAAGTAAACAATTGTCAACATTTCTTTTATGAGTGTGGTACAAAGTTCTTTATTCTAAGAGGAAAAGAACAAATAATTTCACTTAAAGTATTTCAACGTTGATGCTTAATGTGCAACCAGCGTCGTTTCCAGGCAACCTCTGATGTTGCTATTTAAAATTGTACTAACTGTAGAATATGGGACCATGCCATGGTATCAAAATTAAACCATTCTCTTGATAAGATCTAAAATTGAAACCGTAGAATTCCTTGGGCTGATAAACTTATTCTAAATGTGCATTTGTAATAGTAATAGATTATCCTTTTAGAGAAGAAGAAAGTATAATCATGTCAGGAACAGGAATGCTTCTAAATGTAGAGTTGATAGGCATGTGATCTCTACCTAACACAGTGCTTAGTGGATAGTAGATACTCAATATTGAAGGACTTAAATGCTTCTAGTAATTGCAATAGCAACAACAGTCTTAATACTTTTTATTAAATAATTACATTTCACCTATTTTATTTGTAAGCTGTACAGCGCCCTTGGTAATTAAATATTATGTCAATTCTACATAAAATTAAAAGTGAGGGCCAAAGGGTTTAAGAATATTAAAAAAATCACAGTAAATAAGATACCAATTTTTTAATGTGGAAATTGAGGGAAATAGCCAGAGTGAACTTTAAAAACATTCTTTAGAAAACATATTTTGAATATTTATGTATGAGACAGACAGTAGATAAGATGAAAATAAGAAATACGATAATGTATTACTGACATCCCTATACCATCATGAGGGACCTCATTCAAGTACACTAGATTGCAGGGGCTTAGAAAGCTATCAGGGTTGGTTGTTTGCTGGCTGACTCTACTTCCCCTCCCTTGGAGGATATAACCTCACTGATTCCAAGTTTTATTAAGTATCAGTAGAGCTGTATGTCTGTACAGAGATAAAGAAAACACACAATGAAGTTGTCTGTTTGTGAGACAGGATATTACTGTGAGTTTCCCTAGAACTGCATGTCTGAAAGCCACCTCACTTCTTGCTGAGGTTTGTCTTATTTGTTTTGTTTTATTCTGATAAATCAAAATCATAAAGGGCATGTCTGTATGGGCCTCTGTAACAAAAGGCGCCTACCTGGAATGCTTACCTAGGTTTTTGAAATGTTAGGCTGTACACAGATGTCCTTGGGATAATTCATGAAACTGCTGAAATTCCATATAAAATTGTTAATGTATTTCTATTAAAGCATTTTTCAGGAAAAACTATTTTTAATCAGAAGCTAAAAAAAATGATAAACCAAATATGGTCTACAGGAAGATACATAGTGATAAAAACCGTCATGGTATAGTATATGAAATAAGCACACACAGGTTGCCATGGAATTTGAGATTAGAATCACCTGGCACAGACATAGACATTACAGAACAATTCTAGCAAAAGATAATGGTCAAAATTACCTTTAAATGATGAGTGGGAGTTAACTGGTTCCTGAAATATGGCAAGAACACTTTTAGTGAGAGAAAAAAGTAACTGCAAAGAGACTGAATTACTAAAGAGTTTGATTCTTCATGAAAATAGCAAATCGTCCAATATAGTTCAAATTAAAAGAAGAAAGAGAATCATTGTAAAAATAGTAGTTTATTTCCTGGTTTACCCACAGAGTTATCCCAGTTCAAGTTCTTTTAAAGCACTTTCTAAACAACAGACTCTCTTGCCACCTGATAATGAGCCTGTGGCTTAAAATCTTAAATTGGAGAACAAAGAAGGACAGGAAATCAATAAGATACTCCTGTTGATTTGGTAAAAGGTATTAAGTTTGAATAAGATTTCATCACTCAATGAAAAATAACAAAATAAAAACTAAAGTATAGGTTATAAAATGATTCCATGATGATAAGGATATAAAACAAAGCACTCTTAAAAGACAACAATAATAATAAAAATAATTTGGAAACTTAAGTAAAATAAAGTTTCTGACTTGTGCTTTCATTAATTTGAGAGAAAACATGAAATGTATAACGTAATTGTTGTAGGCAACATGACAAGACCAAAGATTTGATTGAAATGATATTAGGGGAAGAGACATGAAATAATTTATTTAATAAAACTAAAATAGAGTAAAAATAATTTTTAAATGTTTAAAGATGTTAAGAATAAAATAAATAACATAAAAACTAAAATATGTGATGTAGAGAACAAACTTCAGGTCCTAGTTGAGAATCCAAGAGGGGGAGACAAAAAGATACAGATCAGCAGAAAAAAGAGGATGAAACCTCAATGGATTAATGTTAGGAACAGAATTAGAACTAGATTCAGAATTAGTCCAAGTGTTGAGTTAGAGTTAGGTTAAAAACTCTATCAGCCAATAATTAAAAATAATTAAAATTACTTTGAGACCAGCCTGGCCAACTTGGTGAAACCCCATCTCTGCTAAAAGTACAAAAATTAGTCTGGCATGGTGGCACGCGCCTGCAATCCCAGCTACTCAGGAGGCTGAGGCAGGAGAATCACTTGAACTAGGGAAGCAGAGGCTGAAGTTAGCCAAGATTGTGCCACTGCACTCCAGCCTGGGTGACAGAGAGAGACTCTGTCTGAAAAAAAAAAAAAAAAAAAATTACTTTGAGTAAAGAACAAATGAGAAAATAAACTATTCAAATTATTATAGAGAAAATATTTTCTAAACTGAAGAAATCACTGACTCTGTAGGCAAAAAAAAGAGTGCCCTTGATTTATATGACAAATTAAGTATGTAAAAAAAAAACACTGTATCTTAGTGAAATGCTTCACTTATAAAGAAAAGAAAAAAAAATCACACGTTTCACCAACATACAGGGAAGAATATAGTTTATAAAAAAGAAATGCAAAAAAAGCACCAAAGTCTGCACTATGATTTTTTTATGGAATCAGTTAATTTCCTTGTATTATAAATACTTACATGATCATGGAATACATGGAAATCTTCCCATTGTGTTTTCTGAAGTAAGCACAATCTTGACACCAAAAGTGGTTAATAGTAAATGCCTTGGAGCCAACCTGACTGGATTCCATCTATCTTCATTACTTATTTGCTCTGTAATATTGGGTAAGTCATTTTTCTTTTTTGTTTCTCACTGTATTCGTGAGCCCAAACTGCCATAAAAAATTATCATAAACTGAGTGGCCTAACCAACGGGGATTTGTTTCCTCACAGTTCTGGAGGCTGAGGCTGAGAACAGAGTAGCAAGCATAGTCAGCTTCCGGTGAGGACCCACCTCTTGGCTTGCAGATGGCCTCCTTCTTGCTGTGTCTTCATCTGGCAGAGGGAGAGCCCTCATGTTAATACCATCATTAGGGCTCCAACCTCATGACTTTACTATTCATTAATTCATCATTTGGTATTCATTATTCATTAAACCTAATTATCTCCCCAAGGCCCCAACTCCAAAAACCATCATGCTAGGAGTTCCAGAGCTTCAATATATAAATATGAGGAGGACACAATGGAATCCATGACACTCAGCCTCCTCATTTATAAAATAGAGGTATAAATAGAATACTTTCTTAAAGGCTGTTCTGAAGGCCAAATGAAGTCATAAATGTAAGAGAGTTATAAGTGTTATAGCATGTAGTCAATGCTACATGAGTGCTGGCTAATATCGTTATTAGCTCCAGGCCACTTAAAAACAGATATAAACAAAATATTTAATGAAATGCAAGCAAATTCAATCTAGCAATAATTAAAATAGATGACCACAGAAATTGTTTCTGGAGTTCAGGGATTTTTTTTAGTATTATTTTTTAACAGTACAATTCATCATATTACTATATTCAACAGGCAGTATCTACATTATCACATTAGTGGATAATAAAAATGTTACTAAAAGTAATAAAAATATTGCTTTAAAAATCAATCAACCAATAAAAATTTCAGAAAGCGAGAATATTAGAGAATTAAATGTGTAAACCATGCATCATCCTAAAAGCTCTGAGGCTTTCTCATGGAAACAGAAATAAGGCAACTAGGTTGCCATTAGCTAGTATTATCTAATTCCGCTTCAAAAGTGACAATACCTGAAACAATAAAGTGCCACTGTACCTCTTTAAAAAATACCTGGAAGCGCCGGGCGCGGTGGCTCAGGCCTGTAATCCCAGCACTTTGGGAGGCTGAGGCGGGTGGATCACGAGGTAAGGAGATCAAGACCATCCTGGCTAACACGGTGAAACCGCGTCTCTACTAAAAATACAAAAAATTAGCTAGGCGTGGTGGCAGGCGCCTGTAGTCCCAGCCACTTGGGAGGCTGAGGCAGGAGAATGGCGCGAACCCAGGAGGCAGAGCTTGCAGTGAGCCGAGATCGCGCCGTTGCACTCCAGCCTGGGCGACAGAGCAAGACTCCGTCTCAAAAAAAAAAAAAAACAACAAAAAAACCTGGAAGCATAATCATTAGTAAGTTAAAAAATTCTCATTATTTTCAGATGAAATAATTGTTATCCTGGGAATCATATTAAATTTTAAAATTCTTAGGAATAATGAAGTAGTAATATTAAATGAATTAAAGTTTTTATAAAATAAGATTGTTTAATAATTGATGCACATATATTTTTAAATTACTGACATTGATATATATATACATGCACGTATAATCATTATTTTATAATTGATGCACATTTTTTAAATTACTGACATTTATATACACATATTTTTTAAATTACTGACATTTATATATATACACACGTATATACACATGTATATAATTTTAGATTACTGATATTTATACACATATATATATATACACGCACATCATCTTTATTTTAGTCGTATTGTATGTACCCTATTTTCTTCAATTCTAAGATGTAATGATTTAATAACAGAGTAAAGAAATTACAAACCACCTTTCTATCACTTCTCTAGCAAATTATAACAAAAGCAGTGGATTAAAACAACACATTTATTATTATACTATTGCGTAGTTCAGAATGGGTCCCACTGGGCTCATCAGTGTGTCAGTAGGGCTGTGTTTCTTTCTGGAGATTCTAGAGGCAAAGTCACTACCTTAGCTCCAGCTTCTAGAGGATGTATGTAGTCTTTGGGTGAGTGTAGAGTTCAAGATAACGGTCCTCTTGAAAAATACTCTACAATTTCCCTGATTGATATAATTAGATGTTATGTCCCATGAAATTTATACTTTCAATTCTATTTTAAGGAAGTTTTGTGATCATCATTTTTGTGTTTCTTTTAAAAAGAATGATTATTAAAAGAAACATTTATTCATTTGATAACAATTTAAAAAATTATATATTTTTAAAATCTCCACAGGATATTGATTCTCTCTTTTTTTCACCTTGAACCTTGTTTAAAACCCCAAGACTTGAATAGCTTTCTAGAATCTCTCTGGAAGGTAACTCTGAGATTACACAGATGAGTCAACTTTGTTTAATGGAGTCACAGGCAAGGAATGTGATTAACTGCTGTCTCTACAGTACACTGTTTTCCAGTTTCTCTCAGGAAGTCTAAATACTGCTGCTGTTCATTTATTTAGCTCCCCACGAGAAGGATTCTGATGACTAGGCTGCTAACCATCACTGAAAAACCCCCTTGCCATCACGCCACACTGCATTAGAAACAGCGGCAGGGGAGGGTTGTGTACCTGTTGTCTCAAAAAGATGAGCACGACAGCACAACAGCATCCTCCTTGGAGTCAATAAGACCCAGAGATTACTACCCTTAAGAGAATCTAAAGTTTGATGAAGGGTTTTCTACAGGGAAAAGCAAAAATTGGAAACTACAGAAAAGGAATTTTTCATTTGTCACAGTGTTGTCACAATGTTGTTACACTCAATGCATATAATATTTTAACTGTTATAAAACCACTCAGGAACTTGACAATACATTGGTTCCAGGGATATGCAGCAAATAGTGTATACATAACACATTTGCCTCTAGGAAAGAATAGTCAATTTTACATGAATATGAAAATCATATGGAACAGACTATTCACTTTATTTGTGATTGAAATATAGCTTTATGTAAAGGAAAATGACTGCCATAAAGAATGGAATTCTTTTTCTGTCATTTTATTGTTTGTTCTATTTTCTGGCTTTGAAAACTATAGGACAAAAACCTATTTAATAAGAAACATCTCAAATATTTGAGGAGTGAACATAAAATTGCATATTGTTTAACCTCATTAGGCTGATTTGAAGAAAAGGAAGTATTGAAATACTAGATTTGGTATCTAGATGTCTACCACTAAAAGAAATAGCAAATGTATCTTTAATGTAGTGAAAACAATTAAATTATTTTTAAGCTACAAAGAAAAAGATATTCTCTCAATTATGCTTGTTTGGACCAGGGAGTTTATGAAACAGAAAAGACAGTCATATAAACATTTACAGAACTACTTTTTATGAAATATTAAGTAGTCTCTATTTAAATTTGTATTTATTTATTTAGAGACAGGGTTTCTTTCTGTTGTTCAGGCTAAAGTGCAGTGACAATCAGGTTGTATAGCTCACTGCAGCCTCAAACTCCTGGGCTCAAGTTATCCTGCTAACTCAGCCTCCCAAGTAGCTAGGACTATTTTTAAGCCAAAGTAATCATGTATTATGACTATGCGAAATAGCAGAGTGAGAATAAAAGGGGCACAAAAATTATTTTGTAAGGGAAAACTGTGTTTCAAAAAATATATTTGGTGTAATGTTTAGTATGTTTAACAAACAAGAAAGACAATAAAATGCAGATTTGCAAAATATTTTTATTTTTACTTTTTTCATGTATTTTCATTAATGATATGCATTAAGTACCATGGCCTTCTATCTTATATTCCAAAGAGATTAGTAACATAATATAGGATTGTTCATTGCTAGATAGTACTTAATCAAATTAGCAAAGCATGACGAAAGATTTTCCTAAATATGCTAAAATCTTTCATGTTAATATTAAACTTTTAAATGATAGAAAACAGAATTAAGACAGTAACTCACTGCTATACGCTAAATCAACCAATACCAATTGTGATTACACAATGTCTCTCTAACATATTAGATAAGGCCTTCACTACATCTTACCATAAACATGTTCCTTATTTCAACTCCCATGGTTCAGAATTGTCCTCTTGAACTCTGTCAGAGTTAAATTTACAGAAAAAAAAATAACATTTTGAAATAAACTTAAAACCATTAAACAAATTGCTGGTCTCACGTCTTTCCACCAAAATCTCAAGTTGTGGCTGTCACCAAACCCACAAGGTCACTTATTGGTTGTCCTTGGAAAACCATTCAGAGCTTGCAGACCACTCACTATTCAGAAGGAGCATGCATAGGGTCCAGTCTAGCTTCACATTTGTTTAGGTCTCTGAGTGTCTTTTCCTAAGCTAAAATGAGAGGACCATTTCCTCAGCATGGAAAAGCCAAGAAAGAAAGTAGAATCTAGCCTTTTCTTGGGGCCTGTCACTTTTTATGTAGTTAGCCAATTCCTTTGGGTTATGAGGTTAAAGATTTTAAATGTACCACCATTGTGAATTAAGTAGAAGAGGTATCTCAAAGTAAAAGAGTTTTGAGGTGGATGATTAATAAAAGAACTAACTCTTATCAAAGCAGCCCAGACAGGAGAGCAACTACAAGAAATAGCTGGTAAGTCACATATGTTGCATAGTCAAATCATGCTGGGGTTTAAATAAAACAAAATGGAAAAGAAACCACACAATTCCTGAAATTGACTAATTTATAGAGGACTACTAGTACCTTTGATAACTGGATGAAATTCCACTCAATAATTATGTTGCATGCCTTGCTAATTAATATTTTTTGTTTGTATGCTGGGTTAAGGATCTTTGTTATCTGGTATTTGCGTTCATTAGAATGTTTCATGTCTATTAAAATTTAAAAGAATACTATTTTGATTTATTCTTTGGTCATGCACATTCATTACTGGAGAAATAAAATTTTTGTTCTGTGATGTATTATTAAGTATAATTTAATTATTGAAAGCTGAATAATTCTGAAAAAGGAAAATGTGAGTGTGTGTGTGTGAATGTGTGTGTTTCATTAAGTAAATATATTATACATTTCCTCCTTTGCAAATTACCTAATAAATTTTATTTTTTTCAATAAAACCATAAGTACAGTTTCAAACTTTTCTTCTAGGGTGCTTATTGACACAAATAACAATAGAGTTGAACTATACTGATTTACCTATTTTTAAATAATTGCTAGAAACATGCTGTGAAAATTTTTATTTCTTATGATTCACAGTTCCAGGGGGCAATTATGGTAGATAGTCAAACAGCATTTACCTTCTCCTGAGACTTGTTAAAAGGCAGCACGTAGACAAGAGAAAATTTGTAGAAGTAAATTAAGGAAAAATATTTGCAATGATAAAATTTTATATAGTTACAGAAAATACATATTGGTGTGATTCTCATGCATTATTGGTGTGATTCTCATGCATGAGAGCAATTTTATGCCAAGTAGAAATTGCAAGTCTTCTGCAAGCCTGCAGGGGGTTTAAATACTTATGATCTTTTCTGTACAATAATGTGTTTGTCAAAAAAAAAAAAAGCCCAGTCTATAAAAGGAAAATGTGGAAAGGCAGCTACAAGCTGTAATGTAATGGTTTTCTACAATAAAATGCCAATCCAACTTTGAAACTGGTACTTCATGTTGAACCTTTTTATACAGCTCTTCCAGTAGATGAGTAGGCTTCAATAAATGTTGATATGACATAATTTATCACTTCCATCAGGCCTTTATCAACTAGAGTTTCTCATTTGAAACAAAGAAAAGAGATGATGAATTCCATAACTGTGTTCTCAATTACCCCACGTTTGATTCCATGACTATGTTCTCAATTCCCCCCATGGTTGAGTAGTAACTAATATCACACTAACTGTATAGGAGACAAGTTAATAATTTTTATATACAATGGATGCCTTAGGATATTAAAGCTTAATTTTCTTAAGAAACACTAGCTGAAAATGGCTGAGAGCTTCATCCTAAAAGTGACACACTGTTCATATCCCTTGCCTTTTTTTATATAAAACTGTGAATGGTAAAGGTGATACTGTAGATCTTGAATAGTGTAGCCCTGGCCAATGAGAAAGAGACATCTACTGCCACTCTATAAAATTTGAAACGTGTCATTTCCCTCTTAATATTATGTCAGTTTATTCTCTCACCAAAAACTGCAGTTGCTAAAACTGAGATAGTTTTGTGATTGGTATAATTGATGATCTGCTCTTTAATGTTAGGGTATAAATGGGAGGCATAGTTTGATGAGTTTTCAATTCCGTGTGTGGGTTTTTTTTTTCCTTTTTTTCAGTCTCTACCAGAAATCTTTCATTTATTCTTTTCAACAAATATTTATTACGCATACACTCCTTATGCACTGTTCTATGTATCAAGGATTTAAGAAGCGAATAAAACAAATCTCTGCTTTTCTTCAAGGGGTAGAGTAGGAGTGGAGACAGAGACTCTAGTAGAATAGAATGTATAAGGCCAAGGATAGAAGCAAGAGGCTCTAAGAATTTAATGAAATTCTGGCAAGGCTAATTGTGACTTTGGGTAGCCATTAAGGTCACAATGAGCAATCAAAAGTCACATATGTTAAGAAGCTAAAGTAGACAGAAATTTGTGGTACACTAGAGGTAGGTTAAGGAAGATTGAGAGAAATCAAGTAAGCTAAAAGGAACTTTGAGTATAAATTGTTTTATACCTAAATGAGTATCTTTTATGTAGCAGCCAAGAAGACATCATATAGTTACTCAATAATTGAATCATGATCAACTAAAATGAGTAATGGCAAACAAAATGTCTGGTCCCAATTATTTTTACTATTTTAATTTTTTAAAAAAATTTCAACTTTCAGGTTCAGGTAATACATGTGCAGGTTTGTTGCATGGTATATTGTGTGACACTGAGGATTGGGGTAAAAATGATCCCATTACCCCAGTAGAGAACATAGCACCCAATAGGTAGTTTCTCAACCCTTGCCCCACTCCCTCCCTTCTCCTTTTAGTGTTCTCCAATGTCTATTTTTCTCATTTTCATGTGCATGTGTCCTCAATGTTTTGCTCCCACTTATGTGAGAAAATGTGGTATTTGGTTTTCTCTTCCGGCATTAATTCGCTTAGGATAATGGCCTCCAGCTGCACCCATGTTGTTGCAAAGGACATGATTTCATTCTTTTTCATAGCTCAATTCTTGTATTACAGATTCTCTTACACATGGGAGTGCTAGAGAAAAAAGTGATGTTTTAAATTGCAAACATTGTATCCTATAAGAGCAAGATGTCCTAGTGATTTCATTTGATCATTTTAACTTGAATCTCAGAATATAACAGCAATCCAGCAAGTCTCTGAAGTTAGCATTGTTACTATTCCATCATTTTTGTTTCTAAGCTAGCCTATATACAATTAAAAATTCAATAGTTCTCAGACTTGTTCTAAGATGATCTATTATGGGATTCTGCAATTAATATTAATGATAATCTTACAGATATATACACAGGATGATAAATGCAAATTTCAGAATATGACACATTTTTAAGAACTGAAAGAATAATAAATTTTAGCAAATAGTAAAATAAATGAATAATCAATGACTTCAAATAAAAGTTAGTTTCTTTCTATGTACAAGTTCCTTTGCTGTCCCTTTAACTACCACTTGCTGATAGGAAGAGAATTTGTTTTACAACATTTACCATTGTGGGGGTGGAAAGGTGTGATGCCTTTCCTCAGCATCATAAGGGGAACTGCCAACAATCCTATAACAAAAAGCAGGTAAACAAGGACAAATATAATAGATTTATATAATCAAAATTTTTTTGTAACACAGAGCCTTCAGAAATGAAGACCCAAAGGTCCAGGAAAACCTGGCAATTTTTATGTTTAGGTTTGATAAACAATGAACAGCCATGTCGAAATGTGATCGGACAAGATATGATCTAGTAGACTGAGGGGGAAACTCCAGCAAGGCCTGTCTGTTAAGATTCTTCTTGGTCATTTTGTGTGGCATTCCTTCCTCCCACATATGGGGTAGCACCCCTCTAGAATGAGGGTCTTCAAGGGTGAAGGAGAAGAACCACCTTTCTAGGTTTTATGGCTTGCTTTGAGGGACAAGAGTTCTTTTCTATGACCCATCTCGCAGAAATAGAATTCCGGTTTGTGTGACCTGCTTCAGGGGAGAAGGAGACTTGGGAGACAGGAGGGTTGGAGAAGACCAAAGAGACACATTGCCTCTGAGGCCTTCCAATCCCCTTTAGTCGAAAGTACTCAGCAACACCAAAGTGCCATTTTTTGGAATCTTGTTTTTCTGTGCCCCAAAACCTCAAAATTCTTATTTATTATTCCAAAAAGTTCAAGCCTATCATCATTAAACTCAGAGTCAGCCTTCCTCATTTGAATCCTCTTTTTCTTAGACCTCATGCTTTGAATTTTAGCAATAACCCTGAATATGCTTGTTAAGTCCTCATTGGTGAAATCATCTTCAGTGAAGTTACAATTAGTAAACTAGTGTATTGGATGTTGTGCATATTGGTGGCATTTAATATAAAGACTAACATTAAAAGGGTGAAAATGTAACATGAATCAGGCAAAATGCAACATTAAACACTCAGGATCGGTTGTGTGATAAATCATATCTTGCAGTTCTTTCTTTTTCCCTTTTCAGTAGCCTTGTCTTTGTACCAATAGTAGCATTAACAAAACTTATCAATGAGTGCTTTTTGCCAGAATTTATTATCAGATGGAGACCAAATATTAGATAACCAAGAGATGAGGAAAAAGTCAGAGGAAAAACATAAACTAATAATCTTTAATTTTAAAGTGTTGACATAATATTCAAGTGATAGGTGATATATTTGCTTCAAAGTATAATCTTTTGGTCTAGAAAAAAAGAAACTACTATTTTGACCCTATGAATAAAAAAGAGACAGATAAATTATATATTCATTCATATATTTATATTTGAATTCAGTAAAAAATATATATAATGTTTAACTGTAAGTAGGCTGATGATGCAATAAAACATAATAGAACTAAATTCACAAAGTTACAAGGTTCTGGGAAAGAGGGGACCCACAGTTGTATTGTTGTGTGTGTGTGTGTATGTGTGATATTGTATTATGTTTCTCTATATTAGCAATAAATAATCAGAAAGAGATTTGACATGGCACCATTTGTAATGGCATCAAAACACATCAAATACATTGAAATAAATTTTACAAAACAGATGCCAGATTTATATGATGCAAAATATAAAATAGTGATGTGAGAAATCAAATATCTAAGTAGAGAGATATACTTTGTTCCTGATTGTAAAAATCAATATCATAAAATTCTCTCCAATTCTCTCTTATAATATCGTAAATTATTTCCAAATTCTTTACAGATTCAAGGCAGGTTCAATTCAATCAGAGCTACATTTTTGTTGTAAAAATTTACAAAATAGTTCTAAAATTTATATCAAAAACAAGGGCCTACAATAACCAAAAAATAATTTCGAATATGAGGAATAATGTTGTGTTTGTATACTACCTGATTCCAAAATGTCTTATAAGTGTACAATAGTTTATACAAGAGTAACATATAGAGATCAATGGAGTGGAATTGGGAGTCAAGAATTAGAACCACATATTTGTTGCCAGTTAATGGCTAATGTAGACAGAATAATCTTTTCAACATACAGAGCCAAAACGTTCAAGTATCGATAGACACACACACATACACACACACACACACACACATGCAAACTCTAAGACATATCTAACATCATACCCCAAGTAAAAAAATAACTTGAACTGCATTAGATATCTTGTTATATAAAAAAACTAATAACAACTATCTTAAAAGTAAATAAATGGAATTCACTAAAATTAAAATCTCCTGTGGTTCAAAAGACACTATTAACAGAGTGAAAAGACAAGCCACAGAATACAAGAAAATATTTGTGAAAAACATATACAATAAAAGACATATGTCCAGAATATATACTGACATCTCAAGGCTCAATAATAAGAAAATAAACAATTCCATTTAAAAATAAACAAGAAACTCGAACTGACAGTTAAATATATATATGGATGACAAATGGTTTCACGAACATATTCTTGTCATTAGTCATAAGAGAAATAAAAATTCATTTTTGCATTAATTAGTGCAAACCCTTACAGAAGTAATACAATACATAGCAATGTGTTGCATACAGTACACAATTAACATATGGATTAATTGCTTTTTAACCCTTAATGAGATGCAATTACACTTATACCAAAAATACTACCCCTGACACTGGTACTGCCATGTGCTGGCAAGGATGTGGAACAATTTGTACTTTTTAACATTCCTTATAGAAGTGAAAATGGGAGTCTAAGTCTCTTTTTAGGTCTCTAAGAAATTGCTTTATGAATCTGGGTGCTCCTGTATTGGGTTCATATATATTTAGGATAGTTAGCTTTTCTTATTGCATTGATCCCTTTACCATGATGTAATGCCCTTCTTTTCCTCTTTCGATCTTTGTTGGTTTAAAGTCTGTTTTATCAGAGACTAGGATTGGAACCCCTGCTTTTTTTTGCATTCCATTTGCTTGCTAGATCTTCACCCATCAATTTATTTTGAGCCTATGTGTGTCTTTGCATGTGAGATAAGTCTCTTGAATACAGTACATCAATGGTCTTGACTCTTTATCCAATTTGCCAGTCTGTGTCTTTTAATTGGGGCATTTAGCCCATTTACATTTAAAGTTAACATTGTTATGTGTGAATTTGATCCTGTCATTACAATGCTAGCTGGTTATTTTGCCCATTAGTTGATACAGTTTCTTCATAGCATTGATGGTCTTTACAATTTGGCATGTTTTTGCAGTGGCTGGTACCAGTTGTTCCTTTCCATGTTTAGTGCTTCCTTCAGGAGCTCTTGTAAGGCAGGCCTGGTGGTGACAAAACCACTAAGCATTTGCTTGTCTGTAAAGGCTTTTATTTCTCCTTCATTTATGAAGCTTAGTTTGGCTGGATATGAAATTCTGGGTTGAAAATTCTTTTCTTTAAGAATGTTGAAAATTGGCCCCCATTATCTTCTGACTTGTAAGGTTTCTGCAGAGAGATCCACTGATAGTCTGATGGGCTTCCCTTTGTGGGTAACCCGACCTTTCTCTCTGGCTGCACTTAACGTTTTTCCCTTTATTTCAACCTTGGTGGATCTGACGATTACGTGTCTTGGGGTTGCTCTTCTCAAGGAAATGCCCATAAATGATAGACTGGATAAAGAAAATGTGGCACATATACACCATGGAATACTATGCAGCCATAAAAAAGGATAAGTTCATGTCCTTTGCAGGGACATAGATGAAACTGGAAACCATCATTCTTGGCAAAGTAACACAAGAAGAGAAAACCAAACACCACGTTCTCACTAATAAGTGGTAGTTGAACAATGAGAACACATGGACACAGGGAAGGGAACATCACACACCAGGGCCTGTCAAGGGGTGGGGAACTGGGGAAGGGATAGCATTTGGAGAAATATCTAATGTAAATGACGAGTTGATGGGTGCAGCAAACCAACACGGCGCATGTATACTTGTGTAACAAACCCGCATGCTGTGCACATGTACCCCAGAACTTAAAGTATAATAATAATAATAAAAGTGAGAATGGGACAACTACTTTGAAAAAGTTTGGTAGTATCTTGCAAAATTAAACATATACACTCACCATACTATCAAGTAAACCTGTTCCTTTTTATTATCTAAGATAAATCAAAACTCATGTCTTCCCAAAGACTTCTATACAAATGTTTACAACAGCTTTATTCATAGTTAACAAAAATCTAAATCAATTTATTTTCATCATGAATGAATTATCATGAAACTGAGGTACATCCACAAAATGGAAGTCTGTTAAACAATTAAAGAGAACAAACTGCTAATAAGTGCAACAATATGGATAAATCTCAAAAGTATTATACTACATGTAAAAAGCCAGACACAAAATGCTACACACGATGTGATTCATTTGACATACTAGAAAAGATGAAGGTATCAGGAAATAAATAAAAATATTCTGTAAATATCCTCATATGCCAGGAAATGCAGAAAGTTCTATTAAATGGAGAAAAGGAAGATGGCACATCAATAAATAAAAAATAAACTTTCTGTCTTAAATGAAACTGTGCCCCCAGTTTTAGAAGATGTAGCTTATATTTAACTTTGTAAAAAAATGTTAACAGTCATATTTTAAGAAAATTAATCAATTTACATTTAGCCCTTGCTGAAGACTGGCTAATCAACACTTCTAATAATTAAACATTCTGTTCTATTTTTATTTTGTAACTCTGCCATACAATGATACCAGTTCGTAACACAATTTGGCAGTTATAAAATATTTGGAAATTAGTTGATTAACAAAAGCTACTTCTTAAATAATTTTTAATTTGTGAATCACTTTTAAAATGTGAATGTATGAGAAAGTATCAGCATTAATGTCATAAACTAACTCATATTTTATAAAGAATTGTGCAATATCAAAAGAGAAAATGCTCTGTATTGAGATTTTCTTTGTAGAGTGATTTGAAATATATTTTTAAATTTTATGTATACCTTATTACCAAATATAAAGTTATTTTTAGATTATAAATAAGATTTTTTAAATTGAAAAATATATTTGTGGTATAACATGGTTTATGCAGTTTCTCCTAAAAAACTGTTATGTATTTCATTGTTTCTATTTTTCTTTCTGCAAATAATCTAATACAGTATGAAATATCATGAATAGTAGATATTTACTTATTGATTAAATAGTTTGAATATTATTCTTAAAGTTTTTTCAAACAAGAGTTTACATTTATTGGATCCATGTATTATAACATAAAATCAATGTTGTGCTGAAGCCAGCTCATCCTGGCTCACAAGAGCCCATCATTCATTTTTCAGTAATTTTGCTTTCTAGTTATTAAATACAGCCATCATTAAAGATTAATTATAGAAACTTATGATCAAGCATATAATATTTAAAAAGGAAATGAATTCTCAAAACCATCACTTCCTAATGGTTTTCTATTCTTTATTAATATTTGTGTCTATGAAGTTATTCATATCTAGTTGCTGTGTATGGTAGAAATAACATCTCCCATTGTCAGCTAAAAATATGCTATGTTGGGAGTATTTGCACCATAAGAAATTCCATGAAATTTTTTTTTTCTACATTAACTTTATTGGTTGAGCAGCCATAATTCCCTGAAAATCTGTGGTTAATTTCTCAGGTTCAATTAATGTATTAAGAAAATATCAATATCATAGCTGTTATGTAGCTATATTTCTTTTTAATTTTTTTCCTTTTATTTATTTTTATTTTTAACTTCTATTTTTGGTTCAGGGATACACGTGCAGGTTTGCTATACAGGTAAACTGCATGTCACAGAGGTTTGGTGTACAAATAGTTTTGTCACCTGGATAATAAACATAGTACCTGATGATACTTTTTCTGATCCTCTCACTCCTCCTACTCTTCACCCTCAAGTAGGTCCCAGTGTCTGTCGTTCCCCTCCCAGTATCCATGTGTTCTGTTTATTTTACTCTCACTTATATGTGAAAACATGTGGTACTTGGTTTTCTGTTCCTGTGTTAGTTTGTTTAGGTTAATGGACACCATTTCTATCCATATTGCTGCAAAGTAGTTGTTAAACATGTTCCAGCACACAGCCACATTAAACCGTGCTTTTAGATATCTGCTATATAGTAAGCATGTATATTGAAAACACAAAAAAATAAGGTACGTCACTTGCCCAGGAAACCTAAAAGGATATAAGACTTGCAATAAGCAGTGATTGCACCACTGCACTCCAGCCTGGATGGGAGAGTAAGAACCTGTCTCAACAAATAAAACAAAACAAACAACAACAACAGCAAAACACTGCAAAAAAGAACTGACTGCAGACATGTGGGAAATGAACTCCTCCAGAATGCAGGGATAGACTATACAAAACAGGTGAATTTGGAGCTAGACCATAACAAATAAGTAGAAGCTCATCAGGTAGAGAACATGAGCAAAGTTATTCCTGTTATGGAGAAAAGCATAATCAAAGTAAAGAGACATAAGACAAAACCCTAACATTTCTAAGTCTCCAGAATAAAGGGTATGTTATCTCGCTTTGCCTCTGTTTTATAAAGAACACTTGTGATGATATTAATATTTAGGGACCATCCAGATAATCCAGAATAATCTTATCAAGATCCTTAACTTAATTGTATCTGCCAAGACTCCTTTTCCCAATAAGGTAACATGAATTTCAGAAACTAGAACTTAATAGTATCTTTGAGTGGCCATGGTTCACTGTACATGGTAGTGATAATTCAAACCAAAGTAGTAGAAGAATTTGCAAAGAAAAAGTTTATAGAGAAAAAAAGGAAAAGGACCAAATTTAGTATTGCTATAGTCACCACATTACTTCAGTAAGCAAATGAGAAACCAATGAGAGACATTAAAATGCCAGGAGATATTTAAAGGAAGAAGGCCAAGAAATAAACATGGGATCCAAGTGAGCAGAAAAGATACAAGGAGAAAATTGACAGCAGCTATGAATACCTGCATTTGTATGTTCATCACAGCACAATTCACAAGAGCAGAGATATGGAATCAATCTTAGTGTCCATCAAGTCATAATTAGATAAAGAAATTGTGGTATGTACACAAAATAGAATACTATTCAGCCATAAAAAATGAAATCATGTATTTGACAGCAACAGGGATGGAATTGGGGGCCATTATCTTAAATGAAACAACTCAGAAACAGAAAAAACAAATACCACATGTTCTCACTTACAACTGGAAGCTAAATAATGTGTACAGTGGACAGAGAGTGTGGAGGGATAGACAATAGACTCAGAAGCCTGTGGAGTGAGAAGAGGGTGGATGATGAGAAATTAATAGATACAAAGTACACTACTCAGGTCATGGATACACTAAGAGGCATGTAAGAAAATTACACATGTATCCCGTAAATTAACATACATTTTTAGAAATTAAAAAAATTAAATTGTAAAATACAAAAAGCTTGAATATTTACACATACTAATTGCAATCTTAGATCAATTGCACAGGCAATCTAGTCTCATTTCAGTTGTTTACAGATGAGCAATTGGAAAAATATGACTCTCACCCCTGAAGCTAACCTTAAAGCCAGGGAGTTAACTAGTAAACTTAGCACTAGAGAGGCAATATTAAAATCATACTTGTAACTCATAAAGTAGTTCACAGTTGTGAAATATTAAAATTTATACCATCAAGGGAATTTCTACTCAAACTAATCACAGTTACTAAGTAGTTGCTAAACTCAATTGCTTTTAATCTGTTGAAGAAGTGAATATGTGAGTATAAAGACATAATTAAATATTAGAATATTATAATCAATTATTGTTGAAAGACTTTATAATATTTACAGTTTGGTTCATTGTAGCAAAGCCATGTAACCTTAATTTAGTTAAAACTCTCCTTAAAGATTAAGATTATTCTAGCTTCATTACTAACTACATAGGTCTGTCATTTCTCCAGATATCCAGTTGTTTTACATATCCAGTTTTAGTTCTTATACGCCAGTAGATGTAGAAATGTGCTTAACCACTGTTTAATTCTGTATGGATTTGTAAATGATTGCATTTGAGTCTGTCTTGAAATTAACTCTTGCATCTTTTGATCTTTTGCAGAGTGCTTCTTTTGCCCTGATATTTGAATTTTGGTGTTACCAAAAAAAAAAAAAAAAAAAAAGAGAGAGAGAGAGAGAGAACTGACATTCTCTTAAATTAGGTCATTTGTTATTTTTTCAAGATTTTAAAATCATATCTAGTGTCAGCTTTCAACTTCTCAAACTGAAAAATCCTATTTTCCTCTTTTTAGACTTTATGGATTCTTTCATTTTATCAAAATTAAGGCCACATTTTAAACTTTATTTATATTATTCCCATTCACGATAGGATAAAACATACTGAGCTTTTTGACCAAAAATGTCTCAAATCCTCAAAAAATGAGTCATTGGCTCCTATGAAGAGGATCAGACTGGACACAGCAAAATGTTTACTGGGGAGATGGATCATTCAAAGAGCACTATGAAAATATAAGCTAATTCTATGTATCCCAAGCAGAAAGAGATTCAAATGTTTACAGCACCATTGAAAATTCTAGGTTTATGAAGTTTAGAAAGTCCCTGGAAGTTTCCATCAATTACCCTATTTGTCTACAGTTCCACAGTGAATGATCACAGGAAGCACTGTAAAACCTTAGCAAAATCCAATGTTAGAAAGCTCTGTAATCCACACATCTGTCTGTGGCTATCCCTTGAGAATAATGTTTTGTTCTTAAATCCCAAGTCTCAAATTTTACATTAATCACTCTCATTGGCCTAATATGAGAACTCTCCTGGTAAAGAAGTTAGGGAAATACAGTTTCCAGGCTTTTAATCATTGAAGTACAAAGGATAATTTAGAGTTTTCAGCACAGATATTTGACATGATTTAAAACATGATGATTAAATGTGTATAGTTCAGTCATGACAAAGAGTTAATAGTTCTCATTTGTTACAATTTGTTTTCTTGAAAAAAATATGACTGTTATATTACAGAACAAGTACAACTGTGACATGGATGAAAATCATAAACTCATTGTTTGTACTTTTAAGAGTTCTATAATAGTTTTATTATATACACATTTTTCCTACTCTGGTAAAGAGGAGGGTGATTGTGCCATTTCTCTTTATCCAACTGCTTTCCTGCAGACACTAATTTTTCAGCTCTTGAAATCTTCCTAGGTTTATTTGTTTACTGGTGTTTATTTATATTAGTGTATATTACTTATGTTTTATTTTAGTTTTGTATTTTATGTATCATTTTATTATTGGCAATTCCGTATGTTCATCATCTCTGTTTATAGAACCATTATTGAAAATCATGTATGATATTTAAAATAAAACTATATGTAATTCAAAAAGCTATAATTTTAAAATATCACTGCATTTGGTATCACATAGTAATTTAACTTTTAAAATTTTATTAATTTAGCTATTAACATGTATGAGGTATGGATTTATCTTTTAAATGGCTCCAGACCCCTTTATTTTTCAGTTAACGTATGGCTTATTTTCAGGTAACAACACAAAACTTAATGTTGCCAATGAAATGAAAAATATAAAAGAACATTAAACCATGAATAAATTTGTACATGTTGCTTTGGAATCTTAGAATGATTACTTCCTTTCTCACTTCAAAATGATCTCTAATTTTTACTAATGTATTGAGTAGGAGAAATATTAATTCTGCTTAATTCTTTCTTGATTACTACTCATATATATGAGTGATATATATACACACACACACCATATATATGTATATATAATTACACATGTATACACATATAATTACAACTCATATATGTGACTGGTGTGTGTATATATATATACACACACTATATATATGTGTATATATATGAGTAGTATATATTTATCTATGAAAATCACCTCTACCCTACAATTTATCATTAGCCACAGAGATTAAATTATATAAGAAATTATCTATTATGATCACATAGTCATGATTACTTGTTTCCAAACATTTTTGAGACCCAATTTATAAGATATACCTTAAATCCCAAACTAGAGGAAGATCTGATGGCTTTGTGACAGAATACATGTACATGTTGCAGCAATTGGTTCTTCTCTTTTGGTTCTAATTAACTAGTCCAAATCTCAAGGCTAAAAACCTAAATAATTTTAGTGCCCTTGCTCATGAACTTTTACCACAGTTACAAAAGTATAATGATATAAGGATTATTTTCTTGACAGTTTGCATTTTCTTATCCTGTTTGATCTTATTGAGTGACTAAAATATCCAGTGGGATGTATGAAAGTTTAAGACAAAAAAAAAGATAGTTGATTAATAAGGAAGACACATTCTCTAAATGAATGGATAAATAGATTTCATCACATTTGAAAAACATTTCGCAGATCCTAATATTAACAAAACTTAATTTTCAATTCTGAGCCATTTTATGATGCTCATACTTTAAAAAGCCTGAAGAATTGCTATTAACTACAGTTTTATTTTTCTATCTACTGTTTCTCCTATATGCAATCAAAAGCATTGTGGTGCTGTACAAACAACATTAATCTGAAGTTAGAAGACCTGTTTTCAAAATGTGATTCTTTTTTTCAGATGACCTTGAAAAAATCACTCATTTTCTCTCCAGTCTCACTTTAAAGAACCACCATAGGCCAGACGTGGTGGCTCTCATGCCTGTAATCCCAGCACTTTGGGAGGCCGAGGCGGTAGGATCACAAGGTCAGGAGATCGAGACCATCCTGGTTAACACAGTGAAATCCCGTCACTACTAAAAATACAAAAAATTAGCCGGGCGTGGCAGTGGGCGCCTGTAGTCCCAGCTACTCCGGAGGCTGAGGCAGGAGAATGGCGTGAACCCAGGAGGCGGAGCTTGCAGTGAGCCGAGATCGCGCTACTGCACTCCAGCCTGGGTGACAGAGAGAGAGACTCCAACTCAAAAAAAGGAAAAAAAAAAAAAAAAAAGGAATTTACATGGTCACTAGCTGGACCCAATGGAAGTGGGTTAACAACTCATTTTCTATATATATCTAGTCTAAATAATGAAGTAAATTCTTAGATTTGCGGATTTTATGTCATGAGAGAGATACAAGAATTGCACACAGAGTAAGATGAATTAGATAAAATAAGTAACCCCTTGCAGAAGCCACATGCTATTGGTCACATCTGACTCTAACCTGCTAAAAATAAAGTGTAATTTCTTTAAATCTGTCTCAATCTTCCAGGGAGTCAGAATGAGTAAAATACTTTCTCAAAGCAAGTTCTTCATACTTGAGAGGTAAATTGCCTCTCCTGAGGCACAGGAAGGAACTAATATACCCAAGCAAAGGTAATTTCTCAGGGAGTCTCTTCTGGAAGAATTGGCTAAGCAACGGAATATTTTATGTATGTAAGCTCCTCATGAAATCAAGTTCGATATAGACACAATTTGCACTGTTTTCCTCCAAACTTAATATCTAAGTTTTCCTTGTAAGTCTATGCTTTAACATAATAATAAATTCATTGACAAATTTACTATTTCTTGAGGGCACTGCATGTTCAAAACACAGTGCTAACTACAGTCGTTACACACTTGAATCATGCCTAAATGTAATTCTCAAATGCCTCAAAAGTTATTCTCAAATGCCTTAAAAGTTGTAAGGTCATGTTAGGTCAGCCCAAAGCACCATGGTCTTTATATACACATGATACGCACATTGCACATCAGAAATAATCAGTTGCTTCCCTATAACATGCTAATAGTCATTGTGTGATACAAATGCTTTATGTTCTGTTTTAGTCTTGATTTTTATAAATTTTATTGTCTACACTGTACAGCATGATGTTATACATATAGATATATAGAGAGATAATAAAGTTGCTACTATAGTGAAGCAAATGAACATATCCATCATCTCACCTAGTTACTCTTATTATCATACCACATTATCAACTATTGACCTCATGTTGTACATCTCTAGAATTGTCCAATCTACCTATCTGCTACTTTGTATCCTTTGGCCTTAAGAATCCCCATATGATGAGATCTTGCAGTATATTTCTTTTTGAGTCAGGCTTCTTTTACTTAACAAAATGTCCCCCAGGTTCACCCATGTTGTCGTGGCAAATGGCAAGATCACGTTCTTTTTAAAGGTGGAATAATATTTTATTTTATATGTATATATATATCACAGCTTCTTTGTTAATTTGTTGACATACACATAGGTTGTTTTCATATCTTGGTTATTGTGAATCAAACTGAAAGTAACGGCCAGGTGTGGTGGCTCACGCCTGTAATCCCAGGACTTCGGGAGGCCAAGGCGGGCAGATCACGAGGTTAGGAGATCGAGACCATCCTGGTCAACATGGTGAAAACCCGTCTCTACTAAAATACAAAAAATTAGCCAGGCATGGTGGTGTTCCTGTAGTCCCAGTTACTCTGGAGTCTGAGGCAGGGGAATTGCTTGAACCCAGGAGGCGGAGTTTGCAGTGAGCCGAGATTGCACCACTGCGCTCCAGCCTGGTGATAGATCAAGACTCCGTCTAAAAAAAAGAAGATACTGAAAGTAACATGAAAGTATAGATACCTATACAATGTGGCAATTTCATTGCTTTTGGGTATATACCCAGGAGAAGAATTGCTGGGTCATAATATAGTTCTAATTTTAATTTATTTAGAAATTTCCATACTATTTTCCACAATGGCTGTACCAATTTACATTCCCACCAACAGTATTCAACGATTCCTTGCTCCACACTGTCACCCACACTTATCTTTTGTCTTTTTGATAATAGTCATCCTAATGCTATGAGATCTCTCACAGTGGTTTTGATTTGCATTTTCTCTGATGATTAGTGATGTTGAGCACCTGCTAATATAACTGTTGGCCATTTGTAGGTCCTCTTTGGAGAACTATTTTTGAACTTGCATGCATTTCTTTATCTTCTTGCTAATAGTTTTAAGTCTTACCAACATGCACTCAATTGATAAATTACAATAATTTGTAAGGTTTCTGCATATGATTATAAAACATATAGGCAGATATATGTTTACCTATATATGTATATATAAACACATAAATATGTATATCCAGATGTGCACGCTTTCAAGTCACAAAAATAAATCTTCTTTGTTGGGGAAATAATTCAATGAAGAAATAATTTCTGGAAATATTATGTATTATTTTTTGTCCCTAGTGATTCAGAAAGCCTATTAAGACATATATAAACAACGTTTATTGAAGATACTGAGATGTTCTAAAATAAAGAAATATAATTAAATTAGACTGACTCAAAATTTTCTAAGTTTAATTGACTAAAGTATTACACACAACACATATTTATATCACGACTTCAGGCTGAGTCCACAGACATTGTGAAACCCTTTAGTAGAGTCATAGGATTTATCTTTAAGCAGCAAACTGCTCTGTGGCAAGACAGAAACATTGTGTATTTCAAAGTACATTTAAAACACAATGCAACTTGGCATATTAAAGTTCTAGATTAATATTCTAGACTACCACCTCTCAAAGTAATATGGAAAAATATATTTCTGAACCAAAATCTTCACAAATGAAAAGAGCAGTTAATAATACATAGCTCAAACGTTTGTGATTATATTTGTTGATTATATATGTAAAATGTATTCTTTCAGTACCTATTATGCAGCAGATAGTAGTATTCAACAAAAACTAGTTCATTTATCCCTCACTTAACTTGTTAGATTCTTATTTGCCATTTTCACATTACAGAATTCTGACTCTGCATAACTAGCCTCACAATTCTACTGTACATTCCACCCAGTAAACACGGAAGTATGAGGATTGAAGGAAAAGAGATAAGACTTGAGCAAACTCACCTTTGAGAGAATGTTTGACTTTAACATTTTAATTCTTCTTAATTCATAAAAAGATAAAGTACATGGATAATAAATGTCAATTCTAAACTATCTGGAACATGCCATTGATGTATAAGAAGTCCCTGACACACATAAAAATTGTACTTTAAAAATATAATACAAAAATAAATATAGAGATAAGGATAGGGATAGGAACATACACACATACACATTGGCACTCAAATACATGTATTTGAGGAAACCAGATAGGTAAAATATATAACATGTTGTACATAGAAAAAATAATATCTACCATACAATTTTTACATTCCTGTATTCTGTTTATTTTGCCTTAAGTTTTGCTTAACTCCCAGGGAATAGAAGTTCAATTTCCACCTGGTATACACCACTGACTAGGCTACCTTCTAGACTTGGGCTTATATATTAGGCTGGTGCAAAAGTAATTGTGTTTTTTGCCATTAAAACTGATAACTATCTTTCTAGGCCAATATTCTGTCACAACTGTGTGAACACAAGAGCTTGTGAACAAAATCACAATGATTAAGCTTCATTATTATTTACTTAAAATGTTTTAGAGCTTTGGCTTGTGGGCTAGAAATTGTTAGCTTACCTCCTAATAAATATTCTCTCCTTTTCTTATTAGTAAGAAAGTGTTTAGCTCAGCAAATAGACAACACTGCATTTTCTTTTTCCATTGAAACTGTATTTCTGTGATGAATTCTATGTGTGGAAGTACTGTGAACAACACCCTGATTAGAGTCTTAGAAGGAAATTTTCTCTTTTCATCCTGCTTGCTGGTAAGAATAAGTACCTAATGTTGAGCCATAATGGTTCATGAAAGAAAGACAATAACTTTGCAACGGTGGAGAAAAAGATAGCTACATCCTGGATCCCTGGGAAACCTTGTGGAGCAGAGCCATTATTCCATCTGTTCTTCCTACTTCCAGATTGATATTAATGAGAGATATAAACTTAACTTAAACCAGAGCTATTTTGGCTCACAGTTACACCTACAGCTTAACATATATCTTACCTAATAAACAATACCTCATCTTTGCTTATCTTTTATTAATTATTAAAACACACATTTAACCAAATTATAGGCAGCATACAATAAAAGTATAAATATGGGCTTTTGACGCTCCTGGTCCTAACAATTCACAGAAAATAAAAAGCATAGAAGAGCTTGTAAAACACTTCTATGATGTATTCAGAAAAATTTGCAATATTGAAACTCTGCAAATTAAATCACTCAGTTTAGTGAATAAATAAATAGTAAGAATAAAAAAAGTAAGGATGGGGAGAGGGTTTATAGCTGCAGATATTGCAAGGCACAAATCAACAAAATGTCATAAGTGGATCTTGTTTGGATTTTGATTGTAGCAAATCATCTTTGAATTTTGCATGAGACAATGGGGTATTTAAGTACTTACTGAGCATATGAAAATATAAAGGAATCATTGTTTATTTTCATTTAGATGTTATAATGGTACCACTGACACTTGAACAGCATGAGTGTGAACTGTGCAAGTCCTCTTGTAGGTGGATTTTCTCCCACCTCTGCCACCTCCGTCACACCAAGAGCAACTCTCTATGTTTTTCTTCTCCTCAGCCTTTTCAATTATAAAGATTAATGACCTTTATAATCATCCACTTCCATTTAATGAATAGTAAATGTATTTGCCTGATTTTCTTGATAACATTTTCTTTTCTCTAGATTCTTTTATTAATGTTATAAGCATACAGTATATAATATAAATAACGTAGAAAATATGTGTTCTTTTCTTTTTCTTTTCAACTTTTATTTTAGAATAAGGGGGTACATGTGCAAGTTTGTTGTAAAGATGTATTACATGATGCTGTGGTTTGAGGTATGACTGAACCCATCACCCAGGTAGTGAGCCTAGTATCCAACAGGTAGCTTTTCAGCCATTGGCTCCTCTCCCTCCCTCCCCCTTCTAATAGTCCATAGTGTCTATTGTTCCCATCTACGTGTGCATGTGAACTAATACAGAAACAGAAAACCAAATACTGCATGTTTTCAATTTTCAATGAGCTAAGCTGCCACTTAAAAGTGAGAACATGTGAAATTTGGTTTTCTGTTTCTGCATTAGTGCACTTAGGATAGTGACCTCTAGCTGCATCCACATTGCTGCAAAGGACATGATTTCATTCTATTCTTTTATATGCCTGCATAGTACTCCATGGCACCGTTGATGGGAACCTGGGTTGATTCTGTTTTTGCTATTGTGTACAGTGCTGCAATGAACATATGGGTGCATGTGTCTTTATGATAAAACAATTTATTTTCCTGTGCATATATATCCAGTAATGGGATTGCTTGGTCTAATGGTAGTTCAACTCAGTTCTTTGAGAAACCTCCAAACTGCTCTCTACAGTAGCTAGACTACTTTATATTCCCATAAACAGTGTATATCTTTTTCTTCACAGCTTTGCCAATATCTGTTATTTTTTTGACTTAAAAACAAAGTCATTCTGACTGGTATGAGATGGTATCTCATTGTAGTTTGTATTGCATTTCTCTGATGATTATTGATGATGAGTATTTTTTTCTTATGTTTGTGGGCCACTTGTATGTCTTCTTTTGAAAGTGTTCATGTCTTTTGCCTGCTTTTTAATAGAGTTATTTGTTTTTTGCTTGTTAGATTAGGTTTCTTATAGATTCTGAATATTAAGACTTTTTGAATGCATAGTTTGTGAAGATTTTCTCCCATTTTTAAGCTGTCTGTTACTTCCTTGATCATTTCTCTTGATATGCAGAAGCTCTTTAGTTTAATTAGGTCTCACATGTCAATTTTTGTTTTTGATGCAATTGATTTTGAGGACTTAGCCATAAATTCTTTGCTAATGCTGACATCAAGAAGAAGCGTATTTCCTAGGTTTCTAGGATTTCTATAGTTTGAGCTGTTACATTTCAGTCTTTAATATATCTTGAGTTAATGGTGGTAGATAGGGATTTGTTATTGGTAAGGTTTTCAGTAAACAGTGGGCTACCAGTAGCTAAGTTTTGGAGAGTAACAAGTTATACATGGATTTTGAACTGGATGTGGGATTGGCACCCCAACCCCTGAATTGTTCAAGGGTCAACTGTATTGCAACAGTGCTAAATAAAGTCCATGTGTTTTATAGAGCCACAGTGAAATTTTAAGTTGAAATTGTATGATATGTGAGATCTTTCAAAATAATACAGATGAGGTGGAGGGAGAGGTTTAGTGAAGATATGTATGGAACAACAATGGTCACGAAATTAGAAGTGTTCTGAAGCTGAGTGATGGCTATACAAGAGGTTATACTTTCATTCATACTTTTGTACATGTTTGAATTTATTTATATTAGAGGTTTTAAATGGCATGAATTACATGCTTTGGAATAAGATCCAAACTTTCTAGTCTTAGTTCAACCACTTGCAAACTGGTAAACTTGGAAAAATTGACGTCTCTATTTCTTTGTTATATATCAATAAAATAGGAATAATAGTGATTATATGTGCTAATAGTTACTAAGAATAAATTAGCTCATATTTTAATGTATTTAGCATGTTAAGAATCAATAGATGTTAACATTGATTTACACTTACTCAGTGTTTAATATAGTTTGGCTGTGTCCCCACCTGAATCTCTTCTTGGTGGGAGGTAATTTAATCCAGGGGCTGGATAACCTCATGCTGTTTTATATATATATATATATATATATATATATATTTTTTTTATATTATTATACTTTAAGTTCTAGGGTACATGTGCACAATGTGCAGGCTTGTTATATATGTGTACATGTGCCATGTTCATTTGCTGCACCCATTAACTCGTCATTTACATTAAGCATATCTCCTAATGCTATCCTCCCCCCTCCCCCCACCCCACAACAGGCCCCGGTGTGTGATGTTCCCCTTCCTGTGTCCATGTGTTCTCATTGTTCAATTCCCACCTATGAGTGAGAACATGTGGTGTTTGGTTTTTTGTCCTTACGATAGTTTGCTGAGAATGATGGTTTCCAGCTTCATCCATGTCCCTACAAAGGACATGAACTCATCCTTTTTTATGGCTGCATAGTATTCCATGGTGTATATGTGCCACATTTTCTTAATCCAGTCTATCATTGTTAGACATTTGGGTTGGTTCCAAGTCTTTGCTATTGTGAATAGTGCCACAATAAACATACGTGTGCATGTGTCTTTATAGCAGACCTCATGCTGTTTTTGTGATAGTGAGTGAGTTCTCACATGATCTCATGGTTTTATAACGGGCTTTTCCCCCTTTTGCTCGGCACTTCTCCTTGCTGCTGCCTTGTGAAGGACACGTTTGCATTTTCTTCCACCATGATTGTAAGTTTCATGAGGCCTCCCCAGAGATGCTGAACTGTGAGCCAATTAAACCTCTTTTCTTTATAACTTACCCACTCTTGGGTATGTCCTTAGAGCAGCATGAAAACAAACTAATACAGTATTATTTATAGGTATTTTGTGAATTAGTTTAGGAAGCTAAACAGCATTTATAACATTTTTATGGGGAAAAACAGATTATTAATTCAAATACAAATTAATTTGGGGGTCATAGTCTCTTTATAACTTTCTAATTTCTAGAATTATTGTAACTAGAAATGCTTTACATTTTTGCACATAAATAAAAATCTTGATAGATTGGCACTTCCTTGATTATCCCAAGGCAAAAATAAACAAGTCTCTTAGCAGAGAGATTTTTTTTTAATTTAAAAATGATTAAATGAAACCAATGATGAGAATATTTAGCAGGAGAGTCATGCAAATACATTTCTGTGCCATATATATCTAGGGAATTTATAGTAAATAAATGCATTTGATATCCTCTCTTTCTTTTTTTTTTTGTCTTAGTCATATGTAGAATCCACAGGATCTACTAATCATCTAAAAGGTTGCAAAGGGCATATTGAGAAAGTATTCATTGATGTACATTTGATAAATTTACATGAAATTATTGTGTCTGAATAAGTTTTTTGTCCTTTATAAGCGTAAAAAATGCAAACTTGCTTTCTTTTCCTTTTATTAAATCAGCACTTTTGGGGGCCAATTAAACAAATAGTCATGGAATTGAAAGATTTTTGATAAACTCTTTATTTCCACTTGCAATAGACATTTTCAAACCTTTTCTTATTTAATTTCTGAAAATAATTTAATCCTGAAAATCTTTCTGGAAGGCATTCTTCTCTTGACTTCCATACAATCACCTAATTCTTTTCTTTCACCTAATTTACTATTTCTTCTCATTCTGCTTCATTTTGCTCTTTTATGGCATAATCTGGTTATCTTGTGTTCCTTCTCTCAACTTGCTTCCTGAGAAATCCAATCTGTCAATGAATTTAGTCAACATCCAAATGTATATGCCTGTGGCCTCACAGCTTTATCTTAACAAGACTGTTTCTCAATGTTCAAAATCACATATTCAAGCATAGTTTTCCCAGCCAAATTACAAAATTCTCCCTAATACTTCTACATTCAATGTGACTTTTTCAACTTGGCAAATATTAATAGTGCATCTCTTCATGCAGTTGCTCAAGCAACAGGACAAGAACATGTACATCTTTGACTTCTTTACTCTATTAATTTTCATGTGTAAACACTACTGAATCATAATTTTATACATAGCTCACAGCGTTCTCTCTTCTATATTGTCACTACCCAATTCCAGGCCTCCATATCCTCTTACCAGAATGCAGTAACTTCACAACTGGTCTTTCTGATTTCATTCTTACCGTTTTCCTATCTGCTCATTGCTGAGGGAGTAGTTTCTCATAAGTATAGCTCTGTTACTTGTCTGTCTTATCAGCCTTTCCTGGCCCCAAATTGCTTTCAGTATAAGGTCAAAACATCTCAACTTTATATTCAAAACTTTAAACAAACAAGCTCTTGAATTCCCTCCAGTGCCATAGAATCAATAAGACCCATTTATTCCCCTTTGAATACATGTAGCTCTTTAATGTTCTTCTGTCTTTTTCACGTTATTGAATTACCTGGAAAATCTCCTTTCTTTTCTTTGAAAACATTTACATTTTACTGAGAAGTAGCTCCAACAACATTCTTGCCCTGGAATATGTGCTTATATCCACCAGATGCAAGAGGTCACTCCTATGTTGTTCTTCTCTGTCTCCCTATAACACAATGCTGTCATGATGTCATGATACACACATTATATTCATTATAATTATTGACTTTCTTCTGCTTCCTCACACTAGACTGTAGACATTTAGAAGTAAAAATCTTGATTATTCATCTGTAAACACTTTTCAAGATTGAAATCTCATGTGATCTCATGGTTTTATAAGGGGCTTTTCCCCCTTTTGCTTGGCACTTCTCCTTGCTGCTGCCATGTGTAGAAGGACATGTTTGCTTTTTCTTCCACCATGATTGTAAGTTTCCTGAGACCTCCCCAGAGATGCTGAATTGTGAGCCAATTAAACCTCTTTCCTTTATAAGTTACCCAGTCTCAGGTACGTCCTTGAAAAGACCGAAAAGTGTCTGACTTAAAGTAAGGCCTAGTCATGTTTGTGGATCTAGAATTTATCACAGTATGGTTGGCAAAAGATATATTTCCTTTACTAAGATAATTCAACCAGGGTTCCAAATTCTTGCATTCTATTTACAAGATTAAAGAGTATGTTGTAGTATTTAGGTTAAAATTCTTATATTCAATATCTTAGTTTGGCAAATCTGCCATTGTTATCATCCCTTTTCTCTGAAAAGTTTTGGCATAATTCCTTTGTTTTTGTTCTTCTTTTGGTGCTATCTGGTTTTTTTTTTTACAATAATGATGGCCCTATAGATTGGCTTTATTTCTAGCTGAAATAACAAGGGCAAGTTATCGAAAAGTCTAGTACTTTTCTTTGAATTGCGGAGTTTAGTCATTTTTACATACTCTATATAATGTTACAGATAACTTTGGATATAAACTAAGTTTTTCTTTGATAAGTTTTGGGTAAGGGTATATAGAAAATGTGTGGTCAGTGTTCAGTCTTGTCTACTAAGTTTGGAATTATCTGTTATCTTTGGTCATTTTACCAAAAAATAAAAATCAATCTGATTCAGGTCCCCCAATAAGGTAGGAGAAGAACCTGTTATTTCAAAGCCCTTTCTTTTCTTCAAATAATAGACTGATTTAATGACAAAACTCGGCTAACTTTTTATAAAATTTATTTCCAAACTTTCTTTTACAAAGTTATTTTCAACACATGAAGTCTTTTACTGAACATGAAAGCAGTAGAAGCACATGAAGAACTGTTAATGAAAAATAGTTTTTAATTAACCTCACTATTTTCCATTAAGTTAGGTAATATTTCTGTTTCTGTATAACAGGGAAATTTTGGCTGTTTTGAGTTATTATCATATAGTAATAGTAATTACTTCGTGTGGTATTACAAGCTACCCAAAAGGTAAAAACGAAAAGGAAATCTTAAATTGTTTGAGTAATTGATGTAATATTAAAATGAATGTATATCTTCCCATGGTAGTGATTTTTATGAATAATATTCATTAACATGTTTCTTTTAAAATGTGGCCTCATTATCTAGAGCTATTTTTTATGTATAATAAACATTTCACTCTAAGCCTTTGGAAACAACTTGTTGCAGAAATGGGCTAAGTTTTGTTTGCTTGTTTGTTTTTGTTTCGTGTGTGTGTGTGTGTGTGTGTGTGTGTGTGTTTTCTGTGAACGTGGGTAGACTACATATCCCATTTTCTTTAACAGAGGTCAGGTAACTGTGTTCTGCCACAGATGACAAGTGTGGATCTCTGGCACAATGATCTGTTCTTATCCCTCCTATGTTCTATAGAAGAACCAAGCGTGGACTTTAACCCCAACGGGGAAGTTCCATGATTTTCAAACAATAAGGTCTCATCATATTCAAACTCCTAGAGTGATTCCTACAAAACAGCCATCTTAGAGAGTTTCCCAGAAGTAAGATAGTATTTTGTTAATTCACTGACAATACAGGAGTTTTTGCTGTATTACTTAACATATTTTGACTAGTACAGAAGCAGAATACTAATGTGACCCACAAAGAAACAGAAACATATACTAAACCATGTGATGAAACTCATCTGACTTAGATGTCAGACCATGTGTCCACTGAAGTGCTAAGGGCAGAGGATAGAAACCAGAATGCTGGAATGTGTGTTGGTTGGTATGATGTGTGTGTTACACAGTAAAATTACATATGATTTGAAACAAGAACTGGCCAGTTGGAAAACATAAATGAAAGTGAGTAGAAAATGACCAGAAATATAGGGCCTTGAGAGATTGGAAAAAAATATTGTTTATGGACTCCAAGCAGTAAAACATAAGACTGAAAATGATTTTGAATTACAAAATGATTTTGAGTTACAAAATGATTTTGTGTCACAAAATGCTGTTAAGATTCAGCTTTGGATCAAAGATCAGATTAAGGATGTGGTTTTTCCACTCAAGACTATCTTAGATAACCTCCAGATAACACCTAGATATATCACATAACCTCAAGGTATATCCTTTAAGCACAAAAAAATGTAGTGAGATGAGTGCTAATAAGCAAAGCAATCAATCGATCTTGAAAATGCATTCTAAGGGAAAAAAGTAAAATCTTCAGGTATGATGACTATGACATAAGACTGTTTCAAAACAGCTAATTTCAGTATATACTAAGATTTTGAGTTAAGTGTCCTGCCCCAAAAGAACAAGGCCATTATTAAAAAAGCCTTTGTTTATCTGAAAAGCAATCTTGGGGGCAGTGAATTTGTTCCAGAAGGAGATGCTGTGCCAACACAATGCAATGCCTTTGGAAAGTTATTTCACAGGGTTTGCTTCTGAAGGAGCCAAATAGAATGGTACCCAAGGGCGAAGTCACAGGTCATGGAGAACAATGAACAGAGGAGTTCCTAGCACAGAGCAACATCAGTTTCTGGTCTTGAAGTGATAATTTATATTGACGAATAAAAATTGTGGGGTACAATGTGATGTTTTGATATAAGTATGCATTTTGTGTGATCAAATCAGGATGATTAGCATATTCATCACCTTAAGCACTTCTTTGTGGTAAGAATAGATCTGACGTTCTACTGCATAGTTGAGTGACTGTAGTTAATAATAATGTATTATATATTTTAATACTATGTCAGTTTTTAATCAAATATAAGGTTTTCACATTCCATGCCCAGCAGGATTTCAGAATTGCTATGGATGAATATACACCTGTATATTTCCCATTCTTTCCCTTGTCAAACTGGAGTTCGAAATCATTACATGTTGTCTGCATGAATGAGAGTATGGATAAAGATAATTTGCCTTTTTAGTCCGCATAATGCCAAACCCTAAGAAGCAATATGTGACTAATCCCTACAAGACATTAGACTTTGAAATGGTTAAATGGTTGCAAAAGTTGATGAAGACTTTTTTGTTCCGTTGCCAACCACTATCTCTTGATGGCTTGTAAGTTTCCATCACTTGTTCACTTTGTTCCTATGCTATACAGGCAAAACACTGGGAAATTATATGTCCCAGCCTCCCTTGCCAGGGAGAACTGGGTTAGATTCCACAAATAATGAGACACTTTCATGAGAAAGGGAGATGTGTAAGGAGAGAGCGGACATGAGTTTTGAGCAGCTTTTGAGTCAGCACACACAAATCACTGATGTTACAGGCAATTGCAATCATGAAAAAGTCTCTCCAAAACGCAGAAGAATTCTGATTTTGCCACAGTGCAGAGCAGTTTTCCAGGATATTTGCTTTTGTAGATTTTTCCTTGTTTTTAAGCATATAATTCCTTGTATCAAACCCCTTCCTTTTATAAGTTTTTTTTAGCATATAAATCCTTGTATCAAACCCCTTCCTTTTATAAATTCTGGAGAGGTTTTTATTTCTTGATCATCACTGATTAGTATATATCCCAAACAAAGGGTGTCTATTATACGTGCGCAAGAAGAGAGAAGTAGATATTCTATGTCAAGAAAAGTGAAATGTGGCAAAATTTGGCTAACTGCTCACCAAATCATTTTACTTTTGTTTTTAGGCACAAAGCTAATCTACATTTCCCAACCCCCCTTGTAAGTAATACAATTATGTGACCACCTTATAGCTAAGGTGGTATACCGGCCATACACAGAAGATTCCCCGGAGGACTACAAGATACAGGAGAATGGCAGAGCCAATGGGTGAAACAAAACTAAGCCTTTAAGTCACTGCTTGAAGGAGAGCCACCCAACCAGAAAGGTCTGTGTTGAGCTCTTTATACGTACAAATAAACTTTTATTGTTGTACTCCAATTACTTTCTTTTTGATGTTACAAAATTTAGTCCACCGTGTGTAATACACAGCTATTTAATATGAATTTTGTGCCAGAGTTGAAATATAAAATATGCATTATTTCCATTGTTTCTATGAATGATATACCCATTAATTGTGCACACGCTCACGGACAAATATTCAATGATTTCTTAGCACAGCATTGCCAGAGAGTTGAAAGCGAAGGAGGAGGAATAGGGAAGTAGCAACGGCTTGAAAACACTGGGCTCTTTCCTGAACCAGCCTTGACTGAATAATGAACAGATTCAGAGTCAGACGTTGCTACAGACATCAGATTACTATATCTTAGACCAATTGTACTTTCTGCATTCTGAGATTCAGGCTCTTTCCTCTTAATTTTTGCTGTTCAAAATCATGCTGCCTTCCTGATTTTCTCATATCCATGGAGCAATGGCACAATGGAAAGAGCAAGACATTTGAACACTAGTGCATATGTCAGCAAATCCTTGCTATTAAGGATTTCTACCTTCCTTTTCTGCTATGCAAAATACAGCTGGTAGTGTACACTTTCAGTGTGTGATAAAGGTTTGAGTTAAAATGAATTAATGTGTGCCTAAAATAAATGGATCACATTAGAAACTCAGGGAATAATAGTTTGTTCTATTTTCATTACTGACTTGCTTCCATTGCTTTTCATTTGAATATCACACAGGTTAGAACTTAGATATCTATTGCCTTATATTAATGATCATTTTACCAATGCCAGTATCATGTACTAGATATAGAGTCTTAGATATGTAATGTAAGGACATGCTCTTTGAATATAAAATAATAAGTCCTGCCTTGAAAATTAAAGATAAATTAATAGAAAACTAACAAACATACCTGTTCTTAATTTTATTATTAATTAAAAATTTTGAGAGGATAGGCAATGTCTAACTATTTTCATCATTATAATGCCCAGAATATTGTTGGACTACAGAGTAAAGAATTTAATGAATGATTGAGTGGATGTAAACTGACTGATTCTGAACCAAACTACTTTGCTAAGATTTTTGCTTATTTTTATATTCCTGTGTTTCCATATTTTGACATTCGTCTTACTTGAAGTCATGCTTTCCAAACTATGATGAGTTTAGTTAATTCCTAACCCAGCGTTTTATAAAATATGCTGCATATGACAGTTTTTTAATATGTTCTATGAAAAAAATAAAAAGTAATCTGTGTCCAATTAAGTTTACTGTACACTCTCTAGGGTATTTTACTCTTAGAGACTGATGGTGTACCTGAAGATATGAAGGGCTCCATCAACTTGAGCAGTAAAGAGACATTTTTACCTCTTCTTGTCTCAGTGTTTCTCTAATGCTTCTGCCAAATGAAACGTCCCCACCCTCACCAGCTACCCCAGTCTTCATCACGAGGTACTTATTAGCAACTTTTCAGAGCTAATATAATATTGAAATACAACCCCAAATCTCCATATTAAGCCTAGAAGAGTCTACCCTATGAGAAGTTACCTTTCCTCACTAATGTCACAATTCTCTTAGAGACCTGGTCATTTCCTAGGATGCCTGCCTATGCTCAGTATGTGTGTGCACCTGTGTGTAATTGTCTGGCTGTACAGAGTAGCTAACCATACATCTTTGGGCTTTTTCTTCTCATACCTAGGATGGCGCTGGGGAAGACAAAGGCTATCAGAGCCCTCTATGCTAAGAACAGCTGATAAAATAACTGCCTATCTACTTACCAACCAGTGTAATTGCTCAACATTTTATTTCTGTCTCAAAGTCTTGGCCCACTGGTGTTACAGATGGGCATCTCACTAGATGCTTGTGTTGTCTTCCTGTTTGTGTCTTCTTATAGAACTGTTCTGTGTGATAGAGAACTAATCTTCCTCTATCTACTTGGCTAGCCCACTGCCCTGGGTTCTTAGACTCAATCCTGGTTAGGCTTCACACATCCTGAATTCTGGTTTACATTACACATCTTGCTCAATAAAAGCAGCCCTTACCTGCTCCTTCAATTTTGCCTTTATTTAGTTTTTTTTTCCTCGTCTCATATATCTCTAATACCTTTATTTTACAAGAATTTTCAGAGAAAGAATTTTCACTTTTATGTTGTCAAATCTGTCAGGTTTCCTTCATTAATTCTAACTTTGGTTTGATTAGTAAAGTCTTCCCTTCTCTACCCCAATATTATTAAATTTTCTCCTGCAACTGCTTTTAGTTTATTTAAAGCCAAATATGTACCCCAATTTAAAAAATGTAGGAGCAAGTTAACTGAAGCTGTCATTTTGTATTGTGTGTTTTTATAAGCCTGAAGTTAATCATACTCATAATATTGCCTTATGATTTTCTTGATTGTATCTAACCTTTTCCATATAATGTCTCTAAAATGTTCAAATCTTTTTTTCTTTTTTGCTCATTTACTGTGATTTTTTTCCAGCCAGGCTTCTGCTCTTGAAATGTCATGTCTAGAAATCTTTATTCAAGTCATATAGCCTCGTCTGACTTTCTGAAGAACTGTCATTCCATACCTCCTTAAGACTACTATCCCTAGTCATTTGTTTTCTGCAACTAAAGTTTACTGATAGCACATTTTCTAAACTATTTCCATAGCATGAACAAGCTACTTGGGCTAACTGCTGTATCAAAAATATATAAATATAAAAACAGATAGACATTCATATAATTAAGATTTTGATTTTTAACAATTTATCATATAACAGTTGGGGATAAAAATAACGAAAACCAGTTAATTAACTAGTACAGATACTTCCAGTGCTGGAGAAGCTATCATGGTGATTGCAGCTCTTCTATTTATAGAGTAGAATTTCACCCATAGGCATAACTCTATCTCTGTATATTTATCTGTCTATCATCTACTGTAAATACCAACATTATAGCTTATCAAGGGCCCCATTCAGCTGGAGGTCAGTTTATTTTCCATTTAATGAAGAAAAATACATAGCTGCTTTCTCTAGTCCTATAAGTGAAAAATTTGAAATGCAACTGCAACCCTGTGGCAGAATGTAAACTATCCTTAATAAGTTCATGTAGAATATGTTTTAGGAACATCAGCCCCCCAGTTGAGATCTATTTACTTAATTCACCTTTATTAATTCTGACCTGTAGTCCAGTATTCCTGGCGTAAATTCTGCTACAGGCCTAGTCTACCTGGTTTATTGCTTATGGCCCTAGTTAATTACTGGGTTTGTCGCTCTCTTTAATTATCAGTACTGTTTCCCACCTCACTGTTCTGAGGCGCTGGACTTTTATGAGTATCAAGCAATCACTGGCTGGATGTTGTAGCAAATACATTTTGGAATGACTCTCTTTTTCTCCCTTAACGCGGTATAGTTCCTGCCATTTATTCATCAGTTACTGTGTATTGAGTCTAGACTGAGTTTCTTTGGCTCACCGTTGTGCCCAATTCTGAGTTTTGTATAAGCCTTTGATTATACTCTAGAAAGATACTTTGTAAGAAGTAGTTTAAATGGGTTGCTTATTTTCTCTCTCCCCCTCTTTCCTCATCCTCAGGCGTTTAGGAATTCTTCCCATTTTCTCCACCGTATCACTGAAGGCTTAGCATACATTGCATTGTGCTATGATCAGCATATAAAAAAAAGAGTTCTTACTTTAAATTACTTTTACTTTGAGATCCAGATATTTCCCTTTTTCAATGATTTATAGTAAGTAAAATGTATTAAATATGGTTTTGCACCCACTTATTTATTCAACATAAACTTATTGATCACCTACTGTATGCTGGCCCTAATGATTCAACAATAAAACAAGACAAAAACTTTAATAGTCAACTGTGTGTTTTCTGGTATTGTGAAAAAAATAGTTCACATACACATGTCTAAATTTTATTAGATGCTAGTATATTTTCAATTTCTGGATAAAGTATACAGGCCAATTACACAATGACAAAGATAGTTTCCCATTTACTCAGGTCACTGAAAAACACTGATCACTTTGTGTTCAAAGCAGCAGCTATCAGTACTCTTGGGTATGTAAGAAACTAAAACAAACTATGTAATTCCCAAACCCTATCTATGTTGCCCTTTGCCAGTGCCAAAGTGAAAGGGGATTGATGGCAGTTTTGTCAACCATCTTCACTCAGAGACTTGGCAGCCCTCATGACAAAAGACATTTCAAGTCCTTCTTTTGACTTTTGCCTAATGAAATCCTCCCTTACCAAATTAATTGCCCCAGCCACTTCTATTTCTATGTCTACAAAACTGCACCCTGTTCAGGTTACAGTTTAAAACTCACAACATGTTCGATCCGTCTTAAAGCCTTTATGCTGTAGCTAACATTAAACTTGGCCCATTTAATATTTTACAGTCCATACTTCTTATAGCTCCCATACTTGTGCTATGGTTATAATTCTAATAGCAATTAGATTGTAAATTTCACAAAGACGAAAATAAATAGGATGGGAAACAAATTGTAATACTGCCTATACTTTGAGTAAATATATCTTTATTTTACACACCTGTTTGTTATTTGCAAAATATGTTCTCATATACTTGTAAAACAGCTACATGTAAACATTTTATCAATTATCACCTTAAGTTAATATTATGGAATATGGCCTAGAGGCTTTTTATACTTTCCTAATTTTTCACAAATGTTTAAAACTTTAAAAATTAGCCAAAAACAATGCATCAAGACATTTAAATAACAAAAAGCATTATGTAATATGCATCAAATGCGATAGAGGTAATATGAGTACTCCAAAAGTGTGTTCAAATACTCATTAGAGATGTTTAAGCACCTCAGTTCACCGAGCTTCTTGCTCAACTCACATGCAAATATAACACCTTATGCATTTTTTTTTTTTTTTTTTTTTTTTTTTGAGACGGAGTCTTGCTCTGACGCCGAGGCTGGAGTGCAGTGGCGCGATTTCTGCTCACTGCAAGCTCCGCCTCCCAGGTTCATGCCATTCTCCTGCCTCAGCCTCACGAGTAGCTGGGAGTACAGGCGCCCGCCACCACTCTCGGCTAATTTTTTTTTTCTTTTTTTGGTATTTTTAGTAGAATCGGGGTTTCACCATGTTAGGCAGGATGGTGTCGATCTTCTGACCTCGTGATCCTCCCACCTCGGCCTCCCAAAGTGCTGGGATTGCAGGTGTGAGCCACCGCGCCCGGCCCACTTTACGCATTTTTATGTGATTCGAACTTCTCTTTTCCTTTGTTCACTGATTAAACAAATATGGAGAACAACAGCATTCCAGAAGTCATGCCAAAAATAGGAAGTAGGTTAGTGTTTTATCTCCATAATGATATTGTTGATGGAGAAAAGCATATATTATTATTCTCACAGACAGATGAAAGGTGACTGATTTTTTTGTTATAGACGATGAGAACCTTAAATCAAATTACTAAAACACCAGTTGGATGTAAGCACTTTCAGAGGTAAAGAGTGTTGGAGCGGTATATTGTTTTAGATATTGGGGCTTGGGCTAGGTCCTCTTGAGGACTCGATATTTGAGTAGGGAATTGAATTATGGGAACAGTTCATTTGGATATATAGAAGAAGAAGAATTATTCAGGTCTAGGGGAGAAAAATATAAAGACTCTGAGATGGGGATGAGTTTGGTGTATTTTAGGAAAATCAAACTAGCATAGCTTGACTAATATAAGAAAGAAAGAAATTATGATGGAAGATGAGTTCAAAGAGAAGGGCAGTAGCATTCATAAAACAAACGTTTATTCATTGCCATTCATCTATCAGGCATTGTCTGTGTGTGGGAAAAAACAGACTTAGTCTCTTTTCTCAAAGAGTTTATTACAAAATAAGTAAATACGCAAAAAAAAAATTCTTTTCTTAGCGGGCTTTGTCAGTGTTTTCTCTGCACCTTACTTTGTAACACCTTTTATGCTATTTTTCTCAATTACTATCATTCTGGGTAGTATTTCATCTCCATAATGATATTGTTGATGGAGTAAAGCATATATTATTATTCTCACAGACAGATGAACAGAAATAGATTGATTACTAAATCTGATTAGGCCATAATTAGTAGCGTGATGGAAACAGAAATTAAATCCAAGCCTCTGACTTTATGGACAAGCTGAGAGATTTTCTTTGGTGAAATATCATTGCCAAACACAAACTTATCAGGGTGATCATATTGTAGGCTATGAATTTTTCTGGAACAAAGGTGGTTTCACTGAACATCACACTCGGTGTGCAGGCAGAAAGGGAAACTAGGTTGATCTACATTTTTAAAAAAATTTTCCTATGGCCACTATACTCATGCTCCCCTTATTCTAAATGGGACTTCACTATAAATGCAGAATTATAAATCTTCAAGTCCAATATTTGCAGAAAAAGTATCACATGGATTCAAGCACAACTTAAGGACTTTCACTTGTTTAATTTGGTTTTTGTTTTGTGGGGGTTTGATTTTAGTTTGTGGTTTTGTTTTGTTTTGTTTTTAAGGGGTTGGGGGGCATTAAATAGGGAAGGTATATTAAAAGCCAACATGCATAGTTTGATGAATTATTGAAGTCACTAGGGAGATTTACTCTGAATGTGTTTGTTTAAACATAGGCACACATACTTAAATACATGAATTTGAAATATACAGATGTTTAGTATGCTAGTAATAATCTAAAAAAAATTATTTAATAATCTGAAATATATATACTAATATTTTTATCATTTGTGAATCAGCTACATATGTGGGTGTAAATAATGCTCACTACTTGGAACGCTGAACTTTTCTTAGCAGTGTTTTTGGAGTCACAGTATGTGTTCTCTGGGCAGATGGGAAGCAAAAGTTTATTGGCTAGGGAAGTCTGTTTGCAAACTGCAAAAATAAAAGGAAGGGATGATGTAGTACAAAAGATGTTTCACTAAATCAGCGAAATTTTCAGTTTAGATAGCTCATCTATCCTTCAAAACAGTCTTTGAAAATTGATAAGGCTAAGAAGGGTGACTGACTTTTTTGTTATAGACGATGAGAACCTTAAATCAAGAGGGTGTCATTAAGAGTTGTCTAACCCTAAATCATTCCAGATTTATGAAATTCTTGTTTACTTTCAGGAACTGGTAGAGAAAATTTGCCCTAAATCTTTCAATAGACACATCTTAAAGAACTCGTATGATTCTACACTAATGAATGGCTGCGTATTCACACACAGGGGTGGAGACAAGCTGGATCCTTGGAAATAGGCCTGGAGAGAATGATTTATTTGGGCAAAACATGATGCACTTTGGGGATTTTTAGTTTTCACTTTTGTCTTTGTTTTATGTGTATTTTTTTCTCAGATTGGTAGGTACTTGTCTAATACTAAGTGAAACACAGTGAAAATATGCCTTAAAGAAAAGTCCTTGTGAAAAAGTATGTACATAGTATTTCTTGGATGATGAAATAGAGCCTTATATTGAATAATGAAGTAAATTAATAACATAATTTCTGTTCCTAACCAAATACTAATTTTACTTAAACACGAAACCTCTAGGATTTCATATATATGAAATTCTATATTATATATATATAATTAAACTATAGGAGATGATTCAAACTAAAACAAAACTATATCTGGACATATTATAACGTCATTGAAAAAGAATAAACCTGAAACCAGGTTGTTTTCTCAAGTACATTGTTATCACATTTCCAATACCTAAAATTACCCTCATCGTGTTTTTTCATTGTTTCTTATAATCAACATGATAATGACACATCTTTGACCTAAGCCCAGAAGAAGAGTTGGAATGTTATGGAATAATTTCACTTTCTTAGAAGAATGTAGTGAAAAAAGTTTCAGCTTGGAGTTCCTTGTACACCCCTAACTCTGTAAGATGTTGCCAAAATGAATAACAACTACAATTATAGTCAAAATAACACAATGTATTAGTTGGGATTTTTTAAAGGGTCGAAAAAGATCTGGGAATATCCAATTTTTAATAATGTATTTTGGACCGGCTAAAACAGAAATTTATCTATTCACTTCCCTGGGGGGTCAATCCTGTAGAAATTATCTGTGGCCTTCTGTATATTTCAGGGCATACAAGGTTGACAGATCTTGTCTCTGCTGCAGAATAAGCTATTCAGCTGCAAATTTGGGTAGCCTGAAGAATACATTTTGCCTCATTAAATATGTCTGGATCAGCTCGTTCCACTGGAATAGAACATAAAGAAAATATAGCTGTGCCGTGGTTGGGGGCGAGCGAGGGGGAAGAAAATGGAGATGGTTTAACAAATGACTCAAAGCAGATTTTTTGTTTTGTTTTGTTTTTTCTTAATCAGATTGAACGATTTAGTATACTTTTGCCAAATAATATCTCTTTCTTCTTCCTTTTTTTGAAAGGAGATGGACAAGGACGTAATGACTAAGGATAATAACTTGCTCAAAAAGACACTGCAATGTTTTGAGTCTAATGATGCCTCTGCTTCCATTTGAAACAATGGAAATTCCATACAGCTTCTATTACCTGGAACGATCAAGCCACAGGGCAAAGCAGAGTGCTAATACTCCTCATTGTCAAGATAAATGTGGGAAAACAACATTTATTTTGTACCAAACCTTGTAGCTGAAAATAAAGTACAATTCTAGATTTCTGCCTAAGGACAATTGTAATTAGAAAGACTAAGTGTATTTTCTTAGTGATTCAGCATATCAGGAATACTTTCTAATGATCATTTTGAACATTGGTTATCACTTAGAATAGTGCAGCATTAGAAATGATATGAAGTTGGAGTGTTTGCATTTTGAATGAAAGATGTAACTTACATATTTGAATTTTTTTTTTCAGTAATTGACATGTGCTTGGTCCCATAAATTTTTCTTCTATTGTCAAATAAATGGCTGTAAAACTATTGTGATTACTTAAGTCTTGGGGAGTCATCTAGTGCGGAGTTGTTCACCTATGATGACCTATAAGTTGAATTCCATACTTCCAATATATCTAAGAAATAGCCAAACTAACCAAGAAGAAGTGCTTTATCCTCACATATTCTCCTTAATTTATTAACACTAGTTATTGTTGGTCTACTATACTTACAGGACACAGATAGGCTTACTGAACACTATGCTCAAACTTATTATCTATTATATGTCAGTCATAATGTATTATTCCATTTAATGCTCACAGCATTGCAATGTTAACATTATTTGTAATATTTGTTTGTAGCAAAACAATTACAGAAAACCAGGCATATCCAATTCCTAAGATGCTTTTTACCACATTATCTTTATACAAATAAATATATATATAAAATATATATAATGAAATAAGGAAGATGAGAAAGGAAGGAAAAAGAAAAGGAATAACAGGTGAGAAGAGAAAAGAAAGAAAAAGGAAATAACACTATAGGGTACATAATATGTGGTAACTATTGTTTTCATGTGAACTTTTTTCTGGAAATTCTTTGGATATTTATAAATTTTTAATTCTGATTCGTGAAAAAAGAATAAAATGAGAAATTGGGAGAAAGTATTGCAGTTTTTAAAAATTTAATAATATATAATATATAAATTAAAATATTTTCACAGTAATTAAAGCTAAACTACCAACTTAGAGATGTTACTGGTTCAAGGAATGTGTTGATCTCATGTCTGAAGCAAGAACAGAAAATATGCATTCCCTTATACAAGCAATGGTTCCACCATCAGCCCTGACACCTGCACCAGATACATTGAAGGCACTGCAGATTTTGCTTTTGCCATCACCCTCTTTACCCTGTATTCAGTCATTCATTAAGTTTTCAATATTTGCTACCTCAAATAAGACATTTTTTCTTTCTCTTTTTCCCATTGAAATGATAGTGTCAGATTCTCTCACCATGAAGAGCAATACACTCTGACTATTCAATACCTGCCTTCTGAACTCCAAAGTAATTTTGAAATACTAGAAATCTAATTAATTATATCAATTTTTCTCTTTAAAATGTGAATAATCATTAAGTCTCTGTGATAGATTGTATAACTACTCATAAAACATGTTATTTACCTTGCCATGGTGCCCTTTCCTTCAGGAAATCAGTAATGACCACATGACATGGTTTGGCCAATTAAATGTGAGCAAAAGAGTCATGTGCCATTTCTAGATAAGAGTATTAAGAAACACTGCCACCATGATAATTAACACTGAGCCAGATAGATGTTGTTTCACAAGCCTGAGTAATGAACCAGGGTAGCAAATGGCTCTATTGGATGTATTTTGCAATAGGAGAAGTAACACTTGACTTGTGATTATAGGCACTGAAAATAGAGTGTTTATTTATTTAATTTTATTTTTCCATAAGTTATTGGGGTGCAGGCGGTATTTGGCTACAGGAGTAAGTTCTTTAGTGGTGATTTGTGAGATCTTGTTGGATCCATCACCCGAGCAGTATATACTTATATACTGCACCATATATGTCATCTTTTATTCCTTGCTCCCCTCCCACTCTTCCCCTCAAGTCCCCAAAATCCATTGTATCATTCTTATGCCTTTGTGTCCTCACAGATGAGCTCCCACATATCAGTGAGAACATACGATGTTTGGTTTTCCATTCCTGAGTTACTTCACTGTGAGAGATATATATATATATATACACACACACACACACACACATATATATATATAATGGAATACTACTCAGTCATAAAAAGGAATGAATTAGCAGCATTTGCAATGAGCTGGATGAGATTGGTGTGTTGTTTTTTGTGGCAGTATAACCTAACCTTCCACATCTGCTAGTCTACTACACTGCCCATCACTCATGAAAAGATCTTTAAAACACCTAGAGTTTGACATGTTGGATGCTTTATCATATAATTCCTGCCAACACTTCCAGTTTCATTTCCATCCTTCTTTCCTATGTCCTTCTACTCTCAATATCATTTCAAATCCACAATGCTTCTCTGCCTTCCATGCCTTTAAACATGTTTTGGCACCTTTCTCTAATACTCATTACACTTCACATTTCATCTCCTCGGTGAAATCTTCCCTGAAGCATGTAATCCAGAAAGCTACTAACCTTGTGTTCCCAAAGTGGTCCACACATGTCCCAAATACTGTATTAAGTGGATAGTGTTATAATATGTTTCACATATTTATATCCTTGACTAGATAGAGCAACCTGTTGGGGACACAAAACTTACTTAATTCACTTTTGCATAAACAGTGCCTAGCACGGTGTGGTGATTGTGTAGCTATTCAAGAAAGCATTATTGAACATGTAAATAATCAATAAACAATGGATTTTGAGGTTAAGTTCTGATTGTTATTAATAAGGAACATTAAAATATGATAATGCTTTAGTAGCTATGGATATTGACTATAGAAAACATGATCAGATTTTGAATCATCTATTATGCTTTAAAAAATACACATACTAAGTCTGCCACTTCCCTTTAAAAACATTCACAGCAGATGAAGGGAGCTGGCACGTCATCACTTTAGCTTTATTCAGCAATGGCCATTCATCCACAGTTGCAAAACTCTTTTCAATATTTAGGAATTTTATCACTGAACAGGAGGAGTCTTTATAACTATTTTTCTTTACTATACTGTCACAAAATCTGTGCAGTCCATGAGAGCCCTGTAGTTAATGAACTGGAATCCCCTTTTCAGTGTTTGAGCATTCTTTCTTTTCCACCCTCCCTGCATAATTTTCTTCCTTTTGTTACAGAACAAGTCTGTACAGTAATCTGCACTTAATCTCCATATCTTATCTTCCCAATTCATCTTGTTGGATAGAATTCAACATCCTATAATTTTACCCTCCATTGAACTAGAATAATTTCTACATTTAGATTATTCAGAGCCATTAAGAGAACTTTGTTTTCCACCAGCATTTAATTCTACTATAATCCACTGTCAAATGCATTAAATAACAGCATCACAGACCTTTCAGGGGCAAAGACAAACTGGCAAGGAATAGAAAGTGTTTAGAAATACCTTTGTGAACCACTATAATAATCATGTCACTATTATGGGGCCATCATATGTATATTCTATTTTATGTGAAATCAAAATCAGTTGCTCAAATAACAGTCTTTGCTAAAGTACACAATGCTAGTTGAAGCCCCTTCTGAAAGACAGGCTACACAGAGCTGCTCAAGCTTCATGGCAGATATTTTCTATTTGATAAATGACAATCACAAATTTCGATGATTCAGAGGGCAATGAATAGCTACATCTTTCTTATAACTTAATTGGGATGTGAAGTAAACAACCTCCAAAGAGGGCTATGATCAGTAGTTTTCCTCCCTGTGGGTGCATGTCATTTCCCTGTGAAAACATGAACTTTACTTCTGTCTTCCAGACTTTCAGAGAACTGGCAATGTTTTCTCTCTTTTTGTTTAGAATACTTCTTGGCATCCAGATGCTATGCTGTGAGGCCCAAACAGCCACATAGATAAGCCCGCAAGGCCCCAGGCCCAGTGGCCCAGCAGAGCTTCCAGCCAGCAGCCAACTCTGACCATGCACGAGACCATTATACACCTTCCATTAATATCAGAGCCACAGTCAACATCATCTGATAGAGGACTGTTTGGTCAACCACCCAGTTACAAGAAATAAGAAGCGTTTTTATTTTATGCCACTAAGCTTTGAGATAGTTTGTTGTGCAGCAGAAAGTAACTGGAACAGAATTCTCTTATGCACTACATTTAGAATTAAACAGCTAGCTATTCTACAGAGAAATTAACGTAGCTTTAAAGAGAGTGCACCTGAAACCAGACTTCCTGGTTCAAATGCCAGTTCCATCACTAACCAGGTTCATGACTCTTGCTAAGCTACTTAGGTTCCATGAATCACACTTTTTTTTTTCCATTTAAAACATAAGAAACATAGTTAACAGCCATTTCTTTTAGAGTGGTTGCCAGGGTTATATGTGGGTAAAACAAGCAAGCATAATGCTTAGAATAGTGTGTTGCACATAGTAAATGTTTATACTAGATATCATCAGCTTCTGGATGAAGATCTTGATCATTTAGCTGCCATTCAAGGTCCTTTGTAATCTACTCCTTTTATTCTTTTGGTTTTTATCTTCCACCATTCTTCCACCAAACTAATCTATGTTCTAACCAATCAGAAAAAAAGTTGTGTTTCTGCTTCTTTAACATGACACTTTTTCCCTCTCTGTTCTCTTTTCCACATTCTACTCGTCCTTCAGTCACTAGACGATTTCCTCTTTACTAACAGTTTCCCGATAATCCCACAAACCATATATATTTTTTTATCAAGTATTTAATGAGCAGCTTCTGTGTGTCTGGGTTTGCAGATAGAATAGTATAGACGGTCAGATTCACTGTTCTGTCAAGGCATATAATCTAGTTTTTTGTTTTGTTTGTTTGTTTGTTTTGAGACGGAGTCTCGCTCTGACCCCCAGGCTGGAGTGCAGTGGCGCCATCTCTGCTCACTTCAAGCTCTGCCTCCTGGATTCACGCCATTCTCCTGCCTCAGCCTCCCGAGTAGCTGGGACTACAGGTGCCCGCCACCATGTCCAGCTAATTTTTTGTATTTTTAGTAGAGACCGGGTTTCACCGTGTTAGCCAGGATGGTCTCCATCTCCTGACCTTGTGATCCGCCTGCCTTGGCCTCCCAAAGTGCTGGGATTACAGGCGTGAGCCACAGTGCTCTGCCGACACTAGTTATTTTTTAAGCAACCTTGTCTACATTGGTCTTCCAAGTCACTACTTTTAATCATGACTCATTTTTGGAGATTTTGCCCCTTATTCTTTTTTCTGCATAATAAAGTAATTTATTGAATTCTGAAGATATTTAGCAAACATGTACTTATAACAAATTACAGCATATTTATAATAAGTAATTACAATGTACTTCCAAATACTTTATCTCAGGGTGTAATAAAAATCCCATTAACTTCAATACTATTTGCTCCATTTTGTAGACACAAACGGAGACAAGTAACTCAGATACGTTAAGCCTTATGTTACCAAGCTAGTGCCTAAGTAGAAATCAAATCAGGTTTCCTGTGTCTGAAGCCAATGATCTCTCTAATTCAGTTACTTATATCTGTGAGCCCATGTGTTACAAATCCTAAGGGAGAATTGTAAATAATTATAACACAAATCCCTAATCTTAAAGAGGGAGAGCTATTGTGATCAAGGTTAGAGGAAGTAGAAAGAATGAGAGTAGGAGCATGAGCCAGGTTTATAGAATATGAACTGTGTAATTTACTTTTCCCCCACTTAAAAAAAAAGCAAGCATAATTCTATGACATTTATATTTGTGAGAAACAAAAATGTTAGGCAAAATAGGAAACCCTGCTCATTCTTTTATCCTTAATACATATGTATTATTACACAGAATAGTTATTTGTGTATACACAAAACACTCAGGGTAAACTTCACATTTATTAAAAATAGGTTTTCCAGCATATTGGAATAAATCTTTCCCTCCTTGGGGGATCATCCTGAAAATACTCTTAATACCAATGAATGATTGATTATATAAATTCATATTGTGGTGGTTAAGAGTTCAGCCTTCAGAGTCACAGTGCTAGACAAGATTATTGGCAAATGCTCCGTTACTTTAAGGCTTACATTTATGCCTTCGTAGTTCTGAAAATGACCACGAATTCATTCTGCAAAAAGCAAAGAAAAACAGGTATTTATAATAACTTCACAAGGAGGAAATAAAACCAAGTAACATGGATATATACTTCCAGAAGAAAAGTACATAAAGAAGAACAGAGTATTGCATGTGTGTATGAGAGAAAAGAGGGAGAAAGAGAGGGGAGATGGAGAAAAAAAAAGAAGTCTCTAGTAAAGCAAATCTAGGCCAAAGTAGTCTTAATGTATCTTTACCAGACATTCAAGTAGTCCCCATGGAACAAGGGAATCCATAGGGTACTAGTTTCTCATTCCAGGACACCACCCACTTCTGTCTTAGAGGCTCTGACCCACTATCACTTTTGTCTTGTTATTTCCAGAGAACTATTACCATGAAGTCTAGGTATCCAAGAGAGACATCAAGGCTTGCAAGCCTTTGTACAGTCACAGCAGTTTCTTTTTTTGTTTTGTTTTGTTTTGTTTTATCGAAGAAAAAAGTCTGAAGTTAGAGTGTTCTATTCAGCCAGAGAGACCTAGGGAATTCTTGGCACAGTAAAATTTTACTCTGCTAATGAGGCAGGGATTTTCTGACAACCAAAGTATTTATTAAGCCAAGGAGGTTAGAGTTCTCCTCATACTTAAATCAGCACATTTATCTTTAGAGAAGAATAATAACTAGTCAGTAATGGCAAATAGATTGCTTGTAAATTTCCAATTCTGGTAGTGTCATTTACAGATGGATCACCTAAGGATTATTACTGTGGTCCATAGCAAAATTTTTCTGAATTCCTTGAAGATTTTCAGACTCTTACCTAAAAACTGATGCAATGCACTTTATATTTGAGATTTCAATTTTTTTCTTTTAAAAGTGTGTTAAGTTTATCTCTTCCTTAACTTTCAAATAAAGAGGTATTTAAATATCACATCTAAAGGAGGCAGCTAGGGAATACAGAGTTGGGCAAAATATAAAGATTGTTTTTAGTCGAAAAATCTAATGATTATAGGAAAGCATCAGAGAAAGTGGGAAAATTTTTAATGGGGGCAAGGAGGAGGTGGAATTGAGAAGTAAGGTCTTCCCAATGCCAATTAAGCTTTGGAATCAAAATCCATAGAGAATTCAGAGATGGAGAGAGACAATTGATATGAGGAGACAGTCTCTCTATATAGAACGTGTACACCATATTGGGTCCTTACTCTGCATAGCAAAAAGGGCACATACACACAGGTCAAGAAATGAAGTAAAGCAGCTCGAATTCCCCTCATACCAAGTGCATTGCAGCTCAGTTTCCTAATACCAGAATAATCAAGGTTGCTAACCCTCTTTCCCCTTCTTCTCCACCCTCTTCTTTTATTTGTCATGATCCCCAAGACTGAGGAATGTGCCTTTGACAAAACCACAAGCACACGTAGGTGTATGCACATTTATTACTAATTGTGACCAGGAATGCCAATTGTCTTTCATTACTTTTTTTCTTTCTCCTTAATAAAATAAACCCTACGGTGATGGTTAATTTTATGCATCAGCTTTACTGGTCATGGAGCGCCCATATTAAACAGTAATTCTGTACGTATCTGTGGGAAGGTTTCCAGATGAGATTTGAATTGGTGGACCCAGTAAAGTACGTTTTTCTCCTTCAATGCAGGCGAGCATCATCCAGTTCCTTGGGGCAAAAATAGAAAAAAAAGGCAGAGGGAAGAGGAATTCACTCTTTTTTGCTTCCTGCCTGCGTTCTGGAGCTGGAACACCTCATCTCATCTTTGCCCTGACTCGTATTCACACATTAGATCTCCTAGTTCTTAGGCCTTTGGACTTGGACTGAATTTTAGCACCAGCTTTCCTAGATCACCAGTTTGCAAAAGGTGGGCTGTGGGACTTCCTCACCCTGATAATCTCTCTCTCTGTCTCCCTTTCTCTATCTGGATAGAAATATAGATATAAATGTTTTATTGGCTCTGTTTCTCTGGGTAACTCTTATTAATAAATCCACATTATAGTTAAATCCATAACAATGAAGACAAAGACAAGATTCACCAGCCTCCCTTGCAGATAAATGTATTCATGTGACAGAGTTTGGTTTATGGAACATTCTGCTAGTTCTACTTCCGTGTCTCTTGATGCTTCTCTGTCCATTCCATGTCTGCTGGCCTTAGAATCCCGAGACATTTTTTTTTTTTCTAATATGGGCTTCTCCACTGACTATCTCTAATTTCCCTTTACACTAGTGCTTTCTGCTCATTTTCACTAATAAATAAATAAATCCCTCTTCAGAACTGTTAGAGTCATGGCACATTTCTGCTTTTCAAAGATGACTCCTTAGTGCATAGAGAATAAAACCCGAATCCCGTAACATAGAATTAAGGATGTTTCATAGTTCCAACTGGACCCTCCTTTCTTATATTTATTCTACAAAACCCTTGTTATTCCAGACACCCAAAGTCGCTTGCTATACAGAAAATAATTATTTTTCCCTACCCATCTTTTCTATCTTTCCTTGCTGAGCCGTGCTATTTATATGCTATTAGCTATTTATACGGCTATCACTCTGTTTTTTTTTTTTTTTTTTTTGAGATGGAGTCTTACTCTGTAGCCCAGGCTGGAGTGCAATGATGCAATCTCGGCTCAATGCAACCTCTGCCTCCCAGGTTCAAGCAATTCTTCTGTCTCAGCCTCCTGAGTAGGTGGAATTACAGGCACATGCTGACACACCCGGCTACTTTTTTGTATTTTAGTAGAGATGAGGTTTCACTGTGTTGCCCAGGCTAGTCTTGAACTCCTGAACTCAGGCAATACACCTGCCTTGGCCTCCCAAAGTGCTAGAATTACAGGCGTGAGCCACCATGCCTGACCACTGATCTTTTTAAAGCAGAAATTGATTATATGCACTGCAATGATTAAAAATCAATTGCGTCTCATAACACAATCCACATTCCTGAATATGGCTTACATGACCTGACTCCTACTTGCTTTCCTCATCTCTTCTCATACATAGTCCTCTCCCATCATCTGACAGCCAAATCCAACTTCTGGAATGGGTCATGTTCTTTCCTGACTCCAATTTGTCACATAAAGTTTCCCAATGCCAAAATATTCTTCCCTCCCCTGTTACCCTAGTCAGCTTATACTCATTTTTTCCATCGAATCTTTACTTATTTATATTTAATTGCAGAAGAATTAGTTGGCCCTCACGCTTCCATCTTAGTCATGTCCTCTGTAACAATATCTTGTTGTCGTCTTTAATTATACTTTATATCAGGAGCCAATACCTCTTTCCTATAAAAGGTCAGAGAAAAAATATGGTAGTCCCAGTAGGCCTTAGGTCTATATCAATGCTACTCAACTCTGTCATGGTAGCACAAATGCAGCCATAGAAAACAGACCAAAAAAAAAAAAAAGATGAATATTGCTGTGTATAAATGGACATAATTAAATTCTGCCTTATTCACATTTTAGGCTAGATAATTCTTTGGTGTGGTGGACCATCCAGTGTATTATAAGATGTTTTACATCATCCCTAGTATACCCACTAGTTGTCAGCTGCAACCCCAAATTATGACAATCAAAAATGCATACGGGTATTACCATATATCTCCTGAGGGGCTATATTGCCTCCAGTTGAGATCTAACAAAATATAATTTTGTTTACAAAAAAGGCTGCAGGTGGAAGCTAGTTAACCCCTGGTTTGTAGTAAAAATTGTAATTTATATTCACATTTTAACATTTTATTTATATGTATTTACACATGTAAGCAAACACTGGATGCTGCTCTCTATCTGTTTGACTCATCACAATATACTCATTGCTTATAACAAAGCAAGGGGTTCGGTAAGTATTTCATGAGTGAATGAGTGAATGAATGAAATCATTAACGTCTTTTCAGGAGAGTCACTAGGTCAAAAGTCAGTATTTGAGGCATTGAAACAGAGAATGTAGCATTTAGGGATTTAAGACAGAGTAAACCATAGCATATTCAAGGAGAACAACAATAGAAAGAAACAAATGAAAAAACATTACCAGATGGTAGAGAAGATCCAAGAAAGTAAAGAGTTCTTTTAATATGAAATAGATGTGAAAGTAGAAAGGAAAATGACAATAAGAAAATAAATAAATAAATAAATAAATAAATAAATAAATAAAAAGTTGTTAGCAGAAGGAAGTGGTGCATAAATGCCTAATGAAAGAAAACAGAATTTATTCTCAAGCTCAGGTTGCTCCAACACCCAAGACTAGTGGGTACATGTTTAAAATGAGTTTCAGACTATGCTTTCTTTTCCAAATCTGTAGTCTATTGACTATGAAAAAGCAAAATTGCCCTCAGGCTAGAAAGGTCTATTAATGCTTCCATCAAGAACAGTCCTCAGTTCGCAAGGCAAGCTGGAGAGTGAGAGAAAATCTGTATCAGGAGATAATGCATTTCTCATGCTTAGGACCCTTAGGCCAAGAAGTTTCTGTTGAAGCACTTCTCATAGAAAGAGTCAGGGTCACCTTAATGCTTGGAAATGTGGGAGGCAATGGTGTGTCTAGATTTGCCTGGAGCCTATGGGTTGTGTGAGCTACAGGCTTGTATGTTCTGTTCCTTATTTCATTCACCTACATAAATGTATTATATTTGACTCCATCTCTTCAAGCATCATTATATCTGGAAAATATAATCTGTTTTTTAAAAATTAAACTGCATAGCTGAGTATGCATAGGTATTTTTTCTTTAGTTATATGAACATTAACTATGACTATTAAAATGAAAATTAAAATAATTATTAAAATATCAGGATTTACACAGTAGTATTTCAATATTTTTTTGAATACACCTTTTATCCCAGTCCCTACTTTCCTGATGTATTCTGTTAAGGTTCATTCTCTTTCCCTATATTATATGTTGGTCCCTATTTTTTGTGGTTTGCTTTTGACAATATCGCAGGTTGGTACAATCGAAGGGAAAAATTGTTGTGGTGAGAATAATCAATAAAGAATTTGGAGGCAGAAATAATTATTCAAATAGCGATTCTATTTCTTTCTAAAGTTTTTAAGTCCTCTGCTATTCAGTTATCCATTTTGAGAGAGAGAGAAATCTAGTATAATTATTCCCTATATTGTTCTGTTTGACAAATATATCAATTCATCCTTCCATTCTGTCTCATAGTAGGATTACACTTCTAGAGACTCTTGTTGTCTAAGGTCATGTAACCTCGGCTGGTCAATGAATTTTGAACACAATGTGATATATCTCACTTTCAGTCAAAGCATTTTGTTGTTATGTAAAACCAATAAGAGCTCTCCTTTTTTTTCTCTATAACTATGATGAAATCATTTCTTATTTTCATAGTCCATTAATTCAGGATTTAGCATTGGCACGATAAGTATTAGTATACCACCTTACTCCCCAGTGTTGACTGTATTCCATTCTTGCGTTGCTATAAAGAAATACCTGAGGCGGGGCGCGGTGTTTCACGCCTGTAATCCCAGCATTTTGGGAGGCTGAGTCGGGCGGATCACGAGGTCAGGAGATCGAGACCATCCTGGCTAACATGGTGAAACCCCGTCTCTACTAAAAATACAAAAAATTATCAGGGCGCGGTGGCCGGCGCCTGTAGTCCCAGCTACTCCTGAGGCTGAGGCAGGAGAATGGCGTGAACCAGGAAGGCGGAGCTTGCAGTGAGCCGAGATCGCGCCACTGCACTCCAGCCTGGGCGACAGAGCGAGACTCCGTCTCAAAAAAAAAAAAAAAAGAAATACCTGAGATTAGTTAATTTATAAAGAAGAGGCTTAGTCAGCTCATTGTTCCATAAGCTGTAGAGGAAGCATAGCAGCTTCTGCTTCTAGGGAGAATGCAGGAAGCTGATAATCAGGGTGGCGGACAAAGGGAAAGCAGCCTTCCACAGGGCCAGAGCAAAAGGGAGAGACCGTGGAAGTGCTGCACGCTTTTAAACAACCAGATTTCGTGAAAACTCATGCACTATCATGAGAACAGCACCCCCAAGGGGGAAATCCACCCCCATGATCCAATTATCTCCCACCAGGCCCCACCTCCAACACTGGAGATTACAATTTGACATGAGATTTGAATGGCGACACAGATCTAAACCATTTTACATACCACATACAAAAAACTATGAGCCATTTTTCTTTTCGGCTGTTATTGCACCATAACCTAGCCTGTCCTGACTGTATACAAATTGCTTCAGGAAATGGAGCTCTGAAGTAATATCTTACCTCAAATATGCAGCATTGTCTTGAGAGTCAGGGCACAGCCCAATCATTGGAAGCCGGAAGGATGTTCATTGATGATACTGCAAACTTTTGGTAAAACATTAATCCATGATAACCTGAGACAGTGATAGCATAGAAGTAGCTTGTTATTTTATGGGAGAATTTGGAAAAAATAAACCCTTAATTGTAGATCTTTACTATTCCCTTCATTTTAAAAAGTAGTCTAAGAAAGATGCTCTCAAGAAAAAATAGCCCAGTTCACAAATATGATTAAAGGAGAACAAGAAGAGTCAAGAAATTGGGTTCTCATTGAGTAGGAAGAGGCAATATTTTTAAACTAGAAGACATGATAGAAAAATTTGGGAGAGGCTTTGAGTCACAAAGACTGATTAAAATTAAACCTTCTGGCAAGAAATTGATTTAGACGATACATGACTCAGGGAAAAGACCCTGAGGATATGACTTTTTCATGTATGACTGATAGACTCGTAGCACCTTGCACTTAATTCCTGAGACAGTGTCATAGATAAAAGAGAGCAGCAAAATACAGAAATTTTGTTAAAGAAATTTGGGTGTGGAGATTAGTATATAAAGTTAGTTAAGACCAAGTTGGTAATAAGCCAACTCTGTTTCTGCCAGAATATAACTACACAAAGAACCATCAACCTGAACCAAAAAAGACAGCAACAACATAAAATTAAAAGTAATCCTTCATATTAATTTGCTGTGCTGGAATACCAGGATGCAACAAAATCAGTGACTTAAATCACAAAAGTAATTGTCTTACACTTTTAGTAGAAATCCAAGACCAGAGAGTTGGAGGGTTGGTTCTTTCTGAGGGCTGTGAGGGAACAATTTGTCCTGGGGCCGTCTTGTTGACTTAAAGATGGCCATCTTCTCGCTACATCTCTTCACATCATCTTCTTTCTATGTGTAATTGTGTCCAACATTCTTTCTTTTATAAGGATCATTCTGGAGTAGTCCACCCTACTCCAGAATGATCACATCTTAACAAATTATGTCTTCAACAAGGTCTTTCCAAATAGGTCACATACAGAGGTACTGGGAATTATTTCAACCTATGAATTTTGGAAGAGACATAATTCAACTCATAACATTCTTGGTCTTCCAACATTTCACAGGCAGGAAGGAGGATAAAAAACCTGCTCATGCTGGCTAATACGGTGAAACCCTGTCTCTACTAAAATACAAAAAGTTAGCTGGGCATGGTGGCACGTGCCTGTAGTCCCAGCTACTCGGGAGACTCACTTTAACCTGGGAGGTGTAGGTTGCAGTGAGCAGAGATGGCGCCACTACACTCCAGCCTCGGTGACAGAGTGAGACTCCGTCTCAGAAAACAAACAACAACAACAACAAAAAAAAAAAACAAAATAACTGCTCAGCCCTTAATGAAGGCACGTTCTTTTGTTTTTCTCAGATATAGCCAGAGAATATAATGGATAAAGAAGTTCCTCTCAAAGGTTGGATAGGTCAACAAGATTCTGTGGTTGCTGCAACTGTTGAATTCTAAATGAGATTCCAGTTGTTACACAGGCACTTAATATCTTCTCTTCCAGAAAACAAACAAATAAACAAACAAACTAGTATGTTAGGAATGTTAACACCTCCTGCTCACATAGTTCTTAAGAAACCCACTATTAGGATAATGTGGCCATTGTGGGACAATCTAGCCCAAGTTGGGCAAATCAGTGGTCTTCTCTAGAAAGTTAAGAAGTGTTAATGAGGACGGGGCACGGTGGCTCACGCCTGTAATCCCAGCGCTGTGGGATGCCAAGGAGAGCAGATCACGAGGTAAGGAGTTTAAGACCAGCCTGGCCAACATGGTGAAACACAGTCTCTGCTAAAAACACACACACACACACACACACACACACACACACACAAATTAGCCAGGCGTGGTAGCCTGCACCTGTAATCCCAGCTACTTAGGAGGCTGAGGCAGGAGAATTGCTTGAACCTGGGAGGTGGAGGCTGCAGTGAGCTGAGATCACACCACTGCACTCCAGCCTGGGCGACAGAGCAAGACTATGTCTCAAAAAAAAAAAAAAAAAAAAAAAAGCATTAATGAGAAGCCCATGCTAGTTTTTCTCACGGCAGCAGTAGGTGAGCATATATACAATAGCATCTGATGATCTTGTTTAGACAAATGAACTGAGAAACAGAAAACGATGGCTGGTATAAAAGTGAAGTGTGCAGCAGAGAGAAGTGGAGGCCAAAAGCTCTGCTCCTCGGCTTCTGGTAGATCTGCATCTCTTTTGGAGTCCATTCCTGGCATTTATTTTCACCCTTAGATTTCTTGAGGTGCCACAGCATGTTTCTGATATATCTGCTCTTGTCTTATTGCCGTTGCTGCTATTCGGATACAGTCAGAGTTAGTTTTGGTTGCATGCAACCAAATGGAGACTATTCCATACAGAAACTATCACCCAGAAAGGAGTATTACCAAGGAAAGATACCAATATGGACTAATCAAATTGAGGGAGATTATAGGGTAGTGAAGTTTCCCCTGTTCTTCTGGAAAGATGAAAAAATCATTTGTAAGTATTACAATAATTGAATATAAAACTCAGAGGATCAAACCCATTGATATTAATGCTATGTCTTAGATCAGGCAGTGGCACCAAGAATTGTTTCTTACCTAGAATAGAGGTTGTGGCTGCTCTGGGGGAATAAACATAAGAGTAGTGGCTTTCTCAGCCTCCAGAATCACCATAGTCTGCAAATGTCCCCCTTCTCATCCAGAGCTCCCGGATGACTGTATTTGGTTTCTTCATGAAGACATGAAGGGTTCAGCAAACGTTGTAAAAATGTTTCACTTTGTTTTTTCCTGAAAATTCAAAATAAATTCTTGCTCTGGAGTGAGACGAACTCTGTACACTTGTTCCACTTTCTGTATTTCTGGCCACTGAACACAATGAGGTGCAAGGAGAATTATAGGATGCTTTGGAGACACGACTTTTTTATTTCTTCATAATTTCAGTATCTGTGAAATGGCTTTTGTGCTTTTTACCTTGTCAGGAGTCATGGTGCGTCTACCTGACTGCTTCATTTGCCACTGTAATGCCTTGTATGCAATTTTTTGTTTTTTGTCTGTTTGTTTGTGTGTTTATTTCAAATACCTTATATATATATAAAATGAAGTGTTTTAGTTCAGTGAGTATTTCTATACATTGGACGTAACTCTGAATTTGCTGTTAGTCTACTTCTTGCTGCACATATCTTCCCAAACTTCTGTGATGTTATGCACAGCCCTTCTGCTGTCTTTTCAATCAAGACATGTTCCTCTTTTCAAATATACTGACCAGCATTATTCTCAGCCACATCTTCACTGAAGAAGCTGTAGTTTTTAATCTGCAGACATCTCCAGTGTTTCAAAATTGAAAAGGAAAAACATAAGCTTTATAATAGTTACAGCTGATAATAAAATTCTTCCAGTATTTCCTCTCTTTGAAAATAAAGGGTTTTTCATAACATAATTGACTTTCATCAGTTCTGCAGTCTCTCTGGTGGCTGAGCTGTATGTCTTTAAAATTTGCCTCCAGGCTATCATGAAGAGGAAATGTTCTCAACACCACTCATGTTACGGGATATATGTATATATATGAATATGGATAGGGACATTTAAAATAATTATACTTTGAGATGGTATTTAAGACTATTTTCCACTTGAAAACTACTAAGATATTTTACATACCTTCAGGGTTTATAATTATGAGTTTTCAAATATAAATAGATATGTAGATAGATATATAGATTGATATAGATATCTCTCTCCTGCCTGCTACGAAGCTCATTTTCTTCCTGAAATAAAACATGTAATTTCACATTGTTTCTGAGTAAAATTATGTTCATTGCCATTACTTTATAAAAGATACGTCTATGGTTAAATGAAAATTACAATAGCTTTAATGAATTTCAAAATAGATATATATATATAGAAACTGTAAGTCTGAATTATAGAAAACCTAAGAGATAGTTGTTAAAACATATGTCAATATTTTACTGAAGACATAAATTACTCTAAATATCAGTGGTTTTAGCAACAAAGTTTTATGTGCTCCATCTGCATCATGGCTGTTATGGGTTGACTTCCAAGTCCCTCAAGCAGCCCGTGTCTCTAATAGTTACTGACAGTTTCTTAGATTTTTCTAGGCACAAAACCACATGGAGAAGAGAGCTCTTACATGAGTAATTAAATAGAATTGGTACTACTCTTTGGCCAGGACTAGTCATGTGACCACATTCAGCTACAACAGGTGCAGGGAAGTTTCTCTTTTTATGTGCTGGTAAGGTAAGGAGAACCATTTACCAGTGAATGTAATGAATTATTTACCCAAGGAAGAATACAATTTGGACTCAGAAGTCTTACATTTCAATTTCATTATCATCATTTGCTACCTAATTTACATTTAAAAAATCAAATAGTTTTGCTACTACTTCCACTTTTATAAAATGTGGATGCAGCATCTATTGCAATATTTTGATATCAAATGAAACCTGCTAATATGCAAGAATTATATGTAAGATATAAAATATTGCTTTTACAGAAAAATCCAGGAAAAGGAAGATCCATTTAAAATAAGCAGAAAAGAAATTAGATTATTTGGTTCATGTATCGAATATTAATTAGAAATTTATGCATCTAGAGAGGAGAAAATAGAAGAAATTAATTCATTTGAGTGTGTGGTAACACAGTCACACAAAATGCTTTCTCTGCCTATTGCATTATGATTATTGACATATCAATAATTTAGTTATTTTTCTGGATCTTCATCAATAGTGTTGCAGCAAAAAGGTACTTTTGCTCATCTAAATAAGAGGTCTCTTTTCACATATTTTAAGAATTTTTATTGATAGTTTATCAGTGAAATTTTGATTTTGATTTTTTATATTTGTATATTCGTGAGCTCACCAAATAGCATACTTTATGTTCTAATAGTTTATAGCTGATTTTTGTGGATTTTCTAGGTAGTAATTATGTCTATGAATAACAGTTCTAGGTTCTAATTTTCATTATTCAATATTTAGACTGCTTCATTTTGCATTGGGCCTTGTCTAATTTACTGGCTGCATCTTATGGTTAGGAAAGTTAAAAACGTGTTGGAATACTACCAACAAAGACTTAAAAAACTGTAGTTTAGGCAAACAGAATGTTTTATTATCTTGCAAAAAAATAAATCCAGAGGAAGACAGCTTGGGGATTAGTATAGAAGTAACATCATACCATAAAGCCTAACTCTTAACTCTTTACAGAGTTAAAAGAGTTTGAGAATTGGTTTTAAAAAAATATGCTGATTGACAACACTATAAATTGCCACCTATACACTGCTGACTCTCAAATGTGTGTCACTACATAGATCTCACCTCAGAGTGTCACAGAACAAAACACAACCACCAACATGACATTTATATTTAGATATGTAATAGGCATCTCAAAGTTGTCATGTCCAAAACTGACCCCCAGTGTGGCCCCTCCTTTGTCATGCTTTTTAAATTCTTTTCTTTATCTCAACTAACTGAAATTCTCTCTCTCTGAGCCAGAGCAGAAATCTAGTGTCCTAGTTTTTTCAGACTGCTATAAGAAAAATACCATAGATAGAGTGGCTTATAAACTAAAAATTTATTTATCACAGTTCTGGAGGCTGGAAAGTCCAAATCAGGGTGCTAGCTTGGTCAGTTGTGGTGTGGGTACTCTTTGGGATTGCAGATCACTGCTGTCTTGCTGTTTCCTCACATGACATAAGAAGCGCTAGAGAGCTATCTGGGGTCCCTTTTATAACAAGGACATAAATCCTATTCATGAGAGTCACTCTCATAACCTAATTACCTCCAAAGGCCTGACTCCATAGCCTCTTCACATTAGAGGTTAAGATTTCAATGTATAAATTTGGAGGGAACATAAACATTCAGTCCATAGCCCTTGGGGATGTACATGACTAGAGGGCTTCTCTCTTACCACGTGATATCAGACCTTGCAGAAAATCTTCAGGATGACCCTTCATTATATATTCAGAATTTGACTACCTCTCATGAGTCCAACTATACCACCCAGATCCACAAAGCTCAATCAAATTTCATTTGGATTGTTTCCATACTATATTCCTAACTAGTTTTCCAATGTATGCCTTTGCCCTTACCCTCACAACAGCAACCAGAAAAAATCATATTGATACCCAAGTCCAATAAAGCCACTTTTATGCTCAATTCCCTTTTCACTCCACTCAACAACTTTTCATCCCACTCAAACTTGGGGATTAAAAAAATAATTATTATTATAAAAGTCAATATCTTACTATGACCTACAAGACCTTCCAAAATCTTACATCTGCAACCCTTTGACTTTATTTCTCTCACTCTCCCCCAAGTTTCTCTGTTCAGATACGCAGTCCTCCTTAAACTTTCTCAAATGTGCCAGCCCTCCTTGTCTCAGGCCCTTTGCCCCCGTTCTTCCCTCTTCCTGAAAGGCTCTGGCCCTTAATATCACTATGCTTCCTTCCACCTGGCTGCAGGCCCGTTCTCAAAGTCATTCTTCAGTGAGGCTTTCCTGGCAAACCTATCTAAAATCCACTCTACTTTCTCTGAAAAAAATTTATTATTTTTTGTCATTGCTTTATAGGTTCTATGTAGCACCTATCATCCTCTAACATACTACGTATTTTTTAATAATTTTTTCATTTCCATCTCTCATCAATATAATGTAGTTTCATGTAGCTAAGGATCGTTGTCTGTTTTCTCCACTGAGGAATCTCCCACATCTGGAATAATATAGTACCTAGTAATAAAATGTTACTATTAGACTGTTACCTACTACGTCTACCAAAAGTATTTATTGAGAGAATGAGTGCATGAATAAATGAATGAATGTGTATTTATTTTATCTTACCTTTCTGTTGTCTATGGTTTCAGAGTGAGCACTAAAGGCTCAGCTAGCACCTCTACATGCAATGCAAAAGAAGAAATAAAGGGGCCAGGCATGGTGGCTCACGCGTGTAATCCTAACACATTGGGAGGCCGAGGTGGATGGATCACTCGAGATGGGGAGTTCGAGACCAGCCTGGCCAACATGGAGAAACGCTGTCTCTACCAAAAATACAAAAATTACCCGGGCATGGTAGCACATACTTGTAGTACCAGCTACATGGGAGGTTGAGGCAGCAGAATTGCTTGAATCCGTGAGGCAGAGGTTCAGTGAGCGGAGATTGCAACACTGCACTCCAGCTTGGTCAATAGAGCAAGACTGTCTCCAAAAAAAAAAAAAAAAAAAGAACAAAAGATTGCCTAGTGTTACTTTGCCTAGTGTTAATGCTAATTAAACCTCTTTCAGTAATTTTCCCAAACCCTCATATAATTTCTGATGAATCACAATGTATTTAAATATCTATATAAAACTTATTGGTATATGAATGTTCTTTCATGGAGCCCTGTTTAGACTTAAAATCAGAGTTCAGCCAACTTTCTCTGGGCATAAAAGTTGTATATTCCTTAAGTAGTCTTTCTACCAAAGCTATGACAAAAATTAATTCCTAAGCTGTATGCTGAAATCAATCAACATAGGTTATCTTTTAAGACAGAAGTAAATGATTTAATTAGAACAAAGTTGTTTTTTTATCAGTAGAAAGAAACTTTAACACAAAGTTGTATTCAGTTTTATTGAAATACGCATTATATTTTTTATCTCTTTGTGATAATGACTTCTATGTTTCTAACTCATTCTAACTCACTAAACACTGTTTTTAGTGAACATTGATATGGTTCACAGAGCTTGCCAAACACTGAGCCAAAATCTACTGATCTACTCAGATATTATTATCCCAAAGACAGTGAAATCTTAAGCAACTTCTTCCCAGTAGCACGTAAATATTGTCATGTGTACCATGAGTCAAAAAGAGTTGGAAAAGCATGGGACTAAGTATTTTCTTTGGATTTATAACCACCAATAATCTCAGTAGGTAGTTCCTCTCAAATAATTTAACAACTAGCAGGGAATGGAATAAAACAAAGTACAGTAATTGAAACCCAAATTTAAATATTAATTAAACCTCTACGAAGCTTAGCAGTTACAGGTTGAAAGAATTATAAAGGAAAATTGTAAAGAATTATAAAAGAATTACCTTAATTCTCATACATATAAAAACATTGACAGACAATATTAATAATTCATTCACAGCTCATTGTGTGGCTATTTGACAGTCCTAGAGGGAAGTATCAGTGTGTCTACTGGATAGTTGTGTTATTTATAAATTAAATATACTCTGAAGTGAAAAGTAGCTTGTTCTCAGGAAGAACTATCGATGGCAATAGCAATGGTAATTCCAGGCCTCATTAAGTATCAGGCTTCACAAACTCACCTCTGCGATAGTGGATATTTGCTCAGTTCTTTTCATACAACAGATTCATCACAAATGTTACATTCCTCAGACTCTTGTTACTGCCTATTAAACTGACCACTTCTCTGATATGTGTCTTCAAATCATGTTCCCTTTTGTAACATTTCAGTGTGGTCTTAAAAACACATTCTCATTTAACCAGTGCATTCCAGGTGTGTTGAAGAGTAATATTTGCTTACTTTCCAGTCAAGAGCTCCTGAGATTTAAAGCTACACAATATTTGAGCAAAGTGCTTTTCCTATATAATATCTCATTTGATGCTTATCAGAACTAAGGAAATTAGGAAACACATATAACTTCATTCTGGTTTTCCAGATTAGAATGATGAGATAGTCTTCTTCTTTCTCCCCACCATTCATCTTAGCAAGTTCAAGAAACGGTTGTTTGATAGCCTCTGGAATTCAAACTCATTTCCAACACTTACTGATTCTGGAATTGATCCCATTGCTAAAAATCTCTGAGCCTGTGTTTTCTTATCTGCCCAGTAATATTAAAAAGAAAAATCATTTACCTCATAGGGCTGTTGTGAGTATCACGTAAAATAATTCCCATAAATCTTTTAGAGTATGGTGAAACACTCACGGGGTGAAAAGAGTATTACTTTTTTTCCCACACATTATAAGGGTCACAGTCAACACTTCTATATTGAAAGACAGAACAATAAGAGAAAAGCATAACAAATTTAATTAAGTTTACATGATGAGAGACTTCACATTAAAGATGCAAAGATACAGAAGAAACTATTTGATATTATACTTAGGTTTGATGAAGCAGTGTCAGCCTTGTAGAGATGTGATTGGACAAAAAGTGTATGAGCTAATGGAAATAGATTGATCGGGGAAAGCTAGAAAGGCCTCTCTGTTCAGATTCTTCTTGACCTCTCTGTGCAGCATTAATTTCTACGGGGTATGTCAGATGACCCTTTCTGGAACAGGGGTCTTATGACCCTACTATCGGACACAGTAGGTCAGAGAATTTCTTTATGGCCAGTTCTTACACAAACATGTGGAAGGAAGTTAGAGTAATATTTTTAGGTTTTATGGCTGACTTTGGAGAAATGGAGTTCTAGTTTCTCTGACCTGCCTTGGAGAACAGGGAATCTAGTTTCTGGTGGTTAACCTCTGGGGGAGAATGAGGCTGAAAGAAAGGGGGTCAGAAGAAGTTCGGGTATCATTTTCTGAGCTGCAACATAAGCAATACATACATGTTAGTAGACATTACGGATATTACCAGAATTTCTAAAATGTTTCCTCAAATTTCAATGGCCTAATACTTCTTCAACTGCTCAAATCATTTATATGATCCCCTTCTTCCCCTCCAAATCCCTTTTAACCAATGGATTTTTATTTAGATGTGTTAATAAGTCAAAGCCCTGCTCCCTCTCAGAAGTTATTCTGTTACATCAAGAAGAATTTGCATCTGACTGATCTAATGCATTATTAGGTTGTTAGTTTCTCTCTCAGAACAATCTCATTTTTAGGATGACTGGAGCATCAAATCATTCTTATGTTAAGCTGCTTCCAACCCACACACCATTTATTGCCCATAAGACAGAAAAATAATATTTAGGTATAAAGTGGGATTTGAAAGATAGGTCGGAGGTTAGAGTAGAACAATCCAAAGTGGATTATAATGAGTCAATTCATGACAGAACAAAGAAGACAGGCTGGGATCATTAGATGCAAGAGAAGCGCTAATTCAGTTAGGTGTAAAGATGTAGACAGTTCTGACTCATTTCATATCATGTATCAATTTGACAACCAGATAAACCTTATCCAAACTGAATCCAATCACAGGGTCTTAGGAGATTTACCCGTTCCTAATTAGTGAAAATAGCAGAGAAATATCATGTCCCTAATGCCCCCAGGAAAAAGAAAAAAATGCAATTTGTTAATTGTCAACTGCCAGACTGCTCTCCTTATGTGTCAGTCATGACAAGGAGGGTAGCTGTGGTCACTAATTTGATTCTTTAGTACAAGAGAAGAGAGGAAGTAAGTAAAAATATTTCCTCTGGTGGCTGTTACAATTCCACAGACATCCAGAACAATTCCTGTGAACAAACTCAAATGATTTCACATTGAAAATTTACAGCTGGATCAAGGAACAAGATTACATTTGTGCTTTCAATGTCACCAAAGGTGCTAGAGCAATGAAATGAAAGTTGCCGTATGCATGACCTACTTATGATACCCCACACTAAGTCTGTACTTCATAAATCTACCTGGAAGTTTATGTAGAAATGGCCTAACGTAACAGTGCAATTAGGAAGAAGGAATACTTACGTAAAGTTGTTTCTTTTCAATAATAGAGGAAAAACAAATCCTTTCAGTTTACTAAACCCGCGGTCAGACCCTATTCAAATGTTCAAAATGTTTCCAGAAAATGACAAACAAGTTAGTTCCGGGCTTGCAGATAAAATATTTAAATCAGTGTGCTTCTAAATCCATGCCCATCAACCTCAGTTGTACCTCCAACACTGCTTCCAGTCTGATTACATTTTCCTAGTAGGTTCTGGCCCATTGACCACACCAACAATTTCAAACCTTTTCTACAGTTCACCTCCAAACACTGACTCATTTTCTCCTCCAGCTCCCAGCAGATAATCATGTCTCATAATTCACAGAAAAAAAAAAATGAAGTTGTTAGCTTACCACCTCTTCAACTTTTGGCTACTAACTTATGAACTTACTTAAATCTGTCTCATATCTAGATGTTTCTTATAATTTAAACATGCTTTAGTTTCTCCCATGTAAAATGAAATTAAATAGAAACCATGCTGAACTCTTTATGCTCCTACAACTGTTGCTAACTGCTACAACTGTATATATTTGCTAATTTTACTTTCTGAAGTTTTATTTACTCTTTAAAATGCTCTACTCTGGTTTCAGCCCTTATCATGTAGGGCAACTACTAGCTCTTATTTTGTTCTGGTATGGTGGCTAGAGGTGCTCTGTGGACTAATTCGTCAGTGGAAACAACCATAATAGATGAAAACCACAAAATGGAAAAAAAAAAACCCAAACAAACAAAACAATCATTTAAAGTATATTTAAGTAAATTACCATAAGGACATACAACAAATGGAGAAATCATCACTCATGATAATTTACTAAACCTCAGAATTAATAAAAGTTTGGGACATTTGACCATAATCCAATTTCTATTATTCCCTTACATCAATTAGATGGAAGCTCTACTATGAAAGGGTTCACCCAACAAACCAGAGGTCTCTCTCCACAGAAAGTCCAATCTAGGGCTATAGTTTCTCACTGAAAAGGACAGATCCCCAGTATTTATCCCACCCTTGCCTTCCCACCAACTCACCTAAAAATATTGCCAAAAAATAGCAAATCTCCTCAAATTAATCTACACATTCAACTCAAGCCCTATCAAAATCTCAACTGGCATTTTTCCAGAAATTGTCAAGTTATATTAAAACTCATATAGAAATGCAAGGAACCAAGAACAGCCAAAAGAATCTTTAAAAAAGAACAAAGATAGAGGAATAATACTTCCCAATTTCAAAACATATTACAAAGCTACAGTAATCAAGAATGTATGGTACTGGCAGAAGGATAGACATAGACAAATGGACAGAATTGAGAGTCTAGAAATAAACCCTTATACTTTTGGTTAACTGATTTCCAACAAGGACACCATGGACATTTTACATACACCACACACAAAAATTAACTCAAAATGAACAATATAAGTAATGCACAAATAAAAACTATAAAACTCTTATATGAAATCATAGAAGTAAATTTTGACTGGGGTTAATCAGAGCTTACTAGATACAATACTAAAAGTACCAAAGAAAACTTTAAAAATAGACAAAATGGACTTAATAAAAATAAAAATCTCAACTTTTACATGGCAAACAATACCATCAATAACTTAACACACAAAGCAAATAATGGGATAATGTATTTTCAAATACTATATCCAACAAGGAATTATATCCAAAATATATAAAGAACTCTTACGATTCAATAATAAAGCTATAATGTAAAAATAGGTAAAGAATTTAATTAATATAATGTAAAAATAGGTAAAGAATGTCCTTATAAATTTCTCAAAATAAAGTATATAAATGACCAATAACACAAACACACACACAGAAATGTTCAATACTATTATCCAGTAGAGCTATGTAAATCTGAACAACAACTAGAATCCACTCACACACACTTGAATGGATATAATCAAAAAAGACAGATAACTGAAGTCAAAGATATAGAGAAATTGGACCCCAGTATATTCCTGCTGAGGATGTGAAATGGTGCAGTCGCACAAAAAAAAAAAAAACAGTTTAGTAACCGTTTCTTCAATGTGTCAAACATACAGTTGCCATTTGACCTAGCAATTTCATTAATACATACATATTCAAGAGAAATGGTAACATAGTCCACACAAAAGCTTGTACGCTAATGTTCAGAGCAGTATTATTCATAATATCTAAAACTCAAATGCCCATTAACTGAATAATGGATATATGAAATAACTAAAATGTGATGTAGGCTTACAATGGAGTATTAATCAGTAATAAAATAAGGGAAGTATAAATGCACAACTACAACATGGATGAGCCTTGAAAACAGTAGGCAAAGTTAAAGAAGGCAGTCTAATATCCTGTATAGTGTATGATTCCACACATATAAAATATCTGGAAAAGGCAAATCTATAGAGACATAAATTGATGGTTTTCCAAGTGTTAGGGGGAAATAGAGTGAGGAATTATTGGTAAAGAGGTATGCGGCTTCTTTATGGAGAAATAAAATGTTCTAAAATTGATTGTGATAATGGAGATTTATCTATCTTTATGAGTATATACAAAGACACTGAATTCTACTTTAAGGAAGAAAATTTTATAGTGCATAGTATGCACATTATATCTTAGTAAAGATGAAAAAACATATTTTCCAGAAATATGATTCCAAAAAATATGATCATGTAACTTCTATAGGTCATTGTTCTACCTTCCTCTCTTTCCATATACTATGTTAAACATAGATAAAATAGAAAAAAGTAGGAATACTAGTAAGAATAAAACATTAGAGAATATGAACTTATGATAAATTAAAAAAGAGATATAAGAAATTAGATACAGGAGAAAGGCAGTTGTCTGCAACTGAAAACAGAGCTACTTAACTGTCATTAATTAATTACCAAAAAGATCATTATCAATACTATATCTGATGTTTTTCCTCCACCCCCAAAATTGAGAATGTTCTTGGAAAGTGCTTATGAAATATTGATCATAGGTTGTTTTTCTTGTTTTGTTAGATAACTTGCTGATAACTGTCTTGCTAACTACTCAGAATGTCTTTCTCACCTAGAAGCCCCAGAATTTTCTGGATGGGCTCCCTCAACCAAGCTAGCAGATTTTGTCACATCTCCTGTACTAACACTTGGGGAATCTAATGATGGCATTATGTTGGTATCAAATAAGCGATGTTCTCATGAAGATGAGATAATGGACTTAGTCCTTAATACACAGCTTCATTGAAACAAGTTACACTAAAATATCCAAAGTTTCTTTTGTACTAAATCAAATGAGCCCTTTTAATTCCTTTCCTTTTTTATTTTTCCCGCCCACGAGAATTCAATACACTTACTATTTTCTACCTGAGGCATTTTTTTTCCTAATCCTTGTTGCAATTTCTGATGGAAATTATGAAAATATTTACCTGTATTCTTGTATTTGTGTCCCATAAACTTGGGTGATGGAAAATAAAAAAAAGATTGTGACTTTGACAGAGACTCCAAAACTGATAGCTACTTTTGGATTCCGTGAGATTACCCAGGTTTTCTCTTTCATCTTGTACTCTCCTTTTCCATCTCTTTTGCTTGTTTCTTGTAATCCTCAAACAAATTTTTAAATATCAGAAATGACAGGGACTCAAATTTAGGCTTTCATTGTTTGCAACCATGCAATTATCCTGAATGTTACCCTACCCAGTACTTTGGTTTCAATTATAATCTATATGTTATTTCCAAATTTAAAATTTAGTTCATCACTTTTTCTTGAGATCTGGAGTTGCATATCCACTTTTCTATTCAGAACCTTCATATCACTGTCTCAAAACATCTGGAAACAAATATTTCAAACATTAAAATATTTGAAATTATTTCTTCCCCTCTGCTGAACTAACCAAAATTATTAAATTGAGAGAAAATTTTCCTTCTTTTTCAGTGTTCACATGCAATAAATCATCAAGCCCTCATCATTCTGTCTCCTAAATAGGTGTTGAATATCCTCATTCCTCATCTTTACCACTATTTTCTTAGGCTAGTAGGTCACCATGATATTTACTTGATCTAAGAAAAGCCTTTCTATCTCTTCTCTGCTCCTGAGTCACTTCTCACCGACGGTCCTTGTGATCCTTAAAGTAAACCCTGTCTCTTGTCTTCAGAGAAATACTTGAAGTTCTTAACATGTCTTACAAGATTCTTTGTGATGTGGCTTCAAGCATATCTATTTAGGGTCTTTCAACATTCTACTTAACACGTTAGCCATATACTGCTCTTTTTCTTTATTTTGTCATGATTTCTCTCTCAACTTCAGGGTTCTTTGATATTGTTATTTAGTTGTTGTTATTAAAAATTAATATTTCTTTCTGGAGTTCTTTTTGTTTTGTTTTGTTTTGAGACGGAGTTTTGCTCTTGTTGCCCGGGCTAGAGTGCAATGGTGCGATCGCGGCTCACCTCAACCTCCACTTCCCGGGTTCAAACATTTCTCCTGCCTCAGCCTTCAGAGTAGCTGGGATTACAGGCATACGCCACCACGCCCAGCTAGTTTTATTTGTATTTTTAGTAGAGATGGGGTTTCTCCATGTTGGTCAGGCTGATCTTGAACTCCTGACCTCAGATGATCTGCCCGCCTAGGTCTCCCAAAGTGCTGGGATTACAGGCGTGAGACACCGCACCCGGCTCTGGAGTTCTCTTTCTTTTCCTCCTTTCACAACTCCTAATTATCTTTTAGTTGTTAAGTGTAATTTTCTTCTAGAAATATCCATGAAAGCTCTATGCTAAGTCAAATATTTTTACTAGATATTCCCAGAACATCATAAACTTCCTGCAATACAAAATTATTATGTTTTAAGATTAGTTCCTATTTATTTGCCTGTTCTCTGTACATGAAAAAAGATTCTTCATAAAAAGATTTTGCAAATAAGATTTCTCAAATGTCTTCAGAGGTTATATCTTCGTGAATATATTTTCAAATTTCCGTTGAAGTTTTTAAAAATATTTTTAGTATCTTGTCATAGTGGTTAGATTCAGTAAAATCCTAAAAAGAAAAATAAGTTGAATAAATGAGTGAATTAACTCAGAAAAGACCCCTTGCAATTTAGTACCAGATTATGGAGAACTCTAGAAAGGAGTCCTCTATGTTTATAAATATGTCCATCTAACAATTTAATATTCACTGTCATATTCCGTTTCAAAAACACTTATTGTTCTAGGAGATATAAAGGATTATATATATAATATGATACTTGATTTGGTATTAGGCATTCTGTCAATTCCCAGTATCTACCATTTATTTTCAAGAAAAGAGTTACCCAGAGTGCCTATAAAAATGAGATTTTCAGCTAGCTTCTCATGACGTTAGATGTCCAAGACAGCTGGCCAGACATCCTAAAAGGAGTAAAGAAATAAATTATCACAAGAGAAGTGGAATTAAAGTCCATTTCAGCTATAATGGCAGGAAATTTATATGACATTTATTTTAATACACTTGATAAGTGTAATGTTTGGTAGAATTTGTGGTATTCCAGTTTATAATCTCTCAAATGTCTATCAAAAAGCTATAGTTGCATTTAGATTTAAATTTTAACAATAATATGTAGCCATTAAATATTTTTAAATTATGTGTCATTAGTTCACCAATACTCTTAACATTATCCTGATTTTTAAAATTATATCTGTAGGATAGATTGTTATAAATAACTATTAATAAATAACAAAAACAACATATAAAAGAGAATCAGTGTCCAAAGACAATCAGTGTCAGAAAAAGAAAAAACAGAATCTATTGCTTTCATAAAGTATTTTTAAATGTGTGTGTGTGTGTGTGTGTGTGTGTGTGTGTGTGTGTGTAGAAACCTTTAATCTACAAGAGCTTCTTAGCTTCAAAGTTAGGGTATAGGTTAGGCCCACAATATGTTGGGTTAAACAAAAATCTCCCATTGAATAAAACTCAACTCATATCCTCATTTATCTACAAGAGGTGCTGGAAAATATAGAACCTCACTGAATGGCTTTGGACCCAGTTGAAATTCAAAAATTTATTGACAATTTTGGCACCTAGAATTGTTATTACATAGCACTTATTATAGTTTATACTTTTATATGTGTAATTATTTGTTTATTGTATGTTTCTCCAATTAGATTTTAAGCTCTTATAGATTTTGTCTGTTCTTCTTATCATTGTAGAAGGTATCACAAAAATTGTACTGCAGATTAAAATCTCACTAAAAATTTTGAGACATAGAAGATTTCCAAAGTCTAACATAGTAACTGAACCACAGCCAGTCATGAGTAGACATTTATTTAATAAATGAATAAATAAATGTATTTAAACATGGAAGGCATTTAGTTTATCTTACCGGATATAAATGCTGATGAACCCTCAACCTCGTTCACTATTTTTAAAGCTAGTAAAAAAAGGTAAATTAAAATCATAGTCAACAGAATGTTCAAGAGTGGGACTTCACATATGATAAAAAGTTGCTCACAGTATTGCCAAACAAGGAATCATTAAGTAGCATGCGAAACCCTGCATTCTTTCCAATGGTGCTCTAAAATATTCTCCACGTGTATCCAGAGGTACAAGGCATTCTGTCAGTTCCCAGTATCTGACATTAATTTTAACTTTTGTTTAAAGTTCAGGGGTACATGTGCAGATTTATTACACAGGTAAACTTGTGTGATGAGGGTTTGTGGGCAGATTATTTCATCACCCAGATATTAAACTACTACCCATTAGTTATTTTTCCTGATCCTCTTCGTCCTCCTACCCTCAAGCCTCCAGTAGGCCCCAGTGTGTGTTGTTCCACTCTTTGTGTCCATGTTTTCTCATCATCTAGCTCCCACTTATAAGTGAGAACATATAGTGTTTGGTTTCCTGCTCCTGTGTTAGTTTGCTAAGGATAATGACCTCTAATTCCACCCATGCATCTGCAAAGGACATGATCTTATTCTTTATGGCTGCAATAGTAGTCCGTGGTGTATAAATACTACATTTTCTTTATCCAGTCTTTTTTTTTTTTTTGAGGCAAAGTGTTCCTCTGTTGCTCAGGCTGGAGTGCAGTGGCACGATCTCGGCTCACTGCAACCTCCACCCTCCGGGGTTCAAGCAATTCTCCTGTCTCAGCCTCCTGAGTAGCTGGGACTACAGGAGTATGCCACCACATCCTAGCTGGGACTACAGGCGCCCGTCACCATTCCTGGCTCACTTTTGTATTTTTAGTAGAGACGGGGTTTCACCACACTGGTCAGGTTGGTCTCGAACCCCTGATCTCAGGCGATCCACCAACCCCGGCCTCCCAAAGTTCTGGAATTACAGGTGTGAGCCACCACACCCAGCCTTTCCAGTCTATCGCTGATGGGCATTTAGGTTGATTCCATGTCGTTGCTATTGTAAATAGCGTTGCAATGAACTATTTACGCATATGTCTTTATAACACAATGATTTATATTTCTTTGGGTACATACCCAGTAATGGGATTATTCGTTTAAATGGTATTTCCATCTGTAGGTCTTTGAGGAATTGCCACACTGTCTTCCACAGTGGTTGAACTAATTTACACTCCCACCAACAGTGCATAAGCATTTTTTCCACAACCATGCCAACATATGTGATTTTTTGACTTTTTCATAACTCCCATGCTAACTGGTATGAGACTGTATCTCTTCGTGGTTCTGGCTTGCATTTCTCTAATGATCACTGACATTGATTTTTTTTTCATATGATTGTTGGTCACATGTATGTCTTTTTTTTTTTTTTTTTTTGAGACAGACTCTTGCTCTGCCGCCAAGCTGGAGTGCAGTGGTGTGATCTCAGCTCACTGCAACCTCTGCCTCCTGGGTTCAAGCGATTCTCCTGCCTCAGCCTCCTGAGTAGCTGGGACTATAGGCGGGCACAACCACACCTAGCTAATTTTTGTATTTTTAATAAAGACAAGGTTTCACCATGTTGGCCAGGATGTCTTCTTTTAAGACACATCTGTTCATGTCCTTTGCCTACATTTTATGGAATTGTTCATTTTTTTTCTTGTAAATTTGTTTACATTCCATATAGATCCTGGATATTAGGCCTTTGTTAGACGCATAGTTTGCAAACATTTTCTCCAATTCTGTTGGTTGTCTCTTTACTCTGTTTATAGTTTATTTCTCTGTTCAGAAGCTGTTTAGATTATTACATCCCATTTGTCAATTTTGCTTTCATTGCAATTGCTTTTGGCATCTTCACCATGAAATCTTTGCCCATGCTTATGGCCTGAATGGTATTGCCTAGGTTGTCTTCATGGGGTTTTATAGTTTTGGGTTTTACATTTAAGCATTTAATCTATCCACAGTTACTTTTTGTATGTGGTGTAAGAATGGGGTCCAGTTTTAATTTGCTGCGTATGGCTAGCCAGTCATCACAGCACCACTTATTGAGTAGGGAATCCTTTCCCCATTGCCTGTTTTTGTCAGGTTATTTAAAGCTCAGATAGTTGGAGGTGTGTGGTCTTACTTCTGGGTTCTTTATTCTGTTCCATTGGTCTATGTGTTAGTTTTTGTACCAATATCATGCTGTTTTGGTTACTGTAGCCCTATAGTATAGTTTGAAATCAGGTAGCATGATGCCTCCAACTTTGTGCTTTTTGTTTAGGATTGTCTTGGCTATTTGGGCTCTTTATTGATTCCATATGAGGTTTTTACTTTTTGTTGGGAGAGGGGGTGCAGAGTCTCACTCTGTCAATGAGGCTGGAGTGCAATGGCATGATCTCGGCTCACTGCAACCTCCACCACCCAGATTCAAGTGATTCTCTTGCCTCAGCCTCCTGAGTAGCTGGGATTACAGGCGCGCACCACTGGAGTGCAGTGGCACAATCTTTGCTCACTGCCACCTCTGCATCCCAGGTTCAAGCAATTCTCCTGCCTCAGCCTCTCAAGTAGCTGGGACTACAGGAGCATGCCACCACATCCTAGCGGGGACTACAGGCACCCGCCACCATTCCCAGCAAATGTCTGGCTAATTTTTGTATTTTTAGTAGAGATGGTGTTTCATCATGCTGGCCAGGCTGGTCTCAAACTCCTGACCTTAGGTGATCTACCCACCTTGGCCTCCCATAGTGCTGGGATTACAGGTGTGAGCCACTGTGCCTGGCCCCATATGAATTTTAAAACAGTTTTTTCTAGTTCTGGGAAGACTGTTGATGCTATGTAAATAGGCATATCATTGAATCTCTAAATTGCTTTGGGCAGTATGATAATTTTAATGATATTGATTATTCCTATCCATGAGCATGAACTGTTTTTGTCATTTGTTTGTATCATCTTTGATTTCCTAGAGCAGTGCATTGTATTTCTCACTGTAGCGATATTTCACTTCCATGTTAGCTGTACTCCTCAGTATTTCATTTTTTTGCATCAAGTATAAATGGGATTGTGTTTCTGATTTTGCTCTCAACTTAGAGGTTGTTGGTGTACAGGGGTGTCACTGATTTTTGTACATTGATTTTGTACCCTGAAAATTTGCTAAAATTATTTGAGAGCTCAAATACCTTTTGGGCAGAGTCAATGGAATTTTCTACATATAGAATCATGTCATCTGCAAAAGGTATAGTTTGACTTCCTCTGTTCCTATTTGGATGCCCTTTTTTCTTTCTCTTGTCTGATTGCCCTGGCCAGAACTTCCAATACTGTGTCAAATAGGAGTGCTGAGAGGGTATACTTGTCTTGTGCTGGTTTTCAAGGGGAAGGATTCCAGTTTATGCCCATTCAGTATGATGTTGGGGCTGTGGGTTTGTCATATATGGCTCTTATTTTTTTGAGGTATGTTCTTGCAATACTTAGTTTATTGAGAGTTTTTAACATAAAAGGATGTTGAATTTTATTGAAATACTTTTCTGCATCTATTGAGATAATCATGTGGTTTTTGTCTTTTTTTCTTCTTATGTGATGAATCACCTTTATTGATTTGCATATGTTCAACCAACCTTGCATCCTGGGGATGAAGCCAATTTGATCATGGTGGATAATCTTAGCTATGTCCCAAAGATTCTGCCATGGTTGTATCTTTGTTCTCATTAGTTTCAATAAACTTCTTGATTTCTGCCTTAATTTCATTATTTACCCCAAAGTCATTCAGGAGCAGGTTATTCAATTTTCACGTAACTGTATGGTTTTAAGTGAATTTCTTAGTATTAATTTTTAATTTGATTGTGTTGTCGTCCAAGACACTGTCTGTTATGATTTCAGTTCTTTGGCATTTTCTGAGGGTTGTTTTACTTCCAGTTATGTGATCAGTTTTAGAGTATTTTCCACGTAGTGATGAGAAGAATGTATATTCTGTTGTTTGGTGTGAAGAATTTTGTATATATCTATTATGTCCATTTGATGCAGTGCTGTATTCAGATCCTGTATATCTTTGTTAATTTTCTGTTTATGATCTGTCTAATAATGTTAATGAAGTGTTAAAGCCTCCCACTGTTATTGTGTGGGAGTCACAGTTTCTTTGAAGATCTCTAAGAACTTGCTTTATGAATCTGGGTGCTTCTGTGTTGGGTACATATATATTTAGGATGGTTAGATTTTCTTGCTGAATTGAACTCTTTACCATTATGTAATTACCTTCTTTGTCTTCTCCTTTATCTTTGTTAAAGTCTGTTTTGTTAGAAACTATAATTGCAACTCTTGCTATTTTGTCTGTTTTCCATTTGCTTGGAAGATTTTTATCCATCCCTTTATTTTAGCCTATGTGTGTCACTGCATGTGCAATGGGTCTCTTGAAGGCATCATAACAATGGGTTCTGGTTCTTTATCCAGCTTGCCACTTTGTCTTTTAAATAGGGCATTTCACCCATTTACATTTAAGGTTAGTATTGATATGTGTGGATGGATTTGATCCTGTCTTCATGATTTTTTTTTTCAGCCTTGTTTACGTGGTTGCTCTACAATGTCACTGGTTTGTGTACTTCAGTGTGTTTTTGTACTGGCAGTTAACGGCCTTTCCTTTCCATATTTACTGCTTTCTTTAGGAGTTCTCATAAGGCAGGTTTGGTAGTAACAGATTCCCCCAGCGGTTGCTTGTTTGAAATGGATTTTATTTCTCCTTTGCTGATGAAGTTTAGTTAGGTTGAATATAAAATTCTGGGTTGGAATTTCTTTTCTTTAAAAATGTTAAATATTGGTTCCCATTCTCCTCTGGCTTGTAGGATTTCAGCTGAGAGTTCTGTTAGCATGATGGGCTTCCTTTTGTAGATGATCTGGCCTTTTTCTCTAAGTGCCTTTAACATTTTTTCTTTCATTTTGATCTTGGAGAATCTGATGATTATGTGTCTTAGGAGTGATCTTCTCATGGAGTATCTTATTTGGTTGTCTTCATTTCCTGAATTTGAATGTTGGCCATTCTAGCTATGTTGGGGAAGTTCTCATGGATGTATTTGCCTTTTTGTCCTCCTCATAGTGAGTACCCCTTGATTTCCAGCTGCTGGGTCAATTTTGCCTGAGTACCCAAGCTTGGGAAAGGAGGATTTAAAACTGGGCTAACACTGAGTTTCTTCACAGGATATTAACTCAAAAGGCCAAGCATCACATTTGTTCCTTACATGTTGTCCTCATGTTTTACTTGGAAAGGGTAATCAATTTTTACCTTATTCCCCTGTGTCCAAGTCCCTCACTTAGAAATACTCTTACCAGGCTAGATCCTTGACGGTTGGAATCCAGTCTTGATTATTTCGGAATAAACTCAGGAGAGTTGAGTCCTGTCCAATTCTGGGCTCCTAACACTCACTAGGAGATGTCTCTTCTACCACCTTGTACCTGATTGTGTCTGTACATATCCATGTTGCAGGATTTCTCCTTCTGACCTGTCCTTGCCTTTAAGGACATCCTTTACTCTGCTATCAATTCTCCACCAATTACACAATTAGATGCACTCTGTCACCAAGTCTTTGACATTCATCGCTGCTTATCTCCGAAGCTGCAGTCTCAAACAGCTGGAAGATCTAATTCCAGGTACCAACATTACTCAGTTTGCTTCATCCTAATGATTAACTTTTTTAAAGCCAGCTACGTCCTTACAGAAGGTATCTGTAGTTTTAATGTTTCTAATTTTATTTTTAACATGGAGATTCTTTAATGTTTAAATTGAAGTCATAAAAAATGTTTCTATCTAATTGATTTATTTTTACTGCTCCATCACTGATAACACATTTGGTCAGATCCTCACCAACTTAGGCATTGACTATTAAGATATGTTTTGATTATGAGTTTTCTCAGCATTTATATCAGCATATATATATATATATATACACACACACATATATATATACACATATATATACACACATATATATATACACATATATATACCCATATATATATATATACATATATATACCCAACAGATTAATTACTCTCTGCACTCATTAATATTAAGTGATTTTTCATTGTTTATAAATGAATGTTTAAATTCCATAGCCTGAAAGTCCATACTGTTCACAAATCAAGGTTTACCTTAGTTTTTCTTTTTTTTTTTTTTTTTTTGAGACGGAGTCTCGCTCTGTGGCCCAGGTGGGAGTGCAGTGGCGCAATCTCGGCTCACTGCAAGCTCCGCCTCCCGGGTTCACGCCATTCTCCTGCCTCAGCCTCCCGAGTAGCTGGGACTACAGGCGCCCACCATCACGCCCGGCTAATTTTTTTGTATTTTTAGTAGAGACGGGGTTTCACCGTGTTAGCCAGGATGGTTAGTTTTTCTAATCTACTTCCACCTATTTTCTCACAAAGAGATTCTCCATTTCCAAGAAATTATTCAGTCAATGACTTAAAAGCTAATCTAGATAATTGCTCTTCAAAATCTTTGATCCTGTTTTCTACTTCTTTAAAAACTTAGTCCAAGTTCTATGTCTTCCATAAAGCCTTCATTATTTTATTTTGTATAAGCATGACATCTTTTATCTACAAAAGTAGTAATTATTTTTATATAAACTAGATTTATTTAAATCTATTTAAAATATAAACAATTGTCTTGCTTTCTCTTTGTTTGGTAGAATACATTTAGTGCTTGACACATTTCTTTTGCTAATACAAAGCATCATTTTGCTGTGCAATCTAAAGAATATATTATCGATTTTTAAAAAGTTATATCTATTCCTTTTTACTGTCATACCAGCCTAGCACACATTGTTGTCTTTTCTGAATGTCATATAAAAATGATCCAAGGTTTTAAAGATTTAATGCATAAATGATTTCAATCCTTATCTCTAAATGGTATATTTAAAACTTACAATTTCCATACAATTATAACAATTTCAATTTTCATAAACTTTTATTTAAAGTAAAGGATAATTCACTGATAGTTTATACAGTGTTTCTAATAATGCCTTGGTTTATTTACAGTTAATTTGTTAATCCTTTGCATTTCCCACAATATCTAGAAATGTTGTTCCAGCTTGCAGAAGAGAATGTTGAGGCACGTAGATTAAACGATCATCTCCAAATATATGATAATGAGATAGACTTTTACTTAATATATCCTAATAATGTAGTTGTATAGATTTTAATATGAAAAGGCATTTTATCTATGGGACAAAGACGAAGAGGTGAATTAAGATAATTATTTAAATAAGTCAAGATGAAGGGGACATTTTCTCAATTTTTTAAATAGTTTGACTGAAAGCTTTCTTTTTAAGTCTAAGATTACATGAATAATTACCTCATTTCTCCATTTCACTTTACCTGTGTCTATTTGACCTCAATAGTGTGAGATGTTATCCCTATTAGAAGCATTCAGGACGTTGCTTTCTCTTTTACCTTGCCAAGTCATTTCTTCCAAAGAAATAGAGAGAGAGTCTGAACTTGAAATTTAGAATGTTGTTTAACTTTCATCTTTCTTTTTCTTAGGGATATTTTTAAAATATTTGAATTCATACTCAAAAACCCTTTAATATAGATTTTGATTCTAATCATACAACAGAAGAGGCTGAACACAAGCTTATCACCAAAAAAAACCCACAAGCTATTTTCCAAAAATGATTGCCAACTTGAATATTTATAGTTAGCAAATGTTTAGTAGTCTGAACTTTCTCAGTAGCAGTCAGAATGCAAATTAGACCTGCGTAGGTACGAACAACTACCCACGTATTTACTGTGTAAATTAACCAATAAAAAATTTCAGGATTTTTATATGAGGCTGAAAACTCTCAGCTGTCTACTACAATATGGTACTTTTTAAACAATTCATGTTCTTTCTTAAGCACAATGAAAAATAATGACTAAATATGTGTAAAAAATTTGAGGCTTTTTTCCCTTGATGGTTATAGACCAAAACTATCTACCAATGCGAGAGAAAAAAACAAAAGACCAAGTTTTTTGTCTGGATTATCTGTATTTATTACCTACCTTGAAAAGTAATCTATTTCACTCTTCAATTCACTCAGATTAGAGAAAGAGTCAACCTTATAAAAATACAGGGGAAAAAAGATGCAACTTGAACATACATTGCTTTTTAGCTGTTGTATTACTAAAAAGAATAAATCTTCAAAGTGCAAAAAGAAATGTATCAATGCTTTCAACACTAAATTACTCATCTTTGAGGTTTTGATTCAAATTACATTTAGATTGACCCAAAATATTCTATGTAGGTTTTATATTAAATATGCACAATCTATTATTTTTATGTATTGGGTTGTTCTACTTTGTAACAATTTTAGTTTCTAAGATACGTCATCATATTCACTCCATTTTTAAGACAGGGTAGAGGAAAATTTCTTAAATGAGTGTCAAAACAGTATATTACATATTTATATGTAGAATATTTGAGAAATTGCCTTCATTGAAACAAACTATAAAAACCTTAAAGCTTTACAGTGACAGACTTGGTAGGCCACACAGCCAGTGTAAAATTGGATTCAGTGTGATTATTTCTGGGCAATAATTCAGAGCAAATAACATCAAGGAAGGCTTGCATAAATCCAGATGGAAAAAGTGGATTTAAATCAAACTAATAGGTTGCAAAACATGAAATATGCTTTGTACTGTGCCTTGGAGACACATGGCCAAATCCATATTCAAAAAGTAAAAACAAACCAGAATGATTTGAGGAATAAATTACTTGTCATCGTGATCTTTTAAAAATGCCAGAATTTAATGCAAAAATATAATCCTAACATTTATTGCAGCAAAAATAAATGTCAACATATTAGACTTAACTGGCAAAGCCTTGTGGTAGCATTTCTACAGAGTGAAAGGAACGTGACAAGCTGCATTTCACATTTATTAGAATAAGATTTGGTCTTCTTTATCACAAGCAGTAGATTTAAACACTCTATTTTAATTTACTTCATGGTATTGAGGAAAACATTGACTCAGATAAGAAAAAAAATGCTGTATAAACTTGTTCACTGAAGCAATCCATCAATCTTAGAAGCTAAATATGTATTATGACAACACCATGCCTTTATAGTTAGAAGAATTGAGCACAAAATGGCTGTGACACATTCCATGTTTCAGGCAGCATATGTGAGTGGGAAATTCTGCGTGGATGCCTAGTCATACATAATAGACACTTCTTTTTTTTTTGTATCTTTACTTGATATTTTATACAGAGCTCAAGAGTTGACTAGAAATAGTGTCTGGGCCTAGAAATTTCCTTAATTTATTCTTCCCCAGTTGTTTTCCTTTTATTAAAGACTATTACAAAGTATAATTTGTATGTGTATTAAGTATGTTTTTGATATTTCTGTACTATTTCAGAAATAAGTGGTAGGTTTCTGAGATTTTTCATAGCTGATATTTTGTAAGTCTTTTAGGCTAAATCAGCCCCTATATTCTCAACAGATAGAATATTCATAAAATTTAGTTATTCTGGACAAATGACAAATTTGACTTCTCTAGACTTGATAAGGGTCAAACATAAATGTACTTATCATAGGAAAAGTAAAATGTATACAGTGCACTATGTAATACCAAGAAGTAAACACAATAAATATGCATATATGTAAATCCAAATGTTTGCATACACATTGAGTGTGCACAGATAAACATATAAATACCTTTGCAAGGAGTGCAAAAACCAGGTTTTTATATGCACGAAGGAATGCAATTATACATGCAAATTTTGAAGTGTCTAGTATGAAAATTAGTAATTTTAACACACTGCACTCTGCAAAGATTTTTACATTTAAATATGATTCCACTTAGCACTTAGGTAGTAAACAGAATTCCACATGCCAATGCATAAATGTGTTTTACATAAATACCCTAAATGTTGAAAAACTATGTGATTATATGGACTCAGCATATGTGCCACCAAAGCTGACAAGTTATTAGATAATGTTTTGTGAAAAGGTATTTTTTTCCAAATACCTCCTATGGAGTTTTAATTTTAAACACTAATACTTGAGAATTAAGACCCCTTAAAAGTAAGCATTTCATGTACATTTGTTTGACTGTTTAATGAGAGTTTTAAAAGCTGCCATTCTTAAGTAGTTACCTGGGAAACTAAGATAATACGTTCATATTGTTTCAGATAAGAGATAAAAGTAGGCCAGGCAAGCGGTGGCTCACACCTGTAATCCCAGCACTTTGAGAGGCCAAGGCGGGTGGATCACAGGGTCAAGAGATTGAGACCATCCTGGCTAACACAGTGAAACCTTGTCTCTACTAAAAAAAAAATTACAAAAAAATTAGCTGGGCGTGGTGGTGGGCGCCTGTAGTCCCAGTTACTGGGGACGCTGAGGCAGGAGAATGGCGTGAACCCGGGAGGCGGAGTTTGCAGTGAGCCAAGATCGTGCCACTGCACTACAGCCTGGATGACAGAGCGAGACTCTGTCTCAAAAAAAAAAAAAAGACAGATAAAAGTGTAACCCAAACTAGCAGTATAGCATGCTGAATGTCACAGTTTTCTTTAGTTATTTGTGCTCCATACAGCCTTATGCCAGATTAAACCAGTCTTTTGATAATTCAATCCTGTCCACCGTTTACAATTTCTTATTCTCATTTTTTACTGTAATGCACTAAGACTCTAATGTACTATTTTCTTTATCTCAATTAATGATATATTTCATCAGTGATAAACTTAATAACTGTATCTATTAATCAATTCCTTCAGTGATAAAAAATCAATTTCCTATGCACATAGCCCAGGGCTCGGCATATTGTATGTGCTTTGTACATACTAAATGAACATACATCAGACCCTCATATGCCAACTACTGAACTAAGTGCTTCAGATTCAAAACAGATAACCCTCAGGACACTCATAGTCTAGTGAAGAAGACAGACAAGTTAATTTTAGTGTGATATGTTAAAAGTACGGAAGCAGAGGATGTACCTAATCCTGCTTAGGTTGGGACTGAAGAGTACAGGGTCAAAGGGAATGATAAGATGGTGGTTATGAGGGAGACTTCACATAAAAAGTGATTTATATCCTAAAGTTCAAAGATAAGTGGATGTTTTGCAGGTGAATAAATGGGTGGCATGTTCTATGCATGTGCTGGCTTTCAGAGGCACATCAATAAACAATGGCTGAAAGACTAGATTGATAAAGCCATAGGCAATTTTTGTCTTGCCCTTGCCATATATTCTAATTGGCTCAGGGTTCTCTTACTATTTCCCTGGTTCAGGGCAAGAAGAAAGTTTTCTGCATTTAAAAAATCCATCTGTTCAACCCAAAGCAAAACAAATCATTAATTAAAGAATCAAGGGGTTTACACATAAAAACATCAAGTCTGTATGACTCAGAGGAGTAAAAACAAAACCAAATCCATCCACACAACTTTTTAAGTTTCATTTGTGTGTGTGCACTGGTTCCTGATGGCTACTCAATTGCATTCTCTCTTTCTCATACCTACCTTGTTTCGTCCTGATTTCTAGCTCTATCAATTAGTATTTCCTATTCTTGAGCTTCATAGAAATAGATTCATGCAGTATATAATCTCTAGTGTCTGGCTTCTTTCACTTAAGTTATTTTCTCAAGATCTATTTATGCTATTAAACATAGCAATAGCTGATTCTTTCTCCTTATCTCACAGTTTTCCATCACATTGTATGCACAGTAAGCAAATTAACTATGCTCATGACTCAGTAATTCCTGGTTCAATGAAATGCCAATAAATGTATACAAGTTCATAAAGGATCACATATAACATTGTTAAACCCAGTGTTAGTGATGATAGGAGGGAAGCAGAGGCCGTCTGTTTCTCCATCTATGGAAAAGTGGGTAGAAAAATTGTGGAAAATGTAAACCATAAAGTGCCCCACAACATTTAAAAAGAATAACTAGCTGAATATTTTTAAATAATGCCAAAGTAAATATATGCTGCTAAGAGAAAAATTAAGTAAAGAATAATGTATATAATTAACAAAATTAAAAGTAAATACAAAGAAAAGAATAATGCATATTTTTAAGAACACAGACTTATACATTCACTAATCACATTAAAATGGTTGCCTGTGGAGTGTGGATTGGGGGGAATGATAAGGATAAAGGAAACAAACTGGAAACAAACCTTGCATAAATAAATGATATAAATAAATGATAACCTGTGCTAAAGGCATATGGTTAATTCAATAATCTGAACCTGAGGTCTAACAAAATAAAAGAATCTAATCTATCAAAAATAGTTGTTTGTTCTTAAATATATCCTGAATTCATCCATTTCTCTCCATTGCCATAGCTACTACTATAGTCCAAGCTTCCCTGAAGTCTCATAGGAGCCACTGAAATACCTTCCTAGCTGTCTCATGCTTCCATGCTTTCACCCCTGTTGTTATTTCTTTACTCAACAACCAAAGTGAGCTTTTTGAAACTTATATCAGATCGCTCTTTTCCTTTTCTAAAATATTTACCATTAGAAAATTTTAGGCAAACAGAGTAGGTCTTGTCAGTAAATGTTTTAACAATAAGAAAAAATAGCATGGAGAAATATGGGACATCTGAATAACAAGGTATGACAAAAAGCTGGTTATAAGACTTGGGCTTGTGTTGAGTGATTTTAGAATATGTTCAAGGAACCATAGGTTTGCCTTGGACTAGGTACTGAAGTTTTACAATCCATTGTCTTAAAAATCTGTATCTACTTGGCAAAGAAATGTGCAAAGCTGAAATTGAAACTGTCTTTGCAAGAATTATAACTGAGAAAATTATCACAGTGAAAGAGTTATCACTTAACCAACTCCATCTTGCTTCTAACTTCCAGTCTGTCCTTGTTCATTCCGGGGCGTAGGCTGAACTAACTTTGAGAGGAACTTAGTTTATAATTTAAAACAAAGATAATAACAGCCCTTTCCCAAAACAAACTCGTTTCCTGCCTGGGGACTAGCCCAACTTTGTAAGACTAACAAATTAGTCACAAGATTAGAAATTTGGTTTAGGGATCATGCAGTTGTAGGCTGCGAGATTCTGACTCTCCCAAGATTGCTCCTGGGGAAAACATGACTGTTGTAAAACCTAAGATAAATGCTTGAGATATTTCGCAGACCCTGCACTTGATGGATCAGCTGGCACCACCCAGATCAGTAAACTGGTTCCTCTGATCTCATAGCCCCCACCCAGGAACTGACTCAGGGCAAGAGGAGAGCTTGGACTCCCTAAGATTTCATCTTCGACCTAACCAGTCACTACTCTTGACTCACTGGCTCCTACCCACCAAATTGTCCTGAGAAACTCTGATCCCAGAGTTTTCAAGGAGACTTCATTGAGTAATAAAAAACTGGTCTCCCATACAACCAACTCTGTGTGAACTAAACTCTTTATCTATTGTAATTTCCCTGCCTTGATAAATCAGCTGTCTAGGCAGTGGGTAAGGAGAACCCGTTGAGCAGTTACAAAGCTCTTTTGGAAAAGAATGATCAGGCATCCATGTTAGTTGAGTGAGGAGGTTTGGTCATATTTCTGGTTTACCCAGTGTTATTGGTTTCGTCTGTGGTCACACATGATTACAATATGGGCTTTTATTTTGTCTCATCTCACCATAGTCTCAAAATGATCTTGCCTAGGTTTGGAGAAAATGTTTACTTTTAATAAAACTATGGTTTAGTTGTTAATGCCAGGGCAGACAGCTGGCAGGGCTTTTGTTTTCTTTCTCCAAATCCCCCTTTCGGCTAAGGTAGATGAAGTTAGCTTGTAGGACGTTAATTTGTGATATTTACATCTTCACCACTGCCAACATTCTGCTGCTCAGGAGAGTGTCCAGAGAATGTGGTTGGTAGTTAGACTCAATCTAGTCCCCTTTTATCATTTTGTTTTCAAATGAATTTTTGAGTTACCTGATGTATCAATAGCTACAGAATAACACTCAAGGCTCTGGACAGGATTTATAAACCAACTGCAACACAGACAATTGCCAAAAACCAAAATGGTTTTTGATGGTCATCAGTCCTTATAATTGGTCCTGAATACAAGGTCCTACAGTAACCAAACTCACACAATGAAAACGTGTCACAAAATTTATCAGGGCTCTTCTAGCTTTAAAATTGTAGAAAAGGACTACTTATGAAAGATTAAAAAGGTGAATTAGTGGCAACGAAGGCAGAAAAATATATAACTGAGTCAGAATAATGGCAGAACACAAGACCAATAAAGGGACCTATGATATCTCCGTTTACGTAATATACAATAGAGCTACAGGGATACAGTCTATCTTAAAGAATGGTCCATTGTTCTTTATTATGCCTTGTGAGTTTTCTGTTCTTCCTTCATGTGTCTCCACACTTTAAACTTCCATTATCTGAAGTAGCTTGAAGGGTCACTGGTATATCCTCAGTTCTTAGAAGAGACCACATAACAGTGCTCAATAAATACTGAAGGAATAATTAATGAGTATGACTCTGTTTCTGAAAGCTGGGAGAATCTAAACCACAATCTAGTACTATGGTTTATATTCACATATAACCTTCTCAGATACACTCCTTTTTCTTCTCCAAGAACAAAATTTATGTTCAGTCTGTGAGAAATGAAGTCAAACAATTGTAATCCTATCCCTATGGAACTGCCTTTTAATGTGTTCTCTGTCTTACAGTTATAGATCTCTAGTGGTTCAATAGTGAACTCCAGTTTCAGGTACAAATTACCACTTTCAGACAACAGCAGTCACGGTTTAAGGTTACACTCTTTACCCTAGACATGTCTATGCTATTTTGTGAAATTTGTAAGCTATGTCTCCAAGAATTTGAGTGTCTCTATCTAGGTTCTCAAAAAGCTTCAGTTCACCATTAAGAGGTGAGGTCACCATCTCTGAGATAAGAAAAACTCTAAATAAACATACAAACACCCTCACAAACACTAACACACAATTACAACCTCTGCATAAAACATGATTCCTCACTTTTCAGTCTTTATGTTAATCGAAGTAAATCAGGCCTAGAGATACTGTGTAGTACACTCATTAAAAAATATTTCAGCAATGTAATTGCCTGTCCTTAAGTTTCATAATCATAAAATGTCAGAGATAAAACTGAAAAAAGACATTAATGGACCCACTCATCTATTATCTCACCTATAAAAGGCTTCACAGTTAAGTGACCTGAGCTGTCTTCTGGGTGTTTCTCCAGGCCTGATGATGATATTCCTGTCTTTGTTGTCTTCCTTCATTAATCCCTTGGTTCTCTCCCTCCTATTATTAAAATAGTGTGTCATCTACATAACTTGAATGTCTTGTACAGGCTTTGTTTACTGTAGAAGTTTGATACCACTGTCCAGATGCAGCATGACACAGCTCCGTGTGCATGAGACAGCTAAGAGCGGTGGTGATGAAGAAATAAATCAAGGGATGTACATCTCTGAAAAGTGTCTGACAATGAGTAAATATTCAGTAAACATAAGTTGTCTTAATTTTGCCTAGTTCAGGCTGTGGATTTCTATATTCTCTCTACAAACATTTACGATGCCTCCTCCATAAATCATAATTCAATCTCTGGAGGTACACAATAGATCACTGCTCATTATAAAGCAACTTTTAATCTACTGGAGGAGATGGATAATAAACAGGCAAGTTATAATTAGCATAGTAAGTTTTATGATATTGATTTATGCAAGGTATTATTAAAATACAGAAACAATGTGAGTGGTTAGAAAATGGGCTGTGATTTCAAATCCCACTAGCTTTTTGTTTTTTGTCTTTTTTTTCCCCCAGAAATATAGAATTGCTGTATTGGGTTTTGGTAGTTCAAATATGCTTAAAAAGGTAGGTATAGATGCTATAGAAAACTTACTTCAATTTAAGACTCTTTACTCTCCCCATTGTTAAGTATAATTGCCTTTAATGTTTCTGCTGCAGGCATTGAACACATCAGATTGTGTTATAATTTTTGTTTCAACTATCAATAATAATTTTTAAAAAGCATGAGAAGAAATATAGTCTGTTATTATTTACTCCTACTTTTCTTCATTCTAAGCTTTTCTTTTTGAAGTTCCAAGCCCCTTTTTCTTTCAGTACTTGAAAAATATTATGCCGCTTCCTTCTGTCCCCTAAGGTTTTATATGAGACAGTCACTGTCATTCAAATTGGTGTTTCTGTATAAGTAACGTATAATTTTTCTGTGAATACTTTAAAATTTTTTCTTTGTTTTAATTTTCAGAAATTTAATTATGATACATTATGGAATTAATTTGCTTATGGCAAGCTTAAAAAATATATTTCTTTCTGTTTTTCAGATGGGGTAAATTCCACTAATCTATCCTGAAGTTTACTTATTCTATCCTCTGTCAACCACTCTCTCTATTATTGAGCCCTAGCAAGGTTTTTTGCTTTTGTTTCATATATTTGCTGAGTCTTTCCAGTTGTTAGTTTTCTTTCATTTTGTTTTGTTTTTTACTTGTTGAAAGTGTGTCCGTGATTGCGATGGAAGCATTTTTTGTAATTGTTACTTTAAAAGCTTTGACAGGTAATTCCAACATCTGAGTCATCTTGCTGTTAGCTTCTGTTGATTTTTTTTCTCATTCAAATTGTGATTGACCTGGTTCTTGTTATGAGAAGTGATTTACAATTGTATCCTGGACATTTTTAGGTATTATGTGAGATTACCCAAGAGATTCTGTGACCTACTTAATTTTTTAAATTGATTAAATTTAAGATTTAATTTGTCGTGAGATTCTGAAACTAGTTAGTCTTTTTTAGCAGGCAGTTGCTTTGTTTAGTTGCAGTGCACACAGGTGCTTGGGAAGGTAGATCCCCAGCTTTCTGCTGGGCCCTGTTGACATCACCACAGAAGAAATGGGGCTCTGACTCACACTATCTCATTGCAGTCAGAGTGCAAACTCAGCTTCCACTCTGATATGGGATTGAAGGGGGAACCCGAGTGGTAAGTAGTCCTTCTTCACACTGCTTCATTTAGTCTTGATACTGATGAGTGGGGGTGAAGGTTCAGTTTTCCACTAAGTCCTACTGAAACCTACTAAAAGAGGGGTCACAGAAAACTGAAATGCTGGCAAGCTCCTACTCACATTGCCTTGTTCAATCTCTGGACTGTTTCAAACCCTGGCAGGGGAATCAGAACACTGTACACATCCACTAAGCAAAGAATGAAAGATTAGCTCTCTGCTTGCTGGCTGACAATACAAAGTGAGGGATTAGGTTACCAATATGTTTCTCCAAGCGGGGAGAGTGGGTAAGAAGACTGGCTACCTGCTCAGTCCCACTGACCCCTGCATGGACGGGGAGAGGCAATTTGTATATTGATGTTTGCCTGGAATAGAGTTGCCACAGGTAAGCCACCCTTTTCCTCCATTCTTTGGCTGGAGGAAGAGTCTTTTCTTGGATTTATTGTTTATCTGTGTCTGTTGACATTTCCAGGTTGGAGTCTTCTGAACGTTGCTTTCCCAATTATATGGAAGGAAAGAACTCATTGCCATTTCATTCTTCACATTCTAGGATCCTTAAGCAATCTGCATTCTCCTTTCAAACTTTCATCATCTTTTTACATTAGTTTGTTGTGTTATGTCCATGGCTTCCTTAGTAGTAGAAGGGAAGACCTGGGAGGAATAGGCCTACTCCATGTTCATCAGGTCTTTAGATTAAATGTTAATAAATTTCTCAGGACAATTAATTAAGGGATTGAGGATTTACTAACAGGTAAGCCTAAATAAGGGGTATCATCCCCTGTGAATACTGTCTTCCTCACTAATTTTATCCCTTTGGTTTATCCTTTTGAATGTTTTGAATTCAGGCTCTTTACAACATAAAGATGATACGTATCACATTGAAGTGAACTGAAAAGTCACGAAATACATGGAACACAATCATCAGTTTGTATTGACTTACTTCTCTCACTCTTATGCTTCCTCCCATCATCTTTCCTCTCATGCTATACTTAAGTTATTCCAATTTCTGAAAGCAACCTCTCCTCTCCCCTCTAGACCTATATACTTATAGGACTCAGAACACTCCTCCTGTACAAAAATATCCCCAAGGACTCCATATATATTCTTCCAAGAAAACTAAGGGCAGTGTTCTGCATGATGGAAAATATGTTTTCTTCTGTCATAGAACTTGCCGTAAATATATATTATATACATAGGAGTTGCCATAAAATAGTTTGAAACCATACACTGCAACATTTTTACCATCACACTCATATTTGTTGATTACGGCATTGTCTTATTTGGGAGTTTTTTCATTTGACATCCAATTAATACTCATAATTGAATTAGCGTTTCATTTGAGCTAATTAACACTTTTCACAAAACAGTCTTAGGAAATTAAATGTGGATTGTGATGGAATGAAGAAAATTCTGGACGCGGTAGAAAAGGAAATGGAACTATAGCTGCTCTGTCACAAAAGCAGTGAACGTGCCTTAAAATGGTAGTGACATAAGAAGATTTTTGAGTGCTACTCCAGCAGACTTCTGTCCAGGGTAGATGGAGGTATAGGCCAGTCGAACCAATGAGAAAAATGAATGAGATGGAACAATAGAAGTTTTAAGTGCCATTATGGAATTTTCACAAGCTTTAAGCAATGCGATGAAATAACTTATTTTGAAATTACATTTGGTTGTTAGCTTTTGTTCTTTTGAACTGGAAATGTTCTGAGACTGGGCTTCAAAAAACCCTTAAAACGTGACCTTCAATAATAAAGGTTATTATTTTGCAGGGAGAGCTCTAGGTTGCATAAGACCTCAAAGAGTTGAGATAATTGCACAAGGATGCTAAAAGGAGAAATATTGCTGAAAAAGATAAGACATAAGTTATGGTGTCAGGTAATTTATATATAACTTATAATAATTATCTCAAATTTTATCAAAGTTAAAGCAGCCTAAATCCATGTCATTGTGCTACAATGCCCAGTGATAAATAAGACATTTGGCAGTCTTCTGAACTTCAATAGCCCTAAAACAATTTCAATTATACACAGTTGAAAATAAAACTGTACCTCTAATATAGTACATCTTCAACCAAACAGTGTCTGTTTTGTTGTTGCTTTCTTGTTTGGCTAAATTATTTTTTAAATTTTACCTATCTTGTACTATTCTAATATTCTTTCCTTTAAGTCTTTTAAAAATGCTCAGACAATGCATTCTGTCTCTACATTTTAAGATAATCTGTATATGACAGAACTATGGAATAATAACTTTATGCTAATGTCATATTTTAATTTGACTCAGGCAAAGTTAACTTATTATAGCAAAGTGTCAGGTGAAAAAGATCAACTGGTCTTAGAAAGGTATTTCCTATTTTCCTGATTTTGAGATTAATATTTGAGAACAACAACAAAAAAGTGGTACTGCATTAACAACATCTCATTTGTCGCAGGAAATAATTTCACCAATCTTGTCAGCACTTTTTAAAATAATTTATATTTACCTTTAGGTTTAGATAATGAAAAATTCATTTCTTGCTGTAATGAAATCTGTGTAGTCTTTTCATATAATGCTACCCACATCTGATCATATAAAAACAAGTTTGTATACACAAACATATATAAATGCAAATATTATAGACAGAGTTTTGATCTTCCTTCAAATATAATTTTAGACATGTCTTTGTATATGTATATGTGTGTGTGTGTATGTGTGAGTGTGTGTGTGTGTGTGTGTGTGTGAGAGAGAGAGAAAGAGTGGGGAAGTGAGGTGACCCACATACAGGTTTAATATTTAATGCTTTCTTTAGTGTTATCACTATTAATCAAAGCATCCATAATATATACACAGAAGTTATTTATCTCCAAGCTAGCAATTACGTTACTGTATGCTGATAGCATAACCATTCATATTCTCTTTCTTATTCTCACAATATATTCATTCCTCCATCTCCACCTCCCAGCATGATGCTTTCTCAGCAAATTCTAAGTGTAAATGCCAAAAACCTATCTAGTGTATCTCTTTTCTGTTCTTGTTTCACAAACATAAATTCTAATTCACTATCCTTGTTTGTGTCAGTTCTTCTCATAACCCCATTGTTGGGGATGCCAGTAAGGGAACAAATTTATTATGAATACTGGACACGTTTGTGTTTTCTGTCTGCTTGGCTGGGCATTGCCACCTCTGGTTGCTGTCTCTTTTGTCGTTGAAATATCTATTGCCTTGACATATAGCACATAAAGGCTTCATCAGTAAGGAAACTGTTTTTGAATATGCTCTGAAGTCTACAGAGTAATCCAATTGGAAGCAAATGATTGGCAATCATTAAATTTTCTCTTACATTACCAGGCTGTGATGACTTTATCAGCTTTGTCACATAAGCACAAATGCTTTCTCCCTCAAACTAACTGCAGTTTGTAAAATCTCACTCTGACTGTCATTAAAGTAAAGTCATCATCGTTTCATTGAAAATCCTCACTGCAGATTTCCCAGGTGTTTCCAAATTTCTGACTAGAACATGTGCTTTTCCTGTGATTAGACTATAGGGCAGACCTAGCCTTACTTTGCCTAGTATCAATCATCTAGCTATTTCCACTTAGATTTAGAAATCCGACATCAGTTCAGACCAGAAAATCCTAATATTCACCAATATATATGTTTCTTGAAAACAGTTCTTAATAAATAATTGTTATCCCTTCCTTTTATTACTTTAAATGTTGACATTGCTAATATTAAACTAAAGAAAAAAATTAGATGGCATTTTCATTCAGAGAGACCAGTTGGCTTTTTGATAAGGATCTCGAGGACAGTTTCTTGAGTGGGATAGTACTTGGGTCTTGGCCTCAACTTTTAGGCCTAGGAAATGCTTTTCAGCATGCATGGATGTGATTGCTTTCAAAGGTATGTGATTCATGCTAACCAAACAGAAATGACGTCTGTAAAGTCATGATGTGCAATTTATTTTACTAACCTGCAAGCTAAACAAAATATACATGTTGAAGAGTGCAATATCTTCCAGGAAGAAAGTTTTATCAGGAGGAAACTTCTAATCAATACATTGTGTGTTAAGTACGAATCGTAGCGAAAGGAATCACTGAAGATATTAATGATCAGTGTCATCAAGTCATTTGTAGTACATCTGTCTTCTGTGTAGAAATAGTTCTACTGAGCAGACTACACAACTGCATCAACTTATTATGAAGTATCTCTCCTGGACATTGGTGTGTGTACAATAACACATCCTTGCTGAATGCAACCCCTGTTTTTATGATGCCATGATAGCTCTACCTTTTTTGAAAAAAGTTATTGTCAGAGTCATATTTGATTAACTTGACAAATTTTATTTTAAAATTTATGCAATTTTAGTTTAAAAAGTTACTCTTATTAGGCAATTCATTTGTAAAAATCAATTCATGCCTACTTGATCAAATTCTTTCAGCTATTGCCTTATGAGGAAGATGACCACACTATTATTTAAACTAGAATACTTTTGATACCTTTATGCTGAGACTACCACTGTAAAACTGGACTTTGCCAAGAAAACTGGAATACATCATTATGTTACTGATAGGTATTTCATAGTTTTTCAGATGATTAATATCATCCGTGGAATTTACTTGTTCCATCCTTTTACTTCAAAATTCTTGGATTGAGTTTTTGTCATCTTTGACCTTTATCATGGCTGCTGTTCTTTTCTCTATCTGGTTGCTTTAGATTCATCACACGCTAGTACCCATCCACTTTTTTCCTGATATCTTTTTAATTTTGAAAGATTGTTGCCCACATTAGGACTCTAATGTAATAGTTGTTTGCTTGTATATTATTCCTTAACAGCCTTGTTAAGAAGTCACATTCTCTCAATTTCATCTGAAAACAACTTCTTTTAAGAAAACAAGCATCCAGACAACCTCAACTCACACACTGTAAGACACTTCAACTTGTTTCTTCATTGGTAGAGACAATTGTTCCCTGCTTATGTTGTAATTAGATGGAGAACTCACTGGATTCTGGCTAGAGTCACTCTCAGGTCTACCCTTTAATATCTCTCAAGAACCTTCTTCCATCTGTTCCAGATGGATTCAAAAGATCTAGTGGAGGACTGTTGTGTCACCTCCAGAAGGTGGCAGTGAAATAGAATTTAAAAAGCCTTGGCCCTACCTCATAGACCCTCTCTGGGATGAGAAATAAACTATCATTATGGTAAGTCACAGGATTCAGAATTACTTATTGTAATGCTTAATCTTCCCTGATAAATATGGGTGCCACTGAAGATGAATTCACAAAAACACTACCAGAAAAGCCCTGTCTAAATAATATGCAATACACTGGTGAAATAATTACATACTTTTCAGAGCATATAAGGCTTTGCAATATTTTCTCCAAGCACATCTTTTCTGATTGTCTTTCTCTTGATCATCTTTGCATTTCTACAAAACTCAACCAGTCAATGTTCTTCTTGCATTTCTCTGCTTTTCTGCTTTAGTGACTTCACTCATTGTGTAACTTTTGTCCTTCTTTCTAAATTGCACCTGCCCATATTTGAATAGCATCCTTTCTATGAATCACTCCCAAACAAAACCAACACACACACACACACACGCATTGAAAACAAATCCAAATAAAATAAAGACTTCGGAACGAGTTAACACTTTGCTGGAAAGACTCATGCCACTCCATTTGAGTATCTTTTGATTATGAATCTCATTTTACCTTATGTTATAATTGTTTAAGAATAAGTACCATCCCTTTTATTGGAATATGTTACAGATTTCACATTTCATTTAGCTTTGTATTTTCCAAAAGTTTCAAAGTACCATTGAAAATATTTGTTGAATGATTGGAAACTCTTGAGGGTATACTGTTTATTTCAAAATGTTTAGAGATTTGCCCTTTAGCTGTTATCTTTAAATCACTGCCAAATCTATATCTCTTGTCATTACACATTTCTACTGTCCATTGCTGGATAGTGCTTACTTTATATTTTACAGTGATTTTTAAATAATCATACACATTCCCTGCCTTTCTGAGTTCTCATTCTTTATACTTTTTCTTATAGCTCTACCTTAATTTCTATTACATTTACTTAAAACCTGGTAGACATCTTTGGTTTCATACTGTAAATTATCCCTTCATATATTCCACAAATAGGATCTAAGAATCAACTTAAGTGCAATATATACTTTACCACTACTTGGTACCAGTATAAGTAAGTCAGCAGGTCATGTCAGTGCTCATGGCTCGTTCTATTAGGTTTAATTTATTGTTAACTACATTAAACTAATTTACATTAAATGTAGTATTTCATTAGATTTTATTCTTCAAACAATGTTTATGAAGGTTTTACTAATTTAGGTCTTATCATCACAAATCTGTCTATTCTGCACTCCCAATTGACTATATTGCCACTTGTCTTTCTATTCTTTCATCCATAATATCCAGTATTTTTTGGTTGCTCTTCATAAGGCATTAATTTAATCACGCTGTTCAGTGGACTATCCCCAATGACTTCGTCTCTGCCACAGGATGAAGTCTAAACCTATTAGCCTGGTACTTAAACTTTTATCTTCCCCATAATATTAATACCTAAAAAGCCCAAACTGACCAACTTTAATACTCACTAATTGACCACTCCTTCACATTAAAAACTATGTTAATCACTGTACAGTAATCTTCCTAACAAGCTGCTTGCAATTTCCATTGAAATGGTGAAGACAACAAGCCTTACAAGGACTCAATATCCTACCCAAAATTGCATTGGTAGTAAGCACCCAAACTGAATCTATAATTCAGGCAGTTTTTACTTTAAAGTTTTCTAGATTCTGCTAGTATTTTGTCTTGCATTTATCTATTAGAAACACATATTTTCTTCTATATGCTTATGCTCATTTGCCTCAAAAGCAAGAATGAGCAAAGCCATACAATCCAAACAAATCTAAAACTCCAGTGAATGCATAATCAACTAGAATGTCCCAGCAGGTAAAGCACGGTCAGCACTCACTTTGCAGTAGTGTGGGTCATAAAAATGATCATGGAAGTGGAAACTTTGCAAAGCAATAGAAATAACCAATGTGAAAAAAATAATATTTAAAAATGTTTGCCAAAATTAATTTTTTTCTTATTTCTGATTATAAATGTCCAGTGAGAAATAATCAGCCAAGTAAAAAGACAACCCACAGAGTGGGAGAAAATATTTGCAAACTATGCATCTGACAAAAAACTAATATCCAGAATCTACAAGGAACTCAAACAAATCAGCAAGAAAAAAATTGATGAATCCCATCAAAAAGTGGGTTAAAGACATGAATAGACAATTCTCAAAATAAGATATACAAATGAACAACAAACTTGAAAAGGTACTCAACATCAATAATTACAAGGAAAATGCAAATCAAAGCCACAATACAATTCCCCCTTAATCCTGCAGGAATGACCATAGTCAAAAAAATCAAAAAATAATAGATGTTGGGATGGATATGGTGAAAAGGGAACACTTTCATACTGCTCGTGGGAATGTAAAGTAGTACAACCACTATGGAAAACAGTATGGAAATTCCTTAAAGAACTAGAAGTGGAACTTCCATTTGATCCAGCAATCCCACTGCTGGGTATCTACCCAAAGGAAAATAAGTTATATGAAAAAGACACTTGTCTGTTTATAGCAGACAAATTTGCAATTGCAAAAATGTGGAATCAGCCTAAATGCCCGTAAACCAAGGAGTGGAGGAAAAAAATGTTGTATATGTATATATGCATCATAGAATGCTACTTATCCATAAAAAGGAATAAAATAATGGCATTCACAGCAACCTCGATGGAGTTGAAAACCATTATTCTAAGTGAAGCAACTCAGAAATGGAAAACCAAACATTGTATGTTCTCACTTATAAGTGGGAGCAAAGCCATGAGGATGCAAAGGCATAAGAATGACATAATGGACTCTGGGGACTTGGGGGGAAGGGTGGGTGGGGGGTGAGGGATAAAAGACTACACACTGGATGCAGTGTACACTGCTTGGGTGATGGGTGCACCAAAATATCAGAAATCACAACGAAAGACTTTTTCCATGTAACCAAACACTGCCTGTTCCCCAAAAACTATGAAATAATAATATAAGAAATAAAAAGTATAATAAAATAAGTTAAGCAGTAAGAAATTAATATTATTGTTTTCTAATTAATAATATAAGTAACAAAAGATGCGAAAATATTCTTTAGGAGAGATTTCCTCTAGAAGTAGGATTGGGGGTCAGAAAGTTTTGGGAGAGACCCAGACTGATGCTCTAAGGTACTTAATTATACACTACATTCAAAACTTGGTATCTGGAAGGATTGGTCCCAGGACCCACCACAGATACAAAAATCCACAGATACTCAAGTCCCTTATATAATATGGTGCAGTATTGTGTATAACCTACACACATCTTTCTGTATACTTTAAATCATCTCCAAATTACATATAATACCTAATACAATGTGAATGCTATATTTAAAAAGGGCAGTGAAATTTAAAAAGTAAAAGCTATTTATTTAGCATATTACAATTTAAAATATTAGAGATATTCAAAAATATTTTCTTTCTTTTTTAAAAAGCTCACCAAGAGTAGTTTGAATAGTGAATGACTTATTTTCATATAACTGATGATATAGAGTAAGCATCTTTTTTAGGCTTGGCAAATCCTCACACTCCTCCAAGTTTAGGTTGGTTTCCAACATTTTATCCTCTACACTTTCAATGTCATAAAAAATTTCCAAGAATTTCTTAATTGAGAGGCTTCTTCTTTTTTTTTTTTTTTGCTAGCATCACTCCCTCTAGGATATCTTGTCCCCTTTTATCACATTTCCTCATTTATGTAGGTGCATTTGCCTTTACTAAATTCCTCCTCTGTTGTCTCTTGGATGGTGGCAATGTCATCCTTCCTACATATTTATTCTATAACTTTTCTTAAATTATATTCAAATTTTACCTCCAGTACTATCACTTTTTGTTTGTTGCATTTTAAGCTTTGTTGGCCATTTTCCTTTTTTGATTATCCAGTTTTGAAAATGTCATATGGGTTTATCACTGGAAGACAGGGATGCAACACAACTACACACTTTGCTGTCTGTACATGATCTAACTAACAAATATGTAGCAAATAATTGACAGCATTTGAAGGAAGTACCATAATTGCTCACAGATCGTGTTGCACATCTGTTACTCATTGTTGCCTCTGTTACCTATTACCAAGAATTGAAGTCTGAACACTTCTGCCCACTGTGTCTCTGGATAGGATTCACCAAAGAAAACACAAGACAGTAAAGCACTGGATGGAACAAGGCTTTGCTCAACATTGAGAAGAGACAGAGCAAGATCAGCTTCTGTAATGGGTGTTGAATGCCCATGGTCAGCAGGTTCCTCCCGGCAGCCACCAAAGGCAATTGGCCTGCACTCACCTCTCTTGTACTGCAACAGGACCCCATAACTCATTTCAGGGGACAGTTATAAGCAGTAAAGACACACTCAAGTAGAACAAAAAATACACATGGAATCAGAAACAAGGACATATATTCCCACACAAGATTGTATACCTAGCATAGACTGCATGTCAGACTATTTATCCCTTGGCAAAAAAAGTATTCTAAGCTCAAGGCCAGTTCTCAGGTGGCTTCCTGGGGATTGAAAGACTTTGTGCATGAGACCTTTCCCAACACTTATGCAGTGCTTTGCGGACTCAAGAGCTAGTAGCAAAGTTTGTACTTTATAAAATTACTTACAGTTCATTGGAAACTTAAATTTGAGCTGCAATTTCACGTAGATTCACAAATGATTCTCATCTCCAATACTTATGGGTATTCTTTTTTTCTCTTGTAAATAATTTCCTTAAACCCTTTACTCACTCTCATAGCCTCCTTCTCCTTTGTAATTTTGACTTAAAGAGTGAGGCAGAGTCTAGTCCATCATCATCATATTTGCATTTGTTGTTTCTTCCTATTCTCTCCCAATCACTCTTTTTATATAGGTTCATATGGATTTTATATAAACTATCTTAACTTCTACGTCAAAGGTACCAAAATACGTGCGCCTAAGGGTTAAACAAGTAATATAACTGAATGTTGTAGAAAGAAGACTTCTGACTGACTGAAGGATTTGTGCCCTTCGTAATGGACTGAACATCTTCTTTGCTCCAGAAGTATCTCTGCAATGCCAAAAAGAGAACTTTAGGATATTTTCCCAGAAGAAAGCAAATTTTGTTGTTGTTGTTGTTTTGTTTTGTTTTCATAAAAATTACTTCATATGACAGTTTCTCAATGAGTTAAAAATAGAATTACCACACGATCCAATAATTTCACTTGTGAGTACATACTCAAAAGAATTGAGAACAGAGACTCAAATAGATATTTGTATACTCATGTTCATAGCAGCATTATTCAAAATAGACAAATGGTGGAAGCAGCCTAAATATCCATCTACAGAGGAATGAATAAGCAAGATGTGTAATATGCATACAATAGAATACAATATTTTTAGCCTTAAAAAATAAGAAAATTCTCGGCTGGGTGCAGTGGCTCACTCCTGTAATCCCAACACTTTGGGAGGCCAAGGCGGGCGGATCACCTGAGGTCAGGAGTTTGAAACCAGCCTGGCCAACATGGTGAAATCCCGTCTCTTCTAAAAACACAAAAATTAGCCAGGCCTGGTGGTGGGCGCCTGTAATCTCAGCTGCTGGGGAGGCTGAAGCAGGAGAATCGCTTGAACCCAGGAGGTGGAGGTTGCAGTGAGCCGAGATTGTGCCACTGCACTCCAGCCTGGGTGACAGAGCAAAACTCCATCTCAAAAAAATAAATAAATAAAAGAAAAAGAAAAAGAAAATTTTGTCACATGCTACAACTTGGATTATTCTTGACGGTATCATGCTATATGAAATAAAACAGTCACAAAAGGACAAATACTGCATGACTCGACTCATTTTGACGTACTTAGAGTCATCAAATTCATTGAGCTAGAAAGTAGAATGGTGGTTGCCAGAGGTTAGGAGAAGGGATACTAGGCAGTTATCAGTTAATGGGCACAGTATTTCAGTCTTACAAGATGGAAAAAAAAAAAGCCCTTCAATGGATGATGGTGATAGTTGCATAACAATCTGAATGTACTTAATGCCTCTGAATGGTATCCCTAAAACTGGTTAAAGTGGTTAAAAAGAGATGCTATCTATATTTTTTAATGAATTATTTTAAAATATTGGCAACTAATTCACGTAAAAACAAAACAAAACAACCCTGGGTCAGAAGGGCTGAATATAAGTTTTTTTGTTGTTGGTGGTGGTGGGGGGGTGGATTATGCTTATAAAATAAAAGTGGGGGCTCCTTAAAAAAGGCTGTATAATCAAATATATTACTGACAGAGAGACTTTGCTTTTACTTGTTTTTAAAGGAAAACAAATCCTCTCCTTAACAACTACACATTTAATAACTGTAAGAATTTTCCACAGGCTAGCTTCTGCTCTGCACAATTCTAACTTTTTTATCCCCTTCTATCTCACATACTTTAGATCCCAGTTTTACAGAATATTTTCATGTGATTTCCACTTTTGCAAATTCATGTCAAAATTCCTGAAGCCTTTCTATAGGGCTGTAACTGGAAATACTACTTATGGGAGTGATTGCAACCATGTGACTATATCATACTAAATCTAAATGAAATGTCTCTCTCTTTATAAGATTCTCCTTAAGAGACTTGAAAACTGCTCCTGGCCACCCTAAGACGACTCACCATGAGGCAAAGTGTGGCAGAGGTGACATTGTAGTGGAAAGAGATATTTATCTTAACTAATCGAAAAAAAATGTACAATCTGATTAAAAACAAACTATAATTCTGAAGGAACAATAGACAAAAGAGGAAAAAGAGCAAGGAGAAGGATAAGATGTGATTAGCAAAGCTGAAGATATATACTTAATAATATTACTAGAATATTAAGAAAAAGACATTGGTATAATCTAAGAGTAAAGCTAATGGAAATTATATGGCTAGAGGATCTTTGACTCACCATAACATACTTAAAAGAGAGGGAAGGAGAAGAGATAAAGAGATGGTTGTATACAGAAAGAAAAATATGTTTGGCAGAACACATACAATAAAGCAGGTAGAAAGGATTCTGAAACGGAATGCCAGTGCAATGAAGCAATACTGATAAGATAGGAATGAGTACCTGGCAAAGAGGGAGTACCAGATTTAAGCACTAATGATATAACATGTAACAAGAAGGTGCTCAAAAGAGGAAGAGAGGAATGGAGTCAAAAACATTTACTTGCCAACTACATTTGCCATCTGTTAATATGACAGTGTAACATAAAGTAAAATTGTTCAGAAACACTAATGAATGGCCTTTAAAAAGTACAACCTGTGACATCTGATAAAATACAGATAATTGAATGCTTGCCAATTTACAGATCAAGCAAAATTAACTGAGTATCTGAGAATTCAAACCCTCAACTAAACATATATGTTCTCCAAAGGAGAAATGTTCTTTGATAACTGTTTAAAATATGTTGTATTTATATTATTTAATAATGAACATTTTATATCAAGTTTGAGATACTAAGAATGAAATTCTTTCATAAAAAAAGTAAAAAGTTAATGCCCATGATTGGTTTGAAGGTGCTTCAAATATATAGTACCCATCAGTAGTAGAAACTGTATGCAAATGTTCATAAATTGTATTAAAGCATTTTGAGGAAAAAAAACGCGGATTAAAAATGTTTGGTGCAAATTTAATTATTATTTAATTGGTAATTTAATTTTTTTCCTACTGTTTCTCATGGTATAGTTGATTTTGCCTTGAAAAGAACAGATATATTTTATTGCAGAAATGGAAAGATATCTTCAGAGGCTTCCATGCTGGTAAAATAAATATTCAGACATCTCAGGGGTACAATTTATTTCTGCTCTTAGAAGGATGACCTATTTTCTCCTGAATGTGAGGCGGTAGTGGCCATAAGGAAACTGAAGCACAAACATCTCACTGCTGCTATGGAGATGAGAGATAACCCCTCCTTCTAGGGAAACTCAGTTTGTCCTTTTGCTTGATCTTGTCAAAAATATTTACCTCTGTCATTAGATCCTTGAAGCTCCATCCCTTGACACTTCATAATAAGTAGTTAAATTACATAATCCAGTCACCTACGATATTAAGTATAAGATTTGAAATATAGAGCTTTAAGAAGTAAAAGTTTGGCCGGGCGCGGTGGCTCACGCCTGTAATCCCAGCACTTGGGGAGGCCGAGGCAGGCGGATAACGAGGTCAGGAGATCGAGACCATCCTGGCTAACATGGTGAAATCCCGTCTCTGCTAAAAAAAATACAAAAAAAAGTTAGCCAGGCGTGGTGGCGGGCGCCTGTAGTGCCAGCTACACGAGAGGCTGAGGCAGGAGAATGGCGTGAACCCGGGAGGCGGAGCTTGCAGTGAGCGGAGATGCACCACTGCACTCCAGCCTGGGCCACAGAGCGAGACTACGTCTCAAAAAAAAAAAAAAAAAAAAAAAAAAGAAGTAAAAGTTCGTCCGGGAATGGTGGCTCATGCCTGTAATCCCAGCACTTTGGGAGGCAGAAGTGGGTGAATCACCTGAGGCCAGGGGTTCGAGACCAACATGGTGAAACCCCATCTCTACTAATAATACAAAAAAAAATTTGGCCGGGTGTGGTGGCATGCACCTGTAGTCCCAGCTACTAGGGAGGCTGAGGCAGGAGAATCGCTTGATCCTGGGAAGCGGAGGTTGCAGTGACCCGAGATCACATCATTGCACTCCAGCCTCGGCGACAAGAGCAAAACTCCATCTCAAAAAAAAAAAAAAAAGAAGTAAAAGTTCAAATTAAGCATTCATATTTCACTTAGAGTATCAGTATTGTATATATAATTGTGTGTAAAAATCCTATGTAATAATTTCTTTTTTTTTTTTTTTGAGATGGAGCCTTGCTCTGTTGCCCAGGCTGGAGTGCAGTGGCACGATCTCGGCTCACTGCAACGTCCACCTCCTAGGTTCAAGAGATTCTCCTGCCTCATCCTTCTGAGTAACTGGGATTACAGGCACGCGCCACCACTCCCGGGTGATTTTTGCATTTTTAGTAGAGATGGGGTTTCACCATGTTGGTCAGGCTGGTCCCGAACTCCTGACCTCGTGACCCACCCACCTTGGCCTCCCAAAGTGATGGAATTACAGGCTTGAGCCACCACACCCGGCCCTGTATGTAAAAATTTCTCTGAAAAGTTAGAACATTTGGAAATCTGCCTAGGTTTTAAGCATTAATCATTTGCAATCATTTTTTAACATTTGGAATGTTACCACAACATTCCAAACATTAACTTTCATTGACCATTGTTATTAGCAATTGTTCCATGTACTTTCACATTAGCATGGACTAGTATGTTAAGTAGTAATTTAAATTAATTTTCTTGTATTTAGGAATTAAGTAACCCTTAATAATAAGTAGATTCATCATGATATCCAAGAGTCATACAAAAATATGACAGTAATTAATTTTTTTCTTTTCATTCTTTTTCTTTCTTTTTAAATTAATTTTTTCCTTCTTTTTTGTTTTTTTTAATTTTTTGTCTATACTATTTTCTTTTATTCCTTCTTATTTTTCACTCCTACTTGCCTTTCTAAGCATTGCTATCAACCAAATTAACTGATGGGGATGTGTCTCTTGCAAATAAATGTATAACAGACAAGAGGAGGTTAATCTGCAAGACGAATATACTTGAATGCAAAATTCCTCTGCAGTGGTATCTGTTCAAAAAAAAGTCAAAATACAAGTTAAAATATTATTTATAATGATATACATATATATTTTACTATATTTCTGAGGTTATTTGCTTTTGTCGCAAGTTTGCTGACCAGTCATTGCTGACATCTAATTATGAATTTTAACTACTAAATTTATTTTGGCCAAATGACTAAGGTATTTTCTAATTACTCCCCATTATGTTACATTTTATCATATCAGAAAGAATGACTTTTTATTTTTTTAAAGCTTTAATAAGACTATCTTCATAAAACATTTTTAATCTCTTTAAAACATCAATTTGATCATTCTCAGTGAATATCTGCTATGTGGTCTCTGCTATATTTGGCACTGAGACTACAAAGGTGAGCAACCTGAGCTCCATGGAAATGGAAGGAGTCTACTGTGGCTAGATGGAGACAAATGAATAAAGAAAAAAATGATCTGGATATTGAAGCATTAGAATGATATCTCTCAATGGAAAATGAGAATGCCACGTGGAAGATAAAGGAAAGAAAAAGGACATGACATTTGTAGGTGGAAGGCAACAAGGTATCATTCACTTTCAAGAAGCGCAAAAGTCCATATAGTAATAGTGAGATTAAGTAGAGTGAGGCTAAATTCAGATTAATCTAAGCTACTAAAAACAGATTTATATTTTATTTGGTCGACCTCAGAAAATAACGATGACTTTTTGAAAACGGAAATCTATATAACTAAGAAACATTTCCAGAATACAAATTTAAAGGCAAATATATAATATGAAGAAAGTAGAAGCAAGTTGTCCTCTAAGAGATTATTGAATTGATTCTAAAGAAAATGGCTGAGAAATTAGGATATGATTGGATTAAGTTTTGTTATCACAATATTGATAATAATAACATCTGAAATTTTCTGAGCACACTATTAAGTGCCATGTAATATCATAAAGCCTCTTCAAGTGATTTTTTGTTTATTTTATGATGTAGGTGACAATAATAATTATTTTCAAGATGAGAAAACTGAAATGTATAAAGATTATATAGTTTTCCTAAAGTCAGGCAACATAAGTGAATAAATTAGGGTATAACCAACTTTATGTATAACCAATCATATCTGATTGCAGAGTTTAAATTTTTAATCATTACATTTGCTGGTAATGTTAGGTTTGATAAGAAAGAAAATGTAGGAAATATTTTGAAGAAAGAAAAAGCATAACATTGACAAAAATTATTATATAGTAGAGAGTAAAACAGTTAAAAGTAAATAAAACAAGATCAGTAAGATGAACTCCCAGTGAATCTTACAATAATCTACAAGAATTCCATCAATCCATACAGAACAAATCTCAGCACAAGTGCTATCATAGCTAATGGCCTTTGTAATGTTGCTTCAACATTGTAGATAGCTATAGAGCACTCACTCCTATGCCCTCTTCATTTTCCCTGTTTTCTGATTTTCATGTACTACCTTGAATGTTATCCTACCATAGAGTCCATTCTCCCCAGGGACGGCTGTCATAAATTTTAGCTCCATAAACAAAAAGTCATTTTTATCATGGTTATTCATTAAGTAATAGGAAAGTGCCAATAATTAGGTCAAACAACTTGAGGTGAGATATGCTGGAGGCCTCTGCTATTAGAAAAAAAAAAAAACAAAAAAACCCTGTTTTTAAAAATCAAGACTATGTCACACTGAAATACTTCTTCTTCCTATACACAATATTGTATATGGCTTTGAAGTCTCAAGTTGTCATTTGCTATTGTCAGGGAAGCCAGCCTGATGATACAACCCAACCTGATGAAACAAGCATACAGGAGATCAGCCAAAGGTAATCTACCTCCTTCAAGGTACACCACCTTGGAAGTTCCAATTCTATACACCTCTATATAGTCGTATTCCTTAAGAGAAATAGAGTTGTTCTCTTATTTGAAGTTGAAAGCTTTCTGCTTGCCATGAATGTGTACCTCAAACGTTCAAATACAACACAACTATTTGTGAGGAAAAGTTCAGTTTAACTTAATATTTACAGTAAGTTATAGATTCCAATTAGCTCCTTCATTCCATATAGAACAAAAAATTGAGTTTAAATTTGTTGTGATCGTTTTATGGTGCAAATGTTGAACAAAGAGAAGTAAGATATTATCCTGTGGAATGTACAAATTCATTAAACAGACTATACTGGATGCCACACCAAATTACAATATCTGCAAAGAAAGCTACACACACACATACACACACACAAAATGACAGCAAGAAAAAGCGAGAAGTCAGAAAACATACTTCAAATAGCAAAACTTTGAGTGCTTTTAAAGATAATTCAATGCATACCAAGTCAGAAAGCTGCATTTCATATACGATACTTAACAAATGTGTGTTTTAAATATTAACAAAGAAAAGGAATATGAATATTATCAAATCCAATATTCCTAGGAATCATGAAAAAGAAGATATTATTATGCAATCCATACATATGTTTTAGGATTATATGTGTTGTCAACATTTGTAATTGTATTAGAATTCAGGAAAATCATCTAAGACAATATCCTTCTGAATCATATAAAAATAACATAGTCAACTGTTCATTCAATACACATGTATGCACAAGCATAAAGCAAATATCTTACTAAACCTACATATAATGATCAATTTCAACCACAAACTTATCAGGAGTCAATGTGAATGGAGGTAAAGTGATGTATCAGGAAGTAAATTTCAAAAGAATTGCAAAATTAAAATGAAATAATTATATTGATTAATAAAATAGGTTAGATTTGAAACTTTCAAAAAGAATTATTATATTTTGAACACTGACTAGAAAAAGCTGGAAAAACTAAACACGATTTATAGATGCAGAAAACATAATTTGCCCGATTTGGAGAGAAAAACAGAATATCAAATTTAAGAGAAATGTAGCATGGGAATACAGATCTTCATTAAAATCAAGAAATATCTGCATGATGAATTGCCTGTGAAAACAAAAAAAAATTAGTTTTCAAACTATTCGTTTTACCATTAATGATTTATGAGTAAGAAAGCTGGTCAGCAATGCATACCTCAACAACAACAAAAAAGGCACGTCTCATTCTTCAGATAACAAAGCACTACACAGACAGTTTATCATATCTTGCTATTTTTTTAAAGAAATCAACAAGCAGGAGTTTGAGATGCACCGCTAGAACTACATACAAAGTAAAACAAAGACAGGAAAGCTAACTAACTTAAAGATGAAATAATATACCTATTAAGAGCTGAATTGTACCCCCTTATTTTATGTCAACGTCTAAACCCCCAGTACCCCAGGATGTAACTGTATTTGTAAATAGAGCCTGTAAATGAGAAGAAATTAAATTAAATGGAGTTGAATAATGTAGGCCCTAAGTCAATATGACTGGTATTTTTATAACAGATTAGGATGCAGAAATACAGAGGGGAGACCACAGTTAAGACCCAGGGAGAAGGTAACCATCAATAAGCCAAAAAAAGAAGCATCAAAATGAAACCCACCCTGCCAACATTCTGTCTTAAATGTCTGGCTTTAAGAATTGTGAGAATAGAAATTTCTATTGTTTAACCTATCTATTCTGTGGCACTATGTTTTAGCAGTCCTAGAAAACAAATACAATGTGTATAGTCTATCTTCTCAAAAAAGAAACTCTTCTAGGTACAAAATGAAATGATCAGATCAATTAACAAAAATAGGATGGTCAGATTAACTAACAAACCTTCCCTAAGTACATACACTCTGAGGAGGAATGCAGTGGATTACAACCTATGCCTGTGTAAAACCCAATAAAATAGAAATATCTTCCTTTTTTGGTAGCCTAAAATATGTGTTAGTAAGTAAATGATTTTACTTTACAAGAACTAATAAATAACAAGATATTTAACAAACGCCAAATCCCTAAATAGCAAAGCACGCTAAAAAAAAAAAAAAAAAAAAAAAAATCACACAGGTTGACCAGATTCTACTGAATTTCAGGAACAATAGACTATATATGATAATATTTATGTTGTTTCAAATAACACTTATTGGTAACTGCAGTAAGTTATTTCTGGTCAATGACTCAAATGGTAAAAGATCGATAATCACAGCCGGGTACGGTGGCTCACGCCTGTAATCCCAGCACTTTGGGAGGCTGAGGCAAGATCACACCACTGCACTCCAGCCTGGGCAACAGAGCAAGACTCTGTCTCAAAAAAAAAAAAAAAAAAAAAAAAAAAAAAAAAAACCAAGCAAACAGACAAAAAAAGCGATAATCACTTTATATACTATTAAGGTATCCATTTACCAATTTCAAAGCAACAACATTTTTTTTTTATGGCTTCTACTACTACCACTACCACTGCTACTACTGTTACTACTACCTGCTTCATTTGCTTCTTTCGTTTTGTTTTGGAAAAATGACTGGGCTTTTGGCATGCCAGCTGGAAGAAATATAAAGAAGACAAATGTCCCTACTTTCATTGACTCACATTTTAGAATGAGATTTTAAGGTAGTATCTTCAGATAAGAGAACAAGCACAAATAAGTACCAAAAAAAAGTACAAAAGCACAAATAAGAACAAGCACAAATAAGTACAAAACATGGGCAGAATGGAACTCTGAAATGTTTTCTTATTTCTTATTGTTACAGGTAGTTAGGCATGAAGGGGGCAGGCCCCAGTGAGAAGCAACTGCCTGAGCATGCATGTTAAGAGACAAAAATGGTGAATAAAGTGTAATCTTCTGGGGGCAAACTCCACTGGAAAGGGTAAGGAAAACACTGCGCATGTGGGAAGCCACCCTTAAGGGAAGAATCATGGGAAAGACGCCAGCCTATGAAAGCCTTAGGATCCCGGTTAAACGGAGCGCTTGACCTTCTCTGTTTAACCTTCACTTGCTTGCTTGAGTCTCTTCTAAGCGCACCTTCCTTTTTTTTTTTTTTTTTCCCTGTTCTAAGGCCATTTAAATAAACTTCCATTCCTGCTAGGGAACTTGCCTTGGTCTCTTTCTGCTTTACATCCCTCAGTTGAATTCTTTCTTCTGAAAATGCAAGGGCTGAAGTTGCTGTGGATGAGTACAGATTTGCCCTTGGTAACTCGGGGTAACTTGGTTTTCAGCCACCAATAACATTATCTGAAATTCCATATTTGGGAAAATTATAACTTAGGAACTTAAAACTCAGTATAGTCATCCTTTGATATCTGTGGGGGATTTGTTCCAGGACTCCACTACAGATACCAAAATCTGTAGATGGTCAAGTCTCTTATAGAAAATGGCATAATGTTTGTATATTACTTATGCATATTCTCTCATATGCTTTAAATCATCTTAGATTAATTATAATACCTAATACAATGCAAATGGTATGTAAGTAGTTATTTTACTGTGCTGTTTTTATTTGCATTATTTTTAATTTTTGTATTGTTATTTTTTATTTTATTTTTTTCAAATATTTTTGATCTGTGATTGGTTGGATCCACAGATATGGGACCTGCGGCCATACAGGCCCTACTGCAAATGTCAATGAAAATGCATGTAAGCTTCCTGACACTTAATCATAGTTTATACATATTGGTTAAGTAAAAAAAAAAATTCTATGGCCACCTGGAATTTGAATCTAAAGTAAATTTCAAGGATATACAGTTGACCCTTGAACAACATGGGCTTGAACTGTGTGGGCCCATTTATACACAGATGTTTTTCAATAAATATATTCAGAAATCTTTTGGAGATTTTCAACAAATTGAAGAAAACTCCCAGACATATCTTGTAGCCTGGAAATATATTTTCTTAAAGTTAGATATGTCTTGAATGCATCAAATATATGTAAATACTGATAGTGTATTTTTATCATTTATTACCAGAAAATGTACAAAAATATTTTATAAAATATTAACATCTATCAAAATTCTTGCATCCAATTGCAGACAATACATGGTGCGACTTGCATGGAAAGAAATGTAAACAAATGTAAAGATGCAAGATTAAATCATAATGGCATAAACTTAACTGTAGCACATATTGTACTATTGTAATAATTTTGTAGTCACTTCCTGCTGCTATAATGGTGAGCTCAAGTGTTGGAGTATCTCCTGAAAACTCCATGTGCCTCTCAACATCTCTACATGAGCAGTTCATCTCTCCAGTAAACTGTGAATTGCAGTAGAAAGTGGCCTTTTGTGGTTCTTGCAGATTTTTCTATATGTTTAGTGCAATACTGTAAACCTTCAGTAACATCATGAAACCCATACAGAGTGCCACTTATGATGCCAGAATTGCTTCCAAGAAGTAGAGAAAAGCCATGACAGTACAAGACAATGTTGAATTGCTTCATATGTACTGAAGATTTAGTTCTGCAGCTGCAGTTGCTCACCATTTCAATATAAATGAATGCAGCTAAAGGATCATTGTAAAAACAGAAAAAAAGATCGTGAAGCTGTTGCTGCAGTTATGTCAACAAGTGCAAACATTTTACTTTTTTCAAAATACCTTTTTTATTTTGTGGTTGAAAATGCAGCTTGTATGTAAGTGCAAGTTTGCTACAGAAAGGCATACCTATAGACTCTAATAGAATCTGAGAAAAAGTAGAGTCATTATAACACAACTAAAAACAAAAGGAAGGTAAAAGATCCAAAACTGGGGAACTTAATGCCAGCAACGGATGGTTGGGAATTTATGAAAGAGGTTCGGCTTTAAAAAAATGTCAAGATAACAGGAGAAGGAGATTCTGCTGATCAAGAGACAGCAGAATGAGTTCCCAGGCACCATTAAGAAAAATAATCAAGGAGAAAGAATCTGCTTGAACAGGTTTTGAATGCAGAAAAAAGTGTCCTATCTTTGAAAAAAAAAAAATGCCACAAAGAACAATTATTAGTAAGAAAGAGAAACACCAGGATTCAAGACAAATAGGGATAGAGTAACTCTACTGTTATGCAAATGCAGTCAGATTTATGATCAGGACTGCTTTTATCTATAAAGCTGCTAACTCTTGTAGGGAAAAGATAAACATTTATCATCAGTCTTTTGGCTGTACAAGACCTGGACAATGAAAAACATTTTACTGGATGGCTTTCATCTACACTTTGTCCTTGAGGTCAGGAGTTACCTTGCCAGTAAAGGACTGCCTTTGAAGGTGCTTTTGAAATTGGACAATTACCCTGGTCTCTCAGAACCTCAGGAGCTCAACACCAAAGGTGTTGAAGTGGTCTACTTGCCCCCAAACACAAGTCTCTAATTCAGCCTCTAGAGGAGGGGAGTCATAAGGACCTTTATGTGTCATTACATATACTCTATGAAAACGGTTGTGAATGCTATGGAAGAGAACCCCAATAGAGAGAACATCATGAAAGGCTGGAAAAATTATACCATTGAAGATGCCATCATTGTTATAGAAAAAGCCATGAAACACATTCAGGCTCTCAACTGTGTCTAGACGTTGCACATGACTTCATAGGATTCATGACAGAGCCAATCCAATAAAGAATGAAAGAGACTGTGGATATGGCAAAAAAAGGTGGGTGTAGGGAGTTTCAAGATATGGATCTGAGAAATTCACCAGCTAATAGATACAACACTAGTGGAATTAACAGAAGACAACTTTATGGAGATGAGTGCTTCCAAACCAGTGCCAGATGATGAAGAAGAAGACATAGTAGAAGCAGTGGCAGTAAACAAATTGACATTAGACAATCTGGCAGAAGGGTTCTGAGTATTCAATACTGCTTTTGACTTCTTTAACCACACGGATCCTTCTATGATACAGACAGTGAAACTAAAGCAAATGATGGAAGAAGAATGGGAGGTGAGTGCTTTCAAACCAGTGCCAGATGATGAGGAAGAAGATGTAGTAGAAGCAGTGCCAGTAAACAAATTGACATTAGACAATCTGGCAGAAGGGTTCTGAGTATTCAAGACTGCTTTTGACTTCTTTAACCACACGGATCCTTCTATGATACAGACACTGAAACTAAAGCAAATGATGGAAGAAGAATGGCAGCATATAGAACAATTTTAGAGAATTAAAACAGCAAAAAGGCCGACAGAAAATATGGCGTATTTCTGAAAAGTTACTCAAGTATGTCTTCCTGTCCTGTCTCCCTTTCTACCTCTTCCACTTCTGTCTCTACCACCCCAGAGACAACAAAACCAACCTCTCCTCTTCCTCCTCTTCTTCAGCCTACTTAATATGAAGATGCTGTTGATGAAGACCTTGATGATGATGAACCACTTCCACTTAATAAATAGTAAATATATTTTCTCATTATGATTTTCTTAATAATGTTTTTTTCGCCAGCTTACTTGATTATAAAAATGTAGTACATAAAACACATAACATATACAATATGTGTTAATTGACCCTTTATGTTATTGTTAAGGCTTCTCGTCTACAGTGAGCTACTAGTAGTTATGTTTTTGAAGGGTCAGGGGTTATTTTCAAAGTTTTGACTTCAGGGGGTTGGGGTGGGGGTGACAGCTTTCCTAACCCCTGCATTGTTCAATTGTATATGTAAATGCTGCTTGCAGACTTCTGGTTAAAGTATTTCACTAAAGTCTGAGTTTAAAGTGCTTTATAGAACTATATCATTTTCTTGCCCTGTGCTATGGGTAAAGTTATTTAAACTCTTTGTGTCTCATTTTTCAACCAGTGCAATCTTCTTTTGCCATACATGACTCCAGAGTCAGGGTATTGTATCATCATCAAAACTCATATATGTTCTATATTTATTTGAAATCTTTGATAGTTTTTTCCGTTTTTTTTTAATACTCACTTTCATTGTCTTCAGACAAGGAAATTGAATTTAATTGACTTATTCAAGGGCACTAGGGCAGCTTGCATTTTTCTGTTGATTTAGATTAACAGCTTTTATTTTCCTGGTTGGATTGACCCCCTGAGCCTTGTCAACTCTTATTCCATTTCCATAAAATAGGGATAATAGTACTTAACACCTGGTTCAATTGAGTAGCTCTGTAATTATTCTCTTATACATGTAAAGTGCCTTGAAGCACAGAGTAAAGTGCTGTCTTTCAAATTTCAAGCTACTTAGAACAGAGAAGAAATAGCTTGAGAGATATTATAACTCCGATTTTTGGTTGGGCTGGCATTTGACAGAGGCATTACATATCTTTCCTGTTGCTCAAGATACTGACTTTTGGGGGGTTGCTGTGTTTTAATTTTAATAAACTACATACGAATGTAAGCATCTAAATATTGGCTTTTCAGAATAGTTATCACGGGAGACTGGACCAATAACAATTGGTCAAAATATTCTGAACACTTTATTTAATAGTTCCAAACCTCTTTCCCAATAATCTAAACCCTCTTGTACTAATCTATATTTCCTTTCTTGTACTAATCCATGTTTCTTGTACTTCTATCATTAATTTGTAATTATTGGATAATCACTTTATTTCAAAAATTAGGCTTACTCTGTATTTTCTATCATCTCCTTTTCTGACCAAGCACTTACTTACTACCAGCTTCATGGGGCAAGACTATTTGTTTATTATTATTATTGTGGTGTGGGTTATTGATATTATTTGGTAAATATGTCTTAAATTTATAGAATGCTGTCTGAAACATAATAGGTGCTAAGTGAAATTTACTGGGCTAATTAAATTTTGGAAGTTACCATTTAGAATAGATACCAATAATCATTTCTGAACATCTAGCAAAAGTATCATTACTTTATGCTCTATCATATTTTAAAACCCAATTAAGCCACCCACTCAATTCAATGGATTAAGCTCCAAAGGAGTCATGAAAACTTTAAAAAATAAAAATAAATAAATATCTTTGGTTCCAAAGATCAAAGTGAAACACTTGCACGAAAGTATTTCTCCAAATACTTGTCATTACACTGCTTTAAATTGGTTCTTTTTAATTAAAAATTTTGAGCAAAATATTGATATACTCAAATTTAGTGCATAATATCCAAGTTATTATTGCAACTGAATTATGTATAATAGCGCCTAGCATAATGGCAGCTATGTAATGTACACTCTAACAGCTAGTGTGTATACATTCTCTATTGATTCTTTCAATAGGTGACAGATTGTAAGGAGAGATTATTAAGCGAGGAAGCTAATTAATAAACAGAATTAAGCCGTGGAAAATTACATAGTACTTTATTAGATGTCAGAGTATATAGTATGCAATGTGTCAACCTTAACCCTAGTGATCTGACTTAAAAAAAAAATAAAAGTACAACACACGCATGCTGTTTAAAGTCTTCCTAAAGAGTATTTGATTTGCAGATGTTTTTGTTGTGCAGTTTGGATCAGTCTTAAATATCGTTCACTGTGCATTAAAAATTTAGGCTTCAGTAATGCTTAAAGTAATTGATGTTTTAAACCATGTGGAAAAAGAAAACTACAATTATTTGTAAGGAATTAAATTTTAATTAGTTTCCCCTACTTCCCACCTTTATGCTCTTAAAAAGTAAAACCTTATGAAACTTGCTCTCCCTAATGTGTTTTCTTATAGCCCAGCATTTGCACATGTTCATCTCTATCTCTGACTTCACTGAAATCACTTCAATTTATTTTTTTGGAGTTCATAAAGATGCAATTTCTTATACAAATTTTTTTCTTAGTCTTTCAAGGTCAGGCTATATGTGCATGAAAAGATTTGCAATTTATCTATGAATTTCCTCATTGAGAGCATAGGTTCAAGAAAGTAAAGACTTGACTTTACAATGATAATCACTATATGTATAGTGTCTAAAAATTTTCAGATACTTAGTAGGCATTTCAAATATAGCAAAAAAGAAGTTTTGATTGTAAATAGGAATATAAAGGACTATAGAAAGGTGCAATAAATAAGAGCGCTCAATGAAGTTGTATCATTCTTTTATTAGCTAGATTAGTTCTTATTATACTGTAATAAATTATCACAAATTTAGTGACATAAAACAACATGAGAGAGGTTCCAAGATGGCTGAATAAGAACAGCCCCAGTCTACAGCTCCCAGTGTGAGCAACACAAAAGACAGGTGATTTCTGCAGTTCCAACTGAGGCACCAGGTTCGTCTCACTGGGGCTTGTCGGACAGTGGGTGTAGGACAGTGGGTGCAGGACAGTGGGTGCAGCCCACAGACCGTGAGCCAAAGCAGGGCGAGACATCACCTCACCTGAGAAGCACAAGGGGTCGGGGAATTCATTTTCCTAGCCAAGGGAAGCCATGGCAGACAGCACCTGGAAAATCAGGTCACTACTGCCCTAATACTGTGTTTTTCCAATGGTCTTAGCAAATGGCACACCAGGAGATTATATCCCGTGCCTGGCTCAGAGGGTCCCACGCCCACGGAGCCTTGCTCACTGCTAGCACAGCAGTCTGAGATCGAACTGCAAGGCGGCAGTGAGGCTGGGCGAGGGGCACCCACCATTGCTGAGGCTTGAGTAGGTAAACAAAGTGGCCAGGAAGCTCGAACTGGGTGGAGCCCACTGCAGCTCAAGGAAGCCTGCCTGCCTCTGTAGACTCCACCTCTGGGGGCAGTGCATAGCTGAGCAAAAGACAGCAGAAACTTCTTCAGACTTAAATGTCCCTGTCTGACAGCTTTGAAGAGAGTAGTGATTCTCCCAGCATGGGGTTTGAGATCTGAGAAGGGACAGACTGCCTCCTCAAGTGGGTCTCTGACCCCCGAGTAGCCTAACTGGGGGGCACCTCCCAGTAGGGGCCAACTGACACCTCATACAGCTGGGTGCCCCTCTGAGAGGAAGCTTACAGAGGAACAATCAGGCAGCAACATTTGCCGTTCTGCAATATTTGTGGTTCTGCAGCCTCCGCTGGTGATACCCAGGCAAACAGGGTCTGGAGTGGACCTCCAGCAAACTCCAACAGACCTGCACCTGAGGGTCCTGACTGTTAGAAGGAAAACTAACAAACAGAAACGATACCCACACCAAAACCCCATCTGTACGTCACCATCATCAAAGACCAAAGGTAGATAAAACCACAAAGATGGGGAGAAACCAGAGCAGAAAAGCTGAAAATTCTAAAAATCAGAGCGCCTCTTATCCTCCAAAGGAAAGCAGCTCCTCGTCAGCAAAGGAACAAAGCTGGACAGAATGACTTTGATGAATTGAGAGAAGAAGGCTTCAGAAGATCGGTAATAACAAACTTCTCCGAGCTAAAAGAGGATGTTCGAACCCATTGCAAAGAAGCTAAAAACCTTGAAAAAAGATCGGACTAATGGCTAATTAGAATAAACAGCATAGAGAAGACCTTAAATTACCTGATGGAGCTGAAAACCATGGCACAAGAACTACGTAATGCATGCACAAGCTTCAGTAGCCGAGTCGATCAACTGGAAGAAATGGTATCAGTGATTGAAGATCAAATGAATGAAATGAAGTGAGAAGAGAAGTTTAGAGAAAAAAGAGTAGAAAGAAATGAACAAAGCCTCCAAGAAATATGGGACTATGTGAAAAGACCAAATGTACGTCTGATTGGTGTACCCAAAAGTGATGGGGAGAATGGAACCAAGTTGGAAAACACTCTGAAGGATATTATCCAGGAGAACGTCCCCAATCTAGCAAGGCAGGCCAACATTCAAATTCAGGAAATACAGAGAACACCACAAATATACTCCTCGAGAAGAGCAACTCCAAGACACATAATTGTCAGATTCATCAAAGTTGAAATGAAGGGAAAAATATTAAGGGCAGCCAGAGAGAAAGGTCAGGATACCCACAAAGGGAAGCCCATCAGACTAACAGCAGATCTCTTGGCAGAAAGTCTACAAGCCAGAAGAGAGTGGGGGCCAATATTCAACATTCTTAAAGAAAAGAATTTTCAACCCAGAATTTCCTATCCAGCCAAACTAAGCTTCATAAGTGAAGGAGAAATAAAATCCTTCACAGACAAGCAAATGCTGAGAGATTTTGTCACCACCAGGCCTGCCCTACAAGAGCTCCTGAAGGAAGCACTAAACATGGAAAGGAACAACCGGTACCAGCCACTACAAAAACGTGACAAATTGTAAAGACCATTGATGCTAGGAGGAAACCGCATCAACTAACAAGCAAAATAACCAGCTAATATCATAATGACAGGATCAAATTCACACATAACAATATTAACCTTAAATGTAAATGGCCTAAATATTCCAATTAAAAGACACACACTGGCAAATTGGATAAAGAGTCAGGACCCATCAGTGTGCTGTACTCAGGAGATCCATCTCACATGCAGAGACACCCATAGGCTCAAAATAAAGGGATGGAGGAAGATCTACCAAGCAAATGGAGAACAAAAAAAAAAAGCAGGGGTTGCAATCCTAGTCTTTAATAAAACAGACTTTAAACCAACAAAGCTCAGAAGAGACAAAGAAGGCCATTACATAATGGTAAAGGGATCAATTCAACAAGAAGATCTAACTATCCTAAATTTATATGCACCCAATACAGGAGCACCCAGATGAAATAAAGCAAGTCCTTATAGAACTACAAAGAGACTTAGACTCCCACACAATAATAATGGGAGAACTTTAACACCCCGCTGTCAACATTAGACAGATCCACGAGACAGAAAGTTAACAAGGATATCCAGGAATTGAACTCAGCTCTGCACCAAGCAGACCTAATAGACATCTACAGAACTCTCCACCCCAAATCAGCAGAATATACATTCTTCTCAGCACCACATCATGCTTATTCCAAAACTGACCACATAGTTGGAAGTAAAGCACTCCTCAGCAAATGTAAAAGAACAAAATTTATAACAAACTCTCTTTCAGACCATAGTGCAATCAAACTAGAACTCAGGATTAAGAAACTCACTCAAAACCGCTCAACTACATGGAAACTGAACAACCTGCTCCTGAATGACTACTGGGTACATAACAAAATGAAGGCAGAAATAAACATGTTCTTTGAAACCAATAAGAAAAAAGACACAACCTACCAGAATCTCTGGGACACATTTAAAGCAGTGTGTAGAGGGAATTTATAGCACTAAATGCCCATAAGAGAAAGTAGGAAAGATCTAAAATTGACACCCTAACATCACAATTAAAGGAACTAGAGAAGCAAGAGAAAACACATTCAAAAGCTAACAGAAAGGCAAGAAATAACTAAGATCAGAGCAGAACTGAAGGAGATAGAGACACAAAAAAAACCTTCAAAAAATCAACGAATCCAGGAGCTGGTTTTTTGAAAAGATCAACAAAATTGATAGACCACTAGCAAGACTAATAAAGATGAAAAGAGAGAAGAATCAAATAGATGCAACAAAAATGATAAATGGGATATCATCACTGATCCCACAGAGATACAAACTACCATCAGAGAATACTATAAATACCTCTATGCAAATAAACTAAAAAATCTAGAAGAAATGGATAAATTCCTGGACACATACACCCTCCCAAGTCTAAACCAGGAAGAAGTTGAATCCCTGAATAGACCCATAACAGGCTCTGAAATTGAGGCAATAATTAAGAGCCTACCAACCAAAAAAAGTCCATGACCAGATGGATTCACAGCCAAATTCTACCAGATGTACAAACAGGAGCTGGTATCATTCTTTCTGAAACTATTCCAATCAACAGAAAAGGAGGGAATCTTCCCTAACTCATTTTATGAGGCCAGCATCATCGTAATACCAAAGCCTGGCATAGACACAACAAAAAAGGAGAATTATAGACCATTATCCCTGATGAACATCGATGCAAATATCTTCAATAAAATACTGGCAAACCGAATCCAGCAGCACATCAAAAAGCTTATCCACCATGATCAACTGGGCTTCATCCCTGGGATGCAAGGCTGGTTCAACATACACAAATCAATAAACGTAATCCAGCATAGAAACTGAACCAAAGACGAAAACCACATGATTATCACAATAGATGCAGAAAAGGCCTTTGACAAAATTCAACAGTCCTTCATGCTAAAAACTCTCAATAAATTAGGTATTGATGGGATGTATCTCAAAATAATAAGAGCTATTTATGACAAACTCACAGCCAATATCATACTGAATGGGAAAAAACTGGTAGCATTCCCTTTGAAAACTGGCACAAGACAGGGATGCCCTCTCTCACCACTCCTTTTCAACATAGTGTTGGAAGTTCTGGCCAGGGCAATCAGGCAGGAGGAAGAAATAAAGGGTATTCAGTTAGGAAAACAGGAAGTCAAAGTGTCCCTGTTTGCAGATGACATGATTGTATATTTAGAAAACCCCATCGTCTCAGCCCAAAATCTCCTTAAGCTGATAAGCAACTTCAGCAAAGTCTCAGGATACAAAATCAATGTGCAAAAACCACAAGCATCCTTATACACCAATAACAGACAAACAGCCAAATCCTGAGTGAACTCCCATTCACAATTGCTTCAAGGAGAATAAAATACCTAGGAATCCAACTTACAAGGGATGTGAAGGACCTCTTCAAGGAGAACTACAAACCACTGCTTTATGAAATAAAAGAGGACACAAACAAATGGAAGAACATTCCATGCTCATGGATAGGAAGAATCAATATCATGAAAATGGCCATACTGCCCAAGGTAATTTATAGATTCAATGCCATCCCCATCAAGCTACTAATGACTTTCTTCACAGAATTGGAAAAAACTACTTTAAAGTTCATATGGAACCAAAAAAGAGTCCGCATTGCCAAGACAATCCTAAGCCAAAAGAACAAAGCTGGAGACATCATGCTACCTGACTTCAAACTATACTACAAGGCTACAGTAACGAAAACAGCATGGTACTGGTACCAAAACAGAGATCTAGACCAATGGAACAGAACAGAGCCCTCAGAAATAATACTACACATCTACAACCATCTGATCTTTGACAAACCTGACAAAAACAAGAAATGGGGAAACGATTCCCTATTTAATAAATGGTGCTGGGAAAACTGGCTAGCCATATGTAGAAAGCTGAAACTGGATCCCTTCCTTACAACTTATACAAAAATTAATTCAATAGGAATTAAAGACTTAAATGTCAGACCTAAAACCATAAAAAGCATAGAAAAAAACCTAGGCAATACCATTTAGGACATAGGCCTGGGCAAGGACTTCATGTCTAAAACACCAAAAGCAATGGCAACAAAAGCCAAAATTGACAAATGGGATCTAATTAAACTAAAGAGCTTCTGCACAGCAAAAGAAACTACCATCAGAGTAAACAGGCAACCTACAGAATGGGAGAAAATGTTTGCAATCTACCCATCTGACAAAGGGCTGATATCCAGAATCTACAAAGAACTCAAACAAATTTACAAGAAAAAATCAAACAACCCCATCAAAAAGTGGGTGAATGATATGAACAGACACTTCTCAAAAGAAGACATGTATGCAGCCAACAGACACATGAAAAAATGCTCATCATCACTGGCCATCAGAGAAATGCAAATCAAAACCACAATGAGATACCATCTCACACCAGTTAGAATGGTGTGCTGGAGAGGATGTGGAGAAATAGGAACACTTTTACACTGTTGGTGGGACTGTAAACTGGTTCCACCATTGTGGAAGACAGTGTCGCGATTCCTCAGGGATCTAGAACTAGAAATACCATTTGACCCAGCAATCCCATTACTGGGTATATACCCAAAGGATTATAAATCATGCTGCTATAAAGACACATGCACATGTATGTTTATTGTGGCACTATTCACAATAGCAAGGACTTGGAACCAATCCAAATGTCCATCAATGATAGACTGGATTAAGAAAATGTGGCATATATACACCATGGAATACTCTGCAGCCATAAAAAAGGATGAGTTCATGTCCTTTGTAGGGACATGGATGAAGCTGGAAACCATCATTCTGAGCAAACTCTCACAAGGACAGAAAACCAAACACCGCATGTTCTCACTTATAGGTGGGAATTGAACAATGAGAACACTTAGACACAGGGTGGGGAACACCACACACCAGGGCCTGTCTTGGGGTCGGGGAAGTGGGGAGGGATAGCATTAGGAGATATACCGAATGTAAATGACGAGTTAATGGGTGCAGCACACCAGCATGGCACATGTATACATATGTAACAAACCTGCACATTATGCACATGTACCCTAGAACTTAAAGTATAATAAAAGAAAAAAAAGAAAAAAGAAAAAAAACAACACAGATGTATTATCTTACATGTTTGTAGGTCAGAAGTCTGATGTAAGTTCCACTGGGCAATAATCAGGTTGCTGGCAAAGCCACATTCCTTTTTGGGGGTTCTAAAGGAGAACCTATTTTCTTGCCTTTTTCAGATTTAAGAAGCTGCCTTTATCAGCCTTTGGCTCTCTTACATATTCAAAGCTAGTAACACTTGTTTTTCTCACAGTACTTCACACTGACCATGAGGGTTTTGCTTTCCTCTTCCACATTTAAAGACCTGTGGGATCACATTTGGCTCCTTCCTAATAATCCAATTATTCCTAGGAATAACTAGGATTAGATTCCTAATCTTCCTATTTTAAGGTCAGTTTATTAACAACTGATATGAATGGAATTGGTCCTTCCCCAAATTCCTTTGTTGAAGCTTGAACTCCCAGTGGAACTATATTTAGAGAAAAAATCTTTTTTTGTTATTGTTTTGTTTTTTCTGAGATGGAGTTTCATTCTTGTCCCTCAGGCTAGAGTGCAGTAGCAAGATCTTGGCTCACTGCAACCTGTGCCTCCGGGGTTCAAGTGATTCTCTTGCCTCAGCCTCCCGAGTAGCTGGGATTACAGGCAAGCATCATCATGCCAGGCTAATTGTGTATTTTTAGTAGAGACAGGTCTTGTCATCTTAGCCAGGCTAGTCTCAAACTCCTGACCTCGGGTGATCCTCCCACCTCAGCCTCCCAAAGTGCTGAGATTACAGGCGTGAACCACTGTGCCCAGCAGCAGAAAAAATCTTGAAGGGGGAAATTGAGGTTATACAAGGTCCTAAGTGTGACATTCTAATCCAATAGGGCAGGTGTCCTCATAGGAAAAGGAAGAGACACCAGGGGTGTACATGCTAGAAGGAAAGGCCACATGAGGACATAATGAGAATGTGACCACTGCAAGTCAAGGAGAGAAGTCTCAGGAGAAACCAAACCTCCTGGCAACTTGATTTTGGACTTCTAGCTTCCAAAATGTTGCAAAAATAAATTTCTGTTTTTTAAGCCATCTGGTCAGTGATATTTTATTATGGCAGTCCTAGCAGCCATATATAGCAGCATTAATTGCATATGCTATCTTAATTTCTGTTGTGCCTTATAACACTTTTACCAGCTCTGGGATGTATGACATGTGTGGACATCTTTGGAGCTTATTTTGCCACCATAATAGTCTATGAGTGAAGAAAGGAAATTCCCTTTTCACAACAATGATGATGCAAGGACCCCAGATTTCCTCTTTTTTCAGTTTGGCAAATAGGCAAGGACAAAGAAAAATAAATTAAATTTAACAAATTGTCAAGAAATAAACACCATACAGACGTTTTTACCAAGGTGGAGAGGCCTGAATGGGATAAAGTCATTATTTTAAACAGTGTATGTTTTGTTGATAGTGAGAGGGGTGTGAGGGGTGTTATTTCTGAGGATTTCTTTTTTAAGAATTCTAGGAAATCAGAGCATAGTGTAGAGGAAGCAAAACTTTACCTCTTCCTTGTTTGTATTTTTATTCATCTGGATGTGATCATTACTTTAACGTGACAAGTGGGAGAAAAGCATGCAAATTTATTTCTTATAAGTTTTAGGTGACAAGGAGCTCTCATAAGGAAATGAAGGCTCAAAGAAGCAGTTAAAGTCAAACACCATATACTGAATTGGACAGAGTAGTAAACTGTGAAAATGTAATCAAGTAAAGGAACTTGGGCAAGGGTAGTTAATTGAGTAGAGAAGTGACTAGGAGTAAAAAGGATTACATTAACAAGCTTATTTTTTTTTATAGATTTCCCTTGGCTTTCAATTTTTTATCCTTGATGAAAACAATGTTACTTTCAGGCTAGGACATTAGCAAGATGGCCGATTTGAAGCTAATAGCACTCTCCTCTTCCCATAAAAACCCCAAAGCAACAAATAAAGATCTAAATTTTGACCAAAATAACTAACGAAGAGCATCAGAGAACAGCAAAGAAGCAGGAGGAATCCTTTAGAGCACAGAAACCCAGGATGGCTGCATAGAGAAGGGGAGAAAACACATTGGCTCTGCCGCATCATCTCCTGGGTCAGAATCAACACAGAACCAGGAGGAGCTTCTCACTGTGGGGGAAAGGGAAGTAAATGGACCCCAGCAGCTCCAGTCACCACCTTGGACACCTGTAGTCTTCTCTACTGGACATTCCTTTGTACCTCCCAAGCTTTGAACCGGCTGAGGGAGTTCCCTGGAGTCAACAGGGCTGAGCTAGCCACAGAGAAGCTGAGACTGTGCCCCACACCACTGTGGTCTGTGCTGCTACTGCTTTGCACTATTTTGGAACTGGAGACTCTTCTAGAATGCGTCCTGCTCTGGGGATGAGTAGCCATTGCATCCCTTTATCCCTGAGGCTCAGCTACCACTGCACCATGATTACCTGGTAACATACCATCCCCCAGCAGAGCTAATGCTCCATCTTACCCTTTAGGGGCAAGTTACTGCAGAGCAATTCCTACTCAATTATCTCAATTGCTAGGGCAGCCTCCTTTTAGAGTCACAGCTGAGATCACAAATGACCCCGCCCTGTCTAGGACCTCAGGCCTCTGGCATACAGGAGCAGTTATGCCCCCTGGCACCACAGCTAAGGCAGGACCCTGCATTCCATGGGGTCTAATACTCTGGCAAACTTGGGCAGTTGCACCTCCCAGCACCACAGCTGATGTGGTACCCCACCTGCAGGGATCCAGAGGCTCCACTGACCCATGGAACCACACTTTCTGTGGCCAGATAGACACAGTGTCTCACATTTCAGGGAATCAAAGGATTACCTGAGCTGTTTGGCCCTCCAGGCTGAACAAGCATAGATGGAACTGTGGAACTAGTTAGAGCTACTTGAAACTCGATGGCCCCTTGAGGTCTAAATGGCTGAGACATCTGCTCTTCCAGGTAGTAGAATCATCACTACACTGATCCCTAAGTCCCAATTCACAGTAGCACCTCGCCATTTCTAGGTTCTTGCTGCTGCTGCACCTGGCCTCACAAAGACTGGGTTACTGCTATTTCCTAACATCCTAACTGAGCTACTGATGTTTCCCAACATTCTAGGATCTAGTGTCACCTTATCTTCCAGGGCCTGAGCTGCCACTGTGCTCTGTTGGTTCTGAGTCTCAAATTGCAACTCTGCCCTATCTCTGGGGTCCAAACCCCTGGAGTCCTCCTTTTTTCCTGAAACTATGTTATGCTGTGCCCTGATCCCCAGTGTCAGAATTGCAGCTACATCCCAGACCCCTGAGACCAAGGTGCTTGGGTGTACTTCAGAACTACAGACTCCAGCTAAGTGAGAGAACTGTATGCATTTGTTTCTTGGAGAGTGAACTTCTGCCTCAAGTCTCAGGTGCTATACTAGAGTCTCAAGACTCGAAACCACGAATCTGGCTTCACAGCTTCTCCAAGCACCTGTGCCCTGAATCCCTGTGCCACTGTGGCTGTGTGTGAGCCGTGTCAGTCCCAATACCAAGAGAAATCCCCTTAGCTAAGACTCCTCACTGTGAGGAAGACAAGAACAGGAGAATACCTAAAGACCCCGCCCCAATGACCTATGCAGCCACCATCACTGCCACAAACTCCTATAGCCTAGACAACGGAGGCACCCAGTTATTGCTAACGTTGATTACAACAACAACAAAAAGTTGCGTGGAGACTAAACAACTGCACCCACACAAAAACCAGTGCCACCATACCCTGCCCAACCCAGCACCTTCTGGCCCATCTGCAAGTAAATGTATTCTCCTACCAAAGCCATTCGCTAAACTTTGAAATAGGTGGCTGCAACACCAGATGCACAGAAATCAACGAAGAGACATAAACAACATGAAAATGAAAGGGGACATGACAACACCAAGGGAATATAATAATCCTCCAATAACTGACCCCACGAAAACAAATTTATAAGTTGTTTAAAAAATAATTGAAAATAATGATCTTAAGAAAATTCAGTGAAAAACAATAAAATACAAATAGGCAATTCAATGAAATCAGGAAAACAAAACAATTCATAATCAAAATAAGACATTCAGCAAACAAATGAACGTCATTACAAAGGGTAAAACAAAACTGTTGTTGCTAAAGTATTCAGTGAAATAATTTTAAAAAAACATGAGCTACAATAGAAGACTATATCAAGCAAAAGAAAGAATCCATGAAGCAAGGTCATTTAAAATGACTCAAATCAGAAGAAAAAAAACCAAGAATAATATAAAAAAGAGTAGAGACAGCCTATGAGACTTATTGGACACTATTAAGTGAACAAATATTCACATAGAGTTTCAAAAAATGAAAAGATAGAGCAATGACAGAAAGTTTATCTAATGCAATACTTGCTGAAAACTTCCCAAGTCTTGGAAGAGATATGTACATCCAAATTCATGAAGCTCAATAGTCCCCAAATGGATGGAACTTGAAGAGATCCTTTCAAAGGTACATTATAATTAAACTGTCAACAGTCAAAGGCAGAGAATTCTAAAAGCAGTGAGAGAAAACTGTGAAGTCACATATAAGAGAAAAACCATTAGACTATTAACAGATTTATCAGCAGAAACTTTGCAGGCCAGAAGTGACTGAGATGATACATTCAAGGGACTAAAAAGAAAAAGAAAACTGCCAGCCAAGAGTACTATTCGCAGCTAATCTATCCCTCAGAAATAAAAGATAAATAAATTCAGTCCCGCAGAAGCAAAAGCTGAGGAATCATTACCATTACATACACCTTACAAAAAAAAGCTTAAGGCAGTTCTTCAAACCCAAACAAATAAAAAGTGATAAGTACAATGAATAAATATGAAAGTATAAAAATCACTGGTAAAGATCAATATTTAGTCAAATCCAGAATACTCTAATACTGTGGTATACATTAATAAGTCTATTAATACATTTCTCTAATATCAAATTTAGAGATATGTCAAAGTATCTAAGGCTACAAGAAGTTATTGAGGAATCTACAGTATAAAAAGATACATTGTGACATCACAAATTAAATTGTAGGATGGTAGGAAGGTAAAACTCTAGAGTTTTTATTTGTGACAGCATTTAATTATCAGCTTAAAATAGGCCTTCGTAATTATAATTTTTATGTAAGCCTCACAGGAACCACAATACAAAAAGCTACAGCAGTTATACAAACATTAAAGATTAAGGAATCAAAGCATAACACTTCAAAAAAGTATCAAATTACAAAGGTTGACAAGAGATGAAGAAGGAAACAAAAGAGCTACAAAACAACCAGAACGTAAATAACAAAATAGCAAGTCTTTATTTATCAATAAAAAACTGTAAATGAATTAAATTGACTAATTGAAAGCATAGAATGGCAATTATTAAAAAGTCAAGAAACAACAGATGCTGATGAGGTGACAAAGAAATAGGAGCACATTTACACTGTCGGTAGAAATGTAAACTAGTTCAACCTTTGTGGAAGACAGTGTGGTGATTCCTGAAAGACCTGGAACCAGAAATACCATTTGACCCAGCAATCCTATTACTGGGTATATACCCAAAGGAATATAAATTATTCTATTATAAAGATATATGTATGCATATGTTCATTGCAGCACTATTCACAATAGCAAGCACATGGAATCAACCCAAATGACCATCAATGATAGACTAGATAAAGAAAATATGGTACATATACACCATGGAATATTATGCAGCCATAGAAAGGAACAAGATCATGTTCTTTGCAGGACATGGATGGAGTTGGAAGCCATTATTCTCAACAAACTAAGACAAGAGCAGAAAACCAAACACCACATGTTCTCACTTACAAGTGGGAGCAAAATGATGAGAACCCATGGACATATAGAGGGGAACAACACACCCTGGGGCCTATCAGAGGGTAGAAAGTGGGAGGAGGGAAAGGATCAGGAAAAATACAAATGGATACTAGGCTTAATACCTGGATGCTGACATAATCTGTATAACAAATCCCCATGAAACACAGTTACCTATGTAACAAACCTGCACATCCTGCACATGCACCCCTGAACTTAAAACAAAAATTAAAAAAAAAAAAGAAATGAAGATGTACCACAGAATTTAAAGTGCCCCATTTGCAGCTCTTCCCTTGACCAGGACTCAACAGATGCAGAATGGGACAGTTGGCAGGAGGAAGGCTTGGATAAAGTCACCAAAGGAACTGTTGGCTATTGACTCATGGTTTAAGTTTGTTTAATTGTTTTGCCAAAGTCAATATGTTGCTCTTATGTGGAAATAGAAATAATGAGGATATTGGGGGGATGGTTCTGATTTTTTGACAGAGCTGCAGTAGTCTTAAATAAAAAGAATAGAGATTGGACCCAGAAAAGAAAGACTTGGGGCAAAAACATCCACTGCTTCTTTTAAGATTTTAATGAAAACTAATGTCCTCAAAGAAAAGAAATGTAACCCCTTGGAAAGCAGTCTTATAATATGGAGGAAATGGCAGCTTTTTGATAACAGTTTCATTTGTAATTTTTTTTTCTTTTGAGACGGGGTCTTGCTCTGTTACCCAGGCTGGAGTGCAGTGGTGTGATCTTGGCTCACTGCAACCTCTGCCTCCTGGGTTCAAGCAATTCTCCTGCCTCAGCCTTCCGAGTAGCTGGGATTAAAGGCATGCACCATCATGCCTGGCTAAGTTTTGTATTTTTAGTAGAGATGGGATTTCACCATGTTGGCCAGGCTGGTCTTGAACCCCTGACTTCAGGTGATCGACCCACCTCGGCCTCCCAAAGTGCTGGGATTACAGGCGTGAGCCACCATGCCTGGCCTCATTTGTGAATATTGTAAATATCTTGTAACTAGAAATTGTGATGTGAATAAAAACCTGTAATTTTCTTTTTTTTTAAAAAAAAAAAAGAAGAAATGCCTGAGGCTGGGTAACTTATAACAAAAGGTGTTTAATTGGATAATGGTTCCACAGGCTGTACAGGAAGCATGGTAGCATCTGCTTCTGGGGAGGCCTCAGGAAACTTTTACTCATGGTGGAAGGCAAATGGGAGCAGCCATCATCTTACCTGGCAGGAACAGGACGAAGAGGGGAGGAGGTGCCACACACCTTTAAACAACCAGATCTCATGAGAACTCACTCACTATCACAACATAGTCCCAAGAAAAAATCCACCCCCATAATCCAATCACCTCCCACTGGGTCCCACCTCCAACACTGAAGACTACAGGACATTATGCTAAATAAAATATACCAAACACAGAAAAAAAAAAAAAAAATCACATGATCTCACTCTTTTTTTTTTTTTTTTTTTTTTTCTTGAGGTGGAGTTTCACTCTTTCTGCCCAGGCTGGAGTGCCATGACACCATCTTGGTTCACTGCAACCTCTGCATCCAGTTCAAGTGATTCTCCTGCCTCAGCCTCCAGAGTAGCTGGAATTACAGGCGTGCACCACCACACCTGGCTAATTTTGTACTTTTAGTAGAGACGGGATTGCGCCATGTTGGCCAGGCTGGTCTCAAATTCCTGACCTCAGATGATCTACCCACCTTGGCCTCCCAAAGTGCTGGGATTACAGGCATGAGCCACTGTGCCTGACCACATGATCTTACTTTTAAGTCAAATCTAAAAAAATAAATAAATAAACATACAAACATAGAGAACAGAAAAGTGGTTGGAGGTGTATGGAGAGAAGTCGATCAGGAGATCTAAGCAGCAGATATGTAGAATGAACAAGACTAGAGATCTAATGTACAACACGAGGACTGAAGGTAATAAAAGTGCTATATATGAAAAGTAAATAAATAAAACAGATAATATATGAAAAAGAATGTTACTGTTTTTCCGTTTAGGGAGGACAACTTTCATATGGAAATTTTATCTCCTGTTTACAAGAAACAGAACGAAGGTCAGAGTCATATCAAAATGGTCAATATGCTAAAGCAGCATATTTGGATTGGCATATTCTTAAGTCCTTAAATAGCAAAAAGATCCAATCAAAAATTCAAGAGACACAGAGGAAATTCTTAGTAAGAGATAGTGAAGCTGGAGAGAAAGTAAAATAAGATAAATCATAGTAAATAAGTTGTTGAGGTCGGGCGTGGTGGCTCACACCTGTAATCCGAGCACTTTGGGAGGCTGAGGTGGGCGGATCACTTGAGGTCAGCAGTTCAAGAGCAGCGTGGCCAACATGGTGAAACCCTGTCTCTACTAAAAATAAAAAAAAAATTAGTCGGGCATGGGGGCGGGCAACTATAATCCCAGCTACTGAGGGAGGCTAAGGCAGGAGAATCGCTTGAATCCAGGAGGCAGAGGGTCCAGTGAGCCGAGATCATGCCACTACACTCCAGCCTGGGTGACAGAGTCTAGATGAGGGTGAGAAAGTGAGACTCTGTCTCAAAAAAAAAAAAAAAAAAATGTGAAAATTCCTTTCTAGCACCAAGAATCACCCTTTGTAAGCTGAGGGGAAGCTCAGACCAAAAAGACCAATCCAGGTTGGTAGGTGGTCAAAGATTTACTTAGAGGAAACTTAAAAAAGAGCAAGCTTTGGTGGCAGCAAGATGAGGTAGATCTCTGGGCTTGCAGTGCATGCTCATTAGTCTTTCATACCATGAAAAGAAAAAGGAAAGAAAAAAAAAAGAGTCACTGAAGGCATACTGAGCCACCTGATTGCTTTCTTAAATCTATTTACTTTCTTTCTTTTTCTTTTTCTTTTTTTTTTTTTTTTTAAGACAGAGTTTTGCTCTGTTGCCCAGGCTGGAGTGCAGTGGCTTGAGTTTGGCTCACTGCAAGCTCCACCTCCCGGGTTCAAGAGATTCTTCTGCCTCAACCTCCCGAGTAACTGGAACTACAGGCATGCACCACCACGCCTGGCTAATTTTTGTATTTTTAGTAGAGATGGGGTTTCACCATGTTGGCCACGCTGGTTTCGAACTCCTGACCTCGTGATCCACCCACCTCAGTCTCTCATAGTGCTGGGATTATAGGCATAAGCCCCCGCGCCAGTACTTAAATCCATTTACTTTCTACTTAAAGGAATTGTTTGTGTTCCCTGCAATCTGGTCAACATTGCCAAGGGGAATGTTGACAGAAGCAGCAGTTACCTTGGTGCTGGTATGCTTCCTCCTGTGGCTGCATCCTACAACTCACTTTGTGGTCACATACCCAGAATACATTTTCACAACATAATTCTTTCGTTTTCCATGTTAATGATCATTTTTTAATTGTAAAAGGCAGTGAATTTAAAAACACTTCTACATGTATTATTTGTTTGATTCTGTCAGAGATCTTATAGAAGATATATCTTTCATTCTATTTTTACAGATGAAGGACTAGAAATTCAGAGAAGCTAAAGTTCTTGAGAAAGTTAACATTTGTATCTAGATTTTCCAACACAAAGTTCAGGCCATTTTTCATTACCCCAAGGAGATGAATTTACTCTGAGCCAAAATTAAATGGAATACAAGACCCAGAATAGGAGCAAATCTACCTCTGTGGTACAGTTAGCTCACCTATAAAATGAAATATTGGAGTGAGTATAATCTCCAAGGTTCATGCAATTCAAAAACCTCTATGAGTAACCTTTCCCTGCTTTTATAGCAGACCAAATATCTTCTTCATTGACAATTTTTTCTTATAAGTTTCATATAAAAGCAATTTGTCATGTAAGTTTCCTATGTATTTCTTCTCTAGCCATTAGACACTGACTTCGTAGTTTTAATTCTCAAAGTCCAAATTATTTGATGATGGGAGTGGATTACTAACTTATTGTAGTCTTCACAAATGCTAGTCAAGTTGGAGAAGGTCACAGAATTAATAACAGAAATTCTATCACAACCAAGCCTCTTGACACTGAGATTAGTGATTTTTTGTAACACCATGCTGTCTATCATATCTATCTAGATAGCTCATCTGTATGTATTACTGGTTAAATTGCTTTCTTCTTCTCAAGATTTTTTTACCCTTCTTCTTTGGTTTTTCGTGTGTGTGTGTGTGTGTGTGTGTGTGTGTGTGTGTGTGTCTGCCATTTGATACCTTTCCGCAAGTAGAAAATTGCCTATAGAACTAAAGTGCAGTTTGGAAAGATAAGATGTCAATTATGTTGGACATTCAGAAATGATGTATGATTGTCCTGAGTTAGAAGACTGTGCAGGATTATTTTTGCTTTCCTCTCATTGGCTAAATAATCTCCCTCTCAGCTTAAATCCCAGTTGTAACAATTAGCTCAAATAATTGTGTGCATAGCATTCTCATTGCACTGAAAGATATATTTCAAATTTTACTTTTAGTGTCACCTCCATTGTGGCTCATATGTTACCATAAAAATGGATTTTGCTTATGTGTGAAATTAGACAGTGTTTCCCAGAAAGGAAAAGCATTTTCCACATGAAATGAAGCTGGGAAATGGGAAAATGTTACCCAACATAGTCTTAAACATTATATTATGCCCAGCAAAAGCTAAGAACTCAGTTACAAACTGCTCATTTTACAAGTGCTTTGCAAATGTCCTAATTTATTGCCATGACATCCACAAGAGAGGTTGGTTAAGTAATCCAGATATTCTAAAATGCTAACAGTGTCAACATCTGCAATCTAAATTTAACAAAAAAGTGTTTTACTGTGTTCAATATATTTTATACTTAGAGAGGTAGAAATATGTTGCTATAAAAAAGTATCTAGGGTAATGAAACTTACGGTGTTTGGGGGTTTGTAAATTATTCAGTGTTAAGCTCTTCTTACAGTATTTACCCTAGCTAGCTTTATAACATAATCTCTCCTGCTATATATCATTCCATCTTCAGTTTCAAAATAAGCTTTTAAAAAATTTTTAATAAAAAACATGAACTTTTAGAAGGGCTTTAATTTTCTAATTTTCTTAAATAAGAGTTATTTATTGCCTTTATTACCCCAACTTAATAACTAATATGAGACTAGTAAATAATGTTGCTACAGTATACATTTACAGCTTTGTTTTTTACATGTTAGCATAACCTATTCTACATATTATACTAAATGCACATAGAAATACAATATATATATCATACATGAACATTGTATATTACACCAAATTTACAATTCAATGCTACATATCATACATATACTAAATGTACAATACAATTTACATTATATTTAAATTCTATTAAAATATGCTAGCCTGGAATTTATTTTATTTTATTTTTATTTTTATTGTTTTTTTCTTGAGAAGGAGTCTCGCTCTGTCGCCAGGCTGGATGTGCAGTGGAGTGATCTCGGCACACTGCAAACTCCACCTCCTGGGTTCGAGCCATACTCCTGCCTCAGCCTCCTGAGTAGCTGGGACTGCAGGCATGAGCCACCACGCCCAGCTAATTTTTTTGTATTTTTTTAGTAGAGACGGGGTTTCACCATGTTGGCCAGGATGGTCTCGATCCCTTGACCTCGTGATCCGCCCGCCTCGGCCTCCCAAAGTGCTGGGATTACAGGCTAGCCTGGAATTTATCAACACCTATGAGGTATCTGTGTTAAATATAATTAAGATGGCACAAGTTTATTGGTGGCATAAATGGAAATTCTTATTTATTAATGATTTCCATGAATAAACAAAGAGTTAATTCTGTTCTGAATATTTCAAGTAGTAGAACACAACTCAGCTTTTCAGTTTTTTATCATTGGGAGTTTAAATTTTTCTTCTTGTAAGAGAAACATTTAGTTTACTACCTTTTTGGATATAATTACCTTAGATTTTACACATTAAGTAATTGTTAAGATTATTTATTTCTGAAAATCCAAGAAAATATAAATGAATTATATGCAAACATTTAAGATTTTGCTTCATAAATATGGTGTTTTAACAGGTAAGAGTTTCTTTTTTAAACACAAATTTTAAAATTATCCACAACCACACTTGACTTGTTTCATATTAAGTTCTAAAAAAATCTCATTATAGCATACTACATGAATGCAATGAGTTTATTCCTTTTCTGTAATGTTCATACTAAGTTTACCACCATATTGACATATAAAAATCTAAATATAGATTTGTATGTTGATTAGTGGTTTCTTCCTTACTGTTTGCTACATATACCATGCCACTTTCCTAAAAATCCTTCAGTCATGTGACATAATTTATTCATCCTTTCAGCATATCTCTATTGGATACCTGTATTTCCCTAAGTAGTTTATCAACAGCTACATGAAGTTTCTTCACTCCCTGACTGATTTCCAGTCCCTTCCTAATCTAAAACCTCTAAATTAACCAACTGTATTTTTTCTCTACTTTCAAACATCTCCCCTTATTGTTTGGTGAATTACAAATATTTTGTTTGTTACCACTGACTTTTTTTCATTCATTTCCTGACTAATCTAAACTTGATTCTCTTATGAGCCACAGCACTTGGAGTGTGTAGATTTGTTCTCACCAAATTCATTTTACATTAGCATATGTGTTAATTATCTACACAAAGCTGGAATAAGAATTACTTGAGGGAAAGGATCATTATTTATTCCAAGTCTTTCTTTCTTTTCCTTCTTAGGTAAGCATACATATTACACCTATATCAATTATATTCAGTTGATTCATGTTTTCTATCATCACGTTCACTGATTAGTTATGACCCACATCATCTCACCAAGATTATGATGGAAGCCTCCCAAATGAGGGCCCTGCTGATTCTCCTATACTGCCAACAGATTCTCATTACACACTCAAACCCCACCACTCCATCATTATCCTCATACCATTCTCTGGAGGGCTCCAGTGTAGAAGATAACTCAAATGCCATCCATATCGGACTCTTCAAACTTCTCTCGTAACTTGCTCTACAGTCTCTTCATTATCTCCACAGAGACACTGGCTAATTCACTGTCTTCAGAACATATCTGGCCCTGTCATGGCTGTGTATGTTTTTCATATTGTTTATTTCAAAACTATGAAGAAAATTTATGAAGAAAACCCAACTTCACACAGATAGGTAGTTGGAAAAGGAACTCCTTAATAGCCTTTTCAGATAATTTTGGATATATTTCTTTGATGTTACACCCAAACTCAATAAGTGATTGTTTCTTAAAGGATAGTTACGATGTGGACTTAAAGCCACATCAGACTCTCTTCCATTCAAATCTGTTGGTCTATTCTGCATTTAGAAAATATTACTTATATATAATCATATTATGCTTTGATCATCTCAAAGATATCAAATAACTTAATTATACAAGTCTTTCCTATTTTGATACAATTCATTATATAATATAAAAAAATCACTTGATTAATATAACCATCCAAATGATCAGAACAATCTCTAGTATTGGAAATCTTCCAAGTTTATTGCAGTAGATATGAGTTATCCAAAATTCTATTTTTAATTTGAAAACTTAAACTTTTTCTTTGGCAGAAAGTAGTCATTTATTCTTAAAGTAACAGACTCCTTGATACATTTTCGAGAAAATATCTGCCAAATTTTCAACTCAGAATAACCAGTTTGTTTTTTAGTCTTTTTTTTTTCAAATTAAAATGCTTTATGACAAATGTGCCACTTAAGCTCACAGCTCAATCACACACAAATTTTTATTAAAGTCACCATTGACCTTACATAGTGCCTCTAGTAACCTATGAGGCACTAGAACTCTATTGTACTTCTCACTTTATCACATTAGCTATCGAAGTTTGAAATTTAATATAATTAATAAGTACTGCTTCACCAATATTATTCTTAAGTGCAACTGGAATAATTATAATTTTACTTAGCAATAGGGTGGCAGTAAAGAATTCAACACTACTAGTACAGTTTAGTACTGAGGAGAAAACAGTGTGGCCACCATTGCTTTTGTATGATCAGTTGAAATGTTAATTATTGAAAAATGGAAATAAGAGCTTAGCATACTAATAAAAATATTTTTGCCTCTGAGAAGGATTTGGGGGATTTATTGACCATACTTGGAGAACTTGTGCTTTACAGCTTAGTATAACTGATTTGTATAAAATTATATATAAATTTATATTTATTTGGTATCTTGATGCTCAATATGAGGGAATAATCAATATATGCTGATTACCAGTACATTACTCATGAATTGATAAAATTGAGTGCATGGGGAAAAAATAAATTCTTCAGGCTTAAGATACATAAAACTCTAATTTTTAGTGAATTTTATGTTCATTTTGTATTAAAGCCTCCTCCTTAGTCAAGGTTATCCATATTTTGACTGTAAGTGGATAACCAAGACAATCAATAATACTCTTTTTTTAGAGAAATTGATTTTATAAATAAATATTATATGTTAAACTCTTAATTCTTAATTCAACACTGCCCCTACATAATTTATTTCAAATATTTTCTGGCACTGGTCTAGTTCTGGGCTTCATAGTATGTTGCACACAGATAATAAAAGTAAGAAATAGTGATCTCTGCAATGAGCCTCATAGTTTCTCAAAATAAAGATGATTAAAGAATATTATGAGAGATAGAGGACTAATTTGTATTTCCTATCCCTCCTTTGATTTCTATTACAATAGAAATGGGTCAGATTCTTTATTCATTCAGCAGTTCACTCATTGTGGCCACTCAGAACCAGATATTGTGCTAGAATAAGGACATGGTATATAATGAAGAGTAAAATTAAAGTGGATCCTGCCACCATGAGGCTTACAGGAATCCAGAGGAACACGTATATAATTCATACGCTATACAGGTTACACATTATAGCAAAAGCTACTAAAGGAAACAATAAGATCTATAAAAGAAAATTAGAGGTGAGATGGATTATAATTTGATTGGGGATCCATGAATGTGTCTTGTTAAAAGTGACATTTTTCAGAGTGTAAGAAGATTTGAGATGGAAGCAAATAGTTTACAATCGTATAACAGACAATGACAGAAAGAAGGAATAACCCATGTAAATACCTTAAGCTAGGGAACATTTTGGCATTTGGAGGAAACAAAAGATGACTGTGCTTGGTCTGGAATGCGTGAGAGAAAATGATCCTATGTTTTGTTGGAGAGGAAGGTGGGGAGAGGACAAGTATACTTTGATGAGGATTATATTGTATCTTCAGTGGACAGTGAGTCGATGAAGGATTTAAAGAAGATGAGGATATAATTCCATACTCATTTTCTTTCCCTTTGTTTTAAGTATTTTACAGGTAGAAAATGTGCAAATCATAAATAGGTTTTCAAAGAGTAAGAATAAAGTAAACATCCCTTTGTAACCTGAACCTATTGCCAGATGCTACTCCTACGCCCTCTTCTTTATCCTTCCTTTCTCCCAGGGTTGATCACTCTCCTTAATTCCAGCCCTTTAGATTAGTTTTGAATCTTCGAAACTTTACATAATAAATCTTATAGTAAATATTGTTGTGCCTGGCTCATTTTACATTATTTTACATGTTACATTTCTGCCTGCAGCAGTGGTTTATTCAATTTATTTCCGTATAATATTCTGCATTCTGACCATAACTCTATTTACTTATTTATTCTATTACTAATGGACATGTGGGTGCATCAGTGTTTGGCTGTAAAGTTAATGCATCCATCAACATTTTTGCACAATTTTTTGTTGTATCAGTGCACATATTTCTGTTGAATATATACAGAGGAAAGAAATTGCTAGACCAAAGGGCATATGTATATTTAAATTTAGTAATAATGAAACAGTTTCCAAAGCTGGTTGTACTCAATTGCACTTCCACTAGCAGTATATAGTAGAAACAGAAATAAATCTACAGTGTGGAAAAAAAAAAAAAAAAACCACACACACACAAAGAAACATGCCTATTGGGATCTTGGCATTGGATGGAAGGAAAAAGAAATCTCTCCTGAGAATTCATACTCACAAACTGGCCCTCATATGGATTTGCAGCTAGTGATCCAAAACTTTCAAGCTGAGAATTTATTTCTAAGTGATCCCATGTAAGTACCTTTGGGCACCAGGCAGAAGCAAATACAAGTACTCTCAAGAGAAATGCTTTTTTCAGCCAGGCCTTACAAAAATCTCACAGATAATCTTCCAGGAGAAATAAAACCACAGTTAAAAAAAAAATCACAAAGCTTACAATAAGAGAAACCATCATGAGCAAGAACTTACAGAAAGAAGAGACAGAAAAGTTAGATTCCCAACGAGTACAGATATTGGAGCTGCAAGTTAAAAAAAAAGTATGTATTGTTTTAGAAAGGTAAATAAAATAATTAAAATATGAATACTTAATATAATATAAAATATAATATCTAAGAATATATGAAAAAGAACCAATTAAATTATAAACCAGGTTATAAAGATGGATGAATTTTATAAATAGAATCACTGAAGCAAAACAGATTCAATATAAAAAAGATAAGCAGTATGGATGATTGAGAATGTATAATATGAATCTGAGCAGGTTTTCAGAAAGACATAAGAGAAAGAAGTGACAATATTCAAAGAGATAATGGCAGAGAATTTTCCTAAACTTAAAAAGAACAATTCTTAGATCCTGAAAACCCAATCAATTGTAAACAGTATAAAAAGGAGAAATCTAAACTTAGACATGTCACAGTGAATCTACATAGAACAAACAGCCAATGAAATATATTGAAATTAAGATAAATTGACCATAAAGGAGCCATGATGAAACTAAAAACTGACTTCCCAATAGCTACAATAGGTGTTTGATGGAGGCAACATCATTTCATATACAGTGTGTCACCCAGTGATTATCTAAAATCACTATAAATTTATATTAAGCCCGAGCCATATAAATTTGTATTAAGCCATCAAGCTTGGGCTTAATACGAATTTCACCTTTAATAAGAGTATTAAACGGTTTAATACTTGGACTTTAATAGTAGTATTAAACTGTTTAATACTATTAAGCTTGGGCCTAATACAAATAGAAATTTATAGTGTTTTGTTTTTGTTTTGTTACTACCAACGAACCATCATTATGAGTATATTTTAGGATATACTATGGAGAGAAGGAAACAAATCTCAGATAGAAAGTTGCTTGACATGCAAAATGAGGTTATGAGTTAAGATACTGGTAAACACATTGATATATATAAACAAGTATTTTCTGAATGAAACAAAAATAACATCATATTTGAGGAGTGTATTAGTTTCCTTGTGTTACTATATTGAATTACAATGGGCAGGGTGGTTTTATAAAACAGTAATTTATTCTCTTATGTTTCTGGAGGTTAGAAATTTCAAATCGAGTTGTCAACAGGGCCTAGATATCTCTGAAGATCCCAGGGGAGTGTCTGTTCCATGCTTGTGTGTCAGCCAGCCATCCTTGGCTTTCCTTGACTTGAAATGTGTCACTCAAGTCTCTGCTTCTTCACTGTTGTTTGAATCTCTTCTCATAAAGACACCAGCCATACTAATTTTAGGGCCCTCCTCACTCCCGTATAGACCCATTGTAACTTGATTATATCTGCAAAGACCCAATATCCAAATAAGATCGCATTTATAAGTACTGAAAATTTGAATTTAAACATATTTTTTCAGAAGACAAAATTAACACACAACAACAGGTTAAAAAAAATTACTAAAATCTAAACAATGCTTAGAAAGAAGAGGGAGGGGGTGAATAGTATTGAACTGTTCTTATGGGTTTTTTCTTTCAATGTTCTGGGGAAGAATAATGATATTAACTTTAGACTATTTTTAAACATATATGATAGAAATATTATTTGTATATATTCATTATTTAATGAAAGATTAAAATTAATCTTTGGGCCATGTCTATGTTCCTATAAGAATAGAAGAGTTCTTAGCAGAGTTCCAAAAACATAAGCCAACAAACGAAAACTCTAGATTTTTAAAAATATATCCATGTGACAAAAATTAGAGTTAGGTTTTTATTTCTTGTATTTTAGAAGTAAGGAGCATCATTTTATAGTTGTGGTGTCACATATCAAGGTTCTTAAAGAAATAAGATTAAGAGAATGAAAAAAAAGTGACTGCTAATGGCAAAGCAAAAAACTACACATAAATCAAAGTGAGATAAGTCTCCTTTCTATCTCTCTTTTATCATGACTCAGGTACTGTCATTATAAGGAGCAGATAGAAATTTAAGAAATACTTTTTCACAAAGAATTTTTAATAAGGGAATTTTTAAAAATCAGATTTTCAGAGTTTTATTTCTATGAGCCATGTATTAGAAAAAGAAAAATGACTGTTTCACAGAATTGTTCTACTTAATGACATTTGTATCCATGGAATTTTATATGTGATTCAAGTAATCAAACAAGTAAAAACTTTCTTTTTGATAATTTAACCTGAACTCTACAACCTCTGTTTCACTTACCTAGCTTTACATAGCCAAATATTAAAGCCATGTGGATTCCAATAATAACCTATTCTCTAACTTGAGACAGCTGAAGCAAGCTTATTTGCTATTTTTACCTGCTAATTACCTATTTGCAGAAGAATTTTAAAATGCTACCCTGATCTATGTCCTTATTTCCTTATGTTACATGCAATTCCCTGTTACTTTGTTTAAATAGGTTATCTCTTTAACAGTAATTGTCTAGAAGTGAGATTTGCAGTCTGTTGGGTCACCTTTACCTATAACCAGTTATTCTAAAAACAGAACATGACAGGCCTTATGTGATAGGAAACATTCTATAAAGTTCAGGGACTATATTTCACATATACCAATTATCAAGGGACCAGACTAGAAACTGTGCTATTTTGTAAAACCTTCGTAAAACTATTTGCTACCATGTATAGATAGGTTCTCATGTGTACAGAGGAGTTACTTTTATCATATATTATTTGTGGTTGCTCTCATTCGTCCTGTCAGAAATGACAATATTTGTTCTGCAGATAGGTTAGGGAGGAGAACAGGCTGGAAAAGTCTAGATATTTCTTTGATAGCAATTAGAAGCTGCTAGATGCTTCAAGTGCCTGGAGATAAATAAAACTACTGTAATTGCAGAGCCATTTTTAGAACTGCACATCCACTGAGACATTTTGACCTGCAGCTATAAACTACTAGTCAGTACTTGAACTGTTTGTATCAGTTAATTAGAAAATGAATATGTAACTGAATGGATTAATTCAACAACCTACACAAGCACAGCAATAGTATCTCAATACCTCAAAGCTCTACTATTTTCTTTTGTTTCTCCTTTTTTTTCTTCTTTCATTAATAACCACTCCATATGTTAATTTTTCAGTATAAACTTTCCAATAAACATAAGATGTTGTCATTTTTCGCATTAATTGATATTAACAAAGCATTTTATTCACAATTCTTGAACACAGTTTGTATGATGCTCATCTACGAAGTCATTTATTCCCGAGCAAGGAGTGACTTGGATATTCATTTATTTATTTATGCCACAAATATTTTCTTGAATATTTATTATGTAACAATCAGTATGATAGGTAATGTGAATGAAGTAGAGAACAGGATCACTGGCTCAGAAAGCTGAGTCTAGGCAGGGCCAGTATGGAACATATCAAAATGAACATCAAACATGTGAAATAATGACAGATTTTGATTTGTACTTTCATGGAAATTACAAACGCTGACATGACAGGAAATAACAAGTGAGCCTACTACAGATCGGGTGGTTGGAAAAGGCCTCCAAATGAAGTGTTTGCTAAAAGAACGATCTTGAGTCAGTCATGCCAGAAAAGTGAACAGCAAAACCAAGGTGGTGAAATATGAAAAATATACCATCCCTCATGCATTATCTCTCAGTTTAAACTGGTAAATGTGCTTGTTGCAATTCTGTGGAAAAAAGTAATGTAGAATTAGATATGATTAGAAAAGAGTCTGGAGACAGATAAGTAGGACTTCTTTAGCTACAAGAAGGGTTTTTAATTTGATTCTGCATACTATAGAAAACAATGGAGTAACTTTAAGCCAGTGAGTTACGTACTCTAATTTACATTATAAAAATAGGATATAGTTTGCCATGTGAAGAGTGGATTTTTTTCTCGAAAAGGACAAATTGGGAAATCAATTAATTAGTTAAATTTTTTTTATTAGGATAGTGATAATAGAGATGGAGAGGGGGGCAAACCCTAGATTTTGTCTTAAGAAACTAGTTGAATAGAATGCCTTTTCCTAAAATGAACATCTTGGGCAAGAACAAGATTAAGGGGAAAATTGTGATTTCTGTTTTAAATATGCAAAGTTTGAGATACTTAAGATATATTCAAGTAGATGTGTCAAGCAAGCTGTTGTAAATATATGCCTGGAACTCAGAAAATATGTCTGGGCTAAAAAATGTATATTTGGAGATGTTGTCTCACAGGTGGTGTTTAAAGTCATGGAGATTGATGAGATCTCTTAAGCAGAGGAATTTCAAGGTTTAGATTACGTCAGGAATGGAGCCTGTGAAAGAGGGAGAATCCAACAAGAAAGAACAAACACAAGGAAGCTGTTATATAAAGAAGTAGAAGGGTTGTTTCCAGAGAAATAAATGATCTAGTTATTGGATATCACTGACACAGCAAGCAAAATGAGAAACTGAAATCACCTAGAAGATTTGACTTCATGCAGGACATCCGTAGTGTCGACAAGAGCAGAGTTTAGACAATCACTTGGTAGGTTCTGAATTACTGGGAGAGATTCAGTCAGGGCAACCAACAGTAGACTTCACTCAATTCATATAAGAAAATACATACATGTCATTCAATCTATTAGAATATCATGGCGAGTCTCTTCCTAATGGCACACGTTACAAAAAAGAATTTGTTTGTATTGGTATTAAAGTGATCATCCACTCAGTAAGGGAACTCGGACCATCAGAGGTGTTCCTTCCAATTTAGAACACCCTTCCACACATTACAGTCAGTCAGATTCTGGTTGGAAAGCGCTTTTGTCTAATTATCCTATTTTCCATAAATAATTCTACTCAGAGTAATATGGCACAAGATTATATCAGTTGTGTGGTTGATACTCCCAGACCACTTGGAAAAGTACTGGTAATAGAAATAGGACAAAAATTATTTTATAAAAACCAATATTCACAGATATATCAGTAGAAATTATTAACAGTTAAGAATTTTTTTTAAATCAGTGATTATGCTTAAAGGCAGTTTAAAAACAAAAGACGTATTTTTGCATTTTCATAACCAGGTGTGATGAAAATTTTTTATGTTAATGTATTATTTCACATGGGTATATTCAATCTATTTACAGTGCTTTTTTTTTTTTTAAAGGAACTTTTACTCTTTTTGCCCAGACTGGACTGCAATGGCCTGATCTCGGCTCACTGCAACCTCCGCCTCCTGGGTTGAAGTGATTCTCCTGCCCCAGGCTCCTGAATAGCTGGGATTACAGGCGCGCGCCACCACACGTGGCTAATTTTGTATTTTTAGTGGAGACAGGGTTTCACCATGTTGGTGAGGCAGGTCTCAAACTTCTGACCTCAGGTGATCCGCCCGCCTCAGCCTCCCAAAGTGCTGGGATTATAGGCGTGAGCCACTGCGCCCAGCCTATTTACTGTTTTAATAGTTTCTTGCCACTCCTTTCTGGTGAAAGCTCTGACCCCTCCTTATTCTGCTAGAGATTTCAGAGGTCATCACTTTCTTTTGAAAATGTCAAAGTGGAGCTACATTATGGTTACATTCTTTGATTGTGACGGAGTTTCACTCTTGTTGCCCACACTGGAGTGCAATGGTGAGATTTCAGCCCACTGCAACCTCCACCTCCCGGGTTGAATTGATACTCCTGCTTCAGCCTCTAGAGTAGCTGGGATTACAGGCTCACACCACCACCTATTTTTAGTAGAGACACGGTTTCACCATATTGGCCAGGCTGGTCTCAAACTCCGGACCTCAGGTGATCCACCTGCCTCCACCTCCCAAAGCACTGGGATCACAGGTGTGAGCCACCATGCCCAGCCATGGTTACATTCTTTTTTTTTTTTTTAATTTGCTAAGGCCAGTGTTGAAGTTAAGAATCATATTCACCCACGGGAAGGGTTATAAGAACTTTGAAATGGTGGGAGATGCTGGGTTTCAAAGCGTAACTTTTAAATTACCAAAGCTTTAATTTATATTTAAATTCAACACCTGTCTCAAAAACTATTTAAAAGGCATATTTTGTCATATTTTCCCAACTGGAGCCTATTTAAAAGACAAAATTCTTTTTTCTTAGCTATTCAACTACTTTTCCGCAATTTTATTGAGGTATAGTTGACAAATAAAAATTGTATATATTCAATGTGTACAATATTGTGTCCGGAATTGGTGGGTTCTTGGTCGCATTGACTTCAAGAATGAAGCCGGGGACCCTTGCGGTGAGTGTTACTCTTCTTAAAGCTGATGCGTCTGGAGTTTGTTCCTTTCGATATTCAGACGTGTTTGGAATTTCATCTTTCTGGTGGGTTCGTGGTCTCGCTCGCTTCAGTAGTGAAGCTGCAGACCTTCACAGTCAGTGTTATAGCTCTTTAGGCAGCACATCTGGAGTTGTTCGTTCCTCCCGTGGCTTCGTGGTCTTGCTGGCCTCAGGAGTGAAACTGCAGACTTTCCTGGTGAGTGTTACAGCTCATAAAGGCAATGCACACCCTAAGAATGAGCAGCAGCAAGATTTTTTGCAAACAGCAGAAGACCGAAGTCCTCACAGTGTGGAAAGGAACCTGAGCGGGATGCTACTGCTGGCTCCGGTAGCCTGCTTTTATTCCCTTATCTGGCCCCACCCACATCCTGCTGATTGGTCCATTTTACAGAGACCTGATTGGTCTGTTTTACAGAGAGCTGATTGGTCCATTTTGACAGGGTGGTGATTGGTACGCTTACAATCCCTAAGCTAGACACGAAAGTTCTCCAAATCCCCACTAGATTAGCTAGACACAGAGCACTGATCACTGATTGCTGCAATCACAAACCCTGAGCTAGACACAGGGTGCTGATTGGTTTCTTTACAAACCTTGAGCTAGACACAGAGTGCTGATTGGTGCATTCACAATCCCTTAGCTAGACATAAAAGTTCTCCAAGTCACACCAGATTAGCTAGACACAGAGTGCTGATTGGTGCATTTACAAACCTTGAGCTAGACACAGGGTGCTGATTGGTGTGTTCACAAACCCTGAGCTAGATACAGAGTGCTGATTGGTATATTTACAATCCCTTAGCTAGACATAAAGGCTCTCTAAGTCCCCACTAGACTCAGGAGCCCAGCTGGCTTCACCTAGTGGATCCTGCACTGGGGCCACAGGTGGAGCTGCCCGCCAGTCCCGGGCGCCATGCGACTGCACTCCTCAGCCCTTGGGTGGTGGAATGGATGGGGCGCAGTGGGGAGGGGGGATCGAGGAGGTGGGAGGGGGGAAGGGTGGGGGAGAGAGGAGCCGCGGGGAGGCGGGGGTGGAGGATCAGGCATGGCGGCCTGCGGGTCTGGAGCCCTTCCTGGCGGGGAGGCAGCTGATTCCAGGCGAGAATTCGAATGGGGTGCAGGCGGGCCGGCAGTGCTGGGGAACCCGGCGCACCCTCGGCAGCTGCTGACCTGGGTGCTAAGCCCCTCACTGCCCAGGGCTGGCAGGGCCGGTCAGCAGCTCCGAGTGTGGGGTCTGCTGAGCCCACGTCCACCTGGAACTTGCGGTGGCTAGCAAGCCCGTGGGCAGCCCCGGTTCCCGCCCACGCGTCTCCCTCCACACCTCCCTGCAAGCTGAGGGAGCCGGCTCCAGCCTCGGCCAGCCCAGAAAGGGGCTCCCAGAGTGCAGCAGCAGACTGAAGGGCTCCTCAAGTGCGGCCAGAGTGGGCGCCGAGGCCAAGGATGTGCCGAGATTGAGCGAGGGCTGAGAGGGCTGCCAGCACGCTGTCACCTCTCAATATGATTATTTAATATACATATACATTGTAAAATAATTATCAGAATCAAATTAACAGTTCCAATATCACACTTAGTTACCATTTGTTCTTCTGTGTTTGTGTGTGTAAGTGTGTGGTGAGGATACTGAAAATCTATTCTCAGCAGATTTCAAGTAACAATATAAGATTATTAACTGTAGTCATCATGTTGTTAGATTTACAGAACTTATTCATCTTAAAACATTGTTTGTACCCTTTGGCCTTGGACTAATATCTCCCATTTACCCTCTCCGCGGGACCTTGGCAACCACCATTCTACTCTTTGGTTCTATGAGTTCGACATTTTTTAGATTCCAAAGTAAGTGAGATTATACAACGTTTGTTTTTCTGTATCTGATTTATTTTACTTTGCATAATGGTCTCCAGATTCATCTTTTTTGTCACAATGGCAAGATTTCCTTCTTTTTAATGGCTGAATAGTAATGCATTATGTGTATGTAGCACATTTTCTTTATATGTTCAACCACTGATGGACGCTTAAGTAGTTTCCATATCTTAGTTATCATAACTAATACTGCAATGAATATGTGGATGCAGCTATCTCTTTAAGGTAATGATTTTGTTTCCTTTGGATATATACACCTTGATATCTTAGAAGTAGGGTCACTGAATGTATGGTAGTTCTATTAATAATTGTTTTTGGTTTCTGGGGACTGTTTTTGGATGCCTCTCATGTATTTTAAATCTTAGTATTCCGAGTTTTTTTTATATCATGCTTGTCATGTAATAGATGATTAATAAATATTTTCTTGAAATTTAAATGACAGTCTCTCAGAAATTGGTAAACCTACTCATTTAGAACATTTTCTTTTTCTTTTATTTTTTCCTCTTTCTTTCCTTTTTTGTGCTGATGCTTTTTGACTATTATGTAAAATTGCTAATTTGAAAATTTAAAAAAACTTATATTGTATTAATTTCCCCCTCAAAATTAATTATGTGCTTTATTTCCAAATGAGATTATTGAATTTAAACTCAAGAAGGTAAAGTAGAGTAATTAAGTTAACCCAGTTGTTAAGTGGTCATGTCTGCAAAGAACCTAAGATTTCAACAAGTACTTAAATGTTGCACAAGTGATGTCAAATGCATATATTTTGCATCAAACTGCTTCAATTGCGTTGTATACCATGACCCCATGATGCAATCATTAATCTTAGCTAGTAGTGCTGCAAAACAAGTTATTTATTTGAAGAAAAGTTAAAGGATCTGGTGAAGCCTTGAAAATTACTTGTATCTGAGACTTTAATACGTTTTTTTAATTACTTATTTTCTACTCTTTGTACAAAAGTATGACTTTTTAATAATATGTATGTTTATGGAGCATTATATAATCACATTATTGGAAATATATTTTCATGATCATCACCACCTAAAAACACAAAATTACAAAGGCATTGGAAATTTAAAAAACCTAGCTCAATGTATGAGGAAGAACTAATGCTAAAACATAGTTTTCATTTACACAAAATTGTTACTATTAATAAATTGCTATTGATTAATATTTATTAATAAATAGTTTTTAATGACATTTAAAGTAAGGCTTAAATGTTTCAGAAATAAAATGTGGCCTATCTTGATAAAGGACAAAGGTGCACTTGAAATGAATGTTGTTCTCTTGGTTAAATGGTTCTATAAATATCAACTGTTCAAGTTGGCTGTACATAAGTTAAAATACACTAGACTCCCTAGATTCATGTCCAGTTCTGCTGTTTATTAAGTCTAAAGAGAATTCATTCTAATTCTCCTAGTCCTAGTTAAGCTTCTCCCTTTTAAAACTTGGGAATTTAATAACTCAATTCACAGTATTGTTGTAAGCATTGTTGTTTTAAAAACATTTAAGTCTAAAGCATCACACAAAAAGAACCTCTTATGAGTCTTCTAAAATAACAAAACTGAGTTACTCTGTAACTCTAACATAAACCTAAACATGATAATTTTTACGTTGATAATCACATTGTTCAATCTGCTTGGGTCTATCAAACTGACAGTTGCACCTATTTTCATTTTCCCATCTGTAAATTCAGAGTGGATTTGGCTTCCAAAGAGCTGCCCCACTTCTGAGCATTATTATCCCAACTTGAAGAATCTGTAATCTACTGAATTTGGAGAACATGCTCATCTCTGTGCTGTACAATGCCTCATAAGCATACATGGCATAAAGGAGAGGGGGCATGGTATAATGGAAGGGGTACTAGGGGAGAAATCAGGACAATGAATTCAAATTTCAGATCTTTCACTAGTTAGTGTGGGACCTTTGAGGAAGACTAATGGTGTTGAGCATCACGATCAATGGTATGACATAAAACTATTTCTGATGATAATTGCCCCATAGACGAGGTCTTGGAAGGTTATTTATTGTACTTGAAATACTGCTTTTTTTTTTAATCCACAAATTACTCCCTCCTAACCATGAAATCATTAACTGTGATAATATAAATAATGCATCTAATATAATGCCTAGCAGATATTTATGCCAATTAAATGTTTTCCTACTTTTTCTTGCTTTTCCTCTTCCCTTTTTCCTTTTTTACTCTTTCTTTCTCCCCCTCCCCAACTTTTTTTCCTCCCTTATTTTTTTCTTCTTTCCCTTTTCCGCTATTTGTAAAACTAGTATATTGAACTGTCAGATCTCTGAAGTTCTTTGCAGTTCATTGACTCCATAATAAGATAGGAATGCATACTGAGACCTTATTGTTCTAATCATCTCTGAGATTTTACATAGTCGTGTCATGGGTGTTGTTGTATCCTCTGTTTTGAAATATAATCTCCTTTGCCTTGGTATCAGCAACAATTTAAAAGAGCTAAAATAATGAACTTGAAAATTTGGCACTTTTCCTGTACCTAGAGCAGATCAAAAATACTGAGATGAACAGTTTTGGTCAAATTCCCAGATAAGAAGCCTGATTCAAAGAGGTCAAAGGGAAATTAGAGAAGTCTAATATTATAACAACAAAGCCCTTCTGTAGGACTTTCTCTTTGCTAAGGTTATAGGCAGGAAATAGGTGGTTAACAAGTCAAGCTGAAGAATACCATTTGCCTCATTATTATTTCTACCAATTATAATTGTCAAAGTGTATGAAATGCAAAGCAAAATTTATTTCGGATTTTCTATGCAACTCTGAGCCAGATTTTCTCCATCTAAAACGTCCTGCAAATATATGAGTCAGTTGTCAGAAGTTATATGAACTCTCACAGCTTTAAGACAGTATTCTTAACACCTTGAATATAGAAGAATTATACAACTAAAAGGGTCATTAATTTCTTGAATAAGTAAAATCTTTATCATAATTTTCAGAAAAGAGGTGTTATAGCTTAAATATCTGATTGTGAATCGCAGCTTAGCTACTTATTGCCTGTCATCTTGCCAAACCACTTATGGTTCTACACATCAGTTCTATTCACTATAAAATAAGAAAAGAGTCGTATCACCTGTTTTTGTTACAAGAAGAGTATGAATTAGGTCAGACACAAATAAAGCGCATAAGACAAAACTAAGAAAACACTTGATAGGAAACAATTTTTAAAATGGAATTATTGCACAACCTGTTTCTCCCAAACATGGGGTCCTGTAGCCCAGGTCTTACCCAAATCAGGATGAGGTAGTGGGGGGTCCAGGTGGGGCTGTTGGCCGTGACCCTGCTTGCTGCGTACCTGCACATCCCAACTCTTCAGCTGTCCCCTACCCTTCACTCATAGAAGTCTTCAGTAAAGTTTTTCACTTACAAGGGACTGCGTATCTTCTACCAAGACATTGTGGGTGTGGTTGGAAGTCCGGAGATAGTTGTGCTTTTACATGGCTTTCCAACATCCAGCTACGATTGGTACAAGATTTGGGAAGTCTGACCTTGAGGTCTTATCGAGTGATTGCCCTTGATTTCTTAGGCTTTGGCTTCAGTGACAAACAGAGACCACATCACTATTCCATATTTGAGCAGGCCAGCATCGTGGAAGCTCTTTGGGGCATCTGGGGCTCCAGAACCGCAGGATCAACCTTTAGTCTTATGACTATGGAGATACCGTTGCTCAGGAACTTCTCTACAGGCACAAGCAGAATCTGTCTGGTCGGCTTACCATAAAGAGTCTCTGTCTGTCAAATGGAGGTATCTTTCCTGAGACTCACCATCCACTCCTCTAGAAGCCACTCAAAGATGGACGTGTGCTGTCACCCGTCCTCACGCAGCTGATGAACTCTGTATTCTCTCGAAGTCTCATCCCAGTCTGTGGGCCGTATACTCGGCACTCTGAGACTGAGCTATGGGACATGTGGGCAGGGATCCGCAACAACGATGGGAACTTAGTCATTGACAGTCTGTTACAGTACATCAATCGGAGGAAGAAGTTTAGAAGGCACTGGGTGGGAGCTCTTGCCTCTGTAACTATCCCCATTCATTTTATCTATGGGCCATTGGATCCTGTGAACCCCTATCCAGGGTTTTTGGAGCTGTACAGGAAAATGCTGCTGTGGTCCACATTAGCCACGATCTACAGCTAGAGGATCCCATGGGCTTCTTTGGGCTTCATCAACTCCTTCTGAGCTGGAAAGAGTAACTTCCCTGTATTACCTCCCCTACTCCCTTATCTGTTGTGTATTCCACTTAGGAAGAAATGCCCAAAAGAGATCCTGGCCTTCAAACACTATTCTCTCACAAATCCACTTTACTCAAATCGGTGAACAGTATATAGGAATAAGCCAGCAGAAACTCTGACTAAGGTTGACATAATAGTCCACTTCCCATTACTTTGATATCTTATCAATGTATGGACTGGGCTTTGTTTTTGTGTTATTAGGAAATTCTGATGAGCATTACTATTCACTGATGTAGAAAGACATTTTTTTGCATAAAAGACTTTTTAAGACTTTGGACTTCTCTGAAGTATTTAGAACTGTTCATTTCTGGCCCAGCCCCAACAGGAATTCTACAGTAACAATGAAGAGAAGGGCACCTCCTTCCCTGTCCTTGAATGGCTTTATGGGCACATGCTTTTTAAAAGTTCCTTAAGCAACAGAGCTGAGTTCCCTTTGTCATACCTTTGGATTTAGTTTCATCAGCTGTTTTTAATTATAAACATTTTGTTAAAATAGATATTGGTTTAAATAAAATAGTATTCTATGTATGATTTAAGACTGTGATTTACCTACACATTACATATATTTTATAAGGATATTAAACCAGTGTACCCTTACTCTGCCAGATTAGTGAACCTAATTAAACATGTTTGATTTCTGAATAAATTGACCTAAACCCAAACTATTTACAGAATTTCCTAAAATCACAGGACATTAAGGACCAATAGCATCTGTGCCAGAGATTTACTGTTATTAGCTAAGAAGAGCAATTCTAACAGCAAATAACAGTCTGAGATTCCTCACACCTCAGGGCTTAGGAGCATGTCTCTCTTGAGCTACCATAGAGGGGAAGGGATTGTTTTGTAGTGAAGTCACCATGCTGAATGTACACTGATTCCTTTGTGATGGCTGCTTACCTCCCCAGTGCCTGTCCCAGGGAGGCTTTCCAATGTAACTCAGTAATTCCTGTACTTTATAGGCAGGAAAGTTCCAGAAACTTTAAGAACAAATTCTGAAGGATCTATGAGCAAATGGTGCTGAATACTACTTTTTAAAATCCACATTTCATTGCCTTTCAAAGCAGGATTATTAAGTGATTATTTAAAATTTGTTTTATTTAAATTAGCAACTTCAAGCATAACAACTTTGAAACTGGAATAAGTGTTTATTTTCTATTAATAAAAATGAACTGTGGCAAAAAATTAAATTATTGGCTCTTTATTTGATCAGAAAAAGGAATCTCAGACAGGATAGGTGACTTGCTGAAAGTGACACAAGTTCTTAGTGGTCTTTTAACTATTATGTAAGTCACAATTCAGGGCTCTTTACTGATAATTAATAGATAAAAGGACATGAACAGTTAGATCTTTGTCATTATGATATCATCTTAAAAACAGTAGGGCTGCTTAAGTGTTTCTGATTGTAAAGCTTAAGTAGCTGTTTATTTAAAAATTTTAAAAGTTAAATTATGTTACAGAATCAAATTATGGTTTTTGCTTAAGGAATACAATAAGGAACATCACATGTATTTTGTGAGCCATCAGTATCAGAATCTCCTCGAGTACTTTGTAGAAGTGTCATTTCCAAGATATCTCTCATGTACAATCTGAGACAGAATGTTTGAATTGGAGCTAATTATTTCTACGATTTACCTACCACCAGAAATCCCCATTACTATGAATGCTTGAATGTTCCTGATCTAATGTTCAAATGCAAAGTTATAGACTTGAGTTTAAATTCTGGTACCCCCACATTAAAATTATAGAATGTTGGTCAAATTAATTTCCTTTCCTCATTTGTGAAAAAGAGACAATGTAAGTACCTTCCTCATGGAGTTACTGCAGAATGAAATGAGTTAATACATATAAAGAGTTTGGCACATTCAAATAATAGAATGTGGAGTTTGGAAGAGACTGTGGAGGTGATTTCCACATACTTTGACCGTCTTAATTGCAAATCATTGAATTAGATTGTGATGTCTCTAAAGACAGCATCAGATTCATGACTCTGTCTCAAAAATCTAGAAAAAAGAGGCAGTTCAGAAGTCTGTTAATAGTATATAGATTTTTCAATATTTATTCTAATCTGTTATCCTCAGATCCAATCCCTAGGGCTGTAATGTTTCTAGATTTCTGAAATTAATGCAGATTACCCTCATTCAGTACAAGTACCAAAGATTATTTGATATAAATTTTCCTCCTGTATATGTATTTTCCAATGGATATTCAATAGAAAGTTAATTTTATAAGAAGCTTCATACTCAAAAATGTTGAATAATGCCACATCCTTTATACAGTCTCAGAAATATACCATTCATATTAAAAGCTACAAGAAATCCTATAGCAAAAAAAAAAATTTTGATTTACTTCTTTAACTCAGGATTTCTGAAAATTACTTGGTAAAGGAACATTTTCACTGCATAATATCTAACAACATTTTTTAGTATAAGTGATCATCTCTGGTCACTCTTTTGTTCATATAATGTTTAAAAACTATTCTTTGTTCCTCAGTCATTTTTGTATTTAGAAAAGCTGACAATGAAGTTGTGATCTAGTGCAGAAGCATGTCTAGCTTCAAATCCTGATGCCTCACTTAGTAGCTAAGTTATGTTAGGCAAGCTAATCCAACTTTCAGGACCTCTAATTTTCACATCTGCAAAATGGAGCCAATATTTGCTTTGAAGTATTTTTGTGAGTATTCTATTCTATGATATACATAAAGTAGTTATTCCAGTCTAGGAGTTATAAAAATGGCCTATTAATTTCCTTCTGTGTTGATCTCATTGTTGCCTGGAATTACAACAGCAATGTAAAACATCCTAATTATGCTTTCATAATAGCTTCCTTCCTTCTTTCCTCCATTCCTTCCTTCCTTCCTTCCTTCCTTATTTCTTTCTTTCTTTCTTTTTTTGAGACGGATTTTCACTCTTGTTTGTTGCCCAGGCTGGAGTGCAATGGCGCAATCTCAGCTCACTGCAACCTCCGCCTCCCAGGTTCAAGCGATTCTCCTGCCTCAGCCTCCTGAGCTGCTGCGATTACAGGCTTGCACCACCACACCAGGCTAATTTTTTTTTTTTTTTTTTTTTAGTAGAGATAGGGTTTCTCCATGTTGGTCAGGCTGGTCTTGAACTCCCGACCTCAGGTGATTCACCCGCCTGAGCTTCCCAAAGTGCTGGGATTACAAGCATGAGTCACCACACCCTGGCTTATAATAGTTTCAAATCACCCCTTTATCTTTAAATAATTTCACTTATCAAATAAAATAGACTTTTTCTGACAGTGAGAATGAGACAGGCCATGCATAATCACTCAGAGGGAGAGAGAGATTAACTAATGAAGTATTAGAATCCAAAACTCTTAGTCCAACATAGGGCCTTTTCCAGTTATATCCTTATATTTGTCACTGCTTTATCTTCTGCTATGGCTGATATCAATGTCTGCTAAATTCTATGTCAGGTGTTAGAGGGAAATGAAAGCCAAGGTCAGAAAAAAACATGCATTTTGTATGTGTTTTGTTCCTTTGAAGCGAAATGTGACCTGGTTAGACATTAACTTCCCATTATCACTTTTTTATGCTGACTGCTGACTGTGCTCAGGTGGCAAAAAGAAGTGGTAATTGGACAAAAATGTTCTAACCCTCATGGTAATTAAAAAAAAAAAAGTAGTGAAAGCAGCTTCCTCCTGAAGTCTCCATTGTGTAGTTAAGGCAAAATGTCACCAGGAACAATAAAGCAAAAATGGGGCCTTTCAAAATGATTGATCAGTACTTCAGGTCCCACTCATTGGTCATCTGACTTGGAATAAGCCACACTAATTCACAGCCTACTTTCCAAAGGCAATGTCCCCCATTGTGACCTCCAGTGGCACTTCTAGTCTGGATTTCACATCTTGTACCTGTAATGTTTCAAACGTACTTCATACTGAAGGAATATCTTTCTAATACTATGTGAAAAGTTTGTGATCAAAGACAGTTTGACAAAACTTCTTCTAGGACCTCATGCAGAAGAAAAACCTTAGTAAGCTAGATGTCCCCAGTATATGGTTCTCAGCTTTTCTGTCTCATTTTTTCCCTCTCTCTGCATGTATTAACATTCTAACAATAGACCATGTTTTGAGAACAGATTCACATTAATCAAGTTCATCAAAGCCATTTTTCCATTTTATCAATTGAGAATGAAATACATAAACTGTTAAATTATCTTAAATGATTAAACTTACCCAGTTAGCAGGAGTACCTGGGAAGATAGATTGTAATATGGAAATTGAGAAGTGCAGAATCAGAACTTCTATAGATAGAAAGTACATCGTATCTTACTTGTTGGTCATTGCACACCTTAAGTGAATTATTAATTTTTTTATTTTTTTAATTGGTACATAATAATTATATATATTTATGGGATACAGTGTAATATTTAGATAACTATATGCTTTGTGTAATGATTAAATCATTATAATTAGCATATTTATCACCTCAAACACTTCTCATTTGTTTGCAATGAGAACATTCAAAATTCTCTCTTCTAGCTATTTTGAAGTATACAATACACTATTGTTGACTAGTCACTCTAATTTTCAAGAGAATACCAGAACTTATTCCTGTCTAACTATGACTTTCTACCCTTTGACCAACCTCTCCTTATATCCTTCCCTGAATACTCTCCTCAGCCTTGGGGAACCGCTTTTCTACTGTTCACTTCTATGAGATCAGGTTTTTTCAGATTCCACATATGAGTGTGATAATGTGGTATCTGTCTTCTGTGCCGTACTTAACTTTATATGTCCTCTAGTTTCATCCATGTTGTTGCAAGTCGTAGGGTTTCATTTTTTAAAGCTAAATACAATTCCATTGTGTGTATATATATATATCACATTTATTTTATTCATTCATTCATCGATGGACACATATGTTTAGTCCATGTCTTGGCTATTGTGAATAATGCTGCAATAAACATGGGAGTGCAGATTCTTTTTGACATACTGATTTCATTACTTTTGAATATACAGCCAGAAGTGGGATTTTTGGGTCATTTGGTACTTCTATTTTTAAATTTTGTGGAACCTTCATGCTGATTTTCATAGTGGATGTACTAATTTACATTCTCACCAACAGTGTATAAAAGTTCTCCTTTCTCCACATCCTCCCCAAGTTTTGTTACCTTTTTTTTTCTTTTTTTATAGCAACTAGTCTAACTTGGGTGAGGTGATACTTCATTGTGAATTTGATTTGCACTTCCCTGATGATTAGTGATGGTGAGCATTTTTTGTAGACACCTGTTGGCTACTTGTACTTTTTTTTCCCAAAATGTTTATTCACATTCCTGCCCAATTTTAAACTGGATTATTTGTTGTTTTGCTATTGATTTGAGTTTCTTTATATTCTGAATATTAACCACTAGTCAGATACATAGTTTATGAATATTTTCTCCCATTCTGTAGGTTGTCTCTTCAGTCTTGATGATTTCCTTTGCTGTTCAGTGGCTTTTTAGTTTTATATAATTCTACATGTCTAATTTTGCTTTCATTGACTGTACTTTTGATGTTTTATTCAAACACTCTGCCCAGTCCAACATCATGAAGAGTTTCTCCTATGTTTTCTTTTAGGAATTTCAAAGTTTCAAGTCTTACATTTAAGTCTTTCATACATTTTTAATCGATTTTTGTAACTGGGAAAGATATGTGCCTATTTCTATTCTGCATGTGGAAATCCAGTTTCTCCAGCACTGTGTATTGAAGAGCCTGTCCTTTTCCTAACGTGTGTTTTTGGTTCCTTTGTTGATAATTTTCTATACATGTATAGATTTATTTTTGGTTTCTGTATTCTGTTTCATTAGTCTACAGGTATGTTATTATGCCAGTGCCATGTTGTTTTGGTTACCATTACTCTGTGATATGTTTTAAAGTTAGGTAATGTAATACCTTCAGCTTTGTTCTGTTTGCTCAAGCTTACTTTGGCTGTTCAGGGACTTTTGTGGTTCAACAAAAATTTTAGGATTTAAAAACAAAATTCCATGAAGAATGTCATTGCTATTTTGATAGGGATTGCATTTATTCTCTAGATTGCTTTGGGTAGTTTGTACATTTTAACAATATTAATTCTTTCAATCCATGAACATTTCATTTCTGTCCATGGACCTTCCACTGATGAGTGTCAACTTCATTTTTTTATCAGTGTTTTAGAGTTTTTATTTTAGAGATCTTTCCTCTCTTTGGTTAAGTTTATTCCTATATATTTTATTTTTATGTATCTATTGTAAAAGAGGTTGTTTTCATGATTTTATTTTCAGATAGTTTGCTGTTGGCATATAGAAATGCTACTGATGTTGGCATGTTGACTTTGTAACCTTTGATTTTATTGAAATTTTTTATTCTAACAATTTTTTCATGGCGTCTTTAGAGTTTTCTATATATGATATTACATATATAGAAACAAAGACAATTTGACTTCCTTTATTCCCATTTGGATACACTTTATTTTTTTCTCTTGCCTAATTGCTAGGGCTACAACTTCCTGTGCTACATTGAATAGTGAAAGTTAGTATTCTTGTCTTTTCCAGGTTTTAGAAAAAAAAATACTTTCAATTTTCTCCAGTCAGTATGATGTTAGCTGTGGGTATGTCATAAATGGCCTTTATTGTGTTGAAATGTTTTTCTTCTATGCCTAGTTTCTTTAGGTTTTCCTTTTAGTGAAACAATGTTGGATTTTATCAAATGCTTTTTCTGCATCTATTTAGATGATCGTATGTTTCTTGTCTTTAGTCCTCCTTATTTTCCTTCCTTCTTTCTTTCTTTTTCTTTCTTTCTTTCTTTCCTTGAATGTGATGTATACATGTTTATTGATTTGAGTATGTTAAACCATCCTTGCATTCCTGTCGTAAATGGTACTTGATCATGGTGAATGATCCTTTTGAAGTTCTCTTGAATTCAGTTTGCTAGTATTTTGGTTCAAGATATTTGCATCTATGTGCTTCTGGAAGAGTGGCCTGCTAGGTGTTTTTTTTTTTTTCTATATACTTTTTCTTGTCTGGTTTTGATATCAGGGTAATTCTGGCCTCCTAAAGTAAATATGGAATAATTTCCTCCACATCAGTTTTTTCAAATACTTTGAGAAGAACTGGTATTAGTTCCTCTTTAAATGTTTGGTAGAATTCAGCAGTGAAGTCATCAGGTCCTGGGCTTTTCTTTTAAGGGAGACTTTCATTGGAAATTCAATCTCATTACTTGTCATTACCCTATTCATGTTTTCTGTTATCTCATGATCCAGTCTTAGTATGTTGTATATGTCCAGGAATGTATTCATTCAATTTGTTGACATAAAGTTGTTCCTAACACTCTATGATGATATGTTGTATTCATCTGGTATCAGTTTTGATGTCTCCTTTATCTAATCTCGGATTTTATTTATTTAGTCATCTCTCTTTTTCCTTAGTTTGTCCAGCTAAAGGTTTGTTAATTTTGTTTACCTTTTCCAAAAGCAAACTCTTCAATGATTTTTTGTTTTGTTTTTAGCCACTATTTTATTTATTTCTGATCTAGTATTTATTACCACTTTTTCTTCCACAAATTTTGAGTCATTTGTTGTTGTTTTTCTCATTCCCTGGGGTGCAACAACAGACTGTTTAATTGAGATATTTCTACTTTTTGATGAAGGTGTTTTCTCTATACACTTCCCTCTTATAACTGAATTTGCTATAACTCATATGTTGTGTTTTCATTTTCATTTGTCTCCAGAAATATTTTGAATTTCCTTTTTAATTGTTTCATTGATCCATTGGTCATTCAGCAGCATGTTGTTTAAATTTTATATATTTGCACAGTTTCCAATGTTCTTTTCAGCCATTCTATATCTTTTAATGGAGAATTCAAGCTAATCAGTGAAGGTAATTATTAATAGGTAAGGACTTACTTCTGTATTTTGATGTCTGTTTTGTAATTGATTTGTAGATATTTTATTTCTTTTTTCCACTCTCATTGTCTTCCTTTGTAGTTAAGGGGTTTTGTTTGGTAGTATGCTTTGATTCATTGATTTTTATTTTAGTGTACCTGTTATAGGTTTTTTCTTTGTGGTTATCATGAGACTTACATAAAAACCTCTTAGAGCTATAATAAGTTGTTTTAAACTGACAACTGTGATTGCAAATAAAAGAAAACAAACACTATAACTTTGTTTTCTCCAACATTTTGATTTATTGATATCACACTTTACATCTTTGTATGGTGCCTATTAACAAATTAATGTAGTTATAATTATTTTAATAGGTTTGTCTTTTAGTCTTCATACCAAAGGTATAAGCAGTATAAATACTGTGATTACAGTATTAGAGTAAGTATTAAAGTAACTATACTTTGTCTGTATGCTTACTTTTACCAGTGAATTTTATACATTCAGATATGTTCTTCTTACATGTTAGCATCCTTTCTTTCAGTTTGAAGAAATCCCTTTAGAATTTCTTGCATTACAGGTCTAGTAGCAGTAAACTCTCTCAGCTTGTTTTTGTTTGGGAAACTCATATTTCTTCCTTATTTGTGAAAGATAGCTTTTTTAGTTACAGTATTATTTGTTGGCAGATTTTTTTTCCTTTAACACTCTCAATATATCATCACACTCCTTTTTGTCCTGTAAGGCTGCTCCAGAGATGTCTGTTTCTAGGTATATTGAAACTCCCTTATATGTTATTTGCTTATTTTCTCTTGCTGTTACCAGGATCCTCTCTATTTATTTGGCTTTTTAGAGTATAATTATAATATATATTAGGTTATTCTAATTTGGGTTGAATCTCATTGGTGACTTTCATCCAGCCTGCTTCTAGATATTCATATTTTTCTTGAGGCTTGAAAAGTTTTCTGTTATTATTTCTTCTAATAAGATTTCTACTACTTTGCCTTTTTGAACTCCCTCCTGAGCTCCAATAACCCAAATATTTTCTTTAAAATGTTGTCTCATATACCACATAAGCTGTTAGTGCTCCTTTTCATTCTTTTTTCTTTCTTCTCCTCTGACTGTGTATTTATAAATGGCTTGTCTTTGAGCTTTCTAATTTTATTCAATGTTTAATAATTCTGCTGTTGAGACTCTCTATTACATTTTTTTCTTTAGTTCATTGTACTTTTCACATCTAGGATTTCTGTTTGATTGTTTTATCATATTAATCTCTTTTTTTAAACAAAATTATCTGTTAAATGTCTTAATTGATTCTTTGTGTTTTCTTGAAGTCCATTGAGCCTCCTTAATACAGATTTTTGGAATTTTATGTCTAAGAGATAACACATTTCCATCACTTCAAGGTCTCTGGTAGCTTACTTTTTCTATTTGGTGAAATATTATTTCTCTGAATGTTCTTGATGCTTGTGGGTGTGCAACAATGTGATGTGCAACAATGCCTGAATATTGAGGGATTATGGATTTGTTTTGTTCTTTACAGTCTGGTTTTGTTTGTATTCTCCTTCAGGGCTTTCCAAAATTTCTAAGCAGAATGACTACTGCGTTCCCTGAGCCTAGGACCACTGCAGTCTCCTCAGCACTAGAGGACACTCTAAACTCAGGCTTATTGTGAGTCTCATGAGGGCTCCAAACTTGATCCAGCTCTCCAACCCCAATGTACTTGATGAAGACCTAAGGAAGGTATTGCGATATAAAACTGGCCAAGGATCCAAACCCAGAGGACTGTCCCAGTAACCCAGATGGTTCTTACAGAGGCAGGATAGATTCCCAGCTGCAGCAGAAAGGGCTGGAGCTGAGACAGAGCCCCTTCAAAATCTGTTGTAAGACAGCTTTTGGCAAACCTGTCTTCTTGACTCAAATGGGTATGCAGCTCTTCGCAAGTTCCTGCAGAGAGGGCTAGTTCCTCAGCTGCAGTGAGAGGAGCCAGAACTACGACTGGGAACCCTTGAGATCTGTTGCTGGAGATCCCATTAGTTTAGATGCACTTGCATTTCCCAGCAGGTCCCTGCATAGACAGGATAGTTCTTTGAATACCAAAAGAGAGACGCTGGGGTTGAGATTAGGTCTCCTTAAAATCTACTGTGGGACAGAGGTTGGTGACCCATTAGCTAAGACTCCCTCTAGGTCCTTGTGCAAGTAGTTTGAAACTGGAACCTCAGTTGCAAAGGGCTGGGGCTGAGCCACAGGGAAAATTTTAGGTTCACTGCCAAGACAATGTTGGCAGGCAGATAAGCCTCTCCACTGAGGCACTTCTTTGTGCTATTCCTCTTAGATCTTGTGGAAAATGGTTTTGGTTGCAGACTCAAGGTCAAATGGGGCTTATTTATTCCCCATTGGAAATGGGATCACTTGCGGTCTCAAGCCTGAGAGCACCCTCAGTAAATTAGCAACTTGGACACAGGTTTGGCCTCTCAAAATGACACTCCTAAGTCTTGGACTCCACTGGAATTTTACAGCCTCCTACCTGAACCCTGAAGCACCCGCAGAGACTTTTGTCCGTGATGAGTTGCAGAATACTTGTTGTTGAAGAGATATATAAGCTTATCAACCTCTATTCTATCATTCGTTGATTCACCCTCCTTAAGTAAATTTGAATTATTCCATTTGCTCATGTCTTATTGCAAGAGTAAGGGCCTCCAAGATTGTAACTGAGACTCAGTTTCTTTTCTGCCTCCAGAGTATAGTCCATTAGAAAAGGGACTTATACGTTCTTGCTGATTCAACCTAAACTGTTTTCTGACTGAGTCTTGCTTTTTTGCAAATTAATTGTCATTCACACAATCTTTTGCCAAACATTTTATGAGCTCCTACTACACGACAGATTCTTTCCTAGGTACTAAGAATATACAGATAAATTAGAAGAAGTACGTGGCAACAAGAAAGTTAAGGTTATAGCTTGGACAGTGTAGGTTAGTAATAAAAAAGTTGAATTAAAATTATTTACAAAACTACTTGATGAGTGTTATAGTATTGATAAGACTGGGATTTAATGTAACCACAAAGAAGGAGTAAGATGAGCCAAAAGAAAATCAGAGAAGACTTCTTGGAAGAGGTAATATTTCAACATTGAAACTGATGATAACTAACTTATTCAAAAGGGCATTGAGGCCGGGTGCGGTGGCTCACGCCTGTAATCCCAGCACTTTTGAAGGCTGAGGCAGGTGGATCATGAGATCAGGAGATCGAGACCATCCTGTCTAACACGGTGAAACCCCGTCTCTAATAAAAAATACAAAAAAATTAGCCGGGAGTGGCGGCGGGCGGGCGCCTGTAGTCCCAGCTACTCGGGAGGCTGAGGCAAGAGAACGGCGTGAACCCGGGAGGTGGAGCTTGCAGTGAGCCAAGATCGCGCCACTGCACTCTAGCCTGGGTGACTGAGTGAGACTCCATCTCAAAAAAAAAAAAAAAAAGGCATTGAATGCACAAATACTAAGGTATCGACATAATTTAAATATAGGGATAAACAGTGCAAATGAGGGAAGTAGAGAAATCAGGATCACTCCAGCACTCTGGAAGGCAGAAATTTATAGACCTTGTCCCTATTTTGATGCCAATAACATGACTAATGTCCACTCTATTGCTAGATTCAAGAGATCTAGCTGGGGTCAGGTGAATACATGAACTGTGGTCAAATGAGCAGTATTAATGGAGCTTAGAAGTAGCCACTAATGACCCAACTCAATGTATTTGGTAGTTATTAAAGAAAAAGCCTGGTGTGAATTGGTTGTCACTCAAGTCACCCAATGACATATTACTATGTCATTTCATGATCTGATTAGTATACTTGTGTTTTTCTCATAGTCTCAATAAAAAGCTCCAACAGCATAACATAGGCTTATAAGAACTTTTACAAACTTCAAGACCTCTGCTTATCTTTCTACTCCTATTACTTCAGACCACATTTTATAATCTAAGGCCCAACTATGCCAAATGTTTCTCTGTAGGCTCAGAAATGCATCCATGCTCTTTCTTTCCTACAGGGTTTTGCTGTGCTAAGGCATCACCTTGAAACACGCCCAATAGTCTCAATTCCTCTTTTAGCCTGACTGATGTCTCTCATTTTTAACTCATAACTATGATGTCATTTTTACTAAGGAGACTTCGTTAACTCCCAAAGAAGGTTCCATTGAGTTCCCATAGAAACTTGAATTTATTTCTGTCATGCTATGGTCCTATAATCTATCTCCCTGAGACAGAAATCATATCTGTCTTGTTTGTACAATAGTCCAAAAACCTACCACAGGACTAGCACATTGTGGTTACTCAATAATTATATGCTAAATTATTAAGGGGAGTAGCAGCTTTGAATTCCAAATGTCCATTTATTTGTATTTTTTAATATTTTTTAGAAACTAGATTTCTGTTCTACCATCCCATTGCATCTTAATTGTTTAGAGTTTCATGTGTAGCTCAATAAATATCTGTTGACTACACCAGTGAGAGTAATCTTCTTGTGATATTACAAAATGGTATGTTCTCGTGAAAAGTAAAAACATTACGATTGCAGAAACCTGTCTTTTGCTCTTCTACCTCCACAGGGACTAGAATAGGACTTGGCTCATAGTAGATGGCTAGCACTTTTTACTGAATGAGTAGGTGAGACAATGAATCCTGTTCCAAGCAGTTTTAAAAATAATTAAGTTTCAGCATCATCATAATGAGCATTCATTGTCATTGTGCTGGGATTCAATGGTGCAGTGGTGTACAGAGATTTTAAATTGAATAAATAGCATTAAATTAGTTTTATAGCCTGACACTTGTTTCTCCAATATCAGTGTTAATTTCCATATGTAAATAAATTATTAAGTATTGTTTTATTACCTATAATAAACATTGATACTATACAAAAATATTTAGCCAATCTTTTTTTATTTTTTATTTAAATAATAGTTTACAAATGTTTGTCCTTTTACCTCTGTAAGCTATAATCAGTAGAGGAAACTTTAAACAATCTTAGATATACTATGGAAAACGTAAGATTTTTCTTCAGTTGGTTAGGACCTCCCTTCCCAGCTCTACTCCCTTTTTTCTTCCTGTTGATTATCAAGGAGGCAAAATATTTCACCTCTGCAGAGATGCAATTGACTGTTTGGGGGTGGGTAAATACCATTTAATTTTCTCTGAGTATCCACCTGGCAGGTTAGGTTTCTGTATAAATCAAATGTAATAGCACATGCTTGAAGTAAGAACAAAAATGAGAGAGCAAAATTGGCCTTGAGACCAGCAATCTTAAAATAGCCTTTCTCTTAATATTATTAGAGAAAAAAATGTGTGATTTCTCCAATAGAAATGGCAAGCACAAAGGAAAATAAAAAGTGTTCAAAGTGGCAGTGTTTCTGCTTGTTCAGATTCTTAAAATATGGCTTCACATACAATCTCATAAGACACTAAATGAGAGGAAAAAAAAGGGAAAAAAGTTCTCTCGTTGCATTCCCTCAAGAAAGCACAAAAAGACAGATGGCCCAAATGAGAGAGTCCCTGGTCAGATAAGTCCTTAATAATCTTCCTTTGCTTGGACAGAAAAACTATGCAGTGAACTATGTAATGACTTTGTTCTCCCAGGAGAAGCACAACAGTGAGAAAAGAAAGATGCCTAAAAATGGCCACATCTTTGACAACATGGGTTATAATGCTTCATTTTGTTAAGTAATAAAAGAATAATAAGAACCTTTTCTTTTGTACCTTGCGCTATCCTTACTTGGGTATAAAACCAAAAGACAAAAGTCTAAAATAGTATGAATTCTATGGTTTATTTATTTTCCTTTCTGTTATATAATGAGGGAAGAACAAAGAAATTTGCTTTACTCTGTCTCTAAGAAAGGAATAGTGGCAAAAACAAAGAAAGCAAGCAGAAACAGCCCAAACCAACAGAATGTTAAAATAAATTCAAGAATCTGAATTATTATCTCACACGGAACTACGGAGCTCCAATTTCATCTGTCAGTAGCAGATGCCAGTCTTGTACCAGACTCTCAGTTTCTATATTACCTATAAAATAATACCTATTGTGCGAGATCCTAGACTAATTAGCATTAATCACTTCAAGCATTCCTAATTGGAAGATAAAACAGTTTTCCCTTTCAAAGACTCAACACCAACATCCTGGTAGTATAATTAGGGGAACTCTTCGTTAGAAAACTTAATTTCAGAGAAGCATACATCCAATGCTTGACTCATTCTTCAGAATACACCAAAAAAAAAAAAAAAAATGAGCACCAGAGGGGTTTGTTCATGGAAAGAAGTATGATATATTGGAAAGATTGTTTCATTTTCAAATCCAGACTCTGACACTTGGTTATGTGAACTTGCTTGTTATTTAATCTCCCTGCACTGTAATTTTTCAGATGTAAATAAAAATAGTCTCTATTTCAGAAAAGTGCTATGAGGTTTAAATATGAGAGTAAATATGAAATAATTGATATATTTTAGGTTTTTTTCTTTACTATATATTATCATATCAAATATATGTGATCTCAAGAGAGATCTGAAATGAACCAAAATAAAATAGCATACTTAATTCTTAATTAACATATGCCAGCAGTATAGACTAGAGACTGGCAAGCTCCAGTCTGTAGGCCAAATCCAGCCTATGACTGTTTTTGTAAGTAAAAGTTAATTGGAATCCATGCTTTCTTATTTACATATTTTCTACTGCTTTGTTCTTGCTTCCAAGGCAGATTTGTGCAATTGCAATGAGACTGTAAAGACTCCAAGCCTAGAGTCTTTAGCCCTTTACATAAATAAATAAATAAATAAAGTTTGCGAACCCTCATTTGAAAAAGAGGGAGGTTAGCATAATTCTTGAGAATTTCCAAAGTTGTTTAAAAAAATTCTGAAATGTATATATGCTGAGCACTAATATCGTCAACTTGCTATGAACTAATAATTAACCTAAATACCCATCTTTAAAGATTTGTTTCCATTCAGTAATTTAGGTGAAAATGGAATATATGTGTTTTGGTTTGCTTTGCTGAACTCCAAAATACAATAATAGCTGTACTCTTACAAAATATAAAAGCTCAGTAAATTGACTAAGCCAAGCATTTTTAAACCCTCACGTTGTCTTCTCTTCGACTTCTGTTTGTAATCACCTCCTTTCTTCTGTAACTACTGTTTCAAACACGCAACCAATGTCTCACGTCTATTGCTGAAAGAAACCTTAATTAGCCATCATTTAGTTCAAGACATTCGTTTTAGAAGAAAGAAACTGAGGCTTAGAGGATGAAGTGAACTATGTCCACACTGGTGATTAGCACCAGAGCTGAGAGGGGAATCTAGTCTCTGGGATCCTATTCCAGTGACCTTTTTAAGATACCACAATGCTTCTTCAATCTGACTAGCCTCTATTCAAATCCTAGGATCTGCATTCAAATATTATCTTTCATTTCTGGATTTTTAATATCTCCCTGTATCCTCAATCCCAGTCCAAATAAGTCCTGTCTACAGAAAAACTGTATTCCCATCAAGCTTAAAAATTTGCTGTTATAATTTGGGAAAGAGTTGTACCCACGAATTTCTCCGACTTTTTTTCTCTTTCTACCTCTCATGTTCTTACAAGGTCTTTTCCATGGCCACAGCTCTTCCAATAGGACTTGCTGGTTTGTCACCAAATCTTACAAATGACCTATTGTGTTCCCTCCTTGCACCCATTTCTAGCACTGCTTCCCAGTGGCAGCTGACTTTTTATATCCCTCCTTCTTTTTGTCAAATAATAAGGAATAATACTCCTTATTCCCCTGAAGATGTTTTCTTGTGGCTCTTTTCCTGTTATTCCAACCTGTCTTCCACTCTCTGAAGCTATTTTCTCTGAAGCCTTCTCCCTTTTTTTCTTTTTTATTCCATGTATCTCAAATGTTACCTGCACTCAGGAATTCTACTACTCTTTATTTACATCATCCCCAAGAGTATGGTTGATAATCCTAAATTCAGACAGCATTGTGACAAAGGATTCAAGAAAATCTCCAGTTAAGTCCTAAGTAAATTTTTTTCCTGTCTCATCTGTTTACCTATGTCAGTGAATAGCATTATTATTCCTAGAGTCCTGGTTTTTAAAATCTCTCTCTCTCTCTCTCTCTCTCTCTCTCTCTCAGTCTCTCTCTCCCCCTCCCTCTGTTTCTCTCCCCTTTCCTCCCTCCCTTCACATGGTTCTTCTTTCTCTCTGTAACCATGTGGATTCTCAACCACATGATATTTCTTATTTCACTAAACTCTCATTTTTTCCTATTTATACTATTGTCATCTCCCTAATCCAGACATGAGACACTTCCCCTTTCTTTCATGGATAAAGGAATCAGAATAACCGTGCACTCTCAATATCAAGAGGAAGATGAAGAAGTCAGAATGTACTCAGCATATTGCACCATTGATCCTGGTTTTGCTCAGAAAAAAAGAAAGCATCCTTAAATAATGTGAAACTGTACTAAAGGAAGCAGAAACAAGGGACACTTAAATAAAAACCAGCACATTCATAACAGGATTATGAATTCAAAAATACTTTAACTAAAATCATGTTAATAAGTGGAATTTTGTCTGTAATGTGAGTATAGATAGTGTGTTTTTAAGTTGAATTTAGTTTGCACTATGTGCCAAAACACCATTCTAAGTACTTTACACATACTAACTCATTTAAGTTTTCAAACTACACATGAGTTAAGTGGCCTTATTATAGCCATTTTGTAAATGGAAAGAATAATACACAAAGAGTTTGATCAAGGAATTTATAAGTAGTAAAGGGTATATTTGAACTCAGTGGAACCTCAGCTGTTAACTACAAATCTATAATGCTACTCTGGAAATAATTACTTTTGGAAGAAATTTATTACTTGACTGACCAATGTATTTTTACCTATTTACTCATTCACATATATATATATATATATATATATATATATATATATATATATATATATATATTTATATTTATATTTATTTTTTCCCCAAAACCTGGTCTGCAATAGTCAACGTATCCCATAGGGATATATCAGTGACAAGACAGACATGTCTTTGCCCTCATGGAGCTGGCTAATGGATCAGATGTAAGACAAGAAAGAAAAGGAAAGAAGGAAATGTAGGATAATCCTAGACATTTTATTTGAACAAATAGGTGGATGGTGACATTTTTTCCTGAGAAAAATGAGAATTATCCAGTCTCGTGTGTAATTTTCAATTAATTTGAGAGGACTAGACTTTTGTTTTGTTGATTTGCTTTTATCAGGAGGCACATAATGTCTAGGACTTCTCTTTTCATTATCGTTTTACCTATTATTGTTCAATGCTGAGACACAATAATAAATTCGAAGTGGGAAATTGTTGCTAGTCAAATTCTATAATTTCTTTTAATTTTTTTTTTTGCTATAATACTTTTACGAAAATAAACTTTCCCTCATTGCCTACTCATTTGCACAAATTCATTTAGCTATAAAATTAATATAGAAAATATGAAATAAATGCTTGGTTATTTTTCTTAATTTACCAGTTTTTAAGATTAAAAAGTACTTATTATTATCTCCCAAAGGTAATCAATATTATTGTGTGTATGTGTACCTATAAAAATGCATTAAACTCATAAATTTAAATACACTTTATGTGTTTCATTTCATGTGTTTTAATTGATTGCTGAGTCCTTTAGCAATTTAATACATGCTTTTTAAAAAAATAGAGTGACTTAATTCTAATAACAAAAAGTGACTCAACTTTAATACTTTTAACTCAAATGCAGGGCTTAAGGTGGTACTCAGAACATTCTCTATTACCTTATCTCTACTTTTTCTTTCTTACACAGAGTGAATCCTGGTTTTACAAGACACAGAGGATGAGAGAACTAACACACCACATGATTACATATTTTCAATTGCAAATTACAAACAATGGTCCAGAATAACATTATAAATATCCACAGTACTAACATTCTTAAAATAAACCAAATAATTGCTACAAATAGTAAATTTTTTCAGTTGTTGTTCACAATCTTCACCTCCACTTTTTAAGGTGTGACACACATAGTGACAGGATATTGATGTTATTTATTATGTTTTAATTTTTATTTAGTCTTTAGTTCTAGAATTTACTACATAATCTTAATTTTCATTTTGTTATTCTCTTAATCTCTACTCATTTATTGATCTGAAGGTCTTTCTCTAGTATATTTCTCAGGAATGGCACACGGAAATAATATTGCTCAAGTTCTTATATATTGATAACAGCTTATCTGCACACTTTATCTTTGAATAATACTTTTGCTCATTATAAACTCCATGGACATTTTCTACCTTTGAACAACTTAAATATAATCTGCCATTTTCTTTGTGGCAAATATTGCCCTTAACAAGTCTTAGGATTATCTGATTTTCTTTTCTTGCAAGTTCTTGCTCTTTCTGTTTAGATGGAAAATTTTTTTTTTCTAAAAATATCAATAATTTTTAAAAAACATATCTTGACTGGTTTTGCTGAGTAGGTATTTACAGGCATGCAAAGTGCCAATTCAGTATATAATTTCAAGTATTTTTTTAAAAATCTACTTAACAGTTATATTGCATTCCAGGTTAGTTTTGTTTTACTCTCTCTCTTTGTTTTGAGTTTTATAAGTTTATTTTTCTCGTATTTGCTATTTCTTTCAAGGCATTATTTCATTGTTCAAAAAATTGTGTTTCTTTTAGGTTATACTGCATAACAAATTATTTTTTCTTTGTTTATATAATTTATTTTATAATTGAATACTTTTATTTTTTCTTGTTCATATCTTTTCTCTTTCTTTTGAGATGAAGTCTCACTCTGTTGCCCAGGCTGGAGTGCAATGGCACGGTATTGGCTCACTGCAACCTCCGCCTCCTGGGCTCAAGCAATTCTCCTCTCTCAGCCTCCCGAGTAGCTGGGATTACAGGCATGTGCCACCATACTCAGCTATTTTTTTGTATTTTCAGTAGAGACAAGGTTTCACCATGTTGGCCAGGCCGATCTCCAACTCCTGACCTCAGGTGATCACCTACCCCAGCCTCCCAAAGGATTATAGGCATAAGCCACCACACCCAGCCCTTGTTTATGTCTTATATGACATTTTCAATATCTTTTAATTATTTTGAAATATTATGTTACACTTTTTTCCTGTTTTGTGGACAAGTCTTTGGGTATGGTTTCATTGTATGTAAAGATGTTTCAATCCATAGTCTCATTTTTCATATACAATTTTTCCAATGAATGTGATCTTGACTATTTTATGTTGCAAAATTAGCTTTTTATGGATTTTAATGCAAAATTAGTTTTCTGAATCTCTAGGTGGAAGCTTCGTTCAGCACAAGTCTTCTAACTCTACAGAGTTAAACCTACAGTTATCTCTTCTCTGTTGTTTACAAGCAATGCTAAAAAGTATGGTGATTTGCTTTCTGAAAATTTTGCTTCTGTTTCACTTTTGTTATTCCCTCATGCTTATGCATGCTAAATAAATTTGTATGCATAAGCATGGAGGAATTGCAGGAGAATGATCACCCACTTATACAATGAAGCCCCAGTGCTTATAAACCCTTCCTCAAGGGGGAAGAAAGGCAAGGGGCATAGAAGTAAACAATTTTCAGGGAAAATGAATGAGCCCAAAGAACAATGGTGTGGGACAATATTCTTCTATGCTCTGGGGGAGGTGGCGGGAAGGTGAGGGCAGAACTTGATTGTAAACAAAGGTTGACTTCTGTAGATAAAGTCTTCCAGGTAAGTCTCTCTCAGAGCTGTCCTCAGAAGAATAGATGAAAAGTCCACCTGGGCAGGACGATGGCTCCCAGGCTTTTCTTTTTTTCTGATGGCTAATCTTTCCTGGTTATGTGATGAGATTCCTAGAAATGGGTCTTAAGACAGTTTCATTTGTCTTATAAAGAAGCTTCTCAGTCCGATAAATGAATTTCAGAGAGAGTTCCTTCCCATGTTTCAGAAAAGTAAGATGATCAGAGAGACAGAGGGTGGGGAAAGGTCAGAGAGAGACCTTGGTTCTGAAGTTTATTTCTGAGGCCTTTCAATTTTTTTTTTTTAATTCAGGGCTCTCAGCATGCCAAAACACCATATTTTGGAGTATTAGTTTCTGAGCCCCAACAACAGAAGAGCTTCTGATAACATTTTCAGAATTAAGACTGTTCACTCACTCACTCACTTATTTATTCACTCAATCATTAACTTATTCATTCATTTTTATATTCAACATATAGTTAGTGATCACATACAATGTCCTTGACACATTAAATCCTCTAGACTTAGTGGTTAACTAGTAAAAACAATTATTAAATCCCTGCCCTGATAAAGTTGATGATAAATAGGTGGAGATAAATAATAAACAATAAACAAATGAACAAATACATAAAATGTCCAGTTGGGATAAGGAGTACAGAGAAAAATAAAGTAAAATAATGATTTGGATAATAATTACTGCATGTGAGAAAGGCCTCTATAGACAAATGACATCTGAGCAAAGACTTAATTCAATCAAGAGAGATAGAGTCCTGTGGATATTTGAGAGCAGCATCACTCACTCATCCACTCATTTCTCAAATATTTTAGAGTTCTACTTTAGGTAACATCTCAGCTAAGCACTGGAGATTAAAATGAGTAAAAGGGTCACTGTCCTGAAGCAGTTCAGAATGACTAATATATTTTATTGTTTTATTCATCAATTTTATAAATGTTACACAGATTTAATTGAACGATCTTCTAAAACCAGTAAAAAAGCACATGTGCTTTCTTTAAGAATTAAAGGAAGAACTACATTTAAATAAATTCTCAGTATTATCAAGAAGATAATTCACTTCTTTCAACATTTTTTTCTTACCTCATGGTATTTAAGTCATTCTCAAATTCTCAGTGTGAGTTTATTAAAGAGTTGTTATGTAGTTTGAGTACAGAGATTCATTCTCATCTACATGGAGTGCTCTCTTTTATCCTATTGATTGTTTTGATCTTATTTTTGTCTTCCCTTCTAAGATGGAAGTCGCCTTAACAATCCTTCTGAGGCATACAAAAGAGAAGTAGCACAAGCCGAGAGAGTTTCGTTGCTCTTTCTCTAAGAAATGAAGATTTTGTAATGAGAGCACAGAACACGGAGTCTCCCTCAAGGCAGAGGAATAAGTGCTTAGCTTTCCAACTCTGCATGTGAAATGATTCACTAATTAGTAGTCCTAAATGTTAGGGAAAGAGAGATGGAGAAATAAAAGCTGCTTATATGATGTTTTGTGCATGATGAAAGTGTTATATAAAACTTTGCTTCTTCATGGAAAATACCACTCTGTAAAAATCTGGTGCTATAAACTGTTACTTAAGCGGGTTCCTACAGCTGCAGACTTATTAAAACCCAGCAGGTAAAGCTATAATAAACAAATACCACCTGCTGCTGGAACAGGTGTTTGTGTCCTCATTTAGAAACCAAACTAAATGAGAGGATGCACAGGGGTTAGAAGAGACCATTTCCTGGATTACCAGGAGCCTGGCATTCTGCAATTCATTGCTTGTGTGTCCTTGAACTTAATGCTGTGGGTCTTGACTTGCCAGGTTAGTTGATGATGCCTCAAGGATGAAACTTCAGTACAATTAAGAAGACCTATATCTTCTCCTGGTAGGATTCCTCACACTCTGTGTCACATTTTTTTCTCCTAAAGTTGACCTCTCTTCATCCTGCACTACTTAAATCAATTACAGGACATAAATTATTGAGAAGAGTTCCCTTAACCTCGTACACCAAACAAAAAGAAATTTTACAGTATAAATTAAAGAAGAGTATACCGATAGCATACTATAAAATGTAATAAGTACCTTTTAAATATTCTTGCATTATGTGATATTAAACTCTTCTACTCCTAGGTTTTTTTCTATTTCTCACAACTATTCTAATTGTAACACTCACTATTTTCTGAGATAAGAAAATATAGTTTCATTGTACCAAAGATTTGTGACCTCTTCTTTTTAAACAATTTAGCTCTCCGTCCTCATTTTATAATAATTCTGAGAAAGTATGATTAGAAGAGGCTCAAAAAACTTTGGGTAAATGGTTTCCCCAATTTGTTTTCAGTAGCTGCTTTTTTGTTTTGGCTTGAGGTGTGCCTAATATTGTAATATCAGATAAAAAAGTAATTGTGAAAATGCTTGGACTATTTCAAAGTGCTCTGTGGATATAAAAAACAGTTGCATTGAGTTTTGCTTAAAGCCCATAGGAAATAAGCACTGCAATTTTGAAGTAAGTTTTAAGACTTCTGCCAAAGACTTGCAAAAGAGAGTTTGTGACTCTTAGGACCCTCTCACAGGGACTAGAGGTTGAGACCAAAGAGGTTTTGGGAGACCACCTGGAAAAATATTATTTATATCACTAAGTTTGGAGATCACAGTGATAGTAGGTGAGATCTCATACTCACACATTGGAAAATAAGAAAAGCAAAACACAACTGGTAGCTGCTTTGAAAGCAGAACAAAGGAGAAGTGACTGACGTGGGCAACCTGTGTGCTCAAACTTTGTGATCAACATATACAAGGTATATGGATATTCAGATGCTGTACTTGAGAGCTTCACAGAGGAATGTTTTAGTTAAAGCAACACTGGGTTCTTGCTGTAAAGACATAGTCCCTACACATTCAGAGGCTTAATAAGATATAATTTTATTTCTTGCTCATATAAAGTCCAAGCAAGTAGGAAGAAGGCTTTCTTCCTTGTAGTCATTTAGGGGCTCAAGGTCCTTCTGTAGTATGACTACTCTTGGTGATTAAAATTCTTCCCTACTCTTCTTGATACTGAGAAGTTAGACCGTCTAACCGAGTTTGATCTGCAAGGGTGTACATTGGATCTTTTCACAGTCCATATCCTTGCATAGATCCAAGGAAAATTCTTCAAAATACAGCCCCTTACTAAGATGCCACTTTGAGGAAACAACTCAACACTACAAATAAGGATCATGACTGTTTGGTTGTTAGTTATGTTTATCTTCCATAGTGAAGCATAAATTAGTAAGAGGGACCTCTAGGTGTTTCAGGGCTAGTGATCATGTAAAGGATCATCCAGGATAGAGAGGTCCTCAATTCCTTTAAGGGAATGGAGGGAGAAAATGTTCTGTGATCCAGCATATAAGTGGATTTCCAAGGAAATCAAAATAGCCATGAAAGGTGACAGAGCAGGAGCATCACCGTCTTGGACAAATACTGCCATTTTAAGTTCCTCTTGATTAAAAACCTCCTAAATCCAGCCCCAAAACATAAGCCTAATGGCTAATGTCAGCATGACCATAAGCCAGAAGTGACACCTCTGACCAGAAATATTCCAACCCTGAGATAAACCACCCCTGACCAGAAACATGCCAACCCTGAGATAACCTCCTCTCCCACCAGAAACATGCCAGCCCCGAGATAACATCCCCTCTGACCAGAGACATTCCAACTCTGCAATCAAACTCTCCTACACACAGAAACATTCTGAGTGTGTGATAAGCTCTCCCTCCCTAAACCCTTAAATACCCTTAATCTGTAAGAGAGAAGGCGCCTGACTGAAATTGGCCAGAAATCCCTCTCAGGTTTATTCTCTGAAATAAATGTCTTTGACTGTTGAGCTGCTTTTCACATTTCTTTCTTCTTTCTTTAACTCTTAAAAAAGGAAATGTCAGCAATAAAAATTTCCTAAACTAGAGAAAATAATCTGTCAGTGCTGGTAAGCCATTATTTTTCTACTCTCTTAACTCTTTTCCTTTTCTATTTTTCTCATTTTCAGCCCCATCCCTATTCTTTTGGAGTCAGAAGTGGCTGATAAAAAAATAAAGAAGGAAGAAATAAAATTGGGGATAGAAAAGAGACTATCCTATCCCTTTCACAGTAGAACTTGCAATACTGTTTTTAATTTTATTATGAATCTGCATTGTGCTACATATTACTTACTACCCAAGGAACTTTCAATTACCCCAAAATACAACAACAACATGACAGCAAAAAAACCATACCAGATTAACCTTTAATTTCATTCAGTAACATGGGAAGATCTGCCCCAGAGAACACATTTAAAAAGGTAGTTTAAAAAAAAAAACCTTATTATTATTTGATAGTTAGTTGTTTTATTATCATGTCCACAAGTCATGCTTATACAATGTGAGGATGGAATAAATAAAAAGTAGTGTATTGACTATATGAAAGAAAATCTTTAGTAGGTATATAAAATTAAAGGTTGTGGTTTATCACTTTTCTCATTTTATGAATGCTGATCTCCATACCTATGATATTTATTAATTGCACATAATTGTATTTGAATACACTTTTCTTCCTTAGTTCAAAGTGAGTATTATTTACTTTTTGGTGATTTATCATCATTGAGAGTTTCAGCATCACTTTAAAATAATGTAATTATAGAAGAGATCAGGCATATTAGAAAAACTGGCTCTCTCCTTCAGCCTTTCTTAATACTTTCTTCCTCTTTTCCAGGTAGAATGGATTAACCTTTCTTGCAGTTAATTCTATAACTTATAGACATCTGTTTCTCCTGTTGGACCTGAACACCTTGAAGGCAGGGATTTTGAATTCCCTTTATCTTCTACAATACTAAATATGTAAAGGATCTGGTAAATAGAAGAGCTAAATTTTTTTAAAAAGAGGCTGAAAGTTAAAATTTTATAATAAATTCCTGAAATTATCTTTTTAGTGTTTTTTTCTTTAAAAAATTCCCTTTATGTCTTTAAAGTGGAACATTGGAAAAAATTAGTTAATTGAGGCTTTTAGATCTATGTTCCTATTAATCAAAATTTTAATAATATAGATATATATGATAGATCCAGTGTTTGACAAGATGCCTTCCTTGATATCATAATAAAGTCTAACATGTTAAAAAGTCCCTGTAGTAGAGACCTACATAATTCAGAATTCTGTCTTTCTTTTTCCTATACACAGCAACTGGAAAGTGACAAGTGCATTGGTGTGTAGTTGAGCAGCTCTGAGAAAGGGATTAATTGGTCCAAGAGGGAGTATTTCCAATGGGATATTTAGCCTTGGAAAAAGGCAACACAATGCAAGCTATCCCTTCTGCTCAGAAAGGCTTTTTGGGTGTCTATACCATCTCTCCCAAATCATAAAATCTGTGTTGACCTTTGTTTTGCAAGTCAAATTGTGAAACACTTTTGATTCCAATGTGAGGAAACAAAAAGGATCTTTTAATGAATCATGTATGCTTTTGTTACATTTAAAATTAAGTGAATATCACTTAAGATTTCTCAGACTTTAGAAAAAAGTCAGTACGAAAAAAATCCTCCAAGTTTAACATTTGTTGTCATTGCCAACCTAATTGATTATCTTAGGGAAGCAGATTGTACAGTAGTGACAAAATATGATTTGAAAGGAGAAATATATTATTGAAGTGGTACATTAACTACGAAGTAATCTTAGATCTTCTAAGGGTTCACAGTCCTTCTGTTACATGTGAATGGAAAGTAAATGAACTATGCTAAATATTTTTCTACATTCTTCCCTTGTCTTTCGAGGTCACCAAAATTATTTCTGTTAGCCAATTTCCTTCCTATTAGCTCTCACATCAGAGTAACTACCTTGTAGAATTTCTTTGATGCTAGACATTTATGACATGTTGGACTTTTACTGCTTGAGGCTGTTTCTAGCACATTCACTAATTATGTTTAAATAGGAGCTTGCTCTTATAAAATGGCAAATCTGGATTTTTAGAGCAGAACAGTTAAAACAACACTGATGCAAATCCAAGGAAAGTGGGGTTAAAACAGAAGCCCATTCAGCCAAGAATAACAATTCAACGGAAAAGCAATTAATTCATACATATATTTCAGAGGACATATTTCAGGGCTTCCACTTTTTTATCCACTCTGAAATACTTCTTTTCTTTAACATGTTTGCAATTCATCACCTTTTCAGATAGACAACCTCAGCAATTTAAGTGCAGACCTATTGTGCTTTGTTGCTCTTGTTCAGTGATGTAAGACACAAAATTTAACGTTTGCCATCTTTCTCTCTACAACCAATACCAAAAACCAGGCTCTTATGTGGCTCCCTATACTGCTATTTCCTCTGTGCCTAGATAGACGGTGCAAAATGACGGAGAAAACTCCTAACATGGCAACCATATCAGAGGAAGAGAGAGAGTAAAGAGACTTTTTAGTCTGAATTTTTTCCCTAGCTTATGGTATCCATTTAGGCAAGTCAATAAACTTCTTCGAGTCTTAGTTTTACTATTCATAAAATGAGAAATTAAGTTGAAATTTTGTTTTTTCCCCAAATTGACCAACTGTAATATTATCATTATTATTATTACCATAGATTTATGCTTATTTTCATTTACTGAACTATAACTTTATGCAAAAAGCACCCAAACCTTAACTGTACAGATCAATGAATTTTTAGGTATGCATGGACCTGTGCAAGTACCGCTCAGATCAAAGGATAGGTTTCCAGCCCCCAGTGGGCTTGCTTGTTTCCCCACTGAGTTCATACCCTTAACCACTCTCTAGACTTCTGACATAGCTTTGTTTTTTCTGCTTTTGAACTTTTTGTAAATGGACTTATTCATATGTGGTATTTTGTGTCTGCCTTCTTTTGTTCAACAATACATCTGTGAAAGTCATCCATGTTGTCATTAGTAGTAATAGCTTATTTTTCATTGTTGTGTTGTATCCCATTGTGTGCATATGATGTTTGAGTTGTTTTGAGGTTTTGACTATCGTGAAGAAGACTGCTGATAACATTTTTGTAAGCAATAACTTTTTTTTTTGTTTTGGAGGAAGATATGTAACCTGAAACAGAACTTCTGAATCATAGGTTAATCATATTTTTAACATTAGTACATATTTTGAGAAAGTGTTTCATATGTTTTATAATGGTACCATTGTGTACCTTTTTTTATTTTTGGTACATTTTTGCTAACTCATGGTTGTATAATTATATGTTTTTATGGATTCTCAAATGTTTAAGCATTTTTACTTAAAAATATAAGTAATATCTATGATAGTTTGATGTGGTAATTATATTTTGTCGAATTTCCATTAAGACTCATCTAAAATTATTAACAGACAAAATAGTCATCTTGATATAATTTTAAATGCTTTCATGCTAACCATATTTGTTCTAGATAATTGTTCCTGGGTCACTCCCCCAAGAACTTTTAACTTTTAAAAAGTATATTTCTACTATATAAACAATATTTTTATTAAAATCAAAGCAAAATGTAAGCAGTTTGAGTTTGCAATTAAAGAAAATTTTAAGAACACACCAGAAAAAAATATTAACACTATCATGAGTTAATAAGAATTAGTTTTTTGATTGTCTATGCTTACAATGTAACTTCTGTAGGAAGTTTTGGTTTAGTGTTAGCTAAAAGTTTTGTCAAACATGTATGAACCCTAACTTTGTTTTCCAAATGATATCATAAATCTTTTTAAAATTTCACCACTCTGACAGCTGTTATTACCTTTATTATTATTAATGTTACTTTTATTATTGGCATTGAAAGTAATGGCAAAAACTGCGATTACTTTTGTACCAACCTCATATAATCCATTTTGCCACATAAGTCTTTGAGAATTATTTCATGAGTTTGGAAATAACGTTGTAGGACTTTTCCTTATTTCAGCTAAAAATGAGGTTCTTTGTCCCATGTCCACGAAAATTCAGGCTCACAGACAATTAAGTGGTGATTAAGACAGGGTTGCAAGGCCAGAGTCTCTGCTAGAGCACTTCCTGCATGCTGTAGAATCCCAGGTCTACACAGGAAGAGGAGGGGCCAGGCTCCTCCCTGCTGCAAATGGCATGAACTTCCTGAGGCTCCACCCAAATGGGCAGGCTGGTTGGAGTTTCTCCAGGGACCCCCTCCCATATGGCTGTCTCAATAACATGCATTATTAAAAATGATATACACTATGGCCATTACATACCACTGTCATCCAATGATAAAAACAACATGATGGCAAAAGTAGAAAATTTGAAGTTGGCTTTGTCTTTCAATGGAATGTAGTTGGTTTGTTATTGTTAATTATCTGGGTCATCTTAAAGCAAAACTGGTGCCTCTAACCTTTATATTTGCACAATGGACCATGATTACATATGGCAGACACTGCACTCAATAAAAAATATTTTAGGATGAGTATATTTTTCCAAAATTAAACCTGTATACATTTTCCAGTTTCTTTTTCCTGTCAAAATTTGTTTAGAAAACAACAATAACAAAAAACTAGTGTTAGGGGAGAACTCAGATAAAAATAAAAGGTCTGACTCTTGGGATCACTTCATATATTGGTAATCCCAAATTACATAATCTGGAGCCAAGGATATATTAGTAACCCCAAATTACATAATCTGGAGCCAAGTGTTGATTTTCATGGTGGCTAAACTTATTTTTGCTAAATTTCTGTGATGAGAATAGTAACACAAATCACTGGAATAAAAGAGAAAATGCATACTAAAAAATGAACTAATATTTTGTTCATACAAACGTGCTGCAAATTATAATTCTATTTATTCACAATCAGTTTTATTTACAAAGAGGACTTCACCCCTGGACACAGCTGAGCAGTACCCTGAGGCTCTAACAGCTACAGCGGACCTCCCGTATAAGGCAGTAGTACTCCACATGGGAGCTACCTCCATCTCCTGCCTTGGATGCCAGGTCAATAACTAGAGATAAGTTGCATCACCACCCTGCTGAAAATGAGCTAGGGCTGATAGAAGGGAAAAAAATAAACACTAAACTGGTTTTAATAATTAATTAGAAAGATCCAGTAGGAGCTACAGAAATACCCCAGGGATTGTATTTTTAGAGTATTTGATTAAGAGGGACAGAATGTAACTATCAATAAGCAAGCATTAATTAACTTGGGGAACATTTTCTCAGGACATGGGATTTAACTCCCTGGTGAGGGACAAAAAGAATGGGGTAAATTTGCTGCTGAATTAGCTCCTAGCAATCCAGAAAAACAAAAAAAGATGTCTGGTGCTCAGTAAAGTGGAAATATTTATGTTGCCCTCACCGGTGGTAGAGGATGAAGTAAAGAGACTGAGGGAAGGAGCATGCTAGAATGACATAATCAATGTAGCCGGTGACCACTAATAAGTCCAGAAGAAACACCATTCACCAAGGTCATTAGAAACATGGTGAGTGAGGCACCAGAACTTCAATGATGACTCTTCTCTTCAGACCATGGCTGATCATAGGAGAAGGGGGTCACAGAGCTAGAATTCTTAATATCCATGGAAATAGTGCACTCTCAGAGTAATGGAGGCCAGGAAGCAGCATTTACCCTCCACAAGCCAAAAAGCCACAATTTTCTTGAAATTCAGCAAGACAGGTAGGTGACCAAGGATTTGCTAAATTAAATTTGTTAATTTATTCAACTTCAATTACAAAAGAGCAGCTAACAGAGCTTGATCCACAGGGGGCTGAGAAGATGGCATTACTAGGGTCAAACTAGATGCACAGTCAATAAAATTGCTGCTTAACCTTTATTATCACATACATACATACATACATACACAAATGCGAGATACAGAGAGGCCACTGCAATTAAGATTAAGTCAAAATCTCTGGCAAAGTTTCCAGAACTAAGCACATTTTCTGTTCTAGAATCCTTTGATTGAGAGTAGTTACATCCATAGGAAGAAGGATCTTGCCATACGTCCTTTTACAAAGGGGAACTATGATCATTTACTCTGGTGACTGCACACTATGAAGAAAGTAATACTAAGACATTTTAAGTGTTCTTGAGCACGCAGTCATACCTGGAGACTCAAAGCATCTTTATATTTCTCCATTAGAGTGGGAGCTTAAGTGTGCCACATAATACATGAGGTTCTAAATAAAGTGTGTTTCATAATATACCAAATGGATACATGGACCTTGGCCTTGCCCACTGGCCATTTTCCCAGGCTCTGAGTGTGTAATTAGAATTGATATGCTGAGAATAACTCCCTACGTTGGGTCCCAGGCATGTGTGTAAGAGCTATCACACTGAGGTAGTTAAAGCAAAACTTTTAGAAATTGTCCCTCCTCCCCAACTACAATAGTAAATCTAAAACCATATTGCATTCAAGAGAGTGGGAACAGCAAAATCAGTTCTCCCATTGATGAATTAAGGGATACAGAAGTGCTGGTCCCCAACATACCTCCATTTAATTTGCCCGGGTGGCCTCTGCTGATACTGGCTGGACTTCAGAGAATGCCTGTTGATAACTGCAGGCTCAGATAAGTAGTGGTGCCAATCGCAGATGCTGGTAAATGTGGAAATGGTGCTAGAGCAGATTAATAAAGAGGTAACAGGTGCATAATAGGTGCCCATCAATTTGTTAAATATGTTTTCAACTTCAGTTACAAAAGAGGATCAGAAAGGATCATAGGGATTTCATTCATGTGGGGCAGGCAATAATCTTTATTTACAGTTTTAACTCAGGACTATGTTCACTCTGCTGCCCTGTTTTATGAAATAGTCTGAGGACATCTGGATTACCAGGACACATCCAAATACCATTACTTTGATCTATTTCATCAGTGAATTTATTTTTATTGGGAAGGACAAGAAATAGGTGGAAAACATTCAGGTGACTTTGGTAAGACACATGTTCCAGAGGGTGGGAGATTAGGCTAGGAAGATTCAGAAACCTGTTTACTCAGAAATCAATGACATATTTAAGTGTACTGTGCTTAGGGATATTCCCTCCAAAGTAATATATATATATATATAATATATAATATATATATATAATGTAATATATATATATATACACACACACACACACACATATATATATTATATATATGTATGATGGGAACATTTTGCATGCCCCAAAACAAATAAGCAAGCATTGTTCCCTTTTATGAGTTTTGGAGGAATCATACTCCACTTCTAGGAGCCAATTCCTTTTCAGTCTATATACTAGGTGACATGGAAACTTGCTAACTTTGAGTGATCTGGAGCTGAAGAGGGCTCTCGAGCAGGTCTAGACTCTGGTACTTGGGCCATATGAACTGACAGATCCTTTAGTTTTTGTAAGTATCTGAGATAAAAATAGATGCTGCATAAAATTTGTGGCAAGATCCAGTGGGAAAATCACAAGAGCACCCTTACTGAATGTTGAAATGGCTTCCTAAAGGCACAGTTAAAGTGGCATCTTGGAGGCAACACTCAGAAAGGGTGGCATCACATCCCTCAGAATGTAGTATATACACTAAATCATAGGCCTCTATATAATTCTCTGTCTTCAAAAGACAGAATTCATTAGAATCAATGAGTGGAAACAAGTGTGATCACATTTACCTTTACTCCCAAAGACCTGCTTGGAAATTGTACTTTCCAGCTTCATGACTTGAGTCTGCAGGGCTAGAAGTTCTGGTTCCCAAAAGTGGTGCATGCTTTTCAGGGGACAGGATAGATTTTCCATTGTACTACAAGTTATAGTTGCTGCCATGACACTTCGGACTCTTTGTACCTAGGGACCAGTAGGTGAGAAGGTCCGTCACCATACTGTTAGTGGTACTTAGCAACACTGAGCAGCAAGAGAATGTTGGGTTGGTTTTATACAATGGAGGCATCGAGGAATATATGTGCAACACAGGTGAAGCCTTTGGGGTGCCTGCATACTTTCTTGCTACATCGTAACTGTAAATAAAGCCATGCAGCAAACCTGGCCTAGGAAGGTGCCATGGAATACATTTTTGTGTCTCTCCAAAATTCATATGTTGTGTGTCTCTTCCCAATTCCCAATGTGATGATATTCAGAGGTGCGGCCAACTGAGGGGTAATTAGGTCATGAGAATAGATCGCTTACAAATGGGAGTAGTGCCCTTATAAGAAGAGACACAAGAGGAATGATCTATTTCTCTGCCATGTAGGACACAGCCAGAAGGCAGCTTACAGCCAGAAAAAGAGGTCTCACCAAGTGCCCAACCATGCTGGCTCCCAGATGTCAGACTTCTAACCTCCATATCTGTGAGAAATAAATGTTGGCTTTTTGTCCTTCCCATTCTACAGTATATTTGAACCCTTAGTTAACATAACCCTCTCTCTTAGTTCAAAGTACCCAGGAGATACATGTCGTAACACCAAGTAAGCCATGGAGTCAAAGGAGGAAAGGGGATTTTAGCATAGATAGTGTAAACAAGGAGTTGATTATTACCAGTTTTGGTACTAATATCATGTGCAGCAATGGGTCTGAAGTTTGTCCCATTAACCTCTCCTAAGTGTTTCCTCAGGGAGAGAAACCTACGGGAGCCTTGGAGGAGCTGGCTGTAAAAATGCCCTCTTCAGATCTCCTTCAGCAGAGGGAAGAGGATGAAGTTTCTATGAAATTCATTTCAGCGCTACACTCTGAAATCGCTCACCAAGTTCACACTGAAGCTACAATTTTCACTCAGCTATTTCCAGCCAATGCCTAAACTCAATAGGGATATGAATGAAGGCTCTCTATGAAAACCATCGGACTTTTCTATCCTGCGACTTCGGCACAGGGACAATCTGTCAGCCCCACCCAAACTATTTTAGAACTGCACAACATTCTAAGATCTTCCTTTTTCGCTTTCTTCTTCTTAAGAGACAGACACTTAATCACTGCCTGAAGAGCCTCCTATCCTCCTCAGGCTTCCTCCTGAGGCTCCTTCACGGGCTGGACTTTTCGATTAATAAATCTCCTATATATCAAACCTCATCCTGGAGTCTGCTTCTTGCAGGACGCAGATTAATTTACCCGTGATTTCAGGCACATCCTCACTTATTATATGTAAGTTTATGGAAAACTTCATTTCCATCATTACACACCAGTATATCAGCTTTAATTTTTTCATGGTTTTCTGTTTTTTAGGCATATAATAAAAAGTAAATAGCAGATCCTAAAACAGCCAAAGTACAGTGGAAAGAAGAGGATAGAGTGGATATAAAAGAAAAAATTAAGTTAATCCTTTCTCTTAGGGGAAATTAAAAAAAAAAAATAAAACATCCTGAACTAGATTAGATTATTGGCAGGTTATTACAATTTTAGTAAGAAGTAATCTTTTTAAAATTTTGCTTAGGACTGTAGTATTCTCCAGGGCAAATGATCTTTTAAATGATAGATCAAAATGGGTATAAAATTATTTACCCTGTGAGTTACCCACAAAGGTATATTTAGTTTGTCTAAAATAAAGCATCCTTCATTTGCCTTGATATTTGTGTGTGTGTGTGTATAATGCTTGAGATAATTTGTACTTTTCTGTTAGTTAACACTTTGCCTCAAAGTCAGTATTTTCAATGCAATTGGTTCAGTTTTGGGGCTTAGCCTTTTGTCACAAAGAAAACCAGGACTGCTCACTCGCAAAATTTTGAGCCCATGAGCTCTTTTTTCTTGGTTAGGGTAATTTTGTCATAATCACATTTTTGGAACTACAATTCAGAGCACATATTTCTAAATCTGTCACATACATTATATATATATATATATGTATTTGTGTGTATGTCTATATATGTATATAAAATATGCTATGTCCTGAATTGTGATTATATATGTCTCTCTCTATATATATATATATATTCATTCATTTATTTATTTAGAGCAGGAGTGAAAGTTTATTAAAAAGCTTTAGAGCAGGAACAAAAGGAAGTAAAGTATACTTGGAAGAAGGCCAACTGGGCGACTTGCGAGATCAAGTGCACTGTCTGACCTTTGACTTGGGGTTTATATATACAGAGAGAGAGAGAGAGAGAGAGAGAGAGAGAATGTATTTGTATGCATGGTCCACGCCTCCTTTGAACTTACCAACAATAAAAAGATTATTATAGAGCATGCATTTTTTATTTTCCCAGAAAAACAATCTTCAGAGAGGCTGTCCAATATGCCCAAGGCCACAAAACTTTTATATTTCATTTTAGATTCATTGTTATTTTAATTGTAGACTTCCATTTCTTGTCTCGTTTTTTAACCGTCCAATGAATTCTTCCTGCCCACTGCACAAACAAAACCAGACTATGGCATTACAATAAAGACAGACTTTAATAGACATGAGGCCAGCGACACCACGTGGTAGGCAGTCATTACTCAAATCAATCTCTGAGAATTTGGAGGCCAGGGTTTTGAGGGGAAGAGGTGGGAGTGGCTAGGCAATGGGTGCTTGCTGCTGATTGGTTGGAGGTGCAGTTATAGGGATGTGGGAAATGAGCCCGCTAGTGTCTCAGCGCGCTGAGGACAGGGCCTGGTCGGGGCGGGCTGGGCACAAACCAAAGAGCAGCCCTTGCTACTCCAACATGACCCTGGAAACATGAGTGTTCCATGCTGGGGGAATCTTTTGGGTTTCGGCCCCGACCCCCCCAAGTCCTCACCTTTCTCCCTGTACCAGTTAGAACACTTGGCTGATAAGGGAAGAACGCCTCAAGAGAGCATTCATACAACTCCAGCAAACACTGCACATGCGCCTCCTCCCAAGTGCTGACCCCTCCCAAGTGCTGGCAGGCCACGGAGCATGCAGACAGCCCACCCCAAGAGAAGAATCAGGGTAGAAAGGACACAACACCCCGGAAGTATGCCAACGCATAAAACCCCAAGTCAAAGGTCAAACAGTGCACTTGATCTCGCAAGTCGCCCACTTGGCCCTCTTCCAAGTGTATCTTACTTACTTTTGTTCCTGCTCTAAAGCTTTTTAATAAACTTTCACTCCTGCTCTAAATAAATAAGTGAATAAATAAATAAATAAAAATAAAAATATATAGGGATGTGGGAAATGGTCCTTGTGCTTGCTGAGTTGCTTCTAGGTGGGGCCACAGAAGAGGTCCGCAGATCCAGGTGGAGCCATGGGTAGTCAGACATGCAAAAACTCTGAAAGACATCTCAAAATGCCAATCTCAGGTTCTACAATAATGATGTTATCTGCAGGAGTAATTGGGGAAGTTGCATATCTTGTGACCTCTGGAATAATAGCCAACAATTGTTTATGTCTACACTTTGGCAGAATTCAGGCTCCTCTATCCTCCTAGCCTAGCTGTCTCTTGCTATCTTTACAAAGGCCATTGTTTTGGAGAAGGGATATTATCATTTAAACTATAAACTAAATGTCTATCACAGTTAGCTAGGCCCAAGCCCAGGAATAAAGGGAAGCTTGAAGACTAAAGGCAAGGTGATGATTGACTAGATCAGATCTCCCCTACTGCCATAGTTTTCTCACTGTTACAATTTTTACAAAGGTGGTTTCAATTTCAGCCACTGTTTCTTGAGTCTTTTTCGCATTATATTCACTCATTTTGACAAAACAGCTAAAATGACTGAAGAACTCCACCCCCAACCCCACAATAAAGGCAGGTTAACTACTCCCCTCACGTTTTAGCACTTCATAGAAAATTCTCTTGGTTTATAGTCAATGGAGAGGCAGTTTCCACCCTCTCCCTGCTTCCTGTACTCCTTTCCCAAAGGAGAACAGAGATTGAGAAAAGAAAATGAGCATGTATAGCTTAGACCTTGAAGCATTTGTCCTCAGGACAGAGGTTTTCTCTGCTTATTTGGATGGTAAATATACCATAGTAAAATCTTTCCTTGAAAGGGAGGCCTTCAAAAAAAGACTAGCTGTGCTTGTCTCAGCATATGGTTGTGTGTCTAATGAAACAAGAACAGTTTAGATAATTCATTTAGCCACAGCTCCAAGACATGTTACATCATCAGGATTATAAAAAAACAAAGATGACATTTTCAACTCGGTCTGATTCCTGTGTCTACTTATCCAGAGGTTTTGGTATCAACAAAGATGGAGGCAAATTACATATTGATAATTTTAAGTCCCATTCTAAATGCTGACACTAAAAAGCTCTGTTGTGACAATAAAGCAGCAAGAATGGAAACAAATGAAATATATTAAGGCTGGTAAATGTGAATGACAGAAGGAACCCAGATAACAGATGGAAGGACAGCAATTGCCTCACTCTAATTTTTGCATTTTATGACAAAAGTAAACATTCTTTATTTAAGTTATGTTAGTTATATTTTCTATTACTTCAAGTTGGAAGCAATTCTATAGCATAGATAAAAATAAAGTGGACTTACAAGACAAATGTGGACTTGGATTCGCAAGATAAATTTATATTTATTCATTCACTGACTTACTCATTCAACAATTGGTGCATATAATTCTACTTCATATATTTTAGTTTTAAATAATTACATATGGTTAATATAGAAAGGTATTTATATATTAAAATTTTTGTTTTATATATAAAATTTGTATACAAAATAATAAAATATATTATTATAAAATGTTGTATCCTAGTGCCTAGAATACTCTCTGTATAAAGTAGGCACTTAATAATAAATCACCATTGAGTAAATTTAATCTGCTATCTACTAGGTGTATAAGAACAATATGATAGGGAAGATATAAAAAAATAAACATATAATTCAGGGTATAGGTGTAATATATTTTACACCTATATTCCTTACTATATTTTAATGGAAGAAATATGATCCATATTATGGATGAAAACTATCAATCTGTTAAAAAAAAGAAATAGAGTTTTCGTTTTTACCATTTGCAACTCTGGAAATACTCTTACATTATTCCCATAAGTATCAAACTGTTATATATTTTAATGACCATTTGAAGGCTAATTGAAATAAGCGTATATGTAAACGGTAGAATTTGATCATTTTAGCATATGTGTATGCTTGAGAAACTGTCATCATAATTGAGTTGCCAAATATTTTCATCACCCAAAAACCTTTCTTTATGCCTCTAATTTCATTCCTTCCTCCACCTCTGTCTGCAGTTGATAACTAATCTGCTTTAGGTCATTCTAAACTAGTTCACACTTTATATGATTTTAGATATATACTCTTTTTTGCTTAATTTCTTTCCATTATCAGTTACATTGAGATTCATGTTGTGTCTCCACAGTTTTTTTTAATTGCTGAATAGCATTCAATAATAAGAATATATAATAGTTTACAGACATTTGGTTTGCTTACACTTTTAGGCTATTGCAAATAAAGCTGCTATAAACATTTCTGTATAGTTTTTGTTTCATATGGATATATGTTTTTGTTTCTCTTGGCTAAATGTCTTAGAGTCAATTGTTTCAGTCAAACGGTATGAATGTGTTTAAATTGAAATCTATTTTCCCCCTGGCAGGGCATGGTGGTTCACACCTGTAATCCTAGCACTCTGGGAGGCCAAGGTGGGCGGAATACTTGAGATCAAGAGTTTGAGACCAGCCTGGACAATATGAAGAAATCCTGTCTCTATCAGAAATACAAACATTTAGCCACACATGATGGTGCACGCCTGTGGTCCCAGCTACCTGGGAGGCTGAGGTCAGGGGATCCCTTGAACCTAAGAGGTGTAGGTTGCAGTGAGCCGTGATTTTGCCACTGTACTCCAGCCTGGGTGACAGAGTGAGACCCTGTCTCAAAAAACAAACAAAACAAAACAAGAAAACCTATTGCCTTGAGCTTTGCCAATATGTGCAATGTTCCATTGTAGCCATCATAATTCATAATAGACATGTAATAGTATCTTACTGTGGTTTAAGTTTGCAGTTCTTTGTTGATTCATAATGGTGACCAATTTATTCATGTTCTCCTTGGTTACCTGATAAAGTCTTTTGACTGCCTTTAATGGATTGCATATCTTCTTACTGAATTAGGAAATTGTTTATGCATTCTGCATAAAATGTATTTGTAGTATATATGTTATTAATATTTTCTCCCTGTCTATGGCTTGCTATTTTTATTTTCTTAGTTATGTATTTTGAAGAGCAAAAGTTTGAATTTTGATGACTTTCAAGGGTTCCTTTTTGTAGTTTTTTTCTCTTTTTCTTCTTCAAAATATTTGACTAACCCAAGGTTATAAAGATTTTCTTCTGTGATTTTCTAGAAGTTTGATGCTTTAGATTGTAGGTTTTATATTTTAGTCTATGATCTGTTACAAGTTATTGCTTTGTATGGTGTGATATAAGAATTGATATTTATGTTTTTGTGTATATATATATATATAAACAGTCGATCTAATAACATTATTTGAATGGGCGTCCATTAAATCATCTTTGCATCTTTGTCCAAAAATCTCCATTCTGTTCTAATTATCTCTCTTGCCATGTTTTTGCCAATGTTCAAATATTTTGATTATGGTAGGTGTATAGTAAGTAATAAGATCAGGTACTGTTAGTCCAACAATATTGTTATTTTTAAAACTGCTTTGATAATTCTACATGCTTTCTAAATTTTAGAATCACGTTGTCAATTTACACACTGAACAATCTTTATGGTATTTTTATTGGTATGTGTTGAATTTATAAGAGATCAATTTGGGAGAATTGTCGTCACAATTGTGAAGCTTGCACCCCATTAAATTCATCTATTTTTCCACTTATTCATTTATAAATTTATTTTAGTAATATTTATAAGTTTCAGAGAAAAGATATTGTATTTGATCTTGTGAAATTTATGTGTAGGTATTTTTTGTTTGGGACATTACTGAAAATACAATTTTAAAAATATCCAATTGTTCTATGTTTGCACATTGAAATACGATTGATTTTTTTAATAATAACCTTGCATCTTCTGACTTTACTAAATTCAATATTGAGTTCTAGTAGCTCTTTTTTAGTATCTTTGTAATTTACCATGTACACAAAACTGCATATAGGACATTTTACTTCCTCCTTCCTGTCTTTATTATTTTTCATTCTTTCCTTATTACAGGAATTAGGAGCTCCAGTAAAATTTTTGAATAAGAAGGAGGGAAATAGTCATCTTCATCTTGTTCCTAAATTCATGAAAACACAATTCTGATTCAATTTATATGCCATTTTAATATATCCAGAAAAAATCATCAATCAGTGCAATGGTAAGCCCACACAGAAATATATATAGTGAATTATTTTTAATGAGAAAAACAATAAAACAGCTCAAATATAATTAACCTGATAATAGTGAAATATATTGTATAATCAGCAATTTTAAAATTTGAATCAAATTTAGCTATATGAATCAGTAGATAAACACATAAATGTAAATTTAAATCAGGTAAATAGTAAGTTACATAGGATTACCTTAGTGTGATATCATTTAAATATTAAATATTAAAATTTAATAAATATTAAAACCATGTGAAACTGAACAGTATAATTGAAAGGATAGGTACACACATAGTAAAACATTTCAAAAACTCAAGGGAATAATAAATATAGAATTAAGGATACTGGTGCCCCTGAGGGGTTTAAAGGGAAATGTGATGAGAAAAGCATACACTAAGGATCAATAGTTATTTTATTTGGTAAGCTCGATGGTGGATATATGTATTTTTTAAATATTATTATTTGCACCTAATAGTTTACTTAAAAAAAAAGAAAACACTTGTTAGTAATCTTAGAAAGTCAAAGGTGAGTTCCATGTCCTATATCTAAAGGATATTTTCATCAAATTTATGGAAGAATAAGAGCCGATCGAACCAAGGTCTAAAATCTAAAATTAAAGTTTCTGATAAAGTTCTTAATTCTTATTCTTAATATCTAGGTAATAAAGCTTTAATAAAAAATATTCTTTTGAGTGTTTGAATGGCATTTCTGTATTTAAATCTACATTTGAGTGTCCAAAGTGTTAATGACCGCAACATATTCCAAGAATGTAGTACTGTTTACATAGTTCTAAGGATGGAATAAGCAAAATAAAACATTACTAAAAATATAGAAAGAGCTGGCTGTTTTTCTTGTCAAGTTGAATGATTGTGCTCTGCTCTTGAGCTCACTTTATGATGTACAATCTTGTGAATAAAGGTTTCAAACTGACTGATAGCAAAATATGAAAGTCACTTTCATTCTTGTATTTTATGGAAATTAGATGTAACAATCCAAATCTTCTAAAATAGAGTAATTATAGGGAATATTTTAAGGCAAAAGTTTCTCACATTTTACAGATTTGGGTCTTCTGTGTGCTATTCATGAAAGCTATGATGCTGGAATTAAAAAATAAATATTGTGAGCAAATTTCTTGAATTTAAGTTTCAAAAAGTCGTGGTTATTTCAGAGCCTCTACATTCAGTGGAATAAAATTAGTTATTTTGTAAGATTTCAAAAAAGTGGTCCATAACTTGCTTAAAAAGAAAGGACATAAAAAAGAAAGGAGACAAAGACTGAGTACAACCCAAAGTGTTGAGTTCCCTAGGTGTAATACCAGGTGAGCTGATCATCCCCACAGGCCCAGCCTGGCTAGGGTTCTCATACTTAGTTCTTACCCATTCTTGCTTCACTTGTTTCCAATTTACAGTTCCCACATATTTGCATATTTCCAACTCTGTCTATATAAGTGTGTCGCTTGTAATGCTTACTGTTGTAATGCTTGTAATGTTTAAACCCATAAACACTATGACATTAGCAATGAACAGCCATTCAAGACCTTTAATTTTAAAGCATGCATCTGTAAAAATATGCTTTTCAAGATGATTTCAGGGAAATAGTGATTGCTAAATTCCAATACAAGAAACACAACGTCTAAGTATGTTGAATTGAATGCTAGATATTTATAAATTTATGTCGTGTGACTGTTTTTCCCTTTAAGAGATTAAATTACAAGCTTATGAATTTGGAGTAAAAGATATATTTTCTCAAAATAAACAAAAATTTATAAATCATATAATAATAGTCATGAAAAACATCAATACAAAATCAGCTAATGCAACATCTACATTCACAACTTATAGGAGAAAAATAACATGCAGGGTTGACGATCTACAAATGTTTCTACAAGTTGAAAGGAGAGTTCAACTTTCTACAGGTTGAAAGGAGAGTTCAACTTTCTACAAGTTGAAAGGAGAGCAAGAATTGGACCTTAGAACTTCAGGCACATAGTTGTTGACATTATGACCCTTAAATAAGTCCTTTTGATTTACAGTATGAAAAGAAGTAAATTAAGGGAGAAGTAGATAATATGAGAATATAGAAGTACCTGATATCACCTTTTGCTTTCTGCTTTTTTTCTTTTAAATATAGTTTCTAAAATTGTTACTACTTCACATTTACATTCACATAAAAATTAGTTATCTTATCCAAAATGTCCTAGTATAATAATTTAGTGAAAAATAATGTCATACCCATAAAATTATTTCTAACGTCCTAGAGAATTTTATTTTTGAAACTTATTTAAATGATAAAAAAGGAAAGGCATGTCTATTCTGTCCTATATAGTAGAGTATAAAATAGTTTTGTACTTTGGAGAGTTAACAATATAAGTACACATGTAGAGACAATACTTCAAAATTGGGTATTGTTTCACTGAAGATTTGACAGCCCATTTCCTCAGTATTATTTTCATCGATAAGAAAACCTTCATGAAAAGACAATTGTGGAGGAAAAATGCATCGTAGAAATTTTATTTGCCTTTCTACAATTATCTCTTTTAAAAGTAGCATTGTGTCCAAAACAAGGGATTTTACATATTAAAATATTTGATTCACTCTGCTTTCATACAAGAATTTAAAGCTTTGACATGTTCTCAAATGGCAATTACTAAAATAATTATTTGATTTACCAATAATTTATTTGAGAAAAAGGATAACAATTTAAACACTGCTTGAGATAAAATTAACATTAAATATGTTAAACTTTTTTTTTCTTTTTTTTTTTCTTGAGACAGAGTCTCACTGTCACCCAGGCTGGAGTGCAATGGTACAATCTCGGCTCACTGCAACCTCCACCTCCTGGGTTCAAGTGATTCTCCTGCCTCAGCCTCCTGAGTAGCTGGGACTACAGGTGCCTGCCACCACGTCCGGCTAATTTTTGTATTTTTAGTAGGGGCAGGGTTTCACCATGTTTGCCACGCTGGTCTCAAACTCCTGACCTCAAGTCCTCCTCCGGCTTTGACCTCCCAAAGTCCTGGGATTACAGGCGTGAGCCACCGTGCACAGCCTAAGTGTGTTAAGTATTTACTGCTTAAATACCTATCAGTGTTCTCATCAATATAGGATTTTCCAGTTCCTCAGGATATAGTGCCCAACATTCTCACTGTGTCCGGAAAGTGTAATATAAAAAGCTGCTTATCGAAATCCATATTATATCAGTCTGTTTTAGTATTGCAACAACATATAATATTATTTGTTATATACATGTGTTATATGATATCTTACTATATAGCCAATTTAGATACTTATTCCTTCCTCTGCAGCTTTTCCAAGTTTATTGAAGAAATTCAATTCCATCTTCATCCTCAGTCTTCTGAATTGGAACTTAAAGCACTTGACATTACTTTTCTACACACTTACTGTGCCTATATATTTAGTTTCTGTCTTTTCACTTAAAAAACCAATTGCCTTACGTTTATAAAATGCTTTACTGTTATAATATGCCCTGGGTGAATATTTTTATTCCAATATCTGGTAAGATTTGAAGAACCACTGAGTTCCAAGTTAGCTGAAATGACATATGCTCTTGAATCTATTTCTAAACTAATTTCTATATGGGAAACACAATTATGCTCTAATCTTTTTTTTTTTCAGTGAAATACATATCTTTTGTCTGGGTTGCCACTGGCTGGCAAAGCCTGAGACGAGGCTTATTTGGAAGGTGATTCTACAGGTAGGAGTTGAAGACTAGGGACAGTCAGACAGGAATGAGTGAAAACCAACACTTGTGTATTCTCCACTTAGTCACACAGTGCACCACTGAGGTTCAGTTGTTGGTTCTTTTCAGGATCTGTCTAGAATGTGCCTTAGAATGATCATCCAGAGAAATAGAAGAGAGGAGAAATTATCCTTTGGCCCCTCTCACCCATTGTTCAAATATTTTTAAATAAGGTGTTTCCTCACATTTCTAAGACATACCTGATTGAATGCTGGACGGGCTATGACAAAAGTCCAGGGAATGAAAGAAAAGATTATAAAGCAGTGAGTCAAAGTGCTTTCAGTTACAACGATGAGAAGATGTTTGCTGAAGCTAGAGGTAATGTAACAGGTAGATTGAGATACGTGAGATAGGGTAGAAGTGATTTCTGTGTCCAGAGGTGTCAATAATTCATATTGCCATTTAAACAGTGTCCTCAAAACATAATATATTTCTGATGGATAAATAATTATAATTATAATTTTTCCATGCTGTTAATATTCATTATTTAGCAGTTATTGAACATCCCTATCTATTTATTCAATGTATAATTATTTATCATATATAACACAGAAGTAACTGAATAGACATTTACTTCCTTGTCTTAAATTGCACATTACTAATTTTTCTATGAATTTGTAAATCAACTAAATCATATTTGGCAATTCTTTATGCTAGTTGGGATGTTTACAAATAAGTGTGAACTTTCATTTATGTGAAAATGGAGTAGAAATATAATTTTTTATTCCTCTCACAAAATACAATAAAACACCATGGACTTTACATATAAGCCCTATTACATACAAAAAGAAAGAAAGGAAAGAAAGAAAGAAAGAAGAGAAAGGAAAGAAAGAAAGAGAAAGAAAGAAAGAGTCTCAAATAGGTAGGGAAGAAGGTAGATGGATTGAGATGTACAAGCCTAACTTAAAATAATAGCTAAAGGAAGTTGCAATAGCTAAAGGAGGTTGAAATAAGGTATTAAATATTTTAATTAGATTGTGACATGAATTAGTTGGGACAAACTCCTTGAAACACAATCATTAGAAAATATCTAGGAACATGGATGGCCCTCTTTATCTATCACTTCTCAACTTTCTTCCCACATCCTAAAAAAAGTGAAGAAAAGCAGAAATGTCAAATTATGCCCAGTTTCCTAGAAAAATTATATTTTGATGAGATAGACTGCTGTTCATTTATGGGCAATAGTAATGCAAAGAAAGAAACAGAATCCTTGAGCATAATGTAAAATTCATGAAAAACATAATTATTTACATCAAAATTCAGAAAAAAAGGTCTCTAATTATTTCATATAACTGATATGCAGTATTAGATACCTTTTTTTTTTTTTTTTGAGACAAAGTCTTGCTTTGTCTCCAGGCTGGAGTGCAGTGGTGCGATCTCGGCTCACTGCAATCTCTGCCTCCCGGGTTCAAGTGATTCTCCTGCCTCAGCCTCCCGAGTAGCTGGGATTACAGGTGTGCACCACCATGCCTGGCTAATTGTTGTATTTTTAGGAGAGATGGGTTTTCACTGTGTTAGCCATGATTGTCTCAGTCCCTCGACCTGGTGATCTGCCGGCCTTGGCCTCCCAAAGTGCTGGGATTACAGGCGTGAGCAATATTAGATACTTTAAGTGGCCAGAGTGTCTTCTTTTCAGAGAGATTTTAGGTATTCTGAAATTAGTTAATGAAGGTAATTTCAAAGTGTAATATATTGAGACAACACTTTAAAATTCTATGATCTGGGTTTTCCTTACTTTTAACTTTAATTGTGCCCTCTTCATTTTCCTCAAATTTTTTCTGCTTCTCTATTTATGGAGAAACTCTAAAGAATACACTTTCTAATCTTTGAGTTCATATGGATGTGGATTGCTATTTACTGTTTAGTTTGAGTAAAGAAACATTTACAATGTCTTGAACAGCACTCCCCACCCCTCACATTCTTTCCTTGTCATTTCTTGCTCAGGTTGTTTTATGTTACAAATTTGATCATAACTCACTGAAGGTTTCAGTTGTGGTAGCTTCATGAAATAAAAACAAGTTTCTAAAAAGTTAAATTATGTAGATTTCCTGTGGTGTGGAATAAACTGGGGTTGGAGGACTCCAATCTGTTTGAGAAACAAGCCCAGTGAGAATGTATTTACACTAATCCATTAATTGTAGAATAACTTTTGTCAGAAGTTAAATACTGTAGAGCAGTCTACTAGGTTATAACATTAATTACATATGTATTTATATTTTAGCAAAACAGTTAACTTTTACTTGTCACTAAAATAGGTCCATTATTTTAAAAAAACACATTCATGATATGACTCTGTATCTCCTGAATTTCTGTTTTTTAAGTTTTTTTTTAATCAAAAACCCTTTATGTTAAGTTCAGGTGCATATGTGCAGGGCCTATACATTATTATTTTTAAACATTTTCAAACACTGTAGTACCAAGTCTTCATTACATACTCTTTTATCATTCTTTTGTCCCTAAAATTCCCTCTAAACTCTTCTGATTAAAATATAATTTCCAAGACTGTTAATCTGAATATTTTTGACTACGCTGTCACTTTAGTTTATTGTGGTATCCATCTTTGAGCCAGCTAAACAAGTTCGCATCAAAGACACTATGTAGTTTCAAGGAGATAGCTGATTTTATTTTTTCCTTCCCTATTGATGTGACTTTCTCAGAAGGTTTTATTTAAATCCAATATTACTTTCCCAGTAATTCTGAGATCCTTGAATCTTCAATAAAGCAGGTTATCCTAAAATCCTCTGGAAGATCAGAATAAAGAAAAGGCCATCTAGGACCAGGCTAGAACTTCTAGTCCTTAAGCCCTCTTTTATATATGTCCTTTCTACTTGAGCAGATCTTAGCATGATTTGCAGTACAGAGTTTTGTCCTCTGTGATTAAATCTGCAGTGATCAAAAATTCAGATGTGTTTTGCAGAAGCAATCCTCAGACCCATTAAAAGAGCCTTCAGGGCCTGGGTTAAACTAGTCCTATAGCATGCTTTATTTAAATAAATAGCTCGTTTAATCAAATAACAGCTCCCCTAAAGAGCTCACTCATTGAATGAACCTTTTTCCTCTTAGGATTCTCTTCACTGCACCCAGATGTAATTTCTTTGCAAACTGCCTCCAGCAATATTTTTGTTCCTTTTTCTTAATGTACAGATTTGAAATTTTTATGTTCATCCACCAGTGTCTTCAGTGATTTCTCACTGAAGCATTTTCTTGATGAGAAATATTTTACCCTGTGGGAATCAACTGTCTTCTCTACCTGACCTTATCTAACTGATCCATCATTTTAAGTAAGATATACCATGGCATACACAGGTCCGGTCAACAGCAACAATTGCTGAAATATCTCCCATTCCTTAAATTACTACTAATCGGGACACCTAGTTCAGGCTAGTCCGTATTCCACTAACATCCAGGAATAGCAAACCTTAAATAGGACTATTTGCCACTACACGATTCGTTGCCTGAAAGCTGGTTGAACAAAACAAACCAGGAAAGAGAATCTCCAGCACTTCAGACGTAGCCATGAGAAGATCCACTCTGGAGCTAGTTTTTGTTTAACTGTAGCAGGAACATTTAACGGAATGAGATTTACCCTTTTAACACATGCGTAAGTGTACAATGCAGTATTGTTTATTATAGGCATCATGTTGTGTAGCAGATTTCTAGAACTTATCCATTGTACATGAATAAAACGTTATACCTGTTGAATAGCAACTCTCCATTTTCCTTTCCCTCCAACCCCTGGAAACAATTTTACTCTTTGCTTCTATGCCTTTGAATATATTAGATACCTTATATAAGCAGAATGATCACGACTTCCTCATAGATTTATGAACTTGGCCAACTAATTTAACCTTCGGGAGTTTCTGGTTTACAATCAATAAAATATTAACACTTGTGTATATTTTCCAATATTGCTATAGGGATGCATTGGGCTCAAAATAGTGAATGATGCTTAGTAAATATTTAACACACATTGTCTTTCTTCTTCCCTCCTCACTTTTCCCCACCCCATTTTTCATTTTCTCTTTCTAAATTTCTCATTCTCTCCCTCTCTCTTGCTCTCTCTCTCTTTCACAATCCATTTCCCGATCCTTCTCTTAATTTAAGTATTATTTTGCTTCCTCCTAGTTTTAATTCTGTATTTTCAGGCAAATTTGCAAGGTAGAATGATGTAAGATTGCCTAGTTGTCACAATATTATATATGTAAACAGTTCAGCAAAACTCCTATTATATATTAGTTGCTTAGTAAATACTGATTCTGCTCCATAAGAAGGAAGCAAATTCATTAAAGCTGTGGTTGATTTTGGTTGTTGCTGTAGTGATTGTTATAATTGTTGTTGTTGCCTGTGTATGGGGGGAGCGGTTCCTGTTAATTTTGCTTTGCTTGTTTTTTCACCTGAGGGAGCATCTTTTTGTTACTCTGTTTTCAAGAACTTTACTCCTGAAATTAGTTTACATTTGACTATGGGATTGGATAAATTAATCATGTTTTCACTTTTCCACTGTTACTACTATCATTGCGTAATAATAATTTCAGTGAATTTGTAGTATTTATTGTGTAATGTATTCTGGGCACTATGCTAAGGAAATTGTACATACTGCTGTGTTTAATCTCCTTAACATTTTTTTGAAAGTAGAAGCTGAGACCTAAAAGTGTTAAATATTTTATCTAGAATTACATAATTAAAAAGCAACACAACCAGAATTTCAATTCAGGCTTGTCATCCTCCTCAAACTTTTAATTAATGATGTGATGTCTCCATTTTAGCACCTGAAGCAAAAGTTTTGCCACCTAATATGTTTGCCTCCTTTAACTACCAATTTCCTTTCTGCATTCTTTGTATACATCCAAAGTGAAATATCTAAAGCATCAAACTAATCATGCCCTTTTTAGTTCCTGAAGTTTATCTATGGCATCTCATTGTTTCTGCATAAAGTCCAATCTCAGAATCAATGCTGTATCTCTTAATCAAATGTTTCCATTCAAGGAAGTTTTCTTTGTTTCACCTAGGCTGAGTGAGGCTTCCTGTAACTTTACTGTCAAAATACCTGGAACAAACTTACATGATGGCATGTATTATGCTATATTGTAACACTTGGTACACTTATTTGTTTTATACAACTGGATATCATCTATTTGTGGACAGGATTATGTTTTATTCTCTTAGTGCCTGTCTCAGAGCCAGTGTTGTAAAAACAATCATTTGATTAGGACAAAATATAATTAAATGCCTGCCAGGAAAATGCCCTACAAAATAAGAACTATGTATCCTATCACTGATTCCACATAAGACTGCTTAGGTAGGGTCTTGGCGTTCTTTGGGATTTCACCATAAACCTGGAAGACAACTTTGATCCTGTGATCTGGGTAGGGAGTCTCTCCATCAATACCAAGAACCTTGATGTTCTGAATAAAACCACTCAGGAGTAATGAAAAAATAATAATATCAAGCCTCAAAATTTTCAGACACAATCATCCATTACCTTTGCACATCAAGACCAGAAGCATTAAAAGAAACCTTATAATAACTGGATTTGTCATGGAAAAGCCAGGAACTATTGAGAAAAGGAAGAGTATCTGGGAATATGCAGAGATGTAAATACTTCAGGGAGTATTCTTCAAATTTTATTGTGTTTCCAATTTGACTCCACTCACTCCCTACATATTGAGAATGCAATCCTAAAAACAGAAAATGTTATGATACTCACAAGTTCCGCATACAGCTAAATTAGTTCTCATTCTTATCAAGCAATAATATCTTGAGATTGTATTCACTAAAGTCCCCACTTTAACCTCTGTGCTTTCAGCTGAAGTAAAATCCAACTGTCAGTTGATATGGGTGTTGGACATAATTACATACAACTCCTATAGCAGAAGAATGCCAGATTTTCCACTGCCTAATAATTCTCATTATTCTGTTCTGGATTCTGTCCAAATCTCTTAGGATAATTTTATGGAGAGTCCAAAAGTGGAGCATATTTCTTTTTAATAGGAGGAGGATTTCTTTAACCAAGGTTTATTAGGTTTATTCTCCTCTCTGTCACTAGGACTTTAATCTGTTTGCAAAGGATGGTAAAGGGGATATTTATAACATCCCACTTTCTGGGTTTCCACATTCAGTTTTTCCATTATGGAATAGATAACAAGCATATCTGTGTTTTATGCGGCTGCTAGTGGAGCTCTGTTTAACTCACCATATCAGTTCGCATTAATTGATGCAAGAGTAAGGAGGACTGGAAAGTTGACAGCCCAGCATTTCTGAAGCTTGAAATTCCTTAGTCAGGAAATGTGTATCTCAAATTGGTATATTAGGTTATCAAAGAAGTTTTAAAAACCTGGGGACTAAGAGTAAGCAGATTCTATACATTGCAAGATTTATACTTGCATGCTAATGTATTCTTAGAGGAATTTTGTATGCAAGTTGCTAAGGTTAATGTTTTCTAAATGGGCTATTATTATTATTATTTTCCTGAAACTATGGTAGATGATCCATTTAGTTTTGACATAAGTTGGATTATTTGGATTCCACAATCCTACATTTCATATGCAGTACTGCCTCTCCTTAAAACAAACTCAGTAGACAGATTTAATATGGATTTGCGCCTTGCAGTCTGTCAGCATTCTTGAATATTTTATTATCAGAACTAACCAAAATAATTTTCCAAGTCCCAAGTTTCTGCTGGTAGTTGGGCAGAAATCGCATTTAAGAATAATCCATATCTTTTTGGGTCAACAACTAAATGACAATAAAATGAAGGAAAAAAATCAAAAGCAGGTTACTTGAGACCATGAAACTTGCCGGTCAGTGAACTATATATCCTTACATCCCTCCCCTATGGCATGACAGATGCATGGCTATTGTAATTGGTCTTAGGAAGATGTTCATAAGACACTGAGATTTTGAACATTTGTAGTTTCAGAACATTTATAGTCAGTGTTCCTACAGAGAGTATCTTTCTACTAAAATTATTAAGAGTCCCAAACAGTGTTTAGCAACAGAATGTACTAAGTTGAATCGAAGAGAACAAATACAATTATGTGGTTTCATTTTCAGTTTGACTTCAGGCATAAATATCCTGGCCATTATAACAAAATTTGAATCAAAGGCAGAAATTTTTGTTTTACGCCATCTTTAAAAACCTATTTTCTGATCACAGTTACCAATCTCAGTCTTCAATAAAACACACTAGAACTGGAGCAGAATTCTAAAGAGGTTAGATATCTTGGTCTTTGAGAAAACTGAACACATATACAAAATGCAAAGACCACAGAAATAATAAAATGTATAAAAATAACATTTCAACACATCTCATGTTCCCAAATGTTGGCTGTACATTGATTAATCACTTCTTCAAATGATTTTGCCATATTATTTTGCGCATTTAGAATATAAAGATAATGAAAATTCCCTTCTTGGAGGCCGATCAAAATTTATATTTGTTACTTATAAAAAAAGTAAGTTTTAGATTTGTAACACTATCATTGATGACATGTACTCATTTGGAAAAATTATCAATTGGACAACCTCTATGAAAAAGAGAACTTTTGTATTGATTAGACATTAATTACAACTGAATTTTTATTTACTATTCTGTAAACTTTATAATTAGATAAATATTCTACAGCTTCTGTCTTTGGATGTTTCCAGTACTGTTTCTCTTCCACCAGCCTTACACTTTTGGCTCATATCAAAATTATACCAGTAGCCAAGAACTTTGTGTCCCAATATAGAGTCCATTGGCACAGTGCACGGTATGAGTGTTCTATGAGCCAAACCTATACTGGTATAGCTAACAATAACCTAGCTATACATACATGGAATACATAAATATATCCCATTAAATCAAAATCTAATGCATCTTCAACTCAGCATTCCTTTATCTGAATGGAGAAAAAAAAATCCCGAGGCCATTCCAACAGAAACAGATATGAAGGGAACTTGGAATAGGAGACAGTGTTGTTAATTGACTTCAGCTAAAATACCATATTTTGAAGAGTTTGCAAATATATACAACCAATTCATTATTACATTTTATTCAGGATTAAACTGTAGAGCAAAAAGAGAGAGAAACACATAAAAATAAGACAATACAACTAGTGAAGAGTGAGAGAACCAAAGAGGTAAAATAAGAATTGAGACCTGATAGAGTACAGAGCTCTCAGCTAGGGATAATAACAACCATAACAATAATTAAAACTTTTGTGGGATCTCCTATGTGCTAGTATGTTTTATATCCCAGAGAAAAGCCTCTATAATTTTTATCTGTTATTATACCATGCTAAAAACTCTTAAGCTAATTTGCCATCTTACAGGCATCAAAACTCTGATTCACAATTGAGTGTAATTTTCACTTCTCTGAATCTGAACTCCTGGTGTGAACACTATCACATCTCTACTTTAACTGATAATAAATTTGAGGCTTGATTCTTACAGGTCATGTGATTCATGCCCAAGCCATTTGTGAATCACAGGCCAGTGATGCAGAAAGCTTTCCAAGGAACCAGATGTATGTGAAAATAACCAGGCAAGATTTCACTTCAAATTAAGGAAGTATTTATTTTATACCTCCCCTGTGATACATTATTTCACAAATATTACCTTAATAGGCTTTACGATAAATGCTTTCACAAATATTTCCTTTACACTCCTCAAACAACAATGAATCTCCAGTCATGTGTGTTAATTTTATGGAGACAATGTTACAATCAAATGGAGTAAACCCTTCTGGCAAGCTATAGTATTTTGAATATTCTCTCCAAGTCTCATTCATAACTATGAATTTAATAATTATTTAAAAGTCAGAATGCTTTCAAAAGCTAGACAATCATATGTAGAAATTCATTTTGTTTTTCTTATTATCTAGTTCAGGCTGGCAACCTTTCTGTAGAGGGCCAAATATTTGCAGGTCGAATAGTCTCTGTCACAGCTACTTAATTCACAGACAATGCAAAAATAAGTAGGACTGGCCTTGTTCCAATAAAACTTTATTTACAAAATCAGACATGGAACAGACCAAATTTGGCTCATGGAGCTCTACAGATCCCTGCATAGATAATTGAATCTGAAATTTTAAAAATGACTGATAAGACATCAGACAATACCTGCATTTAGTTAGTAATTTAAGTTGTTTTTCAAAGGAAATTTTTCTATTACAATTGCGATGGACCCAATGTATAAGTTCCCCTGAAATAAGTAAGTTGAAACAACTAACTTCCAATGTAATGGTATTAGGAGGTGGGGTTTCAGGGAGATGATTAGGTCATGAGGACAAAGCTCTCAGTGCCCTTATAAAAGAGGCTCAAGAGATACACCTTGCTCCTTCCACCATGTGAAGACAAGGAGAGGAGACACCTTCTTGGACTTCCCAGATCTAGAACCCTGAGAAATGAGTTTCTGTTGCTGCCACTCTGTCTATGGCATTTTGCTACAGCCGCCCCAGTCAAAGACAATAATATTTGCCTAGGGAGTGACTTGAAATACTATTTAGTATATACCACAACTCTAGTGTTTATAGTCTAGAATCATTTAAACAAAGTTATGTTTTCCAAAAATACTTTTATGGCATTGAATTAAAACTTTGGAGAACTTAAATAGTGTGTAAATTCCACAAATATATCTAGTGATGATAATAATAAAGCAAAAGTTTGAGGATGTGTGAACAAGTAGGACCACCTGTCTAAGTAAGCACTATGGCTCTCTCTAAAAGAGGGTAAATTGCATGAACTCAGATTTCTTCTTTAAATGGGAAATTGTCATGCTTAAAACATGTTATTGTTTAAACTACCAAAGCTCAAAAAAAGCGGCTCTGGCATTTAATGTGTTAATACTTTTTATATATTGAATTGGGTCAATAATGCATCCCTGTCTATTTCTGTGTTTTCCTGTTTTTGGTTTGTTTGTTTAGTTTTGTTGGTTATCTACTAATGGGATTAAAGTGAGGCTGTGCTGTCTGGTCAACTTAATAAGCAGTGAGATAATGGCAGAGTTTGTGACTTTTTCTATTGCTAAAAGTAAATTCATACAAACAAACATCCTACCAAAGCCTATAATTATTAAAGAAAAGATACTCAATGTCTATAAAAATATAAGTGTTCTAGAAAATAAAACAAAAATTTGGGGAAAAAAACCCTTACTTTAAATTTAGGAAAAACAGATGTTTTTCTTTGTTTATTTCTATGTCTAGAACCAATAGCCCTGGATTGAAACAATAATGATAAGATCGATAATAATTATAATGGTATTTACTCTTCTATCAGTATGGGTTTTATTTTGTAGATACTTGAGAGCTAAATGTCCCTCTAATATTAAATAGTCACTAACGGCAAAACTCAAAGCCCGTTTAGTATACAAATGATTTTTTTACAGGTTAAAGAACAGTTTACTAGAAATTGTATGCATAAAAATTGTTGTATAGATCGTATTTTTTAGCTTATATTTTTAAGTGTGAAATAAATGCTTTCCATTTAAGCAAACTTTGAAGATTTCCTAGAAAAGTAATACTAGGATGAGAAATTACTTTTGGGACTATTGGCATTCACCTATGTATTAGTCAAGATTCCAGGTGATTTAGTTTCTTAAACTTGTTAACATTTTTTCCTAATAATTTCAACTTTTATTTTAGATTCAGGGGGAAATATGCAGGTTTGTTATATGAGTATATTGTTTGATGCAGAGGTTTGGGGTTCAAATGATCCCATCACCCAGGTAATGAGCATAGTGCCCAAGAGCTACTTTTTAAACCCTTGTCCTGCTCTAACTCTAGCCCCTATAGTAGTTCCCAGTGTCTGTTGTTCCAATTATGTCCAAGAGTATACTCAGGATTTAGCTCCCACTTATAAGTGAGAACATGCAGCATTTAGTTTTCTGTTCCTGCTTTGATTTGCTTAGGATAATGTCCTCTAGCTGCATTCCTGCTGCTACAAAGGACATGCTTTCATCGTTTTTTAATGGCTGCATGGTATTTCACAGTGTATATGTACCACATATTTGTTAACCAATCAACCATTGATGGGTGCCTAGGTTGATTCTATGTCTTTGTTATTGTGAATAGTGCTGAGATTAACATGCTAGTGCATGTGTTTTCAGTAGAATGATATATTTTCTTTGGGATATATACCAGTAATGGGATTGCGGGGTCACATGGTAGTTCTGTTTTAATTTATTTGAGAAAACCCCAAACTGCTTTCTACTATGGCTGAAATAATCTACATTTCCACCAGCAATGTGTAAGTGTTCCTTTTTTTTCCATAGACTTGTCAAAATCTGTTATTGTTTGTCTGTTTATTAATAGCCATTCTGACTGGTATGAGACGGTATCTCATTGTGGTTTTGATTTGCATTTCTCTAATGATCAGTGACAGTGACCTTTTTCTCATATGATTGTTGGCCACATGTATATCTTCAGAAAAGTGTCTGTTTATGTGCTTTGCCCACATTTTTATTGGGTTGTTTTTTTCTGGGAAATTTGTTAAGTTCCTTATAGATGCTAGATATTAGACACTTGTCAGATGCATACTTTGCAAAAATTTTCTTCCATTCTGTAGGTTGTCTGTTCACTTTGTTGATAGTTTCTTTTGCTGTTTAGAAGTTCTGTAGTTTAATTAGATCCAATTTTTTTCAATTTTTGCTTTGATTGCAACTGCTTTTGTCATCTTTGTAATCAAACCTTTACCCATTCCTATGTCCAAAATGGTATTGCCTACGTTGTCTTACAGGATTTGCATAGTTTTGGCTTTAAATTATTTTAATGTAATTTTTCTATATGGTGTAAGGAAGGAGTCCAGTTTCAGTCTTCTGCATATGGCTAGCCTGTTTTCCCAGCACAAATTATTGAATAAAGAGTCCTTTTTCCATTGCTTGTTTTTGTCAGCTTTGTCAGAGATCACATAGTTGTACATGTGACCTCATTTCTGGGTTCTCTATTCTATTCCATTGGTCTATGTATCTGTTTCTGGACCAATATCATACTGTTTTGGTTACTGTAGCCCAAGTATAGTTTGAAGTCGAGTAGCATATGCCTCCAGCTTTGTTCTTTTTGCTTAGGATTGTCTTGGCTATTTGGGCTCTGCTTTCATTCCACGTGAATTTTAGAATAGTTTTTTCTAATTCTGTAAAAACGACATTGGTAGTTTAATATGAATAGCATTAAAACTAGTTTTATTTGAATAGTATGGACATTTTAACAATATTGATTCTTCCAATCCATAAACATGGAAAGTTTTTTATTTGTTTGTGTTATCTATGATTTCTTTCAGCATTGTTTTGTAGTTCTATTGTAGAGATATTTCACCTTCTTGTTAGACGTATTCCTAGGTTTTTTATTTTGTGTGTGTGTGGCTATAGTAAATGGGATTGCATTCTTGATTTGGCTCTCAGTTATTTATTGATTATAGAAATGCTACTCGTTTTAGTGCGTTTTTTTTTTATCCTGAAACTTCACTTGTGTTGTTTATCAGTTTTAGAAGCTTTTTGTCAGAGATGTTGGGTTTTCTAGGTAAATAATCTTATCAGTAAAGAAAGATCGTTTGATTTCTTGTTTTCCTATTTAGATACCTTTTGTTTCTTTCTCTTGCCTAATTGCTTTGGCTAGGACCTCCAATACTATATTGAATAGAAGCAGTGAAAGTGGGCATCCTTGTCTTATTCCACTTCTCACTGGGATTGGTTGCAGCTTTTCACATTCGGTATAATGTTGGCTGTGGGTTTATCATAGATGGGTCTTTTTATTTTGATTTTTATTTTTTGATGCCTAGTTTGTTGAGAGATTTTAACATAAAAGAATGTTCAATCTTATCAAAGGCTTTTTCTACACCTATTGAGATGATCATATGGCTTTTGTTTTTAATTCTGTTTATGTAGTGAATCATTTATTAATTTGCATATGTTGAACCAAACTTGTATCCCAGGAATGAAGCCTACTTGATCGTGGTGTATTAACTTTTTGATGTCCTGCTGATTTTTGTTTGCTGCTATTTTATTGAGATTTTTTGCATTTATGTTCATCAGGCATTTGGGCCTTAAGTGTTTTTTTGTTTGTTTCTTTTTGGTTTTTTGTTTTTTTTCGTTGCCTCTGCCAGGTTTTGGTATCAGAATAATGCTGGCTTCATCAAATGAAGTAGGGAGAAGTACCTCATCCTCGAATTTTTGGAACAGTTTCATTAGTATTGATACCAACTCATTTGCATGTCTGGTGGAATTTGGCTGTGAATCCCTCTAGTCCAGTGCTTCTATAGTTGGTAGGTTTTTCTATTATTATTATTACTGATTTGATTTCAGAACTCAGTATTGGTCTGTTCAGAGTTTCAACTTCCTCCTGATTTCATCTTGAGAGGTTGTGTGTTTGCAAAAATTTATCAATTTCCTCTAGATTTTCTAGTTTGTGTGCATAGAAGCCTTCAGAATAATATATGAGGAACTTTTGCATTTCTGTGGGATTGGTTGTAGTGCCTCCTTTGTCACTTCTAATTATGCTTATTTGGATCTTCTTTGGTTTATTTCTTTGTTAATCTAGTTAGTGGTATATTGATCTTTTTTTGGTATCCCTTCAAAGAACCAACTTATGGTTTTGTTGATTATTTGTATAGATTTTTGGGTCTCACTTTTACTCAGTTTCACTCTGATTTTATTTATGTGTTTTTCTTCTGCTAGCTTTAGGGTTAGTTTGTTCTTGTTTTCATAGTTCCTTTAAGTGTGACATTTGAGATTATTAATTTGAGATCTTTCTAGCTTTTTGACATAGGCATTTATCATTATAAACATTCCTCTTAACAATTCTTTTGGTACATCACAGAGATTTTGATATATTGTGTCTCTTTTCATTTATTTTACAGAAGTTTTTCATTTCTGCCGTAGTTTTGTTGTTTACTCAAAAGTCATTCAGGAGCACACTGTTTAATTTATATATAATTGTTTGGTTTTGGTAAATATTTTTGGTATTACTTTCTATTTGTGTTCTACTGTATTTCAAGAGTATGATTGGTATAATGTTGGTTTTATTTTTAAATTTTTTGAGACTCGCTTTATAGCTGAGCATGTGGTCAATATTGAGGTATGTTCTGTGTGCAATTGGGAAGAACATATATTCTACAGTTCCTGGGTGGAGTGTTTTGTAGATGTCTATTAGGTGCAATTTGTCAACTGTCAAATTCAAGTGCAGAAATTCTTTTAATTTTCTGCCTCAATGATCTATTGCTGCCAGTGAGGTGTTGAAGTCTGCCACTGTTTTTGTGTGGTTGTCTAAGTCTTTTCATAGGTCTAGAAGTACTTGTTTTATGAATCTGGGTGCTCCAATGTTGGATGTGTATATATTTAGGATACTTGGATTTGTGTTATGTTGAATCACTTATCATTATATAATGCCCTTCTTTGTACTCTTTTATTGTTGTTGGTATAAAGTCTGTTTTATATGACATAAGAATTATGACTCATGATCTTTTTCTTCTCTATTTGCATAATAGATCATTCTCTAACCTTTTAATTTGACCCTACAGGCATCATTGCATGTGATATGGTTATCTTGAAGACGGCAGGAGGATGAGTCTTGTTTTTTATTCAACTTCCAACTCTATGCCTTTTAAGTGGGTCATTTAGACCATTTACATTCAAGGTTAATATTCATATTTGAGGTTTCTATCCTATTGTGAAGTTGTTAGCTGGTTGTTTTGCAGTTTTTGTTGTTTGGTTGTTTTATAGGGTCTGTAGGCTATGTATTAAAGTATTGTTTGTAGTAGCAGATGTAATTTTTTTGTTTACATATTGATAACCCTCTTTTGCTTCTCTTGTAAGGCTGGCCTAATGGTAACAAATTCCCTTGGCACTTGCTTTTGTGGAAAATATTATATTTCTCCTTCAGTTATGAGTTTAGTTTGGCAGGATATAGGATTCATGGTTGGAATTTATTTTCTTTAAAAATGCTGAAAATAGGCCCCTAATGTTTCCTGGCTTGCAAGTTTTCTGCTGAGAGGTCTATTGTTAGCCTGGTGGGGTTCCTATTAAAAAAGATATTCATTGTAGTTTGAAATTTCTTAAATGAGTGATCCTAATCCAGATACTCTGATTGATTTCTTTTTAAGATGATCATCTCTTTCTTCATTTTCTGGATTGCTTTAGAAGTTTTTTGTGTTGATTCTCAATGTCTTGGATCTCATTGAGCTTCCTTGCAATCCATGCTTTGAATTCTTTATTTGTTCTTTCTGAGCTTCCATTTTGGTTAGTGACCATTGGTGGAGAGCTAATGTGATCCTTTGGTCATGTCACTACATTCAGATTTTTCATGGTGCTAGAATTCTTGCTCTATTTGCCTCTCATCTGGAGACACTGGCACTTCCATTTTCTGTAATTATTTTTGTGCCAATATGGGCTTTTCTTTCATTCCCTGTAATATTACTGTGGTTTCATTTATTTTCCTTTATCTTCCCACCCCTTCTGGGTTGTTACTGTAGACAATGTTGGGGAGGGTCTTTTGGCTTTGCTCTTGTAGCCCTATGCACTTCTCTCAGCAGGTTTCATATTGGGCTGTATAGTTCAACCTACAAGCCAGTGCATAGCTCTTATGTGTGAGAGCTGGCTGCAACCAATATGACTGAATACATACCTGATCCTTATTTACCAGGAAAAGCTCTCATTGTTTCAGGCAATGGGCTAATCTTTGAAGATTATAGTAGTCTGATCTCCCCACTTAACTGTGGTCATCTCCCCAAATAACTCTGGAGGAATGGAGAGGGCAACATGGGTGGGCCCAGACTGGGCAGGCCAACCTCCAGTTCTCTTGATGGCAGGCACAAACACTAGTGCCAAAGGAGAATCCACTGGGCAGCTACCAAATACCTAGAGGTGTGCCTAGGCTTGGAGCTGAGAAAACTCCTTCCTTGGCCCCAAGTTCTGTGCTTGGAGAGTATGGGGTGACCTAAACTCCTTATCCAGGAGAGTGGGTGCTCCAGATTCCTTGAGATCTGCCTGGATGTGGAATGTATAGGGTCCCCCTATACTACAACTTGCACAGGGAGGGTGAAATGGCTCAGGTGCTGATTTGGGCTGGTGTGTGCTTTGAATTCCTGGTGATCTGCCTGGGCATGGAGTGAAGAGGGCCCTACTTCACCACAGTCTTTGCACAGGAATTATGGGGCAGATCAGGCTGCTGATCCAGGCAAGTGAGTGCTCCAAATGCCTGGAGATATGCCTGGGCTAGGAATGGAGAGACCTCCTCCCACACCAAAATCTCTGTATAGGAAAGGTGGGGCAACTCAGGCTGCTAAACTAGGAAAGCAGGTGCTCCAAATGCATGGAGATCTGCCTGGGCATAAAGCACAGAGGGCCTCCCTGCACAAGGATCTCCGCACAGGAAGTATGGGGCAGCTAGGCTACAAGTTCATGCAAGTAGGTTCTCCAAATGCCTGGAGATTTGCTTTTATCAGATAGATGCCATCATGCAGGCTTTTTGCCTGCATTCTCCTCCCCAGGATCAGGGGTGTCCTTTACAATTCCAGTAGATTCTCCCTGAATTAAGGCTCACATAATTTATCTTTATGCGCTATCTTGCTTTTTCCAAGTGGCTGAGACACACTAAAGGCCTCTAATCCACTCTCTTGGGGAAAAAAGACACTCATTAACTTTAAGAAAAATAGTATATAACATTTATATTGGGCAATTTACCTAGAAATGATTAGTGCATGTCTTTCATGAACATAATAGAGTGCTAGATATGAGGGAAAGGGTTATTAGAGTGCTCTTTCTCTTGGATTATGATTTTGGATTAATTTATTGGGCTACATAGAATTTGTATATTCATAGAAACACATGGGTAATTTGTAGTATAACATCTTGCTGGGCAAGAGTATAGTGTCACTTTATGTTGTCTCTGTCAAAATGAGAGTGTAAAAGTATGCAATGGTATCTAATGTTAATTGAAATTGCAAACCCCTAGTAAAAGGCACTGACAGCTGGTATATTGACTGTGTATTAAAATTGTGAGGAAATCTCTGAGAATCCTCATCTCACACACCACACCATATTTCCTCTATATGGGATTTATATTGGATTTTAGTTTTTCTTGTTGTTGTTGTTGTCATTTTCCCCTTTAAAATGTCACTTCCCAAAGTGCAGCATTAGGCAGAGAATGACTTCCAGAAATGACATTTCAATTTTGCTGATATACTAGCATTTGGTTTTGATTTTTTTTCCTTTTCAAAGCATGGCATCTAAGGCATGACAGTGCCTTAAATAAAATTGCATGGGAAAAGATATGGTAAAACATCAATAGCAAAGTCATTTCCCTTCTACCAAATGGAAGTTATCCTTTTGCGTATGCTCAGATATTGGTACTTGGCAGCCAGCACAATTAGGTGTTCTGTGCACAAGGAAGGGAGTGGTGGAATACTGAGAAAAAAACAATTTCTAATATTTTAATGCTATATGATTACAGAATAACAGAACTTAAAATTTTATGCCACCTCATTATGTTTTACTAGGTTTTATTTTAAAATATAAGAGATATGATCCATGTTAGAATACTTTCTATCTAACACCCATATAATACTACAGAGACTGGCATAATGTTCATGTTTCTGTTGGCTCAACTAAAATTGCTCATAGGCAGCCTTCAAATCCCCCTGAGTTTGATACTGTGTTACATAATGGTCTCAGAACATTAAGGATTTGAAGAGGAAAATTTATATCTTATGCTTCTTCATTTGACAGAACCAGTTAGAATGCTAACAAATACGAAATCTCTGGAACCACCACACTATCACAAATAAACCATCACAAATGAAATCAAACTCATTTGAGCAAGCACAAGACACATTAAGTAACAAGAGCTATTGCTAAATGTAAAAATTTTCTTCCAATCCCTTTCACCCTGATGTGAAAATCAAGGCATTGTGTTTGTATTAACCTTTTTATTTTAATTTTTTATTAACAACTTTAATTCTAGGTTCTCAGCCAGAGCCACTAAATTAATAAAAATAAAGGCCTTTGGAGTAAAACAGATCTGGAAGATCAAAGGGAGTCAAAATCCCTGGCAAGCAGCAGACACCAACATCAGCCATTTAGTAAAAAGCAGTGCTAAAAATGTTAATGTGGTGATAAATATTTAAATTTAGCTTGTTGATAAAAATGCCTAAAACATAAAGCAGATAAAACTTCTATTACTGTGAATACTAAGAAAAATATAAGATAAACTGGTACTAATAGAGAAAGAAGCTAAAAGAAGTCTTGTATAGGAACACTTAGATTTCAGAATTTTAGAGGTTTTGTAGTACATTAGGATGAATATATTTAAAGTGTTAGGGAATAGGGAACAAGGATAGATTGAAGCATAGAAAGAACTAAAGATAAAGATGCTATAAAGAATATTGATGAAGGTGTTTGCAGAGAATCCATTGCAATGTAGTGCCTCGTAGATATGTTTCCAAATGTAAAAGTCAAACTAACTAAAACAAACAAAGAAACAAACAAGAAAACTAATGGATAACAAATGTACTAAGCAACAGGTCATACTGAATTACCATTAGCTGATAAAAGTAATGTGGTGACTTCAACTCAAATTGTACTTATTACCATCATAAACAATTATTATTTTAGCAATTCTACCATGTAGGAAATGGTGCTATAAGAAAGTGCTATAATATTAAATTACTGTCTAAGTCTTTTTTTATTTTAGGTATTCTCATTATGTTGCTATTATGGGTTAATTTTTGTATTTTTTAGTAGAGACGGGGTTTCACCATCTTGGCCAGGCTGGTCTTGAACTCCTGACCTCAGGTGATCCACCCACCTTGGCCTCCCAAAGTGCTGGGATTACAGACGTGGGCCACCATGCCCAGCCTCAGCATATCTCTTATATATTTGTTTTTTGACCTTTTATAGTAGTTGCCCTAGGGCTTGCAATAAACATTTACAACTAATCCAAGTCCACTTTCAAATAACACTGTTCTATAGGTTGCTGCACAAGTAATTATGGTTTGTGCTATTAGAAGCAATGGCAAAAAAAAAGCAATTACTTTTGCATTGAACTAATATTTTGTAAATATTTACCTTTAAATGCATGTACCTTTAAATAACATAATTATTTTGATTCCTACCATCTGTTCCTTGTATCCTTGCTGCCATTATTTTACTTATATATTACCATATATAAATGCACATCTGTAATACATTGTTGCTGTTATTTTGAACACACTATTATCTGTTTGAGCAATTAACAATAATTAAAATGCAGTATATATATGTGTGTATATATATATATATATATATGTATGAGAGAGAGAGAGAGAGATGAAGTCTCGCTCTGTCACCCAGGCTAGTGTGCAGTGGCACAATCCCAGCTCACTGCAGCCTCCACTTCTTGGGCTCAAGTGATTTTCCTGCCTCAGCCTCCCAAGTAGCTTGGACTACAGGTGTGCGCCACCATACCTGGCTGATTTTTGCATTTTAAGTAGGGACAGAGTTTCACCATGTTGGCCAGGCTGTTCTTGAACTCCTGACATCAGGTGATTTACCCTCCTCAGCTTCCCAAAGTGTTGGGATTACAGGTGTGAGCCACCATGCCTGTCCAAAGTTTATATTTTATCTCAATACTTCTTCATTGTGCTTCCTTGATTTATGTAGATTTGAATTTTCTGAGCAATATCACTGTCCTTCTAAAAATATTTCTTTGAACATTTTTTGCAAGGTGATACTACTGACAACAAATTGTCTCAACTTTTGTTTATCTAAGAAAGTTGTTGTTTACTTTTAAATAAAGACTATTAATTCAATTTTGAAAGATATTTTGCAGAAAACAAAATCCTATGTTCTCTTTTCCCCTTCTCTCAACACTAAATATTTCACTCCACTCTCTTCTTGCTCACATGGTTTCTGAGATGAAGTTGGATATAACTGTTATCTTCATTCCTCTGTAGGTAAAGTATTTTTCCCTTCTGTCATCTTTCACTATTTTTATCTTCGATTTTCTGTTCTTTGGAAATGGTATGTCCAGTTGTAGTTTTTGGCATTTATCTGACTTGGTCATCTCTGAGCTTCTTGGATCTGTGATTTGGCGTCTGACAGAGAAATTCTCAGTCACCATTGTCTCAAATGTTTCTTCTGTTCCTTTTCCTTTTTATTTCCATTACATGAATGTTATACCTTTTCCAGTTGTCCCACAGTCTTGGATATCTTGTTCTTCTTTTTTTTTTCCATTATTTCTTTTCTTTGCTTTCAGTTTTCAATGCTTGTATTCATATGAACTCATCAGAGATTCTTTCCTCAGCTGTGTCCTGTGTATTAATAAGCCCATCAAAGGCATTCTTCATTTCTGTTACAGTGTTTTTGATCTTGAGCATTTCTCTTCAGTTCTTTTTCAGGATTTCCATCCCTCAGCTTACATTGCCCATTGTTCTTACATGTGATCAACTTTATCCATTAGAGACCACATTGGTGTTTTACATTTCTGTTCTGAAATTCCAACATCCTTGCTAAGTCTGGATCTGATACTTGTTATGTCTCCTCAAATTGTGTTTTTGACTTTTTGGCGTGACTTGCAATTTTTTTTTTTTTTTTTTACTGATTGTCGGATATGGTGTACCGAGTAAAATGAACTGTTCTAAATAGGCCTTTAGTAATATGGTGTAGTGGCAGGGGAAGGATTTTAGTTTAATGATTACGTCTCAGCTTTTTAGTGAGTCTATGCGTCTGGATTGTCAACTTTACAAGTGTTGTTCTGTTTTGTTCTCCCGCTTTGGTAGGACAAGATGACTAGAGTGGGCTGGAGTTGTGTATTTGCCTTCTCACAGGTAGAAAACTAGTGGAGCAGGAGACAAGCATTTCTCTTCCCCAGGTCAATTAGGCTCTGATGATAGTTTTGGTTAATTCGTTTCTTCTGAGGGCAGGCCTTGATAAGAGGAATAGAGCTCTGTGGTATATTTCAAAGAGGTTTCTTTTTCCCTTTCTCTCCTGAATGTACAAGTTAATTTTTCTCTGATATTTGCTGTGGAAAATGGTCAAATTTGTGAAGGTGAATCTCAAAATATTGTGAAGTTCCCCTTATGAGTTAGTTTTTCTGGAATGTTTAATTCTCAGTCTTGTCCTCACTTATTCTCCAGAAATTCATCAATTAGAGTTCAGGTTTCATACTCCATTTCTTTTTCTCATTGGTGTTTCTTCTCATGAATCTCCACTCTGGAGAGATGTGACTCCCTGTATTCTCCAAGTTGGGAGGCAGCATCATACTCAGTGACTTTCCGTCTTATAAGAGTTGTTGATTTTTTAGTCCATTTAGCTTTTTACTTGTTGATAGGATGGAGTGGCAATTTCCAAGTTCCTTATGTGTGGAAGTAGAAACCAGAAGTCTCTAGAAGCTTTTAATTTTTTAGTATAAGAGGTATACTTCTCTGAGGATATAAGTCAGCAAACCCAATGTTTTCTCAATGGAATCAGTAGCAAAAAGGGACCATGAAGGAGGGGGAGGGCAGTGGGCTATGAATAGATTCAACAAGTCATCTCCTTAGCAAAGCTAGACTGACTCATTGTTATGTGAAAAACTGACACTTAGTGTTATCAGTAGCAAACAGATTCAATTTCCAATATGATTTCTCAGCTATATAATGGATATGGTAGTAGCCCCCACCAAATAGGGTATGAAAGCAGTGCCTGACAATAGTATAAATATTACATATTATTACACTGGAGTGTAATACACAAGAGTAGAGGTATACATTTGTTATATTGTTATACATTTGTTATATTGTTACATTTGTTATATTGTTATATTGAAACTCTTCAGCTGTGGAAGAGTATCAGCTTATCCTTGATGAAACAGATACTTACTAAGATAATTTTACTTGACAGTGCCTCTCATGTTTCTGCTAGCACCATCATCTATGGGTTTAGCAAACATGTTACATTTGTTAAGGTAATATAGAATCAGAGATGACTATATAAATGAATCCACTGTTTCCTGATTTTTCCACACTGAATGGGAGAAGTTCATGGATAACCGGAGCAAATATTCAGACAGGACTTAACAAGTCACATATTCCATAGAAATATAGATTTTGGTTATAAAGTGCATTGAAGAATCTCTCAACTCACTTAAATGATGGCTATAGGAAGCTAAAATGTGAAATGGACAGTAGAGTAGAAAATTTACAATACTATTTGTGGTTTAATGACCAGTTGTAGAATGGGGAATAGAGCCTCTAAGTTATTTCCATTTCTTTTCTTCCCTCCTTTTCTAACAGTAACTGCAAACAGTGTTGTTGTTATTAACCTTTATGATTTAATTACATATTGTCACATATAAATGAAGAGTTCCTGGGCATGAATGTAGTTATTGATACGAACCTCATATATTCCCCTTTGGGAAGAGGTGGATCCATGTTCCATTATCCCAGTTAGGTGAGAGCTATCTTTTGGACACATAAGAAAGAGGAAAGAATATCAAATAGTGCGAATTTGAAGAAGGCAGGATTCTGCTTTTTACTTTTTTTTATGTTTTTGAGATGGAGTCTCACTCTGTCACCCAGGCTGGAGTGCAGTGGCACGATCTTGGCTCACTGCAAGCTCCACCTCCCAGGTTCACACTGTTCTCCTGCCTCAACCTCCCGAGTAGCTAGGACTACAGGTGCCCCCCACCACGCTGGGCTAATTTTTTGTATTTTTAGTAGAGACGGGGTTTCACCATATTAGCCAGGATGGTCTCAATCTCCTGACCTCAAGATCCTCTGGCCTCAGCCTCCCAAAGTGCTGGGATTATAGGCGTGAACCACCACGCCCAGTCCCCTGCCTTTTATGCTTAAAGCCAAAGTGGGACAGAGCTCTCTCCAGTTACTGTGACCTCATGCCCTAGACTATGGTCTTGTCTCAGCTATCTAGAAGTTCACAACCGTCTTTGGGTCTATTGATAATAAAAGAAAATCTTAGGATATTTCATGGACATAATGTCCACTGAGAGAGGCCAGCATCATCTGAATGACCAGTCAGTCAATAGCACACGTTTCCTAACATAATTCCTCATCAGAGTGTTCCTAGGGTATAAAAAAGGACAGATTTTTGGCTGCCTGATTTCACTTGGTTTCTTCCCATATACTGAGCCTGGCCCTCCACAATTACCCTTCTGATTCTGTGAGATTAATATTGTTGCATTAAGTTTGCCTTCTGCTTAAGTTAATCAAAGTTGATTTTCCTTGTTACTAATCTTTATTAATAAAGATATGATGTTAAATATAAACTATGAAGAGTCTGGAATGTGGTAAACATACTATCAGTAATAGTTCTTATTTCATTCTTTTTATTTACTTTTAACACCAGGAAAATAGTATAAAACTCTGTTAATAACACTTTAAGTTAAGATAACACGTACAATTAGGGTAACACTAGCAACTCCAACAAACATGGCATAAAAATATATAATTGCCAATATATGATATTTTATTTGTAGCTCACATATATTCCAAAATGAGTATTTTAAATCCTTAGCTCTTCCCTAACCACTGACTGAGGAACCTAAATTTCTTGTATATTATGACTCTGCCAATTTTTGTGCTGAACTCTTCTACGTAAGCTGGTGGAATAAAAAAAGGGCATGGAGAATCTCACATGGGACATTTCCATTACCTGGAAATATTGTTTGCTGCTTCTGCTCACATTCCATTTTTTGGAACTCAGTGTTATGATCACACAAAAATGCAGGGTTAGCTGGAAGGTCTACCTTCCCCAGCCCACTGACTCAAATGTTAGTCTCTTTTAGCAACACCCATACAGACACACCCAGGATTAACATTTTGTATCCCTCAATCCAATCAAGCTGACACTCAATATTAATCATCACACCCTGTTACAATTAATAGCCACATTTTGTATACATTCTAGCAACCACTACTATACAAACATTGTATATAACCTAACTCATTAAATCATCACAACAATGGGAAATAGACATTAGTTTGCCTACTTTAGATATGTTGTATTTTAGGTAGATAATTTAATTTGTTTACAATCGTGTGGCTTTGTATCAAGAGAACTGAAAAAAAAAAATAGACACAGATGGTCCTGCTTAAAAAACTGATGCTTGTTATACTGATGCACTACTTTTTACTTTTCAGCAAAGCTGACATTAATCACATCAAACAAGTTTAAAAGCAAGATCACAGTTAAATCAGCATTATTATTGACCTAAACCCTTTTGCCAATAGTTTCATGGTGAAATACTCAAACCATATGTTTCTTTCTAAACTTTATTAAAGAATAATTATTTGGACCAGAGACACATGAAGTGTCAGAAGCATGCATGAATGCACAGCTCCTAATTTTGTTATCTTATTTTCAATCTTTGAGTTATTTCATAATAAAAATCACTTAACATATGCCACTTAAAAATCTTAAATTTAGTTTTAGGTCCAAAATGTAATCAATGAATATTTTGTGTATGTCAAACTGAGGAACGAGTATCAGGAAAATCCTGATAGTTTAAGTTATAATATTTCAAGGAGTAAACATACAGGTACAAAGGTATAATACAGTTAGCCCTCCATATCTGTGGGTTTTATATCCATGGATTCAGCCAATCATTAGTCAAAAATATTTCCAAAAAATTGTGTCTGTAGTGAACGTGTACAGACTTTTTTCTTGTCATTATTCCCTATTCGATACAGTATAAAAATAATTTACATAGCATTTATTATACCATATTTGGCATCATAAGTAAACTAGGGAGGATTTAAAATATATAGGAGGACATGGGTAGTTCATATGCAAATAATACACAATTTTATATCAGGGACTTGAGCATCCACAGATTCTGGTATTTATGGGAGGTCTTGGAACAAATTCTCCAGGGATATAGGGAGACTATATATACTTTTTTCTAACCTCTCACCAAGACTATTCAAAATTATTAGACCATTCACTTGCAAAAGATGCTTTTCTTAGGAGGTTATTTAATGGTGTGTTTCAGTTAATTCCTTAGTATATAGAGAATAAGTTTCTTTTGCCATTTATTAGATGATAGTAACTTTTATTTTTTTCATTGTTTTGACAAGGAAAGATCAGTATACCTTTCACATCCACAGATGAAAAAATATAGTAAAATGAAAAAAGGCTGAAAAAATTTAATTCGCTTTTATAAAATATAATGCTCACTTTGTGAAAGGAAAGAAAGTCTACAGAGGTGCAGCTCAGTGACAACACCTTAAATACATTTTTATTCAGAAAAAAAAGAGCGTTGAAAGAACACATTTTCTCAATGGCAATTGAAACTTACATGGAATAAATGTAAACTGTCTCTCCCTGAAAGGAATACCTGATAAAAGAATAAGTCTCATTACCCATGAAGGAGATGGCATAATATAATCCCAAAGTCTTCAATTTTAAATAATAGATTTTCAGTAGGCTTCTTCAAACAATAGCTCAGAAAGAATAGAGTCCTCTTAAATACAGATATTACAAAAATCACTTTATGGAAAGACGGCGTTTTTTTGAGGAGCAAAGTTTTCCATTCAGTTTCTTTCAATTCTGGGTTTACTTTGCAGACTCTGAGATCTTGCATATTGAAAGGAATTCATATGCAAATACCATAGACCTTTGCAGCTAGACTTAAAAATATGTAAATTGTAAGGCTTTCTGTTCCATTCAGTCAGAATCATCATGTGCTCTTCTTTCTTGATGTAATTAATAGAGAAAAATTATGGATTTTTTTTTTTTTACTTAATTTAATATCTTGAAATACTTTTCTTACCTCTACATCTATCTTTATTGTAGGGCTGTCTGTGATCTGTAGAGAAGGAAACTATTCAGAAATGAAAAGGAGAAACTAAAATGTTAACCAACAACTCGCCTTTTTTTAATTCCAGTTTTTTTCCTAGTATAAAATCAGTAAATCATTTTTGATCTACAGTCAAAATTCCCATCTCAATGATTAACATTTCCTGATTAATTTGAAAGCCTTTCCTTATGTGATTAAGTTTCTCACTTATTTACTTTTTTCCTTTTATGTTGGAGAAAGACATTATATTAGAAATAGAGTTTAAATGCCCTTTCCTCAGCTCTCCTGTGGGGCTACTGACAACAGGCACACCCACACTCACACATATACACACACAGATTACGATCTCAAATATAAGAGGAAATGACACTTCTACTACGATGATTTGTGGAAAGGATTTGTCCTGTCATCTGTAAAGCATCTTGTTATCACTTTGCTTTGCTTTCCAAGTACTGATGAAAATCTAAATTGCATCTTTATATCTGTAAATACAGACTGGAATAAAAAAAAGAATGTAACTCAGCAGTTTGGTGATTGCACTGTGGGCCTGGCTCTCTGTAATGCTCCGAATTCTTCCTAAAGTAACCACAGACCTTGAAAATATAACTATTCAAATAGGTATTGTAAACTCAAGTGGTAGAAAATGAGTTTTCAATACCGTTTGCTTTATTTGAGGGCTGGGCCATCTGCTTGCTAGTGTCAGTTTTGCATGGATGAATTTAAAATCGAGAGGCATTGCTCAAGATTTTTTAAAAAGCATAACCTTGTGATAAAAAATGCTCCATTGAAGTCCACTTTGCATCTGGCATACATTCTGTGGCCTTTATCTGACTAGCTATTGACAGAAAATTTGAATGAGAAAGGCTGTATGGGACTTAATTAGTCAGTAACAAATGAGTGTTGCAAAATGCCAATATGTCATTAACACCTGAACAAAAATTAGTTGATAGGATTTATCAAGTTACCCACTAATTTCCACTTCCAAAACTCCCAAGAGTTCAATAATTAGGTGGTTCTTCCTTTTTAGAAAATGTAATTCTCAAGGTTAAGAGGCTCCTGATAGGCCGCTTGATCATTTTTACTCTTATCCCTGTAGAATCAGCTTCAGTGTACAACTATAGTGGTCCCACTCAAAGATTTTCCACTACACACAAGACTATGGCTCACCCTCAGTCTTCATAGTCCCAGAGAAATGAGTCCTAGGAAACTAGGCAAAGAGAACTGGCCAATGTAATACCTGCACTCTGTGATTCACCAAACATAATCTCAATAATTGTTTTACATAAAAACTTTAAGCTCTTTTTGTGACACCATGTTTGTGATACCTCAGGCAATGAACTACTCACTCAGCCTCTTCAAGCAGGAGGCTGACCAGGTAGGATATTCAGTCAAACTTAACCTGATTGTTTTGCCCCATGTAATCCTTTTTCCTTTAATCTATCAGTGAACAAATGGAGGATGGGTAGCTGCATCATTCTCAAGATAGCTTTATGAACTCACACTCAGCAGAGTGTGAGCTATATTTATTAAATATTAGTGGGTGAAATTATTTGGTTTTTATACATGCATTTAAAAATCCTTGCTAACATTACATCTGTTCTATCTAACCCATCACTTAGAGCTTATTGACGTAATGAAAAAGTAATCACTTCAAAAGAGGCAGTGGAGAAGACATTATTAAGATTTGCTATGAATAGTTCTATAGAAGTCTTTATGTAAAGATATGCTTTCATTTCTCTTGGGTAAATGCCTAGGAGTAGAATGGCTGAGTGGCAGAGTCATAGGGTAGGTGTATAATCAAATAATAATAAGAATGATAATAAAACCTGCCCAACTGGAGTATTATCTTTGAACTATTTTTTATATTGTTAAATAAACTTTCAGAGCACATTTTTATTTGTTGTAGGGTATTACATCTTGTGATTATTGCATAATTTGTTAATCTATTCCCCAATTGGGTATTTAGGTTAGTGCCACATTAAAACTCTAACATATATAAGCAAATAATATTTTTATTAGGCATCTGCATCTGTGATTATTTGTTTAAAATATGTTGCTATACATGGAATCATTGGCATTATTGAATCAACAGGATTACATGTTTTAAGATTCCTCTTATATGGTGTCAAATAGATTTTCTGAAAGGTTGCAAAAATGCATATTTTCAATGAGTGAGAGAGTATATCTCAATTAAACTTCTACATCCCCCCTCAAATTTTTTTTCTGAGTTTGATAGAATTTTAAAATTAAAAGGAACTGCATACTTCTTTTAGCCCAATTCTTTACCTGGTCTTCGAATATCCTCTGGAGCATATTTATGAAGTGCCTTTTCAGGCTCTGCCTAGATAGGGGAGTGTATGTATGGCTTTCAACTATTGTTGGACTGCATTAATTATTGAAAAGTGTTTCATATCAGTGAGCAGTGGTCTGCCTCATTTTAGCAAGTATCGGATGCATAAAAACCACAGTTCAGCTGAGGTTTCAGGCCAAATCTATGTAGTTCATGTGCAGCAGAAGTTAAGACATGAATATTTGTTCTGCTTCAGAAAAATTTCACCTTTATATGGCCTTCACTACATCTCTGGCTGAATACCAGGTTCTCTCTTAGTAGCAAGAACCATTTTCTAATTAATAGAATAGGAAGTTGAATACAAAACAACAACACTAGCTCAGTGTATGGTACATTTCAAACATTCAATAACCATTGGATGCTATTGTTATATAATCGCTATAGTATTTATATGAATGGAATATGTATTTATAATTTCTATTCTTAATTTTGGAAAAAAACTGTTGTAAGCATACTTGCTAATTCCTCTTGTCCATTTTTATTCATTGAATCCTTTTAACTGGTAATTTGCTCTGAAGCAGTGGGAAAAAGTGCCGTTGCTAGGGTGATGGTTAATGTTGTGTGTCAATTTCACTATGCTAAGAGGTACCCAGGTAGTTGATCAAGTTGTTCTGGATATCACTGTGAGGGTACTTTTGGATGAGATTAACATTTAAATTGGTAAACTGAGTCAAGCAGATTGCCCTCTCTAGTGTGAGTGGATATCTTCCAATTAGTTAAAGGCCTGAATAGAACCAAAAGACTGACTCCCCACTAAGTAAATGAGAATTTGTTCTGACTGTTTTTTAAAAGAAACATCAGAATTTTCCTGCTTTCAGATTCAAACTAAAGCAACCTTTAAACTGGAATGAAACCATCCCCTCTCTTAGGTCTCCACCTTGCTGACATACTCTGCAGACCTTGAGCTTGCCAGCCTCCATAATACACACACACACACACACACACACACACACACACACACACATATTCTATTGATCCTGTTTGTCTGGAGAACCCTGATTAATACACCTAGTTTATCAAATTCAACAGAATGCACTAAGCACTGTATTTCATAGTGTGGAAAACACAGACATTTAACTGTGCCCCAGCTTACACAGATTTAGCCATGTCAGAAACCTAGAGATTAAGTTCTTTGCTTCTTAACCAACAACCCAAATTGGATGAATGCTATACAATAATTTCACACACAAAAAAATGAAAGCAATCTATGTGAGAAAATCATGTGGATAGTTCTAAGAGGAAAACCCTATGCTCTCATTCCCTATCCTAAAAGCCATTCAATTCTTCTTGATGTCCGTTTGGACTGAGGGCCTTAATACTAGTTTTAAGTCAGATTAAGTGGAACTAGCAAAAAAAGCCTTCTAGTACTGATATAAAATTCGTATTTCAAACAGTAAGAAAAATTACTAGGTAGTGAAAAAAAAAAAAACCTCAGTTGTCTCTAATTACTTGCTTCAAGAAACCAGCTGAAAATCTGAAGCTAAAATAGACAATAGAACTTCACTCAACCTTGATGTCAACCTCTCACCCATTCCCTCTGAGAAAAACCTTATCTGACTTTATAGAAGGAAAATTGACCACCTTTCCACAATGACCTTTATTTTTTTTAGTAAGTTTCTTTTTAGTGATGAGATAATCCCCCAATGTGTCAAAAGGTTGTTTTCAAAGAGACATTAGTTTATTTTGGAGAGGCACAAAGCTTTACTAACACTGCTCTGGATTAAATGCATTCAAATACATTATCTCCTTTGAAATGTATTTTTTGAAATGCTTTGCAGCCATCCTGCATTATCTGTCCTGAATGGAAATTAATACACACTCCTCTGTGCATTCAAAAGATCTGTATATATCCTTCTCATAAGTTATTTGTATTATTATTATTATTTCAAAGAGTATATCAAAGTGGCTTCACTGAGATATGTTAAAAATGATAATTTTTCAGTTACATTATTTAACTAGATGACATTCTATTGAAATTTATGTTGGAATTTTAAATAAATTGTATACTACTTTAAAATACTTTCCTACCTTCGAGATAATCTTTGTTTAAAAAAGAAAGCGGAGAACAAAAAGACTTTATTTCCAAGTTTTCCTTCTTGTAAATAAACATGAAGTATGCTCTACACAGTTTCTAGGAAGTTCTTGGAACTATTCATTCCTCATTATTTCAATCAACATATATTATGTGGATTCTAGGTACAAGGCACTGTATTTTATCATTATATTTTGGTGTTATATTGGGCTTTTATTGTAAAGAGTAGGGCCCATCTTTAAGTAACACGGAATACATATTTTATGTGAATTTTATTGATCAGAAATCTTTACATTCTGGAAATTTACAGCTTTACTTTTATCTAAACTCCCTCATTTTTCGAGAGCTTTTTCTAAAACCAATTAATTCTTTCATGCCACTCCTTTTCCTGAAAATAAAAAGGGATTTTTAAAACTATATTTAAGACAAGTTCAAACTCCTTACAATGCGTAAAACTTACCTCACGACTTCATCATTTCAACCTCATCTCATATACTTGTGTGTGTGTTGTGCGTGTGTATAAAATCTCCCTCTGTTTGTTGTCTGTATCTTGCTTATGGAAGTCTCATCCTTTAAATATCAGTTGGGCATCACATCTTGACAAGGATCACATTTCCTTTCTTGGGCAATAGCATTGTTCCCTATCAAATCCTTATTAGAGAGCTCACTGCGTTATTTTGTATATTTTTATTGGTTGATTAATACTACTTTTTTTCATAATCTATTAAATTCTTGAATATAGACATTTTGCCTGGGGCATATTTACAAACCTAGAAAGGCCTAGCATATAGTAAACATTTAACCAATGCATATCTGAGTGAATGAAAGAATAAACGAATGAATGAAGAAGTATAGGAAAACAGAGATCCTGACAAGTTTAGTGATTTAGTCGAAGTCAGAGAGTGTAGCAAAATCAGAGTTGGGATTCCAGTTTTTATATCTCTTGTGCAGAGCTCACATTTCTACTTAGGTAACGATGGGTGACATTTTCTAAATTCATACACAGCAGAAAAATATAATATCCCTACCTTTGGGCCGGTAGCTTTAAACAAAAAAAAAGATAAGATGGATAATCAAAAAGGAAAGGATTTTTATTCCCAGTAAAAATTTGATTGAAGACCACACAGCTGCCTTTGAGGCCATTCATGTCCACACTTTGCATTCTCCATCCTGGAGCAGAAGTCAGCTTTGCTGGGGAGGAAGAACTCCCCAGGACGACAAATGTAAACGAAGATTCTTCCCATTGCCTGCCCAGCAATAGAGTGTCACTTTTTGCAGTGTGTGCTGTGAGACTGACGCAGGCTTCGCTTCTTTGGGGTATGGCAGTGTGTGAAGGTGTGACACTAGCTACTAAAAAAAATGTCCTACTAAATCTTCTATGACCTTTTCTTATCAGTACATAGGCAACTGGATGCCCAGAGATCCCAAGGCTCCAGCTCTAAGCTAAAGTTCAATCAATCAAATAATCAGACAAGAATTTTATCTTTATCTTTCTAGAGGGCTTAAGCTTATATCATCTGGAGAGAAATGGACAAATTTGATCATAAATAACTAAATAGGAGGACAGTCACTATTTCATTCATATGACAAACTTATTCTGATATATTATTGTTTAAACATATATGCATAATTTATACATAAATGTATGCATATTAGTGATATAAGTAAAAAGCAAATATATGTAAGACTAAAATTCAAAATTGTAAGATTTTTCTAAGGGCCTAACTGCTAATTGTAGCCCCTCCCGAAGTGCAGCTAAATGCTGATTCATATTTAAGAGTAATATCAAATGCAAGATGCAGTTGTTTTTGTTAACTTAAGAAACAGTATATTTAATCAGGTAAATGATTACAACTTAAGTTAACATTTATATTAACAGTGAGTTTAAAACTATACGAGTTTGCAATTGTTGAATGCAAAACTCCAAGTGATTATTCCATTAATGTGTTCTTTGTTTGTAACTAGTATTTATTTCAATAGGCTTTTTCAAATTTAACTTATTTTTATTTCCTAAAAAGTATATTTCCTTCTCTGAGATAAGATTCATGTGGACAATCTTTGCCATTGCTTGTGGATCTTAGTAACAGAATTAGATAAATTAGTTCATTAAACTAATTGTCTCAAAATTATAATGAATACATTGTAGTTCTAAAGCACTTCAGTTAAAGTATATAAATATAGGAAAAACAATAGCAGGTCTTCGAATGAAAAAATCACCGACATAAAGTAGTACATTGAGAAAGGAATATAAAGTAAATAAATTTAAAAATCAGAAAATACTGACTTTATGCCGCTACCAGGTGCAGGACAGAAGAACCCTTAACATAACTACTATTAGTCTGATGTAAACTAAGGGAATATTCTGGTGTGTGATCCAAAAAGAGCCCTGGAAAATATTTTTGCCTCTGGATACAGATGACTTTGAAGAAAGGATGGACAAGGACTGATTGAGCTTTGGTCAAGATGTTTGCCTGCCTGGATGTAATGTGGGATCATATCATACTCAAAAAAAAAAAAAAATAAAGGCGAGGAGAAATTTTTGAAATAAATATATTACAGAAATTTAATTTGCATACCAGATGGATTGGTATCATCAATAAATATCATCAATATAAAAATCACCTAATAATTAATTCCCAAATCAAAATGGATATCTAAAAGAGAAATAAAATTGTATAGAGAGGAATACACAAGAGGTTTGGAAGACAATTGCGAAGGCAAATTTAAATTAACTTCATTTCTGTAAGATCAAAATCTACCCATTATGGTTTCTTCAGCGAAACACAAACTACATTATCAAGACATATATTTATCACACTGAGTGCAAAAGTTTAGTAATTTTATTAACTATTTCCATTGAAATACATTTTATGAGTTTTATTTAATAGCCATATATAACTTGTCTATTTTAAAAAATATGTTCAACTCAAAGAATATCAATGTTCATAGCAAAGTCCTAATTTTCTGAACTAATAAAGAGGTTTAAATAATTTTATTTATTGAATATGTGCTTGGATAATTCTTTCAATATGGAAAAATGCTTATTAAAATGTAAACATGTTAATTATTTTAAGTCTCACAGTTTTGCACAATCTAAAATATTTCAAATAATTCTTGAGGTGATTTCTGGAGGTTAGAAAATTTACATTTTTCTTGGGTGCATTTAGATTTTTCTTGGGGTGCATTTAGGTTTTCTTGGGTGTATTTTACTGAAACACAAATATCAGGCTTTGGGCTCCATAGTGTTATATGTATTTTTAATAAGACATAATTTAACCCATGATAATTTAGCCCAGATGACTTAATATTAGACTATCCCCATGTAACTAGAGATTCTTTTCAGTTTGCAGTGTACACCTGTCCATTATGTATATAGCATTATAAGTGCTATGTCCAAGATGCCAGGGAGTCAAGGCAAACTTCTGAATTTAAGAATTTTTGACAATGTATTTGAAAGAATTAAAAGATTCAAACGTATATCAAACAAGTAGAACTCAAGTGTTTTTATAATATCATTATGTTAAATGGGGACAGCAGAAGCATCCTTAACTCTCACTCTATTTTTTTTTGATATGGAGTTTCGCTGTCCCTCACGCTGGAGTGCGGGATCTCCGCTCACTGCAAGCTCCGCCTCCCGGGTTCACGCCATTCTCCTGCCTCAGCCTCCGGAGTAGCTGGGACTACAGGCGCCCGCCACCATGCCCGGCTAATTTTTGTATTTTTAGTAGAGACGGGTTTCACCGTGTTAGCCATTATGGTCTCGATCTGCTGACCTCGTGATCTACCCGACCTCGGCCTCGCAAAGTGCTGGGACCACAGGCGTCAACTCTCACTCTATTTTATTATCTTTCAGGAATATATTTACTGCCTTGACCACACTTCCAGGCAAGATGATTGCATATTCTGGAAAATGCACTTTCTGCTTTGGTACTAGTTAACAGAACTATAACCTTTACTTTTCACTCAAAGCAAGTTATAATATGTTCTATGTGTTATGGTATGAACTCTCAGCTCAGAATTTTTTTTAATAGACAACATTATACTAGGTCAAGCCTCAGTTGAAGGAAAAATAAAATATACATTTATGAATCGTCTGAAGTCTTTTTATATTGAAATATATCTTCTCAGTTTTTATTTAAAATGTATTTATTGAAGGCCAAATAGGAGCTATAAACTTTGCTAGGTGCTGGTGTTTTAAAGAGGAATAAGACATTCTCTCAACCCTCAAGGTCCTTAAATTTCAGCCAGGGACACTTGGGGTAAACCCAAAACTCTAATATAGGCAGTTAAGAATCTCACGGTTGTTTGTGCTATTTATATCTTTGAGACGCATATGCCAAAATGCATTCTCTAATGTCCCAATTAACATATGTATACTTCACAAAGTTGCTTTTGGGCACATTTAATCTGCAATAATGGAATAATATAACTCTTCCAAAACTGTGAAACCTGTTTAAATGTATTATTTTTTTCTGAATGTATATGCCTTTGAAGAAGCTAATTAAATCAATTAACATTAAACATTGAAGAATTGAAGCATACAACAATTTTATTTATAACTTTAATGTGAAATTTGTATCTCCCACAAGTATCAAGAGAAGTAATAATTAACACCACCCTGAGGCATACCAAAGTGTTTCTTGGAATAAAAAAAAATAACTTTTTTTTTTTTTTGAGACGAAGTTTCGCTCTTGTTGCCCAGGCTGGAGTGCAATGGCGCCACCTCAGCTCACCATAACCTCCGCCTCCCGGGTTCAAGCGATTTTCCTGCCTCAGCCTCCCTAGTAGCTGGGATTACCGGCATACCCCACCACCACGCAGGGCTAATTTTGTATTTTTAGTAGAGGCGGGGTTTCTCTGTGTTGGTCAGGCTGGTCTCCAACTCCTGAACTCAGGTGATCCACCCATCTCGGCCTCCCAAAGTGCTGGGATTACAGGCTTAAGCCACTGCGCCTGGCCCAAAAATACCAGAATTTTTAGTGCTTTACATTTATTTAGTCCACATGCCATTCCATAACCCTCACTTACTCTTACATTTACAAATGTGATAATGGTTAGGTTAAAATTGTTACTGAGTTTGTCCTGCTTCAGTCATTCGGAGGTAGTCAGTCCTCTTTGTGTTTTATTTCGATAATCCAGATTCTTGTTATCTACAAGCTCTTCCTAAAAGTCTGTTTTACAAACTGCGTGGTGTCTTCCAGGTTATTGAATATCATTACATAAACATTAGGGAGCTATAATGTTCTGAATGATACTCATTGGTAGTTTAAATAAATTAATGAAATTTTAAAAACTACCTTTTCCATTCCAAGATAATTATAAGAGCTTATAAATAGATAGCTCTTAGTTCTATAAAGAATAATCTGTATGAATAATGTTATAGTAATTTTTGAGAGATTAAAATAGTAGTTTATTTGGAACAGCATAATTTACATAAACTTAAATGCACTAACAAGAAAGATAAAAGAAGATATTAATGGTGCTATTTAGATTATGCTGGGCTAGAAGAGCCAAGAATATTCTAATTTTGCTTTAGCCCAACCACACCTTTTTTCTACAGAGTCCTTCAGGTAGATTCTTGTGTAAAGGGGTGCAAGGAATAGGTAAAATCTCAGCAAACTAACACAGGAACAGAAAACCAAACACCGCATGTTCTCCCTTATAAGTGGGAGTTGAACAACAAGAACACATGGACACAGGGAGGGGGAACATCACACACCGGGGTAGGTCAGAGGGTGGGGGGCTAGGGGAGGGATAGCATTAGGAGAAATACCTGATGTAGATGATGGGTTGGTGGATGCAGCAAACCACCATGGCATGTGTATACCTATGTAACAAACCTGCATGTTCTGCACATGTATCCCAGAACTTAAAGTATTAAGAAAAAAAAAAAAAAAGAAATGATGCTCTCTCCATAGGCTCACAGCTCTAAAGAACTGGATTAGGCCCAACTGAGAGTATTCTGCCTAGACAAGAAGACCTAATTATAAAGGGCGATTAAAAGCCACACATAAACAGTACACAAAAAAACACTAACCAGAGATACAGATATAGGATAAATATATACCCGCTGTGATGCAACAACCGAGCCAGATACTACCCTTTCATTTGGTCCATCAGGTTTACTTTGGTGGTAGCTAAGCAGGATGGAAAATGCTAAGCAAGAGCAAGACAATGACTGTTGCTTTGATGCCACACAATCATGCACTGCTTTATCTCCTCTCTAATTTCAGAAAGGACAGAAAATGATATGCAAAACCTCAAACGTTGTGGAGTAGATCCCTTTTGAAAACTTTAGCCTTGAAAATGTGGTCTAATCAGGATCCTCAAACCTATGCCATATCCGTTTTTCTTGTGGGAACAAATGCCTTTCCTTTCAGTCATTATTGGGAGAGGATTCAAATGTGTTTATGTTAACAGAGGAAAGAAGGTTGGGAGGAGAAAAAAATGAAAGATCAAACAAACATTTAACTATATGGTAAATAATTATTGTACCACGTCCACGTGTATATAATATATGTGTGTGTGTGTGTGTGTGTGTGTGTACTGATTTGCACCATAATTATACACATATATTATTAGAGGTCTAGTTTTTTCTCTTCCTTCATCCCAGGCAATAAAATAGTTATTTTTAGAGATAAAGCATAAATTTAAATATCAAGTTTGCTTTCATATATTTAATATACAGCTTTTAAACTACAAAGAAGTGCAAATATTGTGTTTCCGCATTTGATGGATAACCATGGGTACTTGTCTCCTTGGATTTTCTCCTCATGAAGCTGACCCGACTCTCACTTCTTCTATGGCTCTCTGAATCGCCGTGTATGGTGAGTGATTCTCATGCTATTCACCATATATGGTTAAATGTTAGATATTTAATTTATTTTAATATCTACAATTTTATTTCATTTTGTATTTATTTATTTATTTATTTATTTATTTATTTATTTATTTAGAGACAGAGTCTCTCTCTGTTCCCCAGGCTGGAGTGCAGTGGCATGATCTCAGTACACTGCAACCTCTGCCTCCCAGGTTCAAGTGATTCTTCTGCCTCAGCCTCCCGAGTCACTGGGATTACAGGTGCCCGCCATCACGCCCAGCTAATTTTTGCATTTTTAGTAGAGACAGGGTTTCAACATGCTGGCCAGGCTGGTCTCGAGCGTCTGACCTCAAGGGATCCACCTGCCTTGGCCTCCCAAAGTGCTGGGATTACAAGTGTGAGCCACCATGCCCGGCCCACAATTTTATCCAAATGTACTCCTAATGTTTATCCCTAATATGTATCCAGAGATGGAAACTACTGCTATTCTCTCATTCTAACCAAGGTAGACTGGAAAAACAGTCTTCTACTTGCTACCTTTCCTAATGCAGACTTGGTTATCTGTTCCCTAAAGATTTGGGAAGAGTCACCCTCCACAGGGAAGAGAGAATAGGATGGAGAAAAGCTGAAGCAGAAAAGGATTGAACTCAGGAATATGATTGATTTATGGCTGCAAAAATCTTGGCAAAGGCAATTTTGCCTTTAGTCTTTACATAAAGGTCTTTTGGTTTTGTTTTGATTTATATGTTTTAATTGATAGAATATAATTGCATTGCATTTATGGAAGACAATGTAAGGTTTTGATATATGTATATAATGTAGACTAATAAAATCAACATATAGCATATTAATATATCCATACCTGACTTGACCTTCTTTTGTGGTGATACATTTAAAATATAGTGTTTTAGTTTTTTTGAAATATACATTATTATTGACTTTAGTCACCTTGTTATGCAATAGATCTCAAAATGTATTCCTGCTGTTCAGCTAAAATTTTATAACCCCGGACTGTCAACTTTCCATTCCTTTCTCCCCATCTTCACCCTCAGCTTCTGGTAGCAATCATTCTAGTCTCTCCTTCTATGGATTTGATGAGTTTTTAAAATTTTTTATTCCACGTATAAGTGAGATCATGCAGTATTTGTATTTCAGTGCCTTGCTTATTTTATTTAGCGTGATATTTTCTGGTCGATTCATATTATCCCAAATGAAAGAATTTTACTCTTTCTTTAAAGGCTGAATATTATTTCAGTGTATGTATAGGCCATATTTTCTTTATCCATTCACCTGAGGACTTTTTTGAACTAGGAAATTCATGAGAGAAATTTAGCTTCTTATGATCACATTGCCATAAAATCATACTTATATGACCTGTGGAGCACTTAGGTATCTTAGTGAAAAGTGAGTTAGTGCATATGCTGACCAGGGCCATATCCCAAGAAACTGATGAAATAAGTGGCTGTGGTTGTACTTTTGACAGAGGGCTAATTTACTGACCTTCACATCAGGGTTTGTCTCCAGGTGGACAGTGTTTCCTTCTCTTGGCAGCAATAGAGGAGATTGCAATAGACTTAGAGGTGGGTACGTCTGGTCAACCGGTTAAATAAATGAGTAATCCAAGAACACCAGTTATAGGCATGAAAATAAATGAGCAGGAAGGCTGCGTAAGTCCAGGAGAAACAAGAGAGATGTGTAAAGCATCCGAATTGGGGCAGGGGAAATTAAAAACTTGTGTTCTTTTAATACTATGTTCTGCCCTACTTTCAAATAATTTTTAACAATGGAGTGTAACAATGATGACTATTGTTTATCTAGTTAAATTTGGCAATTTGAAGAAGATGGGTTTTAGTTTGTTCAAATAAGGTCAAGGGAGAAGAATTAAGAAAGCAATAATTCATTTAGGTAAGACTTAATGAAGCCCAGGAAAGAGAGAGAAAGCATGGGGAAAAGAGGAACAGGCGAGAAAAGTAGAGAGACGGGGAGAGGGTGAGATAGGAAGAGAGGAGGGAGAATGGTGGAAAATGACTGAGAATAATACAAGTAATTTTATCCTATGACTGCTATTAGTAGAAAAATAAAACTGAAAACTGAAATGAAAGAGTAAACATACGGGAAATTGGTCCGTTGATGGGCAGGAGAAATTTAGAGTTTGTTTTAATATACAATGAAATTTAGATTTTGGAGGCAATCTCCATGTCTATCACAGAGATTTAGATGTGGAACCCAGAAAAGAAGCCAGGGATGAACTTCTTCAAAGTAAATTCAGTAGTCTCTTGGGTGTTGATGACCTAGTCCTGGGAGAAAAAGTCATGCCAGAGAGGAAGGAAACCTAAAAAGAAATTGTGAGAAAGAGTCTCATACAGCAGCAACCAAAGGCAGTCACAGAAGCTGCTTAATTCGAACAGGCCTCATATTAACCAAGTGAACCTCCTGCAAGAATAACAAAAAGCATAACGAAACTGTCCCTTTTCAAATCCAAGGCGGCTTGATTATCATGCTGTTCACCGTATGAATTTAAACTTTAAAACTTGACTGTAAGGAATTTACTCTAATTTTTTTTTGTCTATTACATCTAATTTTTGTGTCTATTTTATACAGACAAAACTTTAAACCATCAATTATATTACCTATATCCTCAGCAAATTTTACTGATTCCCCTATTCCATTCTAGAGCTTCTCATCTTCAGGGGGAGAAAATATTTGATGGCCAAATTATGTGAAAATTTTCTTCAATCAAATGAATATTTACTAGATCCAGTGTAATGAAGGAAAGAATGATGTTAATATTGTTTCAATGGGGCTTATGTTATATGCTATGAAATAATCCATGAATAGCAATTTAAGTGTACAATGAAAATTCAGGTAAAGATGAAAGAGTTTATCATTCAATCAAATTACTAAGTTATTTAATAAGATAAGCCTGAAAAATGTTGAATTCGTTCAGTTTGTTTATTTTTAAAGGAAATATTTTTTAAAAAACAACTTTCTAAAATATGATTGCTTTTCTAGTGAAAACACTAAGTCCTTTATTCCTGGAGCATTTCTCCAGTTTTAGTATTATTCATTTCTTGCAATCAGCTAATATGTATATCTTAAACACATTCTGTTTTAACTCAAGCATTTTTCCCCCCTCCTTTAAATTTTTTTTTCTGGTGCCGTGTATGGTGGCTCACCCTTGTAATCTCAGCACTTTGGGAGGACGAGGTAGGTGTATCACCTGAGGTCAGAAGTTTGAGACCAGCCTGACCAATATGGTGAAACCCCATCTCTACTAAAAATACAAAAATTAGCCAGCATGGTGGTGTGTGCCTGTAGTCCCAGCTACTCAGGAGGCTGAGGCAGGATAATTGCTTCAACCCGGGAGGTGGAGGTTGCAGTGAGATGAGATTGCACCACTGCACTCCAGCCTAGGCAACAGAGCAACATTCCATCTCAAAAATATATATATATATATATAAAATATATATTTTATATATATATATTATATATATATTTTATATATATAATATATATAATAGAATTATATAGACTAGCCAATGTTTGAGCATCAGATTTTTCCTTCCTAATTTTGGTCACCAGATAATTCTAGGCAAAGCAAGAGTAAAATATATTCTAGGCTGTGTGCGGTGGCTCACGCCTGTAATCCCAGAATTTTGGGAGGCTGAGGCGGGTGGATCACGACTTCAGGAGATCAAGACAATCCTGGCTAACACAGTGAAACCCTCTGTCTACTAAAAATACAAAAAATTAGCCGAGCATGGTGGCGGGTACCTGTAGTCCCAGTTGCTCGGGAAGCTGAGGCGGGAGAATGGCGTGAACCCAGGAGGTGGAGCTTGCTGTGCGGTGAGATAGCGCCACTGCACTCCAGCACTCCAGCCTGGATGACAGAGCGAGACTCCGTCTCAAAAAAAAAAAAATTATATATATATATATATATACACATACACACACACACACACACACACATACATACATGCATATACGTATATGTATATTCTAAATGTTTCAATGACTTACAGAAATTTTAAGAATGATCAAACCTCTCATAGGCTTCTGAAATCAAATTGCCTAAGATATTAAGCAATTGGCTATTTTGGATAGCATTATATACAGTGTGTTTAGCACAATGTTCTGAACATAATGAGAATTCAAAACATATTTATTTAATTTAATGATCTACTATTTATTGAGGAGAGTTGTTTTCTTGACATTATGTGACCTATCATTTTCAGTGTAATTACATGTATAACTTCTAATATTCAATAAGTATAATACTATTTTTAAAATGCATACCTGTATCCCACATTATTTAAGATAAAGAGGTTCTCTCACCAACTCATCTTTTATTAATTATTCTCATTTTCTCTATTAGCAGATTTTTGTTAGCATATTCCTGTCACTAAAATATCAATTGTCAGACATGATATTGTCCTGACAGGTAAGAAAACTTTGCAGTAACTCAATGTTTGTTTCTTGGTCTGAGACTCCTTAAGTTTTACATTTAAAAAACCCATCTCCAGCTATTTAAACAAAAAGACAAAAGCTAAAATATTCAGAAGCTTGACAGTTACAGCAAAGCTAGATGGATGTGCTGAGGTAGTATCTTACATTTCAAGGGCATTGCTGAATGTAGGGAAGTGCATCTGTGGATGCAGGCAGCCATTTTGTCAACACTAGGAGGAGAAGGGGGCTAACACGGGGGTAAAGTGACTGTAATATATGCTATAACAATCAAAAAATTTAGTTTGAAAATTTGAACTATCATCTGAAATTTTAGTTTTTGCTTTTTTGTTTAAAATGGTTGGAGTCAGGTTTCTTTAATGTAAATCTATGTCTTGGTTCTTCTTTTCTTCCACTTAACCTGTATATTCACACTCTTTCTTCAAAGTTTGAAAAATGGCTGTTTGTAGCTGTAGATTTACTTCCTCTTAATTTAGTAATCTCTACAGAATGTAGGACTCTCTTTCCCAAAAGAATTATACATTTTTTTGAAATTAATTTTGATATACCAAAGTTGATATAGTTCTATTTTTGAACCAATAATTGTGTCCAGGGATATAGTGTAGTTCTTGTTTCACATGGGTTAGCCAGAGGTTAACTTGTGGACTTCACTTAAGGGAGGGATGGCTCTCCAAAGGCAATTAAAAATATCCTTAACAGAAGTTTGGGGGAAAATCTAGAGCAGGCCAAACAGTAGTTATAAAATACAATGTTTTGAATAAAAACATAAATTACAGTATTTTTGGAAGGTTCCTGTGAATAAGCTGATTCGCGACTAAGCTTATTTCTGCCAAATGAGTCAGGTGAGATGAGAACACTTATCAATTTGGGTGGATGCATGTCAATATAGCTCCAAAAAGGTAGCTAGTATTTTATGTTAACAAGTACTGGTACTAAAGAGACATGTCCTCTCAAGGCATAAAATCACTTCTGTCATTATATCTGGCTACATTTTATCCATCAACCCAGTGTACTCTCACTCATTCACCATCAAATTACCCCTTTCTCCATTTACATCATTTTCTTCCTAGTAACTAGAAAACTCCTGATTGTTAGAGATTTTGGCTCAACGTCCAATTTTTTATTTATTTATTTTTATTTTCTTCTGTCTCTCTCCCTTCTGTTTTCCTTCCTTTCTTCCTTCCTTTTTATTTCCTTCTCTCCTCTCTTCTTTCTTTGTTTCCCTTTCTTTTCCCTTCCTTTTTTCTTTTTCCCCCTCTCCTTCTCTCTTATTTTTCTCTTTCTTTTGTTCAGATTTGCCTTCCCAGGAAATGGTCTGGAAAGTTGATGACAGCAATGCACTGCCCAGGAATCTAGATGAGAAATAGTAGAAATGAGAACCTGAATCCTGGGCATGTGTTCTTCCAGGCAGCAAGGAGAACAAAACATCTTTCTGAATTCCAGTTGAAGGAGATCTGGGACCCAAGGGAAACTGAAATATTAAGACTATTTCTCATTTTTCCTAGTACTGTTTGCTCAGGTTACAAGTCTTCAATAAGCTCCTGGAATCTTTTCCCCATATGTTTTAACTAGTCTTTTGATTTTTGGTCTTTCTTTTTTTTCTTTTTTTCTGCTATATATTGCCAGGAAAAAAATGATATCTGATATAAATATTCTAAATTTGACTGCTTTCTTGCTTGGACCCACCATACATGACTGCCCTTTTCTCAGAAACTGGTTTATATAAATATATAAATATATTTCTTGTTCTATTTAGCTACTAAATATTCCTAAGATCGTTACCTAGTGCCTAGGTTTGGCTTTATATCTAAATTGAACAATAATCAAGATGAAAATTGTGTGCTCCTTGAATAAATGTACTGGATTCACTGGTCATCAGGGGAGACCAACTCTGGCCCAAATTCTCTTTATCTTTTCTATTCATATTTAACCAATCAGAATCAATTTTGGGGGGTGTGAGGTGCTTAACAGAACAGAAATTCATTGTATCATTCTTCTGGAGGCTAAAGTCTGAAGTCAAAGTGTCAGTAGTATTGCTTCTTTTGGAGGGCCCTGAGGAAGAATCTATTCCATGCCATCCCCTAGCTTATGATGACGGCCATCACCTCTTGGTATTTCGTGGCTAATAGATGCATCATTTCAGTCTTTGCCTTCATCTTCACATGGCATTCTCCTTCTGTGGCTGTGTGCTATTTTTCTTTTTCTTTTTTTTCGAGACAGGGTCTCACTCTGTTACCCAGGCTGGAGTGCAGTGGGGAGATCACAGCACACTGCAGCCTTGACCTTCTGGGCTTAAGCAATCCTCCCACTTCAGCAACCCAAGTAGCTGGGACTACAGGCACACGCCACCATACCTGGCTAGTTTTGTTTATTTTTTTGTGGAGATGGGGTCCTGCTATATTGCCCAGGCTGGTCTTGAATTCTTAAGCTCAAGTGATCCTCCCACCTTGGCCTCCCAAAGTGCTAGGATTACAGGGGTGAGTCACCAGGCCTCGCTTAGAGTCACATTTTTAACCCCAAATATCAAATATCAAATAATACCAAATTTTTTTAGAGTCAAATTTTTAACTCCCAAATATCTCAACATATTTTAAACATTCTCAATGATTTGTTTCTGTAATCAACGAAAATAGTAACTCTCCTTCTGGCTATTCAATATATTTCTTTCAAAGTTTGTAGATATTTTATATAATTTTGCATTTTTATGTTTCTTCAACACTACCTCACTGGGCAGTACATATGCATCATATTCATGTTTATTTTGAATAAAGCACTAATATACGTTTGACTGTTACATTTTAACAGTTTAACTCCACTCTTCCTAATAATTTATACCCTCATTCCATATGTCCAGATGGCTAGTTGTCCATCAGCACTTATTAACTGAATCCACAATGTGAACTTGTTGCTAAAAGGTAGCTTTCCAGGCATGAAATTCCATTTCTTAGCCCCTTCTCCATCTAGGCTGTGTGACTAGTTTTTGTCAATGGAATAAACATGAATGACTCAGTTCTGGTTCAAGGCCTTGAAACATGAATCTGTCTTCTCCATGTCCTCTGCTAATGTCCTCTGTTACTTTTTTTGGCTATATGCAGGTGATAGGCAAGTAGAGAATAAGGAAACCAGAACCTCCAAGTGGAGGAAACTGGGTAACTGAAGCACTACAGGGAAGAAAGGCATTCTCAAACCAAAGATAACAGACTAGAACTGTGTTATTAAAAAAAAAATTAAAAATATTTTTGGATCATTGTATTATCACCACACTCTTGCCTTGGCTAGTAATTATAACTCAAACCCCTTTGACCTCAGTACTTTTGAGGCTCTTTTTTTTTGGGAAGTCTTTCATGGACCCTCCTAGACTAAGCAAGGTGTTCCTGCTAGGTGCTCTCTCAGTCCATGTTATATCATGTGTCATTTCCATCTTCAAACAATGTTTGATTTTTACAATTACATTTCCCAAGTAGACTGTAGTAGAATAAAAGTACTTTCTGTCTTGTTCAGAATAATATCTCCAGAATCTAGCCTATTACTTAGAACATATGAAATGTTAAATAAATATGTACTCAAGTAAGAAATGATTAAACATACAGAAATAATTAGAAAGCCACGTTGATTTAAGATTAGAGGGCTCCAGTAATACGTAAGAAAGTCAATAGATACCTTAATTTGAAAAGAGTATTTTAACATTCTTTATTTAATTTCTTTTAAAATAAGGCCCTAGAACTTTATCATAAATATTTCCATATAAAAGTTTGTATAAGCTTATTTAAGTAAATTTTAGATTTGTAGTATTAGAATACATTCAACAGTGTTCATGGCACTATGTGAAAGATAAAGAAAAAGAAGTCTCAGGATACAAAATCAATGTGTAAAAATCACAGGCATTCCTGTACAACAATAATAGACAGAGACCCAAATCATAAGTGACCTCTCATTCACAATTGCTACAAAGAGAATAAAATACCTAGGAATACAACTTGTAAGGGATGTGAAGGACCTCTTCAAGGAGAACTACAAACCACTGCTCAAGGAAATAAGAGAGGACACAAACAAATGGAAAAGCATTCCATGCTCATGGGTAGGAAAAATCAATATCATGAAAATGGTCATACTGCCCAAAGTAAATTATAGATTCAGTGCTGTCCCCATCAAGCTACCATTGACTTTCTTCACAGAATTAGAAAACACTTCTTTAAATTTCATATGGAACCAAAAAGGAGCCCATATAGCCAAGTTAATCCTAAGCAAAAAGAACAAAGCTGGAGGTATCACGCTACCTGACTTCAAATTATACGACAAGGCTACAGTAACCAAAACAGCATGGTACTGGTACCAAAACAGATATAGATCAATGGAACAGAACAGAGGCCTCAGAAATAATGCCACATATCTACAACCATCTGATCTTTGACAAACCTGACAAAAGCAATGAGAAAAGGATTCCCTATTTAATAAATGGTGTTGGGAAAACTGGCTAGCCATATGCAGAAAACTGAAACTTTCTTTCCTTACACTTTATAAAATAATTAACACTGGATGGATTAAAGACTTAAATGTAAGACCTAAAACCATAAAAACCCTAAAAGAAAACCTAGGCAATACCATTCAGGACATAGGCATGGACAAAGACTTCATGACTAAAACACCAAAAGCAATGGCAACAAAAGCCAAAATTGACAAATAGGATCTAATTAAACTAAAGAGCTTCTGCACAGCAAAAGAAACTAGCATCAGAGTGAGTAGGCAACCTACAGAATAGGAGAAAATTTTTGCAATCTATCCATCTGAGAAAGGGCTAATATCCAGAATCTACAAGGAACTTAAATTTACAAGAAAAAAAAAATCTCATCAAAAAGTGGTCAAAGGATATGAACAGACACTTCTCTAAAGAAGACATTCATGCGGCCAAAAAACATGAAAAAAGCTCATCATCACTGGTCATTAGAGAAATACAAATCAAAACCACTATGAGATACCATCTCACACCAGTTAGAATGGTGATCATGAAAAAGTCAGGAAACAACAGATGCTGGAGAGGATGTGGAGAAATAGGAACACTTTTACACTGTTTGTGGGAATGTAAATTAGTTCAACCATTGTGGAAGACAGTGTGGTGATTCCTCAAGGATCTAGAACAAGAAATACCATTTGACCCAGCAATCCCATTACCCTGGGTATATACTCAAAGGATTATAAATCATTCTACTATAAAGACACATCCACACGTATGTTTATTGCATCACTATTCACAATAGTAAACACTTGGAACCAACCCAAATGCCCATCAGTGATAGACTGGATAAAGAAAATGTGGCACATATACACCATGAAATACTATGCAGCCATAAAAAAGGATGAGTCCATGTTCTTTGCATGGACATGGATGAATCTGGAAATCATCATTCTCAACAAACTAACACAGGAACAGAAAACCAAACACTGTATGTTCTCACTTGTAAGTGGGAGTTGAAAAATGAGAACACATGGACACAGGGAGGGGAACATCACACACCAGGGCCTGTCGAGGGCTAGAGTAGGGATAGCATTAGGAGAAATACCTAATGTAGATGACTGGTTGATGGGTGCAGTAAACCACTATGGCAGGTGTATACCTATCAAACAAACCTCCACGTTCTGTACGTGCATCCCAGAAATTAAAGTATAATAATAATAAAAAAGAATTTAATAAATGGCCAGGCTAATTTTTTTATTTGCTGCAGAATGGTATTCTATATTGATGTCATGCCCACCAATATGCCTTTCACAGTCATTTAGCATTGATATATATCAAATATAAGTCAATTTTAAAAGGTGTTAGTGGCCATACATATCTGTTTTCAGTATAATTACTTTTCAAAAGAAAAAAATTATCAGCAGCCAAAACATTTCAAAAAAATGTAGCTCAGTAATGCAAAGAAGCTTTTACTAGATTAACCAACCATGTGAAAATAGCATCTTTGAACTACAGATATTTTTGCTTAATATGACAGCTAACTAAGCTTTCTTTAAGTATAATATTTCTACAAAAACTGAAAATCTTTTCCAACTCATTTGTAGGTTGGACGTTTTTATATATTCAAGAGGACATGATGCTTTCTTCCTTACCTCTTCAATTTTAGATACATATACCCTTAAATAAAATGGGTTTTATTCAGGTTAATCACCTTTAGCCAGAATCTGAACTCTTTCTTGTTAAGTTCTCTTGCTCTAAGGCTTAAACTACTTCTTAGATGTCTCCTTTCATAAATAAGATACAATCCTCAATTAAAATCCCTTCTAAAAGAGTTCTGGTTTATTGTCAGCTTATCATGACTATAGAATATAACCTAATTCACTGTTAGATCTCTAGACTTTATACTGCAACTGAAAATGTACAATAATTCATATTCGTCTGAGTACACATACTAATTACAAGTTGAACATTTATTTGAAGCTTAATAAGTGTTCATCCTTTTAAGACACTATTTCAGAGTTTCAGTTCACTTTCTAGTTGTCTTCACTGATTCTAAAATTACCAGCAATTCACCGTTAATTATTTTGTGGGTTTTATTTTTGAATTATTCCTAAGAAGGAGAAGAGGTTTGGTACATTGTATTTTATTAATCTAAGCCTTGTCTGTAAAATCTGATTAGCCTTTAAACAAATTATATCCCTCGTGATTCTTACTATTCCATACCATTAATGAATATGAAAGAGGAACTCTAAATACCATTTTGAAACAAAATATTTATTTGTTTAACTCTTGTTTCTACATGTGTATCTGAATTTATCTTATTACCAGTGAAAATGTTCATTTATGGTATATTTTTTGTTAAATTTTGAAAGCGGGGCATAGAAGCCCAAATGATTAGTCATGACTTAGAGAAACCTAAACAAGTCGATCCATTTGACAATTGAATTAGAGATTTGTTTTGTTTTGTTTTGTTTTTCTCCAAGATGGCAGATTAGAGGCTTTTTGGCATGGCTCAGCCACTTGGAAATAGCAAGATACTGCCTGAAAATCAACTCTGTGAGCTTTAATTCAAGCAAGAAAGTGGGAGTCTACCAGAATCATGAAGGCACCCCAGATCTCAGGGAGAAGAATACGGGCTACCAGCTCTCTTGATGGTACCTGGTGAAGTCCCAGTACATGAGAGAGGCAGGGAGCCCCTCTCTGTGACTCACCTTTCCACTGGGGATCTGAGCAACCTAGGCTGAGGGAGAACATTGTTTCTTGTCAGCCCTGGAGATAACATGGGGAGAGACTTGGTGATGCTATGAAAGAAAAAGCTACAGACAATTTCCCAAACCCAGGATGGAGAGCAAGATGCCATTTTTTAATCAAGATGCACATAAAGTCAGCCATTTTGGGGCAACCCAACAGCCTAGCCACACAGGCATTTCAGTATTGAGCCAGAGATTGGAGCGCCTGCTCTGGATTGGGGTAGGGGCCTCCACAGCCAAAACTGTGGAAAGCACCTCATCGGTAGTTACTGGAATTGTGCTCATCGCTGTTGCAAGCCTGGGGCTGGAGGGGAGCTGCTACAGCTGCAGTTTCTCTGGGGCAGTGAGATTTGCAGCCAATGCCAGCTTGGTGACCTGGAACTGATCCCATTTGTGTGTGCCATTGCTAGTGCCCAATCCCACTCCCCTGAGATTGTGGTGTATAGCAGAGCCCTTTCTGCTCCACCCCAGGCAGAAATCCAAGCATTTGATGCACCCACTTGTCTGGATTAGCAGCATTATTCCATGAATCCTTCCAGTACAGGGATATTGGGGCAGGGGAGACCTCTCTGCACAGGCATTTAGAGAACCTGCTTGCCTGGTCCAGCAGCCTGAACCATCACACCCTTTCTGCGCAAAGATCTTGGTGCATGAGGGGCCTCTCCATTCCATGCCCAGGCATATTTCCAGGCATTTGGAGCACCTGCTCACTTAGTTCAGCAACCTGACCTGTCCTATACATCCTGTGCAGAAATTCTAGTGCAGAGAGGCCCACTCTGCTTCACACATAGGCAGGTGGCATGGTTTGGCTGTGTCCCCATCCAAATCTCACCTTGAATTGTAATAATCCTCATGTGTCAAGGATGGGGCCAGGTAGAGATAATTGAATCATCGGGGCGGTTTCCCCCATACTGTTCTCATGGTAGTGAATTTGTCTCATGAGATCAGATGGTTTTATAAATGGGAGTTCCCCTGCACAAGCTCTCTTGCCTGCCACCATGTAAGACCTGACTTTGCTCCTCATTCAGCTTCTGCCATGATTGTGAGGCCTCCCCAGCCACGTAGAACTGTGAGTCAATTAAACCTCTTTCCTTTATATATTACCCAGCCTCGGATATGTCTTTATTAGCAGTGTAAGAACAGACTAATTCAGCAGGTCTCCAGGCATTAATAGTGCCTGAAATAAACATGTTTATTCCATTGTCGGTTTAGCAGCCTGAGATGACCTATCCCACCTGTGCAGAGATCTTGGTGTAGGGGGATCCTCTCCATTCCATGCCCACAAAGGTTTCTAGGCATCTAGAGGGCCCACTTCCGTGAATTAGAAGTTTAGGTACCCCTTCTTTCCCGTGTAGAGAACTTTCTGGCCAAGAAGTTTTCCCAGCCCCATGTAGGCACGTGTCTAGGTGCTTGGTGGTTGCCCACTGGATTCCCCATTGCATCTGCCATTGGGGGACTTGTGGGTGTGCTCCCCTGGTGGTCCTGCCCATGATGGACTCCATACCCTAGGGGCTCAGCAGGGAGCTCAGACCACTGTGTATTCTACAAATCAGGCCTATTGCCTTAAGAATGATGTATATACCAGCTGCAATGGCTATAGCCAGCTCCATAAGCACCATCTACTGGCCTGTAGGTCCAACTTCACAGCCCAATATAAAACCGTCAAAATAAGTGTGTAGGGCTACAGAAGCAAAGCCAAAAGACCCTACCCATCATTCTCTATAGTAACATCCCCTAGGGAGGGTGTAGGTGGAAGGAAAGGGAGAGAAAGAAATGTATAGAGAAAGAAAGAAAGAGTAAAGATCGTACACACTCAAAAATAATCATAAAAATTAGAACTGCCCCCATCTCCACATGAGGAGGAACTAGCACAAGAATTCTAGCATCATAAAAAATCTGAATGTATAAACACCACCAGAGGATTGCACTAGCTCTCCAGAAATGGTCCCTAACCAAAAGGAAACTCAGAAATGGAAGATAAAGAAAATAAAATATGGGTTGCAAGAAAGCTCAATGAGATCCAAGACAAAGTTAAGAATAAACACCAAGAAACTTCTGAAGCAGTCCAGAAATTATGGAAGAGATAAATATCTTAGAAAAAATCAATTGGAGCTTCCAGAATTGAAAAGCTCACTTAAGAAATTTCAAAATGCAACTGAAAATTTTATCAATAGTACAGACCAAACAGAATAAAAACTTTCAGAACCTGAAGACAAGTCTTTTGAACTAACCCAGTCAGACAAACACAAAGTAAAAGATAATTTTAACATGATCGAAGTGTTTGAGAAACAGGGGATTACAATCTGGGGTCAGTGGCTCACGCCTGTAATCCCAGCACTTTGGGAGGCCGAGGTTGGTGGATTACTTTAAGTCAAGAGTTTAAGACCAGCCTGGCCAACATGGTGAATCCACGTCTCTACTAAAAATACAATAATTAGATGAGTGTGGTGGTGCACATCTGTGGCCCCACTACGCAGGTAGCTGAGGGAGGAGAATCACTTCAACCCAGGAGGCAGAGGTTGCAGTGAGCTGAGATCACGCCACTGCACTCAAGACTGGGCAACAGAGTGAAAGTTCATTGCAAACAAACAAACAAACAAAAAAACAAATAGGGGATTATGTAAATAGATAAAAACTACAAATTATTAGCATTCCTGAGAGTAAAAGATAAAAAGTTAACAACCTGAAAACATATTTGAGTGAATGATTCAAGAGAATTTCCTTAATCTTGCTAGAGAGGTAGGCATCCAAATACAAAACCTCAGAGAAAATTTATGACATATTACACAAAACAAACCAAGGTATATAGGCACTAGACTGTTCAAAGTCAACTTAAAGAAAAAGTTGTAACGGCAGCTAGAGAGAAATGTTAGGACATGTATAATGGGAGCCCCATCAGGTTAACAGAGGACGTCTCAGAAGAAATCTTACAAGTCAGGAAAGATTGGGGGCCTATTTCCAGCATAATTAAAGAAAAGAAATTCCAATTAAGAATTTCTTTCCCAGCCATACTAAGCTTTACAAGTGAGGGAGGAATAAATATTTTCCATACAAACAAGCACTAAGTGAATGTTTTACCACCAGACCAGCCTTACAAAAGATCCTTAATGGAGTTCTAAATATGCAAACAACATAATGATACCTCCCACAACCAAAAAGCACTTAAGTACATATTTGGCTGACCCTATGAAGCAATCACACAATCGAAACTACAAAGCAAACAGTTAATAACCTTATTGTAAGAACAAGACTTCATATATCAATATTAACCTTGAATGTAAATAGTCTACCCACTTAAAAGGCAAAGAGTTGCAAGTTGGATTAAAAACAAGACTCATCAGTCTGCTATCTTCAAGAGACCCATCACATGTAACCATAGGCTCAAAGTAAAGGATTAAAAAAAAATCTACCAGGTAAGTATAAAACATAAAGGAGCAGGGGTCATGATTCTTATATTAGGTAAAACAGGCTTTAAACAAAGAACATTTAAAAAGGACAAAAAAGGTCCTTACATAATGATAAAGGGTTCAATTCAACAAAAAAACTTAACTATTCTATGTATATGCATGCCCAATGTCAGAGCACCGAGATTCATAAAACAAGCACTTCTAGACATACAAAAAGACTTAGCCACACAATAATAGTAGGAGACTTCAACACCCCACTGACAGCAATAGACAGATCACTGAGGCAAAAAACTGGTAAAGAAATTCCAGACATAAACTCAACTATAGACCAACTGGACCTAATAGACCCCTACAGAATACTCCAACCATTAACCACAGTATTTACTTTCTTCTCATCTGCACATGGAACATACTCCAAGATTGACCATATATGTGGCCATAAAGCAAGTCTCAGTAAATTCAGAAAAATTAATCTAGGCCCACATAACCGTAATCTAGTTCTAACCATAATCTAGGACCACAGTGGAAAAAAATAGAATTCAATACTGTGGAGATGTATTAAAACCCAAAATATATATATAAAAATTAAACAACTTGTTCCAGAATGACTTTTGGGAAAATGATAAAATTAAGGCAGAAATAAAAAAAAAAATTTGAAATAACTGAAAAAAGAGACACAACATACCAAAATCTTAGGGATGCAGCAAAAGCAGTGTTAAGAGGAAAGTTTACTGTGCTAAACACCTACCTCAGAAAGCTAGAAAGATCTCAAATCAATAATCCAACATTAAACCTCAAGTAACTCGTAAAACAATAACAAACTAACCACAAAGCCAGCAGAAGAAAAGAAATAATTAAAATTAGAGTGGGGCTGAATGAAATTGAGAGCTAAAATTTCATGCAAAAAAGATCAATGAAACTAAAAGTTTATTCTTTGAAAGGACAAAAAAGATCAATAAACTGCTAGCTAAATTAACAAAGAAAAAAGAGAAATCTAAATAAGCACAATCAGAAAAGACAAAGGTGACATCACAGCTGATTCCACAGAAAACCAAAAAATTCCTCAGAGACTATTATGAATACCTCTATGCACACAAACTAGACAATCTAGAGGAAATGCATACATTTATAGAAACATACAAACTCCCAAGATTATATCAGAAGAAAGTGAGACACTGACTAGACCAATATTGAGTTCTGAAATTGAATCAATAATAAAAACTCTACCAATTAAAAAAAGCACTGGAGAGGATGGATTCTCAGCCAAATTCTACCAGATGTAAAAAGAGCTGGTACTAATTTTATTGAAATGATTCCAAAAAATTGAATAAGTGGAACACCTTCCTAACTTGTTCTACAAACACAGCATCATTCCAATACCAAAATCTGGCAAAAACACAACAAGAAAATAAATTTAAGGAAACTACAGGCCAATATCCATGATGAACACAGACACAAAAATCCTAAACAAAATACTACCAAACCAAATTCAACAGCTATCAAGAAGTTAATTCATTATGATCAAGTAGGCTTCATTCCTGCAAGGCTGGTTCAGCATACGTGAATCAGTAAATGTGTTTCACCACATAAAAAGAATTAAAAACAAAAACATATGATCATCTCAATAGACATAGGGGAATCTTTCAGTGAAATCTGATGTTGCTTCATGATAAAAATCCACCAAAAAGTAGGTATTGAATGATCATACCTCAAATAATAAAAGCCATCTATGACAGACACATAGCCAACATCATACTAAATGGGCAAAAGCTAGGAGCATTCCCTTTGAGAACTAGGACAAGACAAGGATGCCTACTCTCACTACTCCTATTCAAAGTAGTACTAGAAGTGCTAGCTATGGCAACCAGGCAAGAAAATGAAATAAAAGACATGCACATAGAAAAAAAGAAATTAAACTATTTCTCTTTGTGCACAATCTGATCTTATACCTAGAAAACCCTGACAATTCTGCCAAAAGGCCCTGGAATTGAAAAATGACTTCAGTAAAGTTTCAGGACACTAAATTAATGTACAAAAATCAGTGGTATTTCAATACAACAATAATGTTCAAGCAGCAAAGCAAAGTCAAGAATGCAATCCTATGTACAATATCCATAAAATAAAATAAAATAAAACACCTAGGAATACATCTAACCAAGGAAGGGAAAGAGCTCTACAAGGAGAACTATAAAATATTGCTCAAAGTAATCATAGATAACACAAACAAATAAAAAACTTTTCATGTTCCTGGATTGGAAGAATCAAGGTCATTCAAATGGCCTTACTGCCCAAAGAAATCTGCAGATTCAATGCTGTGATGGTTAATACTGAGTGTCAACTTGATTGGATTGAAGGATGCAAAGTACTGATCCTGGGTGTGTCTGTGAGGGTGTTGCCAAAGGAGATTAGCATTTGAGTCAGTGGGCTGGGAAAGGCAAACCCACCCTTAATCCGGGTGAGCACAATCTAATCAGCTGTCAGTGCAGCCAGAATATAAAGCAGGCAGAAAAACATGAAAAGGAGAGACTGGCTTAGCCTTCCAGCCTACATGTTTCTCTTGTGTTGGATGCTTCCTGCCCTCAAACATCAGACTGCAGGTTCTTCAGCTTTGGGATTTAGACTGGCTTCCTTGCTCCTCAGTTTGCAGATGGCCTATTGTGGGACCTTGTGATTGTGTGAGTTCATAAACTCCCCTTCATCTATCTATGTATCTATCTATCTATCTATCTATCCATCTATCTATCTATCTATCTATCTATCTATCTATCTATCTATCTATCATAATAATTCTGTCCCTTTAGAGAACCCCAACTAGTACAAACACTATTCCTATCAAACTACCTATGTTATTTTAAACAGAATTAGAATCATGTTTTAAAATTTACAGGAGACCCAAAAAGAGCCCACCTTGCAAAAGCAATCCTAAACAAAAAGAACAAAGCTGGAGGCATCACATTATCTGACTTCAAACTATACTATAAGGCTACAGTAACCCAAATAGAATGGTACTGGTACATAAAGAGACTCATAGACCAATGGAACAGAATAGAGAACTTGGAAAAAAGCCACACACTTAGAGCCATCTGATCTTCAACAAAGTTAACAAAAATAGGCAATGGAGAAAGGACACTCTATTCAATAAATGGTGCCGGGATAGCTGTTTAGCCATACGCAGAATAATGAAACTGGATTCTTACCTTACACCATACACAAAAATCAATGCAAGATGGATTAAAGATTTAAACGTAAGACCTCAAACTATAAGAATTTTAGAAGAAAACCAAGGAAACACCATTCTGGACATGGGCCTCAGGTTTTGACTAAGTCCTCAAAAGCAATTGTAACAAATACAAAAATTGATAAGTGGGACCTAATTAAACATCCGCACACCAAAAGAAACCATCATCAGAGTAAACAGCCACAGAATGGAAGAAAAATTGTGCAAACTATGCATGTGACAAAGGTCTAATATCCAGAATCTATATGGAACTTAATTCAACAGGCAGAAAACAAATAAGCCAATTAACAAGTGGGCAAAATATATGAGCAGACGCTTCTCAAAAGAAGACACACAAGCAGCCAACAAACATATGAGAAAATGCTCCACATCATTAATCATCAGAGAAATGCAAATCAAAACCACAATGAGATACCATCTCACAACAGCCAGAATGGCTGTTATTAAAAAGTCAAATAATAACTGATATTGGTGTGGCTGTGGAGAAAAGAGAAAGCTTACACACTGTTGTTGAGAATGTAAATTATTTCAGTCACAGTGGAAAGCAGTTTAGAGATTTCTCAAAGAACTAAAAATAAAAATAGCATTCAACAAAGCAATCCCATTACTCAGTATATATCCAACAGAAAATATATTTTTCTACCAAAAGACACAAGCACTTGTGTGTTCATCACAGCACTATTCACAATAGCAAAGAAGAAATCAACCCAGGCGTCCATCAATGGTAGATGGGATAAAAAAAAAATGGTACATATACACCATGAAATACTATGCAGCCATAAAGGCAGCCATAAAGGCATAAATACTATGCAGCTAATTAAGGCAGGAGCAGAAAACCAAATACTACATGTTCTCACTTATAAGTAGGAGCTAAACATTGGGTACTCATGGACATAAAAATGGTAATAATAGAAACTGGTGACTATTAGATGGGGGGGGTAGAAAGAGGAAAAAGTGTTGAAAAACTAACTATTGGGTATTATGCTCAGTGCTTGAATGATGGGATTGTTCATACCCCAAATTTCAGCATTACGCAATATTCCCAGGTAAAAAATGTGCATGTACCCTCTGAATCTAAAAGTGGGAAAAAAGGGGAAAAATGGAATTACAACATGGCCTTTATTATTTTGTTTGTCTATTAGTACTTTGGAAAATCCAAAAGTTTTAGGAAAGCATGCAGCTTTAATACTGCAAAGACAATGATGAATCTAATCAATGCATAATCTCAAAAGCAAAAAAAAAGTTGAAATGAAATAAAAGATAATTTGTAACCTAACTTCATTCTTCTGTTTACCATCAAGGTCAAATGACTTTGTAACACCTCAGGGTATTGACTATCTTACTTTAATCAAAAAAAAAAAAAAAAACACCTAGTTTTAATGTTTTAATTTTATCTTGCTTGGATCCTTTTTTGCATCTGCATTTAGCATGCATAAAGTAAGTAAAAGTATTTTTGAACAAAATGAAAAAGCACACAAGTCTACATAGAATATTAAATTCACTGTGTACAGTCATGTTTAAATGGTTTCTCACAATCTTACACCCTCTTTTTATTTCTTGCTCACTAATAGTAAGCATTGGTCCCTGCCAATGACTGGAGAACTAACACTGCTTTTTATTGTTGTTGTTAATTCATTCTTTCAACACATGCAAACTGTTCTTTCTCTTAGGACTTGTGTGGTTCCTTGATTGAAAATTAAACAGATTTCATATAATCTGCTTTAATAAAACTGATTATCCAAAAGTATTCGAGGCAGTATCCTATAACAACATATGGTAAAAGAACGGCCACCATCGCAGACTGGGTTCCCTGGGGAGCAGACATTGAGATGAAGATTAGTATGATAAGGTGTTGTTATGGGTTTAACACCTCATGTTACAGAGATAAGTTTGCCTATAATGTAGTCACAACCAAGGACCTCAGCTGATGTCAGGGTACACGCTGTAGCTGAGATGGCCCTTCTGTAGTTTCCCAAGTTGTGGCAAAGAGGCGATAACTCGCTAACCCAGCATTTACTTGACATAGGATGAGGTTTTCCCAGAGACCACAGTTTGTCCTTGAATGAGGTGTCCATCTTCAATAGAAGCAACTGCCAAAGTAAGCTTACAGTGAAGAACCGTCAGGCAACCTTCCCAAGAGCAAAGAAAGAAATTGTTTAGAAAGGAAGAGGAATCTATGCTGCATAACATCTGCAATAAGCAATATACATAAAATAATTAGCTTGATAAAAAAATTTCTGGTAAGATTTCAAAGCAATGTGTAACTGAGCTATAGAAAAACTCAAAGTTTATAATTGTTGATATCTGAAAAACTGGGAGGAGAGAGTGTTGAAAATGAAACAGAGTTTATTTTTAACATCTTCTTCCTTTTATCTAAACCCTGCTTTCACTTCTTGCTTTTTTTTCCTGCCAAATGTCCACTGTCCTCATATTCTCACTCTGAACTAATACTCTCCTTTGCCTCACATCCCAAATATACAATTTTCTCCAACACCTTAATGTATTACTGGCAGCCTTACAATAAATAATTCTGCTTAACTAAGGTATATAACATTATGTGTTAACAATTGAATATCTGCCACAACATTAATTGTAGAATCACCTTTCACAAAGCGGTTTCCTGGAAAATAAAAGTTCTGTATCCTCACTCTTGATGTTCTGTATCCCACCTGAACTCCTGTCCACTCTGCCCTTGACAGCTGTGATAGAAAATATACCCCTCTAGTGCTTACCTTCCTAATCTAATTTGTACCTCATAACCTCTGGTTTTATAGATGAAAGAGATAAAAGCACTTAAGTCACTTTCCCAAGGTTGCAGACCTAGGTACTGATCTTTCCATTGCATCTTGATGTTTATTTGGTGTCCCCATGGCTATCACAGTGCCTAGAGCATAGGCAGTCTTTCATTAATATTTGTTGTTAAAAAAGTTTGACAGAGGCAGGAAGCAGACAATGAAAATGACTTTCAATAACAGAATAGCAGGCAACAAAGCCACCAGAAAAGGTAGCAATACTGTGGTCAAAAATTAGAACACATATGCTACTTACAAAATTGGCAATGTAAAAAAGTTATGTTACAAGCTATTTAACCATTGTATATTCTGGATTATAAGCACTTTGGGCAGCAATTGAGAACTTGAAAGGAAGTTAATTGGGTTCCTGATCATCATTGAATAAAGCGTCGTCTGTAGATTCTAGGACAAATAAAATAACTAAATTAGGTAGGAAGTGAGAAACGCTTAGTGATCTTGTTTTTCCCTTTAGAGGTATTCATCTATTAAAGTGAGAAATAGAACATATCTCTGGTCATGTAAACAGGACTGAGTAATTTTAATAATGACTCTAGTGATCTTACAACATCATCTTGCCTTAGGATTATATCAGTAAAGTCTTACAATACCTCTGAGCTTCAATGTTTCCAGCCCCCCCCCAAAAAGAAGTACTTTTTCTATAGTCTCTGACATCTCTGCAAGGACAAACCACTCTCTAAATTTATGAATACCTCTTGCTCATTTCTATAAGCATCATGTCCCATATATTTTCCCTATGCATATATCTTTCTTGATACATGTTTTTAAATTGCCTAGTATATTAAGTAGTACTTTTTCTCTAGATATCTATTTCTCTGTTTATATTTTCAAACACCAAGACATTTAGGACTAAAACATCAGAATTACATGTTTGAGAATACCTGTATATTTAGCTTCTAAAAATATACATATGTTTGATTATGGGATTCTCAGTCAAACTCTGTGAATGATGTCGTTTAAGATATACAGATGGTCTCCAAATTACAATGGTTCCACTTACAATTTTTCAACTCTGTGATGGGTTTATCTGGATATAATTCCATTGTAAGTTGAGGAGCTTTTTATGACCTACGATGGGTTTACAGTTTTTAATGAATGTATATTGCTTTTGGCACGATGGTGAAGTAAAAATTTTCTAAGTCAAATCACCATAACTTGGGGACTGTCTAGTGTGTTGTCAGAAATAAAAGCATTTTTGGCTTTTATTTTGGCTTAGTATATTATCAAGTATATTATTTGACTTAGTATATTATCAAGTTACAATGGGTTCATCAGGAGGTAACCTCATCATAAGTCGAGGATCAACTGTATATATTATATTATCTTCCTATAATCAAAGGAGAAAACTAAAACATGCTGAGTTTTAAAACACTTCTGGATCTAAGGAATTCATGTAACTCTTATGGACTTCAATATATATTTTACAAAGTAGATAAAATGCTGTTCTTGTAACATAGATATGGACTTTTACTTAGAATGGCTTTTACTGCTTTCCACAGGTTTATGAGTATATGACTTTCAGTGAACAAGAACTTACATTGTTTCATTGACTAAAGCATTAGCTTTATGAGTTCTTATTATTTGTTGCAATTCTTTGCCAGTTAATCAGAGACCCCAACTTCCTATTTTTCAGTGTATAATGCTAAAACAAACCCTTTTGTTCCAAAAGCCCAATGTTTTACACTTTTAATTCTTGATTTAAAAGTAAATGCTAAGATAGAGTTTGTAAAGTTTTCTAATACCTTAAGTTAGTTCTGAGTTTTAGCTTTTGTATATTTTTTCTTTGTTGCTGTGATCTTCTAAAGTGTTTCTACTGCTCAGTCCAATAGGAATCCAAGTTTGAGTGTCAGCATTAATTCTTGGAACCAGATCCCTCTGAGTTCAGAAAGACCATTTATTGTAACAAAGGAACAAAGCCTTTTACTAGAGAAATGTTCCCCAGGCCTACATGCTTTCTGCAAGCTTTCATCTTTTGGAGTATATCTTTTAACATAAGCAGTTGTACTAAAATTATAGTCCTTCTGAATAAACTTACAGCATATTTTTAAAGAATAACTACTTCCAAAGTAATCCATGAGGAGAAATACAGACAAACAAGACACTCAATGAAAACGGTGGTCTGAAATATAATTGGAAATTATTGTGTCACTGCAGAGAGTTCCATAATTAATTCTCCAGATTACTGCTGTGATTATCCAAATAAATTTTAACTTATTGTAGCAAAAGTCTTTCCAGTACAATGATGAGCTATTTTAAAATAAGTTAACATTTTTTATAAACTCCAAAATTGTGTTATACTTTGCTGAAGGAAGCATGAAAATGTTAATACAATGATTGGGTAGTTTCCCCCTTGCTTTCAGAAACTTGTGCAGTGTTGGTGGGGATGTAAAATGGTATAGCTACTATGGAAATCAGTGTGGCGGTTCCTTAGAAAAGTACAAATACAATTACCATATGATCCAACAATTTCACTTCTGGGTATATACCCAAAAGTTTTGAAAACAAGGTCTCTAAGAGGTATTTGTACACCTATATTCATAGTAGCATTATTTGCAATAGCTAAAACATGAAAGCAATCCAGGTGTCCATCAACAGATGAGTGGATCAGCAAAATATGGTATATACATGCAATGGAGCATAATTAAGTCTTTAAAAGGAAGGAAATGCTGACATATGCTATGACATCAATGAACTTGGAGGACATTATCCTAAGTGAAATAAAACAGACACAAAAAGAAAAGTACTATATAATTCCAATTACATGAGGTACTGACAGAAGTCAAAGTTATAGAGACAGGAAATAGAACAGAGGTTGCTCGGGGCTATAGATAGAAGAGAAGACGGGATAATCATTTACTGGGTACACAGTTTCAGTTTGACAATATGAAAACAGTTACAGAGATAGATGGTGGCGATTGTTACACAACATTACGAATGTATTTAATACCACTGCACTGCGATCTTCAAAATGGTTAAGATGGTAAATGTTAATGTGCATTTTACCACTATAACAAATTGAGGGAAAAAGAAGGGGGCGTTAATGACACTTGCGACCTAAGCTCTGAAATTTTTGGCAAAAAAAAAAGGTAACCCTTTTACCAAATAGTTCAGATATAAGTTTTAAAATTTTTAATTATTAATAATAATAAAGCATGACTGAGCACGGTGGCTCACGCCTGTAATCCCAGCACTTTGGGAGGCCAAGGCGGGTGGATCACCCGAGATCAGGAATTCGAAACCAGCCTGGCCAACATGGTGAAACTCCGTCTCTACTACAAATACAAAAATTAGCTGGGCATGGTGGCAGACGGCTGTAGTCCCAGCTACTCGGGAGGCTGAGCTAGGAGAATGGCATGAACCTGGGAGGTGGAGGTTGCAGTGAGCCGAGATCACGCCACTGCACTCCAGCCTGGGCAACAGAGCGAGGCTCTGTCTCAAAAAATAATAAAAATTAAAATTAAAATTAAAATAAATTTAAAAATTTTTATATTTTATATTCAATATATATATTCAAATATATATTCAATACATATTGAATACAATACATGGTAATATGTATTGTATTCAATACGTATTGAATACAATACATGGAAATATGTATTGTATTCAATACATATTACATATTACCATTACATGGTAATTACCATGGTTATTATCATTACATAGTAATGGTAATATGAATACAACTTACCATTTTCCCAGCACTACAGAATCAGAGAATGAAATCAGAGAAGAATGAAATCAGAATCAGAGAAGAATGAAAATTCCTTTCTCTCAAATATCTCAGAGTTCATTAGGTAAGATATACTAAACAGATGAACAAAAATTTCCTATAAAATGAGAATTGTAGGTAAACTCTTATTAAAGTAAATTTTATTTTCTAGGCTCACAGCCTCATAACTAATAATTATGGGTATCTTAAAAATTTGTATTTCAACAATACAAGATACCTCTTCATGGTGATGAATGATTTTCCACTTTTTCTCAGAGTAATTACAAAAGAACTAAGAATCATTATATGCAATTCATGTATCTATCACAGGTAGGGCTAGAAAATAACATCAAGAAACACAGATTTCCTTGTTACTGCAATTTTTTCTTTGTAAGTTGAATTATATTTTTGTCAAAGACAAATATGTAATGTTTGAATTTCTTTTTACTTAATATCTTTTACTTCAACTTGATCTCAGTCCATGAACAACAAAATTTACTACTTTTAGTTGTTACTTTTTCCTTTACTAGTTATTTTATAGAGCATATTTATGTCTCTATTTCTTGATACATTAATTTTAGATATATCTACTTCCTCACTTAGTTCCTATCAAAGATTTTTTTTCCTTTTTTTAACTTTTATTTAAGGTTCAGAAGTGCCTGTGAAGGTTTGTTACATAGGTAAACTCATATCACGGGGATTTGATGTACAGATTATTTTGTCACTAAGCACAGTGCCCTATAGGTATTTTTTCTGATCCTCTCCCTCTTACCACCCTCCACCCTCAAGCAGTCCCCAAAGTATAATTAAGCTATCTTATATTTTCATCCTCTTATTTTGCCATTTCTGCTAGTATTGATATATCAAAATTTGAATTGAATATGCTTTTATTCTTATTATGTTACGATTATATAATTTTAGTCACTGTAGATTCAAGTGGTCTTTGATGATTATTTTTTCCTTATATAATTTTTTTGTGTGTTTCTAGGATTACAATTTGCCTTTTGAAATAATTTCTTGTGTTTAAGGAAACAATTCCTTATTTCAGAAACCCAATTTATGTATCAATCATCTATCAATATTCAATTTCAAACTCAAATATATCAGATAATCTATCAATTTCTGTAATTGCTTATTTTGCTTTGATTACCTGGTCAGTTCTCTCTCATCATCTTTTGTTGTCCTGCTTAAATATGAGCTGTTTGCCTTCTGGACTTACTACAAATTTGACACCCTGAATTTTCCTTCCGTGCTTTCTAATGTAGAAAAACCTGTAGCCTAGATCCTATGTCTAAGATTTTCTTATTTTTTTCTTGGTTTCCTAAAAATGAATGCATGTTAAAAAAACATGCTTAAGCCTTTGCATATTTGTAAATACCTTTCTCTCTGAATTCCTGATTCAGAATTTAGCTAGACATCGAACACCGGGATGAAAATACTTATGCCTTATTAAGAAAGCATTGCCCCATCACCTCCTAGGTCCATTGTTGCTATTGAGTAGTCTAACTTTCTGTTTCCTATTTTTGATATATCATTTGCTTATTTTTACCAGAACTTTCTGTTCTTTTACTTATCACTTGTCTTTTGACATTTTGCAATCAGATAGTCTTTAGTTTTGATTTTTTGGGTCATTTCCTCTAGTTCAATGAAGGGGAAAGCCATGCTAGTTAATTAGTATTAAACTTTATCAGTTAGATGATAAATAGCTTGTTTTTATTAACAGAGCTAGAGCAAATCTCAAAATCAGAGTCTTGAGTAGGCACAATGTTTTCTAAAGTTTAATAACTAACATTTTTTGTTTGATTACTATTTTTTAATATTTTCTTTTATTGCACGATACTGGCTTTATTTTTATGGTAGTAACTTCAAGTTTCTTTTTTAGATACATTGATGTCAGTTTAAAAAGTGGCCCATTAAAAATATTCAGGGAGAAAAAGAAGGAACACATGCATGGCCAAAATAACAAGATGGTTTGTGGATTTAGCAAAATGTACAACAGAGACGTGAGAATGGCTGAAGGTGGCATTCTATCCTGTTCCCTCAATTTCTTTGTGCATAGGCCTAATCTTTGCAGTGCTTAAGAGCTACAGGACTTCCAAAAACTACTTTTCTGTTTTGTATAACAAGCACACTATGATTCAGTGTCGATATTTTTGTTTGAGTTTGCATAGTTTCACAGCACAGAGATGTAAGATGCAATTGGCTGAGCATCATTTTGTAGCAATGATGCCGTGACTTTGAAGATAGCTACGATTTGCTTTTCTGCTTGTTTCTATTACAAACTGTATGTGCCCAATGAGATAGCTTTTATTTAATGTCATCTGAGAAACTATTTGTAAAATAGTGACCAAAGAATTGCACTTGTATGTCTCCTAAAATAATATTCTCAGAGTATGGATTTTGATCACTGTGGTTTACTCAAAGCCTTTATGCTGGATAGAATAGAGAGATAATGATGACATGGCCAAGAGGCTAAGGATTGTTGTTTTTCTTTGGCAGGATTCTCATTTTTTGTGCTTTATGTGAATGAGGACACCCACCTTGACTGTATCTGAGGGTCAATGGTGCATCAAAGAATATTATCTCTTCTGCCTGTGCATTTTAAAAAGCAAAATTGCAGTCATTTATCTCTCACACTCTATGTTTTCCTTGGTTCAAATAATTGAATTAGTGATAAGCTTCAAATCTCTCTTAAAGGAGTGAATGGCTAATTTTGCTAATGCATTCATACCAAAGTTTTTGGATACCAGTTAGAAGTTTCAAGAAATTTCAATATCCTCATGGTTTATCACACAAGATACTGTCTTTTAAAACTTAGCTCCTGGTCTTCCATTTTCTAGTATACGGAGTCCCCTAAATGTATTTTATAATGGATGAAAGTGCTTCATCTGTAACAGGAGAAAAATGGAGTATGCCTGGGCATGTGGTTGTACAAATATTATGGAAATAGAATTACAAAAAAAACCTTATGTAATATATATCAGTAATCCATACTATTTTAAAGTGAAAAATGTCCAGAAGTAGAAAGAATCACAGAGCTTTTGCATTAAAAAGAAATCATGATGCTTAGAAATATGAGTTGACAATTTGCATTTGTTGGTTCAGATACTACTTTAATCACTATTGCAGTGTCACATTCTGGTGCCTGTACAGTTTAACGTTCATCACTGCTTTCCCGTAAATCTTTGAGCAATACATTCTGATGCACTAAATGTGAACTTTTTATCTAAGTTATATGTTGCATTAATGCTCATATTTACCTATGAAATAGTAGAAAAATACATATTCTTCTTAAATTTATCTAAAAATAAGTTAAATTATGGCAGCACAATAAAATATAAATTTTTATTTTGCCATGTTTTTCTTATCAAATATTGTTGACTTGTTTTTAAAGACAGAAAATCTAGGGGTGAGCTTATCATAAAATTTATCATAATTGTTTTTTAACTTTTGAAGCTAATTTTTAAATGCTATTTGGTCTATGTCTAAAAAAACCCAAAGCCTCCAATCAGTATCTTCCAGACATTGAATGCCCTTTCTGTCTGTCATTTTGCTAATATCTGGGTTTAAGAATAATAGATATTAACTGGAGATCAGAGGAAACAATTAACCTTGAGAAGCAGCACATAGAACTCTGTTAATGGAAATATTTCCACTTATGGAAATATTTTTCATACGAATAATATGACCTAAAACACATCCTGCTTATCACTCCACAATAATAAGAATTTCTATTGAATGGCCTCAGGCAACTAACAAATCAATGAAATAATCAAAACCTTATTAGTGGAGAATGTCTTAATACTAGGCCATGAAAAGAGTCTTGTCACACTGATATAGACAGATTAGTGTAAGTTGAAAGATAATAATGAATAATTTCTTTTAACTACAGACCTTCATCCTTTGTAGGACAGAAGATAGCATTATTAGAAGAATTAAAATATATGGATTACAACATTTAATATTTTAAAAGCTGATAATTTTTGATAAAATAATCTGCCCTATTTTTTCTTACTTAGAATATTTTACTTTATTCTTACATGTTCCATTTTTTTCTTTGTTTTGATTTTTTTCCACTGTGGTTATAGTATCAACTCTCAGTACCTTCGAAGGTAGGTGCACATGCCACTTATTAAAATATTATTTATTCTGACCTAAAGGGTAGCACACTCATTCATCATCACAGTGTAGGACTAGGATGAAAGAGTATCACACCTAAATCATAGCAAGTCAAACTAATTGTTCTCAAACTCTAGCATGCATAGAAGACACCTTGGGGATTTATTAAAACAAAAATTGCTGGGCCTACCCTGAGAGTTCCTGATTCCGTCTTGGGCATTTGTATTCATCTCAATTTCTCAAGTGATGCTGACGTTGAAAGTCTAGGGATCATGCCTTGAGAACCAGTGACTTAAACATGCACCTTTTTAAACCACTGCTTCTATCTGCACCTCATCTAGCTTCTTTTTATCCTGTTCACCAGCATTTACTCAATGTCCAAAATTCAACTGGTAAGTCATCTATTGGAAAACTTCCAAACTCTCCTGGCTTAGATTTGGTACCTGCATCTGTCATGTCTACTCAGGAGACAAACCACATTATAATTTGAAAATAAAAAGTTTAATATACAGAATACTAATTTCAGTAGATTGGAGTAATGTGAGCTTCATAGCAAAAGTTAAAGAGACCTCTAAAGACCAGAGGAATAGCAGATATAAGGAGCAGTCACTGTCCCAAGGACTGTGATCCAGACATCATTAGACAAAACATGGGCATGGCTCACTGAAGGGCAGAGAGGTCCCTCTGATGCTGCACCAGTGGAACTTCCTGGATATTATTCCTCTAAGGTACCAGGAGAAGCAGTTTTCAGGAAGGATGTTCACCTCTGTGCACACAGAGGCTGGGTGTCACAGAAGGTGCACATGCCATGAGAGCCTGGTGCTGAAGTCGCCCCTGCTGCAGGAGCGGGGCACTGGGTGCATTGAAGGAGTCTGTTGAGAGAAACACAGTGGAATCAGAAACGAAAGCCTCTTCTTGCCAGTAGTAGTTGGTCTTCAGCACAAACTACTGACAAAGCTTACAATCATGCCATCTTGAAAAGCAACAAGGTTTAAAGAGCCCCTGTTAAATTTTCCCAGAGCAGGAAATGAAGGATGGATTTGCGGCCGAGAACCAACAAATTGATGACTAGTCTGTGGGATATATTATATACTCATAGAATGTGTTGAAGTGAACTCCCATGATACCTCTGTATACTTTATTGGTATGTTCACTCAACGATTCATTCAATATGAAGCATTCAATAGATATGATTAAATATGCAATATAATTGTATATATTATATTATTATTTTATCCCCAGCATCGCCAAGTACCTTAAACATATTAGGAGCTCAGCAAATATTTATAGAATCCATGACTATCACATAATAAAAATAAAATGCCTAGGTAAATATTTTGAAATAACTTTAGATGTTTATATTTCGACTTTCAGAGAGCAGAGAGAAGTAATAAAGCATAAGTACTATAAAATTTAGAAAGCTTTACTTAAAGTGATCGAAACAACACAGAAAATTTATATATTCACTTAGGTTATATGTTAATCTACAAACAGAGCTCTTTTCAGGTAAGCCTTGATTCAGCAGGCCATACATACACTCTATGTTCTACTGTTTGTGACATCAGCTTCATTTCCATGTTCACTATGCTCATCCCCTTGGTAGCTCCAGACTTCATCCTAATATTTGCAAATTGCCCTATGTGTTACAGCCTTACTTCTTATCACTTCACTCTTCAAGGGAAGACTCAGTTTGTCTTCAGCACTATAAGCAAAATCCAGTGTCCATATCATAAGGAGGATATAGGTTGCATACTCACCCCAATCTATTTTAATCATTGTAGGCAGGAGGATGAGAGGCATAGATACCCTTTGCCTGGAGATAAGTGTCCATGTAATTAACCTGTATTTAAGAACCATCCTATAGAAACATTAACTCATGAACATAGTATCAATAAGTTGACATATAAATTGTTCAATTTAAATAAAAATCAGCTAGTCATCAAAAAATAAATAAATTATACTCTAGGATGGCCTGAAAATTGCAATTTTTTACCATTTCTTAAATATTACTGATGTGTTTTACATCAAAATGTGTCATGATTATGCCACTCATGTGAATGAGAAGGACCTTATACATCCCGTCTCCATAAATGAAATTAAAGATTGGCATTAAAAAGAGGAGAGCTGCTTTTTTTTTCATTGAAGGTAAAATTAGAGAGTAGGAAGGAGTCTCATATTATATCTCATCAGAGGAATACAAGAAATAAAGATAGCTAGAGAGAGTAATAATATTTGCAGTATATGTGTATGCATATTTTGCATATGTATGTCCACATATAACACTTTCTACAGGGTGACATATATATTAACACATTTAATTCTTATAACCACTCAGGGAAAGTAGCCAATCATTATCATCAGCTTGCAGATGGCACAACTAAAGAACTAAGAGATTAACAATTTGCTCCAAGTCACACTGCTAGTAAGCCTTAAGGCTGGGATTTAAAGCTAGGCTATTTACTCCTGTAGTTTTTCACTTAAACACTACATTGCATTTCTTTACCAGGATATACACTACCTAGAAACAATTGTGGCCCTATATAAGTAAGTGGTCTCTCCTTCTAAACAGACTGCAATATTAATTTCTCCCTCTGGCACACCAGACTTTCTAATCCTGCTCAAATAGTCCTTTTCACCCTTCTCTCCCATGACCCTCCTAGAAATTCTATGCTTCTGCCAGACTTATCCCTGTTTTATTCTCTCAACACAGCTTTTGCTTTCCTTTAAGCAGCCTACTGCTGACACTTTGCATTCATTTCTTCACCTACACTATTTTTTCACCATCTCTAGCTATGGAAAGTTTTTCCACCCACCCTACTCAGCTCATTGTCCCGTCCAATTGCTTACTAGACATGAATAGTTGCACCATAGCCAACCCTTATATCTGAACAAATTTAAACTCATTATCTCTCCCCTCTTTCAGTTCAATAGCCCACAACCTGTGCTCCTTCCATTGTCTTCCTTCCTTATACTAACGAGTTAAGAACTCTCATTCCCCTAGCCATTAAAACTATTTTATGGGAATGTAAGAGAAGAATTTAATCAGGAATGGAAATAATTAGTCCAGTTCTTATAAGTTAACTGCACTGAGACTATTTAATCTCTCTCCTTTTCTTGCCATGGTTTCTGCCACAGTCCTGTCGCTCTCTTAACTTTCTCAGGCCTCACAGTCCTTTAACCATCGTGATCTTTTAACATCATTAAATTATGCAAAGGCACTTTGATATTTCAGTGGAACATAGAATCCTTAACGAGTCATACAAAACCTAGCCACAGATTCCGACTCATCTCCCATTACTACTTCTCATTATTCTTTACTCCTGACCTATGAAAGCACTTGCAATTTTTTTTTTAAAGAAACGGGATCTCCCATTTCTATGGGAGAAATTGCATTAGTAGTGATCCCACTACTCATCAACACAGGAGTTTTGACCTGCTCTGTTTTTTTACCTGGGCTGTTAAATCCCTCCTTAGGCAACCTGGTGGTCCTCCTCTCCCAGGAAGTCAGTATATTGATGCTGAATTTATGGCGGACTCTCGATCACTATAGCACAGAACTCCTGGGCTCAAGAGATCTTCCTGCCTTAGCCCCTGAATAGCTGGGACTACAGGCACACACTACAGTGCCAGGGAGTGCTTGCAATTGTGTAAAGATGCTCAGCCATTTCCCTTGATGCCACAGGACTCAGCATTAACTTTGGTTGAATGTCTCCTTTTTCTTTCACTTCTTTTTTTTTTTTTTTTTTTTCATTTTTTCCTCCTTGTTTACTCTTAAAATTTTATTTAGGGTCAACTAATCTGGAAAGCTTGTCTTCAAAGTTTATAAACGTAAGATATGGACCTCTCCTTTCTGTTCTTGTATCCTTTTATATTTATACTCATGAATGTGTATCCAGGTAGGCATACATATTACTAAAATAGTGTATTGAAATGGATGCATTAATACAATATTTTTCTTCAAATTTATTTTCATAATGATTTTAAAAGTGATGTACACTTAATTGTTACAAATGTGGAAATTTCAGAAAATATGAGAAAGAAAAAAAACTAATATCATCAGCACTGATGAGGCAACCACTCTTCCCATTTTGTTATATAAGTTCCCAGTATTTTTATAGTAAATATTACACACTTATTTAAAAATATTTTATTTTTAAGTCTCTTATCTATTCTTCCTTTTGTGACATTTACAGTTTCATTGCAATTTAAAGCTCTGAAGTTTGAATTTAATGTTCATGGAGTAATCTGATGAAGGAGTTATGCCCATATTATGAAGAGTCTAAATTTTCTATTTTAAAAAATTAATAATAGTAGTAGTAAAAAGAAAAAAATGCTGAGCACTTACTTTATGCATGATACAATGGGGAAAATTTTATGTGGATAATCTTATTTAATTCTCACAATAATCCTGTGAAGCAGGTACTATTTTTTTCACACAAATTCTGCAGCAGAAATCCATCTCAGAGAGATTAAATAACTTACGCAAGGTCATAGACCAGAGAGTAGGGTACCAGAATTGGAAGTATTTTGATTCCAGAGCAGACGTGTCTTTTTAACATAAAGACCACAGAGGCTTTTGCTTCTCTCTCTCCAATACACTCTGCAAAATGCTGATGATCTGCTTTACTTGTTAGTCCTGGGAATATTTTTGGTTGGTATGCTTAGCCCTGCAGCTCTTCCTGACCTGCATGACCTGTTCTTTTTTTTTTTTTTTCTCTCTCTCTCTCTCTTTGTGTCTAGAATTCGCTTCCCACACTGCATTGATGAAAAACACGATATATTTATCTCCCTCTGGGGGAAAAGAGATAGTAGCATATTAGTCATCAAAGGGAAAAATGAAACAAACAAATAAAGTAAAATAAAAGTATTTATACTTTGTGTATATGACAGTTATATGAAGTTATGAAGTTATATGATACTTCCTGACAGTTCCTTGGCTGAAATAGTATTATGGAATTATTGCTTAACCATTTAACAACCAATCAAAGGCAGACCTCAGAAATATTGCACATTTAGTCCCAGGCCACTGCAATAAAGCAAATGTCACAATAAAGCAAGTCACAAGATTTTTTTTGGTTTATTAATGTATATAAAAGTTACGTTTAATTATACTATAGTTTATTCAGTGTACAATAGCATGAGGTCTACAAAAATTATTACCTTAATTTAAAAAATGCTTTATTGCTAAAAGAAAAAATGCTATAATTTGAGACTTAAGAGTCATAATATTTTTTGCTGTTGGAGGATCTTGTCTCAATGTTGATGGCTGCTGACTAATCAAGATAGTGGTTGCTGAAGGCTGAGGTGACTATGACAATTTTTAAAAATAAGACAATAATGAAGTTTGCTGCAACTATTAACTCTTTCATAAAAGATTTCTCTGTAGCATCCAATACTGTTTGGTAGCAATTTACCCACAAATATCTTTTCAAAATTGGAGTTAATCCTATCAAACACTGCTGTTGCTTTCCCAACTAAGTTTATTTAATATTCTAAATCATTTGTTGTAATTTTAAGAATGTTTACAACATCTTCACCAGGAGTAGACTCCATCTTAAGAGATCACTTTATCTGTTAATAAACAACTACTCATCTGTTTGAAATGTATCATGAGATGGCAGCAATTCAGTCACATGTTCAGGTTCCATTTCTAATTCTAGTTCTTTTGCTATTTCCAACTCATCTGCAGTTAGTTTCTCCAATTAAATCTCGAACCTCTCAAAGTCATTGATGATATTTGAAATAAACTTCTCCAAAATCCTTTTAATGATATTTTGACCTCCTTGCATGAATCATAAATGTAGTTAATGACATCTAGAATGGTGAATTCTTTCCAGAGGTTTTTCTGTTTACCTTGTTCAGATCCTTCAGAGGAATCCCTATATATGGCAGGTATATGATATGTATTTCTTAAACAATAAACTTGAAAGTCCAAAATTACTCCTTGATCCATGGACTGCAGAATAAATGTTATTTTAGCTGTCAGAAAAACAATACTAATCTTGCATATGTTCATCAGAGCCCTTGGGTGACCAGGTGTATTGCCAATAAGCAGTAATATTTTGAGAGGAATCTTGTTTTCAATGCAGTAGGTCTCAACAGTGCACTTAAAATATTCAGTATTACATAACGTAAACAAATGTCCTGTCATTCAGTCTTTGTTGTTCCATTTATAGAGCATAGGCAAAGTACATTTTGTATAATTCTTAAGAGCCCTAGGGTTTTCAGAATGGTAAATGAGCATTGACTTCAACTTAAAGTAACCAGCTGCATTAACCTTCAACAAGAGTCATCCTGTCCTTTGAAACTTTGAAGCCAGGCACTGACTTCTGTTCTCTACCTATGAAAGTCCTACACAGCATCTTCTTCCAATAGAAGGAAACTTTGTCTACATGGGCTACCATTCTTTAGTATAGCCACCTTCATCAATTATCTTTGTTAGATCTTCTTGCTTCATCATGTACATCAACACTTGCTGCTTCCTCTTGCATTTGTATGTTATCAAGATTGCCTCTTTCTTTAAATCTCATGAAACTATCTTTGTTATATTCAAAATTTTCTTCTTCAACTCCTCACCTCTCTTAGCCTTCACAGAATTAAAGAGAGTTAGGGCCTTCCTCTGGCATAGGCTTTGGCTTAAAGGAATGTTGTGGCTAGTTTGGTCATTTATCCAGACCACGAAAACTTTCTATCAGCCATAAAGCTTTTTCGTTTTTGTATTATTTGTGTGTTCACTGGAGTAGCACTTTTAATTTCTTTGTTTTTGTTTGTTTGTTTTGTTTTGTTGTTTGTTTTGTTTTTTGAAATGGAGTCTTACTCTGTCATCCAGGCTGGAATGCAGTGGCACGATCTTGACTCACTGTAAGCTCCGCCTCCCAAGCTATTCTCCTGCCTTAGCCTGTCAAGTAGCTGGGATTACAAGCATGTGCCAGCACACCCGGCTAATTTTTGTATTTTTAGTAGATATGGGGTTTCGCCATGTTGGTCAGGCTGGTCTCAAACCCCTTACCTCAGTTGACTTGTCCACCTTGGCTTCCCAAAGTGCTAGATTACAGGTGTGAACCACCACACCCAGCCCCTTTAATTTCTTTCAAGAACTTTCTCTTGAATTTATGACTTGGCTAGCTGTTTGGTGCAGGAAGCTTAGTTTTCGGCCTATCTTAGCTTTCAATATGCCTTCCTCATTAAGCCTAATCATTTCTAGCTTTCACTTGAACACTTTGAGGCCACTGGAGGGTTATTGGTTGGCCTAATTTTAACATCGTTGTGTCTCATGGAATAGGGAGGCCCCAAAAGAGGGAGAGAGAAGACTGAATGACTAATTGGTGAAACAGTCAGAATACACACGTTTATCAATTGTGTTCAGTCTTCCATGGGCATGGATTGTGATGCCCCAGCACAATTACAACAGTAATATTAAAGATCACTGATTAAAGGTAACCATAAAATATATAATAACAATGAAAATATTTGAAATATTGGAAGAATTACCAAAATATGACACAGAGATGGAGTGAGCACGTGCTATTAGAAAAATGGTGCCAATAGACTTGCTTGACACAAGATTGCCACAAATCTTCACTTTGTGAAAAAATGCAGTATCTACTAAGGACAATAAAATATGTGTGTACTTATAAACTGTGTATTATAGTAAAATTTGTAATTTTTTTTTTTTTGCCTCATGAGATTATTGCATTTTAGAGTCATTATTGTATTCTTAGGACTGACACTAGGTCAAGCATATAGAACACTCAAGAAATACTTGTGTAAATAAACTAATAAGTAAACAAATGGTTGAGTTACACTTGCATAACATGCAAAAAGGCATGTTCCATGGCTACTGGGAGGCATTAGTCTCGTATGGCCAAATAGAGGCAGTATGTAGAGATATTTCTTATTATGCCAAGTTTCTAATGTTTAAAACTTAAATATTTTTCCTCCATCATTACTATACATAAACAGCAAGACTGATTAAGCAGAAAAATTACAGTAATCGGTTACTCTATATGTCAAGTCTTGTCCTTAGAAGCAGTGATTAAGTGCTCCTACAAAATGTGCTTCAAAATGAGTTCACCTAATCACTGATTCACACAGACATTACAGGGATCCAACCTACTAAATTGGGTTTCTGCAAAACACTCAATAATCTTTAAAGAGTAGATGTACTTGGCCAGGCGTGGTGGCTCACGCCTGTAATCCCAGCACTTTGGGAGGCTGAGGTGGGCAGATCACGAGGTCAGGAGTTCAAGACCAGCCTGGCCAATATGGTGACCCCCCATTTGTGATTCAGCAGGTCTGGAATGGAGTCCAAATGTTTGCATTTCTAACAAGTTCCCAGTTGGTGTTGTTGATGAGGCTGCTAGTCAGCGCTCTTACTTAGAGAGTCACCACTCTAAACATCAATGTGCTGTTGCAAGGAGTTGTTTAAACCCAAAGAAAGGTTCAGAGATGTTTTGGCAAGGTCATTTACTCTTGTTTTGTTGAGTTAGTTTTTTACAAAATAGCAATGAGATTAAAACAAAATCTCACTGTCAGTTTCAAATTAAACAACTGACAGTCACGTTTCACCACATCATGCTACCTTTCTTATGTGTAATGCTGTGAAGTGAATAACTGTAAACTAAACAACATTAAACTTTACCCTTTCTAAAGACAAGTCAAATAAAATTGTGATTCTGCTACAGCCATTCAACAGTTGTAGCTGTAGTTCTCAATTAAGATTAAACATTTGGAGTCCAGTCACTCTGCCAAATTAAAAAAAAAAAGACTAAACATAATCTAATATATGCCATGGCTTCCAAGTGAGCATTGAGCAATAATACAAATGTGTATTTTCCCCATATGAGCTTATTCTTATTCTGATCCTAAGCGAATCCATAGCTTATATTGTTAAGTACAATGCTTACTGAATGTAATTTATTTTACAAGTGAAAAGTAAGAGAGAAGCAAACATTGGAATAATTTAGGCTAATTGAAGGTAAAGAGAATGTTTCTAGGAGAAGATTTCCACTAACTGCATGAGTACTGTGATTCTCCTTCATCTGTCTTTGCAGTCGCAGGTTAAAATTTAGAATAGAGTCAGTGCTACATTTGCAAGAAGAAAGAAAGTTAAACAAATTATACTTGATTTCTAGCTAATTATATCAGGTGGCAAAAATTCAGAAAGTTTGACATATGTTTATATTTGATATTTATCATCTTTAGCCTAAAGATGAGAAATAAATATTTAACTAAACATTGTATTTCTTATCAAAATAATATAATATATAGTGTGTATATATGTTAAACTTAAAAAGTAAACATGATAATTTGATTATTCCCTTAATTATTGATATTTTTCTTCTTTTTAGAAATCTGATTCAATGCATTCCATGTATAAAACTACAAATCAATGTTTTATTACTCCACATAATTGTGTTAATATGTTTTACAAATATAAAAAAGTTTCTCTGCTTCATGTCTTCTAAGAAGAAAAACAAGTTTCCATAGTAAAACAAATTTGGAAAACGTCATGTTAAATACAAATAAACAGTTTTCCTGAAGTCATGCCTTATAATTTTAATATATTAAATTGCTTTGTAGATCTCTCTTGCCAGTATGGATTATATTTTTGGTACTTATGTGACCACGGGTATCTTTCTTTAAGACCATTTCCTGGGACCAATAGTCCTCAGGATGATCACTGAGAAAGACTACTTTATAATGTTTGTTATGTCATATCCATAACCACCTTTCAGTCAAAGTAAGAGCTACTATCTCTATACTGTAATAGATATAAGTACATTAAAGATCAAAACTTCAAATGACTTGTACTAAGCCACCAGCTAAAAGTTTGTGGCATCAAAACTAGAATTTAAGCTCCTGAGCCCAGTCCAAGTTTTCTTACTGTGCTTGCTTTGGTGATTGTTAAGCTGGCCTTCCAGGCCAACTAGTATTCTGAGAGCATAGTTCATTCATACACATGTGAACTAGATGCCGCATATAAAATAACAATTGAGGGCATAAATATAGTCTGATTAAAATAAAGCAATTTTGTACTTGGAAGATGAAAGATCTTAATGAGTGGTAAGGAGAGCTAGTCAAGACATATTACTTGATAGAAATATATGTTTATTGAGAGATGAAAGCACTGGTACAATTTGAGTTGATTAATAACTGTTGGGCAATATACATGCTATGGATTCTACCAAGAAATAAAAGATATGCTTTTGTCCTGAAAAATAGTGCTTTTTTTTTTTTTTTTTTTTTTTTGAGACAGGGTCTCACTCTGTTGCCCAGGCTCAAGGGGTGCCGTGGTGTGATCACAGCTCACTGCAGCCTCAACCTCCCAGCCCAACGTGAAGTAATCTCCCATCTCAGCCTTTCTGAGTAGCTGGGACTATGCACATTTGCCACCATGCCTCGCTAATTTTTTATTTTTATTTTTTGTGATAGAGTCTCCCTATGTTGCCCTATGTTTTGAGATAGAGTCTCCCTATGTTGCCCAGGCTGGTTTTGAACTCTTGGGTTCAAGTAATCCCCCCACCTTGTCACCAAGTGCTGGGATGTAGGTGTGAGCCACCACACCTGGCCTCTTTTTTTTAAATTTAGGGAACAAAACCATCTTTATATTGATGAATATGAGACAATGTTGTATGCTTATTTCATATTGTCATTTTGAAGTGAAATATATTTTTAATTTAATTTAATGGCATGGATAAATTGGAGCTCTTTTCTTATTTCTTATTTTATAGCTTAATTTGTCTCGTTGTCTCTCTAAATACATTGTAAGCACTTTGTTGGCATATACTGTCTTTCTTTCATTTGCAATTTGTTGAATGAAGATTGCGTGACTAACTCAAATGTGGGGATTCAGTGAGAGGAGATATGAGTGTGGTTGGTGAACTGAATTTAAATCTTCCTAGTGGACACTCTGAACCAACAGAAAGCATCATTGGTAAAATGTCTTCTCCATTCTGCTATTCATTAAGTTGACATGTATTAATAGTGTTCTCAACGTGACAGACAAGTACAAAGCCCTTGTTCTTATAGTAGTTTTTTTCTAGGGAGACAAATGCTAAGAAAGCAATCAAGCTAATACCTTTGCAAAGGTTTCTTATAGGCAGAAACTAAAAGAAGGTCAATGTGATTAGAGTTGGAGAGCAAAGGGGAGAAGTGGGGCACATAAAATTAAATAGGGGCTGGGATACCTGGGGTTATCTGCAGGGATGTTGGTATTTAATCTTAAGAGATTTGGGAAGCCATAGAGGCTTTTAACAAAGGAAATTCCATGAGGAGATTTGGGTTTTGAAAACCATTCAGGTTGTAATGACAAGGAGGAATTAGAGATGTCAGGGTCTTTGCTGCGGGGCCAGTTGGAGGTCTGTCTTTTTAGAGTGGTAACTATGGGGATGAGACAAAATAATATAATTAGAGAAATAAACTTAACATGAGACAGCTGCAGTGCAATGTGATCAATGTGGAAGAGGCGTCAAGGACATTAATCTTTCAGCTCCCATAAAGTATTTTTCTTAACATTATTTCTAAAAGGATAAATAATTTTTGGGTTCATGTAAATGTATTTTCTGATTTTCTATGACTAAAGTCTTAAGACTTAATGACAAAAATCCAGGATTTTAAAATGTGAAGGATACTTCAGTTAGAGAAGCCACATAACAAATGCATACTAGTTGGTCTAAAAAAGTCAGTTCTAGTATTTGAAGCTCCTGGGTTTTAAACATGCATGTTAGGTGATGTTACCCTGGGATAAATCTAGACACTATGAGGAAATGTTCTCATCTGTGTAGTCTACTCTGGCTGTCCACTGGCAGCCACAATCTGCCCCATAAGTGAAACGATATTTTCTGAACAATGAAGGTGAGTTTATGGAGTAACTGGAGTTAAACTAATGGAAAGCATTGAATTGATCAGCTGGAAACTCAAAAAAGGTTAAAATAGCCTCCATTTTATGTTACTGTACAGTAGTGAGTAATGTTAATTGAATTCCCCTTGTGAGATTCTAAGAGATTTTCCCACACGATCCTGTGCTGTATAAAAAGAAACAATCGCTTGTGGTAAAGTTAATTCAAGCTGAGATACATTAACTGCACCACATTATCGGCTGCTAAGAGTGCTGTTAACACACATCACCCACTGTGTGTATTTGTGAATTAGGAGATTTCCTTGTTAATGGAAATGAGACACTTTCCTTGAAAATGCCAAGCACTGTGCATGTTGATATCGTTTTAAAAAACACAAAAAGAGAAGATTATTTTAATTCATATGTAATGTGGCTCCTCTCGCTTTTGACACAGCATTATTTTTTACTATTTCTTTTTTTTTTTTCTTTTTGGGCTGTCATTGTTTTTTCTTTCTTTTCTCTTCTTTTTTTTTTGTAGTGGCTGTGGATCACTTAGAACAGTGTCATACCATGAAAACACTTGCTTTCAATTATACTAATCCATTTCAAATTTTCTAAAATAACAGCTGCTTATTGTAAAACAGAAATATGCCAACTAAGGAATCAGGAAATTCAAGTTCAAATCCTGGCTCTGTCTCTGCCTATGAATGCATGCCTGTGACTGTAGGAAGGAGAAGAGAAGCAATATTTGTGGATATTGCCAGAAAGTGGGCTTAGTGCTTCGCTCATGATCTTTCTTTTGAATTAATCATTTTTTAACCTTGTAATCTATATACTGTTTTTGTCCTCTCTTGAGGACTGAGGTATTTGTAGCTCAGCAAACGACAGTCCCAAAACTGATAAATAAAATATAAATATAAGAGGCCAGGTGACTTAAATGGTCTCTGCAATATCGAAAACATATACAAAAGTGCATTTACCCTTCTATTCACACAGAAACACACACACTTGTGCCATACTCAAAAAGTTAAAGAAAACAAAACTAATGGATAACTTCATATTTTTATCATTATTAATTATGGCAATCACATGTGAAAAAATATTTCAGTATCATTATTTGTTTAATTAACCCCCTACTTATAAACTCAGGCTATGCATCAACATATTCTTAGAGATATTTCTTACACTTGATCAAACACCAAAGAGCATAGCACTTAAAAGCAAAGCATTAATTCAAAACTATGCTGCTGACATTTTCACACTACATTTGCTGCATTCGAAAAGTGGAACCAGGGTATGAATAGAAATATAATTCTTCACCAAGTACATGGAAACAAATGACAGTACAATTACATGATTAAAAATGAATTTTATTTATGCTTTTTCATGCATGAACTCTACATATGTAATTTCCTGCCTGGTTTGTAAATAGGCTTTAAAGCCTATTTACACATTATTACACATACTCTTCCGAATGTGTAATAATTTTCATTGGTGAATTTCTCATAAAATTGCAATTATTTCTGGAAAAAATTAGCTTCCAATACTCTAAGCTGGAAATGGAGGGGAAGCAACATAAGGGAAATTCAGAAAACATGTTTTCAGTTGGCCAAACTCTGCAAATGGCTATGTCACCTACCTAGATTTATCCAGCCATGGGAACAATAAAAACATCCATTTTATTCATCTATTAAGTTAAAAAAAAGATAAAGTAGATCCTGAATCATAAATATACCACAAAGAACACTTTGCATTATTATTAGTTAAAAATTTAGAACACGTTTAAATAAAAAACCTTAGTCTCTGTTGTTTGCATATAATGTTTACCTTAAAAAAATCCCCTTTTTTGATAGGTAAAGAGAAACAAACAAAAACTCTTCTGGGAGATATTGTGTGGGAGAAATGCTAATAATAAGAGATAGTAAAATAGAAAAATAGTTCATAAGATGTAGATAAAATTATATAAACCAAACTTTAAAGCTGACTATAGAAAATTCTGAACATTCCATAGCATTCCACTCACTCCTTCTGCATGTCATTTTGTCATTTGTTCCAGAACAGGGAGCTGCTTATGACAACCTGTTTTCTTCTTCTTCTTCTTTTTTTTTTTTAGATGGAGTTTTGCTCTTATTGCCCAGGCTGGAGTGCAATGGCGCGATATCAGCTTGGCGCGATCTCGGCTTACCACAACCTCCGCCTCCCAGGTTCAAGCAATTCTCCTGCCTCAGCCTCCCGAGTAGCTGGGATTACAGGCATGAGTCACCATGCCTGACTAATTTTGTATTTTTAGTAGAGACGGGGTTTCTCCATGTTGATCAGGCTGGTCTTGGACTCCCGACCTCCAGTGATCCGCCCTCCTCGGCCTCCCAAAGTGCTAGGATTACAGGCGTGAGCCACCGCGTCCGGCCACAACCTGTTTTCTTTTCTGCCTGGGCACACAAGTAAAGGAAATATGAGCAGAGAAATACGTGCCCTTTCCAGGCCTGGTCCTTAATCATTCACGCCTCCCCTCCCATCTTCTTTGAACAATTCTATTTGCTTCTCTTCTTTTTTCCTTTTTGCTATCTGGATGCCAAAGCTTGTGTGGTATTATAAACCATGTGTTGAAGAAAGAGGACTCCCTCTCAATCTGGGTTTCTTTTTCTTTTTTCTTTTTTTTTTTTGGTGGTGGTTGTTTTTTTGAGACAGAGTCTCACTCTGTCACCCAGGCTGGAGTGCAGTGGTGCGATCTCGGCTCACTGCAACCTTCGCCTCCCGGGTTCACGCCATTCTCCTGCCTCAGCCTCCCTAGTAGCTGGGACTACAGGCGCCCACCACCACGCCCAGCTAATTTTTTGTATTTTTAGTAGAGACGAGGTTTCACCATGTTAGCCAGGATGGTCTCAATCTCCTGACCTCGTGATCCACCCACCTCGGCCTCCCAAAGTGCTGGGATTACAGGCGTGAGCCACCGCCCCAGGCCTCAATCTGGGTTTCTAAATAAAAATGTGAATTAGAACCACATATCAGCCAATCTAGAATTACATTGGCTTGATTATGTAAGAAATAGCAACTTTTTATGCTTAGTCCATTATAATTTTAGAGTTTCATTTTCAAGTAGCTCATCTATGCCAATTAATAATTAGTACACTTCACTCTTTCTTGATTAAAATCTACTAAATACGTATAGAAAACATATTCTAACATTAGAACATCATAAGACAACAATGAATAAACTATTAGACATATACATGCAAAATGAATGACATTTTTGTCAATAGAATTAAAAAACAGGCAATCTCTGCACATTATGTATTTCTTTGAGCATCTACCAAATGACTAAACCTAAAAGTACTATCAGAAGACTGTCAGACTGTTCAAAAAGTAGAGGCTGCGTAGCTGTTCATAAGTTACCTAGTGAGAAAGTTAATTTAATAAGCAATGCTATATACTTATACAGATTATTCTCATTTACATAGATGGAAGAGCAAATGATCCTGAAGTGACCCAAACGAAGAAAACTTTAAGAACTAGGTAGTTGACTTACTCTGTGTGATTCAAGAGAAAATTCAAGCAAGCAATGTTTTTCTTCTTACTTTAGACCACGTTTTGTCTCTTTCACTGCTTATTAGCATTACTACCAAAATTGGTTAAGGAAGGGAATCTGAACTTCAGCACTCACCAGTATTGATCTATGCAATTGGTATTATTCCCAGCACCTCTACTACCTTGCCTGTATGGCCACTCAATGTCAGTCATGTTTCGACTACATCACTCTAGGACATGGACTCTAATTTGTAAAATGGAACAACCATTGGCAGCAGCAGACACTAGGCTGCATTTACTAAGTGCTGGCAATGGAAAGAAGCTGGAAGATGGCATTTTCAAGCCAACATTCAATCTATTTGTTGCTATAAAGAAAACATCTCCAGCATTAAGAAATCTGTATTGGAAAAAGCTGAAAAACATTTATTAGCAAAAATCAATGCCTTTCTTTTCTTCCAAACAAGACTGTTTGCTTTTGGAAAGTGCTGATTTTTTGTTACTGTTCACCAAAGTGTATATTGATATGTTGGTAAATACAATATTTCGTGAATGGTTTGCTTTACCCTTTAATTGTTTACTAAGAGTCTCACAGATCTCAAACAAAATTCTTAAATTTTCATTATAACTAATCATTTTTATAGGCTAGTATTGGAATATGCTGTTTTTGTGAATCAAAAGCTTATAGTATTTCTGTGTAGTCTTTTTTCTGCAATTATGCTGCTAACATAGCTCTATATATCATTTGTTAGTTTAAAATCTTTGTTGAACATCTATTTTATGCAAGACACTCTGTTAAGTGCTGGGAATATAAAGATAACATAGCACAAACTGGTTCCTATTATAAAAATAAACAACACAAAACATAAAAGCACTGAAGTTGGACAGTGTTGCTCAGGAGAAGACCTTTTACATAAAAGCCAATCTCAAGCTTAAAAAGAAGGATACTACATTAGAATTTGTTATATGTTTAATTTATGTCCCAGAGGCCCACTTGTTCTCTGAGTGTACTAGCTGAATCCAGGAGGAGACTATCTAAAGGGGTAGAAGATCATAATATTAAGAAAATATGTTCAATTGTCTTTTGTAAAATTTTAGTCATGGGTAAAATATTTTTTTAAATTTATTAGATTGATGAACAATTAAACCCATTACTGAATATACAAACAAAGTACAGTAAATTATTCTACCAAAAAGACACATGCACTCATACATTCATTGCAGCACTAGTCACAACAGCAAAGACATGGAATTAACAAAGCTGCCCATCCATAGTGGATTGGATAAAAAAAAATGTGGTACCTATACACCATGGAATGCTATACAGCAATAAAAAGGAACAAAAATTGTGTCTTTGCAGGAGCATGGATATAGCTAGAGGCCATTATTCTAAGCAAATGAACACAGGAATGCAAACTAAATACTGCATAATCTCACTTATAACTGGGAGCTAAGCATTGGGTACAAATGGACATAAAAATGGGAACAATAGATAGCATGAACTACTAGAGGGAACAGAAAGGGAGGGAGGCCAAGGGCTGAAAAATATCTAATATGCATGTTGAATATTATGCTCACTACCTGGATGATAGTATCATTTGTACTGCAAATCTGAGCATCACGCAACATACCCATGTAACAAACCTGCACATGTACTCCCTCAATCTGAAAAAAAAGTTGAAATTATATAGAATAAATTAGAATTTAGTTCAATGTCATTTATTCTGTCATATTTGCATACTTGTTTATTTAGTTTTCGACCCTGTGATTGGTAATCTAAGTCCAAGGTATTTTTTAAATGACCTGAATCATCAGAAATAAATTTGCCTGAGACAAGTTAAAGATGAGTCTGCAAATATGTTCATGTGGTTTCCTAAACTTACATTGAAGATATTTGCAGTATCATTTATAAGTTAAATATAGGCATTATAAATAATCACATCTTTATAAAAGTTATTTTTCTTATTAAATGAAAATCAATAAAATATCTTAGAAATGAAAAACTTTTAGATAATTAAACTAATAAGCTTATGTGAAGGATAAATAATGGACACCTATGAGACTTAGAGCAGGCCTGGATTTCATTCTTGGATTCTGATTCCAGCTCCATCACTATCACATTTTAGTTCTTATAGGCAATTCATTAAGACATTCAAAACTGTTCACATTGGTAAATGAGGGAGTTTGATTTGATTCTTTGGCTCTTTTTAACAATAAAAGTCTGTGATTGCAAAATAAATTTCCATGGTACTCTTACATACTTCATGTCAGTTTAAACTCAAGTGTCTTTTCTGAGGTCCAGTGTGCCAGATATGGCTTGTCTTTTGCAACCATCATGCCGGGGTTTTTGAATTAAAGATACGACCAGGATTCTATGTCCTCAGAAATTGGAATAAATATTCTTGTTCTCTTTGCATATTAAAGCATATTTGCCTATAAAACACTATTTCCAGCATTTTTCACTGGATAGTTCTAGAATGTAGGTTAGGACTATCCCTCTTCTCCAGGGAGTTAATTGTGGTATTGCATCCTTTCTTTAGATGTCATGTCAAGTTTCATATTAACAGAACACTAGACACTTCAATATGACAAATGTAGGTTTAAATACACTTTTGCTACTTATTATCCATCTACTTAAACCAGTTTGAGGTCTGATCACTGGAAATGAATCTTACATAGTTGAAAGAATTAAAAAGGCATAATATGCAAAATTTCTGATACATAAGCAATAAATCTTAGTGTGCTCATTCTTATTGTATGCTAATCTTCTTTCTTTATTTTGTTTTCTAACAGTAACCCCTTTTCCACTCAAGAAAACAAAAACAAAAACAGTCTGTTCTCATGCTGCTAATAAAGACAGAGCTGAGACTGGGTAATTTATAAAGAAAAAGAAGTTTAATGGACTTCTACATGACTGAGGAGGCCTCACAATCATGGTGAAAGGCGAAGGAGGAACAAAGGCACATCTTACCTGGCAGCAGGCAATAGAGCATATGCAGGGAAACTGTCCTTTATAAAACCGGCAGATCTCATTAGACTCATTCACTATTACGAGAACATCATGGAAAAACCCACTCCATGATTCAATTGCCTCCCACCGGGTCCCTCCCATGACACATGAGGATTATGGGAGTTACAATTCAAGATGAAAAGACGGATGAGGTCACAGCCAAAGCATATCAGTGGGTTATTAAATATAAACTCTAAATGTTATTATGTGTTAGAGAGTAGAGTTATGATAATCCAACCTCCCATCAGTCCTCCCTTCTGAACTAAATGTCTGGAGGAGTTTACACCTTAAAAACAATTGACAATTAATGAATAAAATTCCAGTTTAAAATGGACAGTTTTTAAATACACCAAGAAAGCTAAACAAGTTTTCTATTTCATCTTCTCTCTGTTTATGATTGCCTAATACATCTTACTTTTTTACCTCTTTACAAATATCTGGTTGGAGTGGAAGGGGCTGCAAAGGACATAGAAAGGATTAGATAGTTTCGTTTTAACTGTTTAACCCAGTAAGAAAACATGCCCAATCACTGTTCCATTCTCTGGCCCTTTACATTAGCAATAAGGGTCCTGAAAAGGAGTTAAGGAGAAAAAGAACTGTTTATCCTCTCAAAAGCTACAATGTAGGGAGACAGAAAAATTATCCACTCCCTCTATATATTTGCTCATGATTTGGAATAGTCTGACACTGAAAACTATACTCTGTATTCCAGGAGCCAAAATGTATAAGTGCATTATCATTATATAAATATTTTCTTTCAAAGAGATTCTTTAAGAGGATCTAATAAAAGAAATTTAAATTCTATAACTTGAGAAGCTGAAATGAAACAGGACTGATGCATTACATTTTGTAATGCACAATCAATCAGAAAGAAGCACTCAACCCCACTGAGAAAGAGAAACCATCCTCCCAAACCTACATCAACTCCACCCCCACATGGATGATCATGTACTGCCTTGATTTTTTAAAAAAATTATGATAGTTATTCATGCCTCTTGTTTTTGAAATTCAGCAATTAAGTTTCATATAGGATTTTAATGTATTTGCCACAAGATTCACTGAAAGCAGTTAAAAAGAAAACACCTCTTGGTTTAATATTTTAAAACTTCAACTTATTATTCATGTGGATGAGATTAGAGACAGCCATAGGATCTTAAGACATCTATTGTATAACACTTGCTGTCACTCTATTAATAAAATTCTCAGTGAGTGCACCTGTGACACATGGACTTCGCCTTGATATATTAAGCTTTACTCGGTATATTTTTCTTGCAATCAGGCAGATCATTTAGTAAGTTAAAAGTCAGGCTCTAAAACCAGAAGGTCAGGGGATCCCAAGTTCTACTAGTTACTGACTTTGTGACAATAATCAAGTTATTTTGCCTTTCATTGCCTCATGCTTCTCACTTTAACATGGGATAAAAGTATAAATGTCATAGTCTTATAGAGATTAAATGAATTAATATATGTAAAGTGCTAAGCATAAAACCTGTAAGTGTAATGCATACTGGACAAGTATGGCAACTCTATTATCAATTAAATCTTCTTGAAATTCACTCTTTTTTTTTTTATTTGAGACAGTCTTGCTCTGTTGCCCAGGCTGGAGTGCAATGGCATGATCTCGGCTCTCGGCTCACTGCAACCTCCGCCTCCTGGGCTCAAGCGATCCTTCTGCCTCAGCCTCCTGAGTAGCTGGGATTACAGGTGTGTGCCACCACGCTGGCTAATTTTTTGTATTTTTAGTAGAGACGAGGTTTCGCCATGTTGGCCAGGCTGGTCTCCAACTCCTTACCTCGGGTGATCCACCCACCTTGGCCTCCCAATGAAATTCACTTTTAATGAGCTTCATTGATACATGTGTGTTTGTTTGTTTTTCCCAGTAAACTGTAACTGTTAAAAGGGCAGATATTTGTCTGTGGTTCTATATCATTAGTGTTTAGAAGTGCCTGACACAGCCTACGTGTTAAAAAAATATTTGCTGAATGAAGTAAATAAATAACTGAATTCAATTTTTTAAAAAGTACTTTAAAACCATGGGGGCTATTGATTATATAATAATAATTTAGAAGTAATAATAACACAATTGTTTTTCAATCAATTATTATATGCCATCCTTGAATGTATCATTTAATAGGAGTCTAACTAGATTCTTACTGGCAGTATTACTATCATCTGCATTATAAATATGAGGACTCTTGTAATCAAAAGGGTGAATTATAAGCTGCTCAAGGTCATTCACTAAATATTGAAGCTAGGATTTATGACCAAGTAATATTATAGACAAAATGTGATTTTACTCTCAATGTCAAGAAACACTCTCTTTTTCAGATTTCTACAGAAATCACTGTGGCATAAAAATCTAATAATTGAATTAAATTTAGAAATTAGAAGTTGTTATTTCAAAGTATAAAGTATTAAAGTATTTTCAGAAATGCATTTTCAGTTATATCTAAACACACAGCAAAAGGGACTCAGATGTTATCCCACGAACAAGCAAATCCTTAAATTTTAAGAAAGTGAGTTTCATTGATTTTCATCTTGGCTGAAGGCCATTTTGAAATAAGTTGGTATGTAGCTCATAAAACATACAATAAAAAACAGGCAAACAATCAAAAGGCCAAGTTAGAATTATCCAGCTGTCAGGACTTTTGAGAAGGAAAAAATATACAGTCTGCCATCAAATATAGAGTAGGAATTAATTATTGTTTGCTTGATGAGGAAACAAATCAGATAATACCCATCTATTTAAAGATATAATTGATGCTGATCTATCAAAGACAGGAAGGAGAAATAAAACATTTTTCTGGATTTTATGAGAATCAGATTTTTAAGCAAAGTAAAACATACGAGATTCTAGAACCAAATGTATAGTATGTTTATCAAAAGATTATTTCCATTTTATGTCATAAAGGAAGCTAATATAAAATGATAAAAAATAGACAAACACCTTCAATACTAGGAACTGAATGAAAAAGAACCATAGTCATATAGGCTGGCATAACTGAATTGCTGCCTAATGTGTTGCATTGAATCCCATTAGGAAGAACTTTAGTTTAACAAGCATTAATTTTAAAATGAAACATAAGAAATTCTGTAGTAGAGAAGGTTAAAACTTTTGGAATCAAATATATGATTACATTAAAAATAAATGCCAAGGTTCTATAAAGTCATGGGATTTATGAAAAAGTATAAGAAAAATGATGAGAGCAAAATATGTTCATTTAATATTCAACAAATATTTATTAACTACCATCTAACAGAGTGCTAGGGTAAAATTGATTACTTCTTCCTTCACCTAGTAACTAACCTATTCAATATTAGGGGAATTTTCCAACAATTCAAGATAAAGAGCAGAGATTACAGAAAAATAATGATAAACTGTAAGACAGGTTTAACAGCAGGGCACAAAATTTCGAAATTTAATCTTTTTTTGTTCATTTGCTTTGCATATTTCTCTATTTTCCTGAGTGTTATATGGACCCATTTAAAAATATGAAGTAAATCTGAGGATAAAGAAGAGACTAATGCATAAATAGTATTTTTACACAAACTTTAAATGTCAATAAACCAATAACTTAAAACACTACACCATTCATGAAAATCTCAGTGAATTAAGCAAATCTCTAGGCAGCTTAGTTTCAAAAATTATTTTAGGCTCAACGACATGAAAATATCTAATTTGAAATAAATATTGATAGAATGTAGTTACTTATACAATTTTCCACAAGTAAAATGATGACTTACTATATTCTAGAAATTAACTAGAGATCTGGCAGTATAATGATGAATAAATGATAATTCCTGCCCTGCACATGATCGTAATTCAATCAGACCATGAAAATAACATAGAAGGAAGATAAATAGATAGAGGTCAAGAAATATGCTACAATTAAATCCACATGGACTCAGACAGAAAGATGTCTTTAACTGTTCTTGGTGAAGACAGGAACGTTTTCTGAGATGGTTGCTTTTAGAGCAAGGAAAGGAAACTTTCCACCAAGTCATAGAAGAAAGGTGGACTTTCTGGCAGAGGGAACACCTATCTAAAAATGTGTATTAAGTTTAGGGATTATAAATGAGCTCAAACAATCAGGATTGCAGGGTCATATGGAAAATTTATATTAATTAAATTTAGAAAACCAGAAGTGCCATGTCTTGAGGATCTTTGGTCTCATATTTAAGGAGTTTGAGTAATAAGGAACATTTGGCTGATTGAGACTGCGTTTTAAAAAGATCACGTGAGCATCAATATGGAGAGTGGCGTGCAAGGAAGAAGAAAATGGGGCCAGGGAACCCAGTAACCAATGTATTCCAATGGTTCAGGAAAAAATGTGTAGAGGCAGGAGATAAGGCAGTGCAGGTGGGGAAGAAGGGAAGGGATGAATTGAAGGGATCTTAAGAAGTTGGGTATGAAAGTACATTTTGGTTAAATTAGAAGTGGGGCTAAATGAAAAGGAAGAATCTAGAAGAGTGATTCTACAATGTTCACTGCCCCTATTAAACATACATATTTAAACACATACAATTTTTACGTAGAATTTCAGGAAGTTTTCTCAGATAATCTGACACTCAATGAAATTCAATTCAGAGTTCAATCGGAGAAGCAGAACCAATAGGAGACTGATGAGATAGATGGATAGATAGATAGATAGATAGATAGATAGATAGACAGACAGATAGCTAGATATAGAGAATAGATGATAGAGAGAATACATGATAGAATAGATGATAGATAGATAGGTGATAGATAGATAGATTAGCTAGACATAGAAGAGAGAGATAGAGAAAGATAGAAAGCAAGGATTTGGCTTCCTCAGTTGTTGGGCTGGCTAGGCAAATCCAAAATGTGTAAGACAGGCAGTCAGGAAGAACAGACTGGGACTCTCAGGCACGACTGAAGCTGCTGTCCACAGGTACAAGGTCTTCTCTTTGAGGGAAGTCTCAGCTGCTCTTCAGGCCTTTCAACTGACTGAATTATGTTTTCTCAGATTGGCAAGACTATTCTCTCTTACTTGAAGTAAACAGATTGTTGATTTTATTCACATCTCCAACATATCTTCACAGCAACGCTGGATAAGTGTTTGGTTGCATAGCTAGAGACTTTAGTCTATCCACGTTTTCATGTCAAAGACCATCATGCTATCAACCTCAACCTCAAAAATCTCTGTTCTCAAATGATACCAGATTTTTTATTTAGGAAAATGGAACTATTATGCTGCAATGAATCAAAATGGGAGAAGAAAAAGGAAAGGATAATAGATTTTTTGGTGGCAACAGTCATATTCTGGATATGATTTTGAAGTCACCATGGAATATTTAAGAATAAAATATGTTTTAACATTTTAAATGAGTGTTAAAATGCTGACATGACATACTAATGTGTAAGAAATAACTTAAAAGCATGCTTTTTCTTAAAGTGGTTTTGTGTGCTAGAAAATATAGGCAAGTGAGGATGGGAAACCTGGCTTTTACTTCTTAATATGTCACTAGGAAACTTTGCGTTTGGAAAAGGTATGTAACCTGTGTATGTCACTGTCTTATCTGTTAATTAAGGGGGACAGACCAGATTATAATGCATTGAAATGATTTTTTTTTCAGTATGACAAATAGTTCTCCTCAAAGTTGGAAGTAGGTTGCTGTTAACTAACACTTCACAAAATGCTTATAGTCAATAGTAGATTAAACACAAGTAAACATAGATAAAAGGATGGCAGAGAGAGAGAGAAGAGAGATATATTAAATGATTTCTCTGGCTATATCTAATTGTTAACCAGTTATTTTTATTCTTTCTTAGTATTTAGTTCTACATTTGTTCAACAACATTGGCACTTAATACAGTCAAAACTTTGAAGCCATATGCTTTCAGACACTCAGTATTGCACTTGCATACTTTTTTACATTAAACATTTACAAAAATTAATAAGAGAAGGATAAAAAATGAAAATAAGAATGAGAAGGAGAGAAAGTGTGAGAATAAGGAAAATGTGAAAGTGAAGGAGCATAGCTACCAGAAATAGAAATCTCATGGACACAAAATCAATTGTGGTTAATTTTGCCTTTGATGTACAAAAATTCATATTTAATCACTGTGATAATAAATTATTTCATTCCATTAAAATCTTTTCTGTGTAAGATTTCCTATACCACTAGATTATTGGTTGCCTAAATGTATGTTGTGCCTGAGTCATTGAATTCATACTCTATTCTGCAATGCTGTCAGCAATAGAGGTGATTTGCTACAAATTCCAGTTGTATTTGTGCATAAAATGTATTGATCCTAACTCCATATTCTCTAATTATCAGTCACTGCCAACCGACTTCCTGGGACTTGTCCTTGCCGGATATGCCACAATAGGTAAATGTGATACTGAAATAAAATAAGCCAATGAGATATTACTGAATAAATATTGTTTCTCTCTGTCTACACAATTTCATTCATTTCTTACTGAGGTTCTTCATCACATCCTAGCAATACCAATGAACATTTACAGGAAGGTTTAGCAAGTGAAAGGAAAATTCTTATAGGAGAAATAACAAAACTGAACTAAGTTCTCTAGGTTTGGTTTTACCCAGGCATGAACAAACTCATTACACTCTAATTCCCTCCAAAATTTACATTAATTATATTTACTGACCTGTACTTTTTCAAGTGGCCCAAGTTACTATCTTGTATTTTGTTTGATGATGTCCAAAATGCTTTTAGCAAATAATGATTCACAAAACTGACCCTTTACGAACTTTCTTTTGTTTTTCACAACCATGTTAATGATGCGCTCAATGTCAGTGAGTACTGGCAGCATAATAAAGAAGGGAGATTTATTTTATTTTGTTTTATTTTACTTTGATATTAACTTACATGTGAATCTCATCTAGGCCTACTTTCTCACAGCATTTTAAAATCTGACTTACGAATTTGCCAAATTTGTCAACCACTATCAACTTCAACTTCTCTGCCTAACAAAGAAAATCAAAGATGACATTGATCCAAAATGATGCATATTATAAAATAATGTTGATTTTGCTAAGGAATGTGTTTCTGATTTTTCTGCATTGTATCCATTACTATTAATATATAAGCATTCATTCACAATGTTTGAAATAATGAAGCCCCTTAGTCCTCCATCTTCCATTAGCTGTAGGCTGCCATTCAGATTAATTGTAAACAGAACTGGTGATGATATTATCAAAGATGTTACTTGCTTGTAGGGACAGCTAATTCCTCTGTTATAATCTTTTTTGAAGCTATGAAAGGCAAAAATGCTTAATCACATTGGAACTTTAATCATATATAAGGCATTTTAAGATTTGAAATAAATGAAGTTATATTAGAGATGAACTTAAGAACTGATTTCATTTTCTGAAATAACATTAAACTAGACCATATGCCGTATGTGCTGTATACTTATCTTGCCTCTATAGGCGTATACCTGAAAAAAAAATTCAAGTTGTTTATATTTACCCAATTCTCTAGGAAAGCAAACCTTAAGTTAAATTGCAAAAATACAAAAACAACAATAGTATAAACTTAAAAACAAACAAACAAACAAACAAAAAACATCAATATGGGACCCAAGCAGTCCCACAGAAAGTGAGTGAGCCAAGATTGAAATACAGGCTATAAAAGACAACTTTTACATGATTGAAAAGTTATAGTGGAAAAGATCACTTACTGAAAATCTCTCTGCTACCACCGAGTCAAAATGCCTAAAATATTTCCATAAAGTTATTTCTTTTACTTAAAGCACTATGCCATCCATTGTCCACCATATGCTTTATTGCTTCTGGAAGATTACAGCTATCAACATGCCAGCTTCAGTTAATTTACTTGATGATTTGCACCAGTATTTAATAACTTTGTGTGATAATCATTATTTACATGGTTGGATTTCCTATTGTCCCACACTGTATAACACAAGCTTCACTTCACAATAACTGTAAACACAAACCAGGAAAAATGCCCAGAAATGTAATTAAATAATTTTAGACATAGAACTTCTGACATAAAGACCTCCTTTTTCCTCCACTGGCAAAGGGTGAAGAGGGCTGTTATACGAGAAGGACACAAGGAGCTCTCTGTGATCTTTTTCTTTTTTTCTCTTTCTCTCCCTTAAATCTGGATATATACAGCCAATATTTAGGTCATAAGCCATATGGAGTCCATGTGGCCCCAGAGTGTGACTCAATATATATTAGCTACACGTATGCAGCATTATAGAATAAAGGGAGGTGAAATCAGTGGTCCGTAGCCTCCATCACAAAGGGTGACATGTGCTAGATGAGCAGATTGATAAATTTGGGGTGATGGTGGTATAGTGGGCTGCATATCCTCGAGTTATTAAACTTATGAAACAATTAATGTTGCACATCAATGATTATTGAGAATATACCAATATATCTCCTTCTCTATTTCTATTTTTATCTATCTTCCTATATATCAGTCTATCTAAAATGAGTTTAGATATGCTTTGCAGGAATGTGGCAGGCATGGTGTTACTCTATGTTAGCCCAATGTTGGTTGGCTATGTTTTTCACATGATCATTCCAGCCAAAAGATGCCCAATATTTAGTAATTACATATGTAAAGCCCTTCACTACAGGTAGAAAATAAAAAAGCTTACATGGGACAATGGGTTAGACTGGATTTGAAAATATTTATTTATAAGAGACTTGCAAAAAGTAGTCATTTTATTTTTCAATAAAACAAATCCAATTTTAAGAAAATATTAAATAATTCATCACAAGTTTTAAAATAACATGTTTAAATTTAAATTAGGAAAAAGAATGCTTACATCAGTGAATATGATTTTCTTTTACAGTCAAAGTAGCCATTCAAAATACCTGATTAGAACTATTTTTTTTTTTTTTTTGGTGGTGGGGGTGGCGTAGACAGAGTCTTGCTTTGTCACCTAGGCTGGTGCAATGGCGCAATCTCAGCTTGCTGCAACCTCTGCCTCCTAGGTTTAAGTGATTCTCGTGTCTCAGCCTCCTGAGTAGCTGGGATTACCTGCACTGCCACTATGCCTGGCTAATTTTTGTATTTTTAGTAGAGACAGGTTTTTGCCACGTTGGCCAGGGTGGTCTCAAACTCCTGACCTCTGCCTGCCTTGGTCTCCCAAAGTGCTGGGATTACCAGCATGAGCCACTGCACCTGACCTGATTAGAATTCTTAACGAGGATCTGTTCAAATTTTTCAAAGATAACTGTTAACAACAAAAACTGGGTTACAAAATCAATGATAATTTTTAAACAAATCTTTGAAATCATTTAAAAGTTTATATTTTAAAATATTTAAATAATGTAAGTTTTTTTGCTTTTATTATGTAAAAGTTTATATTTTTTAGTTTTTGTTTAAATTTTCTAATTTTGTTTGCTTTTATGGAGAGATGTAATGTTAAAATGTAATGTTCAAGTTAATGTTGATTTAAATTGAAAACAGATTCTATGTCTAGAAAAAAATGGCAAAGCTCTAAGTTCAGGACAAGCACACATTGTTATAGCAGTCACTGGGCATCTAGCTTGGATGCCACTGAAAGGGCCCTCAAGACAGACAGAAGCGTCTAATAAATGTGAATCTAGCCATTCTGGTGATCTCATTAAAGCTCTGCCTGCCAAGAGTGCCAGCATAGCCTTTCTGCCCCCTACTGGACAGGCTGCTGTTCATGTGGCAGAGCACGCATCTCCAGCACCTGGGCCACAAACATGTCCAGCAGCTCCATAGGGACCTTGCCTTCTGCTGGGCAGAGGCGCAAGATGAGGCTAGCTGCTAAAGCAGATAGAGCCCCTGCTTGGGAATGTTCATCCCAGAACAGTGGAACTGATGTTGTTCGTCATTCTTCCTTCCTGTTGGGAGGGCAGGGAGTGGCCTCAGACCCTTCTCAGCTAGAGCTACACTCTGACACATCCCCAATGAAATCAGTACCTGGGGTTACGCCTGTAACCCATTTAGGACAAACTTGAGGCCAATATTCCACTGACTAGGAGGCTCTATTTTATCAATACCTATTCCTAATAAAATACACTATGGAAGAAAATATACAAAAACATCATTAGCATACATCTTTATTTTAAAATGCCAGACACAATAAATCTCTGAAAGGACAATCTGTATTGGAGAAACTGGGTGGAAATTTTACAATTGGTCTGGGAATGGGGGAGCAATCAGTCAAATTCCAGTTGATTTTAGAAATTGTTTATGCAAAAAATAGTTCCTGGAAAAATGAGTATTTTTGTAGATTAGCCACCATAGTTTGGGCAATTTTCATTTTATCAAGTGATGTGAGAAAGAAGATTTAGGAGGTAAAGTGCTGTGTGAGAAGGTAGGGAAGAAAAGTAAGTTTTCCCTCAGCCCTCATAAGTTCTTAGTTGGAGTGGATCCCTGTAACAAAAGACAGATTAACAGGAGAAAAACAAAAGTTTATTAACATGTAGAGTTTTATATATACCTGAGTAATAACCAGTAAATCAGTAGTTCTCAATGATATGGCTTTGGGTTCTGGTTTATATAGTATCTTTAACAAAGAAAAGTACCATTTTAGAGAAGTCACGGGACAAAAGGAAAAGGACTTTTGAGTCTCTAAGGGCAGCAACTTGTGGAAAGGCAAATAGATAATAGATAAATGCTAGTTAGTAGAGCGTGTTAATGTAGATTCCCCTGGTGCCATCTCCAGCCCTGGATGGGTCTAAAGTGTTCTTCAGCGGTTAACCTTTGTTCTTTTGATAGAAAGGGGAGATGGGATCTTTTTTGTCTTTGTAAATTTCTGTCCTGTTTTTAGGCCAGTAGAAGGAGGGCAGAGAGCTTTCCAACATTTGCTTCATCTTAATTGCCTTCAGCTCAAGAATTCTTATGCCAAAAGGGAATATTTTGAGGTGGCACAGTTAGGTCCTTCTTCCACAAAAGGATGGAGAGAGATAGCTGGGAGGGCAAAGGTCATGTGAAAGCCACAGAAGAAAATTCTCAGTCCTTCAGGGTTTCTTACAGTACCACCGTAAGGACCTGAAAAATATATGTCAAAAGTTTTCACTTTTCTAGCTTTCTTAACTTTATAATTCCAAGGATCCGTTTTGGTAAGCTAAATCCGGAAAAAGAGGTGAAAAGAGAAATAAAGAAGAGAGAAAAATGGAAAGACTTAGTTGCTTATTTCTGCCATAAAATATAAAAAATAATGATTTATTTCCTTCGAGTCAATTATTTCCCTGTTATAACTTTATTTTTAATTTCACATTTTAATCTTTTATACTCTCTCCCCATGAAATAGCCTGAATGTTATTTAAGAATTATCCAAATAGAATTTGAGTAAAATAACATTACAGTTAGTGGAAATAATTCAGCCTTTTGAGTAAGCTGAATACAGTTTTGGTTCTGTCTGTATCACTTTTTAAAATATATTGTTGAACAAGTTAGACCTCAGAGTCCCCATTTTGAAAATTGCTTTTGTGGTTGAATCTGCAGATTAGAAGTGTAATATGCTTAAAACACACAAACAGGGTGCTAGCTTATAACAGGTTTATTAACATGTAGAGTTTTATATACACCTGAATGATAGCCAGTAAATCAGTAGTTCTGTAGGGATTTATTCCTCTCCCTTTTCTCCTTTTCCTTCCCCTTATCCTTTTGATTTGATAAGATCTTACCAGATACTAGGAAAGATACTAATTTTGAATAAAGCAAAAGATCACTTACCCATAAAAATACTCATACCTTTACCTTTAAGTTCCTCATCCTTTCTTGCCCTTACCCCTTCAGTAAAATCCAGGAATGTTTTTGTTTTTTCTTTTACCTGAATGGTATAGATACTTTTTTCATTTGTAGGAAAATGCAATGCTTATTAGAGTTAACTGGGAGAGAGGGGTCCATTCATCCACTCAACAGTTATTTATTAATCACCTAAACATTCAAGGCAGTGTTCTAGTAGTTGGGACTAATCAGTGAATGAAACCCTGTACTTAGGGAACTTATATTCTAGAAGGAAAAACACACCATAAGCAAGTAAGAGTATAATATAAAAATACATAGTGGTAAGTGCTATGGGGGAAAACACATCAGTGCATAAGATGGAGAGTGACAGATTTGGAGAGGGCTAGAACTGCTGATAAAGAAGTCTTAGGTGGTATTATTTGTGCCTATACTTGATGAAGTGAGCGAGGGACAACTGCGGTGTGAGCGGAGATTTTTAATGAAAAAATTATCCTGGCCGGGTGTGGTGGCTCACGCCTGTAATCCCAGCACTTTGGGAGGCCGAGGCGGGTGGATCACCTGAGGTCAGGAGTTCAAGACCAGCCTGACCAACATGGGGAAATGGTGTTTCTACTAAATACAAAAAATTAGCCTGGCGTGGTGGCGCATGCCTATAACCCCAGCTACTGGGGAGTCTGAGGCAGGAGAATCACTTGAACCCAGGAGGCAGAGGTTGCAGTGAGCTGAGATTGCACCCTTGTACTCCAGCCTGAGCAAGAAGAGCAAAACTCCGTCTCAACAACAACAACAACAAAGAAAAGGAAGAGAAAAGGAAAGAAAAAATTATCCATGACATTTGTTAAAACTGTAAGGCTGACTTTATTCAGCAGGGACTACTACAATGGTGTTTGGTAGTAGGGAAGAGAGATTTGGCTCAACTTTGAATCCAGTGAGGAAGAGTGGAGACTTATAGCCAAGGAGCAGAGTAGGGGGATCCATCAGTGGATGGAAAATTAGTAAGTAGGGTAATTCTTTGCTAAACCGATCTAACAGGATTTTTACTGGAGCTAGGTGAGGGTGGTCAGACCAAAGCTGCAGAATTTTCCCTAAACAGACTGTTATGATTCTTAATAAAACTGGAATAAGTGGGCCAAAACAGAGCCAAGTTCAGGGCTTAGTAAAAATAGAGGACTCAGAGGAGCCTGAATAGAGTTAGGTCAAGAAAAGACCATTTTTCATGAGGCAGCAGTGAATGAATATTTACTGTAATATAATATTACATTTTCCCATTCAAGATTTGTTTGTATTTTGGTAGATACACTCTACCTGGAGAATTCAGTATGCTGAGTCAATTAGTATGCTAACAAACATGCAAATAGATCAAACTTCATGAATTTAAAAAAGGAGTCTATCAAAATTATAAGCCATCCCTAAAAATCCTATTTAAGCTTTATTAAATATAAAATGAACCTCAATCAAGAAAACAAAAATCTGAAATAATTGCTGAGATATTAGAAATTTTGAGAATGTTTGTAGGAAGAAAAGGAAGGGGAGATTAGTTCGTAAAGAGCAAAAATGTCTTGCAATATGGTAATATGAAATATTTTAGGAGGAGGCAGCTGATCATTTTTCTTACTTCTCACTTTAACTATCCAATCAGCTAGTACTGAAATGCCCTGAATATGTGAAAGCTTCAATTCCTCCCAGATCTCTTTCCATTGTGTGGCTCAGCAGGTATCTTTTTAAAGGTAAAATGTTCTTAGTTGTCATTAACAATAGTGCAGATCTGTGACCACTGTGAGTGCTTCTTTTGTTCCCTCTGGAACTTTCTCTGACAGTTTTTCAATTCTCACTAGTAAAATTGAATCTATCTTTTCCAACTGTTCATCATTGGGTAATTGCATTCCTATTTGGGTAATTATCTCCTTAATGAGAAAATTGCATTTCTTCTCAATTTCTGCCATATTCCTGAGAACCAATTTATTTAGTTCAGTCATAGTAAAGGTCAACTACTAGAAATATTTACCCTTCCTTCTTAAATCTCTTATTAGTCTCACAGTAATTCAGCTGTATTTCTTATTATAACTAATCTCTTCCTTCTAAGAACACTAGATACAATCAAATCTATCTCTGATCAAATGCCTATTGTCTTTATTTTCAAATTCTAGAGAATCATTACTCTCTGAATAGTGACTGAACAGAAAACTTTTTTCCTTTGGTTCTGGGTTTAAAAAATTTGTTTTTATTTTAACCTTGAAATTAAGCATTCCTATTTAGTAATTTGATACATTGAAGTTAGAAATTGGATTTAAAATGATTGTGTCCTGTATTGCATTATTTGTACTTGCATTTGAGGACATAACTATTTTTCAAACAGGTAAACTGTGAGGAACATCAACAGAATTTTATGTGCCCTCAGAATTTTAAAACCTTTTATATAGTTTTTGACCACACAAAATGTAGTTATCATATACCATATCAATATATTTCTAATGAGGGTGTGTACCTTTTCATCAAAGTAATTCATTAAAACCAGTCAATTTTTGAGGAATATGATTCAACAATTTTGGGGTATATATAAAATGTTTGTAAACATTTTTAAAGATGGCACAACACTGAAGTATGTGTTTTCATTTTTAAATATCTTCTGTGATAAATATTAATGTCTCAGAATAAAGTATACACCATCTTAATTTTTGTAATGTAAAATAATAAAAATTAAGTTAAAATGTTATATAAATATATATATATTGCATACTACAATTATAAAGACAATGGTTTAAGTCCAATTCCTACCACTTTCTAGTTTTGTGGTCTTGGCAAGTTACAAAATTTCTTTGAAGTTTTAGTTTTGCACTTGTAAAACACATGCCAGCCTCATAGAATTATCAGAAGGACAAAATATAATAAATATATTTAAATTGAATACAGTGGTTGAGAGAGTGTGAACGTGATAAATTATATCTTGTTTATTCACTTATTCAACAAATATTTATTGACTGTCCATGCCTCCTAGGGATAAAATAGTAAATACATGCATACAGTGGCAAGCTTATCTAGGAGATAAGAATGAGGAGTATTACTGCTAGGTTGGAAGTTAAGCTTTAAATTGTTAAGGGCTTTAAAGTTTTAAGGGCTTTTACAGGAAAAGGTAATTGACATATTTAAGGGACAGTAAGGAGACCATGGTAGGTGGAGCCTGAGTAGGAGAAGACAAGCAGTAGTAACTAAAGTTTATTGAACACTTCCAATATACAAGGGATATTCTAGATGCTTTGTATTTATTAACTCACTCTTAAAAATCTCAGTGATCATTTTGTTATCCCCGTTAAAGAGCAGAGAGATTAAATAACACCTGGTAAGTGATGGAGCCGTCATTTGTACTTGCAGAGGTGAAAAGGACTTCTCTGTCTCTGAAAGTATAATAACTGAATCTGCTGAAATAAACTGATAATAGATTAATAGGAGAAAAGGCATACAGATTTATTACTTGCAAGCACATCATAGTCCTACAAAATACAAGATTCAAAGAAGATGGTTGAAGCTTAAATATCCTCTACATAAGAGACAGGGAAATGAAGAGTGTAAGCAATTTTAGAGAAGGGGTAAATGATTTTTAGAGGTGATCAATGCATCCAAATCACCCAGACCATAGCCTGGGAAAACGTTTTTCTGGGCTCCGGATGAGTATCAACTCTAGCCTTCTTTCTTGTGAGTTCATCTTTCCAGTTTGATGAGATTATAGGGAAGAGGCTCAAGACAATTGCATTCCTTCTGGAGGAACATAGTAACATTTCCTAGTCAGGTAAAAGAACTTCAGAGAAAGCTTCCTCCCTGCATTTGCTGCTCCCCAGGTTCTTTTGAAGTCAAAAGCAGCATATTTTGGGATATCATTTCCTGAGTCCACACAAACTAAGAAGTCAGCTCCTGAGACTATGTTCTGAATCACTGTATAATAGGAATGGAAACAGAGTTGTGAGGGTGGGGGAGGTCATTGCAAACATACAAGATTTTCCTTTGTGATTAAAAGCCACTTGAACATTGTGAGTAGAGAAGTATTATGATTTACCTTTAGTTTTAACAGGAGCACTTTCCTGTGTAGTTAAGAATGATCGTAGTGGCAAGTGCGGAAGCAGGGACAACAGTTAGGAAGCATTTGTAATAATAAAAACGAGCAATGGTGGTAGCTTGGATCAGAGTGATGGTGTTGATGAAATATGTTAAGAAATGGTTAGAATCTGCATACAGTGTGACATTAAACCCTATGGTATTTGCTGGCAGAATGATTGTGAGGTATGATATAGTATATTCAAGGATAGCCCTGTTGTCAACCTCAACAACTAGAAGGATGCAGTTGTCATTAACTGATATGGGAGGACGTGGTCTCAGGGTGAAGGTGAAAAGGATAGTTTCAGACATGCTGTATTTCAGATTCCTATTAGACATCCAAGTAGAAATATTGATCGCACCACTGGATACTCAAGTCTGTATTCTTTAGCATATAAATAATATGTGAAGTCATGAAATTGGATGAGATTACTACAAGAGGGAGTGTGGATCAAAAAGCCGAAAGGTCTAAGGGCACTTCTAGACTTTAGCAGCAGGAAGGTAAGAAAGACATAGCAATGAGATGAGAAAAGCTAGCTAGTGAAGTATATGAGAAACACAAAGATCGTGATATCATGCATGCCTACTGCAGTGTTCCTAGGAAGAAAGAGTGATTGTGGTAAACATTGCTGAAAGGTCCTGTAAAAGGGGCACTGAAATTTGGTCATTAGAATCAGCAACATGGGGGTCATTTATAACTCTGAGAATAGCAACATTTGTGGAAAGTTGGAGGCAAAGAAGAGAGAGACAAGGAGAGAGTGAGAAAGAGAGAAAGAAGGAACTAAAGACGATTTGAACAGACCACTATTCCAAGAAGATTTACTGTAATGAGGAGCAGAAATAGTGCACCTAGCTTCCCTGTTTGTCGTATATGAAATCAAGACACGTTGCTTTATTCTAAAGGTGGTAAAAATATATTTTTATGGTGATATGGATGATACAATAAAAGGGAAAAATTGATGATGCAGAAGGAAAGAGAAAATACCTAGGGAGATATCCTTATGCAGTTGAAAGCAGATGGGGTTTAATGTACCCATGGATGTGTTTCGCTTACAATCACAGGGAATTCATATACAGGAAGAAACAAAAAGAAATAGTACAATACCTGCTAATACGGAGAGATGAGAAGATGTGGTGGTGCGGGTGTATGGAATCAATGTTCTGATTGCTTCTATTTAGTATTTCCTCAGCATATAAGAGAAAAGAAAAATGTTATAGATGAATGTAAAGTAAGTAGAGAAAAGGAAAGCCTAAGAAAAAATATTATAATGGCCAAACAGCATTACTAGACCACTTGCAGTCAGTCGTCTTAAATTTAAAATAAGATCTGTTAACATTCACAGGATTTTATGTTTTTATATAGCTTTGTTCAGTTATAAGATCTATTACTTTCCATCAAAATTTCTTTCGTCATAATCAAGTTAAGCTGTGCATGTGTCTATCTATCTAGGAGTTGTATTTCAAAGGTTTATTTTTACCTAGGTGGAGTAACGTGACTACATGTGTACCTAGGGATGTGAGCAGAAGGATATGGGAAACTCCTCCTTCAATTGCTTAAAATAATACTGTTAACCTACATGTTCTCTCTTTCTAGATTATATAAATTGAGCCATGAGCATGCACATGATCCAGCTCCAATCAGGAAGGTGAGGACAAGGCCCTAGCTGTGGGGGGAAGAAAAAGAGAACCTAGATTCCTGAAAGTCTGCAACGAGTAGAGGAAGACATTGATGCTAAGGTAGACCATTCATCTTGATATCTTTAGTTGAAAAACAGTAAAACTTTCTCTCGTTGAATTCTATACATTTGTCATGTATCTCTGTTAAAACAGTGTATTATTGACCCTGATAGTCAAGTGAGAATGACAGCCAAGATAATAATTGAATTTTAGTTGGGTTTGGAGACTTGTTAAAGTACGAGGACAAAGTAAGAGTGGTGACAGGGCTCAGGGTGGGTGCATGAAAGACATAATAATGAATCAAGACTTTTAAGCTGTGTAAAAAAGGAAGTGAGGACCTCAGTAAGAGATAGGGAATGGTGGTAAAATCAAGTTATCTAAGGTCAAAATATTGTGAGAATTAAGTTTCAAAGAGAGAGAGACTGTAGAGAGAAGGAAGAATGGTAAAAAATGGAATATTTGAAATTGAAATTATGAAAGGTACAATTATTTATAATGACAAGATTCAGATCATGACCATAGAGTTACTTAAACCGAGGTAAAGTGAATAATAAGAGAAGCTGAGAGGAAAGAGTGTTTGCTTTTGATCAGCAATCTGGATATTGGAAGAAGCTAGAATTATAACAGGCAGTGTTGGGGATAGTGACATTAAAGCAAGAGTTAAATTTTCAAAGAATAAGAAACAATGACCTAAAGATTGCTAAATGAGTTCAACCATGAGAAGTGATTATTATTGTAGTATGTGTTTAAGCCTTACTTCAGTTAACTTATTTCAAACTTCGTAACCATGTAGTCCTTGATAACACATCTTTTACTTCATTTTAGGAACTAAGTATTAAGGATATTTCATAGCAGAGAAAGAGAACATACATAAAACTGTGGAACAATGACAAATGTTGAATTTTAGAGATGTTACAATTGGTTGAAATAACAAACATTTTTATAGCTGGTGTTCTGAGTTTTTCTTTTTTAGCACAAAGCAAAATGCCACTGTCAGCAAGAAAAAGCAAATCATTTGTATCACAGCAGGGAACAAAGATAATAAAACAATAGTGTGAGCCAACTACAACCTCTTTTCCTCTAATCACTCTCCTTTGAAAACTAGAACTTGGTAATTAAAGAGAACCTGGCTTATGTATTGGATGCCATGGAAAAGCAATTCAAGAAAAAAAATTTTGTAGCTTAAGGAAAAAAAAAATGGATTGGGTATCTGAAATCACATTGTAATTGAATAATTTTAGAGAGCTATGGAGCATTTATTTTAATGACAGCTTTCTGGTAACATTTTCAGAAAAATACTAGCATCTTTTTCATTGATAAATACTTACATTATCTTTTACCATCATTTGTAATACTCCTTAAGCAATAATGTGTATAATTTTTCTCTTGAGAACTTGAGATTATCTCAAAATAGATCCTGAGAGGGAGATTTGAGTGTTGGTCAAAGAGTACAAACTTTTAATTATAAAATAAATAAGTTCTGGGGATGTAATGTACAGCATGGTGATTACAGTTAATAATACCATAGTATTTACCTGAAATATGCTAAGAGAGGACATATCTTATGTCCTCATTACCCCCATACACACAATGTATACTTATATTGAGTTATCAGGTTGTACACCTTGAATAGATACAATTTTTATTGGTCAATTTTCAGTCAATAAAGCTGAAAAACATTTTTAAAAAAAATTAATGAGAAACTGACTTAAGAAAAGTCTGGAAATTTACAGGTCTTTGTATTTAAATACACAATACACATAACAAGGCACAGACAGATGGTTTTGCAATTTCTTTTTTTTTTTTTTTGTCTCCAAGAAATGGTTGTACTTGGTAATACTCTTAAATTATCTTATGACGTGTGGAACTCCTAGCACTTTCAGGATGCCCTTCTCCAGTGAAAAAAGGGTCTTTCAGTTTAGGCTACTGTTGGGGCTCAGAAAACAATACCCCAAAATGAAAACCTCAGAAGCAGCTCTCTCTAACCTCCTTCCCTCCTGTCTCTGGCCCCTGATTGTCACCTAAGCCTAGCCATAGAAACTAGAATCCTTCTTCCCCAAGGCAGTTCAGAGAAACCAGAACCTCTTTTCCCCAAAGCCAGCAATAAAATCTAAAAATATTAACTCATGCCCCAACCCTCACCTTTCAGTGTACAAATTTGCCACAAAGAAATTATTCAGCTGACCTTGTTTGGCTGTAGGTCATAAGACGCCCATCCCAGAGAGGATCCTGCCCCATACCCAGAAGGATGGAATGCTACACAGAAAGAAGAATCTAAACAGACAGGACTTGCTGCGTTTCCCCACTCAGTCTACTAGTATTTGATGATACCCTTTTTGTCCAATCATATTTCTGCACAGCTATCCATACTTAATTGAAACTAAGCATAAAAACAGTTTCCCCTATATCCTTGGGTCATCATTCTGAAGGCTCCTGTGTCATATAAAACAACTATATATATATATATATATATATATATAAAATATATATTTTATATATTTTTTTCTTTTTTAGATGAAGTTTTCCTTTGTCACCAAGGCTGGAGGGCAGTGACATGATCTCTACTCACTGCAACCTCCATCTTCTGGGTTCAAGCGATTCTCTTGCCTCAGCCTCCTGAATAGCTGGGATTAAAGGTGCTTGCCACCGCACCCGGCTAATTTTTGTATTTTCAGTGGAGACCTGGTTTCACCATGTTGTGCATGGCTGGTTTCAAACAACTGACGTCAAGTGATCCACCTGCCTCAGTCTCCCTAAGTGTTGAGATTACAGATGTGAGCCACGGTGCCTGGCCAAAATATCAGACCATAATATTTTTAAAATGCTTACAAATTTATATTGGCCATTGCACCCAGCCAAAACAGTGATACAGTTGCCTGCCTTTTCTTCAGTAAGTCAGCCTTTTGTAAGTTGATTTTCAGCAGATCCTTCCCTTCATCCTTACACTACCACATAATTAAGAACACCATTAGAAATTTTAGGTTTTTCTACAAAACAAACAGGTAATTTAAAGAGGGAAATTGGTAAATTACACATTTCTTTAACAAATAATGGAAATATAAGAAGGAAGGAAGGAGCAGACAGTGAATATGCATGTAAAGGGAAAATTGTGAAGATATATATCCAAAGGCAGTGCACAGACACTTACCCTAAAATTATAGGAGTAGCAAGATATCACTGAAACTGTTCACAGTAAGAGGAGGAGTGAGAATATGATTGGATAACAGCATGATGAGTAAGACCTTTGTTGGCAAAGTTAGTCAGCTCTTAAATAAATAAGTATTAAATGAGCAAAGGTTAAGATAATCTATAATGCATATAAAATGAAAGCCCTTTATAATCTAATAATCCCCCTCTAGAGTTAAGCAGAGTTAACAGTTCTGTGTTTACTCTTCTAAAATTATGCATGAAAAATAGAATTTAATTTTAACTGAGTTAATACATATAAAACTGTAACAAATATGAAGCCTAGCAAGAACATCTATAGATCCACAAGTCAAAGGAACTTTTGCAGTTTCATCTGTCCCTTAGCTGTCTTCCAAAGATAAAAATGAACACCAATTTAAGCTTATTTATTTAACCATTCCCTTGATTTTTTTGGTTTGTTTTTTGTTTGTTTGTTTTTGAGAAAGGCTCTGGCTCTGTTGCCCAGGCTGGAGCAGCAGTGCAATCAGGGCTCACTGCAGCTTCAACTTCCTGGGATCAAGTGATCCTCCCACTTCCGCCTCCCAAGTAGCTGGGGCTACAGGGATGCACCACCACACCTGCCTAATTTCTGCATTTTTTGTACAGATGAAGTTTTGCCATGTTTCCCAGGCTGGTCTTGAAATCCTGGGCTCAAGCGATTCTGTTGCCTTGGCCTCCCAAAGTGCTAGGATTACAGATGTGAGCCACCAGGCCCTGCCTTTTCTTAATGTTCTTTATATTGTTACCAGGTATACTGTATCCATAAACGATATATGTTTTATTCTGCTTGGTTTCCTGTGACTTGCTTTTTTAACTATTTTTCTAATAGATGTATATGTTGACGTGTGCAGCTACAGTTCTTTCATTCTAAATATTGCATAATTTCCAATTTTTGAATATATTACAGTGTATCCATTCTCTTCTTGAGCATTTGGGTGTTTGTTTGCTTGTTTGTTTGCTATTATAAATGTGCTGCCTCAGTCACTCTTGTGTTTGTCTTCTGGTGGGCCTGAGCTAGAGTCGCTGTATAGTACATACGTTCTATAAAGTGAAATTGATGGCCTGTATATTAGCATGTGAAACATTGCAGAAGATACTACATAATTTTAAAAATTGTTTTTAATAATTTCACTTTTACCAGAACTGATATCACAGTTCTCATTACATCACATTTTTGCTATCTGATACTATCATTCAAAGTTTTTGTCAATGTATTGGGTTTAAGATTGTGTCTTATTGTAGTTTTAATTTTTATTTCCCTGATTCATATAGAAGTTGAAAGTTTTCATATATTCAGTCATCAGATATGATTATTAGGGTTATTTCCCAATTCTAATCTTCTGTGAAATGTACTGAAATTATTTTTTAGTTTATAATTTATCTTAGTTTTGATTTAAAAACACATAGTATAACAATGTCTATGTGTAAAGAAAGAAAAAGTGGCTCTGAAAATTGTACTAGTAACAGGAGAACATAAAAATAATCAGGCAGTATTACAAAACAAAAACAAAAATAAAATTAAATTCTAGCAAAGAAGAAAAAAATTTTTTAAATGAATCACTTTCCTGAAGGGTTAAACCACAGGATAATCCCAACTATAAGAAAATTGGTAAACCAGTTTTTCAGTGTGAAAAACTATATAGTATATAGTACAGAAATTATGAACAATGAAAAGAATAAGATACATGCAGAATAGCTAAAAAGTTGCAACCTAAAAGTAATCAGAATTTTAAAAGAAAAATAGACAACATAGAGACAGGATTCGAATAAATTATTGGCAGAGGCTTTTCCAAAATTAAAGGAATTAATCCTTAAAATCTGCAATCTCTTGTTGGGAATGGTCAACTCCTTTGCTGAGAGATCTTGTTAACATTGTAAAGTTTCAAAGAAGCACAAAAATACAAATGTTTAAGCTCCCACCATGTGGGAGCTTAGAAATTATAGAGTCCCAAACCCTTATTCCATTAGTAACTGTCAGGGATATTAAGACATACGGCCAGGTCCACCCACCACTGGCAAGCAGAAGAGGAGTGCACAACACCAGGAGCTTCCATTTGCATTGACTTTGACATGAATCGGTCCCTCAGAGCTACTCAATGCATTGGCTTATTCATTGGTCACAAGGAATGTACAGACTCATACCTTTCTCAGGATATAAGAGCATAGACAGAGATATAACTCATGTTGCTATCTCCTTCTATAAAACAAAATTGTCTTCTTCTTAAAGGCCATAAATATTAACTAGATGTAACTGTTAAGAGACCATATCAATTTAAACCTTACACTTGATTTTGACAAAAAATAGCTTCAAAAGGGCAGAATCACGATTTCTTCCTTTTACTTTTAACCTTGGTCAATTGAAGCCTTGTTCAAAACAGGCTTTCCACCATAGCTTTATTAAGCCTCTAGGTGTTGGGTGAAAAAATCAGGCTTACATGTGGAAAAACCATCAGTGCTATTGATTGGGTCATCTAGCCCCAGAGAATTATTAAATGGGTTATTTCTGAGCTCTGCCTCCAGGACCTGTCCCATGGAGGTGTCTCTTTTCTTTAAGAAAAGGAAGAAGTTTTGTCTGAGTTTCAGCAGACATGATATTTTGTTGTTTTTTCAATAACTGAGAAATCAAAGAGACAAATTACTAACTAAAAAAAAAGAGCAATTTAATTCTGAAACTGGTGGCAGAGGTTAGAAAGACATGGAGAAATGAACATTTTTCTTCTGTCTTTGTCTGATATATCTCCATGATTGCTTTGTATAAGGTTTTGGATCTGTACTCTGCTATAGATTTTCCTCACAAGATAAAAAGATAAATCATTTTCTGTCTCCATTGTAGATCTCTGTCATGCCTAAGTTCCTCAAAGTTTCTTAAACCTTATTTTGTTCTCTAGATATACAATAGGCAATCATATAAAAAGAGCCATCAATTTTATGATAGAAAGGCTCAGCTTTAACCCTAAATATCAATGTTTTTGTTCAGATTTAGATATGATTGATGGGAAAGGAGGAGGAGAACCTACCCTTCTTATCAAGCTATTTACCTGTTTCAAATACTATACACAACTTGAATAACCTTAGCATTTTTTAAGGTTCTTAGATATACTTCTTTGTCACCCAACTATTATCTTGAAATGTAGATTAAAATAGTTAAATAAGAGGAGAGAGCAGGGTTCCATCGTGCTCTTTAACTTTGGACTTGAAACCCAATGCAATTGTCTGGTGTCTGCTTGCTGTGAGGTAACCTCAAAGGCAAAGTCGTTCAAATGACTGGTTTTCCAGGTTACTTCTTAATGGTACAGCCTAACCTCTTATACCCATGCTGTATGGCTTTTGTACAATTGGTTTAATGAGTATATCTTCTAATTGCCCCCCAAAGTGACTTTTTATCTAGAACATTAAGGATTTTAAGAAGTTAGTCAACCTTTTGAACCAAGATCTGTCCTTGAATTAAAAAATGTTTACATCCTACTGTATATATTATTTCTTTTACACTTCTAACAGGACACATCCTGATGGGAACCTTTGAAAAATTGTTTTCATTATTGAAAAGCAAAGCATGTTGTTTTTTTTCTAGGGTTTAAGTGTGTTTTCTTTTTCGTTTTGTTATTTTGCCTGTATCATTCCCATCTCCTGGCTGTACAGAACAAACAGGCAGGCAGACAGTGAAAAACATGTATTTAGTATCCACTAAGTCTGGCACTGTTTCACTGGAAGGACTCAGACAATAATCACTGGAATTAATAAGAAGAATACCTTACACACTGAGAAAGGCAATAAAGAAAATAAATAGAATAATGTAGTGAGGGGAGTGAAGGGGTACTACTTTAGTTTGAGAACTTGAAGGGTTTTCTGAGAAAAATGACATCTAGCAAAGTCCTCACTGAGGAGAAAGGGGCAGGCATATGAAAATCTATGAGGCAAAGGAGGAATATGGTGGGAGAAAGATCAGAGAGGTTTGTATAATGCAGCATCTTGAAGACTGTGGTGAAGAGTCTGAGATTTCATTCTATTTTATTTCATTCTATTTCATTTGAGAAACAGTTAAAAATCTTTAACAAAGAGGTGAGTGATATTTGACAAAGTTCCCTTTTCAAAGAGAAACAAAACTGGACATCAGTTAATGGTGATAAAGACAGATTTTATATGATAACTACTGCGGTAGGGAAAAGAAACTTCAGTACAGAACCGAGCTCAGTTTTCAACACAGCGAAGACAAATGAGGGTTTCTAGGTAACAAGCTGAGTGAGGGAATCAGTGGATCGAAAATTGCTAAGAGACATGAAGGATAGGAAGATTCTTGCCAAACTGGTGCAGCAGGACTCTTGCTAAAGGCAGGCCAAGAACTCAGACATCAAAGGTGGTAGATGAGAGACTTGATCAAGGATGATCAGATATCAAGAAAGGGTGGGATTCTTGCTAAACTGACTTGGCAATTTTTTTTTTTTTTTCTAAAACTAGCCTCAGCAGGCCAAGAGCAGGGCCCAAAGATGAGACCTATTAAAAAGGAGGAGCTTGTGTAAAGGTGTTGAAGGAGCATCTTTGTTTCTCTCTCTATGTAAAGAATGTATTCCAAGGGTGCAAAAGAGCCAAAGAAGGGAAACCTATTAGAAGTCTGTTATCCTAGTGTTAAGAAAGACGAGTAGCTGAGTTTAGAATTTTAGCACATAAAATAGGAAGAAATGGTTGTTTGTGGATATAACCTTTTAGTTAGATTACTAAAGATACCATCAGAAAGCAGTGAACCCAAGGAGGCTGTCGGAGCACTCTCCTCAGATTTTAGGCTGAGCACCTGTGTGGAAATTGTATCAATTACAGAGACAGATAGACTTGCAGAGGAATGGCAGGTGTAGGTATCAATCAATCGTTCTTTTGGTGAGGTTTCATCTGAGATACTATTCAACATCTCAGTTAGGTGTTAAATGAATAGCTAGGTTTGGAGCTGAAGAGTAAGAGCAGGCCTGGGAATAAAAATAGGATCCCTCAACACAGACATGGGATTTAAAGGTATGGGACTAGATGGAATCAGTTAAGTATATGTTAATTTTTAAAAATTACTCATGACATTCGTTAAAACACTAAGGGCAGACTTTATTCAAGACAACTGCAACATGTATAGGGACTGCTGCAATGGGGTATTGCAGCAGGGGAGAGAAATTGGGTTCAACTCCAAATACTACCAGGGAAAGTGGGAATTAATAGCCAAGGAGCAGAGCACGATGGGAAGGTGTGTGCATAGAAAATTACTAAGAGGAAATAGCAAGTTAAGAAGGGATACTGGCTCAATGAACCTAACAGGATTTTGGCTGGAGGCAGGCCAATTGTTCTTCACACATTACCTGGGGGATGGATGGGGATGAAGAATTTCTATGAATATGAGGGTGATCAGATCTTGAGGGCAGAGAGTCTGACTAAACTGACTTAGTGGGATTCTTGCTAAAGTTGGGCTTTTGATGACATAACCTAGAATGGAGCCAATTTAAAAAATGAGTTCAGGGGAGCTTGACAAGGGTTCAGTCAAGGAAAATACTTTTGTCAGCTATAAACAGAAAGTGCTGGAGTTTCCTCTTTACTTTGTTCATAAAGGATCAATAAAGTATTTGAAGCCCTCATATTAAATATTTTGACAAAATCACCATGTAGAAAATGTATATAGAAATATGTAATAGGATGGTATATTCTGCATGATTATTGAGTGGTAAATATCCACTTTATATTCTACAAGAGGAGGAAAGGAGAAGAAAACTAATATATTGAATATCTACTCTGCCATGACCTATGATAAATTGTTCACATAATTGTCTCATTTAATTGCTATACTATCTCTACGAAATAGCTATAATTTTCATTTTAGAGAGGAGTGAAGCAAACCTTAATAAGAAATGTGACGACTTTCTGATAATAACACTGCCTAGACAGGATTCAAACCCCCATTTGTCTGGTTAAAAAGCTTGTGCATAGCTCATTAGGGAAAAATCTCCAGAACCCTATCTAGATGGGAATAAATTAGTATCACCCCAGTATACGCAATTAAAATTATCATAATGATTTGTCTCCCTGGATTGCAATCAGCTAAAAGTAAGATCCACAAAACAGGGGGAACTGGCTTTAAGGTGAGTTTTTAATTCCAAGGATCCCCTAAGGACTCTACTTTCCCCAAGATTCCTGGATATGGCCATAGAAGTTGGGAACATTGAATGGAAGGTGATGTCAAAAAATAGAACGTTTTATTACAGTTCAAGATCCCATCCTGGATACACATATGGCCTTCCAAATTAATGGTGACTTTGTTTTCAAAGTAAAATCCCTTATTTGACTGTTTTATGGCTCATTGTGCTGTACATTAGGAGCTATACGTAGGCATTTGTTTTATCTGAGCTCATGATATCACAGCCAGCAAATGTATTATTTCATATTGCAGCATCCTTTTCCCAGAGGTATATCATGGGACTGACATTTATTTACCTCTAAATAATAATCACCAATGGTTTATATAATTGACTTCTCTTCCCCAGAACTTCCTTTCCCTTTGAAAATGTCTGACCTTGTTGTGTCTTTTTCAATCTACTGTAAGAGTCAGTACACATTATTCCGAACAACACTGTTTGAGCAATGTGTGTGTACGAGGAAATGGGAAGCTAACAAAATAACACATCTAAATTTATTTTCCAGTTCTGTTCATTAGTTGCTTTGATATTGTGATAGCATTAAACGATGTTTTTACTTTGCACTTGTGTTCTTAAACCATGCCACTCTTCCTAACCCATGTCACCAAACAGATAACTTGCTTTCATAACATAATTCATTTAAAGTGTTTAGAAGAGTACCTGGTGCACATACTCAATAAATGTAAAGACAAAATGAATTGTGAGAGTGAACCATGTTGAAAATTGGGTACAGGTCCCAAGGCAGAGAGAACAGCAAGTGGAAAAGCCCCTAAGGCAGAAGCGCACTGGGCATGTTAAAGCCGCAGCATGAGGGACAGCAGTATGGCTGGAGATTTAGGGGACGGAAAATAGGAGATGCATTTGTAGTGGCATTCAGGGGCCAGATCATGTAGGACTTTTAGCCCATGTTAAATGCTTTGGATTTCTTGTAACTGTGATGGGAAACTATTGGAGGGTTTTTATCAAGGGAGTGATGTGATTTGTCTTACTGCTTATTTAAGTGACTGAGACTTAAATATTAACATGATTAATATGTGTGTGTGTGTATATATATATACACACACTGGGTATATATATATACTGGGTGCACACACAAATACCTACATCTATGCCTATACCTGATATAGATCACACACCTATATTACTGATATACATCTCATAGATAACATATATACATATATAATATACAGTTTATTCCATTTTATGATCCACACTGTGTTAAAGAAAAATCTCCTGAATCCTCTCTAGACAGGAATAAATTAGTAGCACCCCAGTCTACACAATTAAAATTCTCATAATGATTTGCCTCCCTGGATTGCGATCAGCTAAAAGTAAAATCAAGAATAGAATAGACATAGACAAGAATAAGAAATTGTCCTGAAATACAATATATTTACAATTTAATATAGCAAAAAAAATTTATCTGCAATACCTACAGAAATGTGAATGGCTTGAGGCTTATCTTGGTATCTGTCTCAGTGGTCTTAGTTTTATCACTTGTTAACTGTATAATCTTGGATGTGGTTTTTAGCATCATTAAGACTTTTTGTTACATCTGTGAAACGGCAAAAATTATAATAACTCTTTCAGGTAATAACAATCTATTGGAAAGCAGCTGTTCCAAGGCAGATTCTTCAAACATATAACCATATGAAATTTCAGTGGAGAAAAAAAAAAACCCTAAAACACGTAAATACAAAAATGCCAATACATTGAGTAAAATGAAGTTGCAGTTAGTATTAATACTGTATCTTGGATATTAGTATATTTGAAAGAAATGGAAGGAAGGAAAGAAGGGAGGAAGGAAGGAAGGAAGGAAGGAAGGAAGGAAAGGAAGGAAGGAATGAAAGAAGGAAGGGAGGGAGGGAAGAAAATTAAGGCTATTATAATTACGTGATAAATTTGCATTATTCCTTATAAATGTAGAATAATAATAGCCTCTACTGAGTAGTTTCAAAGTGCCAAACATTATTCTAAGTATCTTATACATATTAAGTCAACTTATCCCCAAAATTTTCTTATGAGGTAAGAGTGTTTTTATTTTCACTTTACAGAAAGGATAATTAAGACACAGATTGTGGAAAACTTGCCCAGTGTCAAATGACAAATGGTATTAATTGTGCAGTTACACAGTACTGAAGGTCAGAACATAATACCCAAATATGTTGCTTTGGCATGTTAACTATTTTGAACTGAAAGAGATTGGACGGGCCCCAGAGCCAAGTTTCCTCTCACTTTCTCCTGCTTTCTTTTCTCATTCTCCCATTTCTCCCTCAAAACAGATCATAGAAACTACAACACCTCTGTCCCAAAGCAAGCTATAAAACCTTGGGAGGTCACCCTCTGACCTACCTTTCCTGAAAGTAGGCTATAAGATCCTCATTCTAAAAGAGAACCTGCCTCATACCTGGGGGGAAGGAGGAGAGGAGAAGAATCTGAACAAACGGGTCTGCCTAAGATCCCCTAGTTTATTAGCATTAGATCATACCCTTTATGTCCAACAACATTTCCAAATGGCTGTCCATTCTTTAGCGAATCCAAGCATAAAAACACAAAATTTTCCTGGTTCTTTGGTCTTTATTTCTGAAGACTCCATTGTCGTGTAAGACTTTTGATTAAATACATTCTTTATGCTTTTCTCTTTAATCTGTCTTTTGTTATAACAATGTCAGCCATAGACCTTGCATGGTAAGGAAGAGGTATTACTTTTTTTCTTCCTTATAATGGCAATATTAACAAAGTTTAGGTTCCGACTGTGTAACATCCAAATGCCAGCCTACTTGTAACTCTCTGAGCCTCTTCTTCCTCTTCTTCAAAATGTGGATTTTAATAACAACCTTATGATTATACAGATGGTGTCCCAAAACATCTTGGTGCTCAAAAAATTATTTTCCATATGTTGTGTTGTAGTCCTATTAACCTCAATAGAGAAGGGGCCAGGTTTAAGAAGCCGAAAAAGAGACCCAGAGACAGCAAATGAGACATAGGGTTTTGTTAGGGGCTTACTTTCGGGGGGAAAGAGTGGCAGTGGCTGTGGGCTGGACAGGATAACCACCATTCCCACAGTATGGTGGTCACTGGCTGGACAACATAACCACATAGCCCAGTGGCAGCAGGCAGGGCAACTACTTGCAAAGAACATGCAGTTTATATAGTATTTCCACTTAATGCCCTTCCCTTAATGACCTCCATCTGGCAACCTTCATTTAACCAAAAACTCAGGACCTAAATTCCCTGTACAGCCCATGTTCCATGAGATGGGCTGGGGGCTCAGATGTTCCTCATAGAGAAGGAATGGATCTCTGGATTGACCATTCCTGGATTCCCTAGCTCAGAACACACATTCAGGTGCATCTGCTGTACAGTGTCATCTTAAGGGTTTGCTCAAGTTATTGCTCTCAGGGGCATTTACCTTACACCACACTCAGTTAATAATTTACCAAATGTTAAGTATTGCTTAGTACATGTTATACATTTAATATTTTGCTAGTTTTTGCTTATACTCTTTTAAAATACCTTTTGAATACCTTGCTGCTATATTTGGAATAAAAATATATAGTAAGTGAGAAAATAAAGACATTATAGTTTCTAAAATAATACCAATAATCTAAGAGATGAGAGAAATGCAACCTCCTTCCCCCCGAATGTGTAAGCATTCTTCCTGTGTCCAGGTTCTTATAAAATAACTTTATTTAACTAACATATTAAAGAATAATTAATCATTTTTATCTTATACTATATAAAAAGATGGTAGCTCTTCAAACATACTTTCCAAGAACATGACAACCTACATAGCATGATCTTAGATTCTGATATGTTCAATTTGCTATGTTTTTATATAATTTATTACTTCCAAGGACCAATTTATTATATGTACAATTTAATATGGTTACATTTCATATTCTAATTTATTATAGCTAAAGGACTTTTCCATAACAAAAGATACTTTTTATATATATATATTTTTTTAACCAAAGTTGGGACATGAATCATAGGTAATTAAGAGAAGAATGCCAATAGAGAGGATTTGAGGATTAAAGAATGTCAGCCTCCAATTATTCATATTATCATGTCACCTCCACCATGCAGTTCTTATTAAGTGCTCTAGGACAATGTGGTTTCTTCCTTACATAAATTGCTGTTTTGACATGTTTTGTTTTGCAGGGAACTAGGGTTATTCCCAGAATTCAGGACACTTGGGAATTTAGTAGTAAATACACTCATCATGAATCTCAATACATTTATGATGAGTGATTCCCCAAAGAAACCATGCATATTTTTTTAAGATGCATACAGTTGCGCTCCAGTATCTACCACATCAGTCATCAAAACTTGTAATTTTATCTTCACATATTCATTTATTCTTTGTTTTTTTGAGACAGTGTCTTGCTCTGTCACCGAGGCTGGAGTGCGATGGCATGATCTCGGATCACTGCAACCTCCGCCTCCCGGGTTCAAGTGATTCTCCTGCCTCAGCCTCCCGAGTAACTGGGATTACAGGCATGTACCACCATACCCAGCTAATTTTTATATTTTTAGTAGAGACGGGTTTTAGCCATGTTGGCCAGGCTAGTCTTGAACTCCTAACCTCAAGTGATTCTTCTGCCCTGGCCTCCCAAAGTGCTGGGATAACAGGTGAGCCACCACGCCTGGGCAAAACATTAGACTGTAATGTTATAAGAAAATTTAAGAATTTGTACTGGGCAACATTCAAAGCAATCCTGGGTCATAGGTTGGAATAGCTTTTTCTACATTGTATAAATAAGACTTCCTGGCAGATTTCCAAAATATTTTTGGGGAAATTTTATGGTGAATTAAATTCCTATGGAAAGTACTATTATATTTAATCATGGACATGGGTGTCCACTATTATATTTAATCATGGACATTTTCCAGGACAGAAAAATGACCTAAACGTGAACAAGGCCATCAAACTTAGAAGCAAGTGTATATAATAATACATTACACAACAACAACATAAAAGAAATGAGGGATATGCAAACTCCTTCCCTCCCTGAGTCTGTAGGTATTCTTCCTGTGTCTAGGTTCTTACAAAATAAACACATATTTGTGTGCGTGTGTTTCTATATGGAATGTACACACGCACATTCCATCGCACATACGTACATACATACATGCACACATAAGCACACAGAGAGGGAGAAAGACCTAGATAGCAGAGTTGCGAATCTCTCTGATCCTTGAGATTCTAAAGAAATACTTGTTCCAAATGCAATTTCCCACTCTGTAGAAAACAAAATCACTTTCTCCCAAATCCCTGAGAATTCTTTTGGGCTTTAATGCTTTTGCCTCCTGTGGCTCTGAGCTTCTATTTCCTACTTTACTACTTTACAGAACTTCTCACTCTCCCATGCGTATCTCTTCTGCAGTTTGGGAACCAAGAAATTGAAAACAGAAATTCCCCATGCCTTCCAAATGAAAGAAAGCAATTCATATAACCAAGTTTATTCAATATTCAGGAAGATGTAGAGAAAAAGATGATTTACAATAACTTAAAAATTTAAATATTAGCAGTTACTGTTCTTAAAAAAAATTATCTATAATTTCCAAAATTACAAATCTTAGGTCCATCTTTGGTTCACTGTCTCCATCTTTTATTTCACTCTGCCCTCTTTGAAGGGCCTGCTCGTCCTTTTCTTACGCCTTCAAATTCATTTATGTTCTTACCTCAAATCTCACCACTGGATCTCGAGATCTCTGCAAGGCTACTATATGGCAGAATTAATGTTCACAAAGCTCCACTTGATTAAGTTCTTAAGCATGACCTTTAACCACATTACAGTCATTAACAGAGTTTTTTTTTATTTCTTCTACTTTATATAGGCATCCAGGTGAAATTATTTTATATAATGAAATACAATAGAACAATATAAATTTTGGAGACATAAAGACTAAAGTTGGAGTCAAATTTGAATCCTAATTCTTTTACCTGGACAATTAAACAATAATATCAGAATAATTCTTCTTCTTCTTCTTCTTCTTCTTCTTCTTCTTCTTCTTCTTCTTCTTCTTTTTTTGGAGTCTGGGTGTTGCTTTGTCATACAGGCTGGAGTGCAGTGGTGCAATCATAGCCCACTGTAACATTGAGCCCTTGGCTCTAGCTGTCTTCCACATCAACCTTCCAAGTAGCTAGGACCACAGGCACATACCATCGTGCCCAGCATAAGATTCCTAATACAGTTCAATAACCTGAGGACAGAATAACTTTTCAAATGGATATTATAAAAACTAAAAAGGTGACACGAAAGCCAGTAAATAAGTACTATCTTAATTATCTTCTATTTCCATTTCTTCCTCATTTACAATGTACAAACTGAGGTCCAGAAGGGTGATGCAACTTGCCCAAGATTATTATTTTCTTCTTATTTTATGTATTTTAATTTTGCTTCCCAATCTTTGACATTGCTTTCTTGACAAGAAGATAAAAATTTGATGAGTTTCTGGCTAGGGTAGAGTAGTATCTCCTAGGTCTCATCAAGAACTTAGATTTGTGGTACCCGCAGTCAAGAAGCCGTTAAAGAGCAAGTCATTCAGAGCAAGTAATTTTTTAAGATAAAAATTAGTCTGATTATTCAGGGAAAATAGAGCAAAACTGTAGGATTATTGAGATAAAGAATGAAAAATCAAGTAAATAAACTACTGGGAAAAAAAGAGAAGAAAAAATAAGTAGAAAAAATAAATCTGGAGTAATTTCTAGGTGGGAGTGCCAACGGTCTTTCATGCCTTTAAAAATGCTCTCTACTAATGGAGTCACAACCAGAATATTGAAGAGAAGAATAAGAATAAACATACTTGTTATAAGTTTCTAGAGATAGCAAGGATTGTATCTTATTTGCATGGATTGTATCTTATCTGCATTCTGAATGTGCAATGCACATAGATAATCTGGTAGTTACTTAATAAATACATTTTGGTTCAATCAATCTACTCTGTATGCTGAGCAAAGTTACATATTTCTATATTGATCCTTTCATATAGGCTTTACCTGGTTTCCAAACAATACTCTTGGCAACCATCAACTGTCAGGTTAAGGTTCTTGAGGAAGGTTTCACCCCAGATCCTTCTGTACTCTCCTCCCAGAGTCACAAAGGACTTAAGGGTCCTTTATGCCTTGGAACATTCACTTTTTTACCAATTATCAAAAAATTGTGGTTTATTCATTGGGAGAAAGATGGAAATATATGAAAAAAGAAAGAAAGGAGATAAATCAAGTTTATTTTGTAAAGCGTTTAGATACTCTGAGTTTATAAAGACAGGGAAATGTTCCAAGCATCATGAGTTATCCCTGAACTACCTATAATTTGGAATTTTTGTTTTTGGCCAATTCATGAATCTCTAGAAAAATGTAATAGTCATGTTTGCATTTGCATACTAATTTGCACTTCTTACCAATAGAATTTCTGATTTTTCTCTGACAGTAAGAAAAAGAAAAAGGCCCATCAGGCATTTTCTTTTCACTTGCTCGCGGGAAATAATACAGATGTAAATTTATCTTCAAAATATTCTCACAATATTTTAGAATAGTCATACCCCAAGCAAAAACTATAAATTTTTCTTTTAGAAAATCCTTTGAAACTTGAACATATATTTCACTCCCAGGCAGGAGTAATAAACATTGCCTAATCTTTTAGGCAGAGTGAGGTAGTAGTGAAGTGGAGTTATAGAAACACTTAATGTTTTAAACTGTACGAAGCAACTTATACTTTCAATTATTGTGAAACTTTGTGTTACATAATTAGACATACTACAGCTTTTGGGTTTATGTGGATAAGTTCTTTTCCTGGAGAAAATAGAAAAATTGACGTAGGTTCCAGAATGTTATGAAATCAATGTCATAAAACTTTAGAAGCTGCAAAATAAAACAGTGTCTTTCTTTACATAGACAACAATATTTTAAAAGTTATCTCTGAATTGCTTAGAGGTGGATTATTACTAAAATGTTCAGTTTACCATGGGCTGTCAAAAAGAGTGTAAGTGGTAAAAACTCCATGTCTGTATCCCCAGAGGGGAGTAGGGTCAAAGTTGAGCCACGGCAAATCAAACCGAAGCAATTTTATGTTCCAGTGTAATTCTCCAACAAATGTGTGGAAAGAGAGAGTGCAGGGCCCAAGGGCATCCCTATGGTCTGGGCTAAAGGTAAATCACAACATGGATTCAAACTTCCCTTTTTCTTTTTCCTTGCTGGCTGTTTATATACTGACAAAATCAGGTTAATGTGAAAGTCAAGGTCAACCACGAAAAAGAAAAGGCTTTTACAAAAAGGCAGCCTAAGGCTTTTAATGGTAGTAAACAATGGTTGTTGACCAACTGCACACATGTGTAACCCTGGGTTCTTCAGTATCATCTGACAGAGACATGACCTTTCTACCTAAATCACATTCTTTCTCCCCAAGGCATTGTCCATTTGACTAAATTCACTAAGAATAACTTTGAAAATGAGCTAAGCCGGGTGCAGTGGCTCACGCCTGTAATCCCAGCACTTTTGGAGCCTGAGGCGGGTGGATCACCTGATGTCAGGCATTCAAGGCCAGCCTGGCCAACATGGTAAAACCCCGTCTCTACTAAAAATACAAAAAATTATCTGGGCATGGTGGCGGGTGCCTGTAATCCCAGTTACTCGGGAGGCTGAGGCAGGAGAATCCCTTGAACTTGGGAAGCGGAGGTTGCAATGAGCTGAGATCATGCCATTGCACTCCAGCCTGGAAAACAAGAGCAAAACTCCGTCTCAAAAAAAAAAAAAAAAAAAAAAAAAAAAAAGGAAAATGAGCCAATTAAAAATATTACTATAATAAAAATGTTTCCTGTCTTCCTAAAGGAAAGATGATGTCTTCCTCAGTTTTGGCTTTTGTAACAGAATACCATAAACCGAGTGGCTTAAACAACCTTTCTTTCTCATGTTCCTTGGAGACTGGAATTCCTACCCTCCAGAGTAGCATGGTCAGATTCTGATAAGGACCCGTTTCCTGGTTTACAGACCAGCCACCCGCCTTCTAGTTGAGTCCTTATGTGGTGGAGAGAGTGAAAGCAAGTCTCTTTCTCCTCTTTTTATAAGGCACTAATCCCACCATGTGGCTTCACCCTCAGGATCTCATCTAAACCTAATTATCTCTCAAAACCCCACCTCTTAACACTATCTCTTTGGGGGTTAAGGTTTCAACCTACAAATTGCATGAGGATATAAATATACACTTCACAAAGGATGAATTATAAATGTAATCCTTTCTTAAATCTTGATTGTTGAAATGAGAATAAATTATATGTTGAGTGTTTATATTTGTCTGATAAGATTCTGGCAAGTATTAGAAGCAAGAAGTTATTTACCCAAATCATCACAAAATTGTTTCTTCCTCCCAGAGTGAAACGTGCAGGAAGAGCACTTTTAAAAAACATTGAAATATAATTCAGTAAAGAAGGTTTTTCTTCTCTATATAAAGATCCATCTTGCCTCTACTAGCATTTTAAAAAAATAATAAGAGGATGTACTAACTACAAAAAATAGTCTAAAACATTTTAAAAAGTGTAGTAGTGGACTTCTTGGCACAAAATTGAGAGCTATTTTATCTTGACCATTTGCACTAATCGGTATTTCTGGAAATGCAGGCTCTGTTGGCTGTTAAGATGCTCCAAATATCTTCTCACCTTGCCTGCTTCTACTTCTGCTCTTCTCACTTTGCAGGAGGTAATTAGGTGATTGCAAATCTCACAAAAGTTTCTGCTCACAGTATTGCAGCAAGCTGATCTAGGATATTATGTCTCTGAAGTTGTTGGTTCTAAAATTCCTCTATGGAATGGCCTTAAGGAGCAAATATTGTAATTGCTTATTTTGTTAAAGAGGAGATGCAAGGTTAAAGGTGTAGCTGAGCCTGCTGTTCTGTAGTTACAGGAAGGTCAGAAAAAAGAGAGCAGGCTTGCTCTGCACCATGTGCCAGAAAGGTTGGATTAAAAACAACAACAACAACAATAACAAAAAAAAACCTTTGCTGAAACTGACTAGAGTTTTACCAATAAAACCTGTTTTGGTGAACCTTTTGCTAGAATTGCCTATGTATAAGAGAAATTTCTATGCCTAGCAGCTAAACTAAAGAATATGTCTGTAATTTCCAAACGGTTCAAGGATGGCAAAGTGTAGAGGTGAATCATTGTTTCTTAGCTCTCACAAATATAGAAAAGTAAAGTAAAGAAAAAAATGCAGCTTACAGAAATCCATGAAGGTTCTTGCAGCTTGCCAAGCAATGTTTACTACCCTCTGCAGTCCTCTGAACATAAAAATGTAAGTATATTACTTTAAAGGAAATTCTGAATATGTGTTCAGGTGCTTATGCATGTGTGACCACACACATATACACAAGACTATTTTATTTTCACATTTGTAGTAAATATTATATAAACATTTAGGGAAGCATAGACATTAAAAGTAAAAGTCTAACCGGTTGGCTTTAGCTGGTCACAATTTCTTTGAGTACTTTACAAACTTTGTTTATTCGCTTCATTCCTGATCTAAAACTTCCTTGCTATTCCAAATTGGGCTTCTCTTGAACTGAGTGAACCAAGGCAGGTAAATTTCTGCTGAATTGGGCAAATCGTGTAGTAACTTTGTGATTTGAACAAATTTCCACTAGCTATGAGGAAGAAATCACAAAATTGATTTTTATCTGTGAACTGAGACAGAACATGAAAAAGTCTTCAGAGAAAGAAGGGAAAAAAACAAAGATTGCAGGTTGTGCACAGAATGCTGAAAATTATTTCAGAATATTTAATGTGAAATATACTTCAATCAGTCTCTAAGGAAAACTATGAAGACTCCACACATGTAGTATGTTTCTTACACATTTTTGCATACATTGTGTTTAACACCTGTTCTTAAATAGTGATAAAAGGGCTTGAGCAGCAGCACCAAGGGCATATATTTTTAGGTTGGAGCTGGGATGTCAAAACCACTTAAATGTTTCTTCAAGCGAGATTTCAATTCTCCCACACCAATCTTCTAACACCAGTTTCACGGGCATGAAGACACTTAATAAGTACCATTGAATGATGATTAACTTTCTAAATTACCAGCTAATTAATCTGCTGTGAACCTAATTGGTGAATTCACTTCGCCAAGTCAGAAGTTAGTAGGGTGGGCGATCTCGAAATTAATTCATCTTGAAAAGCTGGAAAGCTAGAAAAATCCTATTACTTCATGTTAATTATAACTGATTAGAGAAAATATTTTGATAATGTACAGGCTGTTTTGTCCATTCTTTTTCCTTGAGTAATATATGGTGAAAGTGTCAGGTTAATTCTACTTTTAATTGGAATTCTACAATCAAAGCTTATCTTTAAGCAAATACTATGGACATAGACATAGCCATTCTGTATTCTGGCCATGCAAAATATTTTTTAAATAAAAATTAGTTAGGTTGGAATGGCCAATAATATTAGCTGAAAAATCTGTATGAACTAAGTAGCTATCCAAAATCCTAAAGATCTAAAATAAGTCTTGAATAATATGCTTCAGATTGAAGTAGTGGTTATATATCCCATCAATGAACTATAGTTAATAAAATATAAATAACTATCATTTGTTAAGCATATACTGTCTCAGGAAATACATATTTTTGTGATTTATAAAACTAATTAGATACTTGTAAATGAAGAAATTGGGCAACAGATAAGTTAATTGCTTCTCGTAGAAACAGAATTTAAAGCCGGGTGCGTGTAACTCTAAGACCTATACTTTTTAAATTGTTTCTTACTCCTTCAAATACAAAAGCACAAAATAAAGCAAAACAAATAATAAACACACACAGGCACCTGCTTCTGTAAGCATTACAGAGAGCTTATGTCTACAAGATTCTAGCTTCTCATTATACTGATCTAAAGCCAGCAAAATATACCTGCTTTTAAGTCCCTTCACAATTTTTTGTCAATAATATCAGATCAGAATGTTGAAGTAGGTGTTAGAAAAGCAGAACAAAGAGCCATAAGAAGAAAGTTTCTGTGAAATAGATATTCTTTTATATTTAGTTTCCTAGACAACTCATGAATTTTGAGTGAAAAGGAAGAAACTTATTCTGTTAATTATTAAAATCAATTAAGATATATAGGGAAGACATTGTCTTCTGTCCTATATTTGTAATTTACTACAGGGTCTCTTTTTTGGCTTATAAATTGCTTTGGCATTCATGACCAAACTACAAAAAAAGCTCAAATAACTAGATAGTTTGGAAAGAAATGGACATTTTATTTCTTGAGCATTCTTCAAGAGCCTAACATATTGCTTGTCATATACTGTACACCTTTTACGAACCTTCACCTCCTTCTTGACCTGAAACTCCCTTACTCTTTCAGATTGTCCCTTTTTTTTTAACTGAGTGAACCCAGGAAGATATTTCTATATTAGGCAAAGAGTGCTGTACCTTTGTGAAATGACTTCCTTGTTGTTTAAGTCACCTTTGGTATTTATTGAATGCTCTTCACTAAATATCTTAGAAATGGATAGTGTATTATATTCCATTGTAATAGAGAGGTGGCAGAACAGACTGAACATGAGTTTTTAGTATTTAGGCAGGACGAATTTAATAAGCAACTCACTTATGCATGGTTTTAGGTATTGGTGACACAAAGACACATATTAGAAAGTGTGCATCCTACACTGTCAGTTGTTGTTTACATACACAGACTTGTCTCCCTTGCTGGCGTTCTTTCATGGGTGTCCAACCTGTCACCTTATAAGATAGGGAAGGCAAACATTGCCCTTGGTCCATAGATAAAACATGCTTAACATAAGGTTAAGCCAATCACTGATGTTCCATTTGATTTATTGGTAATGGCAGGAGTATTTGGCCTAGTTGCATCTAATGAAACATGAGGGGAATTCAGCATAGAAACTTCTGGAACATTTCCATTACGTCCCCAAAAACAAAAATGACAGAGATGAAACAAGGAAGAAAGGGAGAAAAAGGAGAGAACTGTCACAACTATTTTCAAGTCTTAAGGTGGTACACATGGACACACCATCTTTTGGAAACATTAAGGGAGGTTTATGTTTCTCTACAATCTATTAAAGTCTATACTGATTGGTTGCCATTAACATTAATATACAGTTAGGTTGATATAATGACAGCTAAATTCAATAGGTCTGCAGTCATATTTTTGGTATCTATAGTGCTTAAAACATCTAACAATAATCCTGACATTGAGTTGTACCCACCTATGTATTCATAACATATGGCAATATTTGAGCGTGGTATAGAATGTAGTATTGTATTTTGTCTTCATGTCTAAATACAACTTTACAGCTAATAAACTGTACAAATTATCATTCTATGATGGAGATCCAGGTCCCAGTGATCAATATAGTGATGTTTTACTGGTATTAAATAACACAATCTCAAAGAATATTGATTACAATTTTTCTGTCTTTTGAGGTGCTGTTTATGCAGCTGAATTTAGAAATCCCAGAATATTCCACATGGAATTCATCCAGTTTTAAGTTCTTAAAATCAGTAAGAATGAGGTGGGAATAATAAATACATGCTTATCACAAGTATCTAAAAGTAAAAAAAACTCAAAGTTTTACATTTTTCCTTTTATATGTATACTATAATATTTTGCATATAAATATAGCCAAGGTAAATAAGAAAATTTAACTCTTTGCCCAGGTCATCATAATTTTAATTGAGTTCTAGCAGGCTCTGGGCCCCTTCATATATAAAAATTACTTAATCTCATCATCACCTTTAAATAAAAGTGTGTTTTGTCAATAAATATTGAAACTAAACTTTAGAAAGATGGAAGACAGGGCACATAAAGTAATTCTTGTTCCCCTAAGTGCCTAGATGTGAAATAAGGTATTTTTAAATAAAATCTTAGAACAGTTTAGAAAAAAGAGAATCCTCAAAGAAATTTGAAAATAAAAAAATGGAAAACCCTTAAAAGTACAAAGCACACAGATGTACTCAAACTAAAAAACAAAACAACAACAACAACAAAAATAGAGCCTCAAATACTTGTAGAAATATTGCCCTTAGGGTGCTCCAATTTCAAAAACAACGAATAGAAAAGTACAAGGACTCGTGACAACATTCAGAATAATTGTTGGAGAATAATATATAGCAAAACTAGACTGATTTATTCCATTTGCTTATGCTGAGCTTTGAGTCACCAATATCTGTATTGTTAGATTAAAGCCGAGACCTGGACTATTTGAGTTAAAAGGTATAAGAGGTACCTGGGGGACTGCAACAATTCTCAACATTCACAACCAACACAACCATGAGAAACCTCCTGACAACACATCCCACCTCTTTCCCACAATCATGAGGAATAAGTTCCTAGAATTAAAAAGGCTTTCTTATGCTTCCATCTTTAAATCTTCCACAAGTTCTTCTGTCCAATTCTATCACAGGAACATAGAGTGAAGGGGATTCTGTGAATGTAGAATCCAGCTCATCCAAATTAGGTTAGCACATTCCAACACATTCCTCAAGGGGCTTAAAGAATAAGCATAAAGACCAAATATTTTTATCAAACTTTAGGTTATTATTATATAAGTAAATTAATAAATATATATACCTGGAAAGCATATTTCCTTCTACATAAAACTGAGTTATTTTGTCCTTTGAGGAAAATAAGTACTCTTAGAGCTTTGACTACCTACTTTATCAAACAGGAGCATTCAATGCGAAAAAATACATATTGCATCTTGATAATACAACATTAATATTGAGGCATAGACAGTGGCTGGCAAAAGGGGGTTTTATAGTTATTCTCTATGCAATAACATCATGGACATATTAAAAAGTCAGGTGGAAAGTGACTCATCAGTGGTTCATTTCCTGTTTTTAATCTAGTCTATAAGTCGAATGAAAAGCAAAGTATAGGATATGATCAGGTTCCTGAATTTGTTTAGACCTGTTTACTACCAGGATAGGAAACAGACTAAACAAATATACAAAACTCTAGATGTTTTAATAAAGATAAAAGGAAGACACACACGAACACTCTATCTTATAGTAGGGAAAGAGGAAAATTACTCTCCTTCCCAAGGATGATAATCTACATACGCCTGGAAACTATGAATATGTCAGTTCACAGGACAAAGGGTAATTAAGGTTTTACATGAAATAAAGGTGGCTAATCAGCTCACCTTAAAATGGGGAGATTATGCTAGATCATCTGGATAGGAATAATGTATTCATAATGTCCCTCAATAGTGGAAGAGCAAGGCTGAAGTGGAGGTTGGAGGTTGCACGGAGGAAAGACTCAATCTGTCTTTGCTGGCTTTGAGGATATAGAAATGGTAACAGGAGGCACACAATGCTGGAAAAGGCAAGAAATGGATTCTCCCTTGGAGTATTATTGGTGTCAGACTTCTGACCTACAGAACTATAAGACAATACATTTGTGTTATTTGAAGCCACTATGTTTGTGGTAATTTATTACAGCAGTAATAGAAAGGGAATACAACCCCCATCTCTGACAGACATTTGCTCTTAGATAGTAGGAGTGAGAAAAAGTTCATATTTGCACCTCAAAAAAAGATTCTTTCTCTATTTTATTAAATGTTTTATCAATCTTATTTTCTGTGGTAGTTTTTTTTATCTTTTCAGGAACAAGTCTTCAATTTTTTATATACATAATTTCCATTTTCATTTTCTGAATGGTGTACTTAATAAATTTCATTAATGACCTTGATTATATATTTTGAAAATTATATTTGCTTATCAGACTCAAATTCATAAAATGACATGCATTTGGAAGGAAAAATCGTAGTTGTGCAATAATCTTTCTGAATATATGTTGATCCTCACTCTTCAAGAAAAAGCCCGTAAGCTTTAGGTTCTATGATAGCTGCAACCATGTGTCTCTCCCAGAGTACACCAGATTTTCCCTTGTGTCTGAGCAGGGAGTACCTTCTTCCTATACCAAGATATTTTTCCCTTTTAAATTTGCCTGGCCCACTCCTTATCTTCCAGGCCTCAGCTTAAACAGCACTTCTTTTTGGAAGAATAGCCTCCTGCCTATTAGATTGTATTTTCTATGTACTTTCACCTCACCCCATACACCAAAAAATAATCCTAAATTGTATCACACTGAATTTTAATTTACTGTTTTATTCCTGCTATTTTTTCTCACAATCATTGTGCCTTAGAAACAATATCAAAAATAATGCAATAATCTTAAGCTCCAAAAAAGATAAAAGAAACAGCTAGTGCAATGGTTTTGAGGATGGCGCGTCCTTTGCCTGAAGACCAAGGTGGCAAGTGTCGGGTAAGAGGTAGGGACAGGAGAAGGTACTGATGTTTGATGTTGCCTTGGAGACACTATTACAGAGTTGGATTTAACTCTGAGTGAAGTGAAAAGATTTTGGAAAATTTGTGGAAGAACTAATGCTAAGAACCATCCTACAGAGACCACATCAAGAGTAAAGAGAGAATTGCTCATGGTGTCTAAGAGTTGCAGTAGACAAGACATTGGGACCGTCTCTGAGCCATACCAAATGGGACTTCTGAGAGTTGTTCCTGCTAGGAGGAACAGGCTCTGGAATACACTGAGAGCCAATGCCAAGGAGACCCAATGGGAGTGATGACATCTGCAGCCAGTCCTTAGGGGCAACTGCTAATATGCAGTCTCACAGCCAGGAAGTGTCTGCTTCAAGAACAGATGCCAGGAGACACTTGAGGTGTCTTCTTCATGAAATAAAACTTGTGTGTAACTACAGGGCACACTTACACTTGATGGCATTGGAAGAAATCTCAGAAATTCTAGGTGGATAATCCAACAAACCATGAAAACCTTGGGTAGAAGAAATTTAGAATGTTTTTTTTTTTTTTTTTTTTTTGGTAGGGAGTGGCTGAGATGGATATCTAGCTCTCACAGAAAGAAATGGAAGGGACGAGTAAATACAACACCTTCAACCGAAACATTCAGGTACTCACATTGGGACTAATCAAGAAAACAAATTGACCCCCACAGAGAATGAAGAAAAACAAGGCAGTACAAGAGCTCACCTGGGAGCAGCATGGAGATGGAGCCAAAGGAACCTCCCTCATCCAGGGAAGTGATGAGTGAATGAGTGACCCCAGGAAACTGTGCTTCTCCTGTGGATCTTTGCAACCCTCAGGTCAGGAAATCTCCTTGTGAACCACTCCACTGGGACCTTCAGTCTGACAGACAGAGCTACTTGGAGTCTTGGCAGAGTAGCAACAGCCTGCAGGCCCCACTTTCACGGCACCTCACAAGATAAGACCCACTGATTTGGAATTCCAGCCAGCCCCTAGTAGCAGCATTGTACTTCCCTAAGAAGGAGCTCCGAGGGTGAGGGGCAGGCCACCATCTGTGCTGCTTGGGCAGCTTAGCCATTCTGGACTTTGGGATCTGGAAAGTCTGAACCAACTGGGGGCAGAAGGGATCCCCCAGCACAGCACAGCAGCTCTACCAAATCATGGCCAGACAGCTTATCCAAGCAGGTGCACAATCCCATACCTCCTCACTGGTTGGAATCTCCCAATTGGGCCTCAAACCACCCCTGCTTATGTTCTCCAGCCAATAGAAATTTGAAATTCCACCTGGCATGGCACTCCCAGAGGAAGGAGTGGGCTGCCATCTTTGCTGTCTGGATGACTTAGCCGATTCAGCCTTTGGGCTTTGAAGAGTTCCAGCCAATGGGGACAGAAGGGATCCCTCAGCACAGCCCGGCTGCTTTGCCAAAATGTAGGCTGACTGCTACTTTAAGCAGGTCCCTCATCCCACTCCTCCTCACTCAGCAGGACCACTCAACTGGGGCCTCCAACGTCCCTGGTGTTCTCCTGCTGACAGAGATTTGCAACATCCCTGAGATGAAGCTCCCAGAGGAAGGAGTATGCCACCATATTTGTTGTTTGGGTGACTTAGTGATTCCAACCTTTGGGCTTTGGAGCGTCTGAGGCAACAGGGGGCTGAAATGGACCCCCAGAACAGCAGAGCTGCCCTATCAAAATGTGGCCAGACTGCTTTTTAAGCGGGTCTCTGATCCCGTTTTTCCTCACTGGGCAGGACCTCCCAACTGAAGTCTGCAGACACTTCCTATAGGCGCCTTTAGGCCAGCAACAGGCTCTTACTTCCCTGGGGCAAAGCTTCCAGAGGGAGGAATGGGCTGTCATCTTTGCTGTTTTGCAGGCTTCACTGGTGATACCTCCAAGTGCTGGAAAATCTGAGGCAACTAGGGACTACAGCAAACCCCAAACATACTGCAACAGCCCTACAGGAAAGTGGCCAGACTGTTATAGGGCTGCCCTTTCTCAAAACTCCTCACCAGTCAGGTCCTCCAGGCCGGGGTCTCCAGCCACCCCTGGCCAGAGCTATACAGACAGTAGCAACTCAGCAACTCCTTGGATCGAGCATCCAGGGGTAACTGAAAGCCCCTCTGTCACTGCCTCTGCAGGAGAACAGCCCTTGTCATGCCCTTGGACTAACAAAGGAGCAAAAGCCTTAAATGCCTCACCCACATCTCCAACAAACTGCAGTCGACTCAAGGGAGGAGGCCAATTTGTCTACATGGGTCCCATGCATGCCCCACTGCTTGTCACAAGAGAGGGAACCCCTAGCTTGGCCCCACAGCACAGATCCTCCATCCCGGGCTGATTTTACTGAATGATTGCTGACCTGCTTCTCTCTGAGGTGGAGTCCTCAGGTGACAAGCAAAAGACCCTTGGCCACAACCACTACCTAGATCCCTTCTTCTGCTACCTCTAAGCTGGGTAAGGAATGTAAATACTGAGATCACCCCAGAGCTACCTTGAGCAGCCCTGGAGTGCCAAATCATGATCTACAACCAGCATTCAAGGGGGGAGAGGAACGCACATTTTCAGAGCATTGAGAGGGAACACTGCTGCAATGTGAAGATACGTAGGGGAGCCACACAACCAAGCAAGAGTCTACCAACTGACCAATAAGCCTAAGTGCCACTTGCCAGATGACACCCAAAGCTTCAACACCAAAAATACCTCATTATCATACCCTTCTGTGAAACTAGAGGCAAAAAGTCAGCTTCAAATAAAGACCCTACACAAAGCCTTGGCCCAGTGAAAATGTCCAGAAGAGAATTCTACCGACTGTACCCAATCTACACTGCAATTAAAGGAACACCTACATGCGGAGATGAGAAAGAACCAGTACAAGGACTCTGGTAACTCAAATGGCCAGGGTGCTCTATGCCCTCCAAATGACTATACCAGTTCTCCAACAAGAGTTCTTAACAAGGTCAAACTGGCTGGAATGACAGAAATAGAATTCAGAATATGGATAGGAACAAAGATCTTTGAGATTCAGGAGGATAGCAAAACATGATCCAAGGAAAATAAGAATCACAATAAAGCAATACAGGAGCTGAAGGACAAAATAGACATTGTAAAAAACAACCTAATGGGTCTGACAGATCTGAGTAACACAATTCAAGAATTTCACATTGCAGTCACAGATATTAACAGCAGAATAAACCAAGCTGAGGAAAGAATCTCAGAACTTGAAGAATGGTTCTCTGAAATAAGACAGACAAAAATAAGGAAAATAAAGAAAAAGAAAAAAGAATAAACAAGAATGAACAAAAGAAATATGGGCCTGTGTAAGGAGGCCAAATCTATGAATCACTGGCATCCCTGAAAGAGAAGGTGAGAAGGCATACAAGTTGAAAAACATATTTCAGAATATCATCCATGAAAACTTTCCCAATCTTGCTAGAGAGGCCTACAGTCAAATTCAGGAAGTATAGAAAACTCCTGAAAGATTCTACAGAAGAAGATATTCCCCAAGACTCATATTCATCAGATTTTCCAAGGTCTAAATGAAAGAAAGAATGTTAAAGACAGATAGAGAGAACGGGCTGCTCACCTACAAAGTGAACCCCATCAAGCTAACAGCAGATCTCTCAGCTGAAACCCTACAAGCCAGAAGAGATTGAGGGTCTATATTCAACATTCTTAAATGAATAATCTTCAACCAATAATTTCATATCCAGACAAACTAAGCTTCCTAAGTGAGGAAGAAATAAGATCCTTTTCAGATAAGTAAATGTTGAGAGAATTCTTTACCACCAAACATGCCTTACAAGGGGTCTTGAAAGAAGCACTAAATATAGAAAAGAAAGACCACTACCAGCTAATACAAAAACACACTTAAACACGTAGACCCCTGTCACTGTAAAGCAACCATACAAACAAGTCAACATAATAACCAGCTAACAGCACAATGACAGGATCAAATCCATACATATCAATAGTAACCTTGAATGTAAACAGGCTAAATGCTCCACTTAAAAGGCACAGAGTGGCAAGCTGTATAAAAAAGCAAGACCCAATGGCATGCTGTCTTCAAGAGACCCATCTCACATGTAATGACATGCATAGACTCAAAATAAAGGGATGGCAGAAAATCTACCAAGCAAATGGGAAACAGAAAAAAGCAGGGTTGGAATCCTAATTTCAGACAAAACAGATTTCAAACCAGCAAAGATAAAAAAACATCAAGAAGGACAATACATAATGGTAAAGGGTTCAATTAAACAAGAAGAACTAACCATCCTAAATATATATGCACCCAACACAGGAGCATCCGGGTTCATAAAGCAAGTTCTTAGAGACCTACAAAGAGACATAGACTCCTACACAATAATAGTGGGAGATTTCAACATTACACTGACAGCATATATCAGATCATCAAGGAAGAAAATTAACAAAGATATTCAGGACCTAAAGAACACAAAGAAGAAAACATAGATGCTGGGATCTACTTGAGGGAAGTTAGGGTGGGAGGATGGAGAAGAGTAGAAAAGATAACTCTTGGGTACTGGGATTAATATCTGAGTGATGAAATGACATGTACATCAAACCCTGTGACACGTGTTTACCTATGTAACAAACCTTCACATGTACCCACAAACCGAAAATAAAAGTTAAAATTGTTTTTAAAGCTTGGATTTTTGTTACTATTTTCACAATGTTTCTTAGATTTAACTGTTCCACCTATAACTTCTATCGCATTACACAGGACGGGCTGCCTACACACGTAGACTGAGTCAGTCTATAGTTATGAGTTTTTAATAATCACGTGCTTGTGAAAACATGTCACAATCTCACCTAAAATGTTTTGGAATTATTTTTGACTTTATGATGGTTTGCAGTATGATATTTATAAGTATATTGTGTTTATTGTAATTAGGTTTATATTTATATAAAATACATTCTAATGCTTTAATATTTTTGGATAAATTGACTTTTCAGTTTAGTCAATGAAATAAACTGTCAAACACACTGCTAGATGTATGCAATTAGACTCAGCCTGGGCTTTGTTGTTTTATTCCTGATAGTTAAATTTCAGGATGGTATCAATAGATGGTCTGGAGAAGATAAGACAATAATTTCCATTTGCTCAGTGATAGAATTCAACTAATCACCTATGCACACATGTCATAAAACACAGTATATGGTGCTCAATAACATTTTTGCCTGACTAGATTGTGAGTCAATTAATTATTTTTAACATGTTATAAACATCTTACAGTTTTATCTTAGATTTATTGTTTAAGAATAAGGTCAAAGGAGCTGACAAAGCAGTCTCTAATATTTTATTATCTCATGGAGAGGATGGTGGAAAGGAATACTGGATGAAAAAAGTACATTATATAACGGAGTTTCTGTAATGCTATAATATGAGGTATTATATTAGAAGAATTTTTTTTTAATGAATGCCCTCTATGAGATTACTGAGGTCAAAAAGGTAAAATCCAACATAAAGCGTACCACATTTGGTGAGGAAAGTAAGTTGACAAAGAATTATATTTCATTTTTGTGTGTAGTAGTTTTTACATTAAATTAGGGATAAGTGAAAAGTCACTCAGGATGTGTTGAGCAACAAGAGCAAGAATAGTTTACAATAAATCATGGAGAGTGAGAGAAGAACATGACTTAATTCCATTGAGTTGGTGCTGTCTTTTGTGAAGGCTTCATGGGTTATTGACACTCGATTGCATGGCTAAGTTGAATTTATAAAGTTAGCTTGGAGGATGTACAAAAAATATCTCAAATTATATTATCAAGTAATTAAAAAATTAGATCAATGTAACAGAATAGAAAGCCCGGAAGTAGACCCATATACATTTTGTCAACTGATCTCTGGCAAGGAAGCAAAGGCAATACAATGAAGTAAAAACAATTGTCTTTTCAACAGATGATGTTGGGATAACTGGATATCACATGCAAAAAATTAATCCCAACACAGACCTTACACTCTTCTCAAAAAATAACTCAAAATGGGTCACAGGCCCAAATGTAAAGTGTAAAACCCTAAAACTTGTAATGAAGAAAATCTAGATGACCTAGGATTTGGTAATTACTTTATGGATACAACACTAAAGGCACAATCCATGAATGAATGGATAAGCTGAACTTCATTAAAAGTAAAAATTGCTGTACAAAAGACATTGTCAAGAGAATGAAAATACAAAACACACAGTGGAAGAAACTCTTTACAAAGGAATTACAGAGTACTATTATACAAAAAAACCACAAAGAACATTTGAAACTCAAAAATAAGAAAAAACAAGCAACCCAATAAAAAAATGGGCAAAAAAGCTAAACAGATATCTCATCAAATAAGATATACAGATGGCAATAAACATAAGAAAAGATATGCACATCACATATCATCAGAAAAAAGCAAATTAAAATGACAATGAGATACTGATATACAACTATTGGAATGGCCAAATCCAGGACACTGAGTATGCCAAATGCTGGTGAGGATGTGGAGCATAAGTATTCTCATTTATTGCTAGTGGGAATGCAAAATGGTACAGCTACTTTGGAATACAGTTTGGCATTTTCTGACAAAACTAAACATGTTCTTACCATACGGTCCAATCGTGCTCTTCAGTATTTATTCAAAGAAGTTAAAAACTTTTATCTACAAGAGTACTTGCACAGAGACATTTATAGCAACTTTATTCAGAATTGCCAAAACTTAGAAGCCACCGAGATGTCCATCAGGAGGCGAATGAATGAATAAACTGCTATATCCAGATAATGGAATATTTTTCAATGCTAAAAAGAGATTAGCTATCACATCATAAAAAGACATGAAGGAAACTTAAATGTATTTTACTAAGTAAAAAAACAAGCCAATTTGAAAAGTCTACATACTGTGAGATTGGAAGGATATGACATCCTGAAAAAAGGTAAAATTATGCAGGCAGTAGAAAGATCAATGGTTGGCAGGGTTTAGAGGGCAGGGAAGGATGAATAGGCAGAACACAGGTTTTCAGGGCAGTGAAACTATTCTGTATAACACTATAATGGTGGATACATGTCACTATAAATTTTTACAAACCCATAGAATGTGCAACACCAAGAGTGAGTCCTAATGTAAACCACTGGCTCTGGGTGATAATGATGTGCCATAGTAGTTCATCAGTTGTAATAAATGTTCCACACTGGTGTGAGATGCTGACAATACAGAAGATTGCTTATGTGTGAAGGCAGAGATTGCATGGTAAATCTCTCTACCTTCCACTCAATTTTGCCTTGAACCTAAAACCACTCTAAAAAAGCCAATTAAATATAAAGCTACCTTAAAAGAATTTTGACAAATAGAATACAGTCTTTTATTCAACAAATATTTATTCATCAGCTCCCTTATGCTGTAATTTCATGGGTATAGAAATGTGAAAAATATATAATTTCAGTAAAGTGAGAAAAGAACAGTATAATAGGTGGCAAAGTACTATGGTAACTATTAGATAATAGATGATGGGGACAGATAATGACATATGAATGATCTGGTAATTACTTCCAGCTAGGAATTGAAGAAGACATTCTAGAAGAAGGGATACTTTTCCAGAGCAGTTAATGAATACTGAATATTTTAAAAAAGGTTAAAATGATGTTGGGCATCTTTTTTTGTAAGAATGATCAGGAACAGAGGCACAGAGCCTCAAAATGTAAATAATACCTAGGGCTATTGAAAACATGACATAAAGTTAGAAATATTTCAGAAATACATCATCCAGTACAATATTTTTAAAGTACTGGCAAATGGAAAAAAAATCATGTGATGGTTGAGGGACAATATAAAACTTTGGAAAGTATGTGGTCTTTGGAGGTAGAAAAATTTTATTCAAAACCCTCAGTGACTAGGTATATGTATGTATATACTTAAGTATATATACTTACTTATAGATAGATAAGTAAGTATATAAATAAGTATATATACCTAAGTATAAATATCTGGGTTATCTATATAAAATATGAATGAATACATTTAACTTTATAAAGATCATTATGAGGATGAATTAATTATATTGTAAAAAGATTAGTACCTTGCTTAAGACACAGTAGAAATTTTATAAATATTAATGACTGATAGCAATATAATACTGTATCAGTTATTTGAAAAAAATTAAATTTCCCTTCCCTTCGTAAGGGAGTAACCTTTGAGGAAATTTAAGAAGAGCAAGGCATGAATTGGTGAGAAGATGCGAAAGTAATGTATTACCCTCCTTACTGGTTCTGTAAATTAAAAAATTATTATTTTATTGCATTAAAAATATACAGCTTATTAAATCAATAAGTAGTAATACATTGTGATAAGTTTGTCTCTATTTGATGCCACTTATTTACTAATCTGTTAATATAGATCCTTTAAAGGCTATATCAAGGTCTCCATCAATGCACTGAGGAATTTTATAAAATAGAAGGACAATTGACTAAAATGAGCACAACATAAATATCTTGAGGATTTTGGGCTCTCTATGCAAATATTTTCCAATATTGTTAATGTATTTTTATGTCTTTGATAGTTTTTGAAATAACATATTATTTAAATAGACGTTATTTTACAAGGGACCCTTCAAAAGGGAAAAGGGTATGTGGAAGTCCTACGGTTATATACATTTTGGGAACATGAAATAATATATCTCCCATTAAAGAGTCACAATATTCAAACTTTGCTTATCAGGGCTCTATGGAATCCTGTTGTAATAAAGCTGTTTAACTTTGTCTAATATAGTCATTACAAATAGTCTACCATTACCAAAAAGTAGTTTTCCACTACCAAAAATGCAACATTCCAGGAAACCACGTTTTCATGGTGTAATAATTTGTATTATACAGACTTAGAATTTAGAATATGAGAATGGAGCAAATTGATTGCTAGAAAGTCTGTTTTAGATAAATGATGTTCAGTGGACCTTTCTGTGATGGTGGAAATATTCTATATTTGTGCCATTCAATACAGTAGCCACTAGACTATTGGTCTATTTGCACTTGAAATGTGGCTAATGAGACTCACAAATACAATTTTAAATTTAATTTAATTTAACTTTAAATAACAACACGTATTTTATTGTGTAGCACAGCTATAGTCCTTTTGCAGTACAATTTTAAATAAGCAAATCTGTATCAAATTCCTCACTAATGATCTTCATATATAGAGAGACTTGTGCCTTTGATGTGAAGAGTGCGTATTATAAATAGTTTAGACAGGGGTTATTTTATGGCTGACATGGCTTCATTCAATTACAAGAAGATTTTAATAGGATTAAGAAACTCTTCAAAAATAAATTATGACAATTCAGACACGAATTATCTACATATAGACACTCATTGCACAGTAAAAAAGAATCTAATGCAAATGTCAAAAATCCTTTTTGAAAGAATTGTTTTCTAAAGATAGTATAAGAACAAAAACTTTATCCTGTTCTGAAAGCCTAGAATGTATTATCATATTATGGCCATTGTAATGAAAATTTAGAACAGTAAAATTTAAACTTAAATTTATAATTTTATACAGAAATTTTGACTCAACGTTAAACATCTTAAAATTTACAATGTTAACTAGGAGAAATCTTTATTAAAAGACATTTTAATTAAATGTGGCTAATTATGCCTGTAATCCCAGCACTTTGGAAAGGCGAGACTGGCAGATCACTTATGATGGTGAGGAGTTGCAGAGGAGCCTGGCCAAAATGGTGAAACCCCGTCTCTATTAAAAATACAAAAATTAGCCGAGCATGGTAGCGTGCACCTGTAGTCCCAGCTACTCGGTAGGCTGAGGCAGAAGAATCACCTGAACCTGGGAAGGGGAGATTGCAGTGATCTGAGATCCACCCCTATACTCCAGCCTGGGTGACAGAGTGAGACTCTGTCTTAAAAAAAAAAAAAAAAAGTAGCTAATCAACAAATATAGGAGCCATATTAACCATTTTAGAACATAAAGCTAAAAAAAATCACACCTGGTAGATACAGGGAAAATGTAAAACGATATTAACACAATGGAATTAAATACAAAAAGATAAAAGGACAATGCAAGAATAATTTTTAAAAATTGTTATGAATATAATACAATAAAATTAAAATTAGTGGTGGTGCTTTTCTAAAAAATTGCATGTAGTGTCTGATAATTTTTTCTCTTTTTAAGTTTTCTATGTTCATATAATACAATGTTTGAACTACATTTATTAATTAAATGCAAAACCTACTTATTTATGTTTCCTAGGCTTAAAATATCATGTGTATATGTACTGTTTCAATTTTCCCTTACATTTCAAACAGTTCTACAATTTATATGTGACATTCTACTGTTGGTACATAATGCTTCCTAACAAATATATTTTTATGGCCATTAAATGTATATACAATAAGGCTCCTTTTTACATTATCTTTTAGGTTTGAATATTATTTCATAACACATTACTGTTGCTGCTCATGGCAACCCTGTCTTATGTTGCATTCGTCTTGTAAACCTTTAGTTATTTTATTAACAAAATGTTCCATGTAGAGAACCCTCTCTGGTAAGCAACTTATCAGGGGCATTTGTTCTGTAACACATTCTATAAATATTTACCTTTCTAAGATTGATTTTAATCAGAATTTCCTAAGGACATGCATAAAATTATGTGTATTTAAAGTTTTCCAGGTGGTTCTGATGCAAAGCTAGTTTGGTGTACCTTTACACTAGGCTCCAAAGAAACCGAAAAATTTTTGTAAGAATCGAAGTGATACTGCCCACATGTCATGTCAAGTATAGGAACTAATAAAAGTTTAAATATGTAACTAAAAAAGCAAGCTTGATTAGTTTTCAAACTTTTAAATTACTCTATGATAATTAATACATTACTCTGTCCCACTGTCTTTATTTAAATATTTGCATTATTTGGGGTACAGGCTAAGTTTTGGCAAACATGGACTCCAAAGCACAGTCATTTAAAGAGGATAAAAAAGACAAACAACTTTTCTTCAACATAACACTTCAAAGATAGGTAAGCAGTTTTGGAGACTCTGTCTCCAAAAAACAAACAAACAAACAAACAAAACAAACAGAAATGTGCTTCTATCTGGATTAACTAAACTCAGAGTTTTTGACATAAAATAATAGCAGAATGAATACCAAGGGGTAATTAACAATATTTTACCTAATACCTTTCTTCTGCCTGGAACTTAATTGTCAGCATTACTCAAAGATTTATCTCTGGTTCTTTATCATTTTTTGTATTTTTTTCACCAAGTTTTATTTTCAGAATTTAAAAAATGTGTCCTTTCTTTATACTCTTATGCACAGTTAAATCATCAGCTGGGCATAATTTTTCATTTCAAGACCTTATATCCAATTGGCCCGTCCACTTGGAGTCCTTTAATCCCATTGAATTTAGTATTTTTTGAACTACACAGACACATCTGTTTAATCCCCTACAGACACATCTGTTTAATCCTGTATTCCAGGCATCAGTGAATGCACCACAACTTAGTCATATACTTAGGTCTTTATGCGACCTTCTACCTCTAAAGAGTCACCCAGCCCTATAGATTTCTTCCTTGTACTGTTTGAATACATCTATTCTCTACTATTTTCAAGCCCAAACCTTAATTTAAATACTTATCACAGTTCATCTACATTATGGCAAATTTATCCCCACTAATCTTCCTACACCCCATTCTTGATTTCTCATATATTCCAAATATAGTACATCCCAGAAATTACAAATCTGATGATGTCACTTTCTTAGATAAAACTTTACAGAGACTGTAGCCAGGCACAACATGCTGAACTTTCCCCAGTCTCTCTACTGCCTTACATTCTATGTAGCCCTTCCTGACTAGTGTCAGTTCCCTGTAAAAAGAAGACTTTCTATCATATTTTGAAATCTTTCCAACCTCCTTCTTGGGATGAAATGACTACTATTTCCTCTGTTTTCTTCTTTTATCTGTACTTCTTTATGTCATAACATCTGTATTACAATTTTACAATCTTTTGCTTCCATATATACCTCAGGTTATTACCTTAGATTGCAAACACCTTGAAGTCACACAGTATTTGCTTCATTACTGCTGTGTTTAGAATTATAGAATTTTATAAACTGAGGAAACGAAAAAATCTTCACATTTAAAAAGCTATCTAAACCAAAGCTTTAACAAAGATAAGAATCCCAACAGTAATACAATATTATATTATTATTAAACATAGCCATATTGTATCAAAGACTCTATCTCAAAAGTTGAGGGTATTCCTATCACTTCTGAAAGCCATAATTCTCACAATATTCTTCCTTATATTTTACTGACAGGGTTTTTGTTTTGTTTTGTTTTTTATTTGACGGACGGAGTTTTGCTTTTGTTGCCCAGACTGGCGTGCAGTGGCGCGATCTCAGTTCACTGCAACCTCAGCCTCCCGTCAAGCGATTTTCCTGCCTCAGCCTCTCGAGTAACTGGGACTTGGGAGTTACTGGGCGCATGTCACCACGCTCGGCTAATTTTTTGTATTTTTAGTAGAGATGGGGTTTCACCGTGTTAGTCAGGATGGTCTCGATTTCCTGACCTTGTGATCCGCCCGCCTGGGCCTCTCAAAGTGCTGGGATTACAGACGCGAGCCATCCCCCCCGGCCATGATTTTTTATATATGATACACATTGATCCAACTTCAGGAAAACAATAAAATGCATTTGGTGCAGCATCTACAGCAAACATTGAAACACAAACTAGCATACACTATGAAAAATTTGGTTATACTAAATAAGATATCTTTAATTTTAATATGAGACTTTGGAGTAAATTGTTGTTATCTGCAAAAAAAAGTGTAATTAATTGTCATGAAAAGTGTAATATTCACACATACATGTTTTTCTCAACCTTTAAATGTTAAACTCAAAAACACCTGACCAAGAAAGTATAATTTAGATGCGAAACATTTTGGCTCACTGTGAAACCAATATAATTTACTCACACCAATAAAAATAATTGCTGAAAAGAAAGATTTATTATTCAGTCAATTCAATATATTATAAGCAGAAACCAATATACAGTGGCAATCAATTTATTATACTATATAAAGCATTTCATGTGGAAACCAATTTATAATAAACCAAAGACTTAGTGCCAAACACATTTATAAAAAGCTTGATATAATATTCACATAAATTCCAGGCAAAAAACTAAGACTTGACTTTATAGACACCCTAGAGAGGAACACTGCCCTTCTTTATTTCTAATCCTATCAATTTCCAAAAAAAATCACAGATTTATATGGACTAGGTTTCTTTTTTTATTGTCATTGCAAAAATGCAAAAGGAAATCATTAACAAAATAGAAATGAATTATCCTTTAAAAGCTTAAAAATTATTCAAATCTGGTAAGAGGTGGAAGTTACTATGACAGAACAGCCGTAGAATTACATTTTTGCTGACTTTGATTTTATTTAAAGGAATAATTTCTCAGCATGGATTTTGCAAGCACTAACACAGTTCTCTGATTCACATTTTAGATTTGCTGTAGCCAAAGGCGCACTTGTCAACTTAATAAAGCTTTTGCAACTTGAAATGAGTAGGTGTTTCCAAAACATTTCAATTATTCTCTTGATGACTCTGAGAGATGTGGGGTGAAACTGATTGTAGGAATGCAAAATTAGACATTTAGAGGCAGTCACAATGTCCTCTCTTACACAATCACATCTCTTGTGTCCTTTACACATGAACGACTATGTACAGAGATTTCAAGGGATTAATAAGCCAAAAAGAGGAAAATCAGGTAGGGATATTTCAAGGTTTTGCCTTTTTTCCAAATTTATTTAAAAGTGATTCCACTAGCCAATTTTTACTAGGGAATGTCCATCCTACAGCTGATGGGACAAATAAAAATAATAGTACTAGTAATCATGATAATAAGTCATTGCCCCAAGTATTTTGGGCGGGGATCCATCCTAAAATGAACAGCAGGAGCATTTATTTTCCAACCTGTAAGCATAGATAGTGCAGGATAAACTTTAATTTTTTATATACATATTATACCCAATATGAATTATATTTTAAAATTTAAAGCAATTATAATTTGTAGGTAGTCTGCATTTTATCTGGTGACATGGGCTGGCTTCTTTTAAAGTGGCAACTTAGATAGTAAAACTAAATTCCTCACTTTTCCTTAATTAAGATTTTACTTTTTTTTTTTTTTTTCTCCTGAACTAGGGTCTCATTCTGTCACCCAGGCTGGAGTGCAGTGGCATGATCATGACTTACTGCAGCAATGACTTCCCTGAGCTCAGGCGATCCTCCCACCTCAGCCTCCTGAGTAGCTGGGAACACAGGTGTCCACCACCACACCTGGCTAATTTTTTGTATTTTTGTTAGAGACAGAGTTTGGCCATGTTGCCCAGGATGGTCTCAAACTCCTGGCCTCAAGCGATCCTCTGACTTCAGCCTCCTAAAATGCTGGGATTACAGGCATAAGCCACCGTTCCCAGCCAGGGCTTCATGTTTATGGTCTCAGCTTAAAAAAAAAGGCATCTAAGAGCTTAAATGCCTCCCTTAATTTCTTATGGATAAACAGAAGCCTGGGTGTAAGAAATGGCTCAGCCTATTGCTGATCAGTAACCCACTCATTTTTTTCCTACTATGGCAATGCCCCTATATAGCACTTTAAAAACAGATGATTTCTGCCTGGGTGTGGTGGCTCACACCTGTAATCCCAGCACTTTGGGAGGCTGAGGTGAGTGGATCATGAGGTCAGGAGATCGAAACCATCCTGGCCAACATGGTGAAACCCCATCTCTACTAAAAATACAAAAATTAGCCAGCCATGGTGGTGTGCTCCTGTAGTCCCAGCTACTCAAGAGACTGAGGCAGGAGAATTGCTTGAACCCAGGAGGTGGAGGCTGCAGTGAGCAGAGATTGCACCACTGCACTCCAGCCTGGGCAACAGAGCTAGACTCTGTCTCAAAAAACAAACAAACAAATAAAAAACAGACGATTTATTTGAACTTTATCTACCAGGAACCTTGCCAAAAACTTTATATGTAATATCTCATTTAATAAACTCAACAAGCTTATGATATGAGAGTTATTATTTTTGCCATGATTTCCATTAACACAATCTTTGAGCAAGTAGGGTTATGAGTTGCCTAAAAGTCTATCATGTGTTTAATGGTAATTCAGTTACTCAAAACCTATAAAAGTTTCCTTTTTTATGTTGATCTGATCATGAAAATACAAGGCAGAAAATTGTGACTCACTGTGGCTCCCCACCCTGGCCAATAATTCCTCACCATTCCAACTTCTCTGTATTGTTGCTTATTTTTCAATCACTGCTTTGTTAGGAATAGGAAACAAATGCACGTTAGGTAAATAGGGAAAATGACAGGAAAAAAAATCTTTAGAAACATACACCACACACATACACACACACACACACACACACACACACACACACACACAAGAATGTATGAATATATGAGGATTCATTTAAATATTAAATCCCAGGAGAGTTTACTGGTGAAGTCAGCATCCTAAGAAAAGTACGGATAAAGATAACGAAAATCCTGTTCAAGTACCTAGAAGAAAAACCACAATCTAAGTGGGGTTCCCACCAGCAATGTGGTGACTTTGTGAGAAAAAAATAGATGATCTAAGTGTACATTTAGCTAAAAGGAATATTCTTAGGTGAACAACTAGGAAAAGAGTGTTCCCCCTTGAATGATGAATTAAGGAGGTTCCCTTCTTTGAGTCTGATGCGGTTGTACACTAGCGATCACAGTTTGGCAAGCAAGCCCACAGCTTGATTTCAGCTGTCACTCCCACCCACTTGGCAAAAGGGCCCATGAAGAGGACACTACACACAATAATTTTGTGGGTGGTCCAGCAGGTAGTAAAAATACTTACACCTCCATTGCAAATGGGTGTCAATAATCCAATCTCCAGTAGACTTAGAAATATACCCAGTTCCCATGATGAACATGTTTCCTCTTTGTTCTGCTTTTGTGGAAGAGGTAATCTGAATTTGTCTGGGAATTACAAGATGATCAGACATAAGGAAGAAGTAAAACCTTATATAGTAGGTCATTAAAAAATGTTTTTACTGCTACTACTATCATTGCCAGAGAATAAACTCAAGTTTGTTGCTAACCGTAGTTTACTTTTGAGTCATTCTGCTGCTATTTCAGGTATTACAATATTTTTTTTTAGTCTTTCTTACATGCACTCCAGCGGAACAGAGATTATATCTGTTGTACTCATGGTTGTATTTGCAGCACATCATAGTACTTAAATAAATGTTAGCTGAATGAATAAAGTAATGAATGGGATGTGGATTATAAATGTTACAAAATACGTTGTATTTGAGTAATATATTATAGCATGTGGGGAACACATTCTACCATAAGATAAGATTGGGTGCTCAAACAGAAAACAGAGAATAACTCTCTCCCCAACTTTCTGATGTCTTCCTCCCATTTTGCCTTTCTGAACACTCTTTAAAAAGTTTTTAATTGGGCAAAGATTGAGTGTAAGGATAAAAAATAATGTAGATTTGAGAAGACCTATTCCAAGAGAAACTAGACTTATCTGATTAGTAAGTTAGGTAGTCTGAAGCAAGAAAAGTATCCAAATCTGAAAAGTTAAGGGCGATATTCTCATGCTAAGAACTATTACGTTGACCCTCGAATGATGCAGGTTTGAATTGAGCTGGTCTATTTATAGGCAAATTTTTTTCTGCAAATACAGATAGAAAATACAGTATTTGTGGGATGAAGTCCCACGTATAGGGAGCAAGGACTTTTCCTATACATAGGTTGCCCAGGGCTGACTGCAGGACTTAAGTATGCCAGGATTTGGAGTTTATTTATTCATTTAATTAATGCATGTTTATAGAACACCAACCATTTGCCATGTGCTAGGTCAAACACTCATTATTCAATAAGATAAAGATGGATGTTAATCTTATTCAAATAAATGCACATTTCTTTGAAAGTGATTAATTATATAATAACAATAAAGAATGACCAGGACCAATGGTCAAATTAGTTGATCACCATAATTCTTTCAAAGCACTGCACTTCTACTACTGGCTGATGGAGAATCAACACAGTGCCCTGCCATAGAGCATAGGCCTGAGTCAAACTGGCCAGGTTTGAATGCTTAACTTTACCAATGACTTAGGAAAGGTGCTTAATCTATGCTTTGTTTTCCTCATTAATGAAATAAGAAGAATAACACTAATAATAAAGTTGTCATGAAGAATAAATAAGTTATCATCAGTAGCATACTTAGAACTTATTGCTACATAGTAAGGACTCTGTAAGAATTTATTAAATAAATAATATTTATGGATCCTTTAAAATACTAGGCTTCTATACACCTTTGGAAATAATGTGCTTAGGTGATGTAAACTCTCCTTACTACCTCCTAGGTTCAGGGGATTTCACTGATAGCTTTGTTCCTAAGAGTAATGTATAAGGTTGATATATGGGAATGTAGCAAGAGGTGGAATCAGTTATTTAGTATTTGCTCTAAACGTATTTTAGAAGTCAAGGGATTAATAAGATTTAGAAGTAAGTAAAAGGAAATATATGCGTTTATTGTAGAACCATATTAGCAAAATCCAAGCCTGCATAAAGAACCAAGCCATATTTATTTCTTGAGTGCCTACTAGGATTTAACTGTTCAGGATAGATTACAGGTATAAGACCAGCAGCTTATATGATTGAAGAAGTAAGGACAGTATCTATGATATTTTATTAAGGAGTACAAAACAGTGTAAGATTATGATTGTGTTATAGGTACTTCCTGACATCAGAAATGGAAGAAAGGGAAAGAATGAAGCTTGAATGAGCCAAATAAATTGTATTTGACCCCACTCCCAAATTCCATCTTTTCAACCCTTTTAACTCATCTCTTACTTTTATACTTGAGTGGTATGCCCTTGTGGTCTTGTCTTAGGCTTTGTCTATTATAGAAGCTGAACAAAAAATTAAGTGCAGATGCTGTTCAACTGTCTTCTCAAGTTAGAAGATCTTGTTTCTGGAGATTTTAAATTGGAAACCCATGATATATGAATGTGAGTTTCTCCAAAGAGACCCTAGAATAGTCTTCCTTGGAAATTCCAGACCGTGAACAAAGAGGGATTTACATGGAGAAAAAAAATCCTTTCTCTGAGGAATTTAGCATTTGGGGATGATTTATTGCAGCTTAACTATCCTTGACCATCTCAGGAGTACCTTACATACAGGCACGTCCACATATGCAAACATGGAGATTTTAAATTGGAAACCCAAAATATATGAATGTGAGTTTCCCCAAACAGACCCTAGAATAGTCTTCCTTGGAAATTCCATGAGCAAATAGGGATTTACATGGAAAAAAAGCATCCTTTCCCTGAGGAATTTGGCATTTGGGGATGATTTGCTACAGGTTAGCTATGCTTGTTACCATCTCAAGAGTGTCTTACATACAGTCACACCCACATATGCAAACATGTATTTATATAATTCCTCAGAATTAACTCAACTGAAATCTATAAGCTTATTACTTGCTTTATATCTCCCAAAACTGTCCATGTAAACAAGTTGAAAATATTAATGTTTTAAAATCGAGCACACAAAGAATAGTAATTAATATTCCTATGTTTGTCTGACCAGTGCTGAAGAATCATTGTAATCCAGTTGTTTCAGAAAGACAAACCATTACAAGATGGGTTTTCTGTCCACTGACTTTCAATTGATATTATCTATTAAACAAGGAGAAGATGGAATAATGAAAAAGAATCAGTCATTTGTCAGCACCTGAAGTCCACCAACCACCAGGAGTTTTAAAGGTTAAAGGTCACCTATCATTACTTGTATTATAAATGTTAGAGATGATGGATATGCTAATTACCCTGATTTGATCACTATACACTATATGTATTGAAATATTACTATGCGCCCCATGAATATGAACATTTATTATTGGTAAATTTAAACATTTAAAAAGACAATATTGAATTAAATATCAGCAAACACTTACTGAGAGCTTATCATGTGCCAGGCATTCTTCCAAAAATTAACTCATTCAGTGTGTACTAACTTAATCATCATAAGAACTCTAAAAAGCAGGTGAAAAAAAAAAAAGGAGGGAGAGAGGATGATAAATAACTTGCCTAAGATCACACAGCTAGTAGTCAAACCAAGGGTGTCTGCTCATAGTCTATGCTCTTAACCTTTATATTGCACTGCCTCATATTGGCTCATATTTGTATATAAAATAGGTTCACAAGGCAGAACTCATATTTTTGCCTTGTTGAGCTTTTGCAGACAAGACAAGTTTGTCATGATATAAAATATTTTTTTCTCAAAGATGAGAGCATATTGAGGTCATTTCTGATGTTTTCTTATCTGGTTCAAATAAATAAAAGCTGTTTTTCAACCACGACATCAGAAGACTGCAGACTTGAATGAATCTAAAGGTCAAAAAGAACAGAAGATACTGCTGGTCCTTGGGTGACCATCATCTTATTAGAAAAATTACACCTGATTCCTCTTTTAGATAATGCAACAGGAAATGAATTCTTAGCAAAAAAAATCTGAAAATGAAAGTTGCTCTTTTCATTAAATGTATATTAGCAGAAAAGAGTAATGATGACTTGTTAATTAAATAAATTTCTTGATCTAAGAGACACAACCGAGTTTGTGTTTGTTAGGTAACTTTGAGGCGTAAAAATTTATGTATGGTTTTAAATGTATATAAGTAGCATACTAATTTGCAAATTTCTCCTAAGAAAAGGATTACAGAGAGGTAATTACCATGAAAATAAAGAAATAATAACAGATTTAAGGGAGGTTATGTGCATTTTAAAATTTCTTGTTTTTCATTATTACCTGTCATTCCAAACCCCATCTGCTGTAGGCTAGTAAGAAAATTAGTTTCCTCTTTCTTACGGCCTTTTCTTGGTAGATCAGGGACATCTTATAGGGACATGTTTGACACACTCATTAACAAGATGGTAGTACTCCCCATTAGATATAGTTGGTGGCCTTGGGAACATTTCTCTCTCCCTGTTCTTATTTGAACAGGGAAAAAAAAAGCCAAGGAAAATAATCTAATTTTACTAAAACAGATAAATGAATGAATAAGTCACATCTATATGAAATCATTGATACATATCTGCATAAAGTAAACCAAGAAGATACAACAAGCAAATATATAAAAGTGTGCTAATAACATCACATAGAAAGACTGTTTTCCCAGGTTTTATTAATTTAAATAGGCTGTTGAGATGTCTTACTTTCTGATTTTTGGATTAAATGATCTTATATATTGTCTCTATATTAATCCATATTGTAGTCACAAACGTGAGTTTAATTACCCAAGATCTCCTAGTATGAACGAGTTTACTATACTTAACAAACTTTATATTTTTGTAAGACTAAAGAAACGTTTAAGCTGTCATAAAAAATACTGATAGAGGGAAGTTTCTACCCTAAATGTAATGCTATTCCTTAAATTTCTTCTTTTTCACCCCAATCATCTGCATAATGATCATGACTTTTCTGTGAACCATCAACCATCACCAACTCCATTCTTCTTTACAGCTGCTTTACTAACATTGTATATTTTTTTCTCCAAACACTTATCCTTTATAAATAGCTGTGTGCAAATTGTTAATTTTAGTTTTCCCCATCTTTTCTTTAGGTATTTTAAGAAATAGGATTTGATTCTTTTCTCTTCTTCATATGCATCACTATTTTCATCGCTCTTCTTCCTGTTCTATACATTTTTCTGCATTTCCTCTTTCTTTCATTTTACAATTGTGACAGGCAAAGTCCTTTCAAGAGATACAGTCTAGTAGGGAAGAAAGGCAAGTAAACAGGCGACAACAATACTAGTTGACAAATTCTAAGTTACGAGCAATCATGAGGGATTATGAGAATATGTAAAAGTAGTTGTATCTAATTTTGAGGGATGAGGATATGACATCTAGTTAAAAATCTGCCTTTTAGCTGAATTTGAAAGAATGACAACAAGTTACCTTACAACTAACAAAATTAATGCTAGGAAACTTGAATCAGATGGTTAGTTAACATTTATTCCAGAATTTCTCATGTTGCCGGAAGTCAAGGACCCAGAATGGAGGGACTGGCTGAAGCCACGGCAGAAGAACATAAATTGTGAAGATTTCACGGACAATTATTCATTCCCCAAATTAATACTTTTATGATTTTTTATGCCTGTCTTTATTGCAATCTCTGAACATAAATTATGAAGATTTCTTGGACATTCATCACTTCCCCAATCAATACTCTTATAATTTCCAGTGCTTGTCTTTACTTCAATCTCTTAATCCCATCATCTTGGTAAGCTGAGGATGTATGTTACCTCACGACCCTGTGATGATTGTGTTAACTGTACAAATTGTTTGTAAAACATGTATATTTGAACAATATGAAATCAGGGCACCCTGAGAAAGAACAGAATGACAGCGATTTTCAGGGAACAAGGAAAGATAACCATAAGGTCTGACTGCCTGTGGGGTCGGGCAGAATAGAACCATATTTTTCTTCTTGCAGGGAGCCTATAAACGGATGTGTAAGAGAAATATTGCTGAATTCTTTTCCCAGCAAGGAATATTAACAATTGATAACACTGGGGAAGGAATGCATTCCCAGGGGTAGGCCTGTAGTTGACCACTCTGGGAGTGTCTGTCTTATGCAGTTGAGAGAAGGGATGAAATATGCCCTGGTCTCCTGCAGTGCCCTCAGGCTTACTAGGATTAGGAAATTTCAGCCTGGTGAATTCTAGTCAGACCGGTTGTCTGCTCTCGAACCCTGCTTCCTGTTAAAATGTTTATCAAGACAATGCGTGCCCAGCGGGACATGGACCCTCATCAGTAATTCTAATTTCACCCTTGCCTTGTGATCCTGCTCTGCCCTTTTGCCTTGTGATCTTTTATTGCCCTTTGAAGCATGTGATCTCTGTGACCCACTCCCTATTCGTACACTCCTCCGCTTTTGAAATCCCTAATAAAAACTTGATGGTTTTGCAGCTCCAGGTCACCATCACAGTCCTACCAACATGTGATGGCACCCCCGGAGGCCCAGCTGTAAATTTCTCTCTTTGTACTCTTTCTCTTTATTTCTCAGACCAACTGACACTTAGGGAAAATAGAAAGAACCTACGTTGAAATATTGGAGGCTGGTTCCCCTGATATTTTCAGATATATATTTCTAGAATTATTATAACTACATACCAATCCCACTGGATTAAAGGAAGATTAACAGAAGTAAAGCACAACAAATGTATGTAATCAAAGTTTTACATGAAATGAAAGCCTCCAGAATGGAGACCCAATGGAGACAGGAAAACTGTCCAAATTTATGCTTAGATTTGATGAAGAATGGACAGCCATGTAGAACTGTGATGGGATAGGAATAGACTAAAGGGGGAAACCTAGCAAGATGTGTCTGTTCAGATTCTCCTTGGCCTCTGTGCAGCATTCTTTCTTTCCGGGTATAAGGCCAGACCCTCTGGGATGGGCCTTCCTTACACAGAAAGGAAGGGGAAAAATAGAGTAATATTTTTGCGTTTTATAGCTGGCTTTGGGGGATAGGGGTTCTGATTTCTATAGTCTCCCTTAGAGTCTAGTTTCTCCACCTTGACTTGAGGAAGAATGAGGCGGAGAGACAGAAAGGCAGAAGGTCAGTGAAAACTGTGCTACTAAGGCTGCTATTGAGGCTGCTTGTGAGGCCTTTATTTTGGGGTATTAAAGAAGCGAGGTCAACAGGACCTCACTTCTGAGGTCCTTTCAGTTTCCTTCAGTGTAAGATACTCAGCATGCCAAGGTGTCATGCTTTGGGGTTTCATGCACCAAGTTCCAACAATGGTAACTTTCATGTTCTGTTGGTAAAAGCTGACCAGTTCACTGTAAGGTTTAGGTAAGAGTCACAATGTAGGTCATAATCTATCATCTGCAATAGCTTTTAGATTGTGTCATCCTTGTCAGAAAGTGAACTAATGTATCACACTCTAAATCTTTGTCTTCTTTATGCATATCTCCGAAAGAAAATAATATTGCTTAAAAAATTGAATGAACATGCTCTCCTATCAGCAGGCAGTCTTCAGATAATATTGTGCTGTGATGCAAAAAAATATAGAATGGTAGATGAGAACCTTTATACTGCATTAAATAACATTTTATGAACAGAAATAGAGCATATAATATCTGAGGCAAAGAGGTAGACCACAAAAATGTTGAATAAGATGTAATTTATTTTCTTAAATGGCTCTTGTCTATTATATTTCAGTTCCATCTCCCTTTATAATAGATATTCTTATCAGACATTTATCTGCCATCACTTTCTGACATAATACATATCTTGTGGTTTCCAATTTTATCACACAATAAACTTCTTTTATGTTCTCAAAAATAACATCAGTTAGAATTGACTAAAAATAATCCACAGTATTACCATAGGTATTTCAAGCTAGAAAACTGATTTTTTTTAATACTGTTACTGCCTATAAAGAATGGATTTTGGAGGACATTGAAGGATTCTACTAAAATATCCTCAGAGGGTTTTAAAGCTTTTATTTCTACTTAAATTACAAAGAGAATTTGTTCAGGTCATTACACAAAAACAAAATAAGCCAAAAAAGATGTCTCCTTATATTTCAGCCTCTTTTGGTAGTTTTCTCCATATTAATAATTGTTGTTGTTATAATATTAGCATTATAAATGTTTTTTCAGTTTCATCATTATTTGTTAACCTGCTTATGATGTATCTTTAGTTACCTATTTTCTGCAAATTTCTATACCAAACCAAAGATAGACTGAATTTCAAAGCATCATAAAGGGTGATTCTGTACTCTTCCCTGCAAAACAATAACTTTTTCCCATCTGTAACACGTCTTTCTCCAACTTTATCTTTACAATCATTATTAATAGCTTCTAAATTCCTGATTCTTCCAAAAAGCATTACCAGTAATCAAATCTGTACCTGGTTCCTCTCAATTAATTCTGAAGTGCCCGTGGAGCATTCCTTCTAATCATCTTTTACAAACGGCAGTAAAATTACATACTTTCCTATGCTTGGCATACCTAATTATTTTATTATCTGTAAAACAACAAATTGTAATTGCTTTGTTTGTAGGTGGTCTTTCTGGATGGAGAATAGATTAAATCTGTTGCAATGTGATGAACACTTTAGGGAGATTAAACATTCAGACCTTATACTCACTCTTTTGCCAAGCAAATTAAAGACATGTCTATTTCAGTGACAAATGACATATTAACTTTCATAGTAATAAAATAATGCCTCTTTATCTGCTTATTGTCTGTTCTTTTAATTGTCTTTGCATTATCTACAGTGAAATGCAGCTTAAAATCTATAGTAGTATAAGTAAACTTCAAGCGACCTGGCACTTTAGAAAATATTTGAATGAATATTTTGTTGCATCTATACAAAGTCCACTTGGATAAAGAATATGATGCTTTTCTCAGACATTGAGGGTTTGAATCTTGATCAAACACAGATAGCTTTGTTACCTTCAGCACCAAGCTATAAAATGAGAAAGATAGAATGAAGTTAATTAATTTTCTTGGATAAATAAAAAAGATGAAGCGCTTAGCACAGGGTATGGCACAGAATAAATATTTGACTGTTAGCTGTGACTTTTATGGCCAAGTAAAGAAGAGTCTGTCAAGATATGTTAAATATAAGTATGTTAGTATTTCCATTTTGTTCACTTATTTGATATATATATAATCTTACTTTTATTTTCAATTGAAAGTCAATGTATTCTAAACTGAAAATTCTTACAAGATAGAAATGAATTTTAAGTTCTTCCTACGAACCATCTAATGAACAATCTCTACATTTAACTTTGTAGCAATAGTTTTTAAAGATTATGCGCAAAATCCATTTATAACTATAGTCTATGAGAACATAGTCTATATGAGTTTCTCTAAGAAAATCTCTTCGATACCTTTCCAAAGGAAGATATACCACCTAAAAATACTATGGGATTGGTTCTGGTATTTATCTTTACCCAGTGCTATTAGTGTAACCCTGCGTTTCAGTGTTATGCAATCAAACTATTTTCATGCAAAATCTGTAAAGAGTATTTGTTGACTGAAAACAAGTTTTAAGAAAAGTTTTAAGGAAAGCAATATAGTAAAAGGAAAACAATTGCTTAAAAACACGATTTTCATAATATAGTCCCATGAAAACTCATGTAGATTTAAAAAATTATGTCAGACAGCCAAAAATTTTCAATGACACTTAGGTCTAGTGAATTAAAACATTGATTTGGCAGTGTTTTAGAATGTATTTATTTTATTTATTTATTTATTCTATTTATTTATTTATTTATAAGTGTGGTGGCACAATCTCGACTCACTGCAACCTCCACCTCCCGGGTTCATGCGATTCTCCTGCCTTAGTCTCCCAAGTAGCTGGGACTACAGGTGCACCACCACTCCCGACTACTTTTTGTATTTTTTTTTTTTAGTAGAGACGAGGTTTCACCATATTGGCCAGGCTGTTCTCAAACTCCTCACCTCATAATCCACCCGCCTCAGCCTCCCAAAGTGCTGGGTTTACAGGAATGTATTTATTCTTTAAATAAAATGTATTCCTTTATATTCTTTGAAATATATTAATTTTAAAAAAACAAAACTCAAGAAAGAAATTATGCATCACTGAATATCAATAATAAATAATTTGATAAAATTCATTTGATAATAAGCAAAAACACAAGATTTTACGTTAAATATATGCTGCAATATAGTATTTTGTTCTAAATGGCCATTTATTGCACATCTGTTTACATGTTATATGCTTTGTGTATACTTAAAAAACTCATTAGAGAGTGTCTGAAACACAAAACAGTCACCATTTATTAGCTAGTTATTTTTAGTTTCCTGTATATATTAAGATATTTTTGAGACTTCAGAAGTTGTTTAAAGATTATTTTTCTTAGTGCCTAAAATATAAAACTAAAACAAAACTATTGTTTCTTTGAGATTTATATGGAAGATGTAAGAAATGAATTTGCCCTAAAATTTACTTCAAAGCTTTTTTAAGACTCTTCTGAATGACAAAAAAACCTTCTTTATACAGAGTCATGGGACAGATCTAATATGAAATATTTTAAAAATCCCCTAAACTGTAAACTAAACATTATTTAAAATGACTTTGTATTTTTTAAAACTATGAAAAATTATGAGAAAAACTATTTTTAAATGCCTTTTGTATCTGACCTATAAAACTTTACAAAGACATAAAAGGTTAAATTTGTAAAAATTTTCTTCAGAATGTGTTTTATAAAAAATAATATATGCAATAAAATATTCAAATCTTACTTTATCATAATCTGAACTATATCAGATTATATTTGAAGCTTCAAGCTTCTAGAAATGGTTTACCTGGTAGTAATTTTATTTCCTGAAGAATATTTTGAATCACCAGCATCATAGACTCTTACCTGCACACTTAAAACTCTTGGATACTTTATGGGTTAGCTTTTGTTACAGAATAAATCACCCCAAAATTTAGTGGTTTGTGAAAACAACCATTTATTTAGCTCACCCTGTACTCAGCAGGGTAGTTCTGTTGATTTCAGCCAGGCTCAGCTGATCTTGGCTGGATCTCAATCTTGGCTTTGTGAGTGGTTGCCAGGTAAACTGGGACTAGCTGAGAGTTAGCTGCAGGAGGGTGCTGAATATTACTGCTTCTGCCTTCTTACTTCCCAGCAGAATAGCCACATCTTGTTTACCAGGTAAAGCAAACAGTAAAGAGACATCTCTTTTCGTATGTATGCTTATATCACTCTTGCTGCTCTCCCACTGGCCAAAGAAAGTTACTTATGAAGTCCAGAGTCCCTGTGGGAAGATTCTCCCTAAAGATATAGCTAGAGGGCAGCATGAATAAATTGGGGGTCATTACTACAACAATCTATCACAGAAATTTGAGCCCTTTTATTCTTTTTTAAATGCCAACAAATAAACATAAACATTTGAAAAATTGAGATTGGGTCTCACAGAGAATCTTCCATAAAGGATTGTTTTCAGTAGATGATTTTGATAACTGCTGGCTGATTGAAATAAGTTCAGTATTTATGGAAGGTGATAAATTAACCAAAGGTATCACAGAACTGCTTGCTCAAGTAAGATGAAAATACTGTGGATGGAAGCCAGTTTTTTTGAAGTGATGGTTAAGGTTTTAGAAATAAAGAGTATAATGAAAGAATAAAGAGTATAATGAAAGAATAGATAAAGAGTATAATGAAAGAATAGATAATGGAGAGTCTTGTAATCTAAGTGAAAAATTTGAATTATTTGAGAAAAAATTAACAAAGTAATCACTGAAAATATTAGGTTTAAAAAGCTTATCATTGATTTGAAAATATATAATGATGAATTCAGGATTTGGGGGATTTTGGCTACTGGATGAAAATGATTTGAGAAATTGCCATTAGCTAATAAATTCCATGTGGACAGGGTCTGTGTGTGTTTTGTTTAACATTGTATCCCCTTGAACCTCCTATGTTTAGAAGACAGCCCAGCACAAATAAAGCACTATTTTATGATTTAATTAACTTAATTGATTAATTTTTTATGTTATATTTTATCATGTCAGTTTCATTCACTAGGTTTAGTGAGAAATTCAGGATCAGTCTAAAATAAGCTGTTTCTTCCCCCACATGACATATGTGACATATGTGTCACAAGAAAATGAGTATTGGGTGTAGTTCTTAGCCTATGGCGGTCACCAATTACAAAACACTCCTTCTAATCACCAGCTCTTCACCCAGTATCAGGCAACATTTCTCAGGGCAGGCAGCTGTGATGCTCCCTAGGAACCCTCTTCTCTGTCTACAGGCTCTGCCACATGGACCATTGATTAATTTGCAAGGCAAGAAGCTTCGTATGGAAAGGCCATACCCTCCGAAGCTGTTATGCATAAGGAGGAAGCAGCTTTTCATGTTGTGAAAAAAGTCACTTAGTACAGTAGCCTAGAATGGCTTGAGAAAGGTCACTTTTCCTGCCTTTGGTTTTGGAGTCACTTTTTCTTTTCTTTGCAAATCATCAAACTATGGGCTTGTCTTTATGGGGCTTCTAAGATACAAATAAGTTGTGAGTCTTATTCTCATACCTCTGAATCAGTTCCTTCTGAACACAGGTGTGATCATGTCCACTTTACAAAGGAACAATGGAAGAAAAACATTTTCTTTTAAGATTAACAATTTACTCATGGTTTATACGTTGAGAAAATAAAACAGAATTAGAGTCCAGATCTTAATTTTATTACAGTGTTTCCTCTTCTGGCTGGTTCTGCTTCTTCAATTCAGGTGGATAATGTACTGTAGAAATAAAATAAATGCTGATGTCAAAGGAAATATACTAATCCCTGGGTATTTTTAAAAAATAGTGTATTTATATAAAGAAGTAGATTTTGTCTAATATGGAAATCGTATCACTATGTAAGTCCTAAGAACATATATGTTCATTGATGAGGGACAAATCCCCTATATTAGCATCATTTGGCTTCTCTTTTTCTTTCTGTCTCCTGAGCACTATCTATATTAAGAATGGACATATAACCATGAATAATACAGACAAAGTCCCTTTCTCCATGGAGCCTACAATCTAGTGAGGAGAACTGCCATAAAGAATAAATGAGGTGGATGGATCACCTGAGGTGAGGAGTTTGAGATCAGCCTTGTCAACATAGCAAAAGCCCGGCTCTACTAAAAATACAAAAATTAGCCAGGTGTGGTGGTGCATACCTGTAATCCCAGCTACTCGGGAGGCTGAGGCAGGAGAATCACTTGAACCTGGAAGGCAGAGGTTGCAGTGAGCCTAGATCAAGTCATTGCACTCCAGCCTGGGTGACAGAGCAAGACTCTGTCTCAAAAAAAAAAAAAAAAAAAAAAAAGAGTAAATGAATATGAGAAGAGAAAATTACAAATTTTAATGACCGATGTGGTAGATAGTGGAGAGCAGCTTTAACCAGGAAGGTGGAATTTGGAGATCTCCTGTTAAGGTAATATCTGAGCTCACAACTGCAGAAAGAGAAAGACCCTGATAGGTGGTAAGGAGATGAAAGCATTCAGACAAAGGGAATAGCAAGTGTAAAGTCTCTGAGTTGAGAATGAGCTTTCTACAATTCAGAGACAGAAAGGAAGCCAGTCTGGCCAGACTTTTTAAGTAAAGATGAAGCCCCTAAAACATAGATTTAATATGGTAAGAAGAGCCAGGTCATGAGATCTTACAATGAAAATCAGAAATTTTGATTTTATTTTAAGTGTAATGGCAATTTATTATGTTTTAATTATAACGGCTTCTTAAAAAAGTATTATTATCTCATAGTAGATAATGAATGGAATGTCGTAAGTGAAGGATGGAAGCAGGGAGTCAGACCAGGAGATGATGTTGACTTAGGCTAGGGTAATCGTAGTAGAGATGGAGGGAATTAAAAAAAACGCAAAATATACTTTGTGGTTGGAGCTAATAGCACTTCCTGATATAGTCAATGTATATTATAACAATAGAGGAATTAAGGATTGTCCATAATTCTGAATATGGGCACTCAATTGCAGAGGGATGCTGTTTACTAACATAGGAAACTAGAAGATACCAGGAATGAGAGATGGAAAAGGGCTAAGTGTTCAGTTTTGTCTTTATATGCTCTGCATTGCCTGTTGGGCAGCCAAGTAGACTGTTTCAATAGGCAGTTACATATTGGAGATGGAGGACCACGAGCTGGTTTGAACCAGTGTCATGCGTGTTAAGGCTTATTACTATGATGTTATTATCACCTAATATATAAGCACCTAGAAGATAAAGACAAAGTGTCACATATTTCCATTCTTTTCACAATGCATAGGACATTTTTTACAGTGTACCAATGGTGATGGTGGTTTTGCTGCTGCTACTGCTGCTGCTAATGATGATAATGGTGATGGTAAAGACGATAATGATGATGATCATAATGAGTCAAACAAAGGTCTTGAAGAAACAGGAAACACATTTGTGATCTCAGGCAGAAAGTTTGTTGCTGCCTGTGGCATGATAGGTTCTATTGTCTATGGGGAGACATGCAGGGGTCAGGTATAGCTGGATCCACTTGAGAATGTTCACCAGGAGAGCCTACTATTGCCGCTTCCCCTTTTTATGGGAACTTGGAATAGGTGCTAGTGACATTTATCTGAGCTTATATAAGTGAGAGACTGTTGCAATGAAAGTTACTGTTATCTATTAGATACACTCATCTTGAAGCTTGATTCCAACTACCCAGGGAAGTCATGAACCAGTGCTCATAGCAATTGTACACTCTGTGGCAAAAGGAATATGCAGTGACCCGCTGGTGAAAAATAAAGCCATTGGACCAAGATAGCTTAGATCCAGGTGACAAAAGAAAGGCTAAAGTCTTAAAAAAATAGTTATGTGTTTCTCTCCACATGAAAATAGCAGGTATTTATGGACACTATTTGGTACCTACTATGTGCTAAGAAACTTGTAAACACTTTCCATATAATAACCCATTTGATCCCATTACCATGATAGAAGAGAAATCCTATCATCATCACTATTGTACAAGTTAGGAACACTTGAACTCTGAAAAGAAACAAAACTTGCCCAAAGTCACCCAGGTAGTCAGGGAAATATTTAGCTGTATCTGCTTGATGCTAAACACTTTGAATCACTTTGAATAAAATCGCTATGGGGGAAAGGGTTTTTTATTGCATAGGGAGTGGGTAGGGAGAGACTATAACTGCAAAGTTAGGGGACAAAATCAGCAGAAGACATTCTGCATAAGGGAATTTTCTGTACTTAGCTAACTCCTCCTAACATTGTTTGGCTGCGTCCTTTGGTTTATGTTTCTATAAGTTCTATGCCCCAAATCCTCTGGGTGAAACCCTGGACTTGATCCTTTTATCACTAGATCATAATATCTATCCTTTGTACTTTACAGCTCAAAGGAGTTTTAGATCTATAAACACTGTTCATTCACTCTGAGCATTGTCTTCCTGCTTTTTGAGAACACTACAGATGCACTGGAAGCACGTTCTACCTCAGGAAAGAGGGAGATTTATCATTTCAAAATGTAATAACGAACACATTTTGAGACAATCACAGCTGTCATCTGAAAGCTATGTCAATTTAGTACTCAAAATAGGAAAGAATTAATATAGCCCTGAATAGTAACTACTATATATATCGGTAAGTAATTTTTTCACTACTCACTCACCACTCTGCTAGGATACTTGGTGTTAGCTTTTGGCCTTCGCAATTAGAATCCTATATTGAGTGAAGAAACAGAAAATTGCCAGAGTGGTGCAAAGTTTCCCAAAGCACAAAAATTTATTCCAGGGCAGAGGATGGAGCAAACCATTAAGTTTTCCTTCCACTCATAAGTCAAAAATAATTTGAAACAGAGGGTCCACAGATGGAACCAGCTAGGAGCCCAGGCAGCTACTTGCCATGTTGGTGGTTGGTGGGGAAAGTGACAGAGTAAAAAGCCTCAAGAAAGAATGAAAGAAAAAATGTAAAGCCTACGCAAATACATAGATAACTTCTCAAACATTCTCTTGTAGTTTATGCATGAGCTCAGTGCAGTGAATAGATTCGCACATTTAGTTTTCAATTCTTTGGCAGAGGTTTGTTATGAAAGTCGAGTAATACAGATGGTATGAAATTATTCATGCTGCATAAGAAAACCACTATGAAGACATGATTAAAATATGATTGTCAATTAGTAATCATGATGGTTTCTGAAAAAAAAAAAAAAAAAAAAAGACTTGGTAAAAATTAAATCTTCAGCGAGTTTGGATACTTGCTACTGTGTTAAGGCAAGGTTAAGATGTCAATGTCATTAACTGTGAGATCAGATAACCTAGACCATCACTTTATCCTTTAAAATCTGCCAATTTAAACCATTGCTGTTATCATTAGTATCATTAATGTTCTTTTCTCATGTACTCAACTCTCATGTAGCCTTAGAGTAAACATGGATATTACTCCTTTTTGAAAAAACTTACATTTTTCTACTTTATTAAAACTCTCATTTAATTGTATTTGTTTTTAAGGAAGTTTGCAAATACATAATGCATCACTTTGCATTGGTTAACAACCAATACCTAGTGTAACAATACATTTCATTAGTAATGGTAATAACTTAATGACAGGTCAATATGGAGTGAATACTATGAAACATGCTTCTTATGGATTATCTCTAACTTTTCACAACAATTTACCAAACTGTTGTGAACTATATTGAAAGCCTTCTCCAAAATTCATAAATTGAAGCTGTAATCTGCAATTTGACTGTATTTAGTGACAAGGCCTTTATGAAGGTAACTAACGTTAAATTAGATTTTTAAGATAAGGTCTTAATCCAATAAGATTTGTATGCTTATGAGATGGGAGAGACAAACACGATTGCACATGGTCAGAGGAAAAAAAAAATGTGTTGCTCCAATATGGCAGCCCTAGCAGGCTAATACACAAGGTAAGTATCAGTGTGCCCATTTGAAAGAAAAGGAAGTGTCCTGTGAAAGTTCAGGCTAGAATGTGCCACAAGAGGGTCTGCCACTGGAATTAACACAGGCTTGATTATCCTAAGGCCCTTCCATTTTCACAGTCTAGGTTAACCCACTTCATCTACAAATGGCCTTTAAGGGCCGAAAGTTATTTTAATTCAATTCCAAGTATTCCTGAGGTATATAGAATTTGAGGTAAGTAATTAAATATATTCACTTTTGTTGTTGTTGTCATTTTTATAATACCATAGTAACTGGTTCTCCCAAGGCAGGGAAGTTCAGGATTCTTGAGCATTTTGAAACTACTTTGATTATTTAATTTATATATTCAAGCTACTAATAGTTTTTAGTAACTTACTATGTCTCAGGCAGTTTTCAGTTTAAGTTATGGATACAACGAATAAGACTCAGGCCTTCACTAGAGAATTCCAAGGTGTCATAGAGCTATTGGAGGGAAAAGCTTTAGAGCAAATAGTTTTTAATACAATATTCTCTGGCATTATTTCTAATATTACACAATTTCAATCAATCAACAAACTGCTACTAGCCTGTCATACAATTAGTACAAAATTTGAGAGGAAGCATTTAGAAATTTCTAGAATGATTTCAGTGTAAAATCCAAGCACATGCACATTATCTCTCTCTCTCTCTGTACTCTACAAAAAAAAAAAAAAAAAAAAAATGGCCTAGTCTATGATCAATTGGGAATTAAAGAAGAAAACAAATAAATAAAAAAAGTCTTCTACTTCAATTAGATTAAAAAGCACTGCTCTATATGATATCTTAATTTACTTCAACTTGAGAAGATAAGATAGAAAAAAAATTCAACTAGCATCTGTTTACTGGCAATTTTGCAAATGTTATTGTGTTTACTATCACTTAGTCAAAAGTAAATAAAATTAATAGTATATTTGGAGTCAGCTATTAAGTATCTTATGTTTGAAAGTAAAAAATTTAAAAGATTCAATGATAACTCTATACAGATTAAATCCTTTTCTTTCTTGTGTTAGGTACCTTTTGTCTCAAGCAGTAAAATAAAAATTGAACTTAGATGAAATGCTATGGTCTGAATGTTTGTGTCTCCACAAAATTCTTATGTGGAAACCCTATTCCCAATGTGGTAATATTGAGATTTAGGCCTTTGGGGGATAATTAGGTCATAAGAGGTCCACCCTTGTGAATGAGATTAATGTCCTCCTTAAAGAAGCCCAAGGGAGATTGTTTACCCCTTCTGTCATGTGAGGACACAAAAACATCATCTATGGGGGTCAGGCTCTCACCAGACGATCTGCTGGTCTTGAATTTCCCAGGCTGCAAAACTGTGAGCAATAAATTTCTGTCGTTTATAAATTATCCAGTCCAATGTAGTTTGTTATAGCAGCCAGCACTAAGATAGACTCTAATTAGACATATGTTCCTCTGACTTAGTCTTATAAGGATGCAATGTAATTGTCCCAGAACCTCCACTCCTTATATAATAGTTTAGCAGTGAGATGGAACAGTCAGGAGCTGATTTTGGCTTGAAAGCTGGAGCCAGGTAGAAGCTGGGAGAGAAATTTCTCAAATTTCTTCAGGTTATGCCCAGGCTATTCTTTTCTGGCTTTCTCAAGACAAGAAAGTTGGAAATTCATGTGCTTACCCCTGGACCAGGAGAACTCACTGACATTGGATCAGGCATCAGTCATGTGCCTCCTGAAGTAAAGAATATTTTGTATTATAAGATGATCCTGTTTGGAATCAGCATAGACAAGGGCTTAGCAAACATGCTGATTATTATTATTTTGACAGTATGATTTTTTTGAATTTTAAGTGGTTTGGTTGAAAATATTCAAAATGAAAAATTGCAAGTGGGATTGGAACAGTTTAGATAAACCTGTCTAGAAGACTGTTGGTAACCAATGCAGATGGGCAACGTAAATTTCAAGACAGTCATAAATTGTATTGGTGTCATAGAGAAAGAAGAAGCTAATCTTTGTATGTCCCTAAGTAGCACAAGTTCAAGAAATTTAACATCATATTTTAGATAAGTTTACAGAAAAGTTAACACTATGTATATATTTAAGAATCATTGCCACAAATATTCAATTATGAATATATTTTTTATCTTTCCTCAAATTTTAAGAAAAGTTATGCTTGAACATAAAGTGCTCCTGCTAGGCAAAAATACTATTCAACCTACTCAAATCTAGGCAGGCATTCAGATTTTGTCAGTTATATTAAAAAACTCTGATACTACCTTTTCATTATGCAATCAACTCTCTTCTTCTTTTGCCTTGTCTTTCCACAAAGGAGGACCCATTTTGCTTTTCTTTTGTCTCATTCAAGTCTAGATAGACTGTAATAGCAAGCTCCCTTTTGAGGAAGACCTCGACATTTTTGAGGTATATACGAATAGTTTATTCAAAGAAAACATCATGCATTATTATATTCTTTTTATGATTAATTGAAAAATACATTACAAATTTTATCTCATTATGACTCAAATCTTGGAGAAACTGGATGCCTTTCTGCTATTATTTGAATTTGGCCCCCAAAACTTCAAGTGTGGGAAACAATCTCCAATGTAAGAAGGTTCGGAGGTGGGGCCTAATAACAAATGATTGGGTCATGAGGCTGGAGCCCTCAAGAATAGATTAGTGTTGTTATTTTTGGAGTGGATTAGCTATCACAAGATTGGATTTGTTATAAGAGCAAGTTCACCCTTTCTGGCTTGCACACTCACTTGCCCTTTCTCCACGTTATGACAGAACAAGAAAGCCCTCCTTCACCCAGCACCATGCTCTTGAACTACCTTGCTCCGGGACTCTGAGCTCAATGAATGTCTGTTTATTATAAATTACCCAATCCCAGGATTTCTGTTATAGCAACAGACATTGAGCTAAGACACTGTGTAACATAGAAGATAAAGCTTATCAAATTTATAGTATTTCAACCTCTATAAATCACATGCAAATTCATGGGAGTAAGGAATGACCAAAACATTATGGTGTGTCTTGACAGGACAGGGAAATTTGACATGCTAAATGTGGTCAATCAACATAGTTCTCCATTTGGAAAGAATTTTGCAGTACTTGAATCAATGTAAGATTTGGAGTTTTTCTATGCTAGGACCAAATTCAGCATCTTGTACCTATTATTTATTACTTTCTGAAAACTGAAACTTGCTTACCCTCCCTGAATCTCAAATTGGGGTTAATCTATCATTTATAAAACTTATATGATACAAAATATGAACACACGTATTATAAACTATGAGGCCCCACATAAATGAATAATGTCTTAAGTTGTCTTGATGTTTACCTCTATTGCCTTTCCATTTAGTACTTGAAACATTTAATTATAGCCTAAAGTGTGAAAAATTTGCATATTTTAGTTTAAAATTATTGACAATATGGACAGTACATGTACTTAAACAGTCATTTGGGCGTTCTTATTTACAACGATCTCTGAAATAATGGATGTACCTCCTTCTGCAATTTTTTCTTTGTGAACCAGAATATATGCATATTCCATGGACTTATCAGGTACCTTCTGAAACATATTCATATTTTAATCCTTGTAACAAATTTTTCTCCTAAAATTATTTTTTCCAGACTCTTCTTTTCAATTGGCACTGTAGTCAGAGGTAAAGATTCAGTTTCCAAAATAACTGAGAGATCAAAAAATTTAGATACTTCCACAAATCTAATGAAAGGTATTTTCAGTAAAGTGTCTTTTTAACCAGCGCTTTTGGCATTCATTGGCAGCTAGGGTAATCTAGAAAAGACAAACATCTGTCTGGCTGCTGAGAACTTGGAAGATTTCATTGCCCTCATTTAGCAAAGGAACTCCACAGAGAGCAATGTGATATATCTCAATCATTTCTAAGAAGTACATTTTGACCCAAGATTATATCTGCCACAGAAACAATTTCTCCTCTAATATAACACACCAGGAGGCAAGGTTTTGGTTTCTCTCTTCTGCTGAGACTTATCAACTTTCTGATGTCCATGACTTACAACATACATATCTTGAACGATCAATGTTTCTAACCATCCCAGACTACTGGAGTCAAGATTAACATTATGGCTTTGAAGACAGTATGTTATGGTAATGTTTCCTAGATGAGTATATGTGGAATTTAGTGTGAGAGAAATTGTCTATAGACCTACTGGAGATGACTTATAATAAATTCTATAGACCAGAAAGAAATGAAGGCTCACAATACTGGAAGTTCTCACTAGAGAAAACAGGTAAGAGAAAGAAATAAAAGGCATCCAAACAAGAGGAGAGGAAGTCCAACTATTTCTGTTTGCAGATGATATAATTCTGTGCCTAGAAAACCCCACAGTGTCTGACCCAAAACTCATAGATCTGATAGAAATTTCAGCAAAGTTTCAGGAATCAAAATCAATGTAAAAAAATAAATATCACTTCTATAAACCAACAACATCCTAGCTGAGAGCCAAATCAAGAACACAATCCTATTCACAATAGCCACAAAAATAATAAAATACCTAGTAATACAGCTAACCAGAAAGGTAAAAGATCTTTACTATGAGAATTACAAAACATTGCTCAAATAAATCAGAAATGACACAAACGAATGGAAAAATATTTTATGTGCATGGATAAGAAGACGCAATATTGTTAAAATGGCCATACTTCACAAAGCAATTTATAGATTCAATGCTATTTCTCTCAAACAACAATGTCATTCTTCACAGAATTAGAAAAAGACTATTTTAAAATTCATATGGAATCAAAAAAGAGCCCAAATAGCAAAGGGAATTTTAAGTGAAATAAACAAAACTGGAGGCTTAACATCAGCTGACTTTGACTATACTACAAGGATACAGTAACCAAAACAGCATGGCAGTGGTACACAAAAAGTGGTACACAAAGATCAATAAAACAGAATAGAGAGCCCCCAAATAATGTCACACAACTACATCCATCTGATCTTTGACAAAACTGACAAAAACCAGAAATGGGGAAAGGAATCCTCATTCAAGAAATGGTGCTGGGATAACTGGCTAGACATATGCAGAAGATTCAGACTGGACTCCTTTCTTATACCATACACAAAAAATTAACTCAAAATATAAAACCTAAAACTGTAGAAACCCTGGAAGGTCACCTAGGAAATACCATTCTGGATATAGGCCCTGGCAAAGACTCCATGACAAAAACATTAAAAGTGATTGCAACAAAACAAAAACTGGCAGTTGGGACTTAATTAAACTGAAGAGCTTCCGCACAGCAAAAGAAACTATCAAGTAAACAACCAACTTACAGAATAGGATAAAATATTTGCAAGCTATGCACCCGACAGAGATCTAATATCCAGAATCTATAAAGAACTTAAACAAATTAACAAGCAAAAAAACCAAACAACCTCATTTAAAACTGGGCAAAGAACATGACAATTTTCAAAAGAAGATATAAATGCTGTCAAGCAGCATATGAAAACATACTCAATATTACTAATCATTAGAGGAATGCAAATCAAAACCACAGTGAGAACCATCTCACACTAGTCAAAATGGCTATTACTAAAAATTCAAAAAATAACAAATGCTGGCGAGGTTGCAGAGAAAAGAGAATGCTTATACACTGCTGGTGGGAATGTAAGTTAGTTCAGGCATTGTGGAAAGTGGTGTGGTGATTTCTCAAAGAACTTAAAACAGAATTACCATTAGACCCAGTCATCCCATTATTGGGTATATACCCAAAGGAATATAAATCATTCTACCACAAAGACACATGCTCACATATTTATCACAGCACTATTCACAATAGCAAAGACCTGGAATAAACCTAAATGCCCATCAAAGGTGGATTGGTTAAAGAAAATGTGGTATATATACACCATGGAATACTATGCAGTCATAAAAAAAGGCATGAGATCATGTTCTTTGCAGCAACATGGCTAAAACTTCAGGCGATTGCCCTGAGTGAACTAATATAGGAACAGATAACCAAATACCACACATTCTCACTTATAAATGGGAACTAAACATTGAGCTCACATGGACACAAAGAAGGGAACAGCAGACACTGGGCCAGCTTGAGGGTGGAGGGTGGGTGGAGGGAAAGGATTGAGAAACTACCTATTGGGTCCTATACTCGTTACCTGGGTGATGAAATAATCTGTACATCAAATCCCTGTGACACACAATTTAGCTGTATTTCAAAACTATACATGTATCCCTGAACCTAAAAGTTTTTTTAAAAGGCAGATAGTAACAATTGTTGGTGACAATCTAGAGAAACTGGAACCCTCATACAGTGCTGGTAGGAATGTAAAATTGTGCAGCTTCTTTGGAAAATAAAAAAGCTGAACTCAGTAACTTTCCTAATTAGTTTTCCTATAATTCTCCTCACTTTACTATATGGCAATTACATGCCACCAGTTGCTTCAAACAAAAAACCTCAGAATCACCCTTAAATAATCTATTTTAAACCTCATTATCCACATACAATCTTTAAAGTTATAAACGTATCCAGAATCCAACATCTGTGTACTAAAGAAAGACATTTTCTCTGGTTTATAAGACCATTGGTATTTTGGCATCATTGTTACCTGTCTCAACTACTCCGCATTAATCTTCCCCTAACTCACTTAATTTCAGCTGTTGACTTTATTGCCATTGCTGAACATGCTAAATGCCCCATACCTCAGAATTTTTTTTCCTGAAAAATCTTCCCCAGATATCTGCAGAACTGGCACTTTTTTTTCTTCTGTGTATTTGCTAAAATGACATCTCATCAGAAAAAAATTGTATGACTACACTATATAAAATACCATTCCTCCTAATATTGGCCTCTTTCCCTTTACCCTGTTATTCTTCTACATGAAACTTATAACAGACTGACATATTCCATACCTAAGTATGTATGTATTTATTACCTCTTTTCTCACACTAGAATGTAATCTCCTCTAAATTGGAGACTGTTTTACAAAATGTTTAGTGCTGTATTGGCATCCAACCAGTACTCAATTATTTTTTGAATGAATGAATATTTGTGGCACTCAAAAAAGCAGTAAATGACAGACTTTATTATAATTGTTTTCAAACTAAAGCAAATCATGAGTTTCTATTTTAAGGATATATTAAGTATAATTTTATTTAATTTTTTAAAATAGAACTGATTTTCACACTATAATTTTAATCAAACATTGTCCTTCATACTAAGTACTAATTTATATGTTTAGCATTCTCTATGGTAAAGCTGACTTAACACATAGATGATAACTCACTGTGGGGAGTCTGTAGGGCACTAGACTTCTCAAAGCTAATAATAATCTCACTAAATGTTTTTATCTGATATTAAATTTATAGGCATCATTTCACAAGAGGGCAAATTAATAACAACCGGTTTCTTCTATGACATTTACGTGTGTTTGTCAGACATGAAAACTCGGTGGAATTTTTATGATAGCTTATCAAAAATATGTAATGTAAACCATCTTTCAAAATAGTGTTACCTAAGATAAGACAATCATTGCATTCGTATTGTTTTCCTCAAAATTCAAATGGAACTGTTTGACCTCAGACATATGTATGCTAAAACTCCCTCTTTTCTTAAAGTTTCCTGAAGAGATTGCTGGTAAAATTTTGTAATTTGATTATCATGAAGATTATACAGTACAGGCAAGTCAGTAACTCCAATAACATCACGAGACAACGTATTAATCTCTTTTGCAAACTATATTGTGTACTCTAAGTTGAAGGTCATGCAAACTTATATTCCTTTTGTTGTCTCTTTTTATCTCATTCTCTTTTCTAATGATTCCATCTTTAATTCATATTTTGTACATTGGTCAGAGTTCCAATTCAAATACAAACAACAAAAGAGAAGAATGTACATTCTTGGAATAGTGCATATCTGTAGATGGTTCTCTGATCTTTTTCAGTAACAAGTCAGTGAGAATGTGTCCATAGATCCCCAATGAAAGTAATTTTACATGAAATGGAAATAACACCATGAATCTACTATGGCAGGTAAACTATATCTGGAAATATGACAAAATACCACTCATTCTAGCTTAGATATACATTTATTTTCAAACACCATTTCACCAAAATGAATTTTAAGATATAATTTAGGCATAATACTCTAGAATTTTAGAATTCAAAGTTACAAGATATATAAATGGTTCATTTAAATCAGTAATTTTATAAAATAAAAATGTTCTATGTTCTTACAGTTGTTTATACACATTACTAATGGTAGAATAGTTTTCTTGACAACGTGATCACTTTGGTATTATGAGCATTTCAACAGTATTAATTATTCCTGTACATGAACATATGATTTTTTTATTTATTTCAGTCTTTTTCATTTTTTTCCATATATTTCTTGTTTTCAGTGTACAGATCTTTTTGCTTCCATTTATTCTTAAGCATTTTATTATTTTTAATGCTATTGTAAGAGATTGTTTTCTTAATTTCTCTTTTGAATAGTTTGTTACAGTATGGAAATGCAACTAATTTTTTTAATGTAGACTTTGTATTATGCAATTTTAATTAATTTTTTTATTACCTTTGAGAGTTTTTTCCAATAGTCTTTATGGTTCTCTATAAATAAGATCATGTCACCTGCAAACAGAGTCAATTTTACTTCTTATCTGATTCAGAAGACTTTTATTTCTTCTTCTTGCCTAGTTAGACTGGGTAGGACTTCCAGTACTCTATTGAACAGAAGTAGAAAGTGTGAGCATCTTAATCTTGTTTCTCATCATAGACGAAAAGCTTTCAGATTTCTAACATTGAATATGACATTGGTTACAGGCTTATTATATGTAGTATATGGCACTTACTATGTTGAGGTACATTGTTTATGTACATAATTTGTTGAAATTTTTTGTTATGAAAAGACATTAAATGTTACCAAATACTTTTTCTGCGTTAAGATTATCATTTGTTTTTTATTTTTCATTCTGTTAACATGGTGTATCACATTTTTTGATTTGCACATGTTGAACATCCTTGCATCCAAGGGATAAATTTCACTTGTTCATGATGCATAATCCTTTTAAAGTGAAGCCGAATTTGATTTTTTTTTTGAGTTTTTGCATTTACATTAATCAGGCCTATTGGTCTATAATTTTATTTTCTTGTAGTATCCTTACCTAGTTATGGCAAGAGGGTACTGCTGGCCTTGTAAAAGGAGTTTGGAAGATTTTTTTCCCCCAGAGTATGTATGCCCTTGCTTGTGCTCCAATAACTATATAGACACACACATACACACACACACATACAATAAACAAAACAAAACATAATAGTTGCCCACACACCCCTCAGAAAATTTTGCCTAGCCTGTGATCTACATCTTTCTCAGTATCAGTTGTAGGATATTCTGAGTCATTTCCTAACATGCCTATTCTTTGGGATGTGTTCTTTTAGACTTTTCATCATTGAAATGCTTTTGAAATCATATGGAATCTCCAAGTAAGGTACCTGAGAACAGCCCAGTTAGGACTATTCTAGATGTATTTTCAGATCAAACTTCTTAAGCATTCTTTACACAGGCCATTTCCCGGAGAGTTGGAAAGAGTAAACAAAACTTTTTGTGTTCCCCAAGGAAGTAAAAATAATCTAGTGGCTTAGTTTGACCTTCAAGGTTCTCCTCAACTGAGTACTATTCTAGATTTCCAATATTATCTACCCTTAGCACACATTTTATGTTCTATCATGTTATTTCACAAATGGACATCACATGAAGCCAATGATTATATGTGATTAATTATTATTATGAAAATAAGCTGCCATTCATATAAAAATAATTACCTCTTCTTTGTAGAGTCCTCCTTGGTGGTCTTACAATATTCTGCATATATGTTAATTTATGTTAATGACATTTGAATGCCATTTTTAGCTTTTATAGAAAAGGAATTGTTTTGTTCACTTTAAAATTCTAATTCCTATGTGTAATTTTGCCAGGTCTTATATAAAGTAGTATTCAATGATGCTACATCAGTGGATGCTACCTATAGGACCTGGTATAATAATTAAAATATAATAACTAATTTTTTGCTTTATGATTGTAAATACCTGTTCTATATGTGGATAATTTTTCATTTGAGAAAGATGAACATACTTTGGGTGAGAAAACTTGCCACTTGAATAAGGTTCATGGCAACATAATAGTCTCAAAGTAATTTTAGTGAAAGCAATAACATTTGCAACTACAAACAGGCTCAGCCGTAATCTTCAATATTCTTGCATTTAATTTCAGTAGTTCTTCTACATTCAACACTGTTGTCTCCGAACCTATATCCTCTATAAGTAATAATTTAAAAAACTTTGAGGGACTTAAATTATTCTTTCTACAATGAAAAATATATTTTGTGATGCAAATATGTGGAAATTATTTTAGAGTTTTAAGTTCACAATTACCTTTGGAGACTTCTGCTGTCTCAGTCCCCACTGCAACACCCAGAGAAAATGTCTCTTCATCATTTTGACAATAGGAATGATTTTGGTAAATACTATTTGAATGTATTTCACAGGTCAGCAGTCTCATTCTAATATAGATCTACATTTTAGATTAGATCATAATTTGTTTTCTGCTTTACCTTCACCCTGACATGCTATTTCATATAATTAAACAGTAAATCAATAGAATCCTTGTGGGTGGGATTCTGCAAAGAAAACAACCTGTGTTCTGCTTAATTATAAACTCATTAAAATAAGAACGACATTTCCAAAGCACTGATTTGTTCTTACAAATCAAATTCCACTGAAACCTAGGTGTGGGACTTACTGTCCTGAAAACAGTCTTGGTTTGTGATGACAAACAAAGTCATCACTAATCTTACTGCACTTAAAGAGGCTACTGATTTTGTCCTCCAAATGAATAGGTACAACAGGTCACAGATAAGTAATCTGTCAAATGATAAGTGGAATTACCAAGTAGTCCAGAACTCTATAAAAAGAAAAAAATATGGAACGTTTTCAGAGCAAAGTTATTTCCTGACATATGATTTCTGAGTGGCACATGCTTATAATTCCAACAGGGGAACACTAGGCTATGTTTTATTTTAAAAATACGAGTGCATGTCGGAGGGTCCTATTCACATACAAGTAGATAATTCATAATTTAACTATGTATATGCAACATACTTTAATTTGCTTCTATTTGCTTTCCTCTGGCTTCTCTTTAATTGGTTAGCATTTTATTTTTTGGAGAGGAGAACAATGATACAGTGAGGCTGGGTGACTGGACAAAGATCAAATAGGTAGTATATTGCATAATAATGAAATTTAAGCACTGCCCTTCAAAATTTTATTTGATTTTAATTGACTAATAATAATTCTATATATTTATGGGGCAAAATGTGATGTATTGATATATGTATACACTGTGGAATGATGAAATGTAGCTAATTAACATATTATCACCTCATATATTTATCATTCATTTTTGGTGAGAACATTTAAAACCTATTAACAATTTTCAAATATGCAATACATTATTATTAACTATAGGCACTACGCTGTGCGGTAGATCACTAGAACTCATTTCTCCTGTCTAAAGGAAACCTTGTATCCTTTGATTAACATCTCCCCTTTCCTTGCTCATGTCTCCCACCCCCTGCCTCTAGTAACCACCATTCTGCTCTCTGCTTCTGTGATTTCTACTTTTTTTAGATTCCCCATTATAAGTGAGCTCATACAATACTTGTCTTTCTGTTCCTGGTTTATTTCATTTAGTGTAATGTTATCTAGATCTATCTATGATGCTGCAAATGACAATAATTTCTTTGTTAAGGCTAAATAGCATTTCTTTGTGCTATAAACCACATTTGCATTATCCAGTCATCTGTTGATATGTTGATAATCAACTTAGGTTGACTCCATATCTTGGCTATTGTGAATAGTGCTGCAATAAACATGGAAGTGTAGTTGTCATGTCAATATACTGATTTCTAATTCTTTGAATATCGAAGTTCACTGGGATTGCTGAATCATATTTAAAACTGCTGTTGTTGTTTCTGGAAAAAAGATCATCCAGTGTCTCCAGGCATTTGGACACGTGGGGCATCTTTTCACAGAACATATTCCTTGTCATGCTTGTGACTTTCCTGGTTCCATCATAACAAGAGACTTTTCCAAGGGCTTACTCTCCTGGAACCCTCATTGGGATTTCAATGGTCAATCCGTACTAGTAACTTTGCTTACTATTGTGCATTTTCATTTACAGGAAATGTATTCTAAATGTAAGCTAAACTATAGCATGTTTAAAAGTAATATCTCCATATCAATAAACATTATGAAAATGCAAAAACAAAACAAAACTAAAAGTAGATCCATAAATCCTATTATTCTTCCTCTTAATGCATTTTTGTTAACTGATCTCTTCCATACTTTGGGCACTGAAGACTTCAAAAAGGATTCCAATATATTGCTATTTTTTTATGACAAGATGACGCTGGGTTTTAGTACTTGGCAGATAGTGAAAATACGTGGAATTTTACTATTTTGGTAATGATCTTTTGAGTTGATTTACTTGAGAAATAATGAAATATTGCTAACTTCTCGGCTGCCCTACCACACTAAAAAGTCAATGTATTAAAAAGAGCAATGGATTAAACAATAGGCCTTAAATTCACATTTCACATCATCATCAATGTATGACAGTCTTTCTATGGCACTTGGGTGAAAACCTGTCTTATAAGTTATTATTCTCCCACACAACTAGTCTTCCACTCACTAAGTTTGTCTTATCCTGAGGAAATAATAAAAAGAAGCATCCCCAAATAAGTAGAAAGTGTTCTTGGCTCACAAATACAATCGGATGAAATACTTATGATTCAGTAAATAAGGGTCAGAGACTTCAATTGAAATTGAAATTGCATTGTAATTCTCCCCAAATGAATAGGTATAGTAGGTCACAGATTACTTAACTGAAAATTAAAGAAAATTGGAAGAAATGATCTCTGTAGAATTATATCGTTAAAAAGCTTAACCACTCAAGCCTGCAAAAAAAAAAAAAATGCATTTGAAATACACCTCTCCCAAGGGTCAATATTCTAAATAAAGAAATGTATATTTGCTCCTCACTATAGGTCTTGGTAGCCAATAAACTGTCAGCTGAAGGGGAGCATATTTAAGAAAGCATACTTCTTGATGCCTTCTTTATATTAGAAGTAGAGACAGGTCATTGGTGTGGAAAATTATTACTTCTGAGTTGTTATGTCATCCAAAATGTTTTTTGTATAAGTTATATTCCACATATTTGTGGTTGTTAGAAAACACTGATCAGAAATACATCGCTGTAATACATATATAAATATATATCAAATATGTGTAACTATATATAATCATAAGATATTTCGAATGTATATAAAAATATTTTTATAATTATAAGGGATCTACAAAAAGGAATAAAGCAGCTGCAGATAACTAAAAGGGACTTCTGATGAAAGCCTAGTACACTTAGTTGTATGCATGTACATAGCACATTTTGGTACATAAGTTTAGGCATGTACGATAACTTTTATGATTCTCTCACCCTTTGAATTTAGTTATCACATATTCTATTATAGTTGCACAATATAGGGCTGTTTAATTAAGAAAGATTTTACTGGCCTGGCGCAGTGGCTCACACCTGTAATACTAGCACTTTGGGAGGACGAGGTGGGCGGATCACGAGGTCAGGAGATGGAGACCAGCCTGGCTAACAGAGTGAAATCCCGTCTCTACTAAAAATACAAAAAATTAGCTGGGCATGGTGGCACGCACCTGCAGACCCAGCTACTCGGGAGGCTGAGGCAGGAGAATCGCTTGAACCTGAGAGGCGGAGGTTGCAGTGAGCTGAGATCGCGCCACTGCCCTCCAGCCTGGGCGACATAGTGAGACTCCATCTCAAAAAAAGAAAAAAAAAAGGTTTTATTATTTCTATATAGCTATAATATAATTGTTAGCTCAGAAAACTGTAGCTTTCAAAACGATGGTCTAAAGAGTCATCTAAATGATATATCACTCTGTATATGAAATATTGTGTTATGGAAGGTAATACCATGTTTGTACATAATGAAGTTAAACCAAGGGGCACCCTGAGAGAAGCCCATGGAAGAAAAAATTGGGTAATTCATGATTCACTTATGAATTGAGCAGAGTTTCCTCTCAAGAGGCAATAAACAATGTCAAAACTGTGTTTTCATTTAAGGCGCAGAGATACACTTCGAAGATTCATGTGGAGTTTTGATGTTTAAGTAGAATAAGCAGTTCCATACATCACTTAGTATCCTCCATTCTGGATTAAATTTCCTGAGAGTCTTCGGGCTATAATATTTGCTTCATTGCTAGTGAGTTCAAAGTATTTTATGTGTAAACATTTTGCTAAACACTCTTTATCATAATTCATCTTTGAACTCTGAACTATTTAGTCAATATGTTTAAAAAGAAGATAAATTTTGTCAATATTGATTAAAAATAATCTTGTATCTTACTTTTCTAAATGTACAAATAGCGTGAATTTATATTTGTAAAATGCCTAGTACAATTCCTAGCACATAACTTAGAATAGTTTAAAAAGTTTAGGAGATATATGTGTGTGTGTAGGGGAGTACATAGAGTTAATATAGGGAGAAAATATTTTGGGTTGAAAGAACTTGCATAATGGTTAGTTATAAATATATTCCCAGGACTTTTATTTAGCCAGATGAGACATAAGGAAGATTTATTGAATAATACGTTAATTTTATTCCTTCTGTCTACTTTAATCATCTTCTATAAGGGGACCCTAATTTGCCTAACCTGTAGCAAGTGCTTCTCCAGGCTGATATACTAATCATTCTTAGTAACATGAAGGTCTTAGTGGCATTTGTGAACCCCCTTGAATCTGGTCTTCAAAATTTCTCAGAATCATGAAGAGGACATGGTATATGTATGAGGGAGGGGTAGTTGCAATGATACAATTCAAGGATGAACCATTGGGACACAAGTTTTTCAGAATCTTTTCTGTCCAAAAAATGCTTACTTCTATTTTGGGATCATGTATCATCCTCATTCTGTTTTTTTTTTTTTTTTTTTTTTTTTTTTTTTAGTTTCTTATGTATGTCATGTTAGGCTATAACTCATTCTCAACCTGTCCTCCAGGTAAATGATGTTTGCGTTTATTTCTGTTTGGAGAATATATATGTAGCGGCTTACAAGTTTATTTCCAGCAAAACATACTTCACAGCTCATACTTCTCAACTCAATGAGGATTCCCCTGATTAAGCAATTTGCCATTTTATAAACAAATCTTTAAAAAAAACTTTTTAAAATTATTCTTTAAGTTTTGGGATACATGTGCAGAACATCCAGGTTTGTTACAGTGTATGCCTATACACGTGCCATGGTGGTTTGCTGCACCCATCAACTCATCATCTACATTAGGTATTTCTCCTAATGCTATCCCTCCCCTGGTCCTCCAACCCCGACAGGCCCTGGTGTGTGATGTTCCCCTCCCTGTGTCCATGTGTTCTCATTGGTTATAAACAAATCTTAACATTAATAATGTTCTTGCCAAAATTACCAGTGACAAAATTTCAAGACATTCTACATGAATCAGCTTCTTTTTTCTGTTGTAACTGCCAGGCTTCCTTAAATCACAGTATGTGTGATTTCTTCTAAAAGCTTCAATACTGCTTAATGAAACCACAAATGATTAACTATAGGGACATTCTTATATAAGGTTAACACTATGCATACTGATTAAGATAGAGAAATTCAGATAGCTGTTGTTTTAGTCATTTTTCTACCCTGAGTCCATCAGAATACTCTAGCAGAGTACCATATATTTAATAGATATTGAATAAGAATATAGATTCTTATCACATGCAAAAAGACTTCACAATAATTATGTCAGCATGAATAACAGAAATATGAACCATTAATACATGAGATTTATAAGCTAAATGTCAGATATTTTGTTTTGTTTTTTTAAGAGACAGTATCCTCCTATATTGCCCAGGCTGTAGTACAGTAGCTATTCACAGGTGCAATCATAGCTTACAGCAGCCTTAAATTCCTGGGCTAAAGTGATCCTCCTGCCTCAATCTCCCAAGTAGCTGGGACTACAGATGTGCCACCAGATATGTTTTGAGCTCTTTTCTCCCTTCTTGGAGTGAACATGATGTAATACTTTAAAAATATAGATTATTATTAAAAATACTATATACTGAGGACAGAGCTATATTTTCTCTAGCCATTTCTTTGGTGTCCTTTCAATCAGAGATCCAATTATCATCATTTGGGGAAAGATTCTGACTATTAATTTAATATAATACTTTTTTTTGCAGCCTGCAGTGACACATGGAGAAAATGTAACTATAGCCTTATTTAGTGTTAAATTATCTACTTCATGTAATAAGTAAATGTTGAAAATGAGGAAAGAATGTTCTATGCAATTTCTCTCAAATGACACAAATTGGATGTCCAGTAATTGGTCCCAAGTCCTGATTTCTGGTCAATTACTTAAATTTCAGACCACATTGTATCCATTAAGTGTAGCCACTCTTTATTGAAATTTTGTTCATTTAATATGGAGCTTCCTATTTATATAATGCCTATCTCCAAGGAATTTAATGCAAATTTAAAGATTATCTCAGTAATCCTTATGACTGGAGATTATATGATTATGCCTTTATAGTGATGGAAACTGAGGCAGAAATAATTTTAGTGGCTTTCATAAAGTCCTACCATATGCTATCTGTGACAGTCTTCCATGTAGAAGGAATTGTCACCTCATACACATTTAGCACTCATAGGTCACCATATTAAAAAGTTTCCATGGAGACTCCCCCAAACTGTTAAATTTTGCAGCTCATTAGTGAGGAAAGATGCTTCAATTTTTTGCTACTGCATGTACATCTGACAGAAAAAAAATCTTTTCTGCAACCACTAAAGCAGGAGTGAAGAGAAAATAGAGAGTGCTCAAGATCCTCACTAGCACAAGCAGGGCAATTTTTCTTTCCTCATTATTAATACATCGCATTACCTTGTGAAGCAAGTGTCCCAACATAGGTCTAGTTGCTTAATGTCTCAGACAATAACCTATCATACAAGCAAGGAGGCTTAGAATCCAGATCTAGTAGTAAGGCTTCTTAGAATCCTATTAATGGGGTTCCAATTTGCAATATATTCAATGTATTCAATAACATAAAGGCTTCAATATTCAATAGGAAGGGGCAGAGTTGACAGTCACAGCCTCTTAAAACCATGTGTGTCTCTGAGTTCTTTTTTTCCTACGTACGGAATAAAAATAAGAAACACAGAGTGCCAGATCTCAATGAGTTTCAATAATCATTTTGAAAGGAGAAAGTCAGGCATCTATAGTGAAATTTGTTCCTGTAAAGACAACTTATTTTTTAAAGAAAGAGAGAGAGAGTGACATGAGGCACTAAAGAAAATGTTACTATCAGAGCATCTTTAAGAATCATATCAAATTTGAAATAACTATATAGTAAGAATTACAATGATTGCTAAATTATAGTAAAGAAGTGGATATGGGAAAATAGAACATAAATTCCATTTGCTGTTCTGTAATAGAGTATGGTTACCAAATACCCGCTTTATGATGCCAAATTATCATTTTGAAAAAGCCATTGCTGAGGACTCCTTTAGTGCCTAATGTTTTTTGTTTTTTTTTTCATCTCTTTTTTGTTAATGGTCTAAATTTTAACTAAGTCACTAATGCAATAATAGAATGACATTCTTAATTATTAATTTTTAGAAAATAACAAATACTAGCATATTCTATATACTGAATGCCCCTAAAGTTGTTAGGTATTCTGAATATGTTTAATAGCTAGATAGATAAATAGATGTAATGCTATGGTTAGCATGATTCAGTAGAATAATGTGAATAAAACAAAAGTGTCCTTGCAACATGCATTTCTCACACTCTTTACAGGAGATAATAAAAACCACTAACAATCTATTCAGGAGAAAGTAAAGTAAGTATTGCGGTATTCGCAAACAGAGATATAACAGGCTGATTTTGGCTCCCTGTGATGGAATGTGAATGTCTTTAAGAGGTGTAAAATAATACAAGCAGAAATGATAGATTGAGAATTTCTGCTTGGAGCAATGCATGGAACATATTATCCAAATCACCCTCTGTGAAAGTATATGTGGTTCGCTGTGTAAAAGCAAAAGGAGAAAATCAATATATAGTTAGAGAATATAGTGTTAATAGTTCAGTTGTTTCTTTTTTTCAGGCTTACTTTTTCAAATATGTTTTTACATGATAAATTGTACTTAAGTCTATATTAATGTTCTTGAGATTTTAACATTGTGCTTTTTCTCAAGTACAAAATTAGTGTAATGCAATATATCATGGTTTCCTAGGTAATTCCTGACTCAGATATAGTGGGAGCACTTAGTAAATTTCAAATTTCAGGCTGCAATTCCAGGACTGCTGAGTAGAATTTTCAAAGGTAATCACACTATATTGCTCAGGAAATTCTGATGCCTACCAAATATACGTTTCCTTTTGCTACTTTGACAAACTGCCACAAATGTAGTAGCTTAAACAACACAAATTTATCTCCTACAGATCTGGAAGTTAGAGTCTGAAAATACGTTTCACTGAGCTAATGTCAAGGCATCAGTAGGGCTGTTTCTATCTGGAAGTTCTAGGGAGAATTCATTTCCTCATCTTCTGCAGCTTCGAAAGGCTGCCTTGCCTGATTTCCTCAGATTTTAACCCCTTCCTCTGTCTTTGAATCTAGTAAGGTAGCATCTTCAAATCTCTCACTACTTCTGCTTTCGTAGCCACTTTATGTGTGTCTGTGTGTTTCATTCTGAACTTTTGCCTTCCTCTTTTAAGGAACATTGTTCATTGTAATTTCATTGAGTTCACTTAGAATAATATTTCTGTCTTAAGATCATTAACTTAATTACATCTGCAAAGTCTCTTTGTTACATAAGGTAACATATTCCAGGTTTGGGAGGTTAGGACTAGGCCATCCTTAAGGGACCATTGTTCTGTTTGCCACACCAAATTTGGGTAGAACTTGATGATCCTACTAAGCAATTAGATTCTACAATCCTATATATCTACCAACATTTTTGTTGCTGCATTTAACTATTTATTTATTTATTCATTCATCATTAAATAAGTACTTGTTTCACAGCTACTGGGTGTAAAGCACAGAGCCAATCCATGGAGACATGAAAATAATTTAAAAGTAAAATCCCTACCCTTATGCAATTCTATCTTTCAATATAATTCCTAAGCCAAATTGAGATATGTGGGTATTACCTAATTATGTGCAAAATATGATCTATTTACAAATAAAAAAGACATACTTATGTAGTAGACAGAGAATGTGATATGTTGTTTCCATTGAAATTTCCATGATTATTCTAGAAATAGATTGTAAAATAGCATAAAAAGAGACATCCATGGGAATACATCATAGAATTGGTAAGTTAAAAAAAAAAAGAAAAAAGAAAGTCTGCAAGACTACAGCCTAGGGAGATATACTGAGCAATTGACATACTGTTAGGGTGTCAATAAAATCAAACGTTGCCAGTTAGAAGAATAATGAGCTCTTTTCTCTCTGTACCCAAAGGAGATTAATTCAAGAATATATATTTTCTGCATGTTGCTCACCTCTCCCGATAAAATGAAAGTGCTAAAAATGGTCATCTGGGGGTGGTTTTGACTTTACTTTTTATTCTCTCTACTAAGAAGAAACAAGTTACATAACTCCTATTACACACAGAATTCCATGACAGACATTTTGTTATTTGGATTCCTGGCCAAGTGATTTAATGAATGTTCAGTTAAAGAATATGTGTTTTAAAATTACCATATCAGAACTGACAGAAGAGTTCCTCTACTGTTAAAAATGTCCCAAGTTAGGCAAAAATCTGTTAATGCCACACACACACAAAATTGAAATTAGCAAGTCACTGAAAGAAAACAGGAACTCCCACTCTCCATAGTCAGGCTTTTCTGAAATTCAGACCCAGAAACCCTTATCTTGCCTTGGGCTCACTCTATCTGCTTCTCTAAATTTCTGTTTTCCCTGATGCTTCCATGCATGTTTACCATAGCTACTGTCGACTCTTCTTCTCCTGGGATAGCAGCAGAGATGCTTCAGGTACAATTTTAGCCCTGTACTACACGAGCAATTCTTTTCACTTCTGCCGTTTCATCTTCAGGTACCTTGTGCTTTGAAGGTGCTCCCTAGGTATTTAGATATACTTTTGAGTTTGCTTCATGCTTTGAACTTTCCTGAGCTCTTCTGTTTCTTCAAATTCATCTGTCCTGTTTCCCACTTTCTTTACATTTGAAAGAAGAAAGTCAGGGGAAGTGATTTGAGTTTTATGTTAATATGTGCTCCTGGTTTCATATGATTATGCTCTCAGAAAACATGTTTTTATTTTAACAGGAGCCATCAATACCAAAGGCCTGTGCTCCTCAAACTATGTAACTCAAACATCTGTTGAATAGTATATTCAGTAAATCAAAAGCTAAACATCATGCATTTTGTCTGAAGCATGCATTTTAATTCATTCTAAATAAAGCATTGCTTTTGTATTATTGAATATAATATACAATTTATATTAGATGCTTTTAAGCCAAGTCTCCCACTTCAAGTAAATTTTCTCCTTGTGATATGTTATTTTAGGTTCATAAAGCTCTAAATCTTCTTTGTACAGAACCCCACAGAAAACATATTTAACTCATTTGCTATTCTGGATATTTCAGTATAAAAGTATGAGAATAACTGCGTTAAAAGACGGGAACTTAGCTTTGTTGAAAGATCCTCATGATCCATCTGAATCACCAGCGAGGTTCAGCCTGAAATGGAGAAAGCAGAGGTAATTTTTGAATTCCATGTTGATACTGCAAGTTTAGTAACAAATTCTTTAAGGAGAGTAGGAGAAACGGTTGAGAGGTAGAGGTATCAGAGTAAAAGATGAGTACATAAAAATTGGGTAATAATAGGAGGATTTTTTTGTTACATTCTAGCTAACATCTATCACACTGTGGCAACCACAAGCGTCATGAGAAGTTTTATAGACCAGTATCCAGAGAGAGAGAATCAGAGTATAAGATGGACATGGCAATTGTTTAGACCCACACTCTTGTTCTATAAAAATGTGAGAAGGTTAAGAAGCTTTTCCTTGAATCTTATAGAGATTCACTGGAGGAACTGAATGTGCTAAGGGAATTAGTAAAAAAAAAAAAAAAAAAAAAAAAAAAAAATTCTAGTTTAATTCAAAAAAACACAACTTGAGTTAGTTTAAGGTATAAAAAGAAATTTATTGGGTCATGTAACAAAATCATGAAATTAGGACAGCTTAAACTGCATCATTTAGGGTTGGCTAAGAACAGATGACTTTATTTAGGGATGTCTCTTCTCTCTATTTCATGCATCAATGTCATGTTCTGTTTTACTGTGAGGAATTTCTCTGAACATTGAAACTATGGCAGTAAGTATCTTTTTCTTTTATCTTAACAGCATCTCATCTAAAAACAGCATCTCCAATTTCTTCCTGTTTCAGAAATTAAAATCATAAGGAAAAAATCTTATTGTCTTGGCTCAGGTCACTTGACACTTGAACCAAGGAAAGGTGAGTTTGTAATCCCTAGTCTGTGTGACTTTTTTGCTCTTGTAACCAAGACAGAAACAGTTTTAAAGGAAGATGAAGATTAGCAAGTGCCCTTCCCCTAGACGCTGGGGCTCTAATAATAAACAAAAAAGACATGGGTTTCTGAAGTGCATGTGCTTACAGTCTAGCAGAAGTGTTTTATACCCAACAAACTTCAATTTAGTCAACCTGGAATATCCATTATAGATATCAGTTTTAAAAGGGCTGTCAAATAAGCAACGGTCAAAAGGATAAGCTGTTTCTTCAGTTGTCACCCTTTAAAAAATTCATTGTCTGAGTCCCAGTACCCATACACTGTATAAAATAATATGTACATATGAGCCAAATAATAACTGCAGATTGCATTTGATTACTTTGCAGAAATGGGCTATTTTGGATTCCTCCCCAAATAATATTTATTTTCTACAAGGATGTTTGATCTTGTACTTTTCCCAAAAGACCTTTCTGTCTGTTTTGAAATACAAATGAAGATAATCTTTAAACGCTATAAACCTGACTCTCCTATTCATACACAGAGTTTACCTTGTGACAGTGTCTTATAGTCCTTTAGGTTTCAAAGCAATCAACTGGTTGCTTCTCAGATGCATTTGGCTACTGTCTACAGAAACTGTTAATGCTCTCAACTGGATGGAAAATTAATGAGGACAAGCCAAATATTCTTGGATTTTTGCAGCTATCATAATCAGGATGCTAATAATTAGAACTTCTGAATTTTTAAAATGAAATAGAAATTACTCTAACCTAGCTGCTATTTTTTGACCATGTATAAAATTTGTAAATGTAATTTTATTTTCTGGAGAATGAGAGAAAACGAATGTCTGACTTGTATCCCCAAACTGAGATAGAAATATAACAAATATATATTATATTTAATTATATAATATAATTATATATAATTATGTTATATTTAATTATATATATAATTATATATATAGCCCCTTATAAAACCATCAGAGCTTGTGAGACCTTACCTTCAAGAGAATAGCATGGGGACAACTGCCCCCATGATCCCCAATATATATAACATATAATTATATATAAATATAAATAATTAAATATATAATATATAATTAAATATAATTTATATATTTGTTAAAGGATATATAGATAGATAAATAGCTGTATTCTTTAACAACAAAAGCTTACTTATGAAATCCAGCTTCAGACTCAATTAGTGCACCTGAGTGAAACACTCACTATTTTAATTATTGGTTCTATTTAGGGAGAGAAATGGCCTCAAGTTTAGAGAAAGTGCTTTGTGGGTGTAAGTAGGTCATTGGCCTCAACCCTGCTATATTTGTGCTCTTGAGAGTAACACTCTCTCAGTTTTCCGGAACCTTCCTCTGCCTTCATAGCTACATTTTGCTTGTATTGTAGGGTAACATAAAAGAAAAAAGTAAAGGAAATGATATTTCACCAAACAAAATAATTTTGGGAGACTTTTTTGGCAATTTATGTTTATGACCACAAAACATTGTCACTCTTCCACCTGCTACATCTCAGAGAGAGAAATATTCACCAATGTCAAACAAAGTATTAGAGTAGCTTCTTCAGGCTCCACACAATTCAGTATCTCTTGTAACCATAGCAACTACATGTATAAAGGAGCAAGGCAAAGTACCCCTGATACTGTCTTGCTTAAATGTCCTGTCTAATATTTGATATTCCATGATATATAGCTCTAGCAGCAAGTTAAGTATGTTGTCTTATTATTTTCAGATTATGTAATTATTCTTTCTGTATTTGAAACTACAATTCTGAGAAATATGAAGACAACAAATTATCAACTGTCCCTTAGCTTAAATCCCTCTATCTTGAATATTGTGTCTGTGTTCTTGTAATTGAGTAAGAATTCCATCTAAAAGACCCTTATCCCCAAAGAATTTCATGAAATTGTAATTCAGTCTTCTCAGAGAGATGTAGAAGAAAAGAACAAGAATAAAACAGACCACATGGTACAGTAGAAAGAGCATGAACTTTGGATTGAGACTGATCTGTTTTGTATCCCAAACCTGCACATTCTGCCAGAAAGAATTCAGACAAGTCACTTCACTTCTGAGTCTCTCTTTCTTATTCTCAAAGCAGGGATATTGACAGGCACTTCTCAAGGCCATTGAGATGATTTAATGAGATTGCATACGTTCTAAGTTCCCCAGCATAGAGCGGGCTCAACAGTCATATATTGCAGAAAATGATCTCAATCACAGTTGTATTAGTCCATTCTCATGCAGCTATGAAGAAATACTGAAGATTGGGTAACTTAGAAAGAAAAGAGGTTCAATTGACCCACAGTTGTGCATGGCTGGGGAGGCCTCAGGAATATTACAATTGTGGTGGAAGGCAACCCTTCAGAGGTTGGCAAGAGAGAAAATGAGAACTGAGTGAAGAGGAAAGCCCCTTATAAAACCATCAGATCTTGTGAGACCTTACCTTCGAGAGAATAGCATGGGGACAACTGCCCCCATGATCCAATTATCTCCCACTGGGTCCCTCCCATAACATGTGGAGATAATGGGAAGTACAATTCAAGAAGAGATTTGGGTGGGGACACAGCCAAACCATATCATTACAGCCTGGTCCATTTCAAATCTTATGTCCTCACATTTATAAACACAATCATGCCTTGCCAAAAGTCCCCCCAAGACTTAACTCATTCCAGCATTAACCCAAAAGTCCAAGTCCAAAGTCTCATCTGAGACAAGGCAAGCCCCTTCTGTCTATGAGTCTGTAAAGTCAAAATCAAGATAGTTACTCCATCGAGACATTGGGGTTACAGGAATTGGGTAAATACAGCTGTCCCAAATGGGAGAAGGTGGCCAAAACAAAGGAGCTACAGGCCCCATGCAAATCCATAATCCAATAAGGCAGTCATTAAACCTTAAAATTCCAAAATAATCTCCTTTGACTCCATGTCTCACATCCAGGTCATGCTGATGCAAGAAATGGGCTCCCACAGCATTGGGCAGCTCCATCACTGTGGCTTTGCAAGCTATACTCCACCTGCCAGCTGCATTCATGGCATTGAGTGTTTGTGGCTTTTTCCAGGCATATGGTGAAAGCTGTCAATGAATCTACCTTTCTGGCATCTGAAGGGCAGTGGCCCTCTTCTCACAGCTCCATTAGGCAATGCCCCAGTGGGGACTCTTTGTGGGCCCTCCAACCCCACATTTCCCTTCTGCACTGCCCTAAAAGAGGTTCTCCATGAGGGCTACACCCCTGCAGCAAAGTTCTGCTTGGACATCCAGGTGTTTCCATGCATCCTCTGAAATCTAAGTGGAAGTCCCCAAACCTCAATTATTGACTTCTGTGCACCTGCAGGCTCAATAACATATGGAAACTGCCAAGGCTTGGGGCTTGCACCCTCTAAAGCCATGCCCTGAGTTGTATATTGCTCCATTTTAGCCATGGCTGGGATGCAGGGCACCAAGTCCCAAAACTACACAGAGCAGCAAGGCCCTGGGCCCAGCCCATGAAACCATTTTTTTTTTTTCTCCTAGGCCTCCAGGCTTGTGATGGGAGGGGCTGCTTGAAGACCTCTGACGTGCCCTGGAGACTTTCCCCCATTGTGTTGGCAATTATCATTTAGTTCCTTTTTATTTATGTGAATATCTGCAGCAGGCTTGAATTTCTCCCCAGAAAATGAATTTTCTTTTCTATCACATCATCAGGAATTAAATTTTCCCAACTTTTATGCTCTGCTTCCTCTTGAATGCTTTGCCACTTAGAAATTTCTTCTGCCAGATACCCTAAATCACCTCTCTCAAGCTCAAAGTTCCACAGATATCTAGGGCAGGGACAAAATGCTGCCAGTCTTGTCATAAGACAGAGTAGAAAAGGAGAACTGCAGCACAATTTGTGGTGACCAATAAATGTAAAGCAAAACTTCAGAAAAACAATATCTCCTCAGATAAATCCAGAATTTTTGTTGATATGTTGGCTTTGGTTCCAATTTGACAAAGCCCAGATGTTGCTTTCATTAGCACCTGGGTGACTCCCTGGAACAGTCTGTAAATCTCTAGGGTCCTTCCACCAGGTACTTAGTGCAGCTCCTCTCTTAGCAACATCTGGAGAGGACAGCTTGAAGATGCAGTGGAGCCCACTAAGGCTTCTAGAATGACTATGATGCCATATACTGGAGTATAAGGAGTATATTTATACTCCTTTAGATTTAACCATTTAAAGAAGCTGGTCTTTTTTTTTTTAAATTGATAGACAATATTTGTACACATATATGGGGTACATGTGATGTTTCGATAAATGCACAGAATGTATAATAATCAAATCAGGGTATTTAGGATACTCATCACCTTAAACTTTATCATTCCTTTATGTTGAGAACATTTCAAATCTTTTCTAACTATTTTGAAAAACACAATACGTTGTTGTTAACTATAGTCATCCTACTGTGCTATCAAACTTATTCATTCTATCTAACTATGTATTTGTATGCATTAACCAACCTCTCTTCATCATTTCACCAGCACACTTTCAGACTCTAGTAGGAGCTGGTCATTTAAAGCCTTGTTCCAAACTCTCTAAAGTTACCTTAAGAAAGCAGATTTGAAAACTTGGGATTATCAACAACAGTGGTTCCCTCAAAATCTCTTGCTGTTTCCTGAAGCAGAAACAACCCAACTGACGTGAGCTCACATACTTCATACTGCTGATAGAACAGATTGTTAAAGCACAAAAGCCACTAATGTCTTAAAATAATTTCCCTCCCAAGTACTTAAGGGGCTTGGCAAAGATCACCAGTGGCCCTTCATATTCTCCTCTCCTAAGAACAGCCCAGGATACCTGCAAATTCCCAAAGGCAGGATGTGCAAAAGCATCGCTAGAGCAGCCTCTGGATTCTTATTTCAATAATCATGTTATATTCTGCCAAGGGAATTTTAAGCCATCAAGGTCATGCTGATGTGTTAGTCGTCATTTTCTAACTGTGACAGGGAATGGTAGCATAGAAAGAGCCCTGCATTCTTTGTCAGCTGACAAGGGTTCTAATCCCAGCTCTGTCACTAGGCAATTATGTGAACTTATGTAAATCATTCAACAGCTCTGGACCCAAGGGCCCTCATCTGTGCAGACTAAATTATTTCTCAGCTCTCATTTAGGACTAAGATTTTATGATCTATACCCTCAATTTGCTTCTGCTTAGATAGCAGGCAGATTGAATGCTCTTTCAAAAGCGCTAACCATCCTTCCTGAGAACACTTGCACACAAGGTTATTAGGTAAATAAAAAAGGAGTTTCTGTTTGCAGAAAAAATATCTTGGTATTATGGCTTCATGTTAATATTTAATGCTTTAATATTATAAAGTCCATGCACATAACACTTTCTATTTCTTACATTTTATTCAACAAATGTGAATTTTGTGAGCGTGATATTCCAGACCCCTAATCATCCCAAAATCACTGGGCTCTTTAAATACCTCCAAATTGGAGACACCATTTGAGAACGATTTTTACCCTCTAGCCATTTAATAGTGATTTTGTTTTTGTTTTGATGCCCAAATTACATTTATTTTTAGTTTATTTGTAAATCCAATATATATTGCACCAGCATCTATGTTGAATCATTTATTCACCAATTAAATTACCCATGAATAATATGATGACTCTGGTTTCCCAGAAATAGAGCATCCCTTGGCTGGGTGGGGTGGCTCACACCTGTAATCCCAGCACTTTGGGAGGCCTAGGCAGGCGGATCACGAGGTCAGGAGATCAAGACCATCCTGGCTAACACGGTGAAACCCCGTCTCTATTAAAAATACAAAAAACATAGCTGGGCTTGGTGGCAGGTGCCTGTAATCCCAGCTACTCGGGAGGCTGAGGCAGGAGAATGGCCTAAACCCGGGAGGCAGAGCTTGCAGTGAGCCGAGATAGAGCCACTGCACTTCAGCCTGGGCAACAGAGCGAGACTCTGTCTCAAAAAACAAAAAATAAAGTAAAATAAAAATAAAATAAAATGGAGCATCCCTTATAAATGATCTTCTTCATTGACATAGATCTAGTCATGCTCATGTTTTATGATGCTAGTAATTGTAGATCACAGCTTCTACTCCTTTTCATCCCTGTACACTACATGATGATACAGCTTAAATTCATACCTATCAAACATCAGACAGGATTTCACAAGATTCCATTAGAGCAAATTGCTGGATATGGTACAACAATATCTGCAAACTTCTGCCATCCCAGGCTCAAGATGAACGATGACAGACCTGAGGCTAATCGCTTTCATAATTCTACTTTAACTGCAGCTGTAAAAAAAAACTAAGCCAAAAATATGTCAATGATCTATTTCAAATACTTTTTCAGGGGCACAATTTTGGAAGTGGTGTATTTATACATGCAATCACTGAGACAGGTAAAGCCTATGCATATTTAGAGCTGATTTTCTATATCTGTTTTTCACTTCATGCTTTAATTTGTTAGAATTACTGAGCCCCTTACAAAACTTGGTATTAATAATCACAATAATACATGCTGAAAAACTAATTTATAATTAAGGAACCTGAACTCATAGTTGTTTTATGAACTAATAGAGTCACATTCAATCTTAAATGTGAGACGGCTTATGTTTTCCTGTCTATAAATTGCCCAGGGGAGGAGATAGCCCAAGGTTATGGACATCTATCTGATCATCTCAGGGATCTTATGGGAGTACCAGGTACATCATCAATAACTTCTAGTGAAGTATCTGCTTGTGCTCAATGAAATACACAAGTTTCAATTCTATTGGCATCTACAGATTGCCTATGATAGTCCAGTCACTCTGTTGCACACGATATATAAAAAGGAGACTGTGCCTATGTTCTTGTCTCAAAGGCCCCAAGTAGTGAAGAAAACAAGAAAACACATAGATGCCGATTCATATGATTGATGCTTTTTTAGAGGCCACATACAAATAGCTGCTCTGGGGTTCATCTGTACATGAAGAGGGTAGAGAAACCTTCCCAGATGAGAAGAGTGTAACATTCTTTTTTTTATTTTATTTTATTTTATTTATTTATTTTTATTTATTTATTTTTTGAGACGGAGTCTTGCTCTGTGGCCCAGGCTGGAGTGCAGTGGCATGATCTCGGCTCACTACAAGCTCCGCCTCCTGGGTTCATGCCATTCTCCTGCCTCAGCTTCCCGAGTAGCTGGACTACAGGCGTCTGCCACCGCACCTGACTAATTTTTTTGTATTTTTTTAGCAGAGATGGGGTTTCACCGTGTTAGCCAGGATGTTCTCCATCCCCTGACCTCGTGATCTGCCTGCCTTGGCCTCCCAAAGTGCTGGGATTACAGGCATGAAAATATCCAAAGGAGGGTTGTTAGATGAACCATAGGATGCCATCACAGAGGGAGTAGCAAATCAATACATTTGCACTTTTGTTAATTTGATCAATAGGCCAGTCAATCAAAGTTGGCTTTTTAGATAAGCATTTTTTCCTTATCAGTAAACCATAGCATGGAACTTAGGGTCAAGGTTGACTTAGCATAAAAGAACAATACTAAAAGCCACCTTTTTTTCTCACCTTTCTTAGCACCCTGGTAGCTATAATATATATACATGAAGTAATTAATAAGGGCTTCACTCAACAACAATAACAGCTATATCTATGTAAAATACAAATATAGAGCTGAACATTCCTAATACCTGGTTCTGGTGAGACCATAGTTAAAGCAGACATTAGTGTTAACATAAATGTTCAGAACTCTGCAATAAGTGATTTAGTAGGTGCACACAGAGGTGATTAACAGCACCGAGGAAGATATATCCACATGATCTCTCAGGTCCTATTTAAATCAGTGATCCTATGACTGCATGAACTTTTGCATAGTTTATCTCTAGTCTATGATAGAAAGCAAAAAAGAATTCACTTAAAATGTACAATAAATCCAGTTGGAGATATCCAGGTAACCTTTGAATTGCAAAGACACAATCACACTGTAAACTAATTTTAACATTTACATAGAGATTGGTTTCAGAGTCATGCATGTGAGACATACCCTACATGTCTTCTTGAGTATATGCATTAGCATCACTGATCATAAAGAATGTGGATGAGCAAATCTAAAATCATTACTAACATCTTATTAGAGTTAGCTAATTGCTTTCGTTAAAACAATGCTAATCCCAGTAAAACTAACTGCAGTTTGAAGAAGTCTTAAAAGTATTTCTTGGTAGAGTTAAATATGGGTTACTATAAATAGGAAACACAGAAAAAGAAAAACCTGTTTTTACAAACAAAAGAAAAATTTCATGTGAAGATAAAAAGCTACAGCCTTTAAACAAGGAACACTGGAATTGACAAAAAAAAATGCATAGTACTTTTATTGTAGGAAAGAATGGAAACCTACTAAAAAGATCTCAAGATGGAGACTGTCACCTGGTCCAATATTAGGAAGAGTTAAACGCAAATGTCCATTACTTTACAATTTGGATATTTCAATATTACTATATCTTGTGGTCATTTATTCTCTTTGTTCATCTATCCATTCATCTTGATTTAATTAGGACTGTTCTATGCATATTCATTCAACATTTATCACTTTTTTTTATGCTGGTTACTATGCTACATACTGGAAGTGTTGAGACTTTCTTTATGTAGGATGAATAAACAACAGAAACACAATATGCAATTACCACATGAAAGACAATTGTATGTTGTCATTGAGCACAATTTCACCTTTCTTTTCACGTGATTTGTCGTGACTGCTGTTAACCAGAGTAGATTGATATAACTATAGAGAATCCAGAGGTACAAGTGATTTCTTGTTGAATTTGCTTGTTTGAAAAAAAGGTGTATGTAAGCATGGTTAATCAGAACAACAGTTAATTATTTACTAGAAAAGGCAATTAAATTTCCACCTACTCCATATGTAATGGTTCTCAATACTCAGAATTCTGAAATGAGAGTCTATTTTTTAAGAATCAGACCGTATTTGTTGAAGGTTAGAAAATGAGACAGTGTCAAAATAGTTTTTGTCTATTTAATTCATAGAAAGTTGAAATGCCATTATTTAGAAACATGCCCAGCTTCAACACTACCCACGAACCATCTGATATTCTTGTCTTTTGAATTCATCCTTCATGGTGATGTTAAAACTCAAGTACTCCCTCACAAAGGCAAATTTCTGAGTTTTTAACCTCAAGAGCCTGAAAGGAAAAAAAACACCGAGTCTCCTAAGGATATCAAATACAGTTCTCCAAAGTATACTTGATACAGGGGAGATGACACTCATATTCTGATAACAATAACAGTTGAGAGAAAATAAACATGCCTCCATGTATTTGCTTGAAGGCATTGATCAATAAAAAAACGCTTATTGAGTTATGTGCCTTTAAGTTCCTACTAAAAAATCACAAACAATTAAAACAAGCATGTTACTTGACTTACCACTTTCTCTTTTCATATTTGACAACTAAGAATATCTTTTAAAAAGCAATTCATTCTACTTAGTGTTAGTAGAGATTATTTCAATATCTTTCACACCATTCTAATATATTAGTAGTTTAAAATATAAAATAGACACCATCTATATAACACATTTAGCTTTGCCTAGGTGGCATTACTTCATGTGCTACAGTGATGAACAAAATGTGTAAAATACAACTCTTTCTATATGTGTGATGATTATCTAACTGTGGAGGAAAGTGCGGACAAGTATCTGCAATAGAGAACTGCATGTGCTAAGATACAGGTGATCAGTTCAGTTGAGTAAGAGCTCTTTTCTGAATGCTAGAGCTGAAATGCTCATTCTTTTGTAATTTTACATGAGCTATTTTATTATTTAGAATAAAATTTTGCTAAAAGTCCATGTCTTCCTATTCTTTAATATAATTAAATGGGTATTAGAAGTTACTGCATAGGGAACATATAAATTAAATGATGTGAGGGGTGTACTAGTTTCAGCAGATAGATGATAAATTGCTTTGAGAAGAGTTGGCTCAAAGAAAAATAGCAATAAAGGCCTATGGTAGAAGAAGCCTTCATAGAGAACACAATAACTCAGCTGTCACAGGTCACTGGGCTCTTGGAGAGCTGACAATAAAGTAAATGCAAAGCTGATTCTATAGACTGACTCAGACCACAGGCTTAGAAATCCACCCACCCACTAAGGTGAATATTGCCATATGTTAGGCAGAACCACTTCCCAACAAACATGGAAATATCGACATTTGGGATATCCAAAGACCCAAAAGGATATCAATTGGCTTTGATGCACAGTTTTGGAACATGGACAGAATTTTCTGAATTCTGGAAGAGAAAGTTGGAAAAAGATGAATTTCATTTTATAATAGGCTTTACTTTACTCAATCTAATAGAAAACCCATCATGAGATGACGAAACCAGAGTGGCAGTGGCACTCCTAAGGTGACAGAGGATTCAAGACTCAGGCACTAAAAAGATTAAAATTATTTTTTTAAAGGGGGGTGGTGGATCATTCCTTCTAGGTCAGTTTTCCCTGTAAGAGTAAACAGAGAGGGAGTCAGGCAGGGAGAAAGAGACAGACAGACAGACAGACAGACAGACAGACAGACACACACACACACACACACACACACACACACACACACACACACACACACACACAGACTGATTAATTAAAGTAAATACGTAGGAATCAACCTAACACTTTCAATGCAAATGGGCTGGAGTTGTCCACCCCAGTGGAAGTTTAAGTACAGCATTTTGAATAATACAGTAATCAGTTTTTTTAATGCAGTGGTTTTTCTTGATATGTATCTTACATTGAACACACATTTTGTTTTGGTTTTAAAAGCTGAGGACCAGTTATAAGAAAAAGATTTGGAAGAATATATGAAAAGGCTGAGCTAGTTTCCCCCACTCCCTGGAGTAGAAAATAAATAAAATTTCCAACTTAGATGTAGGACTAATAAGGGGAAAGCAAAAGGTCCTTGTGATGGAGTCTTCCTAAATAGCAATGCTCTGACTTGTCTAAGGAAAGAAAGGGTAAGACACAGTTCAGATAGTTTTTCAAGTCTGAAAATGAAGGGTACTAATTCTTCACTTTAGAAGTATATTCCACATAAATTAAAATTCTATTTTCAGAACGACATGGGAAAGGGAGTGTTGAAAGGTAAGATTGATGTCTCTATGTAAAAAGGGACTGAAGCTGCATCAGAGTGGCCTCAAAAGGAATAACAAGAACACTTTGCTAGACCTGGACCTAGAGAGGACTCTTGTTTGGGAATAGCTGCAACATTCATGTAATAGCTGCGGCATTCATGTAACAAAGGATGAAGCTGGAACAGGTAAACCTCAGTGGATACCAGACTGGATAGATGGCGAATAAGGGCAAATGTTCTCACTCCTAAATATGTAAGCATCATTGCCACCACCCCTTCATACATTAAGGAAAGCCAACCAGATGGTAAAGAGAAATTTCAAAGTGTCTGACAATTTTTTCACCACCCGTTAGAATTACATTTCAATTAGAAATAGTTTTGTTGTGCAACATTAAAGTAACACTTCATGCTTGCCTGAATTTGTGGACTAGATGTTTACCTAACATGCACTTTGTATCGATAGCATCAACAAAACAAAATAAGACAAAACATAACACTCAAATCTATCACAGGATCAACTTCCCTGGGTTTCCTAGACTGCTGATAATTTCAACTTTAAAAACATTTTGCTATGTTAAACGTATTATATCAGATCTTCTTGGTTTCTTTGCCCTGTCTCTATGTTCCCCCCTCTTTTTATAAGGTTCTCTTCACTGTTTTTTCAGTGTTGGACTCGAGTTGGACCTCAAATGTGCTATAGGTTTCAGATTGATCCTGGTAAACCAGACCACCAACCAGACTCCATGGACCTCATATATTAGGAACATTCACAGTAAAGTCTAGTCTTTATATAGGATAAGCCAGTCAAATTATTTAATAGCTTCCCACAATTTCATTATGTGTAGGTAAGATATGCAATATGTCAAACTAGCACGAGGGAGTTATATCTTCATTATATTAATTGATTGGCATACTGGTTTTGCCCCCAGAGAGACTGACACAGCTGGACCTGGAGAGAAGAGTAGCAGGAAGGTTAACTGGTAACTAACATTCAATGAGGAAGAAGAGTGATCTAGGATCCAAAGACAGCAGAGCAGGTCTTTCTATTTCCCGAGAGCCAGGAGCCTAGCAAACGCCCCCAGGAGATGAGCTGCAGCAGAGCAACAATACCCCTGCCTATTCATCCCCTCAACAGTCGCTTATTTCTGACACCCCCTCCTCCACCCAAGGCAACAACCAAACAAACAACAACTTAGAAAAAGGGGAGGGGTTAGAAAGAAATCCTGGACTCCCTAAAAGGAAGGGAGGGCATAAAGTGAGTGCCTTGACTTCTGTTAAAAAGAAAAACTTTAGTCGAATTACATTTCAAGGAGTTTAATTGAGTAATGATGATTTGCAAATGGTGCAGCCCCCGGAATCACAGCAGATTCAGAGAGACTCCAGGGATGCCTCGTGGTTAGAACAAATTTATCAACAAAAAAAAGGGAAGTGACATTCAGAAATCAGAAGTGAGGTACAGAAACAAATGGATTAGTTACAGCTTGGCGTTTGCTCAGCAGCGTATGAATGGCCGAAGTATGGCTGCTGGGATTGACCAAGACTCAGCTATTGTTACAGGCACATACTCCTGAGTTAGGTTTTAATCTTGTCCACCTTTTAAGTTAGGCTGCAGTTCATCTGCAAGGACTCAAATGTAGAAGTACAGAGTCCTTCTCAGGCCATATTTAGTTTGCTTTAGCATTTCCGTTTCCGAAAATACACTAAACTCCGTTTATCCCTATTACTCCTTGCACTAACAACTGCTTTTATCTAAGAGGAAAAGTGAGATGCTACAACAGAGACTCAAAATTACAGTGGCTGAAAGAAATGGAAATGCACAAGTATATTCCTCTCATATGACAGTACTCAAGGCTCAAGTTGCTGTACTATAGGCATGTTTAAAGATTGAGGAAGGAGAGAAGAGATAAAGAGAGAGAGAAAAAAAGGAGAGGAAGAAGAAGGAAGAGAGGGGCAGGGAAAGGAGCCTTGCTGCTCACCTACTGTGGGACTGAACTGAAACAGTAGCAAGTGCCTCTACTGGTGGGGACAACAATGCCACCACAACTAAACAAAGCCAAATAAAACTCAACTAAACAAAACGGAAGCAGCATAGTGTTAGAAATGCTTGTTCCCTAGTGCCGTAAAGAAATAGCACTAGAACATAAATGTCATTTCCTCAGCAAGGCCATTTTTTTTTTTTTACTTTCTGCAGAAAGGGTACACTCGCCAGCAGTTTTGCCACTAGAGTACACCAAACAAAGGAGACAGGCTCATTTATAACCTGACGCATCCACCCCACTGCTGTGTCCAGTTTCCATTGGCTGGAATGGGACCTCACATCCTGTATTTGTCCTGATTGGCTAGCAACTTAGAACTTTTTTAAAAAGGCAAAGGCAGAGGAGAACAAAGGAAGGAGGAACTAACTTATGGAATGCTGAGAAAGGTAAAAACAGGCTATGACCTAAAGCTTGCTTGGACCAGTATAAGCAAGCCAGGGCAAACATTTAGGCTACATTGTGGGAGCTATGAACATAAAGTACACTGATTTCTTTATTACGGCTAGCAGATATTTAAGAATGTTAGCACGGGTCTTTGAATAAATTTTGCTTCTAAGAGAAGTTACTATTTATTCCTAATTAGATGGGGAGGAAAGTCTTTGAAGAGGAACCTCTACTTTACTTTTTACAATAGGTTGAACTTTGGGATGTCTGACCAAATGTTTTCCGTCTCACCACTCAGAGTGGCCACATGCCAGTTGCAAAGAATAAGATTATATTCATGAGCAAGTCAGAATCTGTCCTGTGATAAATGCCTGGGGGATGAAGGTCAGCATCTGCTCTGTCATTTGAATTTGATATTAGAAAATTTAAATCTGAAAAGAGAATCTCGAAGTGGGTATCAGAAGAAGAGAAGATGTGAGGGACAAAAGGATAGGATCTACAGTGCTGTTACATCCTCACTGGCATCAACAATTTAGACTCATCTCTATATCCATGTGTAACTTGTTACAGGTAGGGGTTAATTTAGCCTATTTTCATTCTTTATGCCTTTAAATACATAAAACACACTTTGAAACTGACTTTTATGAATTTGTTTGTAGATTTAATTATTTTCCTTATTCTGATTATTTATACTTTATTTCTCAGTCTGCAGTCATAAGCTGGCCTCAACACACTGAAGTATATTCAGCATTATAAACACACTGAAACACCAAAAAGGCTGAGATGCACATAATTTGAAGAGTGAAAATGGCTCGAGAGCATGAAGTCTCATTATCTGTAGGTAGGTAACCAAAATCTGTGTCTAGATATTTAAATATAAATAGTTCCTGATATCTGGACTGTGACAGATGTAAGTCACATTATCACTTCTTAATTACCTCCATTACTAACTTCATTATTTCTTTTAGCTTTAAGAAGAATCTGCGTGAGCTCATGGGGCTCAACTGCTTCAGGTGAAAGAGAAATGAGCACTTTTCCATGGGTACATTGCTGGGATTTTGTTGATACACATCACATTCCAACCCCAGGTTATGCTAAATGAGTGACTAAAATGATCCTTGGGGAGCTTGTGGCATATGTGGGCTCCCTTAGCAACCCAAATGCCTAAAGCCAGCTCTGCCTATCACATTTTCCAGTCTCTCCCTATTCATATCACCTTATCTCCTGGAGCTCATGGTGTAGTGTTCTACCTAGAGGGCCATTTTGCTTTTCTCAGATAACAGGTATATTTTAACATCAACATTTTTTTTTATTATTGAGATACAATTTATTTTTAAGGAAAAGTCTTCATAGTGTCATACTATATTATGCAATGGGACTTTAACTTCCCCAGAGTTACATAAATTCTGAAGAATTGAATTGAAAATTCAAGATCACATTTTCTTCATTGCTGATAGATAATGGGACAATTAGCTCTGTCATATTCATACACTTTGGGACATATTTTGTTGGTGGTTACTATTTTCCAGTAATATCCTCTCCTGTCTCTGATTATCAGCTGAAAATCTTCAAATCCCTTTGCCCTTTTCTTCATGCAGATACTTAATCTCTTTCACTTATAGGTTTATGCTATATATTCACTGAGTGCTTGTCAAGAGCTGCAGCTCCTATTTTTGTCTTGGACATATGTTGACTAAATATTTTACCTGCATTGAGAAGGATTTAGTCAATGTTCAAATTATGTCAAAATAACTCACTGAAAAGTGAAGAATTCAAGTTATGTGTTTTGAACTCTACAAGAAATTTTGTAATAGGCATTTGCTAAACTACTAAAATGTGCTAACACTGTTCTGGGCACTACACAAATCTAGTGTCCAATACATACTCCCTGGCCTCAGTTTAGAGAGGTTAAAGAGTATTACACAACAAAGTATGGAAAAACAAATTATGTACAATGTAAGATAATGATAAAAACATTGACAGTTGAAGCAAGTTTTGTTTTGGCCACACTAACTGTGAAACTTTAGGTGAGTTATTTCCAAATTTGGTTTCGTCATTTGCATAATGAGATAACAATAATAATGTTTGATCTGAGGAAGAAATAGGAACAAAAATGTAACGTTCTTAGAATAGTGTTGGCACATTCTAAGTAAGCATTAAATAAATCTCAGTTATTTCTACAATTTTCTGTAAAGCAATCAAAATATAGGGTTGTGTTCAGAGCTATGGAGGCTAAGAGAAACAAGATATTTCTCCTGAATAAGAGTAGACATTATGTGTGGCCACAGATGTGATGTATAAACTGGATTGATCTTTATGAATTAGTAGAAACATTCTTTGTCTTGGTCCCACTGTTAAAACATGTATGTAGGTACGCATGTGTATGTGTGCATATGAGTGGGGGTGTTCAGAGATATCTCTAATTTGTATTTTGTTTCTGTTCTCCCCCATATTAGGCCATTTTCAGGCTGCTGATAAAGACATACCTGAGACTGGGAAGGAAAAGAGATTTAATTGGACTTACAGGTCCACATGGCTGGGGAGGCATCAGAATCATGGTGGGAAGAGAAAGGCACTTTTTCCAAGGCAGAGGCAAGAGAGGAATGAGGAGGATGCAAAAGCAGAAAACCCTGATAAACCCATGAGATCTAGTGAGATTTATTCACTATCACAATAATAGCACAGGAAAGACCTGCCCCATGATTCAATAACTCCCTCTGGGTCCCTCCCACAACACATGGGAATTCTGGGAGATAAAATTCAGATTGAGATTTGGGTGAAGACACATCAGAACCATATCATTCCTCCCCTGGGCTCTCCAAATCTCATGTCCTCACATTTCAAAACCAATCATGCCTTCTCAACAGTCCCCCAAAGTTTTAACTAATTTCAGCATTAATCCAAAAGTCCACAGTACAAAGTCTCATCTGAGACGAGGCAAGTCCCTTCTGCCTATGAGCCTGTAAAATCAAAAGCAAGCTAGTTACTTCCTGGATACGATGGGGATTCAGGTATTTGGTAAATACAGCAGTTCCAAATGGGTGAAATTGGCCAAAATAAAGGGGTTACAAGGCCCATGCAAGTCTGAAATCCAGTGGGTCAGTCAAATTTTAAAGCTCCAAAATGATCTCCTTTGACTCCAGATTTCACATCCAGATCTCACTAATGCAGGAGGTGCGTTCCCATGGTCTTGGGCATCTTTGCCCCTATGGCTTTGCAGGGTACAGCCTCCTTCCTGGCTCCTTTCACAGGCTGGCATTGAATGTCTGTGGCTTTTCCAGGTGCACAGTACAAGCTGTCAGTTGATTTCAGTTGATCCACCATTGTGGAGTCTGGAGGATGGTGGCCCTCTTCTCACAGCTCCACTAGGCAGCGCCCCAGAAGGGACTCTGTGTAGGGGCTCCAACCCCACATATCCCTTCCACACTGTCCTAGCAGAGGTTCTCCATGAGGGCCCCACCCCTGCAGCAAACCTTTGCTTGGGCATCCAGGCATTTCCATACATCATCTGAAATCTAGGCAGAGGTTCTCTAACTTCAATTCTAGACTTCTGTGCACCTGCTGGCTCAACTCCATGTGGAACCTGCCAAGGCTTGGGGCTTTCACCCTCTGAAGTCACAGCCTGAGCTCTATGTTGGCCCCTTTCAGCCATGGCTGTGACACAGGGCAACAAGTCCTTACCCTGCACACAGCACGGGGATCCTGGGCCTGGCCCAAGAAACCACTCTGTCCTCCTGAGCCTCTGGGCCTGTGATGGGAGGGGCTGCCATGAAGGTCTCTGACATGGCCTGGAGACATATTCCCCATGTTCATTGGGATTAACATTAGGCTCCTTGCTACTTATGTGAATTTCTGCAATTGGCTTGAATTTCTCCCCCTGAAAATAGGTTTTTCTTTTCTATCACATAGTCAGGCTGCAAATTTCCCAAACTTTTATGCTCTGTTTCCATTTAAAAATAGAATGCCTCTAACAGCACCCAAGTCACCTCTTGAATGCTTTGCTGCTTAGAAATTTCTTCTGCCAGATACCCTAAATCATCTCTCTCAAGTTCAAAGCTCCACAAATCTCTAGGGCCACCAGTATCTTTGCTAAAACGTAACAAGAGTCACCTTTGCTCCAGTTCCCAACAAGTTCTTTATCTTCATCTGAGACCACCTTAGCCTGGAGCTTACTGTTCATATCACTATCAGCATTTTTGTCAGAGCCATTCAACAAGTCTCTAGGAGGTTCAGACTTTCTCACATTTTCCTGTCTGCTTCTGAGCCCTCCAAACTGTTCCAACCTCTGTCCGTTACCCAGTTCTAAAGTTGCTTCCACATTTTCGGGTATCTTTTCAGCAATGCCCCACTCTACTGGTACCAATTTACTGTATTAGTCCATTTTTGTGCTGCTGATAAAGACAGATCTGAGACCGGGAAGAAAAAGAGCTTTAGTTGGACTTACAGTTCCACATAGCTGCAGAAGCCTCAGAATCATGGTGGGAGATGAAAGGCACTTCTTACATGATGGTGGCAAGAAAAGAATGAGGAAAAAGCCAAAGTGGAAACGCCTGATAAACCCATCAGATCTCATGAGACTTGTTCACTCATATTCTCATGAGAATAGCATGAGAAAGACCAGCCCCCATGATTCAATTGCCTCCCCTGGGTCCCTCCTGCAGCACATGGGAATTCTGGGAGATACAATTCAAATCGAGATTTGCGTGGGGGCACAGCCAAACCATATCATCCCCTAAATAATTAAATAGTCTCATTAAATCCATTGTGTCATTTATAACTCTTTGGTTGCAACATAATCTTATTATTTACAAAGAGAATAAATAATAAAAGAGACTTATTATTTATAAAGAGAATTTGCTGCACGTTAGTGGAATGCATGCAATCAAATGGAATGATGAAGAACTAGGCCCAGAAAAGTAAGGAATCAGCAGTTATGGCAATGGAAACTACTCAGAAGCATCATTTGGCCCCCTCTGCTAGAATGAACAAACTCCGACTGTTTGTTTTATTCTTTCTTCCCTTTAGGATACAAAATTTCTTGTATTGTCCCACCCCTGCAGGGTCTGCCATTCTTGCCCCCCACCCTTTAAAGGTGTCAATGTCAAAACACACCACACTGTCGTAACAGAATCACAAGTAATTAAATGGTTTATTAATAAGGAATATGTGAGCAAAGAGAGATACTGGCTGAGGGGCCCACAGATAGCAATTGGGAGAAGGAAAGAGAAAGAATATGGTCCTGTGGCAGCTGGAACAATGTTGAATAATATTAAATAATGTTGGGTGCAGACTAATTGTGGCTGGTCTCTCCTGTTGCATGGGTGGAAGGTCAGAGGGTCAGGGCAAGTTGCATTGCATGAGATTAGTGAGACCTAATTAGAAAAAAGCAGGATGGGGCATCTGACAGTGTCCATCAAGTTAACTGAAAACAGTTTAACCAAATGCAGTTTTGTTGCAAGTGACGTATTGCTTCAGATGTTATTTCTCTAAAGCTCCCACTGAAGACTGAGAAAGACTGAAGGATCACACTTTGGTAATGTGACCACCTTCTGTCTATGGCAGTGACTTTCACTTTGTCTTACTGTTCCACCACGACTCCACACACTGGAAGATGACTGCTCCTTAAAAGGAAAGGAAACAAGTACTAGGTAGCCAGATGATCAGAAGGAGCAACTACCAGCCCTGAGAGTGTAATGACTGCCATTCTTTGAAATCTTTTGAAAAGTTTTCTTTCTTCTGCTACTTTACAACAAAAGCAAGAAATTTGATAAGAAATATTTTTGGGGGGTGGAGAAATGTTATATTGAAAGACACACAGAAACAATAAAGAAGAGAGGGGGAGAGAGAATTTCAAAAAGTATACAGGTGAAAACAAGGATAGTATTCAGATTTTAAATCCTTCTCTTTGAAATCTGTGCTATGCACAAACTTGTGCATATTACTAATCCTCAAAACCGCCTCTATGTTTGTTACAGAACATCATGAGATATAGCAACCTTCCAAAGAATTCTTGAGGTAAAATTTTCACCATAGCATAAGAAAAAGTATTCAATAAATGTTACGTTAGTTTTATAATCTTATACCATGTTCATATAACTGTATTTTGTGAGACTTTCAATACTTGAAATGGTTTTATAATATGTATCATGCCTACTCTGTCAACATTTAATTCAAAAAGACACAAAATATTTAGAAAGAAAATTTTAAAAATTACAAAAGCATCCATACTTCAAAGTAGGTAATTAAAATGATTCATATATGTTAATACAAATTATAATAACTGTTCGTGTGTTTTGTTGACCATATAGCTTTTAACTATAATTGGAACAGAGAAAGAACAACTTTTCTGAAGATCCTTGCATTAAAAACAAGACAAGAGACAATATTTAGTGTGACTCTTTAAAAAAAGAAGCCTTACCCCAAAATGTAAAGATATGATTTAATAACATCAGTATTTTCAAATCATGTTGAAAATGTGTTCAAATGTAGTTGCTTTCATTCTATGCATAATTGAACAAGAAATTACTTTGTGAGAGCTCTTCTGATTTTCAAGGCAAAATAATCCACCAATGCTTTTAGTCTTATAACAATATGTTAGTAACTTTATTGTACCACAAATAACAGCCTATGCTTGTCACATGCGTCCACTTTGGCTTACATATGAAAGAATTAGAACAGAATCTGATCTATGTCCTTGTGGTACCAGCACTTAGCAAAACGCTCACCTTTGATAATAGGTGTGATAGACCTCCCTGCTAAATAATAAAATGATGGAAATATGGCAAAAGAGAAGACAGAGTGAATTAGGCATAGAACATTATTTTTCCCATCCTGGGTCCACTGTGGACCAACTTCATGACTTTGGAAAAATATTTCCCTTATTTTTGTTCATTTGCAAAATGATGTGTGACTCTCTGAGTCGTTTTGAGGATGAAAAGTGATTAAAAGTATATATTAATAAACAAGCAAAATATGATTGTTATTAAAATCCACTTGCTTTCGCATTTCCTGGAGAATAAGTGTTTTGTTCAATATGCAGCAAACTGTAAGGACTGTCTGGCAGTTAAAGCAAAGTGGTAACTACATTTGAGATTTTCCTTAAAGCACTGAGGAACTCTGAGCACCCAAAAATGGTTTGCATTAAGCTCAATTTGGCCTCTTGTCTATTAGTATTGGAGGCAGTAAAATGAGATAATCCAAGGAAATTTTTGTACCAATGTTTATTGAGTACTTATTCTATCTAAAAATTTTGCTAGTTACCATGGCAGTGAGTGAACCAATATGAAAAGTCTTCCATTGTAAAGAGAAATGCATACAAATAAATAAAAATAATAATAATGTAGATAAAAGGTAAGAGTGCAATGCATTATAGAAGAGATAAGCCATTTTTCTGAGGGAATTTACTCAAGTTCTTATGATCACAACAATATAAAATCAGTGGTGTGCTGGGGTTCCTACAAGCTCAGTGAGCCCATTGTATGCATTTCTTCTCAACCTAGCTTTCGGTGCTGTATCCTTGGTAGCTTGAACTTGGCCATGGTGGGGAAGGATACACATGACAGAAACAGACAAATGTTGTAAATCAGGGCTTCACAACCACTTCTAAAGCCATTAAAAAAATATTTACGCAATAGTGCTCATATACTACTGTATATAATTCTAAAAGAAAAAAAAATTTGAAGAGGAAAAGAATATTTATATTTCTTTAGGCTAAAACAACTTGATATTTTACCTTTTTTTTTCCTTTCTCTGAAGTCCTGGTTAGCATGCTTATAACAGTTCTAGAGTGATTGTTTTCCTCTTTTCTAGGAATCTGAAGAAAAATAGAAATAAATAACTTAAAGCTCCTAATAAATGATTTTCTTAAGGCATAAGATAAATTTGGTTGATTTAGAATTTTAATAAGGGGTTATGTAAGTTTTAAACATTTCCCTCCAACTGATAGTATCATTACTTTCCATCACAGATAATAACTCTCATCATATGTTATAGATGAATGCATAGCAAAAATGAAATACCCAACTAGAAAACTCTTGCAAAAAAATGGCTAAGCACTGGCTGCAGTGTTCAATAGGCCTGAGGCAATAATAACTTGCCTAAATACCAACTGAAATTCACAGAACAGCTTTGCTGGATTGAATGCAATTTTGCTTAGTACAAATTAATTTCAGTTTCCTTTTTCACTGGTGATCACCAAGGATCCAGGTCCTACTGCCAATAAATAACACTTCATTTGTTTCTTGAAGTAATTATTTGTGTGCAATAGAACTTTGAGAAGCCAGTTTTTGTAGCCTCCAGCTATCACTTCTCCACAAGAGCCCTCTAAATTAGTTAACTTATAGCAATTACTTCTGCACCAGATGATTATCTTTCTAACCCAATCAATTTGTCTACATTTTCATCACTACAAAGTCTTTAAGCTGGGAGAGAAATATACATGCTTGGATACCTGGTAGAGGTTAAATTTCCATTTTATAGTTGCTCTTTTTGGCTTACATAATTGTAAAAACCTGATGAATTATTTGGTAATGTTCTTCTATAATAACTTTCTATCATTGACTCAGGGTTTAACTTGTTTTAGAAGAGTACATCTTATATTTCCCCTGAATTGCTACAGGTGGGGACAGCTTACAGGGCACTGCTGCTACTCTTAGTGACCTGTATACTGAGACTGGTCCATTAGGCTTTTAGTGGTCTGCTGCAGGCAGGAGACATTTATACCTGAGGGTGAGGTTTTAATTGCTAACACTTCCTAAAGGAAGGTGAAGGTAGACAAAAGGAAAAGAAAAGAAAAAAAAAGGTCAGGAACACAAAATGAGTTCTAGGGGAAAAAGGCAGAAAACAGAAGATTCCCATTGTATTTTTCATAGGATGTTTCAAAGAACTATTCATTATATTAGGACTTGATGTTCTAAGAACATGAGGAATATGGAAAGGACCTGGATTCCTGAGTTTTTTCACCTAGATCTCCTCTAGATTGTTGAGATGCTCTCTCCACAATTGGAAAGGTTAGTTGCCACAGAAGTAAGAAGCTGAGACAGCTGAGAACGAAGACACACATGCCAGACCATCCCAAGGGCAGTTCTGAAGGGCAGTGGGATTCATTCAGTAGGGTAAGTACAGAGATTGGAGAGCCACACAGATTAGAGTGATAAACCTGATTCACACCCTAGCAGGTTTTCAACCTTGGCTAAATTTCCCCCCCACACCCTGAATGTCTGTAATGACATGGAGGTAAAAATGACACCTGGGATATATTGAACACTCGAATGTACCTGCCACCAGGTCAGATGCTTTACCTCCTTCACCTGCTTTGAGTCACATCACTAGCAAATGACAGAGTTAGAATTCAAACCCAGGAAGTCTCATTCCAAAGCTCACTTTCTTATCCATTATGCTTTACTAACCACTGTATTTCTCATCTAGTTGATAACAATGCAAAATACGTATGAGGAGCACATATGATTGTTGTGTAACAAAATACCACAATTTTAGCAGCTTGAAACAATACCCATGTATTAGCTCACAGTTCTGTCAGTCATAAGTCAAGCATGGGGTGGTAGGTTTCTCTGCCTGTATATCACAGCTGGTTATCAAAATACAAAGGCTGAAATAAAGGGATCAGCTGAACTGATTTCTCACAGAGGTTCTGGGGGTTGCAGGGTAAGGGAGGGAATCTGCTTCCAAACTTAGTCTTGTGGTTGGTAGAATGAAGTTCCTTGCAGTTGATGAACTGAGGTTTCTATTTCCCTAAAAACTATCAACTGGGGACTGTCTCAGTTCCTAGAAGCAGATGCTCTCACTGGGAACCCAACATGGGTGTTTGCTTTCCTCAGGCCAGCCAGAGTGGATATTTCTTACTTCTTCTTTTTGACCAGTCAGAGCAATCTCTGTGCTCTTGCAGGAATAACATGATTAAATCAGTCTACTTGGATAAATTCTCATTCTTAAAGACACATATGTGCCACCTAATATAACTTGATCACAGGAGTAAAACATTTTCTTTGTACAACCCTATGTATTATGTAGGACATCCACAATAGGAGCAGAAAATCTTATGCACCATTTTAGGAATCTGTCTGTAATGTGAAGGGTAAAAATCTCAAATGGTTGTGAGAATTAAAAGTAATAATTTTATGTAATATATTTAGCACCTTGATTAGCATATAACACTTGATACCTGGTAGCAATGATGATGATGATGATGAGGATGATGATGACGACTATGGGTTTGAAAGTTTGGGTCTCCCCCAAATTCATATGTTGAAACATAATCACAAATATGATGGTGTTAAGAAGTGTGGCATTTAGAGTTGATGAGATCATAAAAGCTGACCCCCCATGAATCAAATTAGTGCCCTTATAAAAGAAAACCAAGGGACACTCCTCTCCCCTTCTGCCATGTGAGCTCAGAGTGAGAAGATAACTGTGAGAAACTGGGCCCTCCCCAGACACCAGATCTGCTGATGCTTCAATCTTGGACTTTCTGGTCCCTAGAACTGTAAAAAATATATATTTCTGTTGTTTATAAGCCACTCAATCTATGGTATTGTGTTATAGCAGCCTGAAAGGACTAAGACAATGATGATGATGACTCAAAAAGAGATAGATTCTGACTTCCAAGGGACAAGCACGGAATCAAAAGCAGGGTATAGAATTAGAGATACAGAGTCTCTCTCACTCTCTTTCTGTGTGTGTGTGTGTGTGGGGGGGGGGGTGTGTAAATATATACACAGAGATATGCTTTCACCCCAAAGCAAACCTTAATATGCACAAGACAAGTGATATACAAGCCATGGTTATTGGGTATTATAAATTATGACTGTGTCAAATTAAGTTTCATGGTAATATCTATTAAGTCAGGTTAAGGCAACAATATCGGAGCTCATAATTCTTTTACATCCATATTTTATCATAGTGTATTTAAAATCAAACTGTAAACAAGAAAATAAAATAGGATATACTACTTTATATCATCACATTTTGCAACAAAACATTATTCAGATATAAAGATTCTATATCAAGAATTCTTGACATTAATGAGAATGAAAATTATTGAATGAAAAAAAGCTTTCTTGTTTCATAAAACAGATAATGAGAGCCTACTTTGTGCTAGGAAGTGATGATATGTAGCAGGAATAAATAATATCTACTCTCAACCAATTGCAATGTATTTAATGGTGAAACAAGTAAATCAATGACTATATAATCTGATAAGAAGTATACTAAAATTATGCTCAGAAAGCTATAGTGATGAACTTTATTTTAAAATACGTAGCTTGACCTATAACTTCGATTGTAGACTGTGATTGTGACTGTATATTCCATTAATGTGGAGATTACAGACTTAGTTTACTCTTCACTTTTCCTCTAGTTCCTATCATATAATGACACATACAATTGTTTGTAATACATGTATTTTTAATGAATAAAAAATTAGCAGATAATTTATCTATTTGGTTACTGGTATCTGTCCCCTTTCTCTTAATTATTCTCATAAAAAATATTGTCTATCTATACCATTTTCTTCCCTGCATCCAATTTTAGGGAAATTCTACTCCATTCCTTGTTTAGAGTTTAGCTGCAACTCCATCAGACTATCTTGTGGCTCTCATCTAGGATAATTTTTTTCCCTCCAGGATACATTCAGCATGCCTAGAGACATTTTTCCAATGGGAAGGGGTTGTAAATTGCTACTGGCCTCTAGTGATTAAGGCTAGAGATATTACAGCATATTCTACAGCACAGAGGACAGTAACTCTCCACATCAACTAATTATCTGGCCCCAAATGTTAATAATAGAGATATTGAAAACTCTGGTCTAATTTCATTTTTCTAGCCCCAGCAATTGGCTCAGGGATGAACACCTGATCTAAATTGGTCTAATCAGACCAAAGGTTGAAAACTTTCTTTGATGGTTAGGGGAAATGAGGCTCTGTGGGAGCATTCATTGAATGAGAAAATATATAGAGCTGAGACGTAGAGAAACAATTTAAGATCAAGAAGGGAATGTTTTATGTGATTAGAGTCCAACTGAAGATAAGCCAAAGAGTACTAAGAGAGATTAGCATGATTTGAGCAACCACACTGAATATACTCTCTGAGGCTTTTTTCAACCTCTCAATATTTTAGACATATAATCCAATAAGTTTCTTTTAAATTATTTAAGTCCTGGGGTTTGGGTTACTTGCAACAAATAACTTTTATTCTGAAGAAGAATATATGAATAAATTATAAGTAAGGCACAAATGAAAAATGTTATTAAATTATATTTGCAAAAATATTGAATATTTTTGCATTTTTTTGAAAAATAATGTTTTAAAATCTTTAAGAGGGGACTGTTTTGCTATACCCTGTGTATTAGTCTATTTTCACGTTGCTGATAAAGACATACCCAAGACTGGGAAGAAAAAGAGGTTTAATTAAACTTAACAGTTCCACAGGGATGGGGAGGCCTCAGAATCATGGCAGGAGGTGAAAGGCACTTCTTATATGGCAGCAGCCAGAGAAGAATGAGGAAGAAGCAAAAGCGGGAAACCCCTGATAAACCATCAGAACTTGTGAGACTTATTCACTATCACAAGAATAGCACAGGAAAAGACCAGCCCCCATGATTCAATTGCCTCCCCCTGGGTCCCTCCCACAACCCGTGGGAATTCTGGGAGACACAATTCAAGTTGAGATTTGGTGAGGACACGGCCAAACTATATCACCCTGTGATATATTCCACTATCCTAATTATCAAGAGAGAGAGAAAGACAGAGAGAGGGAGAAGGAGGAACTTTATTTTAGAGATAGGATTTAGATGCACTTAATCATTTTCTCTTCAAGTTTAAAGCCCTCCTTCCCTTACCCTTCTATGCTAAGTCATTGTCTAAAGATAAAATAAGGTTTTATGAAGAGTGTCTCCAAAACACAATTACCCCCAATCCTAGACTGGGAACAGAATTATATTGAAAACTCACTTGATAGAAAGGCAGCTAGCATTGGAATTCATTTTCTCTTATTTGATGAGCCCTGTCTCGACCATACAATGTAACAAATGAAAGCATATTATCCTATCCTTTAATACTGAAAATGTTCTCAGGACTCCTACTAGTATAAATATTTAATATTGTGAAGTATGGCAACAGAAGAGAGTCACAGGGCATTGCTGTTAACTTTAGAAGAGAGTCATAGGGCTTTGCTCCTATCCTCAGTTATTATAAATATATTTGTCTCAAACAAATGAAGCAGTAACAAATAGAGAATTAACATATTTTTCATGCTAATTGAGGACAACATTTACTCTTAGATTCTTCCAGGGAGCAGGACAGTTACTGTCAATACACACTCTGTGCAGATGTAGCTCCTCTGTGCTATCTCACACAGCCAGAATAATATTCCCCAAAATCTACTGAAGTCATGAACTCCCTATTTTTAAAATCCTTCAGTAGCTTCCTAAATTTGAAAGATACAAGCCAGAATCTTTCGTGATATAGTAGAAACTTCAGATCCTATTTATTGCCTGCATGTGGGCCACACCTTTTTCCATCAACTCTCCTATGTATATCTGCTACTACTACTTATTACTAAAGTATTTCCAACATAGCACACAATTTCCTACCTCATTGGTTTTGCATATAATGTTTGCAAAGCATTCTCCTCTCCCTTGATCATATGCCACATTTCTATCCATGTTGCTGACTTAAAACCCTGAACCTTACTGATCTTTCTACTACTCCATCACCAGTAAAGATGAGTTTCTCCCTCCCCTCTGTTTCATCAATGCCATGTAAATCTTTCTCTTTGTGCTTGTTGCTTCATTTTTTCTCACTCTCCAAACAACTTATAAGTCCCTGCAAGCAAGCACCATTTGATATTAATGTTTTTATCCCTTAAAAGAGTGACTTTCAAGTTTTTGGAACAGTTATTCACATGAAAACATGTAGTTTAAATAGTGGCTCAGAACATTTATATATTATATACGTATGTATACCATGTATATATGTATGCCATGTATATACATACACACATGTGCGTATATACATGAATCTGAATATAGAGATTTCTCTTACCAAAATTCATCATTTTTTCTCTTCTCTTCTTTCTCATGCCTTCCCTACTTCATATTTGAATAAAACTACCCTCTCCCCAAATATTCTTCCTCTCTTCCATGCATAGTTAAATAGCATCAACATCCACCAACTGTTCCAACAAACATTCTGAGAGTCGTATTGATCTCTCCCTTTTTTTCATCTCTCTCATGTAATCCACATCTACTCTGCATCCGTGGCTTCCAGATCAACTCAAACATTAGTCCAAACTGGAACTATTTCTCATTGAGTAATGAAAATATCCACCACCTGGTCTTCACAATTCCATACTAATCTTTTCATAATCTTTAAAAAAATGGAAATCAAAGCCAGGGCATGTCACTCTGTATTAAATTCCTAGGCCTTCCATAACAAATTACTACAATCTTGGTAGCTTAAAACATGGAAATTTATTTGTTCATAGTTCTGAGGGCCCGAAGTATGAATGAAGGTGCCAGCAGTACCTACCTCCCTCTGAAGGCTCTAAGTGAGAATCCTTCCTTGCCTATTCCAGTTTCCAGTGTCTCTAGGGGTTTCTTGTGCTGTGATTGCAGAATTCCAATCTCTGCCTTTGTCTTCTCATGGCTTCTTCTCTGCCTGTCTGTGTCTCAAATCTCCTTTTTCCTTTCTCTGATGCCTTCCACTGTACTTTGGGCCACCCTAAATGACCTCATCATTAGGGTGTCCTCATCTTGAAATTATTAATTATATTTGGAAAGATCTTTTCTACAAAATAAGGTCACAGTTGTAGATTCTTGGTTATCCTACTTTTTGGAAGACCACAATTCAACCCACTACACATTAATACACCTTCAGTGACCTCCCAGTGCCTCAATACATCATATTTTTAATTTTTATTGTATAGTAATAGTAGTTGAGAAATCAAAAGTAAAGGAGATAAAGCATAAAATTACTGTATTATATTTATTTTTACCTTTTGTAGCTTCTGCCATTATTTGTTTATGTTTTTGTTTATGCCCCAGACTAGAGGATAAGTTCTTAAGAGCAGATATTATATATATAATTGCAGTATCAATCCATGTACATTCAATCAATATGTGAGATTAAGAAATAAAGTAATTGTTGAAGAAAATAAGAGAAGAAAGTAATGGCTACATTCTTTCAACTCTTAGACCATTTTACTGTATTCCTTGGATTATCTTTCAAACTTCTTGTGTATATCAATGAGCTTCCTTGCCACTAGATTCTGAATTCCATGCCTGTCATTTACCCTATTTCAGTCCGGTTAAGAATCATTGCTGGGGAGCTAGTGTGATCATTTGGAGATAGGAAGACACTTTGCTTCGTAGAGTTACCAGAGTTCTTGTGCTGGTTCTTTCTAATCTACCGTGTGGGCTAATGTTCCTTTACTCTTTAAAGTTGCTGTCTTTTGATGGGGCTTTTTGCTCTCATGTTCTTTGATGCCCTTAAGGGGTTTGACTGTGGTATAAATTAGGTTTAGTTGATTGACTTCATTTCTGGATGCTTTCAGGAGGCCAAGTCCTGAAAGCCAAGTCAGTGGGCCCTGTGTGGATGCAGACTGGCAAGACTGTGGAGATGCTCTTATGTACGCACAGTAGCAAAATGACAAGGAAAGGCTGCAGGTGGGTACACAGACAGGAGAAGGCTGTGGCCGGGTGCATGCTAGTGGGACTTTGTCTGCAAAAGTGCTCTTACAATTAGACAGGGTCTGCCAGTGAAAGAGCTATGACAGAAGTTGCTGGAAAGCTAAGGCTGTGCTGCAAGTGGTTAAAGCAAGGTAGGGACCCTGGCAGAGGCAGGAAAACAGAGTGGCATTTACATCAAATGGGCCCTGTCCCATGGGCAAGAGAGTTTGCCCTGTCCAGGTCTTAGAACTAACAAAGGCTAGAGCCACCTACTGGAGCATGGCAAGCTGTGGGAGATGGTCACTGATATGGTTTAGTTCTGTGTCTCCACCCAAATCTCTTCTGTAATCACATGTCAGGGAGGGGCCTGGTGGGAGGTGATCGGATCATGGGCATGGTTTCCTCCATGTTGTTCTGTTAGAGTTCTCAGGAGATCCTGGTTGTTTGATAAGTCTGTGGCTCTTCTTTGATCTCTGTCTCTCCCTCCTGCTGCCATGTAAAAAGTGCCTTGCTTCCCTTTCCCCTTTCGCCATGGTTGTAAGTTTCCTGAGGCCTCCCCAGCCATGCAGAACTATAGGTCAATTTATAAATTCATAAATTACCCAGTCTCAGGTAGTATCTTTACAGCAGGGTGAGAATGGGCTAATACAGAGAATTGGTACTAGAAGAGTGGGGTACTGCTATTAAGATAACTTGAAAATGTGAAAGTGACTTTTGAAGTGGGTAACAGGCAGAGGTTGGAACAATTTGGAGGGCTCAGAAGAAGACAGGAAGATATGGGAAAGTTTGGAACTTCCTAGGGACGTGTTGATTGGTTTTGTGATATGGACAATGAAGTCCAGGCTGATAGTGATATGGACAATGAAGTCCAGGCTGAGGTGGTCTCAGATAGAGATGAGGAACTTATTGAGAAATGGAGTAAAGTTCACTCATGCTATCCTTTAGCAAAAAGCCTGGCAGCATTTTGCCCGTGCCCTAAAGGTCTATGGAACTTTGAAGATGAGAGAGATGATTTAGGGTATCTGGTGAATAAAATTTCTAAGGAGCACAGCATTCAAGATGTGACCTGGCTTATTCCGAAAGCATTCAGGTATATGTATTTACAAAGAGATGATTTGACTTTGGAACTTATGCTTAAAAGGAAAGCAGAGCATAAAGGTTTGGAAAATTTGCAGTCTTACCATGTGGTAGGAAAGAAAAACCCATTTTCTGGGGAAGAATTCAAGGTCAGCTGCAGAAATTTGCGTAACTAACTAGGAGCCAAATGTTAATCACCAAGACAATGATGAAAATGTCTCCAGGGCATTTCAGACATCTTCATAGCAGCCCTCCACATCATAGGCCTGGAAGCCCAGGAGGGAAAAATCATTTCATGGGCTGGGCCCAGGGTCCCACTCCTATGTGCAGCCTCAGAACTTGGTGCCACATGTTTCAGTCACGCCAGCTCAAGCTATGGCTAAAAGCTTACAGCTTAGGCCATTGCTGCAAAGGGTGCAGGTCCCAAACCCAGGCAACTTCTATATGGTATTGGGCCTGCACATGCACAGAAGTCAAGAACTGAGGTTTGGGAACTTCTGCCTAGATTTCAGAAGATGTGTGGAAACACCTGGATGTCCAGGCAGAAGTCTGTTGCAGGGGCAGAGCCCTCATGAAGAACCTCTGCTAAGGCAGTGCAGAAGGGAAATGTGGGATTGTACCCCAACAAAGTGTCCCTACAGGGGCTCTGTCTAATAGAGCTGTGAGAAGAGGATCATGGTCCTCCAGATGACAGAAAGGCAGATACACCAACAGCTTCACCAAGTGCCTGGAAAAGCTGCAAACACACAACACCAGACCCTAAAAGCAGCCACAGGAGCTGTACACTGAAGAGCTACAAGGGGAGAGCTGCTCAAGGCCATGGTAGCTTACCCCTAACATCAGCATACCCTGGATGTGAGACATGGAATCAAAGGAGATTTTGGAGCTTTAAGATTTAATGACTGCCCTTCTGGATTTCAAACTTGCAGTGGGCCTATAGCTCCTTTGTTTTGACCAATTTCTCCTATTTGGAATGTAAACATTAACCAAATGCCTGTACCCTCACTGTATCTTGGAAGTAACTAATTTGATTTTGATTTTACAGGCTCATAGGTGGAAGGGACTTCTCCTGTTTCAGATGAAACGTTGATTTGGAATTTTGAGTTAATTCTAGAATGATTTAAGACTTTGGGGTATTGTTGGGAAGGCATGATTGTTTCTCAAATGTGGGAAGGATATGAGATCTGGGAGGCGCCAGGAGAAGAATGATATGGTTTGGTTCTGTGTCCCCACCCAAATCTCATCTCAAATTGTAATCCCCATGTGTCAGGGGAGGGACCAGATGGAAGATGATTAAATCATGGGGGCAGTTTCTCCCATGCTATTCTTGTGATAGAGTTCTCAGGAGACTGATTATTAGATAAGTTTGTGGCCCTTCCCCACTTTCTCTCTCCTGCAGCCATGCAAGATGTGCCTTGCTTCCCCTTTGCCTTTCACCATGATAGTAAGTATCCTGGGGCCTCCTTAGCCATGTGGAACTGTGAATCAATTAAACCTCTTTTGTTTATGAATTACCCAGTCTCAGGCAGTGTCATTATAGTAGGGCGAAAATGAAATACTACAGGTACTCATGGCTGTGCTCCACTGTGGCCATTCCTATGCTAAACCATCTGGGCTCCACACAGGCTGGGGTCTTGTCTCACTCAACTCTCCAGGCAGTTCTCCCTGCCAGCTCATATGCCCATGGGGGTCATAAGGCCTTCTACAGCTGGGATCCTGGAGGTCTGTGGCTAAAGTGGCCAACTCCAAACCTATTTCACCAACCCCCTTCCCTAGGAGCCACCAAGGGTCAGGAATGAGTCCAGGTGCTTTGCAACCCTGTGCAGGGTTTCCAGCTTCCTCCCCTTGCAGCCCATGGTCTGCAAACTCCCTCTCTCTGCTATGAATGCCCTCCTACCAATGATCTTCCCAGAGTGTGCCAGTCTAATTGATGGCCCAGTCTCTCTTTGTGGGAAAAGCTCTTCCTGGCCCCATATAGTAGGCCATCGTGGCTCATCTCCAAAGGATTTTATTTTATTTATGAAACATAAATATGTAGTATTTATATACTACATGATTTGCTTTGTGCTCCTTCAACATTTACCAAAGTAAAAAAGTATTGTTGGATTTTTTTGATGCTCATTTATCTCAGTTGTGATTAGAAGTTATAATTGACAATGTCAATAGTAATTGAAGAAAGACAAAGACATGAAGAAAATAATAAAAAAGAATTAAAATATATGATTCAGTTTATTTAACACACATGGAAAGTCTATTGTCAAATTTCAAATTTTGGTGTGTGATTGTAAATAATGGAATGAATTTCCTCAAGCAATATTTCTCAACTTTGGTGGAATCTTATAATTACTTTGGGAGCTTACAAAAAATATCACTGCCCAAGCTACACCTTAGAGCAATTACATTAGAATCTCTGGCATTGGGATCAAGGCAACAGGCCTTTTGAAAGCTCCCTAGGTGAAAAACAATGTACAACCATGGCTGAGAATCACGTCTTTGTAGTTATATTTTCTTTGTTAAATTTTATATGTGTGCAAGAATGTGTTTGTGTGTATGTATGTATTTCTTGACTTTTTGTCTATTGATTTGCTTTCTGGTATTATAGCATTTGAATTGTTGCCGATTTTTTTCATATGCTAATGTCACCTAGAAGTAGATATTTCCATCTTTTTCTGAGTATTTTTAATATTTTTATCTGCATGTTCCTTTTTAAAAAAGTTATTTTAGTTTAATATATATAATGTATTATATATTATTTAATGTTAATATATCATTTACTATTAAAATGAATGCTATTTATTCCCTACTTTTTGTTTTTTTCTAACATCAAGAAATGCACTGCTTCTCAATTGGGTGATTTTATTTAAATAATCCTAAGTTTTGGATGTTTCTACTTGATTTATTTAATTCATATCATATCAAACGATATGTAGGTTGGTTTATTTCTTAAATACTCTGTTGATATTGTACTTGAAGTCCCTAGCTCAACATGAGAAATATGATATTTTAAACATTTTTCAAATGGAAAGAATTTTAGAAATCTAGTCCAGTTTTTTTCATAATTTTGACCATAAATCACTCTTAAAAATATATTTTACATCATGTCCCAGTGTACTCATATACACACATTCACAAAACAGTTTCATGATGCAGTGTTTATCTTTTTAATATGTGAAGCCCTGTCATATGTTCTTTATAACTTAGTTTTAAACATCTGTCACGATAAACAAATTGGTTTTACAACCTAATTAAATGTTGAGACATGTCTGAAGGTCAACATCCTTGTTTTATAGGTAAGCTTAGAACCTCAGACCTAATGATCTTGCCCAAGGTTTTACACTAGATGGTGATGGCATTCTGTTCAGTGACTGGAGCTGCTAACCAGAGTGCATCACATCAATGATTCTAAAATGTGATTATTTGTCAGTATTACATCTGGAAGATGTTAACGTGAAGCTTTTCAGGCCTCTCCCCTAGGATTACTGAGTAAGCCAAATTTTCCTAAATATAATATTGTGTATTGTTTCATTTTAACATGCATCTAGGCTAACACAGGCTTATTAGAAAAATTGAACCTCCAAACAGACAGCCAGGCTAGACAGATTCTTCCATGCTTTGTGTCTGGATTATTCCTACTAGCTGATAGCTTCTCTGAATGTTTTTCAAGTACATTGAGTTTATACTAAGAATAGCTAACGTAGCTATAATTTCTAATTAAAAGGAATTAACTAGGGAGAAACAAAACAAAATATATATTATACAATATATAAGTACTCTATGAATACATGACTTTCTTTCTAAATGAGGCTACACAGGAATGAAATACATGCATCTGACCCTTCACTGTAAGCTTATAAAAAAAACTATTTATTTAATTTTTTCTCTATTTCTATAGTTTCTAGACCAAACCTTACTACCTCTTAAAGAGGTGTGACCAAATGTTTTGAGCCATTTAGTATAAACTTTCTGAGGGCATACTCTGAACATTGTATGTGTGCATGTGTGAATGTATATGTCTGTGTGATATAAATATAATACAATTTTGTGTATTGTGACAAATGTTTACATGTATACGTAAAGCACATATACACTTATTTATAAAGTATATACATGTGCCACTCTTCCATTACAATTGTTATACAATATCTACAAAATAGAATTATACAATATCTATCAAAGAGAAATTTAGAAAGTTGAGATAAAAATGAGTAAAAAGATAATTTATCTTTCTCCTCTCCTATTGATAATTTTGCCTATCCCATTATGGAGACTAGGAGAATATTTCTCAAATGTTTCTGATCATTATTTATTAAAAGTATGTATATCAGGGCCTTATTTCAAAGTTATTAGATTGGAATTACCATAGTGGCTGACTAATATTCTAACCTTCTGTTCTAGTTGGGCCAGTTTGTACCAGAATATCTCACACATTGCAGTAAGTAACATCAACAGAGATACTGCCAACCTCTACCTACTCATGTTGACTTAGTAGATGTGAGATTGGCTTGGGAATTGGCATTTTATAAAGCTACCATGGTTTTAGAAGGTACATAATGACAGAATATATCTAACACATGCACATTGATTGACACGTTAATTCACTACCTATGTGTAGTTTTTCCCAAGTTTCTATATGAAACTACTTCCAACTTAGTGGCTAACAATATTTTTCCCTTGAATTTCTAATGATAGTTTAATTGACTACATATGTGTAGTTTTCCCCAAGTTTCTAAATGGAACTACTTCTGAGTTGGTGGTTAACAATCTTTTTCCCTTGAATTGCTAAGTTTGCATTGTTTTCAACAGTAAAGTTTTATAATAGATATGCTAGCTAATTGTTTTCCACTCAATTTAGAAAATTTACCTTGGGTATTCCTGAATGTTTATCACAGGTATTTAGCATTTGATTTATGTTTTAAAGATGTACTCTTTCATTGGGACAGTTATGTTCTGTCATAATAAATACATTTTAGCACTAAAATGTGTGCTATGTAGAAAACATAGGTTTTAGAATCATTAATTCCAAGCTTTTTATATATTTTCTTCAAGAAGGGCATGATAATTTGCATATATTGTCCAATTCATTTTCAGGTTTTTCAAATAATCATAAAGTCATGGGTTATATAAAAATAGCAAATATTTTAATGCAGTAGGTACTCTTGACTTGTATTCTCACCTTAATTATGCAAATACACACACACAAACACACACATCCATACCTACATGCTTATACATATTGCCACATAATTGTTGACACATTCAATCAATCAAAAACTCACTCAGTATTGATTTTAAAAGTATTGAACAAGAATTTTACATGACTGTGTATTGCATATATGAACACTTTTGCCCTGACGAGATTTCACGAAAATTAATTATGGATTATATCAATAACATAAGCTTTCCAGATTTCTAGTCAGGTCTTCTATTTATTGAACCAAGATGGACAAAAAGGAATTGTCTTTAATTTTGCTGTGTTAAGAAGGATTCCAATCCTTCAGAATATGACATTCTGAAAAAGGGTAATTTGTTTCCCTATATGCAGTTGAAACGTGAGTGAGAATTATGAATATCAACTTGCTGCAAAATGATGCGGCAGACTTAACAACCTTGCTTAGAATTCTTGGCAAAGTACAAACAGAAAATGTTCTACAAAGGATGCTAATGTTTTTATAAGGCAATAATCCATAGAAGCAAAAAGAATTTTAGGGAAATTTATCTTTTAGGAAAGCTCTTCCTGCCTTTAGGCAACACTGTCTAAACATAAATCATTTTCAAACTCTATTTAATTTTTGTAATCCCTCTATAACATTCAGAGGGAATTCAGTGTGCTTCTTGAGTATCTGTTTCCAGTATATCATGCCAGTTAATTAATCTTTGGTTTGTTTTTGCCAAAGGCAAAACCGACTATTGTTTATTGGTTTTCAGGATTTACTCAGGAAGTTAACAGCAAGAGTCAACTAGCTCTTAGTATTACTCATTTCTTTTTTTATTTTATTTTTTTTTTTTTTTGAGACGGAGTCTTGCTCTGTTGCCCAGGCTGGAGTGCAGTGGCGCGATCTCGGCTCACTGCAAGCTCCGCCTCCCGGGTTCACGCCATTCTCCTGCCTCAGCCTCCCGAGTAGCTGGGACTACAGGCGCCCGCTACCACGCCCGGCTAATTTTTTGTATTTTTAGTAGAGACGGGGTTTCACCGTGTTAGCCAGGATGGTCTCGATCTCCTGACCTCGTGATCCGCCCGCCTCGGCCTCCCAAAGTGCTGGGATTACAGGCGTGAGCCACCGCGCCCGGCCTGTATTACTCATTTCACTGAAGAGTCAAGTTAGGTAGATGACTGCATTAATTTGTTAATTGGATGGAAAGCCTCATAACCCTTGTCCACAATCTGTAGCAGTTTTCAAAAAGCTGTACATTTGGCATTTAATTAGTAAAGATTACATAACTGACTGACCAAATAACTAATTTTCATATCAGATGAATAAAAAACAAGAAGACTCACCTTCATGAATCCATTTTTGGTTGCTAGGTTGGTTTTCTTTACCAGACTTCTTTAGTGCCTTCTGTTTCTTAGTCTAGACCTCATGTTTGATTTTACATGTGGTCAGTGAGTCTAACACTACAGTTTCTCTTATGTTCTCCTCCAGAAGTTGAAAATAAGAACTGCCTTGTTAATAAGTCACATGACTTTTTAAAAAGGAAAGTGTTACCTGTTCAGGCAGTTTTTGCTACTTCTTTTACTTTTAGAATGTGTTCTATGCTTATTGTGTTATGAGACACTCCTGAAGAATATTAAAGCTACATTAGCTCCAGAGGATCTCATCAATTTCTAAGGAGTATAGTGAAACTTGTATTTGCTCTTCTAAAACACTTAGTCAGAAGTTCGTAGATGCTATTGAATATATTTCTTGCACAAATATAAATTCAACCACATTCTCTAAAGAAAAAAATACTTAAAAAAACTACTTATTGTTCAGCATTTCCACTTTCAAATGATTTCAATTTTAAGCATTTTGTTATAAGGAATATTATGTATCCCTAATTAAGAATAGTAAAGAAAAAAGAATGATGAAAGAATAAAATTGGAAATTTATGGGAAAAAGATTTGAAGATATGTTGAAATGTGAATCAAGAAAATAAAATAATAGTTCCAAAGCAGAGTTATCTTCCCTGAGATCCCGTTAAACGGACTTGCTTTCTGGCTTGCTAAGAACACAATTGTCACAGTCTTTGATGGCTGCCTTAAGAATTCAAACTTATTTGTGGCTTAAAATCTACATGGCACACAAACTTGAACATAATAATAATTATTAACATTTATTGGACACACACTGCATGCCAGGCACTATGCTAAGTGTTTCAAATAATAACTGATTATTACTATAAATGTCAACAACCCTGTGAGGTAGATCTATTATTATTTCCATTTTACGTGTAAGGAAAAAAAAAACAGAAGCCTGGGAAATAAAATAGCTTTCTTTACTTATAGATGGCAGATTGAGAATATAAAACATTTCTCCCTGATTCCAAAGTCCACCCTGTTAATAACTTTCCTATTCATTTATTGTTTCTCAACTGGAAAAAGATTACTGAGAGCCTATTACTGTCAAGCCATGTGGTAGACACTAGAAACAGAGGGGCAAACACAATAATGTCCCCACCATCATGGAGTGATTAATTATGCAATATGTGATTAACAGATATTTGTTAAATCATAAGTTAATAAGTTGAATCTTTCAAGAACCTTCTTGTCTTAAATAAACGCAAAATTTTAAGTGTATTTTTTTCATCAACTTCACTAGGTCTTTGGTCCCACAGAACATGGGGTAAATTGGCATATTCTCCTATTACTAATATTACTAATTTGTCCTAGAGTATGTTAAATAAGTTAACTTATAAAACAAAACTGAATACTTTTTGTGTTTTGAAGATTGAAGTGTCAATCTTCCACCCACTCCTTCCTAGTGCATGCTTTTAATAGTATCAGCTAATTTTCCGAGGCTGCAAAAACTCAAAATATTCAAATTGAGATTCCTCCGTATCATGTCCATTGATGTGCTTGCTCTGATCGCTGGATTATATTTATCTCATCCACTCTTTTGTAAAAGAATTAAACAGTGGCTGCCTCAATGATGAACAGATTTAATATGCTTATTCTCAAACCCATGCCTTACTCCTATTCTTAATCATTCACCTTGTTCCTCTGATATTACCTCCTAAGTACTTTGGAAATCCATCCCTGCCTCCCTTTTGCCATTACTACCACCCTAGCTTAAGCAAACATCTTTCACATGATTATTGCATGAGCCTTCTAATTGGTCTCCCTGCTGCCGGTTCTACACTTCACACAGCACTCCTATTCTAGCTTTCACATTATCTATATCATCTAGAAGCAACTAGGGTACATTAAAGTGCTAACCTATTAGAGTATATATATTAAACAATATTCTGACTTTTCTAATATTTTACTGCATCGTATAGAGAAGATTATATTCCAAAACCATTACAAGCTCCTTTAACTGAAGGTGTATATATCATTTATCTACATATTGTAACACTTAGTAATGCTTAATTTATTGTGATAGTCACTAAATTCTTGAACTGAACTGAAATTAATATTTATTGACTTTGCCGAGAGAAGATAACTGATTATTATTTGGCTTATGCCTGCTATTTTTTGTTCCTTCTTTCCCTCCTTCTCTTCTTCTAGCCTTTCCTCTTCCCTTCCTTCCCTTCTGTCCCCTTCCCCAGCTTCTCACCTTCCTTCCTTCCTTTCATTCCTTTCATTCATTCATTCATAGGATATTTTTCATTTATTTATTTATTTATTTTACTTTTTGTTCTTGGACAGATGTGCAGAATGTGCGGGTTTGTTACATAGGTATACATGTGCCATGGTGGTTTGCTGCATCTATCAACCAGTCTCAAGTGCCCACTATTGCCAGGTTATTGGTGTTTGGGATCCTATAAAACAAAAAGTGTCTGCTCTACTGGAGCTAAGTTTTATAGTGAAGAATTAAAAATAAGAATACAGGCCAGGCACGGTGGTTCACACCTGTAATCTCAGCACTTTGGGAGGCCAAGGCAGGCAGACCATCAGGTCAAGAGTTCGAGACCAGCCTGACCAACATGGTGATACCTCGTCTCTACTAAAAATACCAAAAAAATTAGCTGGGCTTGGTGGTGAATGCCTGTAATCCCAGCTACTCAGGAGAATGAGGCAGGAGAATTGCTTGAACCCAGAAGGCAGAGGTTGCAGTGAGCCGAGATTGCGCCACTGTACTCCAACCTGGGCGACAGAGCGAGACTCTGTCTCATTAAAAAAAAAAAAATACAAAATATTATGAATAGATTATCTGATATATGATAAGATTTTAATTCTTATGGAGAAAATAAATAAAAGCAGAGCAGAGTAAGTGTGATCTGGAATGCCAGAAGGGGCAGCTGAGATGATGTTAGTAGGTCACATGGAGAAGGTGATATTTGAACCAACACTTGAAGTAGATGAAGGGGAAAGCCCAGCAAATATCCCAGGGAAAAATCATTCAAGAAGATAGAGAAAAGAGCTGTGGCAAAGTCATCTGCTACAGGATATGAGATATGATTCTCTTTGGGTATAGATATAAGATAGAAGTCCATTCTTCTGTGAAGACCTTAAAAAATGGAATGCTTTAGTATAGGGCTATTGGATTTGTGCTATTGTGAATGGCTATGGAGCTTGTATGCAGTTTTCATTATACTAGTTTCTGTTTCTAAGCAGCAGTTCTAAGAACTCAAAGAAAGAATGTGCCAGGAGGTGGCTGTGTTTAGGAAGAGGGAGAAAAGCTGTGAGTTACTCAATGGAAGCTGTGGTAGAGACAGGCCAGGGCCAGCATAGCCAGAGGACAAGGCTCTAGATGACTGCAGGGCAGCCTGAAGTGAGGCATGTGACCTCGATAAGGGAAAAGTAGGCTTCAGTAGGCTTCGTCATATAGCAAGGATTATGACTGTGTAATAAGACATAAGCTCAGGTATTAGGAAGAGTAGGGGAGAGAAAACAGAGACTCAAGATTTTTCTCTAAGTTTTTTCAAGCCAAGAAATAAAAAGATTCAACAAATATTACTTTTCTGTGAACAAAAGCTTAACTAAGGATTCATAAATCTAGTAAAATAGATGCAAATTATGAGAACAATGAATAAGGCCTTTTCAGAGTCAGAGGCAAGTATTGATGTGCTTGGAACATTTTAGAGAATAACTTTTTTTGAAGGAATGTCAAATTAATAATATAATTTTTTCTTTTCTACATATTTATTTTCCTCTTATAGTGGATAGTAAGAGTTTTATTTTAACCCTTAATAACTGACAGTGCCTTTGAAAAGAATTTGCACACATTAAATGTCTAAAAAGTTATGAACATTGTAATCAGTGCCTGCTTCTTGTTCTTTTAATTTTATAAAGCAAACAAACAGCCATCCAGAACATTCAGAAAACAAACTATATGATTATCCTTGTAAAGGTGTCTTTCTATTCTTTTCTTTCTTTTTTACTATTTATTTTTTCCTCCTCTCCTTTTATTTTTTCATTTAATTTTGTGTTCAGGAAATTCTTCAATAAAATAGTTTTATTTTTTCAGTTACATAGATGTTTTGAGTTACCTAGTTAGTGTTGAAAACAATGGAAAAACAAATAGTTTATCAGATGGTAAAATCAAATTAACAAGAAACGTGTGTGTGTGTGTGTGGGGGGGGGGGGGGGGCATTTCCAAGTGAAAGAAAGAGAAGGTCTTCCTCTACTGAAGAGCTCACAAAGACTGCCAGAAAGATGGTGTTTCTAGAGGACACATACAAGAGGAAAAGTAACTCACAAAAGGGGATGAGTGACAAGGAGAACTCAGAGAAGAAGATGAAGAATTAAAACAAAGCATGATCTCAGAAAACTTGGGAAAGGATAATTTGAATGACTCAGTGGTCAATGAGAAGAGGTCCCTTAAATTTGTCATTAGAAAGTCATGACTGAGCACAAACCAATGCGGAAAAGAGGAAACAATTGGAGATGAGGTCACGAGTGCAGTGAGCAAATGCTAGGTTCTCAGGGATTTAGCAATCAAAAGACAGAAGGAAGGAGCTATGTAAGTGAAGAGTGGTATAGGCAAGAAAATATTTATTTAGAATAAGAGGGCTGTGTTTTTGTTTTTGCTTTTTCTCTTTGGTGTAGTAAAGGTAGGTGAAAGACCTGCAGTTAAAGGTTTAAAGGTAAAGATAGAACAATTATGAACTAATTATATGACAATAACTACACTATGCCTCACCTTAAGCACTTACTGAAAATTTTATGCTATCACTTTGTATTTTAGTTTTGCTTTCCCAATTAGAATAGAAGCTGCACCTTTCAGGGACCAGGTTTAAGACTTCTTTTGCATCCATCATAGCAACATACACAGTGCTGAGCCAATAACAAGTATAAAGAAAGTGCTTCTTTTTTGAATCATGAAAAGAAATAACGTGAACTACAGCATCAACTTTTTCAGATTTCACTGTGGATGTTGTTATAGTCTGTTCTCAAGAGTGAGCCAAGTATGTATTTTAGGATAAGTATCAGTTATCCAAAATTTGTGTAAGGCTTTATTATGTAAGTACTTTTTTTTTTTTTTTTAGATGGAGTTTCTCTTTTGTTGCCCAGGCTGGAGTGCAATGGCGCAATCTCGACTCACCCCAACCTCCGCCTCCTTGTTTCAAGCGATTCTCCTGCCTCAGCCTCTCAAGTAGCTGGGATTACAGGCAGGCGCCATCACGCCCAGTTAATTTTGTATTTTTGGTAGATACAGGGTTTCTTCATGTTGGTCAGGTGGGGCTCAAACTCCCAACCTCAGATTATCTGCCCACCTCGGCCTCCCAAAGTGCTGGGATTACAGGCGTGAGCCACCGGGCAGGCCGTAAATACTTTTGTATAAGTACCTTAGTCCTGACGGAAGTCATTTCTTCCACATGCATGTATTCAAATCTTATTGTATATCAAGCACTGTTCTAAGCCCTGAGGATGCAGCTGTAAACAAAATAGACCACTTATCTATCTTCGTGGAGATTATATTCCAGTAGAATTACCAGGGCTGTCTGAAAAGGAGCACAACAGTTTCATTATAAAACAAAGAAATATATCATCACAATGGGGTTGAAAAACTGGTAAAACAGGCATCTGTTTTGTGGAGGAAAGTGTTTCAGACCACTCAAAATATTCCAGGCTTCTAATTGCTTAGAAACAACGTCATAGGAATGTTCTAGATAGCTGACCCATTTGGTAGGGGTAAGCTGGAAATCACTATTTTGGATTTTTGCTGTTCCAATAACAGTTTTGGTTTAACTAATAAAACTCAACAGTTTTCCTGTAGCTCCTGACTGCAAGAGTTTGACCATTTCTGCATTTTTTATGCAAAAACACATCAATCTCATCAACGTCTGTATCCTACATAAAGATGTATGTCTTTCCTCCTACAATAGTGAGCAAAGTTACTTGTACCAAGAACTCCTCATCTACGTCAGCATACAGCTAAAACAAGGATTGGGATAAAGTTTCCAATTTGAAAAAGAAAAAAAAGATTATATGACTTAGTGGGCAGGGATCTGGCTGCGTGAATTTTCTGGTTTTCTACTATGAGACAATTGTCCATTTAGATAATTGCAAAAATCATTTGATTTTCACTATTACTTTTATTTGTAAATAAAATTTAGAATCATGCAATGACCATAGGAGTACTGCTTACTTGGAGGTGGTCAGTCAAATGGCATTTACAGTAGACAGGGAAAAATTAGAGCTTAAAGCTGCAGTGTGAGCAAAAGCAGACATTAAAAGAGGCCCTCGGCCCGGAGGTTGTCTTTGGGAGGTATGAGCCAACCCTCCTGGGAAAAGTTGGATTTCTGAGCATTTGAGCATCTGTGGTTTTGTCCCAGGGAAGCAAGTTTTCTACATGCAAGCAAAAATCCCTGTTAGCTCACAGAGCTTTCCCCATGTGACTTCAGACATGGTTGACCCATGTGAGTTAGTGCAGTGAAATGCAGTGTGAAGGCAAAGAATCACACCCACCCAAGTGTCTTCCCAGAAAAGGAAATGAATTGCCATGGGAGAAGCAATGATTTCTGGAGACTGAACAGGAACTACCTGAGCACACAGATTGTGCCAATTCTTTACATAGGTCATTTCATATGTTTATGCCTGAGAGGGTACTAAGGATATTATGAATCACTATACAAATATTTCATCATTATTATTCTTATTCATTAATATAACTTAAACCTGAATTATAATTTTATTACTATGATTATTTTTAGAAATTCTTTCCTACATGGGCATAGAGGAAGGAACAACAAAAAAAGATTGTTTACATTCCCCCCAATCTCCTGTGGCCCAATAGTGGGATGAAAAGAATTAAAAAGCTAAAGCATTAGTAAAAGGTCTAGATTGGCTTGCAGGATTTTGCCTTAAGCTTTATTACAGTATAATTTTTACGCTCAGCTCTCAGCAACAATTTTTCTTTAATGGAGGCTATATTATGGATTATAAAATATATCCTTTTTTCCTTTTATTCTTTCTTGTTTTTTTCTTACTCCATTTCTTCTTTCCTTACTTCCTCTCTCCCTGCTTTTTTATCCTTAAAAAATATTTGTTAATAGCATTATATGCAAGACAGTCTAGAATTTATTGATTAATACATTGTTTTTGTTTTTGACTGTTTTATGGTCTGGGCAACGAAGTTTTGTCTATGCGAAGGATTCATGCTTAGTGCTTCTCTCCTCTGTGCAAAGCATAATTCATTTGCCTCATGAACGAGACCCAACATATTGGTTTACAGCTGACAGCTTGATCACGTTTTCTTGCTAAAAACTGCTTTTGAAATAATTAGAGTATGTAAATTATATAATATTATATATTTCATCTGATAAGTTTTGTTTAATGGTGAGAAACAAACTCATTTACTTTTCAAAATCAGATTCAATGATTTCCACAAATCTTTGTCCTTAGAGTTATGGATAATTGGTGCCCTGCATGTAAGACTGGGAAATGTAAAAATGGTATAAACATGTTGCATTAGATTCCACAGGCTGCCATAATAAATTATGATAAGGTTGGTGGCTTACAACAACATTTATTTTCTTAAAGATCTGCAGCCACGAAGTCCAGAATCAAGATTTTTGGACTCCGAGATTTAATGCTCCCACTGAAGGCTCTTGCAGGAAATCCTTGTCATTTGCAGCTTCTGGTGGCTGAAGGCATTCCTTTGTTTGCAATCTCTACTTTTGTCATCACATGGTCTTCTTCCTTGTGTCTCTGTGTGTCCTTTACTGTCTCTTATAAAATCATTCTCATTGGATTTAGGACCCAGGCTAAACTATTATGATGTCATCTCAACCCTTACCATTATTAAATCTGCAAAGATTGTATTTCTAAATAAGATCACATAATGAGGTTGTAGGTAGACATAAATTTTGAGTGGACACTCTTCAACCCACTACATATGTTAATCTGAAAAGTGAGGACTTTAGAATTGTCACAAGATTTGATGGGTACTCTTATTTACCACTAAGATTTCCCTTCAGAAATGAAGGACCTACTGGGTGTGCTTTTGGAAGATGATCCTTGAATAACAGTTGTCCGTTTTAGAAACTGTTTCAGTTGAAAAGAGCCACCTCACCCAAGATTCCCTAGGTAGCCTGCATCCAATGACAGAATGACATGGAAAGAAAGGACTATAAAGACCTAAATCCTTTCCCTTAGTCAGTACGGTTCTTAAATGGTCATCACGTCTTCAGCACCCTGTGATATGGTAAGGCTTTGTGTCCCCACCCAAATCTCCTCTTGAGTTGTAATCCTCGTAATCCCCATAATCTCCATGGGTCAAGAGAGAGACAAGGTGGAGGTAACTGAATCATGGGGATGGTTTCACCCATGCTCTTCTCATGATAGTGAGTGAGTTCTCACAAGGGATTATGGTCTTATATGGAGCTCTTCCCCCTTCCCTGGGCACTTCTCCTTCCTGCTGTCTTGTGAAGAAGGTGCGTTGCTTCCCCTTTGCCTTCCACCACAGTTGTATGTTTCCTGATGCCTCCCCAGCCATGCGGAACTGTGAGTTAATGAAACCTCTTTCCTTTATATATTACCCAGTCTTATGTATTTCTGTACAGCAGTACAAAAACAGACTAATACAACCTGCAAGATAGATCCGGGTTTCCACTGAAACTGCATTGCATCTTGATGCCTCTGTTGGCCTAAAGCTGCACTGACTCTTTCCTTTGCCTCCCTTCTCTTCTCTTGCCAGATGTCCCCTCCCCAACAAGGGCATTCACTTATAAACCTCCTGTTTACTAATCTTTGGCCAAGATTCCACTTCCTGAAGAACTCAACCTGCTATTAAGATATGGATACACAACTTATATGAATGTTTTATAAGATAGTACTAGCCTTCATTATTTGTGATACCCTCTGGTATATTTCTATTCAATTCAATTGTATTCTATTCTGTTCCATTGCATTCTATTTCATTGTCTATTATATTCACCAGAATCCAGGTCAAGATTAACTTAATGGACATCATGAGCTATAGTTTGAAAAAAAAATGGCTCTTTCATGCTTGCTCAGAAATTAAAATGCATTACTTAAATCACAGTTATATTTACTTCATCGAGGCAAATTCATTTACAAATTCATTAATAATAGTCCTATAGAACATGCAAATAACTTGAGTAGTTACATTTTGCCAAAATATCATTACAATTTCTAGAAATGCATAGTGTAAGCAACTACTCATTGGATTTATACATAAAAGTGTATAAAATATGAAATATAAACTAAAATAATTATTATTTCAACATTTGGCATACCTCATCCTATGTTAAGGTATTCAACTGAAGGTTTGATTCAATTAACCAACTAACAAAAAGAGAAGAAAACTAATACATATTTTTTACTCTAAGTGAGAATTTGGCCTAGAACCTTTAAACTTTCAAGTTAGCAGTCCACAACAAACTCCCCAATAGTAGCAGATCTTTGATACCAATTCTCAGTATAGCTTTTAGTCTTCGACCTGGTAACAATCTTAGAATGTATCACAAAAAAAACTAAATTATGTAAAAACTGAACTGTCAAAACTATATTAAGTTCTCCATCTTTGTTATCTCTGTCCTGTTGTTACACAAATTATTTTTCTTCCTCTACCATTTAAACAGTAATAATATTAATAATTTAAATAAACAAACAATTGTTGCTGTGATATGGTTGTTTTGCTTTTTAGAATAAAATATTTGAAAAAAAATCTAGCCATAGCCTACTGGGAAAAAAAAAAAATCATCTTAGACTCAAATGTACTGGGTTTGAATTATTATTTGATGTTAAGACACACTTAAATGTTAGGTACTTCATGTCCTTGATTTAAAAATGGTGATTGTCTTAGATCATTCCTGCTATTATAGCACAATCCCACAAAATGGGTAACTTTTAAAGTAACAGAAATTTATTTATCACAGTTCTGAAGGCTGGGAAGTCCAAGATCAAGGCTCTGGCAGATTCATTGTCTGGTGAAGCTCAGTCTCTGCTTCCAGGAGGGTGCCTTGAAATGGAGTCTTGTTGCTGCATTCTCAAATGGCAGAAAGCAGAAGGGCAAGTGAAACAAACACTTAGTAAAGCCTCTTTTCTAAAGGCATTAATCCCATTCATAAGGTTGAGACCTTCATGACCTAGTTACCTCCTAAAGGCCTGCTTCTTGGTACTATCATATTGATGGTTAAGTTTCAACATATGAATTTTGGGGGAACACATTCAGGCAATGGTAGTGAGAATAAGGCTGATGAGTGCATTTCAAAGAAGACTAAATGCAAAAATATATTTTTGAAAATGTTTGTGAAAGTAATATAGAGTTTCAGCCACATAATATGAGCTAGCTAATGGTTTAAAAACAATAAAAAATAAGATTCAAAGTTTATTTTGGGTACATATTCATGTTGGTATTTTAGTGCTTCTTTAGAGCTTCTTAAACTATTTCAGGAACTATGAGGATTTTGGAGAACTGCTTTCTTTCCACATTGAAAACTACTATATATATGCAGGACATGCTATTAAGACTTCAAGAGATAAAAAGATGAGTTAGATATATTCTGGGGCTATAAAAATGAGGAAAATGGAAGGGAGAATATAATTACCAACATAAGTTTGACACTATTAATAATGGAAGTATTTCCATAATAGAGATGTATTACAGACTTCAGGAGTAAAATGCAATCAGGTGTGAAAAGTTACCTTAAAAGGAAATTGACCACTGCATACCTATTAAATGGCAAAAATTCAAAACAATGACAACATCAAATACTGGTGAGGATGTAATTAACAAGAACTCTCATACATTGCTGATGGTGATGCAAACTCGTACAGCCACTTTTGAAGACAGTTTGGCAGTTTCTTACTAAAGTAAATATACCCTCATAAGATCCAGCAATTACGGCCCTAGGGTTTACCCAAGTAAGTTGAAAAATTATATCTACACCAAACCTGCACACAGATGTTTATAGAAGCTTTATTCATAATTGCCATAACCTGGAAACAACCAAGATATTCTTCAATAACTGAATGGATAACAAACTGTGGCATATCTAGACAATGAAATAGTATTCAATTCTTAAAAGAAATGAACTACTAACCTATAAAAATACATGGAGAAGACCTAAATGCATATGATGAAGTGATAGAAGCAACTCTGAAAGGCTACATTCTATATTATTTCAACTATGTTACATCCTAGAAAAGCCAAATCTATGGAGAGAGAAAAATGATCAGTGTTTGGCAGGGTTTGGGAAGAAGGATAAATAGGTAGCGCAAAGGGGATTTTTAAGACAGCAAAGTTATTCCATATGATACTACAGTAGTGGATACATTTGCCAAAACCCATAAAATGTAAAATGCCAAGAGGAAAACTTAATGTAAAGTATGCTCTTCAGGTGTCAATGACATGTCAATATAAGCTCATTGATGATAACAAATGTACCCCTTTGGGGCTGGATGTTGGTAGACAAGGTGGCTAAGTGTGTGGGAGGGCAGGGAGCATTTGGAAACTTTCCGTATTTTCTGCTCAATTTTACTGTGAACCTTAAACTTCTTCAGTAATTAAAACTTAAAAAGTTGTCACAGATCTTAAATAAGTTTTATATAACAAATTCAAGACAGTTTCAATGAAACTAAAGTGGTGTCATTTAAAAGGAAGATATTAATTATATAATTAAAAAACAAAGAATTATATTTAGAAAATGTCTTCTCTTTTGAATGAAAAAGCTTTCACATATTAGAAATTATCAAAATAATGAATCATGAATATTGGCAAATATTATTCTATAAATTTTTCTATTATCATATTATTTATCTAAGGATAAAACCTTAAAATTTCTTAAATATCTAACACAGAGAATAATGCCTTAAGTAAAAGATGATTTATACTATATAACAGGTTATTTTACAATCATTTAAATGAAGATGGAGAACAGAATTAATGTAGGAAGAAGTTAAAAACCAAAAGAGAAAACTGATTTTTGATGACCTCAAAAGACATTTATTTATTTGTTCATCAGCATGTAGAAAAACAATTATCTCCCTAGCTTCCAAGAGACTAAGTGAAAAACCACGCCTTCTAATTGCTGAATACTTACATTGAATGGCATAGAAACTGTGTTGGAAATAGATTTTTCTGGTAAGGTCACGCTTTTTGAATATTGCTTCAAAAATGAAACAATATTCAAAATTAAGCATTAACAATCTATCTTCCTGTCATAAACAATGCATTAGCAACAAAGAGAAAAGAGTTATAGAAAGAGTTGGACAGTTGAATTTTGTGTGTGTGTGTGTGTGTGTGTCTCCATATTTTACTGGAAGCACAATAGAGAGATCATATATGTATGAAATGGGGATTTAAAATTAAAAACCCAGTGTAAAAGGAAAAATAAAATTATGAAAGTCACAGATTGGTCTACACAAAACAGAAGAGAAAATGAATCTTAACTAAATGTTCTCCAAACCAGTAGCTAAAAATTGATTCTCTAAATTAGATTGGATGAAAAACAAAAATAACAAAACCTACACAGAAAATTTCCTTTGCCATTAGAAAATATTTTTAAATTTTTCTTTGAAAACTTCATTAAACTAGCTTTATTTTAAAATATAGGATGTAATGAATAGGGTGTCATGAATAAAAATACAAAAGGCTTAGACAGCTGGCCAGATACCACATATTGCAAGTGAGCTACAAAACAAAATGGGACTGAAACCAGTTCCAACTCTTATTTTTTTCCTAGCATGTTTAAATGACATATAACATTAGCCACATGGTCTTATGTCACATATTAATATTTGATACATTTCTCTCTTGCTGGATTCACCCTATATATTCCGGACTCCACCTCTCTCCCCACCACAGATAGAAAATTAAATCAAATATTTTTTCCCAGATTTGTGAGTTTATATATCAACTGAGAGTAAAATCATAATGGTCTAATGTATAAGAAAAGAGAAAAATACCCCGGAACCATAAGACAACAAAAAACAATGTATATGACTTTCTCTTAATACTTATCAAATTCCTTAGCAGCTCTCACAGTGACAATCATACTTTTCTACTTCTGGCCACAACAGAATTTCCAAAACAACCATCTGGAGCCCGAGAATAAACTGTTTCTCCAAATTAAGGAGAAGGTTGCCCCCACCCCTCAATAACTAGCAAAAGGTTCTAGAAATTTTGGCCCAGAATCATTAAAATAAAATGAACTAATGGTTACAAACAAACACCCAAAATAACAATATAAAGCAATACAAAGTGCCAAACAAATTTACCCCAAAGTACACCCCAAGCTAGGACTTTGGCTACCCTGAATTCAAAGTATTGAGCCTTCAATAATTCTGCTTTTTAAAAACTCCTGTGTGATATTTGTTATCCCAGCGCAATGTTGAAGCTATAGCAGTGACTTTCTCTTGTAACCCAAAGCAGAGACACAGAGCCCAGAAAGGTCACAGTGTGCTCTGATAAACTCCTCTGAGAAAACAGCACGTATGTCCATGATTTCAATTCTCTTGGAATCAATAAACTTCCAAATATCTCTGGGAATCCATGGCTCTTGAGAGGCAAATTGTTCTTTCCAGATGTACAGCCGCCTTACCTTGGATGCTTCAGCACTTAGCGGTCGATTAACTGTTACAAGAACTGATTCCCCTAAGGAAATGGGTCCTTATCTTTCCAGCCCAGCAAGCTGAGGGATGGTGAAAAGGGAAGGGGAAAAGTCAGTGAAGGAACGTGGTAGTACAGCACATGGGGGAGGAGGGGACTGATATAAATGGGATTTGCTTGTCTGCCTGCCTCTTTTTCTTCCTATTCTGTGCTCGTATCTCAATATTTTACAGTTCCATTTATTTAACTTTTTATTTTTTATTTTTATTTATTTATTTGTTTGCTGTAATGCAAACACATTCCATGGCCAGCTAAAGTCCTCCATGATAGCAAAAACAGTAAGACAATCTGCAAAACAAAAGCTCCCCCCAGGTATATTAAAAGCTAGTCAGAAATTGGTTAATATTTCTCCAGAAGCTATTTTGCTCAATGCTCCTTTTCTCAACATTGTGGACTCTCCCTAGGGAGGTCGTAACACTTACTGTAAGTACATTTGCGCTCCATGAAATCATAGTCAACTGAGCGAGCTATAAATCAATTAATACTTGCATGAGCTGTGCCTTATTTCAAATAGAAAATCAGCAAAATCCACATTTAAAGAGTGCATTTAAAACATATTAACAATATTTCTGGAACAAAATATTTCTGATTTAGGAAAGTGCTGCACTGAGAGTTTATAAAGAAAAACATTTTTTCCCCCAAAGAATTCAACCTACTCAGACTTCCATGAGGTGGAAATAATTGTTATAAGTTAAAAGCCGCTTTTTCTTTTCTTTTTGTCTTGTTCAACAATTTTACTTAACATTTAAATGTCATTTGACCCTAGTGTTTTCACATAGTTTTTAAAGGATAATGATTATTTTTCAATCTTCAGGATAATCCATAAATATATACTCCCTTACAGACATGCATTTTTTTCCAGCTACCACCTTTCACCCATCATGAAGTGGGATAAAGTGTAGATGCAAATCCTACAGTGCTTTCTGTAACTCAAACAAAAATTGGGTTTGTTTTGTATTTATAATATGGAAAAAAAAATATTGTGGTAATTAAAAATTTTAAAGGAAGACCAATTTCTGTACATTTCTTTATAATACTTGGGTTATTTTATCAACTACTGAGTCATCCACCTACTATACAGTAGTTAAAGGCAGAGACTCCACAGAGTGCCTAGGTTAACATTCTGTTTTCTTCATTTATTTCCCATGTAATATTGGAAATCTTTTCTTAATTTCTTTCTGTCTAGCTAATTTATTTATAGAAAAGGGATGATAATGATAGTAAGCAAAATTCATAGGCCTATTATGAAGATTAAATGAATACACAAAGATGCCAATAGCAGTGAGAATTCTCTTTAATCATATAGATGATAGATAAATACATAGTACAAATATGTTAGCTATTATTCCTAAACTGTATGGCACAATATTTGCCCTATCAAACCTTAAGAATATTTTCAAAATTGAACAGATATGGTTTATAGGTCAAATGTGTTGCCGTAATTCTTAGAAAAATGTTACATGCCACACACGTGACAAACATTCTATTTTCTAATCATATAACAGCAATACGAGCAGACACATTGTGATGGACCTAAAACCAAGATGCACAGTTCTTGGTAGTAACAGGCACTCAAAAGGGACTCCTTGACTTGAATTGAAGTGAAGCAGGAGTATAAGAGATCTTTGTCATTTATGACAGATTTTTAAATGTAATCCACAGATTATTCCTTCTTTTTATTTTTTTATGTAATTAAGCAACTACTATGGGTCAATCAGTCACCATGGTTAGGACTGTTTCCAAGAATACAAAAATGAATAAAAATAGGAATCACCATATGTACTTTAAAGTGACAAAGGCATTACATTAGTAGTAATATAATTTTTATTTATAAGACAACAAGGGAATGAGAATATCTGAAAATATCTGGAATGGTTTGGCAGATGAAATTTTACAGTTAGATTTTGGATAAGTAAGGGATTCTGAGCTTGGAAAATGAATATTGAAATGATAATGAAGAGCATTGCGAACAATAAGAAATGAACTGGTTGAACCTAAGGGAGCTGAAAATAATTCACGGGTATGTCATTTGGATATCTAACACCAAGCAGGAGAAGAGAAGTTTGGACTGATAGGTAAAGACCACACAGACCACAAATGGAAGCCTTCCACAGTGTGTCTAGGAATTCGTGCTCTGTTCTCCAGTATTTTGGAGTTATATTATTTCATAGCTAATGTTATAATAAATATAATATATAACATAATATAGTATAAGCCTATATAATTCTATGATATGTAAAATTATAGGATCAGATTTTCATTACAGAAAGATCATTTTCATAGCAGTGCTGCAGAACTATTCCAAGGAAGAAAGAAAATAAATTATGAGGAAATTATTTCAGTGATGATCCTTGAGGATAAATGGATGTATCTGAATAAAAGTGTTAAACAGACATGAAATAAGTTAAAATCTTTAAAAACCTGGCATATTTGCAAAAAAAAAAAATTGGAAAAGAAGAATGACTGTCATGGAGGATGTTCCCAGGCAGTGACATGCTGGTAAACTGACTTCCTGAAAACAAGAACAAAAATCAAAGTGCCAAATGACAGCATTTGCCAATTTCTAGTGGTATAAATATTCCCGTGAAAGCCAAATTCAAGCTGCCAACATGATGTCATTGAGTACAATGTTGGAAAGAGATACACACAATTGGCTCTCACAAGCCATTAAGTAGCTGGCCCCAGCACACCAGTGATCCCAGGTCACTGGTTTGCATAACTAGATTCATTAGGCTATCATTAAAAGGGGGAGAGAATAGAGAAGGAGAAAAACTTTAAAGGAGTGATGGATTGTGAATTTATTTTGAAACACGCTGAGTATAGTTTGCTTGTAAGACACCCAGATATTGATGTTAATTCTGGTGGCCATTGAGTGGATGGAATTGGTGGGCAATGGAGAGTCTTTTCTTTTTGTAAACTCAGTGAAAATTGATAAACATCTGACCTCAGACAGAATTTGTAGGTAAGCACAGGAAGACACATATTCAAATGATATTCAGAAAAAAAAAAAGGAGAGAAATCATGGCTCAGAATTGATTTATAGAAGAGAAAGAAGACTAGAATTTTTTTTTTTTCAGATTTTTTTCCTGGGAGGCTTGTTTCTAATGGCACCATTAAACAAGGTACAGAAATCATGGTGAAAAAGGAGCATTTAAATCCAGGTATTAAACAGTAATAAATTAAGTTTCATATATGTCGAATTTCCTATGTTATAATGTTGGAGATAGCTTGCAGAGAGTTGTACTCAGCTAAGCTTGAAAGAGTGGATAGGATGTGAATAAATAGAGACCAAGAGAACAATATTTCTAAAGGTGAGAAGGCACCAGATAACACTATGTAGAAAGGAAACACAGGACTACAAGATGATTTATAGAACATCTTGGTCATGTGAGAAAGTGACAAAAGTTAAGCCCAGAAATACTGTTCTTATGCAGCTTGGAAATGGACTCAAAGGCTAAAGTGAAAGAAGACTTAGAGGAAGGCGATGGAGATGCTGAGGAAAGAAATGTGATCAAAAGAGAACTGTATAAAAAACATTTGTGATTTGTGAGATAATTCAGAACAGGGAAATCAAAAATAGTACATGCTTAGGGGATGTTTGTAGGAGTTGGGCTTGAATAAATGAGAATTGGAAATAGGATGAAACTCATGATATTTGAAAAGATGTGAATATTTAAGAACCCCATTTTTCTTTTTATGGAATAAAACTGGTGACATGGAAGAAACCTACTCTCTTTGCTCATCTGGATGCTCAGAAACTGAAATAGCAGCTAGCAATGGCACCAATATTTTTAAATTAACTGTGAAGCTTACAATTTTAGAAAGAAAAAAAAGGACAGGGAGTGCCATCCCTATCAGAAAACAAAACAAAACAAAAAACAAAAAAAGCCATACAGTACACTCAGATCTCAGACAGTTTTTGGGTTGCATATGAATTGGGCTAGTATGCCTAATAGAGTTTATGGCCAAATAGGTAAGGAAAGAAAACTAACCTGTGGTATTGTAACTGGCTGCTTTGCCTTGAAATGTTTCCCTTTGCTTATTCTGGAATCATACTTGTCATTTTCTTTTGCGATGCAAAATATAAAAATAAAAAGATACTGTTTTGAGATGTTTGTTTCCTTCTAGATTGTATGTCTGTCAAAGGCTAGTTTGCAATCGGTTTCAGACACATAATACACTAGATTAACATAACATTTTTAAAAAGTTGGCTGTTTGCACCATGCATAATACCTCAAATAGCATTACTGAGTGTCCAATTTCCAAGCATTTATATTGTTTTTTAATTATCACATGGCTTTGATAGATACATTACATTTTATTATTTTTAGCTATAATTTTTATATTTTGGATGAAATATATTTGCTTTCTACTTTTCATAATATATTTTAATCATAGTATAAGAAAAGAGAATGGTAAATATTTCCTTCTCTAGCTTTCTTAGTGTTTAATTATTTTTTCTTTCTGGGAAATTACTTCACAGTCATTACTGATTTTTTCACATTTGATACGGAATATCCTGGTGATAAAACATTTATTAACACCTTGTTTACTTTGATTATTGTTTAGTTTTATAGGATAAGAATGCACTGGTTTCTCCTACCCATCATAATACTTATCATTGTAACTTATTAGTAGAGCAGGCCAGATCTGAAGCCCAATATTATCATTCTGATTTTATATTAATATTCAGTGTTTGGTGCAGGTGAATTCTGACTAAATGCATGTTGAAATAGATAACATGCAGTTCACAACCTCCCTTTTTGACTTTTCTCTATATTTCTTTCTCAGAAATACTTTGTGTCTTATACAATTTGTATCCTCACAAACATTTTTAGAATTTTCTAATACAATTCCAATTTAAACATGTCTTTGCTCATAACTTTTCCCAAGTGCCATCCTGGTTGGCTCCTCTTTCCTGACTCTATTTTAGGGGCTCACTCCCCCACAGTTCTCATTAGCACCTTTACTCAAAGCCAGAGTCAGGAAAAGAAAGGAGGCATTATTTTGCTCAATCATTTACCCTATGCTAGAAGCTATCATTTGCAACAAGCAAGAAAAAGAAATTGGAGAAATTGTGCACATATGTATGGATTTCAGTTATCCCTATTAACCCGGTTAACATTTACTTAGCTAGTTGAAAAGTGATGGCATCAGTAAGATTATTATTAGAACTCATTAGAAAATCTAAAATAATCTAAAATTCACCCAGCCCCATCCAGAAATAATGTTGCTACCACACAAAAGTGAAATACTCCAAGTTTCAAAGAGAGAATAAATGACCTAAGACTATAAGTAATTATTAAAGAGAATTTTAAAAAGTATAAAAGATTATTCTGCAGAATCGATCAGATTTTTAAAAAAGTATTAACATGCAATTTATTTCTTAGATTCATCATACATGCTCATTCCATGTCCATTCTATTTCTAACAGATGTTTATATTTTAAATAATATTTGGTTTATTTATACACTTTGAAGGAGTTTCCCTGGATTTATGTTAAATATTTATTATATATGTTAGTCATGCAGTAGGAATGATAGTCTGAATAATTAATGAATTAGTAATATGTGTTTAATAGAGCTATTCTCTTAGGTATGTGAAATACTAGGTGACTTGCCTTCACAGTGTATATGTTTCTCAAAAAAAAAAATCATAACCTGCCACAAAGGATGAAGAATTTAAGAAGGTGTCAGTGATATTCACCAGAGCTGATGGCAGTTGTGAGTGCATGATTTTGCTACAAATTGGAATGATCTTGAATGCAATCTTAGAAAAATTACTGGTTCGAAATGTTACCATTTATTAATGGTTATAAAAATCAACAGGTGCATACTAACTTACAATTTATAAAGAGCTTTCATGAACTCTACTTCATTTTCACTTCTACTCTATGATTCATAGGACAGTTTGTTTGCCGAAGCTGGTCTTATTAAATAGTACTAATTAGTATTCTCTTTCAATGAATAAAGTACTGCAATTCAAAATGTTTTAGTGATTAATCCACCTTGAACTGTCTTCAGTACAGATATTTTGGCCTAAAATTCTTATACTTTGTCTTTGGATACAGAAGGATGAAAAAAAATCTCCAACTTCTGTTTGATAATAGAATTTCGGATAAAATCTACAAAGCACAAATTTGTGGAGACTGAATCCAAAATAACAGCAAATAACAATAAATCTACTCCTTATTTAAGACTTAAAAAGTTGTTAAACACCATAGTTCTCAACCTAAAAACAATAAAGAAAAACCACATAAGCTATAAAACAATATGTTTTAAAATCAATCAGAAAGTTGAAGATTCAAGGAAACCTAACTGAACTGAATTTCAGACAAACACATGGCGTTTATATGAGAAAAGAGACTTAGCTGTTCTTATCTCTGAAACAGTGGCAGACGGGAGAAAAAATAAAGAATTTGCTAAAGACTGGTGTAAGAAATACCAAACTATGTGTTAAAAACCTTTCATGTCTGGTATGACAGATTAGAATTCCAGAAGCCCCAGCCACATGACAAGTTTCACCTACTCCAATTCTTTCCCATGGGTCTTCATTAAGTGCTTGAATGCAGTATGCCAATAACTAGGGGCAGGGAAGGAAAGATGAGAAAAATCCACACAAGGCACCTTGGGATCCCAGCAACCACAAGTTAGGAAAGTGGTAGGCAGGAAGGTTGAAAGAAATCTATCTGAAAGATTGCTGATGTGTACCTGCGGAAGGCTAAGGGTTGTACATGAGAAATAAGAAAGATACTCTCTTGGGTTGCAGAAAATAAAATGACTATCCTGTGACTGCTGAGGGAAGCGCAGATGCATATAAATAATTCTCTGAAGTATAGAAAGCACTAGGGAGGATTAGAAAACAAAGACTGTGTAGCAACCTCAAAACTGGGTAGCAAGACTAAATAGCAAAGAAAGATTTTATATCAAAAAGAATAGAACACTTAAACAAGCAAGCAAATGGAATATATATTCAAAAGAAGAAAGAGTTAATAAAGACAGATGCACAGGTAATCAAGATGTTGAAATTATTAGATAGAAACTTAAAAATAACCATGTGGGTTTTACAAAAAATATTGACAAAAGTTGTGAAGAAATGGACAATTTTAGCAAAGACATAGAATCTATTAAAATAAAAATTTTAGGATAAGATACGTAAAGATGTAGATATAGATATATACATATGCATTTATATTGATCTATAGATATATAGATGGTATATAGACGTACAGATAAAGAATACATTAAATAAATATGAGTAAACCACATAGAGGAGAAAATCAGTGAACTTGAAGGCACAGATAGTATTCAATCTGAAGCATAAAGAAGAAAGCAAAAAAAATGGTATGAATATGTGAGATTTGTAGGACGTTATTAAATTGCCTACCACATATGTAATTAGATCCAGATTTTTCAGAATTAGGAGTCTTTTAGCATTTATTGTGCAGGTCTGTTATAATTGAATTCTCTCAGCCTTTATGTGCCTGAAAATATATTTGTTTAACTTTCATTTTCAATGATATTTTATTTTATTTGGATATAGAATTTTAGGTTTGACAGATTTTTTTTTCCTTTTTAAAAAATTTTAGCGCTTTACAGGTATTATTCCATTGTTATTCAGCCTCCATTATTTTGAATAAGAAGTCAGCCATTACACCATATTATTGTCACCAATATATCACATAACATGTCTGCTTTCTCTCTGGTTGCTTTTAACACTTTCTTTTTAACTTTGGTTTTATAAGTGTGATGACAAGGTATCTAAATAAGATATTTGTTATAGCTTTCCCCTCCTTCAGATTTTATGAGTTTCCTGGCTATATTAGTAATCATTTTTGTAGAAATTTTGAAAGTTCTCAGCTATTGAGATCTTTCTTTTACCTTATTTATCCTGTCCTATTTTATCTTCCTTCTCATCCTCTGAGTATAATTCTGTGAAGGTGCACTGTTATATTAAAGACATATATTGTGACTGCAGGAAAAGTAATAATGGGGCATATATTTTTAAAAATTGGTAGGCCAAGGGTAAAGAAAAGGCATTTTATAAAAATTAAAGATATCAAGGCATATGTACATGCTGGTGGGTATAATCCAACAAAAGGGGGAGCTTAATGATGAAGAAAATAGAGGGCCAAAAGTAAAAGGCCAGGCATGGTGGCTCTGTAATCCCAGCACTTTGGGAGGCTGAGGTGGGAGGATCCCTTGAGTCTAGGAGCCAAGACCAGCCTGGGCAACATGGCAAGGCCTCATCTCTACAAAACAACAAACAAACAAAATAGCCAGGTATGGTGGTTCATACTTGAGGTTTCAGCTACTCAGAAGGCTGAGGTAGGAGGATCACTTGCATCCAGGATGTTCAGGCTGCAGTGAGGTGTGATTGTGCCACTGAACTCCAGCCTGGGTGATTGAGCAAGAAAGGGAAAGAAAAAGAAAAAGAAAGCAGAAAGAAAGGGGAAAGAAAGGTAGGAGGGAAGGAGGGAAGGAAGAAAGGAAGAAAGAAAGGAAAGAAGGAAAGAAAAAGAAAGAAAGAAAGAGAGAAAGAAAGAGAGAAAGAAAGAAAGAAAGAAAAAGAAAGAAAGAAAGAAGGAAGGAAGGAAGGAAGGAAGGAAGGAAAAAAATTGAAGACACAATCCATTGAATGAGAAGCAATGACATCCAGGATACAAGCATACAAACAGAGGTACTGGACTTAGATTGAAGCAGACAGAGTTTCTTCATTATTATGGAGAAACATAGGAAAGAGTTCTAGATATTAATGCAACCTGATAGATTTTGTGCCAGCATGATGAAGTAGCTCTACTGTAATCATTTCTATTTTTCTACAGTAAATAGGAAGAAGAGAGAAAAGGAAAGAAATGCTTCTTTTAGAGGATAGTTGAATAGGGTTTTCAAGCAATGATGGAGTCCCAGTTGTGGTTTATGCTGAAAAAGTTTGTATTTATTTTTTCTCCAGCCATATTCTCTTGCCAGACATAACTGGGGTTTTGCTTATGTCAGACTATTATAATGAAGGGAGCTGAAGGTATGTGCAAGGAGACAGAGACGGAAAATGAAAGAGACATAACTTATTCCTCCTGAAACTACAAACAGTGAAAACGTGATAATGTCATGGGTTAAATTTATATTAGGATGTCAGGGAGATGGAACAGGGAGGAGATTAGGGTAGATATAAAATCATGTGGGAATAAAAATATGTGTAAAGAGGGTTATTTCTGAAGTCTACTTATAATCTATGGCCTTCACTGAGATGGATTAGGATGTAAGTTATGATAGGATTAATCTTATTTCCTTAAAAAAAGGTGATTGCTTCCTTCTCTTTTCTTTCTTCTGCTCTCTTTCTTTGTTACTTCTTTTTCTCATCTTTTGCCTTTTAGGCACCTGCTGCTAAGTAATATGTAAGCTTCCAGAAGTATATTCTTACCAAAAGTATTCTGATCAAACTTTAAAGATTGCCTTTGAAATTTGCCATTTCAAAGACTTTCCCACCAGGAGCAGATAAAATGGAGTTGTTGTATCAACCTATGCTTTTATAAAGCCAGGTAGGATGAATGGTTAGCTTTTTCAACCAAGTGTCTTAAGCATATCTCCATGTTCACTTGGTATATCTGGGAAAGTTAGAGGGTGATTTAGTTGTCAAAATAACTGAAACATATGACCTGCATGTAATGTCCAGGGCCCAGAGATACTAAATGTATTTAAAAACACATTTTTTCCTGCCAAAATGCCAATAACTATACCAGTGTGAAACATTGGTCTAAGGGAAGAAGTGTATTACAGTCTCATCCTTTCATCTTTTTTCCAGAAAAATGATTGAATAGACATAGGTAAAATTCCAATGTGACATAATGATTTTTAAAAAAGCAACTTTTACTCTACTCATGATTTCATTAAGATACAATTTTGTGTTGATATTGGTGTTTGAGAACTCATGTCTACAGAAAATTTAAAAATAAAAACTTAGCTGGGCATGATGGTGTACAACTGTGGACCTAGTTACTCGGGAGACTGGGGTGGGGGGACTGCCTGAGCCTGGGAGGTCTAGGCTTCAATGAGCTATGATCATACCACTGTACTCCAGCCTGAGCAACAGAGAAAGACCCTGTCAAAAAAGAAAGCATGTGTTAATATCCAATGAACTAACTTTATTTGAAACTGTTCAAATATAAATTCTTCATGGAATTTCAGCTACTTTTTAGTTTTAAATTATCTATTTTTCCATTTACATCCTCTTGAAAGGTAAATGTTTTTGTAAAGATTTTTTTCCAACCCTTTTCTTTCAGAGTTAATCACTTTCCCTTCAGTGTTTCCACAAACTTTTTACTGATTTTTATTACATAAGTGGTATTTGTATCATAGTATTTTCAATGTTTACATTATACACAGGATTTAGAGTTCCTTAAAGATGGGCAGTTTTAAAAATCTCCTGTATGGGTTTCATTACCTGGAGCTCGGAAGATGCTCCGTAATTATTTACTAAATGAATATATTTTGTCAAGCAAAGAACACTGGCCATAAAAATATTACCCCAGAGTTTTTAATGAGTGGCATATCTTCCTGCAATATTTGGAGTGAGATTAGATTTCTCACCCCAATATGATATATGTGATCTAGATATAGAATATCATATATAAATTAGCCAAACAACAAACAAACTTTCAAGTTTTTCTCTCCTTTTTGGACAGAGAACTGCCTAAAACAATCAAATTGTCTCCATCATTTTAACAATGAAAGAATAACTGATTTGTAAGTTTAAAAGGGCAGTTTTCTTTAAAAGGTGAATTTAATGCTCATCTATTGAATGTAAGGCTCTCAACTTTTGAAATTAGATCTAGCCCTATACTATATTTTGAACTAGTTATTTTATGTTTATTATTCTTTCTGACCCATTGACTGTGCTACCTCTTTTCTATTTCTTTATACCATTGTTCAGAACTCCGTTAATCATAGGACTAAGAACTATTGCTTTGGATAAAAACTGAAAACCACCAAATAATTGTTCAATAAGATTATGTAAAACATGATAACTCTTGATTTCCCCAAACCCCAATAAAATTGTTCTGGCTTTTATTTGATTACTTTGTACTCCATTTGTCTTAGCATATAACAAATTGAGATTTAAGACCAAATATAAATGCTGGAAAAAGTGTGATCCCTACATCAGTGTTAAACTTCAAGTAGAGACTCAATATATTTTTGTTAATTAATTATTTCCACCTCTTAGAAAATAATTTGGATTGTAAATAATTTCCTTCATTGATTAACATCATTGGTAAAGATTTCAGCAAAAATTGCAAAATGATTACTTTCTTGGCCTTTTCAACCTACGTCCCCAATCCAGAGATATCTCCTTAAAGCAGTTACATATTATTGCTGAATCCCTTGGAAACTTGTTATGGTAATCAATGAGACAAGGGCAAAAGCATCTGCCTTTTTTCTTATTGGTTTATAGAAGTCATGAACAAAATAATAGACAAGGAGAATTGTACAACACAGGGTTGTTGCCTTCTTGGAATACGGGTGATCCCAGCATCTGAAATATAGATTGAGAACAGTAGGAACCTAACCCACTTATCACAGTAGCCACAGGGCCATCCAACTACAACGCTAGCGTGAGGGACTAATTCTTTCCTCACACTTTATTTATAGACACAACATGAACAATTACTTGACAGTACCACCTCATGGCCTTATTAACATAGAGCTAGTTTTTCTTTCTTTCTCTCTTTCTTTTTTTTATTGATGGACATGTCTTCATGTGAGGCAAATACCGCAATCTTATAATAATTTAATGAATTACATTTTCTTCTTTACTGAATACATTCCAATAGCTTAAAAGATAGAGGTAGTTTAATTTGTTTCATTTAAATTCAGTACACTGCTACATTGCAGATATGCTCTTTCTGATTTTTGTTGCTTAGAGTTATCATCTTTTTAAAGGATTTTTCAATTTATTCCAGGAAGGATACTAAAAAAAGGAAGGAAAGAAAAGAGAAACCTCAAAATAGAACATAAAGAATTGTCACTCACATTACGATACGAAAAGAAAATGACAGCATCGTCATCACTGACTCCTAACTCTAAAGACAGTACAGTTTAATAGTCTATAAGAACTAAAAAAAGATGGCATTTGTAAAAACTTTATCATTTTTAAAGGTGCCCTGTGGTTCTGTTTAGGGGACTTTTATTTAACATATATTGTTTTATTTAACACTGATTTAGGCATTCAAAAAATTAAAAAAAAAAGATATGTTGTAAAGCCCTGGTCATAAAATCAAAACATCTTTGCATTTTCACTTCTCCATTTCCTAGCTAACTTTGGATAAGTCACTTTCACTCCCCACTTTCCCTCCATATATATTTGGGTTATTAATAGTTCCTGCAATACGTTGTTTTTATAAAATTAGTGCAAAATATTCCTTGGTGCATTGTTGGCATTCAGCCAACATTAGATTATTTGGATAGCTCATCTGAAAATGATCTTTGAATCAGACAGAATCTGAAAATAATATTAACCATAAAGAAAGATTCAGAAATCATGAATTATGTTCTTAGGGCATTATTGGGACAATGTTTTCAGAAATCTGTCCATCGATCACCTTTCATCTATCTATTCCCTACATCTTTAGTTCCTTGCAGGCCTGATTCTTTAATATTTATTAAATTATCATTGATAAAAGCTTTGTAATATAGCACTGAGATTATACAAATTACTTTGAATATATGATACATTTTTGACTGATGGGTACATTGCAAATCCAACCATTAGTTTTGAATTTAAAGAAGAAAGTGATTTTTGCTATCGGAACTTCCATATTTAAAAGTTCATGGGCAGGCAGGCAGGGTGGCTCACACCTATAATCCCAGTCTTTTTGGACGCTGAGGTGGGTGGATCACCTGAAGTCAGGAGTTCGAGACCAGCATGGCCAACATGGTGAAACCCTATCTGTACTAAAAATACAAAAATTAGCCGGGCATGGTGGCACGCTCCTGTAATCCCAGCTATTCAGGAGGCTGAGGCAGGAAAAACGCTCGAACCCGGGAGGCAGAGGTTGCAGTGAGCTGAGATTGTGGCACTGCACTCCAGCCTGCGCGAAAAAGTGAGACTGTCTCACAAAACAAAACAAAACAAAAAAGTTAATGGGTAAGTGGGAATTTCAAAATGAATTGCCAGAAGAAGAAAGGAATGAAGGCAATATCTAAACAGGTAAAGACATTGAGTAGATTCTCACCTTTTGTAAAGAAACGGTTTCACTAGTTACAAAAGAAGGCAATTTCACATCTTACCTTTGTTTCTCTTAAACAATTGTAGATATCAGTATGCTACTGTGGCCACTTTCTGTGTGTAACTTACAGGGTGTTATTGACCTTGTTGTCATTATCCTCTGACACATGAGGTCTTTGGAAGTAATGACAAATGGTAGCAACATAGCTCATCAAGCCTCCCACAAGGAGAGAATCAAATTTATCAACTACTATGCTATCTTCCACATAGTACTTCTTAAAGTGCTCATATTATCAAGCATAAAGATTTTTAAATAGTTTTAAAATAATGAAAAAAGAAGTACTTACAAAAAGTGCAAAGTATTTTATTATCATCCTTTTCCAAAATTCTTAGTTTTCCATTTTCAGCCACCTCTTTTTTCTTTTTCTTTCTTTGGGAGGCTTCAGGGAGCTTTTACGCATGGTGGAAGGCAAAGTGGGAGCAGACTTGTCACATGGTGAAAGGAGGAGCAAGAGAGCAAGGGGGGAGGTTCTCTACACTTTTTCTTTCTTTCTTTTTTTTTTTTTTTTTTTTTGAGACAAGGTCTCACTCTGTCATCCAGGCTGGAGTGCAGTGGCACAATCTTGGCTCACTGGAGTTTTGACCTCTGGGACTTAAGCAATCCTCCCACCTCAGCCTCCAGAATAGCTGAAACCACAGGCTCACGCCACAGTGCCTAGCTTTATTTTTTTATTTTTTTATTTTTCATAGAAACGGGGTTTTGCCATGTTGCCAGGGCTGGTATCGAACTCCTGGGCTCAAGTGATCCCGCCCCCTCAGCCTCCCACAATGCTGAGATTACAAGAGTGAGCTACTGTGCCCAGCCTACACTTCTAAATGATCAGTTCTCAGGAGAACTCACTCGCACTAGGGGAGTACCAAGAGGGATTGTGCAAAACCATTCATGAGAAGTCTGCCCTCCTGATACAATCATCCACCAGGCCCCAACACTTTTTATTATGATGATTATTTTTATTATTATTTCCATAGGTTTTGGGGAACAAGTGGTGTTTGGTTACATGAATGATTTCTTAAGTGGTGATTTCTGAGATTTTTGTCAGCCAAAATCTTTTCAATCTTAGGATGAAAAACTAAAGAAAAACTAAATTTATTTTCCTTCTGTGACTTATACATTGTTGGATAATGTTTACAATTTATTAAACTTACTCAGTGCTAAATGTGTAGCAGTGTAGTAGATATAATGTAGAAAAATTTATGGCTTAATTTATAAGGAAACTATCAGAAAGTAAAATTTCTAAACTAGCTATGAGACATAGTGGGATTTAGTCCTTTGAAATTCATAATAATGACATCCAGAAGTAACATTATGGTTCTATTAGGAAAAATGTAAATATCCTAAAGAAGGAATCTTTTAAAATATCATTTAAGATGATTTTTAGATTTTTATTCAAATATATTTAAATAAAACTAGGCAAGATTTTTATATCAAAACTTCTCTTTCTCTCTTTCCATCACAAGCACATACAGGAGGCTTTGGTCCTGCAATTGATTTTTAATGAGGCAAATCCCTCAGATTTAGAGTAGAATCCCTAAAGGCCCTCTATCAATTCCTTTTTATTAAGCTAATGACTTTTTAAATGAATTATTTTAGGGAAAAGAACTAATGGGCTTACGAATGTTGTTTTCACCCCAGGTGAAAAATCTTCAGGCAAGATATGATTTAAGAATAAATACCTTTTTTATTTCCAAGCAAATTGCTTTTTAATTATTATTATCAAAATGAGCTGGGGCTAAGAGCAACTTCTGAGGGTCTTGGGGTTTTTCCACTTGCTTTCGACCAAAATGCTTAAAAAGCATTCAGCTTATACAATGTACACTACTCGGGTGACGGATACCCTAAAATTTCAGACTCTACCGCTATGTAATACATCCACGTAACCAAAAACTACTTGTACCCCTAAAGCTATTGAAATGAAAAAAGAAAACATTCAGCACAAGTAAGAATGTACCAATGGCCGGGCGCGGTGACTCACACGTGTAATCCCAGCACTTTGGGAGGCCGAGGCGGGTGGATCACGAAGTCAGGAGATCGAGACCATTCTGGCTAAACACGGTGAAACCCCGTCTCTACTACAAATACAAAAAAATTAGCCGGGCATGGTGGTGGGCGCCTGTAGTCCCAGCTACTCAGGAGGCTGAGGCAGGACAATGGCGTGAACCTGGGAGGTGGAGCTTGCAGTGAGCCGAGATCGTGCCACGGCACTCCAGCCTGGGCGACAGAGGAAGACTCCGTCTCAAAAAAAAAAAAAAAAAAAGAATGTATTAATACATTCCATCCATAAACACCTTCCTTAAGAAACTATTTCTTAGCCTTCCTTTTCAATCCATTCTATCATTTTAAAAGCCAGATTAGTAAAAATTTTGACCCCTAATAAAAAGCAGCATCTATAATTTTACTTTAAACATGATTTTCTTGTTAAAGATGAAGAGTTTCACTTTTGGTATCTTCTGTTTTAAAAACTTAATAGACCAGCTTATACTTTTCCTCATCTGACCATCTTCTGTATATGCCCACATTCTTCATATCCTTGTTAGTAATAAAAACTTCATAGTTCATATATATTTTCTTCATCACTGAACATCAAATAGTATGAGCCTCATTCATGAATTAAAGTATTTTGTAGCCATATATGACTAGATTTTTATTTGGAGGCAAAGCTTATAAGGATACAGGAATCCATAATTGCTATGTATATAAGCAGAAATCTACACATAAGAGTATATATGAAAGAGGAAACTGTTTGTAGAGAAATAATTGAAAATGAGAAGAGAACTTTATCAATTGTCCCTTGAATAATTACTAAAACCCACTCTTATGTGATGATTTTCCAAAGACATAATTAGTAATAACTGTGTTAGGGGACATGCTTTATTGATGCAACTTCTGTTTCATTTTGGTTTTTAAATCATAAATAAAAAGCCACATTGAAAATATGTATATATAATAATCATGTGTTCATGTCTATGGTGCAATTTTCTCCTAAAATAATATTTGAATTAAATCAAAAGTTTTTATTTTTTATTTGATTTAGATGTTTAGGTCCATCTTGTGTCAAGGAAATTGAATTCAAACTCTTCAAGTAGAAGCCTCTTCTCCATACCTGTTTTTCTATCTCCCTCAACAATGGCGAAACAAGCTGTATCTCAGAAAATAAATCTTTGGTGCATAAGCCTACTTTATGCTGCAATATACTTTCCACTTATGTGAAGGAGATAATTTAATGAGTGTAAAGATCACAGGCTCTGGGAGACAGGTAGCTCATCTATTAGCTCTGTGACAATGAAAACATTACTCTTTGATCTCTTTTCTCATCATCTGTTAAAAGAGCTAATTATACCTACTTTATACTCTTGTAAAAAAATAAGCCTTGGATTTGTGCAAAGCATCAAGCACCATGTATAGAATAGTTCTCTATTTTGTTCATCTATGTATTTTCATCACCTAGAACAGAGCTGAGTACATAGTATCATTATTAGTTTTGATTGCAATAGAAACAGATTACTGCAAATGTATTGGTTTAAAACAACATAAAATTATTATTTTATAGTTCTGGAGGTTAAAAGTCCTAAATCAAGGGCTCTATTCCTTGTGAATGCTCTAAGGGAGGATCTGTTTCTTTGCCTCTCCCAGGTTTTGGAAGTTGCCTGTGCTGCTTGTCTCATAGCCTCTTCCTCATCATTGCAACATCTACTGCTGCCTCTGACTCTGACCCTCCTGCCTGTCTCTTATAAGGACCTTTGTGATTATATTGGGCACACATGGATAATCCTGAAAAATCTCCATCTCAAGATTCTTCATCTAATCATATCTGCACAATCCCTTTTGCCATTAGTATATTTATAGATTTGGAAGATTAGGATGTGGTATCTTTGAGAGGCAATTATTCTGTCTACCATAGTATCTTATCAATAAATACATGTTACATAAAGTTAACTATAGGTTGTACGTAAAAACTGGTTCTTTCATTTATGCTTTTAAATAACCATCTATTTAATTCATATACATGTAGTTTAGTGAAAGCTTGACTTGGTAGGATACAAGTAGGAAACGATTTTATTATTATTACAAGATGGTTCATTACAAACTCTTTCTATCACTTGTTTTTCTCCTGACACTGGAAAAAAAAAAAAACTGAGACATGTATCACATATTTTTCTGGTTATTTTCAGGTACTACAAACTTCTTCTGCCACTGGTAGGTAATAAAACAAAAATAAATAAATATTTTCTAGAGATTAAAAAAATTTAAACCCAGTGTAATATTGGAAGTCTCATTTGATTTGAAATTGTTTTCTTCCCCTAGTTTAGTCAACATCCGAATGTGGACAGGATGCCTGCACTGAAGATAGGAAGGCATAATTGGTTATCTCTCTAAGTGTTTCCTCACTTCTTAATTGCTGTTTAGATGCTCTAGGATTACAGAATGAAGAATCAAGGACAGAAAATATTTTACTCAACTAATGCAACAGGCATAGCTGGTGTTGTTGCATTCTTGAAGGAACAGATATAAAGGCTGGCTTTCTTTCAGGGAAGTGTTTTTATAAATTATTTTACTTTTTTTGGCTTTGGCAATTTTTTTAGAAAACTATCATGAGAGAGGCTCTTTCTCATAATTTCATTGATTTAAATTGTGAATAATGTCTCCTCCAGATGGCCGCTTAAAAATTCCACTACAGACTCCTAGATTTTGGCAGCCTTCTCCCTTTTTCAGGTCCCCCCCCAACCCCACCCCCTTTTTTTTTTCCTTCTAGTAGTCCTATTAGGCAGAGGCGTTTTAGAATAAATCAGTTTGACACCTGGCTGCTTTCTCATTGCCCTATCATTTGGCCCATGAGAAATACAAAAATATTGCTGTCCCAATATGTTTTGAATACTCTTGGAAGTGTTCTGTATTCTGACCTACCACAGGGGTACATTTAGTATTAGACTCTTCAGTCATGATTCAGATACCAGTACCTGTCTCTCAGATTCCAAGGAACACATTTCAAATTCTCCAAAACAGTCCCCCACTGATCCTCCTTATTTGGTGTCTCTTCTCCTTCCATAGCACTCTCTCAAGAAATCCTTATTACCATCAACCTCTTAATGAAGTGTTTGTTCTGTCTGTAACTTGGAAGGGAGTGGAACATGATGTTTTAACATTTTTAGGATATGTCTCAAAATCTTAGTTGAAGGGTAGTTTTATGTCTTACTTTATAATATAGGAGTATTTAAAAACTGTTGAGTTTTTCTTGACTTTGTGGCACCTTAGCCAAAACCTTATGACTAAAATAATCACACTTCATATTATTTTGCCATTACATATGAAGGAATAAGGAATAACTGTTATGAAACCAGGCTTTCAAATTAAACTACATGAAGTAAAACATAAATCCAGTCATTTTGCTTTTACTTAATGCCATAGTGAAAGAGTAGGTATATCCAAGAGTGTTCATAGCAGCAGGTTCGAATGAGTAAAAACCTGAAAACAACTTAAGTGCCCAATAGAAGAATGAATAATTATTTACAGTTTACAATGAAATACATTATGGTAATGAAAATGAATTAATTAAAGCTATATCATTAATATTTATAAATCATTATAACATAATTTTTTTATTATTATACTTTAAGTTCTGGGTTACATGTGCAGAACGTGTAGTTTTGTTACATAGGTATACACGTGCATGGTGCTTTGCTGTACCCATCAACCTGTCACCTACATTAGGTATTTCTCCTAATGTTATCCCTCCCCTAACTCCCAACCCCCAAAAGGCCCCAGTGTGTGATGTTCCCCTCCCTGTGTCCATGTGTTCTCATTGTTCAACTCCCATTTATGAGTGAGAACACACGGTGTTTGGTTTTCTGATCTTGTGATAGTTTGCTGAGAATAATGGTTTCCAGCTACATCCATGTCCCTGCAAAGGACATGAACTCATCCTAGTTTTAAGAGGAAAAAAGCTAAGAAAGAATATGCTCAATAAGTTTCCATTTTAAGAAGATCAAAAACATATGTCTAAAGTATTAAAGGAAAAAAGGAAATAATTTTTAAAGTATAATACAGAGTAGAATGATGGTTAACAGAGACTAGGAAGGGTAGCAGAGGTGGGGAGGGGGTACTGAGTATGGTTAATGGTCGCAAAAATATAGTTAGGATGAATAAGATCTAGTAATGGCTAACCCAACAGCGTGACAACAGTCAACAATTATTTCTTGTATATATAAAAGTAACTAAATGAGTGGAATTGGAATGTTCCTAGTGCAAATAAATGATAAATGTTTGAGATGATGGATACCCCAGTTTCTCTGATTTGATTATTACATATTCTGTGCCTGTGTCAAAACACATGTACCCCATAAATATGTGCACCTACTATGTACCCACAAAAATTAAAAAAGATACAGTAGATTACTGATTATCCCTGGATTAGGAAGATAAGAATGAAATACGTACTGAGAGAACTTTAGTAGCTTGAGCAAAGTTCAATTTCTTAAGTTGAGTGAAATATTCATGGATGTTTATTTTATTATTTTGCTTTGTAAGTTATGAATATATGTTCTTGTCTTTTTGTGCAAATCAAATATTTTCTAATATTAAGAAGACAGACCATCGACCATTTTAAAAAACAAACAACTGCAAGAAGAAAGACACACGCAAAAATAGGTCCATCTGTTGCTAGTTCTGTTCTTTTGGGTGAGTTATTAAACTTTTCTAGACCCCCCTTTCTCTATCTGTGAGATGGAAATAATGGGGGTGGTTGTGAAAATTAACAATAATGCAATTAAAGTTATCATAATTATAATTAGTAAGTGTGTATAAAAATGAGTTCAATATAGTCAAGTATATTCAAATATATTTAGTGTATAATTCATTTTTAAGTATAGTAAACTGATAGCAGCTATTTTAATACCTTTTGGGCATAAAATACATGAATCTTTACTTTTATCATATTTTAATGATCCATGCAAAAGTTACAATTCTTTTAAGAGTTTAATAAAGAAAGAGAAGCCTAACCTAGGTTTTTTTATAGTATGCCTACGAGAATTTTATTTTTACAACTCTCTATAATTTACATTTTGAAATCCCTTATTTCCAAAATTATAACAGTGATAAATAAGGTTTCCCAGAGAAATGCAACTAGTTTCTCTGTTCCCAATTTTTAAAAAATGTTAGAAAGATATAGCTTCAATAGTGTGTTTGATCATCATGCTAGGAAAAGATTTTTGAAAAATTATATTTTATTTTATTTTTATTGAAGGGAAAGCACAGTCATAAGGACCAGTAGAAGATTTTCCAAAGTTATATGACATGACAGAGAGAGTTCAGAATCCTGATTACCTAGCTCTTCTCACTGTATTTTTATCACCTATTAGTTTCAACCGACATCAAATGCCACCCAGTTAATATATTCCATCCAGTTTATTATTCAATTACCTTTTTTCTCAAATATTGATCACACAGGATGAGCAGCACTAATCTAAGCCCTGGTAGACACAGCCATATCTCTAAGGAAAGAGAAAAAAGAAATAACCAGAGAGGAGAAGAGAAATTAAATAAGACTAAAATTTTACAGATTTGTGAATTTGGCAGAGCAAGGATAAAGGAGATGACTAGAGAAATGAAAAAGAGGTCTTCTGAAAAGATATTTCTGTTGAAACCATGAGGGCTAGTAGCTGTTAATTATTCAAAAAGGAAACGGCAGCCCATTTTATACTTATTTTAAGTACCCAGCAATATTTGTTGAGTGTTTATTATAGATCAGGTGCTGTTCTAAATTTGAATATTGAATTTGGAACTGTGAGTAAAGCAATTAAATTTGCCTCATTATACAGCTTACATAAATAATGATAGGTATACATACAATAAATTAATTAACAAAAACACATTACATTTGTTATGTGGTTTTAAGAACTATGGAGGAAAAAAATAAAGCAAAGTAGAAAGATTTGAGAGTTCTGATGGAAGGAGATGGATGTTAATACTGTGTCATATAGAGTAGCCCTTATCAATACAGAGTGACAGTCAAGGTCAAATCCCTGAGGTTGGAACACGGGTTCCAGTAACTGAAACAGGACAAGCCAGGGGTATCTGAAGGTGATTAGGTCAGAGAAGAATGCAGGGCCAGATCATGACTAGGCCAGAGAAGAATGTAGGGCCAGATCATTCGTGGAGCAATGATGGACTCTGTCTTGTACTCTGAGCTAGATAGTTCCCATTGATGAATCTTAAGAAAGTAATACGATCAACTTTACTGATTAAATGATCACTTTGCTGACTGTGTAAAGACTAAACTGTGGGGACGGTGAGATGATTTATGAGTGGAGGGTTGGGCAGCTAATGAAATAATCTAAATAAGAGGTAACAGTGGTTTGGACCAGGATGTGGCGGTAGATATGGATGTGCTGGGAATATAGACATATTTCATAAACAGAGCCAAATACAATAGTAAGGACTAGACATATAGTATTACAGACAGAGGGAAATCACAATTTCATGGTATTTGGGTCACACAAACTGAACTGAGCAAGATGAGGGAGACTGCACATTTGGGGGCTGGGTAGAGTTGTATTCAGTTATATAGGTTTAAGTTGCCTATTAGCCAATCAATTGGAGATGAAGAGTGGGCAAATAAATACAGAAATGTTGAGGCAAGAGGGGATAAATATTTGAACGTTGTAAGCTTAATGAATTATTTGATGCTATTTAAAACCATCATCCTAGATGAAGTCACCTAGGGAGTGAGTACAGATAGAGAGGGCAAGAGACCCTGGGGCTCAGCTCTTTGTTACTACAACATCTAGAGACTGAAGAAATACAGAGAAGCCAGTAAAGAAAACTTTAAAAAGGAGCCAGTTAAATAGAAGAATGATGACTTTTAAAAAAAAAATTGAGATACCTAGCGGTTTAAGAGGTTAAGAAACTCTATCAAGATCAAATGAGTCCATGACAAAGGTTAAATTACAACAAATAGTAAAATTATATTTTTTATCAAGTGGATATAAGGCTGCATAAGCACCTTTTAAGAATGCTGTAGAACACTAATCTGTCAATAATATTTGAGGTCATATTACATAATCTTCAACAGAGTGTCTCTTACAGAGTACCTATTGACTTTAAGTCAACATTAGATTTTGCTTTCTTTCTCAATGTACTTACAGATTTAGGATTAAAAGTCAGATTTTGAAAATAAATTGTCTTTATAGTATGCAATAATTTAATAATTATACAATTTTCAAATGAAAATTTTTCATATACTCAAGATTTTTCTGTTTTTCTACTTGACAGATGTTTTAGTTTATCTTCTTTTTTATTATTATTATTATACTTTAAGTTTTAGGGTAAATGTGCACAATGTGCAGGTTAGTTACATATGTATACATGTGCCCTGCTGGTGTGCTGCACCCATTCACTCGTCATTTAGCATTAGGTATATCTCCTAATGTTATCCCTCCCCCCTCCCCCCACCCCACAACAGTCCCCAGAGTGTGATGTTCCCCTTCCTGTGTCCATGTGTTCTCATTGTTCAATTCCCATCTATGAGTGAGAATATGCGGTGTTTGGTTTTTTGTCCTTGCGATAGTTTACTGAGAATGATGATTTCCAATTTCATCCATGTCCCTACAAAGGACATGAACTCATCATTTTTTATGGCTGCATAGTATTCCATGGTATATATGTGCCACATTTTCTTAATCCAGTCTATCATTGTTGGACATTTGGCTTGGTTCCAAGTCTTTGCTATTGTGAATAGTGCCGCAATAAACATACGTGTGCACGTGTCTTTATAGCAGCATGATTTATAGTCCTTTGGGTATATACCCAGTAATGGGATGGCTGGGTCAAATGGTATTTCTAGTTCTAGATCCCTGAGGAATCGCCACACTGACTTCCACAATGGTTGAACTAGTTTACAGTCCCACCAACAGTGTAAAAGTGTTCCTATTTCTCCACATCCTCTCCAGCACCTGTTGTTTCCTGACTTTTTAATGATTGCCATTCTAACTGGTGTGAGATGGTATCTCATTGTGGTTTTGATTTGCATTTCTCTGATGGCCAGTGATGATGAGCATTTTTCCATGTGTCTTTTGGCTGCATAAATGTCTTCTTTTGAGAAGTGTTTGTTCATATACTTTGCCCACTTCTTGATGGGGTTGTTTGTTTTTTTCTTGTACATTTGTTTGAGTTCATTGTAGATTCTGGATATTAGCCCTTTGTCAGATGAGTAGGTTGCGAAAATTTTCTCCCATTTTTTAGGTTGCCTGTTCACTCTGATGGTAGTTTCTTTTGCTGTGCAGAAGCTCTTTAGTTTAATTAGATCCCATTTGTCAATTTTGGCTTTTATTCTACTTTTTTTAGAGGGCTGTTTTAAAACTTGAAAGTCGTATATCCCTTTTTTCTCTAGTTTTTCTGAAACGATTTCTGTTGGCCCTTACTATTTTCTTTAGTCTTTTATCATTTGTCTCCCTTTCCTTTTTGATATTTCAATTTTTAGATAGTTATTTTTGTAGTTTAATAGTAGGCATCTTAATCATTAACAATCTATTTGAATTAATACCCATTTATTTTGTAGTCAATTTTTATAGAAAATCATAACCTAACATCTATTGTCAAGGTATTTTCACATTTTTAATAAACTGTTAGATATCTGGACTAAGGGAATCATGAGCTCTAATATTTGCATAAGCATTTATACGAGGATGTTAGTTAACCTTAGAAAGTTCTATAGGGAATGTTGATGAAACACATTGTAACATGGGTGGCATCTATCCTGTTTATAAAACGACGCTAAATAGAGCATTGGACAATGTTTTCTTAACCAGTGTTTCTCAATCTACCTCTGCTGAGGAATTTTGTTTTTCAATGTGTTGTTTACCAAAACTTTGTGAAATAGAGCACAAATGAACTACTAGAAAATAAATAAAAATACATATAAAATGCAGTCTTGATTTTTATTATTATGTTCGATGGACATGAAGTTATTGGCCAAAGTTCTATAAAAACTTTTCAAACATTTGTTCTCATTTGTTCAACTAATGTTCATTGTGGGTACTGGTCTATAGACCACGCTGTATAGGAAAATACTTCTACAAGGTCCCCTCTCCTTGAATTGCCTTTAGAAACACCGAATTTTAGAAGAATATGTTACATAATATTATTAGAAATTATTTTTTAAGGACCTGAAACCCATTATATATGACTTTATAGAAAGACATGCTGATAATTGCAGTACCAGTGTAGTGAGGAATACCAGGAGGTGTTATACCATTGAACAGGGTGTGTGTTTTCTTTCTGCCAAGTAACCAGTAATTATTATAATGGAAATGCCTTTCATCATAATATGCTTCCAATTTGTTTTAAACATCTTTCTCACAACAATCCTGTGAGGCTGACATGATTTTTCTTACTTTATAAGAAAACAGATACAGAAGTCAAGTGAATTTCCAAGATCACAGATCTCATAATTGGCAGCAGTAGTGCCAGAACTCAGGTTTTCTGCCATCTGTTCTCCTCCAGGTTGATGTAATCGTTATCACTTTGTTATGAAATTTGAATTGAGGAGACAGTGAAGCCAATTAACAGAAGAGAGAGGCTGCGAAAAGGGATTTCTTTATGACGTTTTGGTGTATTCTTGCTGCATATAAGGGGGGCCTCAGGCTAATGAGAATGACTTAGGGTAGCATTCAGGCTGTTGTAGTAATTAATGCAGAGGTTAAGCCAGGATAATTCTTGGCAATACTATGGTGTTGTTTTCCCTTGGGAAGAGGTCCAGGGCTGACATTGTACTACACAAACATAGGCCTCCAAGTAGAAGTACAATTCCTAGGTTAGGACAATAGATTTAGTTAGCTTTCCTGGACACAAATCTGTTCTTTTTTATTTTCCTCATTGGAATAGATTTTTAGGAATTTCTATAATAGGTTCAGCTCTATTTTGTGGCTAAAGGGACATAATGGAGTGCAAGTTAACACAAGATTTCGACATTCACCAAGATGATGCTTTATTGGTTTTTTTTGGTGTTTAACTAAACCATGAGATAAGGAAGAAAATATAAACTTGGAGGAAAAGCTGACCCTTAACCAGAAATTATAGTGGTTGACATTGGTGACTTGCTAATAGGGCCGATATAGTAGGTAATAATTAATATACTGGTGTGTTTGTGTGTGTGCCTGTGTGTGTAAGGGAGGGGTTAGCTCAGCTATATGAGTGATGCCAAATACACCATGCTTCAAGGATGCTGTATTAAAGATATTACTTATTTTAACAAATAAATGCAACTTGAGAGGGAGTCAATTCTGCAGTGTATTAATTCCTTAACATCTTATCCTTAATCAGGTTCTCACCTCACTGAAGCAAGACTGGTAAATAAGTTTTGAAGATGAAGATAAAACAGAATAAATTAAGGAAGAAAAAAAAGAAGAGGAAAATCTCCCAAACTGGCCTGTCTTCAATGTTCCTTTGAACTGTCTCTCCTACTGCACTCTTTACATTTTAATGACTTGAGTGTTTACCATTTATGCAGGAACATACCCTTAATGTGCTCAGAAGTGATGCGTACCTTCTATACATGAGACAGACCACCCAGCAAAATACCAATCCAGCTTAGGGTCTGTGAAGTATTATCCATTTGTCTAAAATGTACTGTACTAAACCTTATAATACTTTGTTAGCTGGTTATGTCAAATTCTCATTGTAATATAAAGATTTAAGTAAAATATGAACAAATTGACAATATCCAATACCAAAAGGCCATAAAAACCTTTTTCAGAAATATAACAGACTTACAGCCTTGCGTAGGTCAGCAAAAATGGTATGTACCAGAGCATAGTTATGAAAATTTAAAGAAGTGTATATTTCTTCATTTATTCTGTACCCGTTCAACATTGTGACAAGCATAACAGATTTACAATTCTTACATACTTTTTGCTATATTTCCCCTCTCAATATGATGTCATTCCATTTTTTTTTACAATTTTTACAAATGAAGACAGAGGCAGCTTATTAAGACCAACTACTCCCAGGTTTATTTGTGAAGAAAGTAAGACTCACCTGTGCAGGTCCAGAAATGTTTTATTTTTCACAGAAGCATTAAATTTTGGTACTAATGGGAACAAGAAAGATTATCTCACCTTGTCAGTTATTAGATGCAGCAATACTAAAACAAATTTAAACTGGAAGATTTCCTTCTCAGGGTTATAACAAATACTAAATTAGGTTATGTGTTTTGTTGTTCAGAGGCATACAAATATTTGTATATAATCATTAGGGTGCTGGCATTGATGGGATTAATTATGCATATTACATTACTTAATCATCTTCACATGTGAATCTATTAAAATGATATAAATTGAAATAATATTAAACATAATGCTGGATGTGAGCAGCGAGCATCAAAGTAGAGGAATCGGATGCATATATGTGTGTATAAATGTATGTGAATTCATATGTATACACATACACACAAAGAGAGGAGTTGGTAAGAGACAGAGAAATGAGACAGAGCTTTAAAACATGAGAAATCATCTCATAAAAGTGCTTATTTTAAAAATAAGGACATTTAGGCTATGAGAGAGTACAATACTTGACCAAGGTCCCAAATAACAGCCTGTGTTAGTATGCCCACTTAATGAGAATGACAATGAGGTATGGAGAGGAGAGAGAGCAAAAGAGAGAGAGAAAGAGAAAAGAGAGAGGTGGAGACTGGAGTTTGGGACTGGGGGAATTTAATCATGGTTGTAGAAGTATAATTAGCATAAGAACATTAATTATATGTTGTCATGTTATAGAAGGTTTTACAAGTACTAATACTTTATTTTATGCCTGATTTAGTCAAAGATAATTTTTACTAAGTCATAGTCTTACTTATTTTGCATAGACAATGGTTTTTAAAAATATGCATCTCAAAAAATCTTGTTTGAATTTATTCAAAGAAATTACATCTTCTGGTCTCAAATACTGGCATTCAGAATCATGCATTTTAAAAATGTTCAATTATACTTTAAATTTAGTAACTATAGCATTATATTGATCAAACATATTTGATGATTTAGGCTATAATTTTTAAAAATGCAGTAACTCAGGGTCATTATTAGGAATTAAAACCCACATTTGTGGCAGGTTGTAGACTAACTGATCTATTTAGTTACATTTGGATCTGCATTTGGGTCCATTCTTGCCCTTTCCCTTTCATGCCACTGCCTGCTTAATTTTCCTCATCAGATATTTTCTCACAGAGCAGTCCCTGAACAGGATCACATGAAATACTTCATAATTTACTGATTTTATTTACACTTAACAAAATATACTCTCTCAGGTGTGGGGTTTAAAATTTTAGCATAAATTTCTTAGATAATACTAATACTGGAAAGAATTTGTGACGTCTCCTTCTAGTAGATATAAACGCTACCAATTCAGTTATTTTTATTAAGTAGTGAAAGAGAAAGAGAGAGAAGAAGAGAGACAGAGAGAAGGAGAGGTAGAAGGAGAGGAAGGAAGGAAGGAAGGAAGGAAGGAAGGAAGGAAGGAAAGATAAATTTAATATAATGCTTTTCTGGCTATTATTTTCATTTTACAAGACAGGTGAAATGGAAAAATATAATGCTCAAAGATGAATTTTTATTTTGTGAAATTTAGTGTTTTTAACATACAAACTAGTCCTAGATTATTATTCAAGGCAGATTTCAAATTTCTCAATATTGAAAATTTTTGATTGACAGAATGACAGATAAACCAATTGTTTCTGACAAGACTTGTACAACATCTTATTTTTTTACAATTCTGAAGATTTTGTAAAATGCCAATTAGTGCTCAAATCCCATTAGTAAATTAATTAGAATGTAGTTAAAATCTGCCACAGAGATTGTAAAACAAATCAAATAATGCATCACTATCCACTCTTGATAATAAAGAAATTTTCATTTGGCTCAAGGGAGTTGGCACATTACTAATTAGTATTAATTCAGTTGTTCTTTGTTGTTTAAGAATAAATTTAGTATGACCCATATCATTTCTAAGAAACAGAAATTAAATAATTTATTCCTCCTTCTTTTACTGATTCTCACACTTACCTTTTTGTTTCTAACTACAGGCTTTTAGAGATATAAACCAGATCAAATTTTTGCATATTGTCTTTTAAATCCTAGCATGACTTTGTATCAGTTAGAATAGCTTAAGTAGAAACTATTAAAGCAAATTAAAATGAAGATCATTTTAATGAAAATCCCTGAGCTAACCAAGCCACTTCGGCCTTGAAAATAACTTTAACCTTGCTTAAGTTGCAAATATAGGCAGAAAATGCGGGTCATTTCTTGTAAATGCCTATATTAAAGAAAAACAGAACTTAAGCTTAAACCAATAAAAGGAAGCCAGATAACATGATTACAGAACTAGGGATTTTTCAGTGGGATGGAGCAAATAAGGCAATTTTATGATGCTTATCAGTTAAACATTTTCTTTGTATTACCTTCTGATTCATTCTATAAAAGTATATCCCTTATGCTTTTTCAATGGCATTGAAGAACCACTTCTTGCTTAGAGCTGCCCTATTCATGAATTACTGTTTGTTTAAATACATTATATAAATTATATTTACCTCAGTTTATCTTTTTAACACAACTAACAAATATTCTTAATTTGACTTGCTTTGAAAAGTATTGCATTTATTATCTCACATAGGTGGAATCTCACACATAGTGACATTTTCAGGCAGGTTGACTAAGTGGCTCATTGTTTTCAAAGACCCAGGTTCTTCTCATAAATCTGAAATCCATTGGATTAAATTCACCTAAAAGCTTGTTCCTCTCTTGATTTCAAGATAGTGTCTATCACTGCTACAGGTTTTCTTACTCATCATGCAACATTAAGGATAGCCACAAATAATTTGATATTTCTCCCTCTTGAGATGAATTCTATGTACCATCCCCTTGAATTTGGGTGAGATCTATGTCTATTTGAACAATGGAATATGGCAAAAGTGAATCTGTGCTTTCTCCTAGACCCAAGCCCTAAAATACTGGTAGCTTCTACTTTGTCTGTCTTTGAACACTTGCTTTTGCAGCCCGATGGCCATACTGTGCAAAAGTCTAACAAGCCCCAGAACAGGCCCCCATGAAGAACAACTGTGGCTAGCTGAACTCCCAGGGAACAGCCCACACTATCTAATGATTCATGTAAATTACTATCTTAAATGTGAATCTTCCATTCCCAGTCCAGCTGCCCAGCTGATGCCACATGGAATGGACACGAGTTATCCTCACATTGTCTTGCCCAGATTACTGGTTTGTGAATTAAATAAATGACCATTGTTTAAACCATTGCTTTGTTCTTGTTGTTGTTGTTGTTTTTTTTAGTGGGAGGGAAGAAGTGTTTGTGATGCAGCAATTAATAATCAAAACAGTCATATTTCTCAATAGATGGAAAAATGTAAGTCCTTATATTCAGTGTGATGGGACAAACATAGTCCTACTGCTCACCCCCTGAGTCACTCAGGAAATTCCAAAGCCAACTGTCTTTACCTAAACTAAGTCTACTGCTAAAGTTGAGATGAGGTCAGTTTCCACAGATACACATGGCATATGGAGCAGTGCTAGGTTCAGTAAGGAGGAAGACAATCTGCAGGGTCCACTGCTAACTATATACTTTCTTTTAAAAAGAGAAAATTTTCAGATACTATTATTTAAGACAGAGATTTGAAACTTTTATAAATTGTCCTTAGGTTGTAAAGATAAAGAGAGACTATTAGAGCAAATGTTAATTCATCAAAGAGCATGTTAAAATTGAGGCTCCACCATTTGAGGCCTTTATTCTAAGAAGACAGATGATTCAGAGGCTTACTACAAGATAAAAACGAAGACATTTAATGGTTATCTCTTAAAAATATGGGATGAAAAATGTCTGAGCCCTTATGCAAAAAAAAAAAAAAAAGCTGGCTTTAAAGTGAATTTTGAGAACATTCCTTCTGCAAAGCAGATACTTGGTGCTCCACACATACTTCCCCAATAATCCAAGGGTAGACCACAAAGAGTGAGATGGCTAAGTTCCTAGACTGGTATACACTTTCTACATGACTTTAGGAAAGTTGTCTAACTTTATGAGCTTCTTTTATCTATTTAATAATAAATTATTGAGCAGTTAGGCTATACCAGGCACTGTACCTTCATCCATAAAATGAAAATATGCATATTTCTTTTTTTTTTTTTTTTGAGACAGAGTTTCTCTCTTGTCGCCCAGGCTGGAGTGCAATGGCGCCATCTCGGCTCACCACAACTTCCTTCTCCCAGGTTCAAGAGATTCTCCTGCCTCAGCCTCTCGAGTAGCTGGGATTACAGGCATGCACCACCACGTTTCGGCTAATTTTGTATTTTTAGTAGAGACGGGCTTCTCCATGTTCGTCAGGCTGGTCTCAAACTCCCGACCTCAGGTGATCCGCCCGCCTCAGCCTCCCAAGCATACATCATTTAAAAGTTTCTCTAAAAATTATATGAAGTCCTCTTTGTAAAAAAAAAAAAAAAAACAAAAAACAAAACAAAAACTACTTTTATAACAATGTTTGATTATAAATCACATATTTTAAATTTCTGTATAACTATAGATGGAGATAATAATAGCAGAAAGCCAAGTACACCTTCAAGGTTGTACAAAATGTTTTAACCGGTAGCAGATTCAAAGAGGAAAGAAATCCATTATTATCAAAGCAGAAGATAGTCCACACACTAAGGGTACTGTGAAATAACAGAGATGGCTGGAGCCACCTTTACACACAACATGAGAATCTGAAACCAAGTGGTTCATCCTTCTGTTACCCATGTAAGAAAGAGGCTATTGCAGATACTATAAAACAAATTCCATTACCTTGAATTCTAAGAGGCTGCGATTATTTTAGGCTATAACAAAATTACTATTAAATCAAGTATTTTTAAAATAAGTCAACTGAAAATTGAGAATACTTTATAATTCTCTGATTTTAACTAACTTTGTCAGACTAAAGAACAGCCAGAACTAGTGTCTTTAAAATCTTTTTTTAAATATAGATTTTATTTTTCAAATTGATCTCAGCTCTGTTCCAAATGACTCTGGTCTTCGGGACTGACAAAAAAATCGTGGAGAGTTTTCCATTTTAGATGACAGGTTTTTTTTATTTATGTAAGCCTTTATGCTCTTTCTTACAGGCTTTTCATAATTTGCCTATTGCCCTTTCATTTGTTCATTCATTCATTCGTTGATTTTACACTTACTTATGAGCATTATGCTATATACTGAAGAAATTTTTTTAGTAAGGAACCAAACTATTTCATCAGCTTTTAGGGCATGAGGTATGTAATTTTAATGCAATATCCATAATGGAATGAGCGAAGTGACTTCACAGTCTACATCTGCCTCATTTATACCCAGATTGTAATTTTCCTTGATTTCACATTTAATTTAATCTGGATAAATGCCGTAAGTAGAAGTTTTGACTAGCATTAGAGTTACTCTACAGATGCAAACATACACATACCATATGTGTATATAATTTTCATTCATCTTTGTTGCAAAAATATTAGGTTGATCATTTTCTGTTATAATCTACTACATGATTCCTTGAAATGTTTTTCAAGGGAAATTTAGCGTTATTTAACAATATCTGTTTTTTTTTTTTTTTTTCTGTAACTGAGAAAGAAAGCCCTTGACCTCCCAGGTAATCTTTTCTTATGCAGTGGCTGTAATTCGTCACTCCTGAGTAATTTAGATTGAAACAACAGCAAGTGGCTTTGAAGAACTGTGCTGGGCAATAAAAGGTTAATTTCCTCAAAATGGAAATCTCTAGCTGTCCCTGTGATAACTGAGAGGGCTGCAGAGATAAGTGTTTGCGTGGCGATGAAGAGAATATTCTGGGCATTAAATGAGAGTTTTGATAGGTTTATTTGTGACCATGTTTACTACAGGGATGGTAAAAATGAATTAAAGAAAAGTGCACACACCATACTGAACTTACCTGCTCTTGATGATGAAACCCTTTGGATTTTATACTGTAGGCTTAACCAGCAGTACTCCCCAAGGAAATAACTACTCCGAAGAGCTCTTTTGCCCAGTCAGTTATTGAATTTTGTTCACATATGGAAGAACAGAGCTTACCATGAGGAGGCCACCTCTGCGGCAAGTGTCTGTTTTAAAGGAAGATTCAGGTTCAGGTCCCTTACTAGTCCTTACTAGCTGAGAAACTTGAACACGTTATTTTGAAACTCAGCTTTGTCATCTGCAGTAAGAATGTTGGTGGTACTATTATGAAATCTAGAGGTGTTTTACACTCCCCAAAATGCAGATAAAAATGAGAGCAAGATTGCCCTAGCATGAAGAGAAATGAAAGGCACCGAGATTGGGGATTTACAGTTTATATTTAAACACACTCGAGTTTGAGTACTACATCTGTGTCTTACTGATGACATCGACTCAAGTCTTGTTAATTTACCGGTCTACAGTTTAGTTTTCTGATCTGTAAAATGTTGGCTTTTAGCAGGATGGTTGAGAGGATTCAATAAGATAATTAATATAACATGATGAGAATGCTTTCTAGCACATTGTAAGCACTTAACAATAAATGTTAACTAATAGTAGCTATTTTATTTATTTCAATTAACCAAAAGGTTAATTAAAAGCAAGAAAGCAAGGCCTCCTCTCCCTCTCCCTCTCCCTCTCCCTCGCCCTCGCCCTCTCCCTCTCCCCACGGTCTCCCTCTCCCTCTCTTTCCACGGTCTCCCTCTGATGCTGAGCCGAAGCTGGACTGTACTGCTGCCATCTCGGCTCACTGCAACCTCCCTGCCTGATTCTCCTGCCTCAGCCTGCCGAGTGCCTGCGATTGCAGGCACGCGCCGCCATGCCTGATTGGTTTTCCTATTTTTTTGGTGGAGACGGGGTTTCGCTGTGTTGGCAGGGCTGGTCTCCAGCTCCTAACCGCGAGTGACCTGCCAGCCTCAGCCTCCGGAGGTGCCGGGATTGCAGACGGAGTCTCGTTCACTCAGTGATCAATGGTGCCCAGGCTGGAGTGCAGTGTGGCCTGATCTCGGCTCGCTACAACCTCCACCTCCCAGCTGCCTGCCTTGGCCTCCCAAAGTGCCGAGATTGCAGCCTCTGCCCGGCCGCCACCCTGTCTGGGAAGTGAAGAGCGTCTCTGCCTGGCCGCCCATCGTCTGGGATGTGAGGAGCCCCTCTGCCTGGCTGCCCAGTCTGGAAAGTGAGGAGCGTCTCTGCCCAGCCGCCATCCCATCTAGGAAGTGACGAGCGCCTCTTCCCGGCCGCCCTGCCATCTAGGAAGTGAGGAGCGTCTCTGCCCGGCCGCCCATCATCTGAGATGTGGGGAGCGCCTCTGCCCCGCCGCCCCGTCTGGGATGTGAGGAGCGCCTCTGCCCGGCCGCAACCCTGTCTGGGAGGTGAGGAGCGTCTCTGCCCGGCCGCCCCCTCTGAGAAGTGAGGAGACCTCCGCCCGGCAGCCGCCCCTTCTGAGAAGTGAGGAGCCCCTCCGCCCGGCAGCCACCCCATCTGGGAAGTGAGGAGCATCTCCGCCCGGCAGCCACCCCGTCCGGGAGGGAGGTGGGGGTCAGCCCCCACCAGGCCAGCCGCCCCATCCGGGAGGGAGGTGGGGGGTCAGCCCCCGCCCAGCCAGCCGCCCCGTCCGGGAGGGAGGTGGTGGGTCAGCACCCGTCCGGCCAGCTGCCCCATCCGGGAGGTGGGGGGCGCCTCTGCCCGGCTGCCCCTACTGGGAAGTGAGGAGCCCCTCTGCCCGCCCACCACCCCGTCTGGGAGGTGTACCCAACAGCTCATTGAGAACGGGCCATGATGACAATGGCGGTTTTGTGGAATAGAAAAGGGGGAAAGGTGGGGAAAAGATTGAGAAATCGGATGGTTGCTGTGTCTGTGTAGAAAGAAGTAGACATGGGAGACTTTTCATTTTGTTCTGTACTAAGAAAAATTCTGCCTTGGGATCCTGTTGATCTATGACTGTACCCCCAACCCTGTGCTCTCTGAAACATGTGCTGTGTCCACTCAGGGTTAAATGGATTAAGGGCGGTGCAAGATGTGCTTTGTTAAACAGATGCTTGAAGGCAGCATGCTGGTTAAGAGTCATCACCACTCCCTAATCTCAAGTACCCAGGGACACAAACACTGCGGAAGGCCCGCAGGGTCCTCTGCCTAGGAAAACCAGAGACCTTTGTTCACTTGTTTATCTGCTGACCTTCCCTCCACTATTGTCCTATGACCCTGCCAAATCCCCCTCTGCGAGAAACACCCAAGAATGATCAATAAAAAAATAAAAAATAAAAAAAAATAAAAGCTTAGTTGGTGAGTCAAGAATGAATGGAAAAGAAAAAATAGTTACAAAGGCCAATGTTACTCATGTTGTTAAGAACTGAAAATGTCATCCAGGGCAACTCAACATCTTCCTGGCAGCTAGATCCCTATATAGAAGGTGATTACATCAGGATATGTAAGTCTGATGTTGTGAGAGATTTGAATACTCCACATAATACCCCTTTCTTTTGTTATCATCCCCAGGCAGCCATCTATTATCTGACTTTCCAATGGTTTGCCTAGAGGAAAAAAAAAACAAAAAACGATGATCTCTCCAGGCCCAAATAAATATCTGATCTAGATGTTATAGTCTTCATTGAAAATAATACACAGATCTCTGATTTATATATTAGTCTTCTACATGTTTCAGTAGAAGTTAGTCATTTTAAGCTTTATACCGTCTAAGTATACAATAAAATTTCTAAACTCTTAAACTCAGGATATGACTTGGGATGGGCTGAATACATTAAAATGTGGCTTCCATTTAGGGATCCATTAGAAAAAAATATGGCATTCATCTAACATATTGCATAACTCTAAAACTAAAAGCTTGTTTTCCCATGACCAGTGGTTTAATTAAGACTGATGAGAGAATGTAAGTGAAAAATATTGGTTTTAGTTACTAAGTAAAGATGACAAAAATTTCATTGTGTTTAAGAAAATTATTAGTTGAATCTAGGACTCTTAGGAAAGAATTTATCTGCCACGTTCTGGGAATGAACTAAAGTGTGTATGGGATTATATGTTACTACAACATTACACGTATTACCTCTTATTGTTACCCATGGAAAATTATAAAAATAAAAATGAGATACAAGATACATACTTAAGATTTTGACAATTTGAATACAACATAGAAGATACATTGCTTAATCTTACTGAATTTGATCATTTGGAGTAGGGCTGGTCTGATTCGTAGACTACCTTCAAAATTGCACATTCTTTAGCAAAAGTCCACCTTTAGGGAACTTATTTTAATAAATAACAACCTATAATTAGCATATCAGTTATGGTATATACTCGATTGCTTCCAAATTACTTTTGTATCAATTGAAACAATTTGTTTTGCAAAATATTATAAATTATCATCCCAGATATTATTTGTGAAACTGCCTTGTCTATTTGTAAATAGTTTTATAAGTAAACTTCTGACAAGCTCTTATTTAAATATTTATACATTTAGAATTGTATAATCTGAAATGAATCAAGTTCAACGGTAACATTTCAAGTGAAAAGCACCCTAGTCATAGAGGAAGAAATTAATACCTGATAATTTTGCTGCAGAATTATTATAAGATTGCTATTTTAGCAATACCCTCATAAATAATGTACTAGAAATATGAATTCAGAGCCTATGTAATTAATATTCTTTACACTGAGATACATGTAATATATTATCACATGATAATTAAGGTTAAAATTGTTTAAATTTTTAAATACTCTAAGTAAAAATGTTAAGAAAAAATATAATGTAAACAAAAGTATCAAAATTACTATTCAAAATATTGATATATACAAATTGTTTTTTAGTATCTTCAAGGGTATTAAAATGATGTTCCTAACTGATGAATGTTAATATGTTGTTCTTATTTATTTACTAGAAGGATTTCCAGTTGTATCTTTCCTAAATAATAACTACTAATCTTTTTCTATTTACAAGACAGTATACTGAGTCAAAATATGTATTTTTTTAATTTAGAAAGTCTTTTTTTCAGCTACTCGGGAGGCTGAGGCACTCCAGCCTGGGCGACAGAGTGAGACTCCGTCTCAAAAAAAAAAAAAAAAAAGAAAAAAGAAAAAGAAAATCATTTTTTCTTTAATCTTGAAGCCTTTCAATATTTTCACATATAAAATATTAATTTACTTGTATGTAAAACCTTTATAAAATTTTAAATGAGTAAATTCAATTAATTGCTTATGAAGGTTTAATGTTTTGTGAAAGAGTAATGGCCTATATGTCAAATGTTTAATTACAATTATTTCTTAAAAAATAGTTGCTATCTTAAATTTTTAAAAATTCTCCATGTTATTTGTCATTGATTAAAGACCCTGGAATATGAAATGAGCAAATATTATTCTCATTTTAAATTTGAGGACATTAGAACTTTGAAAGATCATGCAGCCTTTTCAAGTGATTCGGCTACTGTTCGGAGAAGCTACCAAAGAGCTAACTCTTATTCTGGTGCTTTCCTTATAATGTTATAAAATTGTGAAATAATGTGATGCAATTTGATAAAATAAGATGTAGATTACTATAACCTATAAAGTTTCTCCAGTTCACATGAAAATTAATCTAATTTAAATGAGATAAAATAATTATATATGTATATCTGTCAATTAAGTTTTTTAAAAAAGCACACATGCCTAATTATAACTGTGTGTATGCTACAATCTTGGCGTTATTTTAATATCTGAAACAGGATTTGGAAAACTGGAAGTGGCTTTTCTGTCATTTTGCCTCAGTAGTACCAATAAAGTCATATAATTATTTTTTATTTTATTATTATTATTTCCTGAGACAGAGTCTTGCTCTGTTGTCTAGTCTAGAGTGCAGTGGTGCTATCTCAGCTTACTGCAATCTCCGCTTCCAGGGTCAAGTGATTCTCCTGCCTCAGCCTCCTGAGTAGCTGGGGTTACAGGCGCCTGCCACCATGCCGAGTTAATTTTTGTACTTTTAGTAGAGTCGAGGTTTCACCATGTTGGCCAGACTGGCCTTGACCTCCTGGCCCTCAGGTGATCTGCCTGCCTCGGCCTCCCAAAGTGTTGGGATTACAGGCATGAGCCACTATGCGAGGCCTAGATAATAATTAATTTAAAAAAAGAAAGTCTTTCTGTAGTTTTCTTATATCACTAGTTTTTATAGGGATAAGTTTTAATGACCATTATTTTATTTTTCATAATATCTGTATTATAATATTCACTCACATAAATAAAATATGCAGAAATTTGCAAATTGGTGTTTTCTTGTCCCTTCTTAACAACTGCATAGGACACTTGCCTGGCCCCATAAAAATTCACCCTGGGCTCTAGAACAATCACCACAGCCCAATAACTCCAGGGGTTTGATTCACATCTTTAGAACTCTTTCTAGTCTTGACATTCACAACTTATTAAAAAGGCTTAGTTTCTTCCCAACCAAAAACACAACAGGATAAAAGAATAAAGAAAAAGGGTGTTCCCTAACTCAGTCTTAAAATAATTACACAGAAAATGAGTTGCATACCTCTGGGCTTGTAAAATAAAGGGAGGCAAAAGGAAAAAAAAATAACCAAGCACATTCTCTTTCTTTTAACTGCATGAGTAATATAGTGTGTTGAAGAAGAATATCATTATATCCTGGCCTGAAGTATTTTTTAAAATTATGTGTTATTCTCCCCTGATTAAAAAGTGAGTATAGCATGTGTGAAACAGCTTTAAAATATTGCAGTAAGAACTTTCTCACTCCACTTAAATAGAAGTTATTTCCTCCATAAACTCCTCAAACAAGTTTTACTTTGTAGAGACACTTGAATGACTTCCTTTTCATCAACTTAACTAACGTTATGCCCCAGAATCTGCCATTGCAAACCAAAGTGCAATGATGATGCAAAGAACATATGACAAAAGAAGTTATAAAATTTGGCTCTGCAGAAGATTTACAACAAAAAGCAGGTAGAATTGACTTAACTGTTCTCAACATCTTCGGCAAAATCCACATTTATCTTTTAGACTATAATGGGTTATTTAGTTCAGTAACATCTGACAGTGAGTACATTTTCAATGAATTTGCCAAAGGGGTGAGAAATGAAATTTCTTTTAGCTCCAGTTAAGCAATGGACACATTGCTGACTCTGTAGTCATTTTATCCTCTCTGTATAGAAAGGGGGAAAAAAAGGTTAATAATGTTAGGGCTTTGGCATTTGAAAGAATTAAGAATTAAGTTCTAGTTTTACCTATTATTACGTGGGTAATTTTGGGCAAGTCAATGGTTTCTTTCCTCCCTTCTGTCTCTTCCCTCTACTCCTTCACTCTCACTTTCTCTTCCCCTGTTCCTCCCTCTCTCCTTTTCTTTTTCTCTTCCTTCCTTCTTCCTTCCCATTTTAGTCTCTCTCCTCCTTTTATAAAAAACAAATTCAAAGTTGAGGACTGAGAGATATGGCTCACACCGGTAATTTCAGCACTTTGGGAGGCAGAGGCAGGCAGATTGCTTGAGTCCAGGAGTTTGAGACCAGCCTGGGCAACATGACAAATCCTTGCCTCTACAAAAAATACAGTAATTAGCCAGGTGTGGTGGCACACACCTGTAGTTCTAGCTACTTGGGAGGCTGAGGCAGGAAGGTTGCTTGAGTCCAGGAGGTGAAGGCTGCACTGAGCCATGATGGCTCTACTGCACTCCAGCTTGGGTGACATTATGAGACCCTGTGAGTGAAAGAAAGGAAAAGAAAGAAAGAGGAAAGAAGAAAAGAAAGAAAGAAAGAAAGAAAGGAAGGAAGGAAGGAAGGAAGGAAGGAAGAAAGAAAGAAAGAAAGAAAGAAAGAAAGGAAGGAAGGAAGGTAGGAAGGAAGGAAGGAAGGAAGGGAAAGAAAGAGAAGGAAGGAAGGGAAAGAAAGAAAAGAAAGAAAAGAAAGGAAAGAAGGAAAGAAAAGAAAGAAATTCAAATTGAAAAACACTAAAATTACAAAGGGAAAGCATGCAATTCTGAATACTTGAATCCTGCTCCTAAGAAGCATGCACTTTGTGCTTTTTCTTCTTTATTTAGTTGAATTTTCCTTGTAAATGTTTTTAAGAATAAACATTTATTTTTAAAATACTTTTTCATTTACTGAAAAATTGAGAAGATAGTACTAATTTTCTATAAATCCCTTGCCCAGCCCCCATAGTTAACATCTTATGTTAGTGTGTTACAGTTATTAAAATTAATGAATCAATGTTCATTATTTATTTATTCATTTATTTTTGAGATGGAGTTTCACTTTTCTTGCCCAGGCTGGAGTGAAATGGTGGGATCTCAACTCAATGCAACCACCACCTCCTGGGTTGAATCCCAGCTACTGCCTCAGCCTCCCAAGTAGCTGGGATTACAGGCGCTTGCCACCACTCCCGGCTAATTTTGTATTTTTAGTAGAGACGGGGTTTCACCATATTGGCCAGGCTGGCTTCGAACTCCTGGCCTCGGGTGATACACCTGCCTCAGCCTCCCAAAGTGCTGTGATTACAGGGGTGAGCCATCGCGCCCGGCAATGTTCGTTATTACTGTATCATGTTTGTCTCTGTTCCAGGATTTCATCTAGAGCACCACAATACTTTAAGCTGTCATATTGTTTTATGTGCCTCTGCACTGGAAGAGTTTCACAACCCTTTCTTGCTTTCGATGACATAACAGTTTTCAAAAGCACTGCTCAAGCACTTTGCAGAATAGCTCAGGATTCGTATGATGTTTTCTCATGATTAGATTGGGTTACGGGTTTGGAGGAGGACAGTCATAGAAATAATGTGCCATTTTCATCACATCACAATAAGAATATATACTGTCAACCTAACCTGGGCCATCTGGGTGAGTAATGTTTATCAGGTTTCTTTATTGAAATTTACGCCTCCCCCACCCCAAAGCCATTCCACAGTGTACTCTTTGCAAGGAAGACACTTTGTACAGCATGCACTTAAAGTGTGAAGACTTACTCTCCATATCTTGAGGGAGATATATCTACATAAATTATTAAACTAATTCTGCACAGATTTGTCTCATCTCTCCCATTTCTTATGTATTCATATCAGTATAATTCATGGGCATGTATTTTATACTTTGAGTTAGAATCCAAAAGTACTTTGTTTATTGTATGTCTCAAATTTTTCTAGTTATGCCCATTGGAACCTCCTTCAGTTGGCTCCTGTGTCCCTTTGACAAACCCTCATCAATGTATGTAGGTTTGTTTGTTTGTCTGCTTATTGGTTAGGTGGTTTTGGAGAACTTCTTTATTTTCTAGTACTACAAGAAGTTTCAGGATCATCTTGTATATTTCCTGCTGCCCCAGTCTTACAATCAGTGATGTTTTCAAGTTTACCTGAGTCTTTTCAGTGAACAGTGTTAGAAACATAGATGCACTAAGTGTGCTCATTGCTATTGGGATGTTAGTGCTTCTAGGCTCTCTCATCTGTCAGAATAAGAAAATATATGAATGTAGACTAAGCTGTGTAGTACTGTGCTTCCCCTATTCAATCTTATTCTCCTTCCCTGACCCACTAGTAACCACTGCCGTTTGTACCACTTACCGTAAATCTGTTTTTTCCAGAATGTCATATATTTGAAATTGTACCATACAGCCTTCTCAGACTGTCTTTTTTAAACGTATCAATATACGTTTTATATTCATTCACATCTTTTTGTCTTGATGGCTCATTTCTTTTAATCTCTGAATAATATTCCATTGTATAGATATATCATGGTTTAGTCATCTGTTGAAGAATAGCTTTTGGTAATTATGAATAAAGGTATTATAAACATTCACATAAAGTTTTTCATGTTGACATAGGTGTTCAAGCCAGATTTGTAAATATGCTGGAGTCTATTTCCTGAATCATATGATAAGGCTACGTTTAACTTCGTAATAAACTGCCAAGCCGTTTCCAAAACAGAAATAGCATTTTGTGTTCCTACTAGCAATGAATGACAGTCCCTGGTGCTCTGAATCCTTGCTCAGCAATTGCTATTTCCAGTGTCTTTGGATTATAGTTGTACTAATAGGTGTGTAGGAATATCAGGTAATTGTTTTAATTTGCAATTCCTGATGACATATGATGTCAAGTATCATTTATACACTTATTTGCCATATTTATATCTTTTCTAGTGAGCATCAATTCTTTGAACCACTTTCAAATTGGTTCATGTGTTTACTTTTGTTGGGTTATAATCGTTATTTGTATATGTTGGATAGCACTGGTTTAACATATGTTTTCTCGTGTCTGTGCCTTGTCTTTGCATTCTCTTACTGTGTACTAGACAGAGCAAAAGTTTTTAATTTTGGTAAAGTTCAACTACTATCGCTTCTTTCATTGATCATCCTTTTGTGTTATATCTCAAATCTCGTTACCCAACCAAAGGTCATCTAGACATTCTATGTTTTCTTCTGAAAGTTTTATATATTTTTGTTTCACATTTACATGTATGATTCAATGTGATTTATTTCTGTGAAAAATATAAGGTCTGTATCTGGGTTCCTTCTTTTTAATATGTACAACCACTTGTTTCATCTAGACATCCTACGTTTTCTTCCGAAAGTTTTATATATTTTTGTTTCACATTTACATGTATGATTCAATGTGATTTATTTCTGTGAAAAATATAAGGTCTGTAACTGGGTTCCTTCTTTTTAATATGTACAACCACTTGTTTCAGCATCATTTGTTAAAGACTATTCCTTTTCTATCAAATTGCCATTGTCTTGACTATTGTAACTTTATAAGTCTTGCAATCATATTATTTGAATCATCCAACTTAGTTCCTGATATGATTTGGCTGTGTCTCCACCCAAATATCATCTTGAATTGTAGTTTCCATAATCCCCACATGCCATGGGAGGGACCTACTGGGGGGTAATTGAATCACAGTGACAGTTACCTTGATGCTGCTGTTCTCATGATAGTGAGTGAGTTCTCACAAGATCTGATGGCTTTATAAGGGCCTTTTTTCCCTTTTGCTTGGCACTTCTCTCTCCTGCTGCCATGTGAAGAAGGATATGTTGCTTCCCCTTCCACCATGATTGTAAGTTTGCTGTGACCTCCCCAGCCAAAAGGAACTGAGAGTCAATTAAACCTGTTTACTTTATAAATTACCCAGTCTTGGATATTTCTTCATAGTAGCATAAGAACAGACTAATACAGTTCCTCTTCTTCAGCATTGTTTTGGTTATTCCAGGTCTTTTGCCTTTGCATATAAACTTTATAATAAGTTTGCAAGTTTCTATAGAATAGCTTGTTGTGATTTTGACTGAAATTGCATCAAATCTATACATCAACTTGGAAGAACTGCTATCTTAACAATATCGAGTCTTCTAATACATTAACATGAAGTATCTCCTCCTTCGTTTAATTTTTCGATCTTTTTCATCAGAGTTTTGTAGGAATCTGCACGTAGATGTAATAGATATCTCATTAGATTTATACCTAAGTGTTTCATTTTTGGTTTTGGGATGGGAGTATTGTAAATGGTATGTTTTTTAGAAATTCAAATACCAGTTTATCGCTGGTATATATGAAATCAATTAGCTTTTGTATATCAGCCATGTATCCTGTGTCTTTCCTATATTAGTTTATTTGAGGTTTTATTTATTAAATTTTGAAGACTCTGAGTTTTTCTACATAGACATTTATGTCATCTGTAAACCAAATGATTTGATTTCTTCCTCCCAAAATGTATATATTTATTTCTTTTCACGTTTACTGCACTAGCTAGGAATTCCAATATGATGCTTCATATAATTGATGAGGAATGGTATCATTACCTATTTCCAATTTTAAAATGAGATCATCCAGTTTCTCACTACTAAATACATTGTCCAATAGAGGTTATTTGTATATGTGCTTTATCAAGTTGAGAAAGCTCCCCTCTCTTCCTAGTTTGTTGAGAATTTTTGACATGAATGAGTGTTTCATTTAGTCAATAATGCAAAGGCCTATTTGCATTACATAATTTGTTAAAATATGTTGAAAATATTGGAAGATTTCAGTGTCATTTTACAAAGATTAAATAGACTTTTGGAAGTAAAAAATGGTAACAAAGTATGTATAAGGTATATTTATATTTTTAATAGAACTGCTTAGATTATAAGTAGTGTTTGAGTGTAGTGTCGTAGCATGGTTTTTTCCTCCAAAGATATTCAACCACTGGAAAAGCTGTCAAAGAAGCATATCAAGCTGTGCTGGAGTGGTCGTTTGACAATTTTATAACGCAAAGTGTCACTTGTACTGTCAGTTTAAATTCAGATTTCTGGGCTTCACTCTTTTAAGTGTATGATTTTATGGATGGTTTTGCTATGTGCTACTGATGCAAAGTTGATGCAAAAGTATTTGATAAATTTTGGTCTAGAGGTATGACACGATGAGTTCTAATGTTTATTCTAAACTTTGTATCCCATGAATTTAAAAAGATAAATGCTTCTAGCAGAGATGTGATTCAGCCTGGGCCTCAGATGATGAGTATAACTTCACAGTGAATCTTAACGTTGTTCAAAATGACATTGCCCAGACTGGCATTATCTACATCAGAAGACAGATAAGTCTTAAATCTCAACTAATTTTTAAAATATTAACAAATCCATCGCTGGAATAAAAAGTATTTGGCTTAATGAGGGTATCTTTCCAGTTGTCATATCTTAAATGTAATGAAGCAAAAAGTAGGTTGCATTTATTGCTTCTGAGGCAATAAATAAATGTATACCCAATGTACTCTATATTAATAAATGTTGATTTAATTGTAAACTTGCTGAGAAAACTGCAATATTTATTTTAGAATACAACTGCTTCTTGAGGTTAAGGAAACCCAAAGATACTTTAACAAAGGGGTAAGCTATTTCAGAAGCTGCTGCAAACTCAGCACTGTGCTTTTTAAAATTGACAGTATTTTAAGACTAAATGGTTGAACTGAATAATAACAATATTTCAGTCTCATAAAACCTGTTACTTATTAAGTCTGCATAGTAAGTAGATGCATAAGAACCTTATAATTCTATGATTTTCATCCAGGGAATATCATTTTTTATTTGAATAACTTTTCCCTGAATGCATTTAAAATAAGGAAGACAAGGAGTTTATGTGCAATTATATTATTTTAGAACATACAGTGGTAATTCATATCTATTAAATATTTAAGACACATTGCTATTCAAATATTTTCAAAGGTGTTACAAATCTAATCTCCCCTTCATTTCTCATTCTATTATCTTTTATCTTTAAATAATCATAATCAAGAAGTAAAGTCAGCTAGAATATGGCAGGATATGGCTACTTTTGACATGATAAAAGGCTTTATATAGATATTTTGTTATGGTAGTTTAAATATTTGAGATTTTAAAATTGTATGATTCCAAAAACAAAAAAAAGTAAGTGAGAAATAACTCTATTGTATTTTCAAACAGTTATTTTCATATTTGAAATTAGAAAATATTGACAGTATTATCTTAATTTGTATGCAACTATTAGCCAATGTATTAGACATATTTCACATTGAAGAAACCCTATATTAATAAGAGCACAGTTTTATATGATCAGGCATTCACACTGTGTATGGGCAAGTACTCTGATAGGCAAAGAAATATATCTAACTTCCAAGAACAGATACTTGTGCAAGTAAGTTTGTTATTTAACTTGGGACACTTACATATTCTTATTAAAACAATCTCATTAACCAGAGAATCTTATTCTTAATGTAGTCTTCCCTTGTCTTTTGGGCACATAGACTAGTTGATATGCTATCTTGTAATTTTTATTTGGTTATTAAAATTTTCCTACCCATAGCTTCTCATTTTCATCACAAGGCAGAATAAAACCCCAGCATTTTTCTCATTCTTGATTATGCCATAATGGTTTTAGAAATAGACCTCGTCTTCTTTCCTGGTCTTTGGAGATCTATTATACAACAATGTGAAAATAACCAAACATAGCAGAAACTCACAGGTAGAGCTTTAAACTCTTCCTTTGAAGTCATTACTTGGGGAACAGATGTGATTCATCATCCATATTGGTTAGAGAGAAAGAAGATATTAGACAACAAGCCCTGATAAAAGACAAAACTAGAGCCAACCAATTTGTTATAGTGTGAAAGAAACAGATACTGAGAAAAAGAATTGTATTCTTGTCAATTGAGCAGGGACTGGAAATGGAGGCTCATACTATTCCAACAGTCAACAAAGTAGATTTACTTCTTCAATGAGTATTTTTCAGGCCAAATAATATCACTGAAAAAAAGATCCATACCTTTAGATTTATTTTAAAGTACATCTAAACAGTGCTCAGTCACTGTCTTAGGTAACTCCAGTGTAGTGACTGAAAACATGGATTCAAACAGATATGGTTTGTTCTCTGTCTTTGCCAAATATTAGTAATATACAGTGGCTCATAGGAGCTGATTGTTAGTTTCTGTTTCGATTTCTGTGTTCAATGATCACATTTGTGGCTTGAAATAAGCCATGATATGGATACTTACACCATGGAACCAGGAAAATGCTACAAGTCAAGCCTCTTTCTGTCCCAATTTTTGTTATTAAGCAAGGCAAATCAGGCTCCATAACCTAAAGCAAACTGATTCAACTCTTTAACTCTCAGATTATTTCATCTATAAAACTGATCTAATAAAACTATGTATTTTTACAAGAATTATCTTTTGTAATGTTTTAAAGTACCTAGTCTAGTGACTGCTTCATAGTAAGTACCCCAAATGGTAGTGTGTCTTTATTATTACATGTTCACTAGAAATAAATCTACCAAAAATGTCTACCTGCAATAGATATAATAACATCATGAAAAATCATTATCTAGACAAGTGCAAAAAAGTATAGACATAGATGCTGGAATTCCTTATTGAATGATTAATTGTTAAATGAATTAAAACACGAGATATGGTTTGGCTGTGTCCCCACCCAAATCTCATCTTGAATTTCCATGTGTTATGAGAGGGACCCAGTGGGAGGTAATTGAATCAAGGAGGTGGGTCTTTACCCTGCTGTTCTCATGAGAGTGAATAAGTCTCACTAGATCTGATGGTTTTAAAAATGGGAGTTTCCCTGCACATCCATGTAGGATGTGACTTGCTCTGCCTTGTCTTCTACCATGAGTATGAGGCCTCCCCAGCCATGTGGAACTGTAAGTCCATTAAATCTCTTTTTTCCCAGTCTCTGGTTTGTCTTTATTAGCAGTGTGAAAATGGACTACTACAATAAGTTAGGAAAATATCTCAATAAGCTATCAATTAAATAATAAAATAAGTACTTTTGTGGGGGAAGGAAAGAATGCAATGCATTCACATTTCCTTCCATAAATATTTAATGACCACCTACTACTCGCAAAACATTGCTGATACTTTATAGGGGAAAATCTTACTCTCATGGAAGGCACCTTCTGTTCAGTGGGTATGGTCAATGAGCAAGTTAATTAATACAGACACACACAATGTCAGATGGGTAAGATAAGGGAATAGAAAGTGACAGGGCAGAAGGGAGAGACTACTATATTTAATAGAGTAGAGCCAAATCTTCTTTACTAAGGTAACATTTAAGTGGTTATGTGAATACAGTGAGAAAGAGTTGAGCCATGCAGGTATCTGGCAGCAGGACATTCACCATAGTGGGAGAAATAAGGAACACAGCATGATGCAGGATTACGATGTGTTTCACATATTCCAGAAACAGCAAGGAGGCCAGTGTGACTAGCAAATCTTCATAATGGGCATTTATAAACTGATGTATGCATTACAAAATTAGTTTACTCTGTAAATGAATTCAGTTCTTTGTTTCTCAATCATTATCACAAAATATCTCCCCCAAAGTTGCCTGAAATCCTAGATGCTGCCTAGTATTTAAGTGCCTACTCTGCACAAAATAAACTGGTTATTCAATTCTCAATCTTGTCACTTGCTCTGTGCCCAGAGGACAATTATTCATCTGCTCTCTTGTTATGTCAATCAGATATTAATTTGCTTACATTCATATAGTTAATCAATACTTCATCTTTTGGTCTGCCAATTTATTGTGTGTGTGTGTGTGTAGTTTCTGTTTGGCTTTGGTTGTGCTTTTTCTTTTTCTTATTCCCTCAAATTTCCTGCCTCCCATTGGCTTAAAAGTTTTTATTTTCTCTTTTGTACTACCATTATTTTACTGCTATGCTCTGACATGACTTGTGAAATAATAAATCACACAGTACTATTAATAATTACACATACATATTTCACAAAACTACTTAAAATTATCTTTTTCTGATAATTGGAATGTTTCTCTTCCTTCCAAACAAGAAAAAAAATTCCCTTTTCTTTTCCTCTATTACTGTTTATATAGGATTTATTTACATATTTTGAAATGTAGAAAGCTACTATTATCTGTTTCTGAGATATTATTTACATACTTGAAATGTAGAAGTATTAAGAATATAGTTCCTTCAGTTTTTAAAAGATGTATTTATTTGAGTAAACCCCATCTTTTTTTCAGGCACAGAGCATTAACATCAGCCTGCAAGTTCCTTAAACTCCTTCCTAGTCAATTCCTTGCAGAAATCAGTGATCTGATTTTTATCCACATAGCTTAATTTTTCCTATTCTTGGACTTTATAAAAACTGAATTACGCAGTATTTACTCTTCTATGAATTACTTCTTTCACTAGTCATAACGGTTTTAAGATACATTAATGTTCTTGTGTATATAAATAGTTTGATTCTTTTTTCAAGAATTACTTTCTTATTCATATCCACCATTGCATATCTATTTCCTTGTTGATGAACAGGTGGGCAGTTTCTAGTTTGAGGGTATTATAAAAAAGCCACCATTATATTACTTATGTAAGAGAGTACAGAGGTTTTTGAAGTCATGTTTTCTTTATCTTAGATAAATATCTAAAAGTATGGTTACTGGATTGTAGGGTAGTGTATGTCATGGCTCAGAACACAATAACCCAAAATATGGCCTCGTGGCAATTGAGAATGCTTCAGAAGCAAGAAAGTCACTCTGACCCTCCTTTGCCATTCTGTGTAATGAAAGATCATTACCAATTTCTCTCAACTACCACAATTAAAAATAGCTTATAAGATCCTCATTCCAGAGCAGTCATGCCCCATACACAGAGGAAAGGGATGTCACAGACACAGAGATGCAGAAAAGCTCTAAACAGGTTTTTGCTGAATTCCCCCAAGTTTATTACCATTAATAATATTTACCAGGCCGGGCACGGTGGCTCATGTCTGTAATCCCAGCAATTTGTGAGGCTGAGGCAAGTAGATCCCCTGAGGTCAGGAGTTCGAGACCAGCCTGGCCAACATGGTGAAACCCTGTCGCTACTAAAAATATAAAAATTAGCAGGGTTTGGTGGCAGGCGCCTGTAATCCCAGCTACTTGAGAGGCTGAGACAGGAGAATCACTTGAACCCGGGAGGAAGAGGTTGCAGTGAGCTGAGATCGCACCATTGCACTCCAGCCTGGCAAACCAGATCAAAACTCTGTCTCAAAATAATATCAATAATAATCACATTTACAATACCATTTTTGTCCAACCACTTTTCTACACAACTATCCACTTCTTTCATCAGACTTAGCATAAAAGTACATAGTTTTCTCTCGGTCTTTGGGTTTTTTCTGAAGATTTTCATGTGTAATGTAAAAGTTTGTTACATTAATTTGTCATTGCTTTCTCTTGTTAATCTGTCTTTTGTTAATCTGTCTTTTGTTATAGAGGTGCCAGCCAAGACCCTTGCAATGTTTGAGGAAAAGATACTACATTTTCTTCCCTACACGCATATTTTACATTTAAAAAAATCAAACATTCAAATGGTTGTGTCAATGTATTTTCTTACTACAAATCTGTAGAAGTTTTAATTTTTCCATATCCTTGCCAATATTTGTACTGTTGATTTTCTTTTGCTTTAGTTTTTTTGTCATTTCAGTAGGTGTAGATTGGTATTTCATCCTGATTTTAATTTGAATTTCCTGAAGGCAAATGATGTTGACCACTATTATGTACTTACAGGCCATATGTTTTCTTATATACTCATTTGTGAAACTTCTATTCAAGCCTGTTACTTATGTTTGAAACTGATAAAATATTATTATTCTTTATGTATTCCAGATGCAAACACTTTGTTGTTGTTTTTTAACTTTTATTTTAGGTTCAAGGATAGATACAGAGATTTATTATATAGGTAATCTCGTGTCACGGGGTAATATGATTTGGCTCTGTGTCCCCACTCAAATTTCATTTTGAATTGTAATCCCCACACGTCAGGGGAGGGACCTGGTGGGAGGTGACTGGGTAATCAGGGTGAATTTTCCCCTTGCTCTTCTCATGATAGTGAGTTCTCCCAAGATGATGGTTTAAAAGTGTGCGGCAGTTTCCTGTTCACTTTCACTCAGTCCCATGCTCCACCATGGTACGATATGCTTGCTTTCCTTTTCCTGCTTGCTATCATTGTAAGTGTCCTGAGCCCTCCCAGTCACAATTCCTGTTAAGCCTATGGAACTGTGAGCCAACAAAACCTCTTTTCTTCGTAAATTACCCTGTCTCAGGTAGTTCTGTATAGCAGTGTGAGAACAAACTAATACAGAAAATTAATACTAGGAAAGTGGGGTACTGGTATAAAGATACCAGAAAATGTGGAACTGATTTTGGAACTGAGTAGTGGGCAGAAGTCGAGATAGTTTGGAAGGCTCCGAAGAGGAGAGGAAGATGTGGGAAAGTTTGAAACTTCCGAGGACTTTTTGAGTGGTTTTGACCAAGATGCTGATAGTGATATGGAGAATAAGAGGCTGAGGTGGTCTCAGACGGAGATGAGGAGCTTGTTGGGAACTGGAGTAAAGGTCACTCTTGCAATGCCATATAAAAGAGACTGGTGGCATTGTGTCCCTGCTCTAGGGATCTATGGAACTTTGAACTTGAGAGATGATTTAGGGCATCTGGTAGAAGAAATTTCTAAGCAGCAAAGTAGTCAAGATTTGGTCTGGCTGCTCCTAACAGTGTACGGTTATTGGTATTCACAAAGAGATGATCTGAAATTGGGACTTATGTTTTAAAAAGGGAAGCAGAGTATAGAAGTTTGGAAAAGTTACAGCCTGATCGTGTGGTAGAAAAGAAAACCTCATTTTCTGCAAAGAAATTCAGGCTGGCTGCAGAAATTTGCATGAGTAAAAAGGAACCAAATATTAATTGCCAAGACAATGAGGAAAATGTCTACAGGGCATGTCAGAAACATTTGCGGGAAGCCCCTCCCATCAGAGGCCCAGGGGCTTATCATATTAAAATGGTTTGGTGGGCCAAGCCCAGGGTCCAGCTGCCCTGTGAAGCCTGGAGACATAGCGCCCTGCATCCCAGCCATTCCAGCTCCAGCCATACATAAAATAAGGAAAGGTACAGCTCAGGCCATTGCTTCAGATGGTGCAAGCCCCAAGTCTTGGTGGCTACCACAAGGTTTTGGTCCTGTGAGTAGGCAGAAGGCAAGAGTTGAGGTTTGGGACCCCCTGCCTAGATTTCAGATGATGTATGGAAATGCAGGGATGTCCAGGTAGAAGTCTGCTGTAGGTGGGGAATCCTGATGGAGAGCCTCTGCTAAGGCAGTGCAGAGAGGAAATATGGTGTTGGAGCCCCCACAGGGAGTGCACACTGGGGTACTTCCTAGTGGAGCTGTGAGAATAGGGCAACAGTTCTTTAAACCCCATAATGGTAGATCTACTGATAGTTTGCACTGTGCACCCAGAAAAGCCACACACACTCAATGCTAGCTCGTGAAAGTGGCCATGGGGGCTGTACCCTACAGAGCCATAGAGGCAGAACGTCTCAAGACCTTGGGAGTCTACCCCTTCCATCAGCATGCCCTGGATATGAGACATGGAGTAAAAGGACATCATTTTGGAGCTCTAATATTTAATGACTGCCCTTCTGGGTTTTGAATTTGCATCTGGCCTGTAGCCACTTTTTTGGCCAATTTATCCCATTTGGAATGGGAGCATTTCCATGAAGTTCTCCATAAGGACTCCACCCCTGCAGCAAACTTCTGCCTGGGCACCCAAGTGTTTCCATACATCCTCTGAAATCTAGGCAAATGTCCCTAAAACTCAATTCTTGACTTCTGTGCACCCACAGACTCAACACCATATGAAAGCCACCAAAAATTGGGGCTTGCACCCTCTGAGTTAATGGCCCAAGGTGTACTTTGGACCCTTTTAGCCACAGCTGGAGCTGAAGCAGCTGAAACACGGGGCACCACATCCTGAGGCTGCTCAGAGCAAGGTGGCCCTGAGCTTGGCCCAAAAAAGCATTTTTCCCTCCTAGGCCTCTACGAGGGGAAAGGCTGCTGGGGTGGTCTCTGTCATGGCCTGGAGACATTTTCCCATTATCTTAGTGATTAATATTTGGCTTCTCATTATCAATGCCAGTATCTGCAGCCAGCTTAAAATTTTCCCCAGAAAATGGGTTTTTGTTTTCTATCGAAGTCAGGCTGAAAATTTTCCAAGCTTTTATGTGCTGCTTTCTTCAAATGTTTTGTTGCTTTGAAATTTTTTCCACCAGATACCCTGAATTATCTCTCTCAGCCTCAAAGTTCCATAGATCTCTAGGGTAGGGGCAAAATGCTGCCAGTCTCTTTGCTAAAGCATGGCAAGGGTGACCTTTACTCCAGTTTCCAGCAAGTTCTTCATCTCCATCCGAGACCACCTCAGCCTGGACTTCATAGTCCATATCACCATCAGCATTTTGGTCAAAACCAATGAACATGTCTCTAGAAGTTCCAAACTTTCCCACATTTTCCTGTCTTCTTTTAAGTCCTCCAGACTGTACCAATCTCTGCCTGTTACCCGGTTCTAAAGTCACTTCCACATTTTTGGGCATTCTTACAGCAGCGCCTCACTCTCTGTGGTGAGTGAGAGTTGAAAACAAACTGTATTAGTTTGTTTTCATGCTACTGATAAAGAAATACCCAAGGCTGGCTAATTTATAAAGAAAAGAGGCTTAATTGACTCACAGTTCTGCATTGCTGGGGAGGTCTCAGGAAACGTACAATCATGGCTGAAGGCAAAGGAGAAGCAGGCATCTTCTTCAGAGTGACAGGACGGCAAGAATGAGTGTCAGCAGGGGAAATGCCAGATGCTTATAAAACCATCAGATCTCATGAGAAATCACTACTAGGAAAACAGCATGGGGGAATCTGCCCCCATGATTCAATTATCATCCATCTCGTCCCTCCCAGAACATGTGGGGACTATGGGAATTACAATTTAAAATGAGATTTGGGTGGGGACATAGTTAAACTATATCAGAAGATTATAATTTGATAGTGTATAATTTGTTGAATTTAACTGATTTTTTGATTTCTGTATTTTAACCCAAGATTGCTGAGTTGTTCATATTTTATTCTTTTTGTTTGGGTTTTCTGGTTTGAAATACATTATTGGGTAATTTGTAAGAATCTATTGGTAGTATATATTCTTTGTATATCTGAAAATTTCATGTAATAGTCTTGTCTGAATGGCTAGGAAATTCTATGTTGAAAGTTATTTGTTTTATAGTAATCTTACTGTAATAAGTTTTATTTTCAATCATATTTTTATTCCTTTGTATGTATATTTTCTCTTTAGTTGGGATTTAGAGATTTTTCTTCATCCTTAACATATTGCTGTCCCATTATATAATCAGTATAAAGTCAGTGCACAAAGATAATTCATATACTTCTTTAGTTCAACAATAGTTTCAGCCATATTTCCCTGAAAGTTATCCCTGTTATTCTATTAGGAAAATATTAAAATATTAAAAATTTATTCAGTGTTATCTATGCTTATAAATTTATTCTTCATATTTTTACTTTTTTATTTCCCTGTATTTTTTATTCTTCCCCTAAAGATATTTCTCTTGAGTTACAATCTAATTACATTTCTAAGTTATTTTACATTATTTAAGTTATTTTAAAATACACAATTAAGTTGTTATTGAATGTCATCACCCTATTGTGTTATCAAATAGGTGGTCTTCCCTATATTTTTTTATTCTTCAGTGCTATTTTCCAATTTAGAAATCCAATCTAACTATATATAGGTTTACTATTATTCCACTTGTTGTGCATACTTTGTATTTCAAAGCATGTATGTATTTTCTTTTTTTTAATTTTTAAATTTTACTTTAAGTTCTTGGATAATGTATAGAACGTGCAGGCTTGTTACACAGGTATACATTTGCTATGGTGGTTTGTCGCACCTATCAACCCGTCATCTAGGTTTTAAGCTGCACATGCATTTGGTATTTGTCGTAATACTCTCCCTTCCCTTGACCCCCACTTCCGGATAGGCCCCACTGTGTGACGTTCCCCTCCCTGTATCCACGTGTTCTAATTGTTCAACTCCCTCTTATGAGTGACAATATGCGGTGTTTGGTTTTCTGTTCTGTGTTAGCTTGCTGAGAATGATGGCTTACAGCTTAATCCGTGTCCCTGCAAAGGACATTAACTCATTCTTTTTTATGGCTGCCTAGTATTCTATGGTATATATGTGCCACATTTTCTTTATTCAGTCTATCATTGATGGGCATTTGGGTTGGTTCCAAGTCTTTGCTGTTTTAAATAGTGCTGCAATAAACGTATGTGTGAATGTATATTTACAGTAGAATGATTTATAATCCTTTGGGTATATACCCAGTAATGGGATTGCTGAGTCAAATGGTATTTCTGATTCTAGATCCTTGAGGAATCACCACACTGTTTTCCACAATGGTTGAACTAATTTACACTCCTACAGTGTAAAAGCATTTCTATGTCTCCACAGCCTCGCCAGCATCTGTTGTCTCCTGACTTTTTAATGATGGCCATTCTAACTGGCATGAGATGGTATCTCAGTGTGGTTTTGATTTGCATTTCTCTAACGACCAGTGATGATGAGTTTTTTTTTTTTTCATCTGTTTGTTGGCCACATAAATGTCTTCTTTTGAGAACTGTCTGTTCATATCCTCTGCCCACTTTTTGATGGGGCTGTTTGTTTTTTCTTGTAAATTTGTTTAAGTTCTTTGTAGATTCTGGATATTAGACTTTTGTCAGATGGGCAGATTTCAAAGATTTTCTCCCATTTTGTAGGTTGCCTGTTCACTCAGATGCTAGTTTCTTTTGCTGTGAGGAAGTTCTTTAGTTTAATTAGATCCCATTTATCAATTTTTGCTTTTGTTGCCATTGCTTTTGGTGTTTCAGTCATGAAGTCTTTGCCCATGCCTATGTCCTGAATGGTACTGCCTAGGTTTTCTTCTAGAATTTTTATGTTTTGGGTTTACATTTAAGTCTTTAATCCATCTTGAGTTAATTTTTATATAAGGTGTAAAAAAGGGGTCCAGTTTCTGTTTTCTGCATATGGCTAGTCAGTTTTGTTTTTGTCACGTTTCTCAAGGATCAGATGGCTGTAAATGTGTGGTGTTACTTCTGAGTTCTCTATTCTGTTCCATTGGTCTGTATATCTGTTTTGGTACCAGTACCATGCTGTTTTGGTTACTGTAGCCTTGTAGTATAGTTTGAAGTCAGGTAGACTGATGCCTCCAGCTTTCTTCTGTTTGCTTAGGATTGTCTTTGCTATATGGGCTCTTTTTTGGTTCCTTATAAAATTTAAAGTATTTTTTCTAATTCTTCAAAGAAAGTCAATGGTAGCTTGATGGGAATAGCATTGAATCCGTAAATTACTTTGGGCAGTATGGCCATTTTCACAATATTGATTTTTCCTATCCATAAGCATGGGATTTTTTCCCATTTGTTTTTGTCCTCTCTTATTCCCTTGAGCACTGGTTTGTAGTTCTCCTTGCAAACGTCCTTCACATCCCTTGTATGTTGTATTCCTAGGTATTTTATTCTCTTTGTAGTAATTTGAATGGGAGTTTACTCATGATTTGGTTCTCTGCTTGTCTATTGTTGGTGTACAGGAATGCTTGTGATTTTTGTACATTGATTTTTTATTCTGAGAAACTGCTGAAGTTGCTTATCGGCTTGAGAAGTTTTTGGGCTGAGATGATGGGGTTTTCTAAATATATAATCATGTCATCTGCAAACAGAGACAATTTGACTTCCTCTCTTCCTATTTGAATAACCTTCATTTCTCTCTATTACCTGATTTTCCTGGCCAGAACTTCCAATACTATGTTGCATAGCAGTGGCCAGAGAAGGCATCCTTGACTTGTGCCAGTTTTCAAAGGGAATGCTTCCAGCTTTTGCCCATTCAATATGATATTAGCTATGGGTCTGTCATAAACAGCTCTTATTATTTTGAGATATGTTCCATCAATACCTAGTTTATTGAGTGTTTTTAGAATGATGTAATGTTGAATTTTATCAAAGGCCTTTTCTGCATCTATTGAGATAATCATGTGGTTTTTGTCATTGGTTCTGTTCTGTGATGGATTACATTTATTTATTTGTGTATGTTGAATCAGCCTTGCATCCCAGGGATGAAGCTGACTTGATCATCGTGGATTTTTGATGTGCTGTTGGATTTGGTTTGACAGTATTTTACTGAGGATTTTTGCATAGATGTTCCTCAGGGATATTGGCCTGAAGTTTTCCTTTTTTGTTGTGTCTCTGCCAGGTTTTGGTATCAGGATGACCCTGGCCTTATAAAATGAGTTAGAGAGGAGTCCCTTTTTTTCTATTGTTCGGAATAGTTTCACAAGAAATGGTACCAGCTCCTCGTTGCACTTCTGGTAGAATTTGGCAGTGAATCTGTCTGGTCCTGGGCTTTTTTGGTTGGTAGGGTATTAATTCCTGCCTCCATTTCAGAACTTGTTATTGGTCTATTCAGGGATTCGACTTCTTCCTGGTTTAGTCTTGGGAGGATGTATGTGTCCAGGAATTTATCCATTTCTTCTAGATTTTCCAGTTTATTTGCATAGAGGTGTTTACAGTATTCTCTGGTGGTAATTTGTATTTCTGCGGGATCGGTGGTGATATCCCCTTTATCATTTTTTATTGTGTCTATTTGATTCTTCTCTGTTTTCTTATTAGCCTAAGCTAGCAGTCTGCCTATTTTGCTAATCTTTTCAAAAAACTAGCTCCTGGATTCATTTGATTTTTTGATATATTTTCTTTCCAAATTTTTCTACTGGTTATTTTAAAACCCATCATTTCTTGATGTACATTTATTTATTATTTTATTACTTTTTAAATGTACAATATTATTCAATTTTTTAGGACCTTAAACCTAATGAATGTTTGTTAACTTCTAAGCCATGTTGGCAGTTTCCTACATAGTAATTTGCTTATTATATGGGGAAATTGGTCAAAGATAAAATGAAAATGTCCAGAAAAAATACTTTCTAGTTAATAGCTAGCATATGAGACAGGATGGCAGAGGTTTCTCAGCATTCAAAGGTTATGATGGCACATTAACTCTGGCTTGAAGAAGCAAGAAGAACAATTTGCAAAGGAAGGACTATTTCCTAGATCCTGTTAGTGTAGGAATCAAGGGAAATAAATTCTAATAAGGTGGAGACCTCATAGAAAAGTATCTTAGCCTTTAATACTGCACATACGCAAGTTCGAGTACCCTTGCTTGAAAACCTGGAGAGTCAGAAGCCATCCATGAGAACACTGAGCACCTAAAATTAAATTTAAAAAGAGAAAAGAGAAAACAATAAAAGCACTGAAGTATAGATGAGAGAAAAGAGGATAGACTTAGGAAATATAAGTCTTTTATTTAAGTTCTTCATTCGTGAGTTTTACAGTTTTGGGTAAGTAAATTTCTGAATTTTCATGTCTGAAGAGTGGGTATTATAATACTACTCCCTAAATTCTAATAATGTAATAGAGATTATGTTACTCTCTGTAAATTTGAATTATTTGGAAACTGTAGCACCATACAAATATCCCTTATTATTAAGCTATAACAGATACTGTAGTTACAAATAATGTATATTTCAAAATTGCTGAAAGAGTAGATTTTTAGATGTTATCATCAAAAAACAAATGATAATTATGTGAGGTGATGGATATGTTAGTTAGATAAAATTAATTATCCCCCAGTGCATACAGGTATCTTAAAATATCATTGTATACCATAAATATATACAATTATTATTTTTCAATTAAAAATAAAATACAATTTTAAAAATTCAAAAAATATGTTATTACGCTTTGCCTAAAAACAACTTTGTATCAGTAGTGGCTTAAATAATAGAGCCCCACTAGAAATAGAAGAATATATGTCTTAATATACTTTAAAAAATATGTATTTATTAAATATGAAAAAAATGTAAGTTATTTTTCTAGATGTGCCAGTTAATACCCTATAGGTACTGGAGTTATAACACAGAAGAGATCTGAGTCCATTAAATTTAGAATATATTGCAGGTTTGACACTTGTTAAACTTGTGACTTCTAAAACTATGATAGCACCATAAATTTGTATAGGGATGTTTTTATTAAATGTGAGCAATTACTCTTAATTCCTAATACACGACTAGCACATAGTAGGCACTTCAAAATATTATTACTATGGAAGTATAGGAAAACAGCTTTGAAGCAAATTTGCTAGTTCACCGCACTCACCTTCAGTTGAAATTTCACTTTACAGTAAGTGGGGGAAGTGAGTCATTCAACTCCCTAGACTCAAGGATCACATTCAGACAGCCATCCCTATAATGAGAGCACCAGCATGGAAATCTATTGCCCTGCTATCAAAGCACTGGACCAGCACAGGAGAAAGTTTCAATTACATGCGGGACAGATGTCTTGCCAGTGGTCATAGATGTGTGTTTGCCTTTAGTGTCACCCTATAAAACCTATGATGGCTCAAGTTTGCAAATTCCTCATCACAATTTCAGACTAAGGAAAGTCAGTTGTAATGGAATTCCTTTCCTGATGAAAATGGCAATAATTTGCAAGACTGAGCCTCCCGTCGTTCAGGTTGTTGCTGCTGTTTTCAATGCCTAATGAATCACTGTGCAACATCTCATTGCATCTGAATTTATGCAAATTGACAATTAAACAAGGGGGTTATTTTAGTCAAATCAGTCAGATATTGTATCCATTTCAAATAATAATGTAAGCATAATTGACAGTGCATAATTAATGATTAGCTAAGGCTGCTAATAATTAAATGATAAGAAGCTATGAGAGGAGGGAGGCTCCAGTATCTTGGGCTGTAAGCCAGAAACAGAAAAATATATTTGCCTCGTTTCCTCACATCACTGGAACCCTTTTCTAGTTGCACTCATAGCGATGTCCGCATCTCAGGAGGTTGGGCATTTGCTTATAGTTTTCTAGAAACTTTCCTGAGGAAGTTAAGTAAATAAATACTTTGGTTTCATAGAATCCTTACTGGGTTTAATCCTGGATTTTTCTGTTTTTGAATCCTGGCTCTAACACTAACCAACTATATGACCTTGGGAATGCTATGTAACCTCACTAACTGAGCTTCCACCTTCCTAATTTATAAAACAATTGTTGTGTTTTAACACCACTTATATATGATTGTAGTGAGGATGAAATAAAATATTAAATATAAATGTCTTAATTAGTTCCAGAAACTTAATATATGAGAAATATTATTTATTGTAACTGTGATGACCATTTCTTTTGCATGCTCCTTATCTCTCTTTTTGCCTTATAAAAGGCAACTTTATGCCAACATTTAAAACATATTGTTTCAGCTTCCCACATTAATGACTGAGAAATTACAGTTAAAATGTATGCAGTCACAACACCAAAGACACTGCATGAAACAAATTATTAATAAACTTAACCTCAATACAATTAAAAATTACTGTTCTGGTGAAATACATTGTTAGGTGAATGAATATAGAAGACACAGACTGGAAGAGAATATTTGCCAAAGATATATCTGATCAATGACTGTTATTCAATTATATGAAGAACACTTAAAGTTCAATAATAGGAAAAATAACCCCCTAAAATGGGCAACAGGCTTGAACAGACAACCAACAAAAGAAGTTATATTGATGAAAAGTAAGCATATAAAAAGATGTACCACCAGAGAAATGAAAATTAGAACAATAATGAGATACTCAGACACATCTATTAGAATGGTCAAAGTTTAAAACACGAACAATGGCAAATTCTGGGGATGATATGGAGTAACACAAACAATTGTTGATGGGAATGCAAAATGGTACAGTTACTTTGGAAGACTGTTTGGCAGTTTCTTACAATGCAAAACATAATCCTACCATAGCAACCAGCAATGACATTCATTGGCATTTAACTAAATGAGCTAAAAACTTATGTCTACACAAAAACCTGCACACAGATGTTTATAGCAACTTCATTCATAATTTTCAAAACTTGGAAGTGACTGAGATGTTTTTTCAGTAAGTGAATGAATACATTAACCATGCTGCATCCAGACAATAGAACATTATTCAACTCTAAATGGAAATGAGCTGTCAAGCCATGAACATACAAAGGGGAAATATAAATGGACATTAGTAAGTAAAATAAGACAATCTGAAAATACTACACACTGTATGCTTTCAACTACATGATATCCTGAAAAAAGGCCAAACTATGGACCCAGTAAAAAGATCAGTGGTTGTCAAGGGTTAGAATGGAAGGAAGAACGAATAGCAGAGCATGGAGGAGTTTTAGAGCAATGACACTACTCTGTATGCTACTACAATGGTAGATACAAGTCATTATATATTTGCCAAGCCCAGGGAATATACAACACCAAGAGTGAGCCCTAATGTAAACTATGCACTTTGAGTGATAATGATGTGTCAATGTAGATTTACTGATAGTAACAAACATACCTCTTGGTGTAGGATGTTGATGGAGGAAAGTTGTTTATATAGAGAGCAATGAGGTATGTGAGAACTTTGTGCCTTGTGCTCAATTTTGCTATGAATGTAAAACTGCCCTAAAGTCTATTTAAAAACATGAAGTCTACAATATATCAACTTTCTTGCTTATGGCAAATCTCAAGTCTTATTAGATGTCGTTCCTCTTGCCCCTAGAATGATCCAAATCCCACATGTTACTTATATCTTGTTAATTTTTTTCTTATTCTGGAATATTCTGCACACTGTATTTCTGAGTGTCCTCTCCATTCTCTGACACTATTTTATTTTTTTATTACACTACAGGGTATTTCACGGTATCTTAAATACTAATACAAATACCAAAAAGGCATTGCTGAATTATTACTGAAGTCAAAATTCCTTTTTTTATTCCAGTAAGACTTTCTTCCCCAATGTAATGTTAAAACTGTTTATTATATTCATATTATGAGTGCTCCTAATAACCATGCCAAAACTCAACAGCTTTAAACAATAAACCCTTAATCACCTCATGAGTCTGGGAATAAGAGATGTAGATTGCTCATGGTTGGATATTGCTTTCAATCTCTGCCATGCTCAGTCCCATATGTGGGGTTGACTGACTGTCAACTTATTTAGGTTGTTCTTGCTTGGGGTGACTGGGCCATTAATACTCTCACAGCTTTTCTCTGCATATAGCTCTAAACCCCCATCGTGTCATCACAAGCATGTTTTCAGGGAGATGACAGAGGTACAAGAGAACAAGAAGAATATACAAAGATATCTTCAATATTGTATGACTTCATTTCTGCTAACACATATTCATTATGAATCCCAAGGCTAAGTTCTGATTTAAAAGGCAAGGGTAGGTCTTCCTGCCCACAATGAGTTGGCACTGGACAGTTACATGACAAAGTGTGAGAGTGAAGGAGGTGAATAATTAGAACCAAGTAATTTAATCTGCCATCTCCATCACCCCTTTATTATTATTATTCAGTTTATAATTTACAGATCATAAGTGACCCTTTAGATGATAGAAATGAAAAATGAAAAACTTTAAAATGCCAGTTAGCATACAAATAGGCACATCAATCAGTGGAACAAAATAGAGAGCCCTAAAATTAACCCACATATTTACTGTCAGTTGGTTTTCAACAAAGTGGCCAAGAATATACAATAGGTAAAAAAAAAAACAAAAAAAACAAAAAAAAAAACCAGTCTCTTCAATAAAATTATTGACAAAACTGGGTATCCACCTGCAGAAGAATAAAACCGGCCCCTTTTCTCACACCACATGCAAAAATCAACTGAAAAAATCAATTAAAGACTTAAATGTAACACTTGAAACTGTAAGACTACTAGAAGAAAACAAGGGTGAATAACTGGATGGCAACGGCCTGAGCAATGATTTTTTTGGATTTGACTCCAAAAGCTCAGGCAACAAAAATAAAACTAGAAAAATGGGGTTAGATCAAACAAAAACGCTTCTGCACAACAAAGTAAAAAATTAACAGAGTGAAAAGACAACCTGGGAACCTTTGGATTGGGAGAAAATATTTGCAAGCCATGTATGTAACAAGGAGTTAAAACCAAACATATACATGAAACTAAAACAACTCAATAACAAGAGTTGTTAAATAAATTGACGAAGGACCTGAGTAGATATTTCTCAAAGAAGACACGCAAATAGCAACAGATATATGAAAAAATGTTCAACATCACTAATGTTTAGGAAAATGCAAATAAAAGACAAAATGAAATATCACCTCACACCTGTCAGCATGGTAATTATCAAAAAGGTAGAAGATCAAAGATGAAAGATGAAAACGGTGAGGATATAGAGAAAAAGGAACTCTTATACACTATTGGTGGAAATGTAAATTAGTATAACCATTGTGGAAAGCAGTATGGAAGTTCCTCAAAAACTTAAAAGTGGAATTACCATATGATCCAGCAATCCCACTTCTGAGTATTTACGAAAACGATTTGAACTCAGTCTGTTAAAGAAATATCTACACTCTCATGTTCATTGCAGCATTACTCACAATTGCCAAGTTATGGAAGCAATGTAGGAGTCCATCAATGGATAAATGGATTAAAATGTGGTTTATATACCTAATGGAATATTATTCATTCAGCCTTTAAAAACAGAGAAATTCTGTCATTTGTGACAACAAGGATGAACCTGGAGGACATAATGCTAAGTGAAATAAGCCAGGCACAGAAAGACATATACTGCATGTTCTCATGTATATGTGGAATTGAAAACAATCACACTCACGGAAGCAGAGAGTAGAGTGGCAATTACCAGCGGCTGGGGGTGGGAGAAATGGGAAGATGTTCATCAAAGGGTACAATATTTTAGTTAGAAAAGAGGAATAAATGATAGGTATTTGAGGTGATGGGCATGCTAATTAGCCTAATTCAATTATTCCACATTTATACATATATCATGCATCACTTTGTACTCCAAGAATATTAAAATTATAATTTGTTACTATTCAATAAAATGAAAATATTAAATTTTAAAACATTAGACTTAAAGAAGTTTTTCTAAAAAAAAAAAAAAAAAGAGAAATACCAATGGGTAGACAGCTTGAATTTTTTCCAACAAAATGACATAAGGGTGATGACTTGAAGGCAAAAATGGATTTCCTATTTCTAAATTTTTTACTGTTATGTAAGAAAACTCAGAGGAACACTAGAAGTATTCTAGAAATTTGCTTCTGGTGTGTGTGTGTGAGAGTGTGTGTATGTGTGTTTGTGTCTAAGCAATCAGCACATTCATTAGTTGATAGGCAATTCACTAGTCCCATTCAATTATGTAGGATATACTGAGATTACACAACATGCCTCATAGTGCAATTTATTGACTTGTATTTTATATAAGTGTTTCAGTTCACATGGCTGCATAACAAACCACTACAAATCTTAGTAGCTTGAAACAGCTCTTTATGTTGGTCACTAATCTGCAGTTCAGCAGGACTCTGTGGCGTCTCATCTGTGTTCCACTCAGCATCAGCTGGGGCATTGTGGAGGCTTGGGGACGGTTTGCTCACTTATATTTTTAGTTTTAAGAAGATTCAAACTGATGGCTGAAATAGCTGGGGATACTCAAGCATCTGTTTCTATCTTCATTTGACTACTTCAGCATGAATGCTTCAGGATAAATAAAACACAAGGATTTCACAGTTATGTCCCAAGAGAGAAGAGAGCCAGGTGGACGCTGTATCACCTTTTGTCACCCATTGAATCCATGCAGTGTCACTTCCATCAAATTATGATCCCTATTTGAGGGGACAGTATTCAGATTTTATCTTTTGATGAGAAGAGTATCAAAGTTCTGGGGGAGTATGTGACAATACTTATATTTCTATGGTCATTTTTGGAAAGTGCAATTAGCCACAGATGCCATAAGACTATAGCCCTGTGGTAGGGCCCACCAAGATGGCCAAAGGAAGTTTCTTCATTTCAGCACTAATCCATGGAGGACCCCAGCATTTAAGCTGATAAGCTGATAGTTTGTAGCCCCTATACCCTTTAAAACAATCACCATATGCCCCATTTCCTGAGAACTCTTCTCTTCTAAGAAGAAAGCTCTAGTAAGGGCTAATCAAATAAATTGTCTTTGAGCATGTACAATATTTTCAAAATTGTTGATATTTATGATTTGCTAATTTATTTTTAGAGTTGGGGTCTCACTATGTCCCCCATGCTGGAGTGCAGTGATGAAGCCATAGCTCACTGCAGTCTCCAACCCCTAGACTCAAGCCATCTTCCCACCTCTATTGTCCAAAGGCCTGGGATTACAGGTGTGAGCCACCAAGCCTGGCAGCCATGGTACCCAGCGTTATTTAGACAAGAAAATGTGTTCCCCTTTCAGATTATACAATACTGGATTCTAATTATTCCACTTAATCATATGCTAAATTAGTCATTATTTGGCTTATATTTTTGAAATTAACCTATGTATTTATTTCTTTTCATTTCTCCCCAAAACTTTCCCATTAACACCATCATCAGAATATATGATCTATAACAAAGGAAACACATGTTGTTTTGCATTTTACCACTATATTCTCAGCACATAAAATAGTTAAATGAATGAATAAATTAAAATCAAAATAAGTTGTTACTATAAGTAAATAAGGGAGATATTAGGGAAATAGAGCCAGACTTTTACAAACAATGTATAAGAAGCAGATAGGTTTTGCCAATAAGTTTGACAGAACTTAAGAGTTGAAGCCCCCATGTCTCAGTCTGTTCTTCTACTATAACAAAGTACCATAGACTAGTGGTTTACAAACAACAGAAATTTACTTCTCACAGTTCTGGAGGCTGGAAAGTGCAAGATTATGGTGCTGACAGATTGGGTGCCCAGTGAGGGCTGGCTTTCTGGTTCATAGATGATTGCCCTTTCACTGTGTCCTCACATGTTGGAAGGGTCAAGGAAGCTCACTGTGGCCTGTATTATAAAGACAATGATCCTATTCATGAGAGCTCTGCTCTCATGACCTAATCTCCCAAGAGCTTTACCTCCCTATACCATCACCTTGGGAGTTAAGATTTCAAAGTATGAGTTTTGAGGGACACAAATATTCAGTCCATAGCACTCCACATAGAGTAGGTTTCTTTTGTGTTTGCATGCAAGAGAAATGAGGTTATTCAGATTCTTCATGAGCTAAGAGTTATACTGTACTAAACAGCAAATTGATCCTTTTCAATATATCCTCCGTAACTGAAAAAAAGTACTACAGAAACTTCCAGGATGTTTATAAAAACAAACTAAACTAAATAGGATCTAAAAGCTCTTCAAGATTTCTTAAAGCTCTTACAAACTGAGATAAGCCATTTCTGTTTCTATAAGAAGTTTTAGCAGCTCTATTTATGAGTAGAGCTCAGGCCTGCATGGCGAGAGAGTCCATTGAAAGAGAAGGCCCTAAACAGCTTTTTCCCAGAGATTGTTTGAAGTGGGACCATGGATAAGAAATTTAAGAAACTGAAGTATTATAAGAACACCATTCCTCCTTCTCAAACTGTAGATGATGATTAAAATCTAACACAGATCTTTGTTACTTTAGAGTAAGACTTTGATTTCTAAAAGGCAATACATTGACATTGAAGTGAATAAAACTTTTATTGCCGTCATATATCACTGACAAACCTAGGGGAAAGAGTATAAATGTCAGAGAAAGACACCCCTGGATTCATATTCTAACTCTAACGACTATTAGCTGAGTGTCATTGGGCAAAATACTTTACCTTCCTGAGGTTCAACATTTTCCCCTTTTTTTAATTGAACATACAAAAACTTAGTCCACTGTTTGCTTTTTACAATTTCATGAAATTGCATATTTAGGTATGAAAACAGTGCCCAATTAAGCAAAACTAATTGGTCCCCAGATTTCTTCTAAAAACGTGCCCTTAAAATTAGATAACTTACATCCTTTCCCAGGAAAGGAGTGAAAAGTGGCTGAGAGAGTGCAAAGGATAGACACACCATTTGCAGGCGAGCTAAGGAATTGTGCATAGTGAGACCAGCTTCCTTCATGATACCTCTGAGGACTATTGGAATTTAAACGTATTCAAGGGGGCAGTTGGTTAAGAAATATTTAATAAGGTTGTACAATGTACCAGGAACTGTGGGAAGCAAGAAAATGTGCCCCAGAGCAGAATTCCACAGAATCGAACGTCATCACATTTCAATAAATATCTCAACAGTCTCTTCTGCTTCAATGTGAGTTTTTGCAGTGTGAATAAGCTCCCATGTGCTTGATAAACAGGGGGCTTATGTTAGCATAATGGACAAGTCATATTAGCTCAAATGTGATTTTTCCCAGCCAGTTAATTTTTGTGTAATATCAGCTGAGCCCAGCAAGCCATTGAGGAAAACAGGCCTGTACCTCGTGCCCATTCTTCTCCTGTGACTCCAATTGACCACCTGTTCTGTTTGGGGAGTCGTTTTCCTGATTTGCCTGCATTTTGACCTTGTCCCCATGACTCAGCAACCTCAACTCTTCTTGACTCCATTTTGTCAAGCTGCTTTTCCCTTTTCTTTTTAAGGCAAAGTCCTATATTTTTCAGAGTAGTTTGTTTGTTTGTTTCTATAGGATTTAGCGTGTTTTCTTTGTGCTAGTATTTTGATGTGGATTGCAATTGTTTCATTATCATTTTGTTTGTATCAGGTTGGGAGTCACCTATACCAATCCTATTAACATTTTCGCCAAAAGCCCTATTTTTATGCACATTTTTTCAGAATGCTTTTAAAAGCCACATTATAGAAGAGTTTTTGTTACTAACTTCCATAAAAGCCAGAGAAATGGAGGTTACACTTGAACCTTTACTTAGAAACTTTCTCTAAGATTTGTACCCTGAGTTCTAACAACACCAGCGACAAACACTGTAACAGCCAATCTCTTCTACTGGAAAATTTCCTCCTGGATACCAGAGTTCAGTGTACCTCCTATGTGGTCCCCAAACCCCCTTTGCTTTTTAACACAACAGTAATCTCATGTTAATATAATTTCTCATTGATTTCTCAATGTCAAACACAGATTCTGTCTATAATAATTAAAGTTGTAACAGTTTATCATTATTTTGCACAACATTTACCCTATTGTCTGATACATTACAGGGTATCAAAAAGCAGTTCCTGAATGGCAGAATGAATTAATGTTTCACAGTGTGCACATATCAGAGGGGAACCAGAAAATTCATCAAGAGAGTCCATGTCCACAGTTATCATGAGCACATCATCATCGATATCAAATTCAATAGGTGATTGCAGCTTATATTTTTTAGCTTTTGTAGGCTACCCAAATCACATCATTTCCAGCGGTCCTATTCTACTTTAGATCAATCATTCTTAAGGTAAGTTTTATTGCCACTTTTACAGGTGGTAAAATATAAAGACCAGACAGTTAAAGCAGTTTGACTACAGTGAGAACAGGTATTTCGGGTTCCACAGCCTCACAACCCACGTGTTCTCTTTCCTGGCCAGATTGGCCCTGAATTACTACAATTATTCCCAGGGATTCCTGCTTAGTAAGATTTATGAAAGGATTATTTAGTATGCAAGGTTTTTGATTCCTGACACATTATCCTTTCTGTTCCTGTGGGCTAAGTAGATGAGGAATTAACATATTTTGTATGGATTAATACTTTCATTTAATATCTCTGTGGAGACGGTTTTACAGCATTGTGTGATGTTTTGTGCATGCTGATTTGAAGAGGCAGGAAAGAGAATGCTTATTTGTTGACATTTTGGTTTTGGTAAATAAAGTGACCTTTAGCGTTCAGTCACACACTTGAATTTAAGTAAAGATAAATGAAAATCTGGAAACCGTGGCTAAAAATCAAGTATATTTAGAATGAGATGTGCGTTGTGCTCAGAGGAAAATAACTTATTTACTCCTTCCGTCTGGACTGTTTTCCTCTAAAATATCCAGATATTCATGAAGGACAGATTAGACAAATAAATCCAAATCAAACAGTATTATTTTTCTTTGCAAAGGCATTGATAATATGATTTTCTTAAAAGACTAAGATGTAGGCTGGCGCCGTGGCTCACGCTTGTAATTTCAGCACTTTGGGAGGCCGAGGTGGGTTGATGTCCTGAGGTCTGGAGTTCCAGACCCGCCTGGCCAAGAGGGCGAAACCCCGTCTCTACTAAAAATACAAAAATTAGCTGGGTGTGGTGGTGGGCACCTGTAATCCCAGCTACTCAGGAGGCTGAGGCAGGAGAATCACTTAAACCCAGGAGGCGGAGGTTGCAGTGAGCCAAGATCGCACCATTGCCCTCCAGCCTGGGAGACAAGAGCAAAACTCTGTCTCAAAAAACAAAAAGATAAGATGTAAATCATGGTAGCCCCTGGCACCACACCTTCATGCATTTCTCCCAGAAAGATTTATTTAGTGTATGTTATGGTACAGGTACTGTACTAACTGATGGAGCTAAGCTCTGTAGGAGAATTAAAAACAGGATAAGAATCCATGCTTTTAAAGAAAGAAGGGTTTTTTGTTGTTTTGTTTGTTTGTTTTTCTTGAGACGGAGTCTCCCTCTGTCGCCCAGGCTGGAGTGCAGTGGCGCGATCTCGGCTCACTGCAGAAAGAAGGGTTTTGTATATCCTTTTTTTATCTGCATTTTGAGAGTGCACCCACTGTGCAGATAGAAGTAAATCCACAGACACAGATTCAGCCTTTGTCTAGATAAACATGAACTGGGCATTTTTTGCTGTCAGAGAAGTTTTGGGAACGGGCCAAGTACAAATTATTTTACAACAAGCCAGTGGACTATCAAAATGAATTCAAATGTCTATCTCTCCTTACCCCAACCTACATATACACATATGCCTATTTTGGTTTACCTTTTTATTCCTATTTTTAGGTTTATGTAACACCTTCTCCAGAGACATTCCATAGTGCTGCCAGGTTCCCTGTTGATCAGTCTCTTCCCACTGCTTTACATCCTGTCGGCAGTACCAGAACCTCCCCAGGAATGTCCGGACCACCATCCTCCTTTGACCAGATGCAGCTATAACGATACTGGCCTCAGCAAAGAGGTGATACATGAAGGTCACACATTCCTATACCTCAGTCTCATAATTTTCTGCTACGCCACTAATACATGACCGATGTGTGTGGATAGCAGAAAGATTGTAACAGAAACATAGAGAAAGAGCAGAGGGGAGACCTAGCACTATTTTTTAATACAATTTTCTGCTATATTATGAAGGAGTGACTGATACGTGGGGGTAGCAGGAAGAAAAAAAAACACAGAAAGAAAGAGAGAAAGCTGGCATTCCTATAGTCCATTATATTGCAAATTCCCCCATCCCCTTCCCCCTCTTTTGAGCACCTCACCCTCTATGCACAGAACCCGGTATCCCTTTAGGATCTCAACCACTTCCTTGCCTGGACAATGGCATATAGTAACTCACAGAGCATAGTGTCTGGTTTTTGAGAAATTCTTCTTGAATACCTGAAAGGGCTTTATCAGAACACTCAAAGAGTGGGTCTCTGATGGCTAGTTTGGCGTTTCAACTTGACTGGGTCACAGGGCACCCAGACATGTGGCCAAATATTATTCTGAGTGTGTGTGAGGGTATTCCCGGTTGAGTTCACCTTTGAATTAATACACAGAGTAAACCGGATTGCCCCTCCCAATGTGGCTAGGGCTCATTAAGTCAATTGAAGGCCTGAATAGAACAAAAAGGCTGCATGAGCGGAAACCCTTTCTGCCTGACTGCTTTGCTGAACATCAGTCTTTTCTGGCCTTCTAACTTGGACTGAAACATGTACTCTTCTTGGGTCTTGAATCTGGTGCTTTTCAGACTTGAACTTAAGCATAGGCTCTCCTGGTTCTCAACCCTTCAGATTTGGACTGGAACTACACACCAGCTCTCATGGATCATCAGCTTGCCAACTTCAGATTGAAAGAGAGCGAGAGGGAGAGATTCAGAGAAAGAGAAAACCAATAAGAGATATATATATGTACACACACACACACACACACACACACACACACACACACGATGATTCTGTTTCTCTGGAGAACACTGACTAAGATAGGTCCAGTCTTATTTAAGTCTTGTGGCCAGTGCGAGATGAATGTATGTTTCTTTATTCTTTTTTTTCCTAGTAACTTTTGATGTATTGTGCAAAGCACGACTGCAAACACTCATATGCACACTCATTCTCATTTACATATACTCTCCAAATATCCTGTGAAACAATAGAAAAAGGAGAACCATTTTCCCAAAGGTCACATAATTCACAGGCATTACCACAGTCTGCAAATTGAGTACATATTTCACATTACCATGCAGAGTCATTTTAATTCTTTTCCTTATCCTTCTTTTCTACACTAATTTTTGAGGCCAGCCTGTGCAGTAAAAATAATTCTTATAGATTTTAAATTTTATTTGCCGTTAGTTTTCAAAAAAATGGATGATATCAACAACCCCCTGTTATATCAGCACCCTGTCCTTAACTCTGCATAAATAGGGTAGAAGCTCTGAAATTTAAAGTTTTTTGTATTTTTTTTTCCTTTCGGGCATCTAAATTGAATTTCTGGGCATTTGTGCTTTTTCTCCCAGAATACTCTGTATGTAGAAGAGGAGCAGTGCAATAAGGATTTGTTTTGCCCATTGCAGAGATAATCCCCAGGGTTCCCAGCAACCCAGGGCTTCATGAGAGACGTCCCCTTACACTTAGGCTTGTGAATCTCATTCATGGGTGGATGCCACCTGGCATTGCAAATGCCACAACTCCCTCATTATGATCATATAAGCACATTGAGAGCAGGGGTTTGGTCTGTTTTGTTCTTTGTCTTATGCCCCAGCTCTTAAATCACTGCCTGCACATAGTTGGTTCTCAATAAATAGGATCAAAAGCATTGCAATAATTCATGCTTCCATAACACACTTGTTGGGGTGTACTGGTGCCAGGAACTGTAAGAAAGAAAGCTAAGTGGAGTGTGCAAGAGAGAATGCCAAGACAAATGTAGCAGACTTAAATTCTAATGACAGTTACAGACATAGAAGGAAAATGCTAAGCAGTAGCTACAAGGAAGGAAACAATATAGAGAGGCATCTATGGCCCAGCATCGTTTTCTGTTTTAAGCTTATTGTATTTGAATGGCACATTGCATTTTGTTTGTCAGATCTTCCTCTGTTTATGTGCAGTTAAGCAACAAGACAAAACATTTTATCTTATTTCCATTGAAAATTTTGAGTTCTAAAGTTTTTAATGAACAAAAGCATAAAAATTGAATTATAGAAGAAATAGATACCCCTATAGCAATACTACAAGTATTTCAGAGTGATGTTTTTTAATGATAGATTTTTTAATTTAACCATACTGATTGGGTCATATTGTTATTAGCCTGCTTGGTGTTCATCTGAAAATATTATTATTATTTTTTTTCTTTTCTGGGATGGAGTTTTGCTCTTGTTGCCCAGGCTGGAGTGCAATGGCACATCTTGGCTCACTGCCTCTGCCTCCCAGGTTCAAGAGATTCTCCTGCCTCAGCCTCCCGAGTAGCTGGGATTACAGACGCCCGCCACCATGCCTGGCTAATTTTTGTATTTTTAGTAGAGATGGGATTTCGCCATGTTGGTCAGGCTAGTCTCCAACTCCTGACCTTGTGATCCACCCACCTTGGCTTCCCAAAGTGCTGGGATTACAGGGGTGAACCACCACGCCCAGCCAAATGTTATTTTTTAATGACCTGAAATATCAGTTCAGCTATTTTGAGACATTTGTTATAATGTTGGCTTACTCTCAGGTTCTGTAAAATCAGCTGCTTAAACTACGTATTGCTAAAGTGAAAAGACTTTAAATATAATAAACTAGATGACAGAAAAACATGGTAAATATTTTTAAAGTTATATATTACATCTCAGGACTGACTAGTAAATTTAGTCATTGGAATTTACAATTTTACTTCTGATAAATATTAGTGAGTTCAAAAATCGTTAAATGGGGAATTTGAGGGAAGTAAAGAATCAAAGGTTAATTCCTACATGAAATAAAACTTTAAAGACTTTAAATATTCTGTATTTAAGTCAATATGGCTTCATCCAGTCACAGAGCACAACAGTAACAAAAAAGCAATTAATATTTACTCATCATCTCTATTGTGTCAAGCCACAGAATAAGACCTGGATTCCTAAAAAAAAAGAAAAGAATTCTATGCTAATAACAAATGATCAAATTTAAACTTTAAAATAAATTTGTAAGGTGTTTACTCCTCACGTGCCTGTTTAACAAATGAAGCTATAGTGAGAAGTTTATGGTGGTTATTTAACGACACAAGGCCAGTAAATGTCAGAACTTGGGTTACAATTCGTTAGCTGTCAACTTTGTTATTCATGAAGTAATACTGCCTTTTACAGAGGGAAATGGGGAGAAAAGAAGAGGAAGGAATAGAAGGAACAAGTGTAGAATGAATGCATGGCTCTGAGGGATATTTGTGGGCTCTCTCAGTTTAGATGGCAATTTATACATAAGGCATGTATGTCTTCCTGCAGGCTCCAGCCAGAGTATCTTAGCTTTAAATTGGCTTCTACCTTTTGCTCAGCAACTTGGACATTTGTGCAAATTTGCAATGACTCTCTTTGCTGTTCCCCTCTTTGGTTTTGGACATTGATACTTCACAAATATCTCAACCACACTCCTCATTATTAACACAGCAGTCTCAACACACTCTTACCTTCTTGTCCCAACTTCCAGAACCTTGCCCCAGGACTCAGTTCCAGGACTTCCTGGGCACCTGAAATGAGAGTTCAAGGACATTTTATCATTAGAAAATTCATTGCCAAACATTTTTTTAAAGCTTATCCAATGGATATAAGCCTTAATTCTTGATTCTGCCAGATACATACACTAACAACCAGACAAAAAAAGGAAAACAAAGTTCAAAAAAACAAAAAAAGAGGTAGTTATCAATGCGTCAGAAGAGTGTGGAATAGCTTATTTTTTGTTCTAGGCTTATTATTCATTTTCACCTAAGTGTTACAGCTCTGAGTGAAGAGTAGCCAGCCTTTTTTAATCAATCCAAAATCTTTTTTGGTTCACTGTGCAAAAAGAAAGAGATTTGGCACTGCCATTTCATTTTGTTTTTCACTTGTCCATCAATTCTTTTCAGACTCCTCGGGGTGAGTAAAATACAGGTTTGTCAACCCTGTGGAGTATCTGATACGGGATTAAATTTACCTGCTGCTTTAAATTGCCTCAATCCAGGACATTTCTGCAATCATTTCCCTTGATTATTGAATTATGTTTGCAATTTTAAACACTTAAAAGACAATGTCCAAGAAGAATTTTATTTAAAAAGAGAAACACATTGGTTTGTGACAGAGGGAAATTTTACTAAGTTTTTCTGTACTTCTTGAATGTTTCATTTCCAAAGATTTAATTAGTGTGGAGCACATAGTACATTGCTATCAAGAGTTAATAGACAATATTCAGCAAACAAGCATACTGTCTTTATAAACAAGTATTCCTCTGAAGGTGTGGTTTGAAATACAGAGTTTCAGATCTCTGATGATAGAGTTGTGTTTTTGATGCAAAAGCATTAACTCAATAATTCCAGCATGTTGTAGTATGGACTACATTAAAATCCAACATGGCCCTCTGGGACTCATTATGAATTTTTTGGGCCCAGCATTTTTGCATTTGTGTGCTCTTTCTTCCAATAAATAGATGCATTTCTAAAGCTGAGTTGTATTATTGTTTTGGTATAAAGATGAATGGAGTCCAGTCTAATCGTGTTACTTTATTTTTCTGATTTTACTATTATTATTTTTTTTTTTCAGAGAGTGAGTCTCACTCTGTTGCCCAGGCTGGAGTGCAGTGGTGCAATCATAGCTCACTGTAACCTTGAACTCCTGGGCTCAAGTGATCCTCCCACATCAGCCTTCTGAGTAGCTAGGACTACAGGTGTGTATCACCATACCTGGTTAATTTTTTAAAGATTTTTTAAAAGTTGGGCAGTTTGCTATGTTGCCCAGGCTGGTGTTGAACTCCTGCCCTCAAGTGATCCTCCTGCCTCAGCTTTCTAAAGTATAAAGACTAAGGGTCCCCATAACCAGCCCAGATTTTACAATAAGTAAGAGCATTGATTTGCACTCTTAATATAGCCACAGGCCCTAAAATACTACAGCTTCAGTGCCTGAAGTGTAAGTCAATTTTGTTGGCCTTGCTGAAGTTCAAGGTGGGTGACTATACACATGGTGTGATTTCAAGATCTGTTTGAGATTCAAATTTTCCAAAACCATACAACTTATTACAGTTCTATGTTTCCTTGGTCATTGACGTAAGATGTTTACTTTTTACACTGTTCATTTAGTAAAAGATCTGTGGTTGTTATGGACTTTATGAAGACATATTTTATCCTCAGGTGACAGAGGTTATCAAGATAAATTTGTTTTTGTCTATGGAGTTCTCAAAAGTTAATTTTTCAGATTATCTAACTGGGATTGTGATAGGAATAGAGTGTCTGACATCATAGGTTGGTATTAAAGGAGTTGTATAGAGGCTCTGAAAGACTGGAAATAGGGTATACAGAGAGTGCTCCCATCTGGTTCCAAAACCTGCTCTATCCACAGACTTTCTTTATTCAGTTAATGCCGCAATTTCATTCTAGGTGCACAGGACAAAAGCCTGAGACATCTTTGGTTCCCTATTTTTTCTCATACCTTCTACTAAATCACATCGTCTCTAACCTTAATAAAGATTCACTTCTCTCCACATCCCATTGCTATTACTCTTGTCTAAACAATTATCACCTGTCTGAAATATTGCAATAACCACAATTGGTCTCCATGTTTGTGTCCTTGCCACTCTTGTAGCCCTTCTATATTAGTCCACTTTCATACTATATAAAGAACTGCTTGAGACTGGGTAATTTAAAAAGGAAAGTGGTTTAATTGACTCACAGTCCAGCACGGCCGGGGAGGATTCAGGAAACTTACAATCATGGCAGAAGGCAAAGGGGACGCAAGGCACCTTCTTCACAAGGTGGCAGGAAGGAGAAGTGCTGAGCAAAGTGAAAAGAGTCCCTTATAAAACCATCAGATCTCATGAGAACTCACTTATTATCATGAGAGGAGAGAAATTGCCTCCATGATCCAATTACCTTCACCTGGTCTTTCCCTTGACACATGGGGATTATGGGATTATAATTCAAAATGAGATTTTGGTGGAGCCACGAAGCCTAACCATATCATTCCACCCCTGGCCCTTCCAAAATCTCATGTCCCTTTCACATTTCAAAACCAAGCATACCTTCTGAACAGTCCCCAAAGTCTTAACTCATTCCAGCATTAACCCAAAAGTCCAAGTTTAAAGTCTTATCTTAGACAAGGCAAGTCCCTTCCACCTGTGAGCCTGTAAAATCAAAAACAAATTAGATACTTCCTAGATACAATGATAGTACAGGAATCAAATAAATGTTACCATTCCAAATGGGAGAAATTGGCCAGAACAAAGGCTGCAGGCTCCATTTTTGTCCAAAATCCAGTGGGGCAATCAAATCTTAAAGCTCCAAAATGATCTCCTTTGACTCCATGTCTCACATCCAGGTCATACTGATGTAAGAAGTGGGTTCCTGTGGTTTCAGGCAGCACTGCCCTGTGGCTTTGCAGGGTACAGCCCTATTCTCAGCTGCTTACATGGGCTGCTATTGAGTGTCTGTGGCTTTTCCAGGGGGCCAGTGCAAACTGTCAAAGGATCTACCATTCTGGGGTCTGGAGGAGTGGCCATCTTCTCACAGCTTCACTAGGTAGTGACCCAGTGGGGACTCTGTGTGGCAGCTCTGACCCCACAGTTCCCTTTCACACTGGCAGAACCCTCATGAGGGCTCCACTCCTGCAGCAAACTTCTGTCTGAAAATCCAGGCATTTCCATACATCCTCCGAAATCTTAGTGGAGGTTCCCAAATCTCAATTCTTGACTTCTGTGCACCGTCAGACCCAACATCACATGTAAGCTGCCAAGGCTTGGGGCTTGCATTCTCTGAAGCAATTGCCTGAGCTGTACATTGGCCCCTTTTAGCCAAGGCAGGGATGCAGGTCAGCAAGTCCTGAGTCTGCACAAAGCAGCAAGATCCTGGGCCCAGCCAAGGAAACCATTTTTCTCTCCTACACCTCAGGACCTGTGATGGGAAGAGCTGCTGTGAAGACCTCTGACATGCCCTGGAGACATTTTCTCCATTGTCTTGGCAATTAACATTTGGCTCCTGAATACTTATGCAAAATTATGGCTTGAATTTTTCTTCAGAAAATGGGTTTTGCTTTTCTATTACATTGTCAGGCTGCATATTTTTCAAACTGTTATGCTCTGCTTTCCTTTAAATCGTAAGTTCCAAGTCCAAATCCTTTCTTTGTGAATGCAGAAAACTGAATGCTTTTAAGAGCACCCAAGTCATATCTTGAAAGGTTTGCTGCTTAGAAATTTCTTTCTCCAGATACCCTAAATCATCTCTCTCAAGTTTAATGTCCCACAGATGTCTAGAGCAGCAGCAAAGTGCCACCAGTCTCTTTGTGAAAGCATAGCAAGAGTCACCTTTATTCCAGTTCCCAACAAGTTTCTCACTTCCATCAGAGACCAGCTCAGCTTGGACTTCATTGTCCTTATCACTATCAGCATTTTTGTCAAAGCCATTCAACAAGTCTCCAGGAAGTTCCAAACTTTATCACATGTTCCTGTGTTATTCTGAGCTCTCCAAACTGTTTCAATCTCTGCCTGTTACCCAGTTCGAAATTTGCTTCCTCATTTTCAAGTGTCTTTATGGCAGCACCCCACTCTCTGCAGTATTAATTTACTGTATTGGTCTGTTTTCATATCACTATAAGAAACTGCCTGAGTCTGGTAATTTATAAAGGAAAGAGGTTTAATTGACTCACAGTTCGGAATGGCTAGGGAGGCCTCAGGAAACTTACAATTGTGGTGGAAGGTGAAGGGAAAACAAGACACCTTCACAAGGTGGAAGGAGGGAGAAGTGCTGAGTGAAGGGGGAAGAGCCCCTTACAAAACCATCAGATCTTGTGAGAGCTCACTCACTATCACAAGAACAGCATGGGGAAAACCACCTCCATGATCCAATTACTTCCACCTGGTCTCTCCCTTGACATGTGGGCATTATGGGGATTATAATTCAAAATGAGATTTGGGGTGGGGACACAAAGCCTAACCAATCACCTTCCAAACACAGGGGCCAAAAAGATGCTGTTAAACATTTTATTAGATGTCATCCACCTGCTTCATACCCTTTGCTGCTCACCTCTTTTCTCACAGAGTAAAAGCCAAAGTCTTTACTGTGATTTATGCAGCTCTACACAATCTGGCTCCTCATTCCCTCCTTATGTCATCTTCTATTTCTCTCCTCCATAATGACCACATGGTAGACCAATAAAGCTCCTGGAATCTACTGAGCACTTACTGCCTCAGGAACTCTGCACTGATATTCTCTCATATTGACTTTTTGGTTGGTCCTTTCTCTCCTTTAATCCATACCATGTTTCTGTCATTTTCTCCATGAGACTAACACTGTCCACTACTTCTAATCTCTACCATAGACTCTACCTTAACTCTCTTCCCAGATCTATTTTACCGTATAATTTTAACCTTTCAACATAGTATTTTATTATCTATCATTTATTGATTACTATCTGTCTTCCCAGGGACAAAGATTATTTATTGTCAATTTTTATCTCTGATGGGCTTATAAACCCTAGGACCATTCTTGACAAATAACCATCACCTGGCATCTCCAACATTATGCATTGTTTTTTGGAAGAAAAGGGGACTTTGCCAATTTTAATATTTTACCTGAGGCCAGTGCCAGAAACTAGAATTAAAAGAATAATATATCTCTTTTTTCTTTCTTTATCGAATTTTGCTCAGGCAGAGCAAAAATAAAATTTTGATTAAGTCTAGTCTTTATTATTCTTCTAATGAGTACCTATGATATTGATTTAGAAAACTCATTGAATGAAGTCCAAAGGCCCCTGTGAGTCCTTAAAACATAGGGTTTTAATGACTAATCTAATGACCAATAGATTGAATAATTAGTAATGTGAACATGGCTGCACTTGGCATTGCTCAACCTAAAAAGAGACCATGACTAGAAGTAAAGATGAGGCTTCTGGACAGAGGTTCATTGATAACAGAAGAAATGGCTGTTTTGGTTAATCCTTCCCCTCTGCTATGGATATCCTGGAATATTACATCATTATCCTACCCCAGCTGAATCTAAAATCTATAGAAGTATAATTTTGTCTTGAATATGAGTATTTAGGAATATATAACTTCAAAATTTAGGAGACATTTAAAAAATAGTTTAACTATTTTAGTGCTTATTTTAATATTAAAACCTTTTTAAGGTTATTTTGGAGGTTTTCATAGAGAGACCTAAGACTATGTTCCAATGCACTCTACAAAAAGGACTTCTGGGCTTTCATGAGGAAGTCAAAATTCTGGCAAGATAAATTGATAATAGTGCAAGGGTTATTCTAAAAAATCAAAGCCTGTAGCTTACTTTAAAAAACCAACTTGCAAAGAAGCAATATGTTAAAATAGAATACATCAATCGGTCAGCACTGGCCTTCTCTCCTTTGTAAAGTGCTAGAGAGGAAGGCTGTATATTGATTATGTGATTCTGTTCAGTAGCACCTTTCTGTCTTTCACACACACACACACACATACACACACACACACACACACACACACACATTCACTCTTCCTCTCTCTCTCTCTTTCTCTCTGGTTTGGAAACTCGTAATATTTTTTCCATGAGTATTATTGTACAGGCCTTCAGCAGGCTCTTGACAAATTGGGGAACCCTTATTTTCTATAATTTCTATCTCAAATTAACAAATTTTTTTTGTAAACATAAAAAGAGCTTCCACATATACTTATACGGAGGTGTTTTGGTCAACTATTGCTGTGTGACTTACAGCAATTAATAGTAGAAGACAATACGAATGTATTGCTCTCATGTGTTTGCAGGTTGGCTGGGGCAGCTGTACTTTATGCTAAGTAAAGTCAGCTAGTGAGGCTCAGCTCTGCACATCTCTTTCAACTTGTGGGGCCTGTGGGCATGACTAAGGCTGTTTTATTTTCTTAGTGAAGATACAAGCACAAGAGCATTCGTTGAAATACACAAGATTGCTTAAGGATTAAACTAAGAGTTTATGCAAGGTCATTTTTGCCCAAATCCCATTAAAAAAAGCAAGTTCTATGGAAGAAGCCAAAGTAAATAGCAGTAGAGTATATTTCATCTTTCCTAGGAGTTACTTTAAAATCACATGCTAAAGAACCTACATCCAAGAACAAGTTCAGAATTAGGCCCAATATTTTAAACTACTGCAGAAGATTTTGCAAAATAACAAAAGACAGTATTCAGATTTTTTATATATTAAGTATTCTTGTATATAAAAAAGCTCTATGGGTACAGTCAAATAGAAAAAAAAATCTGAATTATTTCCCACCTTTATTAAAGCTGGTAACATTACAATACAATGCTCCTGAGCTTATTGTTCCAAATTACCAATTAATATCTCTCAGCCATTTAACATTCAGAGTAAAGGAGGGACTCTTCCTGTGTTTGTGGGTCTGAGTGTTTATCTGTGGCTATGACTCTAAAATGACTATGACTACATACATAAAGGGAAATGGAACTTCCCAAGATAAAAATGTTCATCTGGTGATTTTATGAATAAATGGAGCATCTAAGAATAGTCGAACTGCTAAATATCACCAAACAAATGTCTTGCTGGTCTTAACCCAACAAATCTATTGTGGAAAAATATATGCAAACAAGCTACAGAGAGCTGTTGCCTCTATTCCTACTTCTCCTTTCTTGGTTTACTATCTACAAAGCCTTTTACTCATGCAGAATAATTTTGAAATGATCTTAACTCCTCTCCTTCTCTTATTCTCCTCACCAACACACCAAAGCAATGCTTAGGCCCTAAGCAACCTACATCTCTACTTGTGCATAATACTCATCATGTTATAATAATTATTATTTTTTGCTACAGTCATCTGTTCTCCAGAGAGGCAGAGAAAGGGGCAGTGGTAAAAAAAAAACATTGACTCAAAGAGTCAGAGTTTCTGACTATAATAGTCAAGTCCACCACTTTCAGCCTGTTATACAACCTTTGGTTAACTTAGAGAACCTCTATATGTCTATTCCTTCACCTTTAAAATAAAAGAGCCAGACATGGTGGCACACTGTAGTCCCAGCTACTTGTGGGGGAGTGGGGGTTTGAGTTAGGAGGATCACTTGAGCCCAGGAGTTTGAGGCTGCAATGAGTTATGATTGAGCAGCTGCACTCCAGCCTGGGCAACAGAGTGAGCCTCCATCTCTAAAAATGAGTAAATAAAAATAAAAATATAAAATAAGGGAAAATATTCCACCTAAAGATATGTCACCTCAAGCTCTAAGCATTCTTTCACAACATAGTTACTCTTACATCATAGTCCAACTTGTACAATAATACATCATTAACTATACTATAAATTTTGAAATCTTCAACAAGACATTGCAAATCTCCTTTTGTTTGCGACCACAGTCCTTTCTAATCCCATCCCCTCCTATGTTCTTATAAAGATCCTGCGACAATGTCTTCATTATAGACACTGAGCAGGCCATGCCCAGAAGCTATTCTTACCCTAGATTGCCCTCCACCTCAATCTATGCTTATCCTTTTCATCCTTTAAGGCTCACCTAAAACACCCCTTCCTTTGCAAATATTCCCGAATATCTGAGTGCGAAAATGCAGATCATTTCTGGTGGCACATTTTATTTTCATATTTTGATTAGCTACACACATCACTCATCCTAATATACAGTCAACATTGCACAGCTTTGTCTCACCTGTTGATTGTATGTCCTTTGAAAGCAGGATTATAATAACCATATCATAATTTTTTATTTTATTACCCAAGTGCATTCCTATATCAAACTTCCTGTTTATATTTGTTGATTTAAAATGAGAAGACTTACCAGCAGCCTGATGTCTATCTTTAGAAATTTAAATAAATGTTCTTTTTAAAAAATATATTTATTGGGCCAGACGTAGTGGCACACGCCTGTAATCCCAGCACTTTGGGAGGCCGAGGAGGGTGGATCACCTGAGGTCAGGAGTTCAAGACCAGCCTGGCCAACATGGTGAAACCCCGTCTCTACTGAAAAAAAAAAAAAAAAAATAGCCAGGCTTGGTGGTGTGTGCCTGTAGTCCCAGCTACTCGGGAGGCTGAGGCAGGAGAATCGCTTGAACCCAGGAGGCGGAAGCTGCAGTGAGTCGAGATTGTGCCACTACACTCCAGCGTGGGCAACAGAATGAGACTCCATCTCAAAAAAAAAAAAATATATATATATACATATATATATATACACACACACATATGCAAACACACACACATATATATATTTATTTATTTAGTGGGGGATGTAGTTGTTCCCACAAGCTAGTGTTATTTTTAAGTTTTTTTTGGCTTTACTAACATAACTGACAAAATTTTACATGTTTTTGATGCTATTGAATGTGGGAGTGTTTTCTTAATTTGATATACGTACATACTGCGAAATGACTACTTCAATCAAATTGATTCACAGATCCATTACCACACATAGCTGTCATTGTGTGTGTGTGTGAGGGACAGAGAGAGAAAGAGAGACGGAGAGAGATGAGAACATTTAAGATCCAATCTCTTAGCATATTTTAAGTAAACAATGTAATATTAACTATAATAATCATACTGTACATTAGATCCCCAGAATTTATTCAAATTATAACTGAAAGCTTGTACCTTAAGGACAATACCTTCCCATTTACCCCACTCCCCAGCCACTGGCAACCAACTTTCAACTCTCTGCTTCTATGAGTTTGAATTTTTTAGATTCCACATATAAATAATATCATGCAATATGTGTCTTTCTGTACCTAGCTTAATTCAGTTTGCATAATGTCCTCCAGGTTGAGCCATGTTGTCAAAAATGTCAGGATTTGTTTTTTTTGTTTGTTTGTTTGTTTTTTTTGAGACGGAGTCTCGCAGTCTCGCAGTCTCGCAGTCTCGCAGTCTCGCAGTCTCGCAGTCTCGCAGTCTCGCAGACGCAGACGGGAGTGCAGTGGCGGGATCTCAGCTCACTGCAAGCTCCGCCTCCCGGATTCCCTCCATTCTCTCGCCTCAGCCTCCGGAGTAGCCGGTATTACAGGCGCCCACCACAACGCCCGGCTAATTTTTTTTGTATTTTTAGTGGAGATGGGGTTTCACCGTATTAGCCAGGATGGTCTCGATCTCTTGACCTCGTGATCCGCCTGCCTCAGCCTCCCAAAGTGCTGGGATTACAGGCGTTATTGATAAACACAAATTGTTTAAATTGTTTTCATATCTTTACTATTGTGACTAATGCTGCAATAAACATAGGAATAAAAACACTAATTTGATTTCCTTTAAATATATACCCAGAAATGAGATTGCTGGATCATACATATGGTAGTTCTATGTTTAAATTTTGAGGAACCGTAATACTGTTTTTCATAATGGCTGCACTAATTTATGACCTCATTTACAGTGTGCAAGGATTCCCTTTTCTCCACATTCTTGCCAACACTTGTCTTGTATTTCTTGTCTTTTTGATAATAGCCATCTTTATAGGTGCGAAGTGATATCCCATTGTGGTTTTGATTTGCATTTTCTTGATGAATAGTGATGTTGAACAGCTTTTTATATGTCTGTTGGCCATTTATATGTCTTCTTTGGAAAAAATGTACATTTAGGTCCTTTGCCCATATTTTAATGGGGTTATTTGTATTTTTGAATCAAATTATAGTATCTATTTATATTTTTTGATATTAACCCTTTATCGGATATTTGCTTTGAAAATATTTTCTCCCATTCTGTAGCTCGCTTTTTCATTTTGTTGACTGTTTTCTTTGCTGTGAAGAAGACACTTTCTAGTTTGGTGTAGTTCCGCTATATTTTTTCTTTTGTTATCCATACTTTTCATGTCATATTTTAAAAAATTATTGCAAAAACCACTGCACAGAGTTTTGTTTTTTTTTTTAACCTATGTTTTCTTCTAGGAGTTTTAGGGCATCGGGTCTTATATTACACTCTTTAATTCATTTCCAATTAATTTTAATATTTAGTGTAAGATAAAAGTCCAAATTCATTTTTGCATCTGAATATCTTTTCCCCAACATCATTTATGGAAGAGAATAACCCTTCCCTATCATGTATTCTTAGCACCCTTTTCGAAGATAAGTTCACTGTGTATGTGTAGGTTTATTTCTTGGCTCTCTGCTATGTTCCATTTGTCTATGTGTCTGTTTTTATGCCATTGCAATACTGTTTTGATTACTATATATTGGAAATATTGTTTGAAATCAGGAAGTGTGACGCCTCCAGCTTTTTCCCTCTTTCTCAATATTGTTTTGGTTTTTCGGGGTCTTTTGTGGTTCCATAAAAAAGATAGGATTTTTTTTTTCTATTTCTGTGAGAAATGCAACAGAAAGTTTAATAGAGAATACATTAAATTTGTGGAGCACTTTGAGTAGTATGGGTATTTTAACTATTAATTCTTCTAATCTGTGACCATGATATATGTTCATTGTGTTTCCTTCAATTTCTTTTATCAGTGTTTCATAGTTTTCTTGGAAATATTTTAGCTTTTTGGTTAAAATTATTTTTTAACCAAAAAAACCATTTTATTGTTTTTGATGCTATGGATTTGGGAATGTTTTCTTAATTTTTTTTTGACATAGTTTGTGTCTAGTATATAGAAACACAACTCTGTATGTTGATTTTGTATCCTGCAACTTTACTGAATTGATTTCTTAAGGCTATAATTATCCTGAACAGAACAGAAACTGTCATGATCCCCTCCATCTACTTCTTATATTATGTTCTTTGATTTTAAGGATTGGGGAATTATTCTTCCAATTGCCAGAAAATTTTGTTATAATTCTGACTTACTTCTCATCCTTTAATTCTTGTTAATTGAAGTTCCCAAGGAGACATCCAATAAACGAAATCATTTCCCCACATATATTCTAAGGAAATAGAAAGTTCAAAGAATGTTCAGATAATTGCCAAAATATTATTAATCATTTATCACTTCATATTATTTGATACTATTATTTGATGATAAATTTATTATTTATTAAGTAATAATATTAAATGAAGGTAAATATCAAATATTATCATTTAATAAAAATAAAATTATCATTTAACAAATAACATTATTCATCATTTAATATTATTTTATTATAATCATTTATCATTTAATTTGCAGATGTGGTTTGGTGTGAACCCAAATGTGCCAGTTCTCTAAATTCCAGAATTAGGCAAACTTATCCATCCAGTTTCAGAAAGGACTAGACTGAGGTAGGTTCTTTCAGACTTAGAGGTTTGCTAGGTAAGACTTAGAGTTGCACTGTCTAATGAGGTAGCTACTTGCTATGTGCAGTTAATGAACACTTGAAATGTATCTAATCCAAATTTATATGTGCAACATGTCTAAAATACACATCAAACTCCAAACACATAATAATAAAAATAATGTAAGCTATATCATTAGTACATTTTATATTTATTACATGTTAAGGTACTATTTGGAACATATGCTATTAAACTATATTATTCCGTTTGCTTGTTCATTGCTTATAAGTTTCCTTGCTTAATATTCTTCATTGTGGTTTCATATGCTGTTTATGATTAAGTATACATTTTATAGCAAAACTTAAAAGAGTCTTCATGATATAATCACTCCTCTAGCTTTATCTCTATATTTTCTATTCCAGCACCAAGAATCTCCTTAAGATTAGAAACCAGGCAACTTTTCTCTTGAATCTAGGTCTTGGTGTATTTACTCATTTTGCCTGAAACAGCTTTAGCCAACTCTTAGGTCTGATGATAACCTCTTGATCTTCAGCTTTTTAGTTCAACTATCATTTCATCTTTAAAATCTTTTAGAATTTCAGGACTAGGTATGTCTCCTTCTAATGTCCTCTTGTGGTACCCTGTAATTAGCATTATTATCCAACTTAATTACACAGTATTTAAATTGCCACTTTACATGTTTGTCTTTTGTACTTCACTTTATGTTCTTGAAAGTCACCTTACGTTTCTTATTCATTTTCACCTCCAGTGCCTCCTATATTGCCTTTTACAATAGATATTTAAAATATATGTCAAATGCAGAAAATAATATATGAACCAATGAAATAATCTATTTAATTTAAGGTGAGGACAAAACTCCTTTATGTAGATGAAAACATATTTTATAAACTCTAGATTGCAATTTTATTATTGTTGAAAATGCTTGTCTTCATATTCTCTGCACCTAGCATTTCCCTCATAGGTAGTTTGTGTATAATAAAGATATTTGAACAAATAACTGAGTGACTAAAATAATTCCACAGTTTAAAAAAGGTAACATAAATTAAGTTATCCGAGCATAAAATGAGTTATTGAGATATTGCTCTTTTGAGCCGAATTGGCCTGTTAAGTTGCTTTGTAACATGCATTTCTTTATTCAGCTGAAAACAAGCAGTCTGCAAGTTTTAAAATGGCTATTCCTTTCTATTCATCTTTTGCTTCTCATAAATTAGGCCAGCACACATCATTTCTACACTACCCAAAGCCAAACTCTTAAGCCGTTTCCATTATACATTCATTCCAATGGAAATATTGGCTTTCATTTACCACAGTGTCAGAGGCCAGTGAAGCCAAATCGGTTGCAGCTGCATTGTTTTATAACAAGAGATAATGTTATCCCCACTGTAGTTACAAATGTGATTTCCTCAGAGTTCAAATACTCTTGGAGCTAAACTGTGATTTGATGTCTAATGGTCAACTCATGTTCTGGGGATTAAGTTAATTAAAACAGTTGCCCTACTCTATTAAAGCTCCCTGTAGACTAATTATTAAAGTGCCAAGCACCGTTACCAACCTACAGCAATTGAAAGTCACAAAGGGAGTTGCTTATATTATGGGAACTCCAGAACTCAGTAGATTATTGCCCGTAGTAAAAGAACATGCACACTGAGAAGTAGATTACCTTCTACACAGCCACTGAGCTATTATAAAATGTACAAAGGAAAAGCCAAATGTACAAGCATTTGGATTCATAGCCCTTAGAATCTACTGTTTCCAAAGCTAGTCGAATATCAGAAAAGCAGCTTGGTAAAGTGCAAATAACTTTGTTCAGGGAATCAGGAAGCACAGCTTAGAATCCCAGAGCTCCCTCTAACTGTCTGTAATGTAAACTCAGGTAATTCCCTTCACTAGGTATCAAATGTCTCATCTATAAAATGAAGAGTATATATGTGACCAGTGATGCTACTTTGACGTATTTTGAGTTAATCAGAGATTTTTCTGCTCAAAATCTTTGGAAGAAAAGCTACTAATGGGTGGCAGAGAGTGGCAAACGTTCTATCTAAACTATAGACCTCCTCCTCTTCAGAAACCTCTGATGAATTGTGCTACATAGAATAAAATATAAAATCTTTTGTATACTTTACTGGTGCAGAAAGTAGATGCTTGATTTTTTTTTCTTGGTGAATCCACAGAAGTCAAAAGCAAACAAATTATAAATGTTTCCCTAATATGCTTTATCTTAACATATGCATTTTCTTACAATTATATGTCAGTAATAGTCACTATACTAAATAATGTTGCTGTACGTATTAAAATAAAGCAAAGGACATTGGTCATAAAGTTAGATTGACCTAGATTTTAATTTCAATTTTAATAGCTCTGTGGATTTAAGACAAATTGTTTCTCCTTTTGGAATCTCAGTCTGGGTCTACAAAAAAAAAAAAAAATACCCCCACCTCCCAACTCTATTGCTAGAATTAAGTAGGACACACCCACTCACTCACATCATGTAGTGATCATTTAAACTTTCTTCATTTCACTTCCACCTTAAAGAGCAGAGAGAAAATATTCTTTTTTAGAGTATGCTTAATATGATAAGATTTGAATTTATTTCTGTGGGCTGGGATGTTGTTCAAGACATTTAATAGACGGGTACATGGCATTTTATGTTGTATTCTGATAAAAATGTCATTATCAGAGGTATAGGAACACAAATTTTAAGAGTCTGTTGGGATGAGGCAAATCAAGACAAGGAATTGGATAGGTCTGAAGATAATTATTCTTTCAAGGTTATCTATGAGCTATCACAAACATCAGGTATTTGGCTACTTATATTACATGCAGTTGATTTTCAAGCCTGCAAACCATTAAGATAGGGCTAAGATCTTTTCATTTTAGATATGTCAGTACAGAAATATTTTTTTAAAAATCAGCTTCTATATTAACTTTCCATTTATGTAAGTTTAATATCAACTGGTAATATTATTGTTACTTGCCAGCCAGCAAATCAGTTTGGGAATCATGTTGTGTAGTCAATAAATCATCTTGTAAAATCCCTTTTCTCTCTAGAGTTAGCAGCAATACCTATTAGGAAGCAGCAGTTCTCATTATTACTCCAAGAAGCACCAGGGCATCAAAGTATATAAGCTGTGGCAGAGCTCATTCATCAAGGTAGGAAATCTTTTTCCAGCATTAAAACAGAGGCTGAGAAGCAATGGAAACCAATATTTGGGTGAAACAAGGAGGAATTTTAAAAAGAAAAACAGGAAAGGGAGGAATAGAGAGAGGAAATTACAGTATATCTAGAGTTACATGTATAAACTGAAACATGTACTGTTATCGAGACAACCTTGCTTTTTACAAGTACACAAAAGTGAATGAACTAATTTAGAGTTTTTTATCTAGAAAAAGAAGTCTACATTTTGTGTAAAAGCTAATTTTAAACAGATGCTTCATTTACCCTGATGACAAATCTGCATATTTATAAATTATGTCCAATAAAATTATTAATATTTTTGATGATATATATGCTATAAAATTCAATAATGAGACTAGTTAACTTATATCTGAAAACATTCAGCTAGAATAAATTCAAGATTCATTATGCCTGGGCCTTTCAATCAAGTAAAGCTTCAGCATACAATATTTAAAATTTATTTTTTAAGTTTTTAATTGTTATGGGTACATAGTATGTGTATACATTTAATTTACAAGAATCCTGGATATCAGAGCCATGAAAGATCACTCCTTATAATTTCCAATTGAAAATGGACCAAGTGGCTAGTTCCCAAATATAACAAGTTGAATGACTCTCAGAACCTACTTTTTGGTCCATAGGCTTAAACAAACAAAATCACTGGGGTAAATGTGGTTATCTTTCATCATTTTAAAAAACTTTTTAATCTAATTATGCAAACTAATTAACATGGGTAACATTTTAAAATATGCAAAAGATTACAGTAGATCCAAAATGGCATGAGTCTCTTAATTGGATAACCATAATGATTGATAAGTAATGTCACATAGCCAATCTGACAATAGTATTATTATCAATTATTAAAAAGGCTTTAATCAACTAAGGCCTATCACCTAGTTGGATTGATCACATTTACTGACTGTTCACTTAATATTGCCATTATTAATAGATAAAATTGTTGACACAATTGGTGACAAAATTGTTTACATTTGGATCCACAAAATATCAAATAAAAAATATCACACTGTGTTTTTCAAGGTTTTCCAGAGAAATAGAACCAATAGGACATATAGTGATGTATTTAGGTATATTTAGATATATCTATTTAGATATATTTCAATGAAAGCAATGGCAAAAACCGCAATTACTCTTGCACCAACCTAAATATAGAAAAAGAGATTTATTATGAGGGGTTGGTTTACTTGCTTGTGGAGGCTGAGAAGTCCCTTGATCTACTCTCTATAAGCTAGAACCCAGAGGAGCTGGCAGTGTAGTTCCAGTCCACACAGAAAGGCACAAGACACAGGAAGGCCAATGGACAAGGGCAAAGGAAGACGAATGGCCCAGCTCAAGCAAAGAGCAAATTCACCCTTTCTTCACCTTTTTGTTGTATTTGGGCCCTTAATGAATTGGAAAATGCCCACCTACATTGGTGAGGGCATTCCTCTTTAATCAGTCTACCCATTCAAATGTTAATCTCCTTTAGAAACATCATCACAGACACACTCAGAAATAATGTTTTATCACCTACCTTGGTTTCACTTAACCCAGCCAAGGAGACACATAAAATCAATGATCACATACACCAAGTAACCTTGTTCCTTGAAACCTAGGAAATTTACCTTTATAATTGTCATTGGATGAAAAGAATGAAACAAAAGAACACCAGCTTGCTTATTACTTAAGATAGACCCATTTCTTTCTGTCAGATTTGACTGGCGCTATTCTCAACATGAATGGAAGTTAAGTGAGCTTCAGAGGTGGTCTTGGCTGTGGGATATTGAATGAGATTTTGAGAACTGTGGAGACCAGTAATTCTACATTTAGTCTCTGACAATGCCGGTTGGCATTTTAGCTCCTCAATGAGAACAGTTCAATGACTAGCATTGCTACTGTTGGAAGATATCTACCCATAAAATATTGCTTTTTTATATGAAAGCCTCTCATCTTCATACTGACATCCTAAATCAAAGTCAGCATCAGGAGCCACAGAGAAGAGAAGAATTATTTAGAGAGCTGTGTTAAATCACCATTCAGAATTTTACATAAAGCACTTGGTAAACCACAAAAAATACAGCAGATTTATTTAATAACACCGTAAATAACAAACAGCACTACTATAAATCAGCTTGTAGTATAACAATACTTTTAGGCATAGCATTCCCAACATTAAAGACTCCCAATTTACCAAAAATGGTTTTCGGTTGTTTCCTGGTGGTTTCCTGGCTAGTGACACTATCACAAATTGTAGAAAAAATAAATTTAGAATGAGTATGTGTGTAAGGACCATTTAAAAGTCTGACAGCAGTTACAACCAAGTTGTACTATATTTTCATATTGTCAAATGAATATGAGCTGGAACATCTTCAATACTGCTGTTTTATTATCATTTAACTGTGTTTCCAGCACACAAAATATTGGCAGTATCAGGCAACTGGGTTTTGATCACAAAAGCAAAAATCTAGTTCTCAGCTCTAGGCCACTGCTTTTTGAAAAAAAAAAAAAAAAAAAAACTGGCTGAAGAATATAATAATAGGGTAGCAGGGAATACTTAGTGAAATTTATCTCCATAGCTTCATTCCCTCTCTCTTTCTCTCTTTGCTTATTTTTTCATTTCCCCCTCTTTTTCTCTCTCTATTTCATTTTGCCAGATTGCTGAGATTTTATTACTCTTTCACTTTTACAGCACTTAAAATATATTTATACTATTTGTTTAAATAATTTTCTATTTAAACTTTAGGAAAACAATGCATTGTATTTGCTAAACCTGTATTTGGTTAGGTTAGCTAGATAATCAGTCACCAAGTTGGTGACCAAAATAGTTAACGATGAAAAATAACAGACTCTTTAGAGCTATGGCTGTATCATAAATTTCAACTTTTCATGTGTTGCTCAATACGCATAGCATGGCTGATTGTATGGGAGTCATTGTTAAGAATAATAAAAGTGTTTAGTCCATTTGATACAAATGTGTAATGTTTAAAAGTACATGAAAAGATAGATAAAATATGCCCATGACAGCTATATTTTAAAATATTTAATAATATTGTTTTCTGTTCACAAAAGTGGAGTTTCCTAATTAAACATATTCTAAAAATTATTGCAAATCAATAACTTGAATATGGCAAATAATATCTTGTTTTTGAGTGCATGTCTGTGGTGCACTGAATGGCAGAGAAGTCACTTAGGTGCTCTGATTGTGGGCCAGACTGGAATCCACCCTTTAGGATGTTGGGGAAACATATTCACAAATAGAATTCCCTAAGAGTGAGGTCAGGAGAAGCTTTTTTTCTGGTACTGAAATAACCATAATGCTCTGCAGGATCCCAGTGCTGGAGAAAATTATTATACTACAGGAATCTGGCACTGAAGAAACCATTTATGCTCCAGTAGCCAGGCACTGGAAAAATCCTTGCTCTGCAGAATCCTGATGAGACAGTGTACAAGAAGATGAAAGAAAAACTCCTTTCTCTAGCAATGCCTCTCTAGTGTCCTCTCCTGACAAGGGTTAATATGCCACCCAGCAAAGGGAAAATATTCAAAGAGCTCACCTCTATATTCTCACACCTGGCAATGAAGGATGAATTTGAAACTACAAGAATGTAAATGTAAGAATGCCTACAATATCATGAAAATCAATAATCCTGAAAATATATGATATGAGTAAAAATGTGGAGAGATTGAAGGAATTAGCCAGGGAAAGATACTTCCAAGCAGAAGGAAGTATGTTGAAATATGCCTGGTGTTACTTGACAGTAAAGGAACCAGTATGGCTGGAATAGAGTGAGTGAAGGTGAAAATGGTAAGAGACAGGAACAGAAAGGAAAAAGGGCAACCATATTATATGGGGTGTTTTAGGTCTTTGTAGGATGTTGACTCTGAGTAAAGTAGAAAAGTGATACAGAATTTTGAACAAAGGACGGTTATGATTAAACTTTCATGTATAAAAATTCTGGCTGATGCTTTAAGAACAAACTAGAGTTGGATCAGATATAGCAAAATGAAGACCTGTTAGAAAATGATTATACTAATTCAAATAAATGGTGCTTTATTTGGTGGCTTAGATGTTAAGTATTAGTAATGGAGAATATAAGCAACAGCTTGCCCTGGATATAATGGAGTTTTGAAAGAATTTATTGATATTTTTATGGATTGAACGTAGAATCAAGAATGATTTCAAAGTGTTTGATCTGTGCAGCTAGAGTTATTAAGTTGCCATCAACTTAGATGGGAAGATTCCCTTTGAGTAGAGTGGGGAAAAATTCAGATTATGATTTTGGATATATTAATTTTTATTGTTACTGATGACATTTTTATATTGTTTGTGGTTAGCTTGCATTAAATAAATAAACAAAAGTTTATGTATCTACTAAATATTCATTGGGAGATGACAAGTAAATGTCAATTTGGTAGTTGGATATAAGCATCTGAATATCAAAAAAATTTAATCTGGAGATAGATTTTGGATTTGTGGGCATATAGGTTTATTTAATGGCATGAAAGTAGACAATTTCATCAAAGGAGTGATGACAGGTGGAACGGAGTTGAGCTCCAAGACCTGAGCCCAAAATACTTCAATGTTAAGAGATTTGGAAAAGGTGAGATGGTAGCTAATAAAACTGAGAAAGAACAGCCAGTGATATAAGACAAAAAGTGTATGTCCCCAAGCCAAGCCAGTGATATGGTAAGTTGAAGAAAGGATATCACTAGTTCATATCTAAGTAAGAGTTTATGACTGAGCATTGTGTTTAGAAACTGCAAGGTCATGTTAGAGCTGAAAAACACACTACAAGAACTTCAAAATGCAATTGCTAGTATTAATAGCAGAATAGACCAAGCAGAAAAAAGAATATCAGAGCTGGAAGACTGGCTTTCTGAATTAAGACACGTAGACAAGAAGAGAGAAAATAAGAATGAAAAGGAATAAAAAAAATCTGATAAATATGGCATTATGTGAAGAGACTGAATCTACAACTGATTGGGGTACCTGAAAGTGATGGGGATAATGGAACCAGGTTGGAAAACATACTTCAGGAATTCATTCAGGAGAACTTCCCCAAAATAGTAAGACAGGACAACATTCAAATTTAGGAAATGTAGAGAACCCCAGTAAGATACTCCATGAGAAGATCATCCCCAAGACACAAAATCATTAGATTCCCCAAGGTCAAAATGAAAGAAAAAATGTGAAGGGCAGGCAGAGAGAAAGGCCAGGTCACCTACAAAGGGAAGCCCATCAGACTAACAGCAGACCTCTCAGTGGAATCTCTATAAGCCAGAAGAGATTGGGGGCCAATATACAACTTCTTTGTTTTGTTTTGTTTTGTTTTGTTTTGAGATAGAGTCTCACTGTGTCACCCAGGCTAGAGTGCAATGGCACAATCTTGGCTCACTCAACCTCCACCTCCCAGGTTTAAATGATTCTCTTGCCTCAACCTCCTGAGTAGCTGAGATTACAGTCATGCGCCACCACCCCCAGCTAGTTTTTGTGTTTTTAGTAGAGGCAGGGTCTCATCATGTTGCCCAGGCTGGTCTTTAACTCCTGACCTCAAGTGATCCACCTGCTTCAGCCTCCCAAAGTGCTTGGATTACAGGTGTAAGCCACCATGCCCGGCCTCAACATTCTTAAAGAAAATAATTTCCAACCCAAAATTTCATATCTGGCCAAACTAAGCTTCATAAGTGAAGGAGAAATGAAATTCTTTTCAGACAAACAAATGCTGAGATAATTTATCACCATTAAGCCTACCTTGCAAGTGCTTCTGAAAGAAGCACTAAGTATGGAAATGGAAAACCATTACCAGCCACTAAAGAACGCACTGAAGTACCAAGACCAGTGATGCTATGAAGCAACCACATAAACAAGTCTGCAAAATAACCATCTAGCATCATGATGACAGGATCAAATCCACACATAACAATCAATACTAACCATAAATGTAAATGGGCAAAATGCCCCATTAAAAGACACAGAGTTGCAAGTTGGATGAAGAGTCAATCCTCATCAGTATGCTGTCTTCAAAAGACCCCTCTGATGTGCAAAGATACACATAGGCTCAAAATAAAGAGATGGAAGAAAAATTACCAAGCAAATGAAAAACAGAAAAAAAGCAGGGGTTGCAATTCTAGTTTCTGACAAAACAGATGTTGAACCAATAAAGATCAAAAAACACAAAGAAGGGCATTACATAATGGTAAAGGGTCTTGTCAAAAGGGTTCAATTTGACAAGAAGTGCTAACTATCCTAAATATATATGCACCCAATACATGAGCACACAGATTCATAAAGCAAGTTCTTAGAGACCTTCAAAGAGACATAGACAACCACACAGTAAGAATGGGAGACTTTAACAACCCACTGATAATATTAGACAGATCATCAAGACAGAAAATTAACTGGCTCAAATGGACCTGACACATCTACAGAACTCTCCACCCAAAACAACAGAATATACATTCTTTTCATTGCTGCATGCAACTTATTCTAAAATTGATCGTATAATCAGAAGTAAAATATTCTTAAGCAAATGCAAAAGACCTGAAATCATATCAGTCTCTCAGATGACAGCACAATCAAATTAGAACTCAAGATTAAGAAATTCACTCAAAAACACATAACCACATGGAAATTGAACAATCTGCTTCTGAATGACTCGGGAAAATAATGAAATTAAGGCAGAAATTAAGAAGTTTTATGCAACTAATGAAAACAAAGATACAAGATACTAGAACCACTCGGACAAAGATAAAGCAGTGTTAAGAGGGAAATTAATGACACTGAAGTGCCTGCATCAAAAAATTAGAAGATCTTAACAACCTAACATCACAACTAAAAGAACCAGAGAACCAAGAGCAAAGAAGCCCCAAATCTAGAGAAAATAAGAAATAATGAAGATCAGAGCTGAACTGAAGGAGATAGATACATTAAAAAAGAAAAACCCTCAAACAATCTACAATGAACTCAAACAAATCAGTAAGAAAAAAAATAAAAAATCCCATCAAAAAGTGGGCTAAGGACATGAATAGACAATTCCCAAATGAAGATATACAAATGGCCACCAAACATATGGAAAAAATGCTCAACATCACTAATGATCAGGGAAATGCAAATCAGAACCACAATGTGATACCACCTTACTCCTGCAAGAATGGCAATAATCAAAAAATAGTAGGTGTTGGCATGGATATAGTGAGCAGGGAACACCTCTACACCACTGGTGGGAATGTAAACCAGAACAGCCGCTATGGAAAATAGCGTGGAGATTCCTTAAAGAACTAAAAGTAGAACTACTATTTGATCCAGCAATCCCACTACTGGGTATCTACCCAAAGGAAAAGAAGTCATTATTTGAAAAAGATACTTGCAGACACATGTTTATGGAGGCACAATTCACAATTGGAAAATTGCGGAACCAACCCAAATGCCCATCAATCAATGAGTGGATAAAGAAACTGTGGTAGATATACATGAAGGAATACTGCTCAGCCATAAAAATGAATGAACAGCATTTACAGTGACCTGGATGAGATTGTAGATTATTATTCTAAGTGAAGTAACTCAGGAATGGATAACCAAACATTTTATGCTCTCACTGTATGTGAGAGCTAAGCTATGAGAACACAAAGGCCTAAGAATGATACAATGGACTGTAGGGACTTGGGAGGAAGAGTGGAAGGGTGATGAGGGATATAAGAATACAAATATGGTGCAATGTATACTGCTTGGGTGATAGGTGCACCAAAATCTCACAAATCACCACTAAAGAACTTACTCATGTAACCAAATACCACCTGTACCACAAGAACATGTGGAAAAATAAAATAATTAAAATAAAATAACAACATGAATTCAGGAACTGATGTCTTGAAAAAGTTAATAAAATAGATGGATTGCTAGTTCATCAATGAAAGACTGAATAAAGAAAATGTGGTACATATATAACATGGAATACTATGCAGCCATAAAAAATGACGATATGTCCTTTGCAGGGATGTAGATGGAGTTTGAAGCCATTATCCTCAGCAAACTGGTGCAGGAACAGAAAAGTAAGCACTACATGTTCTCACTTATAAGTGGGAGCTTAATGATGAAACCACATGGACACATGGCAGGGGAACAACACACACTGGGACCTGTGGAGGGAGAGTTTCAGAAAGAATTAGCTAATAAATGCTGGGCTTAATACCTAGGTGATGAGATGATCTGACCTCCTGATCTGCCCACCTCAGCCTCCCAAAGTGCTGGGATTACTGGCATGAGCCACCGCACCAGGCCCATATTTTTTACCTACATTATTATATGGATACTTTGATAACTCTATGAGTTCTGTTTCCCTAATTTTGGATATTGGCAAATAGAACCACACAAAGTTGCATAGCTTGCACCCAACACACCCTCAATTAAGTGACTCCTAAGCCAAACGTTTTTAACCTCCAAGATATTCTTCTCTCCGACAACTTTCTTGAAGATCTAATTTTCATACAAGATATATCTACGTTTATATTTTCTCATGATTGTGTACTTGAACCCTCAAAATTGTACCTTCTGTTTTAACATGTGTGTGTTGTGTGTGTATGTGTGTGTTGGGTGGGGGGTGCCTTTCTTAATTCCCCTGAATCCTGGAATAGAGCTCTTTCACTTTTACTATGCTGCTAGATATTCTTCAGATTGAGAAAACCTCTATGAGTGGAAGTTCAGTGTTTTCATTAGTCTAGGGACTGCTGCTGATAGGAAAGAGATTAAGAAGAGAACTTTGGTGTTGTGGCTTATAACCTGCTAACCCCCATGCTAAAGGATTTGGAAAACACTTAATCTACAAATTTCACTTTTAAACATTATCTGAAATTGTAATCTTGAAAGGATTATTTTGTTTGTTTTTAAATTCTACATTATTCCTGGGGAAAATGATAACTTTCTCTATGAAAAACCAAATTTTAATCAATGAAGGTGAAATATGCTTATTTGCATATTATCTTCCTAGAATAATGTGAAATCAAGAGTTTATTTTACCTTCATATCACAGAATCACAAACTGATTTAACCCATGAACGTGACAGTTTTGACATTAGAACTGGACTTCATTTTTGTAAGGATTTGCATTATTGCAATTAGAGAACATTAAGGCATATGGATGAAGTATGTTTTATATATATTTAAATATGTACATAATATATATAATAAAAATCATCTCACTAACATGTAGAAGGTAGAAAAGTAGGAGGAGGTGGATGATAGACAAATCGTGAGTAAAGGAGAACATAAAGATCATAAAAATAGCTTTTTAGTTTGGATTGAAACAAAATTTTTTTCTTCAATGCAAACTTTTTTTATAGAAAAGAATGAGAATGACTTGCTCAAATTTTTCGAAATATGTTCAGTAGATGCAATCTTAAAGATGATGTATGTGGTATGACTGATTCATTTCACCTAACACCAGAGGCAAAGATAAAGCCCATAATTTTTATAGTAATCATAAACTAAAATTTTTATTTAGTAGTTCCAAAAACACAAGTCTCCTAGTTATCAGTTCAGTGTTTCACACATAGATTTCAAATAATTAAAATAGTGTTAACAATAACAAAATGACATAAAGTATCCCTAAAGAGTGGGGGAAGTCAATCCTGAAAGACTTCAGAAATAAAAATATTTGGCCAGGCATGGTGGCTCATGCCTGTAATCCCAGCACTTTGGGAGGCCGAGAAGGGTGGATTACCGGAGGTCAGAAATTCAAGACCAGCCTGGCCAACGTGTTGAAATCCCATCTCTACTAAAAATACAAAAATTAGCCGGGTGTGCTGGTGCGTGCCTGTAATCCCAGCTACTTGGGAAGTTGAGGCAGGAGAATCGCTTGAACCAGGGAGGCGGAGGTTGCAGTGAGCTGAGGTCATGCCATTGCACTCTAGCCTGGGTGACAAGAGTGAAATTCCATCTCAAAAAGAAAAAAAAAAGAAAAAGAAAGAAAAAATTTTGAAGTAAGTCTCAAACCAAAGTTCTCTAGATGAATGGGGATGAGGAAATGTGGAAGGGCAAGTCCAGCTGGAAGAATGGCCCGTGTGGATATAAGCAAGAGAGAAAGCGTGTGGCCAACTCAGGGAACTAGAATTATCTTTGCATGGTCACAGCTGTTCAGGAAAATTGTTGTAGTGTTTTGAGACCATGAGGGAAGGATCAGATTAGGGAAGGTTTGTTTGTCTTGCAGGAGACTTTGGATTTAAGGATATACAGAGTCACTGAGGGAATTAACTTAATGACAAAAATGCAAGGCCATGTGAAGGAAAATACCAGTTTTCTGAGCAGCTTTGTTTTGTGTTTGCGTGTATATGTGTGTGTTTGTTTTAAAATTCAAAATAATTTGAGTTTTTCTATTTACCACCTGTGGGAACTTAGGCAAGCACATATTCTCTCAAGTTTTATTTCATCCTTGTAAAATGCAGAAAATATTATATATCTTAAGGTATTAGGAAGAAGACTTATTCTAATATTATTTTTGAATACAGTAGAGTGGATGCTACGCACAAAAATAATCTGTATAAAAAATAGCTAATTGCTAAATGCTACGTTCTCTCTACAAAGCTTATATCCCTAGTAACTCTATAAAACAGGCACTATTGTTTTCAGCTTGCAGATGAAGAGATTGAAATTAGGAAGTTTAATTCCCTCAAGCTATAGAACCAATATGTAATTGGTGTAGCTAGGGTTTGAACATGGGAATTTGACTCTTAACATTGTGCTCCACTACCTCTATTGGTTGAATAGAATTTGGAGATTATACTGTGGAGGAATTATATGGGAAACAGAAATATCTTTTTATGGATGACTGCAATCCCTAAGATAAAAAATAATGATAATCTTAATAATAGCAGTAATATTGAGGGTGATTTGGCTCTTCTATCTTTAGTGACCACCTTTGCCTGTAAAGGGACTTACTTGGGGTCTGAGGGCTTAGAAGATTAACTTTGGTGTTTGAAGCCACAAGATTAAAAGTAATTAAATTACCTTGGCAGTTGACTCCTTTACTCCTGGTGGAAGACATAAAGATAATGCAATCTCATCTAAGTTAAAAGGGGGAAGGAGGGTTCCAATAAAGTCACTCATAAAGATCAGGGAAGCCTAAAAGGAGAGAAAGCTAGTATCCCCTCCCTGGGTCAATGTCTACTTATAAGGCAGATTTGTCAATCTGCCCTCCAGACCTATGTGAGAAGGGAACAACAGGGTACTGAAGAGAAACAGCAGGACAGAAAGAAGAATGCTAGTGAAGGGCATATATCCTCATAGTTGGCTTGAAAATGTGCATATATTTTGCAGTAGTTAACTGAACAACAAAGAAGGTGAATGGGTTACATATCTTGACAGTGTACAACTTTATGATTATCAGCACTGAACCCAGAGATGAGAATGAAGGGAAGCCTAGGGGAGCTGTGGTAGGAGGAGATCAAGCCAAGCAAAACTGCTACAGAAAATCACAAACTCAAGAATGTATTCCCCTGCTGGACTCTGAACATCTCAAAATACTCCCCACTAGGATGCCACCATTTGAATATTTGATACACAAAGGATATTGTTGGCCATTGGTGTACACCAGAAAACAAGCAACAATCAAAAATGTATTTTACATAGGTAGCCATGTATATAAGATATGCTGTAAATTTTCAGCTATTCTTAGATTGACACAGAAAATGGGAGGAAAAATGAACAAAATAGCAGACTCCATCATAATCATACACATATACACCCTTGATCACAGACATCCACACAGAACAGTGGGCTATGGAAAATAAAGGGAATATGTGCATGCACTTGGAATTTTAAATTGAACAAGTTTGTTTTTTGCAATGAAAGCCTCCTGACTCCTTCAAAAGTGACAACAAATAGAGATTCACAAAGCATCACCCAAAGAAATATCAGAAAACACGTTTCATACTTTTACACAAGATCCAGATTGAGATCATTTAATCAAGATCATTCAATAATGGGACTGCATCTTTAAGAATGTACTATTTCCAGAGTTTTGTCAAGGATGTTGTAGGATGATAGAATGGTGTTGTTTACAGCAAGTCTTTTCTTTTTCCTGGAGATAATTAAAAGTGAAAGTGAGAGCCCTCATGAATCTGCCGTTGGTAATTTCAATAACACTTAGGTTCCCTCTTCAATTTTCCTTTATGTTTTGACCATGAAGGCAGGCGCTGTGGGTTCTAGGGGCACGATTTCTGTAGGTTGGATTTTTGTTTTTTTTTTTTTCTGTAGCTTTTGGCATACCTACAGCTGCCAGCTTCCCCCGAAAGCCTAGTTTAGCATAACTTAGTTACTTTCCCATCTGTTCTTCCACCTTTTTTTTTTTTTTTCATATTCTGCATTGCATTGTGGGGAAAAGGCTGGCAAGGCCACTATGTACAAGATCTTAAGAAAACAGGTTATCTTTGACTTTGCACCTAGTAAACTTTATTTTACATTCTTGGTTCTTAGGAATTTCAACTGTATATGTAAACAGCAAGAAATAAAGATTGCAAAGTGTTAAGAATCATATAAAATAATTTCTTATTTGTGGACTTTGAATTCAACACATTACGAGCCAACAATGTAATAAAGAATTCCTCAACCTCTCCTCTTTGCTTAATTGCCAATTGTAGGCTTTAGTAGCAAAAGCAGAAAAAAGAATCCATTGATGATTATACATCTCAAAAAGTTGACATAATTCTCTGCAGAAATTAGATTAAATTTTGACATGTTTTGAACTCCAGTGCAATTGCAGAACTTTAGTGATCTTTATTTACTTAAAAGTATTTTCCTACCTACTCATAAGTTATTTTTTAATGTTCTGTTTTATACCAGAACTGGCATCATATATCATTTGATGTGCCAGCTACTAATTAACTGAGTAAGTAAAATTTGAGTTTTCAGTGATTAAAAGGCCTAACACTTTATTCAAGTTGTATTTGCTATTTTAATTTTTTTCTTTGATTTAAAATACAGCTGGCAGTTGGTGATTCTGGAACACAAATTGTCCTCGTGACCTTGAAAGGGCTGTATTTCCTTATCAGCTTTATAGCCACCTAGAACCATTAATACATGTAATTCCTAAGTTTAAGAATTTTGCAGGTTATTAAAAAGACCTTATATTACTAAGCTATGCTCAGGCCAAAAGAATGAGCACCGTATTCAGGAATATACTTTCTCTGGTGCATCTTATTGCAACCTTAATTTTTTAATTATTCTTACCACTTCAATGTGATTATTGACTGAATTATGTCATTATGTCAAAGGCCAATCCTTACCATATTCCAGTGGGAAAGAAGACTTAATATTTAGTTAATTACATTTGTCCTAGTAAGCCTGAAATTCCTATTGACTCTCCAAGTTCTCAATTTCTATTGCTCATAGGTGAGTTTATTGACGGATCTTACTGAACACTGCAGTCCTCACTACAGTGCACACTGTAATTCAATTGCCTCTAATATAAAAAATTCTTAAGTTCAGCTCTGTAGAATTACAGGGGTCAAAAGTTACAAACATGTTCCTGCTGCTTCTGCCTGTCTGTAATTTAGTTTGTAACCTATGTCTCAGAAAATGTCTGGCATGAAATTTGCTTTTCTTCAAAATAAAGAGGAGTTTGTATTACTTCAGTTGTTACAAATTGCTTACACATATATCATTATTCAGTCCTCTAAGTATCATTATCATCCCAAATTTACAGATGAAGAAATGGAAGCCCAGAAAGTCAGAGGACCAAAGTTACTCAATCTACAAATGTGGCCCCCAAATACAAATATAGATGCCCTATTTCACAGTTTTAATTTTTTTGCTGGCAGCCACTTTGAGAACACAAACTCCAGAGGCAGAGTTCTAATGTGTGAATCCTGGCTCTGGCCACTTGATAGTTGTGTAGTCTTAGTGAAGTTGCTTGCTATCTTTGTGCCTTACCTTCCTCATCTGTAATGCGAGAATAAGAACATTATAAATATAACTCCATATAGACGTGTTGTCAATATTGTGGTAACAGCCTAGCCATGTAGAATACTATGATAACATTTAATTTTTAAAATATCCTCATCATTATGCAGGACAGTTCTCCATGTGACCTTGTACCTACCTAGTTTTCCCACTTTCTTGCTTGTAGTTCTCACGAATAACTGCAGAAAGTTCTGGGAATGCAGCCTCCTGAGATACGGAGGGACTGCCTGCAAAAGCCCAGGTCTTGCTCCTGTCTCTCCTAGGAACTGTAACATCTTGAGTTAGGGAAGAATTGTTCAGGACAGCCTGGGCTTTCGGCTTTGTTCCTTAGAAGCAGGATGTCTTTCAAAGCTTTACTGAGTGAGTCACATGGTTCCTGAAGTATACAACTGGGCTGGCTGTCTTTTGGGGTTCTTTAGCTATGGTGCAAATGGGGTTCACACAGTCAAGACTCCCTCTGCCTTGAGCAGCTTTCTTGAGTCTTAGACCACCTCACAATGAATACAAAAATTCTTTTGTCCCTTGCTGCCTATCTGTAACTAATAAATCCACTTAGCATAAGTTGTTGTGTGTATGTTCTGTTTCACCAGCCTCAGACATAGTTAACCAGTGCATGGTACAGAAACAATAGCCCAAGATACTGTAGGCATAAGTGTATATGGACTTCTGTTGCTGGTGGTTGGCACAGTGATGATCTTTGCTATTCTCCAAACAATGGGAGTCTTCCCTTGGGATTGGTAATTAGCAAACCTACTTTGCATACTTTGCACATTAATTACTGATTTTAAGGAGACTTTTTTTTTCAGACATCTTTATCTGTTGCTCCAACATCAAGTGGCTACTTTCTCTGGTATGAAACTCTCACCCTGTGAAACACTTCTTCATTATCATTTTTGGGAATTTTCTTTACCTCTCCCACGTGTTGGAAAAACTCTTCCGCATCCTACTAATTTTTCTTCTTTAGTCCTTATTAGAGAGAAGCAACTGATCTCTTAGTCTCTTTAAAAGAAAGAGTGCTTGAGAAATAAAAGCATTGAGAACATATATAGATGAAAATGCCATTATTAATACTTTACCTGGTTATAGAATGTGTGGCTACATTTACCGACTATAGAAGTGTAGCCCTCACTGTCTTTGAGATTCTGATCCACCGCCATTCTGATCACCAAACTTTTCTAAGTGACTTGCCACTTGTCTCCAAGTATATAAAGGGTGATTGGTGGGCCTTTTATCATTCATTGTGCTGGACACATTTGGGGACATGAAAATCTCATTTTATGACATTCAATCTGGGGAATTTTTTTTTTTTTTTTAATTTCTTCAGTTCCATTTTCTCTTTCTATATTGCTAAATGTCTATTTAGATATTATGTTTTCTGGGTCAATGTTCTCAATTTCTCATTTTTGTTTTCCTGTTTTCTACTGTTTTCTTGTTTTTTACCTTCTCTGTGATTTCATTAATTTATCATCATTTTTGACTGTTTTGTAAATCTAAAAAATTCTCCTATCATGCATATCCAAGAGCTTTTTAAGGTCACTGAATGTGTTTTTTGTTTGCTTTGTTTCTATTTTTATTTTTTATGTATGTATGTATGTATGTATGTATGTATGTATGTATGTATTTATTTTGAGATGGAATCTTACTCTGTCCCCCAGGCTGAAGTGCAGTGGCATGATCTCGGCTCACTACAACCTCTCTCTCCCAAGTCCAAGCAATTCTCCTGCCTCTGCCTCCCCAGTAGCTGGGATAACAGGCATGCATCACCATGCCTGGCTTTCTTTTTTTTTTTTTTTTTTTTTTGTATTTTTAGTAAAGACAAGGTTTTACCATGTTGGCCAGGCTGGTCTTCAACTCCTGACCTCAAATGATCTACCCACCTCGGCCTTCCAAAGTGCTAGGATTACAGGCATGAGCCAGGGTGCCTGGCCTCTCTATTTTTAATTCTCCTTTTCTTCTTTCAGGGTTGTAACAATTTATCTTATCTCCTTAAAGACTCTACTAAGAACTTATTTTTGATTTTTGTCTCTATTGTTTCTCTTTTCTCTGAGATTTTTTTATTATTTATTTATATGCTTGTGTGTATTGAGGTCACCCTGGTATGTTAATGGTTATGTTGGTTTCTTTTCTGTTATGTGTGTATTTTAAATTTTGTTTTGCATTGTTTTGTTTCTTCATCTGATATCTTTTGATTCAACTTATATTAAATATTAGAAGACAAAATATTAACTCCAATCTCTATGTTAATGTGTAGGGTTTGTTAGCTGTTATACTTCAATTTAAAGGAAGTTTAATGATTTTACTTTTGGGTGTCTGTCAACCTTCGCTATGTATCTGTAGTGTATTGGAGCTGAGTATTTCACCAGAGCCGACTCACCCAATTTCCTGACTGAGTGTTCCAGCAGTAGGGAAGTGATTCAGAGAAATCTTATTATTCAGTATAGGATTTCCATTATTTCCCTGATTTTATTTGTGATATTACCAAATTTAAATATGGCTGGTATCTCCTAACCTAATTATTGGTTTTTCAATATCTCCAGAGAGTAAACTTGTTTTTACCCCTATCTGTACCATCAAATTCAGTTAAATGGAACCTTCAGTTCCCATAAACTTCTGAAATGGTTTGATCCCAATCAGCCTTCTTCCAGGCCTCCTCTGAGCCAGTTTATATTTCAGGAACCTCTGCCCAAAGTCAGTTGTCATTGACCTATCTGCTTTCCAGCTTTCAAAAATGTGCTTTCGTTTTTTTGGTTTTTGTTTTTCATTTTTTTGTCCTTGTGGCTTTATGCTTTATCTGCTTACAGTGATTTGAATGAGAATCACAAGACCTAAGCATGAGCAGTCAGTCACAAAATTTGACAATATTTTTCAGTGTAAGAGAATGAGAAACAGTTATGGAAATTAGAAGTCCAAACCTACCTTTGTCAGACTGTGGTCCCCCAAACTAGACATCTATAAGCTCTTTACACCTAATTGCAACCATTAAAAAGTTCCATTGCTCCAAAATCCTAATCACTGAAGTGATTGCTAGAGCAGCTGCCAAGAGAAAATTACCATGAAATCAGTAAAACATTGATTTGGTCATTAAATGGTGACAAACATTACTAATCAATATTCCCCCAAAATGCATGAACTAGAATGTTCTTCACATAGTGATGAAGATAGGCCAGTCACTAGCAGTGACTGTTAGCCCTTTCATAAATTCACTTATAAGCTGCTATATCATGCAAGGAAGATTGTACATAGAGATTAAAGCATCTCTCTCAGCTATTTATTAGAATGTCATTTTTCTGATAATGAAAATGAGGCATATGATAACATTCTTTGAAAGTTTATGAAGGTTGACTAAGACAATATGTGTGAACACAACAAGAGTTGTACACATAAGGCACTTAAACCTCACGGTGCAATGGTCTTGCTCTGTGGCTCTTGTCCTTCTTGATTTCTTGTTCTCCAGCAATGTGTGTAAAACAGTGTACTTCGCTTGAAACAACAGTCTCCTGGCTTGACTTCAATATAAAATCTCACTCTGTGTATCTCTTCATGGTATTGAACTAACTAGCAAGGCGGCAAGAGAAAATGACAATTTCATACAAAACTCAATGTGTTGAGATAAAGGGCCTGTCAGAATCTCATTCCCTAAGGGAAGAGCAAAGCCTGCACATCAGCAAATGAGCAGCATAACAGGCCGTGCTCTGCTGTGAACTGGAAGGAGCTGGGCCAGCTTCTGCCCCCAGGTGTTCATTCACAAGGCTCAAGGCCAAACACGTGAGTCAGCCAGGGAATGGGAATCCATCAGGGCCCAGCCAGCACCCTGTCGAGCTTGGTTATGGTAATTAAATGAATCTGTCTTAATATTTTTACGGATAAAATAAGAAGATAATTATTTATCAAATTTTTGTACTACAGTTTATTACTCAGTCTAGAAATAGATCTTAACATTTTGCATGACATGAATGAGACTGAAAAGTGATTTGAAAAATGAAACCTTTTAATCATGGCAGCTAATTATCTTACAGTTTCTTTTCTGCTCTCCTGGATTTCTCTCATGTCACCCCCACTCCTTATTTCCTAGTCTTTCCCTTATTCTCAGCCTCCCACCTTCACCCCCTCAAATCTGGCTTTCCAGGCATCTTTTGGGAGCACAGAACAGCCATGTGTGACAGTTCGCAACTACTTTAATTCAGATTTTTCTCCTTTCATGTATTAGATGAAAATTCATGCATTAGGATAACCACAATGCAAACTTTATGTTATCCTCCGTGACTTCTTAGATTCATGGTATAATTAAATTATACCGGTAATTGGGCAGTAGAATGGTTTAAGGAGAGATACCGGTGTTTTATTTTTTTAATCAATTACATTCCTTTTTCTTTTTTAGAGGAAGCCACCAGCTGGAGCCAGGATCTAATCATATCCACAACCCTCCTCATTCCTTCAATAATTCACTTATTCATCCTCTACTAGATGTCAAGTTGTGTGCTTGGCTCTGAGACCAATAATCATAAGTTTTTTTTTTTCTGATTTCAAAGAGCTTATAGGTAGAGTCAAGATTTAAATGCATGAATTTGGAGTACTATAGTGCTCCCAAAATAGCAAGTATAGGATTCTATATGTGCAAATTTGGAAAAAATTTTGATTGCTAGGTTTAGAAAAGTTTCAAAAAGGAGATCAGGCCTGATAAGAATCTTTAAATGAAAGTAGCAGCTCACCAGATGGATCCAGGCAAAAGCAGGAAAACTATAAAATTTGTAAATGTGAAAAAACTTCGTTCACTAGAAAAAACAAAAACAAAAACTGCATTTAAAGATTTCTGGAAATTCATGTTTGTCCCTATTTATAACAAGCAAAAAAGAAGACCTAATAGTTGTTAAGTCCTTCTGTGCCAAAGGATAGAATTCAAGATTTGAGGAACATGATACAGGTCTTTTTGCAGATAACTGTCATGCTAAATAGCATTTTTGAAAAAAAAAATTCTCTTTTTTAAATTTTATTTTAAGTTCAGGGGTACCTGTGCAGGTTTGTTACACAGGTAGACTTTTGTCATGGGGGTTTGTTGTACAGATTATTTTATCACCCAGGTATTAAGCCTAGTACCTATTAGTTATTGTTCCTGATCCTCTCCCTCCTCCCACCCTCCATCCTCCTATAGGCTTGCTAACTGAATTGCATTCTAGAAAGATCATTCTAACTACAGTTTGGCAACCATATGGAAATACTGGAGGCAGGCACACTCATTTGATACCTACTGCAATAAATCACGGAGAGGTAGTCAGGGACTGAAGTAAGGTTGTCACAGTAGATACCAAATGGAGGTCATTCTTACAGATAATATGAGAGTATAGACATAAAATGGAAATGAGAGAGGTGGAGGAGTAAAGGATTATTTTGAGGTTCATGGGTGAGATTAGAAGCACAAAGAGAACAAGGAAAATTGGTGACTTCTGTTGTCAGTTTTGGATGTGTTTTATTAGGTAGTATTTCACTGTTTAATTATCTTCATCTTCTTGCAGATACCAAAGGGATTGAAGCATGATAGTTGAAATCCTGGCTTTACCTGCTTGAAGCTCTGTTATTTAGAGCCAACCAGTTAATATCTTTGTGCTTCAAATTATTCGTGGATAAAATAGGATCAATTTTAGTATTTAACTTATAGGTTTGTATATAGTTTATTGGCAGGCTTGGCATATAGGAAGCACCAACAATGTTTATTGTTGCTGTTGTGTTGATGTTATACTTACCACTATCATCACTATGTTTGGGTGGCAGTAGAGGGAAAATATTAAAGTAATGGCAAAACCTGCAATTACTTTTGTACCAAGCTAATACAACTGACATAACTTAATCCACTGCAGCACATTAAGTCCTCTCTCACTTGAAGTGCCCTGCTGCACCCTATTACAGCATTTCTTCTAATAAACTTTCCTTTTTCTAATCTATATTGTTGTTGGTAAATAACAACCCACGAGTCAACCACTTCCAATGATGCTGATGCTGGGGCTCTGACACTTTTTTTTTTTTTTTTTGAGGCCTCTTTTATCTTCCTTATCCTGATCTAGAAAATAGTACCTCAAAGACAAAAGAAAGTAAAAATACAACATTTTTAAGTATTTGACAGAGAAAGTTTTACCACAGCTGCCATCTGTTCTTTCTGAGAGCTACTACCTCTGAGGTTTCATCAACCTAACAATACAGTCTTTGCTTGCCTTGTGACATGATTTTGGCTGTGTCCCCACCCAAATCACATCTTGAATTGTAATTCCCACGTGGCAAGTTTTATCTTCCTTATCCAGATCTAGAAAAGAGTACCTCAAAGATAAAAGAAAGTAAAAATATAATACGTGCTGTTCTTGTGATCATGAGTGAGTTCTCATGAGATCTGATGGTTTTAGAAGGGGCTTTTCCCCTTTTGCTCGACACTTCTCCTTCCTGCTGCCATCTGAAGAAGGGATGTGCTAGCTTTCCCTTCTGCCATGATTATGTTTCCTGAGGCCTCTGCAACCATGCTGAACTGTGTCAATTAAACCTTTTTTCTTTATAAATTACCCAATCTTGGGTATGTCTTTATTAGCAGTGTGAGAACAAATTAAATACACCATGCTTCTTATACACAACCCTTCTATAGCTTGTGACACTACTTCCCAAAAACCTCCAAACCTCTGTTATTTTATATTCTATAAACTTCAATGATCTGGCTCATCCTTTGAGTCTTACAGCTGCGAGGCTCCCATACCTATATGCATGTTCATCAATTTGGACCCATTTTTTTCCTGTTATTCTGTCTATTGTCAATTCCTCGTAACAATCTTAGATTTAATCCTTCAGAGAGAAGTTTTAGACTTTTCTATACTACATTTCTTTCTGCTACCAAGCCTTCACAAATCCTGTATCTTCAGCTTGGAGTCCTATTTTTACTGGCTAACTCCTATTAATTTCTTCTGTGGTCTGTTCTTACAGGAAGTCTTCCTTGGCATTTTACATATTGACTAGGGGTCCCTTCTCTACATTTCTATGGATCTCTGAGTTTATATCATCAGTAGACTTCTGTTAGGCTAATGATATACTTGTTTGCTTATATATGCCCTGCAATTTGATTTCCAATACTTAGCATAGTTCTTGGATGAGTGTAGTTCCGGTAAATAAAGTATTTCCATTTGTTGTTGGATGTTGTCGATGCCCATGACTGACAGTATTATTCCCACTTCTAATTAATGGTATCAGTAAAGTATCTAGCTCAGCTACACTCTACTACACTATGCAAAAAAAGCATGGAGATCATTCCTACAACATCAGGGGTCCTCTCTCAGCTGTGGCCCCTAATTTTATAAGTTGTCACTTTCTCTCTTTCTTTTCTTTTTTTTTTTTTTTTTTTTTTTTTTTTTTTTTTTTTTTTTTGCTTTAAGATAGTTAATTCTAGAGAACAACTATGACTGTTCTTTTTCCCTAATAGGAATGTCTCACTGCTTATGGTGTGGTAAAGGAAGTGTGTGAGCAAGCAAAGATCAATGGAGTCATGAATGGTTTACAGAGCTTGGATTTCCCTCTAGTTTGTAGAGAGCCAATGAAGGCTTTTAATTAAGGGAGGAACAAGGCTAGATTTTCATTTTAGATGGATCGCTCTTCCACTTCTGCAGAAGATGGATTTGAGGAGAAAAGTGAGAAGAGGCAGGGAAGTCAGTAATAAGGGTATTTAATACTGAAGACCAATATATTAAGGGTCTGTCCCCAGAGTCAGCAAATTTTTTTTCATAAAGTGCCAGGAAGTACATATTTTAGGCTTTGTGGGCTGGGCCATATGATCTCTGTCCCAGTGACTTAACTCTGCCTCTGTAGCTGACAATGTAGACAAAATATAAATGTATGAGTTTGTCTGTGTTCTAATAAAACTTTCTTATGAAATGTAAACTTAGAATTTCATCTGTCACACAATATTATTTTCATTAGTCACATAATTATTATTCTTTTCATTCATTCCAAGCATTAAAAATATAGAAACCATTCTTATTTGTTGGCTGCACAGAAACAGTCAGCGTGCTAGATTTGGCCTATGTATTATAATTTACTGACACCTGGCATCTACTATTTATTTGTTTGCAGAAGAGAAGAAGGATTTTTATAAAGTGCTGATAGGTACTAGGCTTTGATTTACCAGTAATTCATGAGTTCCTAGAATAGTATGCATCAAATAGTAAATATCCAAATATGTGTTGAATGAAGATAAATATATCAAAACTTGGTGACATCAGATTCTGGCCAGGAAGAAAACAAGAATAAATGTCATATTTTAAGTTGGTTGGTTCTTCTGCTCAGGACAAAACATTAGCTGACTTTAAATTGATTAGGATCATCCACTAAACCTCCATGGTATCCAGAGTTTTTGTATCAATACTTCTAGAACTATTGCTGACTGAAAAGTTATCTTACTAATATGTTTTCTGAAGAATATTTACCCTTTCACTGGAGATTACTATGAGCTTCCCTTAGTTGAGACATTTGGTTTAATTTATTTTCACTGCACTGGAGAAAGAAAGACATATTTCTCAAAGATTTTCATTTGGTATTATTATTATTATTATTAGTTTGAAATATAGACAATAGCAGTCAGGGCCACAACATGGAAAATAAGGTGGAAAAATTATGTCACTTATATTACTATTTTTATTCTCTAATTTAACTTTGTCTTAGGTTTCCCAAGGCCAAAATGAAGAAAACCGTTGAAGTACCCTTTATATTACTTTCCCTTTTCTCCCATTTCTTTCCTTCCTTCCATTTTGTTTCCCACATATTCCAATGACATCTCCAGGCTTACAGAAAATTCTCCCTCTCTCTCTCCTTTCCCTCCCTCCTTTCCTCTTTCTCCTTCTCTTTATTCAGACATTTATGTCCTTGAGACTTCTGGTTTCCAATAAAGTAACATGACTAATATTTAAAGTGTAATTTATTCTGTTTCTTGGTAGATATATACTAATATTTTCAGAATATAATCATATACCCTGAATCCAAAAAATAACAGTCAAAAAGAAAACAAACATATAAATGTGGCATTGTAAAAATTTGTCTGCCAAGAGTCATCCATGAAAATCATCTGGGGCAAAATGTGATGCCATTTTGGTTCAATCAAATAATCTAGTTTAAGCAGTAGAGCTGCATTTTCAGAGTTGTCACATGATGTGGGGCTCACAGAATTTTAGTTTTGTAAGATAACCAGACTTTTTAAATCTAAGAGATCTTTGAAATTCAGAACTAGAAAAAAAATGTTACAAACTTCTAATTAAAAAATGGCATTGGGGAATGCAACAGTCTGATTGGGTCAATTGCTTCCTGCCCTAGTTTTATGAATTGAAATTACTTCTGCTTACTAATGGCATTTGAAAAAACATTAAACTGTTTCTACATATCAAGGTTAGACAGGTTAATGAAGAACAGGGTCCTCAGGCATCATTGTTTATAAAATTTGAGCAACCATGTATGAGTAAAAGTAGGATATTACGACATTACCATCGCATGAAGTGTTTTGAACATAATTCTATTGAATTAATCGCTAGCATTCTTTTTCTGGTGATTAATTCTCTTTTTTCTTTAACGTTCCCAATTTCTTAGAATTCTTATCCCAATTCTGACCTATTTTCTGTTTTTTTCTCTTTACTTTTATTTTTAAACTCTTTATCTCTTTACTTTTCTATATATGTAGAAAAATGTTTTCTAAGTATTTGTGTTAATTGATTAAACTATTTTCTGTTCAATAACTAAAGTCATAAACAAAATTATATAATCCCGAATACTATCTTTTGCATCTCTCTAACACTTAAAACAAGGGAGAAAAATTTTTAAAGCAGGTTTGGAAGACATAGAGATCTCATTTGGATCCTGGATTCCTTAATTCTACTTTTCTAAAAACTAAGAAACAAAACAAAAAAAACCCTTAATTCAAACTGGTTTAAAAACTTGTAATGTGTATTCATTTTTGTTAGAATTGAGTGCTTAATCCTCTCATTAATTAACACCTTTTTTTTCAATATGTTTATTAAACCTGTGTTATAAAGAAGGTACTTCGTTTGGTATATTTCATGATAAAAAAAAAGATCTTAAGGCATAATAACCACCTTAAGAAACTAAGAAGAGTTGAATGATAGATGTACGTTTATATCTTCATATTAGTATATGATGCCAGGCAATACAAATTGGAAATATAAAATCCTTAAAAACACAAAACTAAATATTGATCATAAATCATGGAAATATTTGAGTGGTAGATACAAATTTGGTTATTCTAGAATTTCAGGCAACGAAAGTTTATGTAATTGATTAAAGTTTGAGAAAATAGAGCCAATAAGGCACAATGAATTTATTTTGTAGGGGTATGGTTTATGGACGTTAATCTTGAGCTATGATATGGTGAGTAAAAACAGATAGCAATGGAAACATTAGAATGATAAGTTATGTCATTTCTATTTTTCCTTAGGAGTATTTATGGACCTTAAGCCAGGAGCTTAAGGGTAATTTGGACCATACTAGCCACATAGGTCATGACAAATAATCACATTTGTAGTAATTTTGGTGCCTTAACGTAAGCAAGTGTTGTACAGTGAGTTTTGGCATGGCATTCCAGAGATGTATAGAAATTCTAGTTACTTATACATTTTAAGTTTAAAAGAGGTCTGGAAGCAGATACTGACTTTAAATACTAGCGAAGTTTAATTACTTCTACATTCCCCAGTTTTGCGTGTTTGAGGGTCACCAGGTGGTCTTTGCTCCCTTCTAAATTCCTCAGATAAGGAGTTTTCGTCTCTGAGGCCTGTTCAGTGGTCACTGGGTGATTTATGCTCTTCTCAGTAACCACTGTTTACCTCACTACTGTAGATTTTCTCTGCAGTCAGAAATCTCCCCCACAAGAGAACAATTTTTCAGAGCTATTTCTGTGGATTGTAGCCCCTCTAAATAGTCATAGCAAAATATGTCAAACACGTGTGAACTCAAAAGTATCTGAGACAGGTCTCGATTAATTTAGAAAGTTTATTTTCCCAAGGTTAAGGACGTGCCTGTGACACAGCCTCAGGAGGCCCTGAAGACATGTGTCCAAGGTAGTCGGATCACAGCTTGCTGTCACACATTTTAGGGAGACGTGAGACATCAGTCAATATGTATAAGATGTACTTTGGTTTATTCCAGCAAAGTGGGACAACTCAAAGTAAGTCTTCCAGGTTATAGGTAGATAAGAGACAAAAGGTTGCATTCTTTTGGGACTTTGATCATTCTTTCACTGAATACACAACTTACATGAGAGAGGAGGGTAGAGGGATAGTCACGTATGCCTTTAGTCTGACTCACTGAATATGCATTTTTACGTAAATGATAGGACAGAGGTAGTAATCAGATATGCATTTGTCTCAGGTGAGCAGAGGAATGACTGAATTCTGACTGTCCTTTGTCTGGCACCTGTGAAATAAGCTAGTAATTTACATGGCTTGGGTAAAATTCAACAGAAGTGTTTGAGGGTAAAGATCTTGAGGCCCACAAGGAAATTCCTGTGGACAAATCGTGAGGGAGATGTGTAGTTGTTTTTAATTTGTAGCTAACTTATATAAGAATAAAATAGGAGGCAGGTTTGCCTGATGCAGTGCCCAGCTTGACTTTCCCTTCTGGTTTAGGAAAGGAAATAGGAAAATAAATCTTTGGATTTATACAGAAATATATACAGAAGTATATTTTCAAGTAAAATGTGCTGGTTTCCTTCGGTTCCCCATTTGAAATTTAATTTTCAGAAAGTTTCACGTAATAGAGAAGAATTGGTAGCTATGTAGAGATTTGGGTTAAAAGTTTTGAGACAAGAGAGGAGAAAGCATATATAGGAAAAAGCAGGGAAACAACATCTCAAATTTGAATACATTACCACATACCTTTTTCAATCAGTCTATTCGTCCTCCAAATAGGTCAGTTCAGTTAAACAGCTCTGTCTCTTTTCAGGAGGAGCATTGCAGATGGGACCCATCAAGGTTAGGTCTCTTTGCAGTGTAAGAATAAGGAAATTTAAAAGAGACTTTTCTATGTAAACAAACAAAAACTCGCAAAGCCTAACGTCTGGAGTATTCTCCAAGCTACTTTCTGAGTCTGAATAGCAGCTCACTGAGAAGATTTCTGAACCTGAGCTAAAGTATTTTCAGCTGGAGCAGAGCAGGCAGTGGCAAACTGACAGAATTTCCTGGTTTGCAGTTTCAATGTTATAAAGCTTGTCCATCTGCAAGCCATCAGGGTAATTTCTCTGAATTATATTTATCAAGTTGACTAGCTTCAGCATTCAAAGCCTCAGGAAAAGCAGTTTCAATTTTAGTGAAAATTGAAAAAAATCAGAAGGATGGGAGGAAATTTGAAAAATATTAGTTTGGAGATTCAAAGCTTAATATTGAAAAAAAAACTAAAAGAATTCAGTATCTAGTCCAGACTGTAGATAAAGAATAAAATCCTCAAAATAATGAGCTAGAATCTAATAACAGATGTACTATACTTGCCTTTTTTAAACACAATTTTTCTCTCAACATTCACTCCCATTTCTACCAAAGATATTTAGTCAGACTAATTCGTTTGAAACATAAGTTTAGTCTCATTCACTTGACAAGATTATTTGCATAAAGTGTAACAAGAACAGTGATTGATAATATAGGCTTTTAAAAAGCTGGCTTTGCTGGAATTTTTTGTAAGTGACTTCAGGTTAGATTTTTAAAAGGCCTGTGAAGGCTAGGAGCCAAGAGAAAGCCTTACCATCTGACTGCATCTGTAATACTTCTACAAATTGGTAAATTTCTCTTTTCTCAAAGTTCTCAAAATATTTTGAAATTCCTGGGCCTGTCAGAAAGTTACATTCTTTACTTATCATAAAGCCAGTAAACCTACAAGGGAAGGGTGTAGACAAGGTATATGAGGCCAGTTTTTCTGAGGGACTTTTACTGGCTTTATGATTCACTTCGGTTCCTGAAAGCTATCTGGTCAGATCAGAAAATATGACATTATTTTCAAAACCTTGGTGAAAGAACCAGATTTCCAATTGTGTGCTGTTAACAAAGACATTCTTATTGAAATTTTGCAAATAATTATATTGCCGTAAAATAAGAATACTCACGAATAAATTCTAAATTCTAGAGAGATTAGGTAGACAGGAAGGTAAATATTTCAATTCTGTTTACAATAGTATGCATTACCAAATTGCTGCAAATTATATATAGGTTAAAACAAAGTTAACTTAAATCTGGAAAATTAAAAAATAATGAGCAATGTTTTAAACAAAAGCACATTAAAAATTATAATTTTTTGTCAGTTCAATCCCATACAATTAATTCTTATTTTGCTTAATGTTAGGTTAGCAGTTTTTTGACCCCAGTTTTGTTTTAAATTAGATTTCTGGAAATTTAGACTAATAGCATAGACTCAAAGTTATTAGAGCCCTGTATTTGTTAGGGTTCTTTTTATTCTTTCCATATACAGATATACTTCATTTTATTGGATTTCATTTTATTGTATTCTGAAGATACTGCATTGTTTACAAATTGAAGTTTTGTGGCAACACAGTGTAGAATAGTTCTATTGGCTCCATTTTTTCCAACAGCATGTGCTCACTTCATGTTTCTGCGCCACATTTTGCTAATTCTCATAATATTTCAAACATTTTAATTATTATTATATCTGTTATGATGATCTGTGATCAGTGATCTTTGCTGTTACTGTTATAATCTTGGAGGGTACCACAAACCACACCCATAGAAGGCAGCGAAGTTAATTAATAAATATCAAGCGTGTTCTGACTGCTCTACTGACCAGCTTCTCCTCAAGCCTCCCTAGCTATCTCTTGACATACAAAAATATTGAAATTATGACAATTAGTAACACTGCAGTGATCTCCAAGTGTTCAAGTAAAAGGAAGAGTCACATGTCTCTCACTTAAAATCAAAAGCTAGAAACAATGAAGCTTAGTAAGGAAGGCATATCCAAAGCTGAGATAGGCCACAAGCTAGGCTACTTTCACCAAACAGCCAAGTTGTGAATGCTAAGAAAAAGTTCTTGAAGGAAATTAAAACTGCTACTCCAGTGAACATGTAAATGACCCGAAAGTGCAGAAGCCTTATCGCTGATATGGAGAAAGTTTTAGTGATCTGGATAGAAGATCAAACCAGCTGCAACATTGTATGAAGCCAAAGCCTAATCCAGAGCAAGACCCTAACTCTTTAATTATATCTAGGGTGAGAAAAGGTGGCTACACTAAACAACAGATTATCAATTAGATGAAACAGACCTGTTGGACTCTCATAGCTACAGAGAAGAAGTCAATGACTGACTTCAAAGCCTCATAGAAATGGTGAGGAGAGGCTTTAAATGGCTGGCTACAGACACTTAGCACTCATCTCCTGCATAGAAGGACAGTGAGTAGGTAACCACACATTGAATACAGCATTTAAGAGAGAACACTGGAATTCTGCAGGGAAATGACAGGGAACATGGAGACACAGGAAGAAAGGGATGCAAGGCAGCTGAACCAACTGACATTAGCTGGGAGCCTGTAGTGGCTCCCCAGTGTAGGGAAAAGGTAACTGAGCAACTCCTAGAGTTCCACATTTTCACTGAAAACTCCCACAATCCTAGCCATAAGAGAGCCCCTTGGTTATTGCAGGCCCTGAGACTAGGATAGGCAGCTGTCTGGAGTCTGAGTAACTACACAGTTCCAGAGAAGGAGTTCATGCTGGGTCCTACACACCTCTTGAGACCCAAGCAGCTGCTGAATGGAGACATTATGAGAGCCCACCCTCCACCAGACTGTATCCTGCATTTCCACATTCCTGGAACCCAACTGACATTTTCGCATGCCCACCTGGAGGGCTACAGAGACAGAACACCAGCTGGCACTTCCAGTGTATGTAGGGTCCTGAGAATTCTATCTCACACAATGTTCTGCACCCTGGGGAATGATGGGTGCAGCACACCAGGGAGGCTGCAGCTACGACAAAAGGAGCTGGAGCACATGCTTTCCAGAGCCTGCAAGCTGCCCGACTAGGGCTGCTGCCACTCAGCAACCTTGACCCCATCCCTGCAGCAGGGTGGCCATGCTCCGCCATGAACCTTCAGTGGGCCTGGAGATAGGCCCCGTGAAATGTCATTCTGGGGCCTGAGGACAGGCTTGCCCTGTTCACTGCTACCACCACCCGAGCATGCCACCCAAGGGCCTGAGGATGACCCACCCCACCTTTAGACTCAGATATGTGTGTGAAATATCAAGAGTTCTGACAAAAGACCCAGCCTGCTTGCCACGGGAACACAAGAACACCAGCTGGGGCCTAGGGATTGCTCCACCTGGCCTGCCACAGCCTATGCCCATGGGCACCATTAGGGAGACTGAGGGCTGACTCACCCCACCTATTGTCCCAGGTGCACGTGTGCAATATTAGAAGGCCTGACAAATGGCGCAGCTTCCCTGCTGTTGGCACTCAAGCATGCCATTCGGGAACCTGGAGATCATCCTTTTCTGCCAATCACATCCTGTGCTTGTGCACACTACTGGGGTCCTGAGGACAGGCCCACCCCACCTGGTGCCAACTCCCTATATGCAAGAACTCGGTCCGGGGACCTGAGGATCAATTTTCCTTGCCTGCTGCTTCTGGTGCACACATGCACCATTAAAGAGCCTTAAAAAAGGCTCAGATTGTCAGCCACTGGTGCCCAAGCATGTCATATAGTGGCCAGAGTCCCTCCACACCACCCACCATCACTGGTGTCTGTGCACTACTCCTGGGGACCCTGAGGACAAGCCAGCCCAATCTGCTGCCACCACCACTGCCAAAACCAAAGTGTGCCACCTGAGAGCTGAGGGTTGGCCTGCCTTTGATAGTATCTTGTATTTCCTGTATCATCTATATTGTTAGTATCACCTGTATTGCTGATACAAAACCTGCTGCCCACAATCCCAGTTCCAGGCTGCTGGATTCTTAAGCAAGCAGCCTGGAAGCTTAAGAATCAACCTGCCTAAGTCTGCTATCAGTGCCCACTTATGCCTCCAACGAACCCAATAACAGAAAGGCTTGCCTAGTTCACAGTGACAACTACTGGGGACCAAAAACTAGTTTTTTCTGACACCTCTATCCCCAGCAGAGCCTCACTACAGCTTTCACTAACAAGTGCAGGATAGGCAACCGTGGAACTAACAGACACCACTGATGCTGATTACAACCAAAGTAATCATACAAAAACTATACTGCACACACACAGAATCAAGTCTAAAGTGCCCTACCCAAACAACACTGTAGATACATCTACAGAAAAAAATGTCTTCCCCTAGGAAAGTAAATCAAAAAGAATTGGAAGAAGTGATTGTTACAACTCATGTGCAGATACAAACACAAGGACACAAGAAATGAAAAAGCAAGAAAACATGATGCTTTTAAGGTAACACAATAATTCTCCAGCAACAGATTTCAACCAAAAAAAATCCATGAAATGCCTGAAAAACAACCAAAAATGATATTAAAAAAGCTTAGTGAGATAAGAGAACACAGAAAAATAATACAAAAAAATAAGAAAAATGATTTATGATCTGAATAAGAATTCAACAGAGATAATAAAAAAACAGAAATTCTGGATTTAAAAATTATAATACATAAAACAAAAATGTAATCAAGAGCTTCGAACAGAATAAAAAATTATAGAACTTGAAGATGTGTTTGGGAATAACCCAGTCAGTATATATTCATATGCGGATATATATATATATATATATATATATATATATATATATATAGAGAGAGAGAGAGAGAGAGAGAGAGAGAGAGAGAGAGAGATCAGGTTGGGCTGGCTTGTCCTCAGGGCCCCCAGGAGTAGTGCACAAATATGTATATAATAATAACCTTGGATATCTATAGCTTTAATTACCTACTTAAAAGATATAGACATGCTGAATGGATAAAAAGCATTACCTAATTGTAAATTGCTTACAATATTTTCACTTCACCTGTAAAGGGACATATAGACTGAAAGCGATTGGATGGAAAAGGATTTTCCACACAAACAGAAGCCAAAAATGAGCAGAAGTAGCTATACTTAAGTCAGATAAAACCGACTTTAAGTCAAAAACAGTACAAAAAAAAAGAAGCACATTAAATAATGATAAAAGGATCTATTCAACAAGAAGATATAACAATTCTAAACATATATACACCCAAACCAAAGTATCCAGAGATATAAGGTAAACATGATTAGATCTAAAGAGAGACTCCATTACAGTAACAGTTGGAGACTTCAACATCCTAGTCTCAGCATTATACAGATCGTCTATAGACTAAAAATCCACAAAAAAAGTTGCATTTAAATTTCATTTAGACCTAACTGGCATTTACAGAACACTCCATCCCACAGCTGCAAAATACACATTCTTCTCATGAGCACATGGAGCATTCTTTAAAACAGAGCATATGTTAGGCAAAAAAACAAAACAAAACCAAAAATCAAAAACAAACAAACAAAAAACACTCAACAAATTTATAAAAACCAAAATTTATTAAATATCTTCTGAGACCAGCATGATACAAAAGAAAAAAAAAAACAACAAGAACTCAAGAACAAGAGAAACATTGAAAACTGTACAAATATATAGAAATTAAACAACATGATCTTGGTAACCATTGGGTTAGTAAAGAATTAAGAAAACATTTTAAAAAATACTTGCAACAAATGAAAGTGTAAAGACAGCATAGCAAAACTTACGGGATACAGCAAAAGCAGTACTAAGAGGAAAGCTTATGGAAATAAATGCCCATATCAAAAAAATAGATTTCAAACCAAATTATGCACCACAAGGGACTAACAAATTAAGAACAAACCAAACCTAAATTTAGTAGAAGGAAAGAAATAACAGAGATCAAAGCAGAATTAAGTGAAATAAAGGCTAAAGTTACAGTACAAAAATCAATGAATCTAAAAGTTGTTTTTTAAATCAATAAACAAAATCAAAACACCACTTTCTAGACTAACCAAGAAAAAAACAGAGAAGACTGAAACATAACATAATCGTACATTAAAAAGGAAATATTAAAATTGATACCACAGAAATACAAATGACTCTTACAGACCATTATAAACAACTATATGTTAATAAACTGGAAGATCTAGGGGAAAATGATAAATTCCTGAACATATACAATCTAACAAGATTAAATCAGGAATAAATAGAAAACCTGATCAGCCCTATAATAAGTAATGAGATTGAATCAGTAATAAAATGTCTCCCTCCAAAATAGCTCATGACTAGATGGTTTTACTGCCAAATTGTCCTAAGCTTATAAAGAAGAGTTAATATCAATTCTTCTCAAACTATTTTAAAAAATTGGAGAAGGAAATTCCTCCTAACTCATTCTCCCAGGCCAACATTATCCTGATACCAAACTCAGACATGGACATACACACACCCTCACAAACACATGCAAACACACACACACCCCACTTCAGGCCAATATCCACGATGAATAAAGGCACAAAAATCCTCAACAAAATATGAGCAAGCCAAATCCAATGGCACCTCTAAAAGATAATACACTATGATCAAACAGGATTTATCCAAGGGATGCAAAGATAATTCAGCATAAGCAAATTAATAAGTGTGATACATCAGCAGAATTAAGTACACAAAATATATGATCATCTTAATAGATGCAGCAAAAGGATATGATAAAATCAACATATCAACATCTCTTCATGATAAAAACTCTCAAGCACAGAAGAAGCATACCTCAACATAATGCAGGCCATATCTGACAAACCCATAGCTAACATCATACTGAATGGGGAAAAGCTAAAAGCTTTTCTCTAAGAACTAGAAAACACCATAAACGATTATTTTCATCAATTCTATTCAACAGAGTACTAGAGGCCCTAGCTAAAACAGGCAAGATAAAGAAATACAAGGCACCCAAATTGAAACAAGAAAGTAAAATTATTCCTCTTTGCAGATGACATGATTTTAAATTTAGAAAAACCTAGACTCCACCAAAAAATTCTTAGAACAGATAAACACATTCAGTCAAGTAGCAAGTTACAAAATCAACTTACAAAATTAGTAACGTTTCTATATGCCAGCTCTGAACAATCTGAAAAATAAACCAAGAAATAACTTACCAAATGTAAGTCCCTTTTACAATAGCTACAAATAAAATAAGATACCTAGGAATAAATTTTACCATGGAGGGAAAAGGCCTCTATAAGGAAAACTACAAAATATTGATGAAATAAATTGAAGATGATACAAGTAAATGGAAAAAATCCTATGTTCATGGATTGAAATGATTAATATCCTTAAAATGACCATACTACCAAAAGTAATCTACAGTTTTAATGCAATCCCTGAAAATATACCAATGTCATTCATCACAGAAATGGAAAAGAAAACCCTAAAATGTGAATGGAACCAAAAAAGAGCCCTAATAACTAAAGTATTTCTGAACAATAAGAACAAAACTGGAGGCATCACAATATCTAAATTTAAAATATACTATAAGACTATAATAACCAAATAGCATGTATTGGCAAAAAGCAGACACATTGGCCAATAAAACAGAATAAAGAACCCAGAAATTAATCCACATATTTACAGTCAACTGATTTGCAACAAAGGTGGCAAGAACATACATTTGGGAAAGGATGTCCTCTTCAGTAAATGGTGTGGGAAAACTGGATATCCACGGGCAGAAAAATGAAACTAGGCCTCTATCTTTCATTATATCAAAACATCAACTCAAAGTGGATTAAAGACTTAAGACTCAAGACTATACAATTACTACACAAAACCATAGAGGAAATGCCTTAGAACATAGGCGTAAGTGAAGACTTTATGGTTAAGACTTCAAAACCACAGGCAAAAAAAAAAAAAATAGACAAATAGGACCATATTAAACTAAAAAGCCTTCTGTACAACAAAGAAAACAATCAACAGAATGAGGAGACTAACTGTTGAACAGAACAAAATATTTGCAAACTCTTCATTCAACAAGAGACTAAAATTCAGAATATATAAGAAATTGAAATAACTCAACACCAGTAAAACGATCACATTTAAAAGCATTTGAAAGATCTGACTGAATAGACATTTCTCAACAGAAGACATACAAATGGCCAACAAGAATATAAAGATGTTCAACATCTCTACTCAGCAGGGAAATGCAGATCAAAACCGCAATGTGATATCATCTTACCCCAGTTAGGATGGCTATTATCAGGAAAGAGAACCAAACAAATGAATGCTGGTGAGAAGGCAGATAAAAGGAATTTCTTATACACTGTTGGTAGAAATGCAAATTAGTATAGCCATTATAAAAAACAACTTGAAAATTTCTCAAAAGACAAAAAGAAATACCATATGATTCAGTGATATCACTACTGGGTATTTATTCAAATAAAATGATTCACTATTTCAAACAGACATCTGCACTTCCATGTTCATTGCAGCACTATTCACAATAGGAAAGATCGGAGTCAACCTTTGTGTCTAACAGCAGATGAATGCATAAAGTAAGAGTGGCATATATACATAATAAAATACTATTTGGTCATAAAAATAATATCCTGTCATTTGAATGGAATTAGAAGTTAATATATTAAGTAAAATAAACCAAGCACAGAAAAAAAGTGTGTGTTCCCACTCAAATTTGAAAGCTAAAATGTTGTTCTCATGGAGAAAGAGTAAGATCATCTCAGACCAGGGGCTGAGAAGGGTGTGTGTGTCAGGGTGTGGGTGTGATGGAAGGTAGATTAACTGGGATAAACATACATTTAAATAGAAGAAATATATTTTACTGTTCAACAGCACAATAGGATGAGCATAGTTAACAACAATATTGTGTATATTTCATAATAGCTAGAAGAGAAATCTGAAATTTTTCCAACATAAATGAATAATAAATGTTTGAGGTGACAGATATTATAAATATTCTTATATAATCATTACACATTTTTCTGGGTATTAAAATATTACATGTACCCCATAAATACATACAAATAGGTGTTCAATAAAATAATAAATAACAAAGCTTCAAAGGACAGGCCCACTTTTTTTGTCAGGAGCTAATGGCACTGATGACTTTAACTTGAAGCCAATTCTCATTTACAATTTCAAAAATCCTAGGGCCCTTAAGCATTATGCTAAATCTACTCTGCTAGTGCTCTATAACTGGAACAACAAATCTTGGGTGACAGCCCATCTGTTTACAGAATGATTTACTGAATATTTTAAGCCCAGTTTTGAGACTAACTGCTCAGAATAAAATATGTCTTTCAAAATATTGTTGCTTTTGGACCCAAGGGGGCTGATGGAGAGATACAAGGATATGAATGATGTTTTCATGCCTGCTAACACAACATCGTTTTGCAGCCATAGATCAAGGAGTAATTCTGACTTTCAAGTCCTACTATTAAAGAAACACGTTTTGTGTGTCTATAGCTGTCACAAACAGTGATTCCTCTAATGGATATTGGCAAAGTAAATTTGAAACTTTCTGGAGAGGAATTACCATTCTAAATGTCATTGTGAACATTGGTGATTCATGGAAGAAGGTCAAAATATCAACATGAACATGTGTTTGGAAGAAGTTGATACAAAACTTTATGGATGACTTTGATGGGTTTAAGTCTTCAATGGAGGAAGTAACTGCAGATGGGGTTGATAGCAATAGAACTAGCATTAGAAGTGAAGCCTGAAGATATGACTGAATTGCTGAAATCTCCAATAAAACTTGAATGGATAAGTAACTCCCTCATCTGGATAAGGAAAGAAAGCATTTTTTGAGATGGCATCTACTTGTGGTGAAAATGCTGTGAACATTGATGAAATGACAAAAAACCATTTAGAATATTACAGAATAATAGTTGATAAGACAGTGGAACAGCTGGAGAGGATTGATCTCTATTTCGAAAGAAGTTTTACTGTGGACAAAACACTATCAAACAACATTACATGCTACAGAGAAATCATGGATTAAAGAAAGAGTCAATTTATGTGGCAAAATTTATTGTTGCCTTATTTTAAGAAATTGCCACAGCCACACCAAACTTCAGCAATCATCACCATGATTAGTCAGCAGCCATCAATATTGAAGCTGTATCCTCCACCAGCCAAAAGATTTTGACATGCTGAAGGCTCAGATGATCATTAGCATTTTTAGTAAGAAAGTATTTATTAATATACATACATTGTTTAGACATAATACTATTGCACACTTCACAGACTTCAGTATTGTGTAAACATAATATTTATATGCACTGGGAAATTGAAACATTTTTGGGACTCTTTGCATTATAATATTTGCTTAATTGCAGTGATCTGGACCTGATCCCTCAACATCTTTAAGATATGATTTTATCTCTTTGAAGACACAACACTTTATTATCTTTTTCATTAGTTATATATTTACTAGAACTTCTATCAAGAAGTTTTATAGTTTTACTGTTATATATGTATATAATTGTTATATATGTATGAAGTTCTATATGTATAAAACTATGTATATATAGTTATATATGTATATATGACTATATGTGTGTGTGCATGTTTCTTCTTTTTCAATTTTTATTTTAAAATCAGAGAGTACATGTGCAGGTTTGTTACAAAGGTATATTACATGATACTGAGGTTTGGGGTATGACTGAACTTGTCACCCAAGTAGTGAGCATAGTACCTAATAGGTAGTTTTTCAGCTCTTGCTCTTCTCCCCCTCTTCTTCCTCTAGTAGTCCCCAGTGTCTATGGTTCCCTTCTTTATGTCCCTGTATACTCAATGTTTAGCACCCACTTATACATGAGAACATGTGGTATTTGGTTTTCTCTTCACTTAGGATAATGGCCTCCAGCTGCATCCATGTTTCTGCAAAGGACATGATCTCATTCTTTTTATGGCTGCATAGTATATGTGTATATGTACCACATTTTCTTTATCCAATCCACTGTTGCTGGGCACTTGGGTTGATTCTATGGTTTTTCTACCATGAACAGTGCTGCAATGCACATATGGGTGCATGTGTTCTTTTGGTAGAATGATTTATTTTCCTTTAGGTATATACGCAGTAATGGGATTGCTGGATCAACTGGTAGTTCCACTTTTAGTTCTTAAAGAAATTTCCCTGCTGTTGTCCACAGTGGCTGAATTAATTTCCATTCCAATTGATAGTGGATAAGTGTCCCCTTTTCTCTGAAGCCCTGCCAATATCTGTAATTTCTCTGGTGATTAGTGATGATGAGCATTTTTTTCATATGTTTCTGGGCCACTTGTATATTGTTTCTTGAGATGTTTATTCATATCCTTTGCACAGTTTTTAATGGAGTTATTTGCTTTTTGCTCGTTAATTTAAGTTCCTTATAGATTCTGGAAATTAGACCTCTGTTGGATATATAGTTTGTGAATATTTCTTCTATTCTATATATGATCTGTTTACTGCCTTGGTAATTTATTTTGCTATGTGGAAGCTCTTTTTTTATTATTTATTTATTTATTTATTTTGAGATGTAGTCTCGCTCTGTTGCCCAGGCTGGAGTGCAGTGGCACGATCTCGGCTCACTGCAACCTCCACCTCCCGGGTTCAAGCGATTCCCCTGCCTCAGCCTCCCAAGTAGCTGGTACTACAGGTGCATGCCACCACGCCCAGCTAATTTGTATTTTTAGTAGAGATGGAGTTTCACTGTGTTAGCCAGGATGGTCTCGATCTCCTCACCTCTTGATCTGCTCACCTTGGCCTCCCCAAGGAAGCTCTTTAATTAGGTTCGCTTATCAATTTTTGTTTTTGCTGCAATTGCTTTTGAAGACCTAGCCACAAATTATTTGCCAAGACTGACACTAAGAGTACTTCCTAGGTTTTCCTCTATAGCTTTTATAGTCTGAGGTCTTACATTTGTCTTGAATTCACCTTGAGTTAATTTTTCTATATAGTTAAAGGTAGAGTTCTAGTATCATTCCTTGGCATAAAGATGGCCAGTTATCCCAGAGCCATTTATTGAGAAGAGAGTTTTTCCTCATTTATAATCTTTGTTGAGTTTGTCAAAGCTATAGGTGTTTAGCTTTATTTCTGTGTTCTCTATTTTTTCCCTTGGTCTATGTGCCTGTTTTTGTACCAGTACCATGCTACTTTGGTTACTATAGCTTTATAGTATAGTTTAAAGTCAGTTAATGTAATTCCTTTGGCTTTGTTCCTTTATCTTAGGATTGCTTGACACATATTTTAGAATTATAATTACTTGTTAAATCCCCCCCCCAAAAAATCAGAATAAAGCAATTACCAGTGGACAAAAAGACTTAAAGTGGCCATGGTTAAAGACCTGATGGGACTTTATTATACTCCACAATCAAAAATAAAATTAGGTTATTTCTGTGGCATAACATTTTAACATAACCAAAATGATGACTAAAAACATTAATTTCTAGGGAGCTTATACAATTTTCATGCAAATATACCAATAACATATTTATATAAATATTACTCAAAGAATGTTAAATATAATTTATTGACAATAAATTCTGTATAATTTTAACATAGCAAATAAGGCCAATTAGTTTAATATATTTCTCCTATGTTTCCAGTGGCCCTTCTGAAATGTCCAAAAGTTAGTTTAAGGTTGAAAAGCCTTAATTTAGTTCTTGGAATTTGATTTTGGAAAGTCTGCCAAATATGTAAAGGTTTATAACACTTGATTATAATAGAATTACAGATCATTATGAGATCATAGTTATTAATTTAAACAAAACACCAAATAAAGACAGCGTGATACAGAATGTCTTTCTGTCTCTCTTCCCTGTTTTTCCTTTTCTTTTTGTTTTTGCAGTTGACTTAAAAAGTAAACAAAAATCTGTTACTGTATCTTATCAATATTATACAAACATCATGCTTAAAATAAAAAACAAATTCTAGTTTTATATCAATGTATTTTTGGATATTAAAGTGCAATTTTTAAAACCCTGATAATAAACTTGTTTAATCTTAGCGCATTTTATCACATGTAAAATTTCTTTTATAAAATTGTATAACCTTTATAACATTGATATTCATTCAGCTTTAGGTATATAATTTATTTTTGTATTCTTTCATTCTGAAACAACCCTTAAACAACCTGTAAACACTACTACTTTTTCTTCAACAAAAACCACATCCTCAGGCTTTCATTATAAACTTATTTACCAAAAATATATCTTGCTTTTCTTGTACACTTTGCATACCAAATTTTCCCCTTATTTCTAGTAGTTTAAATTACAGATGTTAATGACAATTTTAACTCATAATGATATAGTTTGAATATATGTCCCTACCATGTCTCATGTTGAATTGTAATCCCTAATGTTGCAGGTGGGGCCTAGTGGGAAGTGTTTAGGCCATGGGAAAAGATCTCTCATGGTTTGGTGCTATCCTCACAACAGTGAGTGAGTTCTCAGGAGATCTGTTTTTTTAAAAGTGTGTGGCACCTCCCCCTTCTCTTTCTCTTGCTCCCACTCTCACCATGTGACATGGTTTGGCTGCATCCCCACCCAAATCTCATCTTGAATTGTAGCTCCCATAATCCCTACCTGTTGTGGGAGGAGCTTAGTGGGAGGTAATTGAATCATGAGGGCAGTTACCCCCACGCTCCTGGTCTTGTGATAATGAGTGAGTTCTCACAAGATCTGATTTTTTTTTTTTTTGATACAGATTCTAGCTCTATCTCCCAGGCTGGGGTGCAGTGGTGCAATCTCAGCTCACTGCAACCTCCACCTTCTGGTTCAAGTGATTCTCCTGCCTCAGCCTCCTGAGTAGCTGGGACTATGGGCGCATGCCACCATGCCCAGCTAATTTTTGTATTTTCAGTAGAGACAAGGTTTCACCATATTGGTCAGGCTGGTCTTGAACTCCTGACCTCGTGATCCGCCCACTTTGGCCTCCCAAAGTGCTGGGATTACAGGTGTGAGCCACCGCACCCGGCCAATCTGATGGTTTTATAAGGGGCTTTTCCTGCTTTTGCTTAGCACTTCTCTTTCCTGCCACCATGTGAAGACGGACGTATTTGCTTCCCCTTCCACCATGACTGTAACTTTCCTGGGGCCTCCCCACCCCTATGGAACTGTGAATCAATTAAACCTCTTTCCTTTATAAATTACCCAGTCTCAGGTATTTCTTCATAGCAGCGTGAGAATGGACTAAAACACCATGTGATATGGTGCCTATTCCTCTTTGTATTCCCTCCCTGAGGCCTCTCTAGAAGTCAAGCAGATGCCAGTGCCATGCCTGCTGTACAGCCTGCAGAACTGTGAGTCAATTAAACATCTTTTTTTTATCAATTACTCACTCTCAGGTATTTCTTTCTGGCAATGCAAGAGTGGCCTGATACATATAGTAACCTACATTTCTAGTGAAAACCAAGGTATTAACTCACTTTAATTGTCACATACCAATATTTTATGAATATATATTTCATAATTTCTAAATATATAGGAATCTTCAAAGTTTTGAATGTGGAACATACTAAGAAATCAAAAAATATTCTGTTTCTTTGTAATGAGAAGCAACAAGTAAATATATTTAAACCCTTTGTTAATGTTTCAGTAGTTTGTCTTATTTGAAAATTCTATGAATAGCTATCATTCAATTTAACTTGGCAAAAGTTTAAGTGTATAGTTACGAATGAATTTGGAAAATCTTTAAAGTAAACATATCATTAAACATAATTATTGTAAAAGAAGTATGTTTATAGACTCTTATTGCACCTGTATCTATTTAATTTCTTCATCCTTAACAATTACAGAAACATTTTTGAGATACTAGACAATGCTTAGTCATTATCTCGAGTTATTTTTCTATTAACCAGCTTTATAGTACATGCACATTAGGCAATTACCATGAAAGAAAAACCCCCAAAGTTAATTACGTGAGTATTTTGTTGATAACTTATAAGACAAGCTGTTTCTACTAAACCAGCAATGTTTAATAGTCTTATTCACAAAGATGTACCCATATCACAGGAACTTGAAAAGCATTTAGGTTAGCTATTTAATTTGGGAGTGTCTATATATTTCTCAGTCAGTTTCGTAGCATGTAGACTATACACAAGGACATGTACAGACATATAAATACATGTAAATACAATATATGATGCACACATGCACACACGTATATATTCAAAAGCCCAGTGATCAGGGGGCTCAATGTAAAAGAGAGCAGAGTTTCAGACCTGAGAGAAATCCACCCACGGCTCCTCAGGCTTTGTGAAAAAAACAGAGTCTCCCAAGAAGGGATCAGTGGTGCTTTTTCTGTGTTGCTCAAGAGGTGAAATATTTTGATTTCCTTTGGTAGTATAAACCTCTGTACACAGATACATGTGAACATACATTTGAACATACTCTATCTGGGGTTAGAATCTATGCTTTATCCGTTACATTAGAGTTCTTGTACTATTTTCTGCCACTGAGACCAATGCTAAAAATATCAATGCTCTGCATTTATTTAAACATGGAAATCAGCTACATGCATCTCTTCACCTGAAACACAGACAGTTAACAATGAAAAGCAAATGAGAGTTAATTTTGAACAGGTACATAAAAAAGAGAGTAAGCATTAAAAACTCCATAGTGTGGAATGAGCATAGAAGAGTTCTGGTTTAACTTTAGGAAATCTTTTAGCAAGTTTTGTTGTGGGACCCCTGGAAGAGTATGGGAAGGCCTAGAAGTTTCCTTTCTGCTCCTAGTAACAGCATTGAGCTATTTTTGAGGATGTTTGCAAAAAAGTAGCTACGATATTAGTACACAAAAGGATAACTAGAAATCTGTGGAGGCTGGACAAGACATTCTAGAATTTCTATGACATTTCCCAGGAGTCTGTCATTTCAGGAGTGAATAGTAAACTAATGAGGTAAATGTTTCTCTTCTTTTTTTGTTAAAATAAGACAGTCACCCTGTGTTAATGCCTCATTTATCCTGTGAGCTTCCTGTGTATTTTTGATCAGTTGCAATATTATGCTTGCATATTTTTGCTTTTTTGTAATGTTTCATTTGTTTTACACATTTGTCCAAAACTCGGGGGACAAAAGAATGTGTACTAGTAAGACTACTAACAGTAAAAGACTACTGTAATAACTTTGTTTAGGAAAGCTATCCACTCTGTTCTAATTATTTTCTTATTTCTGTGGATTAAATGAAAATGTTCCTGTAAAAGTTTGAGCATAATACCTGGCACATAGTAATCATTCAAAGGACAGTAGTTATATATTTATCCAATATGGTAATTGTTTTTATGATCACTATTTTTAAACCTTCTACAGTGTGGAAAAAAATACAAAATACGTGCCACCAAATATGGCTTAGAAAGCTTTGCAATTTTTTGTGAAGTATTAGATTAAGAGAAGATACATTTGATAGCATCGTTTAATTTCTGTTTTCAAGTAATTCATCTGGAGTATCCTAAATCAACTTGAAAGTCTTATTAAGACAAATGTAATATGAAACACTCCTGGAACAATAATATTTTGAAAAAAAATTATTAGAAAAATTAATAAACACAAAGTCAGAGGTCACATTTGAAAATCTGCATTACCTCTTACTGCCTTTATAAATTTAACTTTCTGGAGTTTTCAGTCTCCGTATAATATAATGGTCTTGTATCAGTGTAAATATCACAAGAAACAAGTAAACAAAGGAGGTAAAAATTTGGAACATAGACTATAAGACAAATAGAAAACTTTTTATGTTCCATTGTTTCACTCAATAGGGCTATTTTTATGTAAAACATTTTCAATCAAAATATCTAGCTTTGTCCACTTGAATTGCTTGGGTATGCTAAGATAGTTCAGCTCTCAACTACTGTACCTATGGGATTTCTACCCCCAAACAACATTATGAATGAAAACAGGTGTTTATAGAGTCAGAAAAATATGTGTTTAAATCCTACCTGCACCATTTACCACGTCTACACTATCTTGGATAATCATTCTGTGACTCATTTCTCTCTTCTGTAAAAGAGAAGTCTCATCTAAGTCAGGGGTCCCCAACCCCCAGGGCATATACTGGTACCAGAGTCTGTGGTCTGTTAGGATCCCATCCTTACAGTAGGAGGTGAGCAGCAGGCGGAGCAGCAAGCATTAATGCCCGAGCTCCACCGCCTGTCAGATCAGTGGCGGCTTTAGATTGGAATAGGAGTGCGAACCCTACTGTGAACTCCAAATGCCAGGGATCTAGATTGCAGGCTCATTATGAAAATATAATTAATGCCTGATGTTCTGAAACCATCATGACTCAAACCACACCCTCCCCTCACCCCCTTGGGAAAAAACTGGCTTCCATGAAACTGGTCCCTGGTGCCAAAAAAGTTGCCGGCTGCTGATGTAAATGACAGGACGGCTATAAGAACTGTTATCTGTAACCTGTAGAGTGACACATAACACAGTGCTTGGTATATCATCCATGCTCAAAAACGGCGGTGCTGTTTCTGATTGTTCTGCTTCTCTCCCTCATAATCGTACAATTCCCTCAGTACATGCTTGAGAGGATGCAGTGAAATATCGACATAAAGAGCGTTAGGGCAAATTATAAGACATAAGAATAAGAGACAGTTTAAAAAAGAGAAATTGATGCAAATTTATTTTCTATAGAATAGAAAGCAACCTTGAGAAACTAATACAAAACTTAGAAAACTCTTAATTATACAAATTGCCAGCTCTGCTGGGAGGTCAACATCCTTTCTAAGATACAATAATAAGTTGTGTAGGCAGAAGAGCCCACTCGGCTTCACAGAAGGAGGAATAAAATTGGGCCACTTTGTCCTGAGTTCTAAAGCATAATTCAAATGGTATTTTAACAAGTAGTTCAACTATGTTATTTGTCAAATAGGCTTTTGTAATATGGCCTAGGGGAGCTGACAGTCTTATAGAATATTATTTCTGAAAAGCATAATTGTCAAGTTCCAAGCAATTGACTTATATGCACATGTTAACACTGTAGCATTTGCTAGTTGAAGATGATATGATTTAATATTAACACATCAGAATAATAAGGTATTTTAAAAATCTAGGCCTCTACAATTGATGTCTGCTTAAGATGTTTACTGACTCCTAATTCTCAAACTTTCTCTCTTCTGCCAACCCAGAGTAACATTGCAGTAAACCTATTTTAAGTAAACCAGCAGGAAAAAATTCACTGATTTGAAGGTGTGAGTTATGGCATCTAGGAAAATGCTTTATATTTAGGGTTGCTAGATAAAATAAAAGACTCCCATTTTAATTTAAATTTAGGATAAATTATGAGTACTTTGTTAGTATAAGTCTGTCCTATGCAAACTTTTCTAACTACTGACTAGTTTATGTTGCAGGATATATTATGTATGTGTTTGTATGTGTATGTATGCATTTATATAGACCTATAAAATATATTTAAAAGTACACACATATATGTCTATGTATGTATATAAGCATATATAAGCTTTATAAAAATATATACCCTTCATATATATATATACACACACATATGTGTGTGTTATAAAACCTCTATGTGTGCACACACACACACATCCTTTACAGCCTTGTGTAGCATTTTCTGACACCACTTCTGAAATTAAGTGCGTGTGTGTGTGTGTGTGTGTGTGTGTGTGTTGAGATGGAATCTGTCTCCAGGCTGGAGTGTAGTGGCACGATCCCGGCTCATTGCAACTTCTGCCTCCCAGATTTAAGCAATTCTCATGTCTCAGTCTCCTGAGTATCTGGGATTACAGGTGTGCACCACCATACCTGGCTAATTTTGACGTTTTTAGTAGAGACAGAGTTTCACCATGTTGGCCAGGCTGGTCTTGAACTCCTGACCTCAGGTGATCTACCCACCTCAATCTCCTAAAGTGCTGGGATTACAGGCATGGGCCACCGTGCCTGGCCATGTGTGTTTCTTAAAACAAGTACATGTTTTTCTACATCAAACAATTCTTCAACTCTCTGACAAACTGGGAGTAGATGAAATCAATAAAATTCTGACACTAACTCCTGGAGTTAGTCCAGACCCTAAAGGTTAAGGACTTCATCCCAGGAGCCTACCCCACATCAGAGATCAGCCACAAATAGGGCCCCAGGCAACCCAAACTTCTTCCCAGCTGGCTAAACAATTGTGGGAGGGGGTCCCAGGGCCTTCTCCTAGGTTTCATAATTTCCTAGAATAACTCACAGAACTCACAAAAGCACTTTACTTATAATTATTGGTTTATTATAAAAGACGCAATTCAGAAAGAGCAAAATAGGATGTTGCATGAAGCCAGGTGTGGGGTAGGGATGGGGTTGTGGATGCAGCCTACCACTTTCCCAGCACATTGCTGTGTTCACCAACCTGGAAAGTCTCCAAATCTTGTTTAAGAGGATTTCTAACTCAATCTCCAGCCTTCCTCTCTGCCCAAGAGATTGGAAGATGGAGGTGAAAATTCCCATTTTATTCATGAGTTTGATCTTTTCTGTTGGCCAACTCCCTCTTCCTTCTAAAGTTTTGCACCATCACCTCATTAGCAAAAACTCAGGTATGGGCTGGACGCGGTGGCTCACTCTTGTAATCCCATGTAATCCCAGCATATTGGGAGGCCGAGGCAGGCTGATCATTTGAGGTCAGAGGTTCAAGACCAGCCTGGCCAAAATGGTGAAACCCCGTCTCTACTAAAAAGTACAAAACTTAGCCAGATGTGGTGGGACATGCCTTTAATCCCAGCTACTCTGGAGGCTGAGTTGGGAGAATCGGTTGAACCCGGGAGGCAGAGGTTGTAGTGGGCTGAGATCACGCCACTGTACTCCAGCCTTGGGTGACAGAGCAAGACTCCTGCTCAAAAAAAAAAAAAAAAAAAAAAAGAACTCTCAGGTATGGTTTATTATGAATATCAAAAGTCACTCCCACTATTCAGTAAATTCCAAGGATTTTAGCAGTTGTGTGTGTGTTTATGTACACACAAATATACACATACACACACACATAATAAAACAAAAATAAATGCATGTATTTGTAAAATGTTATTTCAAAATTCAATATAATTCAGGAAAAAACATTTACTCTAGTTTGCCTTTGCACTAGATCTAGGAACAATGATTCTAATGAACTCTTAGATATGTGGAAAAAGACACTGGAATATTTTAGAAAGTGAGAGTTATAGATTCAGTTCTGCCCTTAACCTATTGTGTAATAATCAGAAACGTACTTGACTTTACTGAAGTGAATATTCCTTTTTCACTAAATGAGTGATTGGACTAGGTAACTGCCCATAAGCTTTCTATAATTTGTGTTTTCAAAAATATGAAGAGTATATTTAAAACCAATGAAACACCAGATGTTTTCAATATCTTAGGAACATGTCTTTCCATACAAATGAAGACATAAAAGATGGCTATACTAATAACAAGGCATTTTCTCCTATCAATTTAATAATATAAGCACAATTCTAGGCCTTTATTTAAATGAATAAAAACATATTAATAAATATATTTTATAATTCAGATGCACCTTGATCTAGGTTTATCAGAATTTTGTTTTTCAGCTCTTGGCTTTCCCCTTTCTTGGTTCCCCCCTTTTTAATATATTCCTTTGTCTATATTTTGTAAAGATAAGGTAGGAAATAAAAGTATACTGAATTGGGAATAAGAGGCCATCATAAGGCTAAATAGGGTGAGCTGTTGACATTTTATTCATCAGTTTGTCATTCATAGGATCAATATCACTTTGTGCTTGGAATTATACTAGAGAGAAACAGAATACAAAATCCACTGGATCCACTGGTAGGCCGGGCGCGGTGGCTCATGCCTGTAATCCCAGAACTTTGGTAGGCCCAAGTGGGTGGATCATCTTAGGTCAGGAGTTCAAGACCAGCCTAACCAACATGGTGAAACCCCGTCTCTACTAAAAATACAAAAAATTAGCCAGGCATGGTAGTCCATGCCTGTAATCCCAGCTACTTGGGAGGCTGAGGCAGGAGAATCGCTTGAACCCGGGAGGCAGAGATTGCAGTGAGCCAAGATTGTACCACTGCACTCCAGACTGGGCGACAGAGTGAGACTTCGATTAAAAAAAAAAAAAAATTCCACGAGTATTCTGAAACTCAGGGGAGAGGTATGAACTGCAGAGAGAGATTTGGCCATTGCCAGTAAAAAGTAGTAACTGATTTTAGGAATATGTATACTAATAAGAAGAAGAAAGAAGGGGGAGGAGAAAGAGGAAGGAGAAAAGGAGAAAGAAGAAAAGACCAACACAATCGTCACAAACCTCATTTGAGAAATAATAATCAATTTTTTAAAATTTGTTTCATTCTATTTTTCAAGAAGGGACAAAGATATAGTATAAGCAACCTACTTATGTTACTAAGCTTTGACATCTGTAAGACTGAGTATAATGTTAATATGCAAAAGATTCATTCAAGTTTCTCATTTTGAAAATTTAATCATCACCTAAGTTAATTTAGTAACTACTATACATTGTCACTAAAACTTTGTTCAGCATGTAGTAGGATTTTTAATAAATTATTTATAATGAATTCATTATTTAATATGTTATAACTGCACATTATGCACATCTTAATATTTATTATCAGAGACAACTTGATGCAAAGATGTTCTTTTTTCATGAACACATTTTTTTTTAAAAGCCATTTACAGATAATAAACCATTAGTCAGCCAACCAAAAGATACTCTGGGGAGCTTACAATGTGCAATTACAAGAGATAATTGAAAGCACTGACTAGGTAATAGAGTGTTGGAATACATTTTTGTGTATTGTTTTGTTTTTGTTTTATAATATTGCTTAAATTTCTGATATCAAAAGTCAATAATGTTAAGTTGTCTGGAAAAGCAAATCTAAACATGGCTTTCTTTGGGTAAGCAAATGATAGCCAGTATGAAAGTCTACCTTGGAGAGCCAAGCATAGCCTTCCAGGAATAGAACATTTGATCAGAGTCAAAAAATAACAAGATTTTTTTCAATAGAAAGTATTTTATTTAACGTTCTATGGTGTTTATCTTATTTACTTTTTAAAAAATATTTTGAATCTCAAGTACCTGAAAGTTAAGTTAGTCATATTTCTTTTTTGAAATTAAGTTAAAGCACTTTATTTTTAAAATTCTAATAAATATTTTAATTAACAAATAAAAATTTTATATATGGGGTACATGATATTTGTATACATTGTGAAATGTTCTTCAAGCTAATTAACATACATGTCATCTCATATAATTAAATTAACATTTTTTCTAGTGAAAACATTTAAAATCTCTCTGGAATTTGGAAGCATACAATACTTTATTATTATTTTTTAATTATACTTTAAGTTCTAGGGTACATGTGCACAAAGTGCAGGTTTGTTATGTATGTATATATGTGCCATGTTGGTGTGCTGCATCCATTAACTTGTCATTTACATTAAGCATATCTCCTAATGCTATCCCTCCCCACTCCCCCTACCCCATGACAGGCCCTGGTGTGTGATGTTCCCCTTCCTGTGTCCAAGTGTTCTCATTATTCAATTCCCACCTATGAGTGAGAACATGCAGTGTTAGGTTTTTTGTCCTTGAGATAGTTTGCTGAGAATGATGGTTTCCAGCTTCATCCATGTCCCTACAGAGGACATGAACTCATCCTTTTATATGGCTGCACAGTATTCCATGGTGTATATGTGTCACATTTTCTTAATCCAGTCTATCATTGATGGACATTTGGATTGGTTCCAAGTCTTTGCTATTGTGAATAGTGCCGCAATAAACATATGTGTGCATGTGTCTTTATAGCAGCATGAATTATAATCCTTTGGGTATATACCCAGTAATGGGATGGCTGGTTCAAATGGTATTTCTAATTCTAGATCCTTGAGGAATCGCCACACTGTCTTCCACAATGGTTGAACTACTTTACAGTCCCACCAACAGTGTAAAAGTGTTCCTATTTCTCCGCATCCTCTCCAGCACCTGTTGTTTCCTGACTTTTTAATGATCGCTATTCTAACTGGTGTGAGATGGTATCTCATTGTGGTTTTGATTTGCATTTCTCTGATGGCCAGTGATGAGGAGCATTTTTTCATGTGTCTGTTGGCTGCATAAATGTCTTCTCTTGAGAAGTGTCTGTTCATATCCTTTGCCCACTTTTTGATGGGGTTGTTTGTTTTTTTTCTTGTAAATTTGTTTGAGTTCTTTGTAGATTCTGGTTATTAGCCCTTTGTCAGATGAGTAGATTGCAAAAATTTTCTGCCATTCTGTAGGTTGCCGGTTCACTCTGATGGTAGTTTCTTTTGCTGTGCAGAAGCTCTTTAGTTTAATTAGATCCCATTTGTCCATTTTGGCTTTTATTGCCGTTGTTTTTGGTGTTTTAGACATGAAGTCCTTGCCCATGCCTGTGACCTGAATGTTATTGCCTAGGTTTTCTTCTAGGGTTTTTATAGTTTCAGGTCTAACATTTAAGTCTTTAATCCATCTTGAATTAATTTTTGTATAAGGTGTAAGGAAGGGATCCAGTTTCAGCTTTCTATGTATGGCTAGCCAGTTTTCCCAGAACCATTTATTAAATAGGGAATCCTTTCCCCATTTCTTGTTGTTGTCAGGTTTGTCAAAGATCAGATGGTTGTAGATGTGTGGTATTATTTCTGAGGGCTCTGTTCTGTTCCATTGGTCTATATCTCTGTTTTACTGCCAGTACCATGCTGTTTTGGTTACTACAGCCCTGTAGTATACTTTGAAGTCAGGTAGTGTGATGCCTCCAGCTTTGTTCTTTTGGCTTAGGATTTTCCTGGCAATGCGGGCCCTTTTTTGGTTCCATATGAACTTTAAAGTAGTTTTTTCAAATTCTGTGAAGAAAGTCGTTGGTAGCTTGATGGTGATGGCATTGAATCTATAAATTATCTTGGGCAGTATGGCCATTTTCACGATATTGATTCTTCCTATCCATGAGAATGTAATGTTTTTCCATTTGTTTGTCTCCTCTTTTATTTTGTTGAACAGTGATTTGTAGTTCTCTTTGAAGAGGTCCTTCACATCCCTTGTAAGTTGGATTCCTAGGTATTTTATTCTCATTGAAGCAATTGGGAGTTCACTCATGATTTGGCTCTCTGTTTGTCTGTTATTGGTGTATAAGAATGCTTGTGATTTTTGCACATTGATTTTGTATCCTGAGACTGCTGAAGTTGCTTATCAGCTTAAGGAGATTTTGAGCTGAAATGATGGGGTTTTCTAAATATACAATCATGTCATCTGCAAACAGGGATATTTTGACTTCCCCTTTTCCTAATTGAATACGCTTTATTTCTTTCTCCTGCCCGATTGCCCTGGCCAGAACTTCCAACACTATGCTGAATGGTGAGAGAGGGCATCCTTGTCTTGTGCCAGTTTTCAAAGGGAATGCTTCCAGTTTCTGCCCATTCAGTATGATATTGGCTGTGGGTTTGTCATAAATAGCTCTTATTATTTTGATATACATCCCATCAGTACCTAATTTATTGAGAGTTTTTAGCATGAAGGGCTGTTGAATTTTGTCGAAGGCCTTTTCTGCATCTATTGAGATAACCATGTAGGTTTTGTCTTTGGTTCTGTTTATATGCTGGGTTACGTTTATTGATTTGCATATGTTGAACCAGCCTTGCATCCCAGGGATGAAGCCCACTTGATCATGGTGGATAAGCTTTTTGATGTGCTGCTGGATTTGGTTTGCCAGTATTTTATTGAGGATTTTTGCATCAATGTTCATCAGGGATATTGGTCTAAAATTCTCTTTTTTTGTTGTGTCTTGCCAGGCTTTGGTATCAGGATGATGTTGGCCTCATAAAATGATTTATGGAGAATTCTTTCTTTTTCTATTGATTGAAATAGTTTCAGAAGGAGTGATACCAGCTCCTCCTTGTACCTCTGGTAGAATTCAGCTGTGACTCCATGGGGTCCTGGACTTTTTTTGGTTGGTAGGGTATTAATTATTGCCTCAATTTCAGAGCCTGTTATTGGTCTATTCAGGGATTCAACTTCTTCCTGGTTTAGTCCTGGGAGGGTGTATGTATCCAGGAATTTATCCATTTCTTCTAGATTTTCTAGTTTATTTGTGTAGAGGTGTTTATAGTATTCTCTGATGGTAGTTTGTATTTCTGTGGGATCGGTGGTGATATCCCCTTTATCATTGTGTCTATTTGATTCTTCTCTCTTTTCTTCTTTATTAATCTTGCTAGCATTCTATCAATTTTGTTGATCTTTTCAAAAAAACCAGCTCCTGGATTCATTGATTTTTTGAAGGTTTTTTTTGTGTTTCTATCTCCTTCAGTTCTGCTCTGATCTTAGTTATTTCTTGCCTTCTGCTAGCTTTCAAATGTGTTTGTTCTTGCTTCTCTAGTTCTTTTAATTGTGATGTTAGGGTGTCAATTTTAGATCTTTCCTGCTTTCTCTTGTGGGTATTTAGTGCTATAAATTTCACTCTACATACTGCTTTAAATGTGTCCCAGAGATTCTGGTATGTTGTGTCTTTGTTCTCATTGGTTTCAAAGAACATGTTCATTTCTGCCTTCATTTTGTTGTGTACCCAGTAGTCATTCAGGAGCAGGTTGTTTAGTTTCCATATAGTTGAGCGATTTGAGTGAGTTTGTCCATCCTCAGTTCTAGTTTGATTGCACTGTGGTCTGAGAGATAGTTTGTTATAATTTCTGTTCTTTTACATTTGCTGAGGAGTGCTTTACTTCCAACTATGTGGTCAATTTTGGAATAAGTGCGATGTGGTGCTGAGAAGAATGTATATTCTGTTGATTTGGGGTGGAGAGTTCTGTAGATTTCTATTAGGTCCACTTGGTGCGGAGCTGAGCTCAATTCCTGGATATCTGTTGCGGGAAGTCAGGGACCCCAAATGGAGGGACCAGCTGAAGCCATGGCAGAAGAACATAAATTGTGAAGATTTCATGGACATTTATTAGTTCCCCAAATTAATACTTTTATAATATCTTACACCTGTCTTTACTGCAGTCTCTGAACATAAATTGTGAAGATTTCATGGACACTTATCACTTCCCCAATCAATACCCTTGTGATTTCCTATGCCTGTCTTTACTTTAATCTCTTAAACCCATCATTTTTGTAAGCTGAGGAGGATGTATGTTGCCTCAGGACCCTGTGATGATTGTGTTAACTGCACAAATTGTTTGTAGAGCATGTGTGTTTGAACAATATGAAATCTAGGCACCTTGAAAAAAGAACAGGATAACAGCAATGTTCAGGGAACAAGAGAGATAACCTTAAACTCTGACTGCCTGTGAGCTGGGTGGAGCAGAGCCATAATTCTCTTCTTTCAAAAGCAAATGGGAGAAATATCACTGCATTCTTTTTCTCAGCAAGGAATGTCCCTGAGAAAGAGAATGTGCCCCTGAGGGTAGGCCTTTAAAATGGCCCTCTTGGGTGTGGCCGTCTTTTATGGTCAAGGTGTAGGGATGAAATAAACCCCAGTCTCCCATAGCGCTCCCAAGCTTATTAGGAAGAGGAAATTCCCACCTAATAAATTTTTGGTCAGACTGGTTGTCTGCTCTCAAACCCTGTCTCCTGATAAGATATTATCAATGACAATGGTGCCTGAAACTTCATTAGCAATTTTAATTTCGCCCCAGTCCTGTGGTCCTGTGATCTCTCCCTGCCTCCATTTGCCTTGTGATATTCTATTATTACCTTGTGAAGCACATGATCTCTGTAACCACACCCTATTCGTACACTCCCTCCCCTTTTGAAAATCACTAATAAAAACTTGCTGGTTTCACGGCTCAGAGGGCATCACAGAACCTACTGACATGTGATGTCTCCCCCGGATGCCTGGCTTTAAAATTTCTCTCTTTTGTACTCTGTCCCTTTATTTCTCAACCCAGCTGATGTTTAGGAAAATAGAAAAGAACCTATGTGACTATTGGGGAAAGGTTCCCCAATAGGTGTTCCTTTCCATGTTTAGTGCTTCTTTCAGGAGCTCTTTTAGGGCAGGCCTGGTGGTGACAAAATCTCTCAGCATTTGCTTGTATGTAAAGGATTTTATTTCTCCTTCACTTATGAAGCTTAGTTTGGCTGGATATGAAATTCTGGGTTGAAAATTCTTTTCTTTAAGAATGTTGAATATTGACCCCCACTCTCTTCTGGCTTGTAGAGTTTCTGCCGAGAGATCAGCTGTTAGTCTGATGGGCTTCCATTTGTGGGTAACCTGACCTTTCTCTCTGGCTGCCCTTAACATTTTTTCCTTCATTTCAACTTTGGTGAATCTGACAATTATGTGTCTTGGAGTTGCTCTTCCCAAGGAGTATCTTTGTGGCGTTCTCTGTATTTCCTGAATTTGAATGTTGGCCTGCCTTGCTAGATTGGGGAAATTCTCCTGGATAATATCCTGCAGAGTGTTTTCCAACTTGGTTCCATTCTCCCCGTCACTTTCAGGTACACCAATCTGACATAGATTTGGTCTTTTCACATAGTCCCATATTTCTTGGAGGCTTTGTTTATTTCTTTTTATTCTTTTTTCTCTTCTCACTTATTTTCATGTGTTTGATCTTCAATCACTGATACCCTGTCTTCCAGTTGATCGAATTGGCTACTGAAGCTTGTGCATTCATCACGTAGTTCTCGTGCCACGGTTTTCAGCTCCATCAGGTCATTTAAGGACTTCTCTACATTGGTTATTCTAGTTAGCCATTCGTCTAACCTTTTTTTCAGGTTTTTAGCTTCTTTTCGATGGGTTCAAACTTCCTCCTTTAGCTCGGAGAAGTCTGATCGTCTGAAGCCTTCTTCTCTCAACTTGTCAAAGTCATTCTCCATCCAGTTTTGTTCCATTGCTGGCAAGGAGTTGCATTCCTTTGGAGGGGGAGAGGAGCTCTGATTTTTACAATTTTCAGTTTTTCTGCTCTGTTTTTTTCCCCATCTTTGTGGTTTTATCTACCTTTGGTCTTTGATGATGGTGATGTACAGATGGGGTTTTGGTGTGGATGTCCTTTCTGTTTATTAGTTTTGCTTCTAACAGTCAGGACCATCAGCTGCAGGTCAGTGGGAGTTTGCAGGAGGTCCACTCTAGACCCTGTTTGCCTGGGTATCAGCAGCAGAGGCTGAAGAACAGCGAATATTGCTTAACAGCAAATGTTGCTGCCTGATCATTCCTTTGGAATCTTTGTGTCAGAGGGGTACCCGGCTGTGTTAGGTGTCAGTCTGCCCCTACTGGAGGGTGCCTCCCAGTTAGGCTACTCGGGGGTCAGGGACCCACTTGAGGGGGCAGTCTGTCTGTTCTCAGATCTCAAACTCCGTGCTGGGAGAACCACTACTCTCTTCAAAGCTGTCAGACAGGGACATTTAAGTTTGCAGAGGGTTCTGCTGCCTTCTGTTCGGCTGTGCCCTGCCCCCAGAGGTGGAGTCTACATAGGCAGGTAGGCCTCCTTGAGCTGTGATGGGCTCCACCCAGTTTGAGTTTCCTGGCCTCTTTGTTCACCTACTCAAGCCTCAGCAATGGTGGGCACCCCTCCCCCAGCCTTGCTGCCTCCTTGCAGATTGATCTCAGACTGCTGTGCTATCAATGAGCGAGGCTCCATCGGCATGGGACCCTCCGAGCCAGGTGTGGGATACAATATCCTGGTGTGCCGTTTGCTAAGACCGTTGGAAATCACAGTATTAGGGTGAGAGTCACCCAATTTTCCAAGTGCCATCTGTCACCGCTTCACTTGGCTAGGAAAGGGAATTCCCTGACCCCTTGTGCTTCCCAGGTGAGGTGATGCCTCGCCCTGCTTCAGCTCACGCTTGGTGGGCTGCACCCACTGTCCTGCCCCCACTGTCTGACAAGCCCCAGTGAGATGAACCCAGTACCTCAGTTGGAAATGCAGAAATCACCCATCTTCCGCGCCACTCACAATACTTTATTATTAAACACAGTCACCATGCTGTACAATAGATGTCCAGAACTTACTCCTTCTGTCTAACTGAAATGTGGTATCTTTTAGCCAACATTTTCCCATCTCCTCCTACTTTTCTAGCCCCTAATAACTACCATTCTACTGTCTGCTTCTATGAATTCAACTCTTTTAGATTCCACTTGTAAGTGAGATCATGTCGTATTTGTCTCTCTGTGTCTGGCTTAATTCACTTAGCATAATGTCTTTCAGGTTCATCTGGCTTATCACACATGGCAAGATTTCCTTCTTTTATGAGGCTGAATAGTATTCTATTGTGTATACGTAACACATTTACTTTATTCCCAGTTAATGAACACAGGTTGATTCCATATCTGGGTTATTGTGAATAATAATGTAATGAGCATGGGAGGGCAGATATAGCTTTGACATATTGATTTCATGTTCTTTGGATATACACCCAGTACTGGGATTGTGGGTGATATAGTAGTATTGCTTTTAATGTTTTGAGGAACTTTCATGATTTTTTTCTTAATGACTGTACTAATTTTAATTTCCACCAACAATGTACAAGAATTCCTTTTTCTCCACATTCTCATCAACACTTTTATCTTTTTGATAAAAGCCATTTTAACAGTTATAAAGTAATATCTCATCGTGTGTGTGTGTGTGTGTGTGTGTGTGTGTGTGTTTAAGAAGAGTCTGTCTCTGTGGCACAGACTGGAGTGCAGTGGCACAATTTTAGATCACTGCAGCCTTTGCCTCCCATATTCAGGTGATTCTCATGCCTTAGCCTCCAGAGTAGCTGAGATTACAGGCATGCGCCACCATGCCTGGCTAATTCTTGTATTTTTAGTAGAAACAGGGTTTCACCATGTTGGCCAGGCTGGTCTTGAACTCCTGACCTCAAGTGATCTGCCCACCTTGGCCTCCCAAAGTGCTGAGATTACAGGTGTGAGCCACCATGACCAGCTCATTGTGTTTTTAATTTGCATTTTCCTAATGGTTAGTAATGTTGAGAATTTTTTCATAAATCTGTTGGCCATTTTTATACCTTCTTTTGAAAAATGTCTATTCAAGTTCTTAGCCCATTTTTTAAATTGGGTTTTTTGTTTTCTTGGTGTTGAGTTGTTTGAGCTTTTAAAATATATTTTATATATTAACCCTTCATCAGATGTTCGTATAGAATCACAAAAGACCCAGAATAGTCAAAACAGTCTTGAAAGAAAACAACAAAGCTGGAAGCATCACCTTATCTGATCTCAAAATTTACTAAAATATGTAGTAATGAAATCATCACAGTACTGGCACAAAAACATACATATAGACCAATCAAAAAAAGACAGTGCAGAAATAAATCCACATATTTATGGTAAATTGATCTTCCACAGCAGTGCCAAGAACACTCAACAGGGAAAGGATTGTTTCTTCAATACATGGGGGTGAAAAATAAACTGAATGTGCACATGCAGAAGACTGATATTGGACCCTTATTTCAACTCTTATGAAAAAAATCAACTTAGAGTGGCTTAAACATGTAAGCGTAAGACCTGAAACTACACAACCACTAAAAGCAAACATAGAGAAAAAGCCTCTTGACATTGGTGGTGGCAAAGCTATTTTGGTTATGATCCCAAAAGCACAGCCAGCAAAAGAAAAAAGAGACAAATGGGATTGCATCAAACTGAAAAGTTTCTCACAAAAAAAATCACTACCAACAACGGCAACCACAAAATCAGTCAATAAAGTGAAAAGACAGGATTTGCAATGAAGAAAACATTTGCCATACATATGATAAGGTATTAATATTCAAGATAACAAGAATTTGCCAGGGAAAAAAGAGTGAGGAGGAAATGTCATAATGGAGTATCAATGCATACTGAAATGACCCTTTGCTCATTCATTTAACAGCTTTACTCTTGGCCCCTTTTATGTTCTGGGTAATTTTCAGATACATTGACACCCTTCATATTCAGAGAACTAAAGTAATTCAGTATTTCTGAGGCATGACACCTCTGCATATACTTAAAAAGAGTGAGATAACAGAGGTGGAAGAGAGATGAAGTAACGCAGGCAGGCCAGGGTCAAATTATGAAGGCTTACTCTACCACGTGAAGTCATTTAACTTAACTCTGTAGGGTCTGAGAGCCGCTGAAGAGTCTGGAGTAATCACACCATTTTTAAATTTTAGGAAAATCACATTACGGCAGGATGGCAGCAATTAAAGTGTGGTGATATTAGGCCGGGCATGGTGGCTCACGCCTGTAATCCCAGCACTTTGGGAGGCCGAGGCAGGCGGATCACGAGGTCAGGAGATCAAGACCATCCTGGCTAACATGGTGTAAACCCCGTCTCTACTAAAAAATAGAAAAAAAATAGCATTCCAGCCTGGGCAACAGAGCGAGACTCCATCTCAAAAAAAAAAAAGAAAAGAAAAAAAAAGTGTGGTGATATTGGAAGCAGGAATTTTAATAGAGCTATTTTATTACATTTAATATTTTGCTAGAAGTCTTGCTGCATATCAGTTCTTCATTTTCCTCCATTTGGCTTTGGTCTGCACCCACATTCATGGGTGAAGGAAGAGAGTCTCTTTAGAGAGAAGTTGAATACAGGGGGCCCTGGGGCCTCAAGAATTGCGCATCAGCTTCGCGATCCACTAACTGTGTGGATGTAAGAAAGTTACGTAACCTCTTTGAGCCTCAGTTTTAACATATGTAAAATGAAAAAAAAAAAAAAAGTAAATACTTACCAGGCCAGGTTAAGAATTGAATGCATTAATAATTCAAAGTTTAGACCGGGTTTCCAGATAAAATACAGAATGTCCACTTAGATTTGAATTTCAGATAAACAATAAATAAGTTTTTAGTGAAGGATGTCCTCCAAACAAAAAGAATATTGCCAAATATTGCATGGGACATACTTACATTTAAAAAGTAAATTGTTCATTATTTGTTTGAAATTCAAATTTAACTGACCATTTTTTATTTTTATTCACTAAGTCTGTTAAACATCCTTTCACCTAGTAAGCACTCTAGAGGCATTAATTCTTATTAGAACCAGCTTCTGTTACTAATTTGCATTTACATTCCAGGCACCTGTAGGTACTGGGGTTTGAAATCTCCTCTGGATTCTCTGAGATTTCTCCTTTTATTGAGCACATTACCCACATTCTCTGAAAATAGACATATTATTCTGATTCCTATGAACTTACGTGTATGCTATGACAGCTAAAATTGTGCTTTTAGATTTCATAAAATAATTTCACATAGGTACTTACAGGGAATTTCTCAAATTTTTCTGTACCGAAACTCTCAAGAACATTCAATACAGAGCTCAAAATCTTTTGTATAATTATGTACATAAGAAAATTAGCCCAGATCCTAGAGTCATATGCGAGTTTTTCCTTCTTGAACAATGAGATTTGTACTTTTTACTACCCATAGAACTATGCAACCATCTTCTGTTGCGCCTTTGTCTGTTTGTGAAGAAGCTAACGAAGTTTTCCCTCCTCTTAATCCTAGTATTCTCCTCCCTCCTGCTATAAATTGACAATTTCCTCTTAATTTTTTGTAATAATTTTTGCTTTTGTAGTATTTGAGATTACTATTGCAAAGGGTCTAAAATTACTTGGTGAAGGAAACAGAATTAAAATCTGTATAAAATTCTAAACTTATTCCTATTCTAAATATCTTCCCTCTATTTGCCTCTATTTAAATGATACAGAAGTAGGGGAGGGAAGCGCTAGGTAGAGGAGGGCATGGTCTTTGCCCGGGGCTCCACCCAAATGGACCTACCTGAGGTCAGGCATTTCCTGCCCAAATGTTGCATTCCCCCAGACCACTCTGGCCTGCCACGCCCCCATCCTGGGCCTATAAAAACCCGAGACCCTATTGGGCAGATGCGGAAGTGGCTGGACGTCATGAGGAACACATCAGCGGAAGAAGACAAAAGCAGCTGGTCTTGGAGAATCCGCCAGGGGAAGAGCACACTGGCAGGCACCGCAGGCCATCGATCGTCAGAAAGACACGGAGTTTGGCCAGAATTATCAGAGAAGAGTTTGGCCAGAGGGGTCAGAGAAGACTCCAGCGGAAAACCATCTCCCCTGTGACTCCAGAATCTTCTGAGAGCTACTTCTACTTAATAAAACCTTGCACTCATTCTCCAAGCCCACATGTGATCCGATTCATCCAGTACACCAAGGTAAGAAACCTCGGGATACAGAAATCCCTCTGTCCTTGTGAAAAGGAAGGGGGCGCTAATTGAGTTGGTTAATACAAGCTGCCTATACACGGCAACCTAAAAGAGCACCCTGTAACACAGGCCCACTGAGGCTTCAGCTGTGGTATTCACCCCTAGACACTGCTGTGGAGTCGCCGCACGACCTGCCCATCTGTATGCTCCCCTAGAGGTTTGAGCAGCAGGGTACTGAAGAAGTGAGCCACACCCCCATCGTACACCCTTTGACAGAGACAAGGGAACCTTTCCCGTTTCAGTAGTAAACATTGTTGGAATTATACACATTAGGTAAATTGGTTTATGAACTGGGGTGATATTCATTCTGTCTACCTACCTACCTATCTAATGTGTCTTTATCCTTTCAGTTTTATATATAGGGCTGGAAAGTGAGAATACAAAATACATTATCACTATTCTGCATGTACCATTTTTTACTATCTCTTGCACACATACTCCAGGTTCTAGTCACAAAGGATCTAATGAACCGATCAAAGCCAAAGTAATAACATTGTCTGCCTTCCCCACTTATGCACACGTTTTGTTTTGCAATAAAAGGCTGAGGAAAAGGGACACTGATTAATAAAAATTCTCAGATATACATGGTAAGTTTCAGGCATTGTGGCACCAATGTCTGACTTAGGCTTCAGACTGTGAGAGCTTACCTAATGCCTTTGAAATCAAAATACACTCCTGGTATTTCTCCAGTGTACTCACTGAGTCTGCAGACTTAGAAGAAAACTCTTCATACAAGTGCCAGAGAGAGACCAAGAGAAGCCCTTTTCTCTCCCTTGCCAGAAAGGATAATAAAACCTCAAGGATCATTATTCGTTTATTAAGTATTATGTGATAGAATGGCAACTAAATAGTGTCATTTAATTATAAATAACATTAATTGATTAATAATAGAGGATACACAGAGAAAAATGTTAGCACTAAGGAATACACAGTGATTTTAAAAAGAAATCACAAAACATTTCTTAAATTAAGTAAAATATATTCCTTCTCTTTTACAATGCAGCACTACAAAGCTTTAAACACCTTGGTTTACAACGCTATGAATATTAAAGAATTGCATAAAAACTTTCTTTTAAAGAAGTAATTTATTATTTAATGTTTATTTTCTTTTTATTATTGTTGCCAGGCAAGCAAATTTCTCATGGTCAAATAAGAATGTTTTCATATTTTAGTGCTACAACATTAGTTCATTTATTATTAATACAACTCATAAATACTCTAACCATCAAAAATAGCCTCAAACAACCTTATCTGGGCAGACTCAGACTTTCCGTCTTCCCCAGGGTTTTCCAGTTTCTGGACTATAATTAGTTGTCATCTATTCTGACGGAGAAGATTCTACGAACCATCCCCCATGTCTCAATAATGTTCTTGACAGATTTTATATCTTGAGGCAACCTAAACAGTTTACTAAGTGAGACCCACTAGAAGAAAAAGAAAAGATAAAATGGGAAAAACTCATTATTTTTAGCCAGAAGTTAATTAGATGTTTTGGAATTCTATTTTTCTGAAAGCATTCATATTTTGCCAAGTGTGGGACTCAGGTTATGCCACCTTTTAGAACCATTTTAGCCACTTGTTTTCACACTCTAACTGTAAGCCTGTGTCTTAAAAAAAACATTTTCATGTTAATTAAATGCCTCCTATTTAAAATTTCATGCTGTTAAATAATTCTTTTAGATTTAACACTCATATGTTCTGGAAAATAGCTCCGCTGTCATTTATTTCCTACAATTCGTTGAGACCATAAATGGCCATATAAAAATTTCAGTAGTTTCTACTTCTGATAAATACTACTACGCTCCGGCTACCGTTAACGTGAAGAAGCTGCTCTTTCTATGACTACCTCAAGGAATATATAAGCTCATCCTCCACAGTGCAAGCACTGGCAAATGGTTCCAGAAGACTAAAAATAATCACAGCATAATCAAGCCAGGGCTTCACTATCAAACTGCAGACAAGGGTGGAAATCAACTTTCTTGAAAAGGGAGATCTTGGCTATATCATGTATAGTTGTGTCTGAAACTTCTTGATTGTGCAAGGTATGCAAATGAAAGATTTTTACAAAATAACTGTGAGCATTTTGTAGGCATTGTGTGCCTGTACTTGAAATAAAGGAGTGAATAACACAAGGATCAGTTTTCAAGAAAATGTTTTGTGTTTAGAGATAGGTAGATGAGTAAAGGGACATTTATGGAACAGTGTCACGTGTACTGTGATGAGGATTCCAATACACAGAAGAGGGCCCGTTTATCCAATTTGGAGGGGAGATGGTAGTGACTATTTAACAAAGTCTTTCTAGAAGAAAGGACATGTAAACTATGTTCTAAAATTTATTAAATAAATAATAGCTCCTTAAGGTGCTATTTTTTTTTTTTTTTTGAGACGGAGTCTCGCTGTGTCTCCCAGGCTGGAGTGCAGTGGCACGATCTTGGCTCACTGCAGGCTCCGCCTCCCGGATTCACGGAATTCTCCTTCCTCAGCCTCCCGAGTAGCTGGGACTACGGGCGCCCACCGTCACGCCCGGCTAATTTTTGTTTGTATTTTTAGTAGAGACGGGGCTTCACTATGTTAGCCAGGATGGTCTCGATCTCCTGACCTCGTGATCCTCCCGCTTTGGCCTCTCAAAGTGCTGGGATTACAGGCGTGAGCCATTGATTGATCACTCTTGTCATAAAATGTTCTCTCTCGGAAATTATCTTTGCTCCTAGAAATTGTCTTATCTATAACTGCCTCAAATTGTGTTCTTCACTTTTCCTACTCTTCAGTTTAATTTTATTTTATGAGGCAATGAAGTGGAACGAAGTGGCATAGCAGGAAGTGGAGAAAAGCATGTTCTTGAAGCTCACAAGAGAAACAGTTGGTCTTTTGAGATGGTAAAACACTGGGGAAGAGCGTGAACAGGGCTGTTTCTATTAGTTGCTCAGTTCTAACACATCTTCTATGCGTGGCTTTGAGCAAATGACTTAATCTTTCTGTGCCCAAGTCCCTTTATATAAAATATTACCAATTTCACAAGGTTTCCATGAGTGTTGAGTAAAAAATTTAAAGCATACAAAATATTCAATGTTACCTGTGATGATGATGATGATTCTCATCATCATCATCATCATCTTCTTCTTCTTCATCATATTGTTTTATTAGCTTAAAAATTGGGGGTGCACATTAAATGTTGGTGTCTCCATAGGAACACTGTATACCAGGTCTAGCATATTCAATCAAGTGCAGCTAAATTCTCTTTTTAAATTGACAAGGTAGAATGTACTTATTTTCAAAAGCATAGCTTTGAGATAAATATAGCAAACCACATAGTTCTTGTTTTATTTAGCTAGATGTAAATAAAATATATCTAGGATTTCCATTTCTAAAGCCATAGCACAGTTACCATATGAGACCTATGCACCCTTTGTAAACAAGTATTAAAATACCCGCAATATATAAAGTAAATGTTTTCAAGCAGTAGACAGCAGAGAGTGTAAGACTATTTTATTTGAAAGAAGAGAAACACTTCGAGTGAGCTCTGCATTCACCCTGGCTTCTTGCATGGGAATTTTTTTTTTAGACCACAGCACAGAGATGAGGAACCCAGGAAGAAAGCTTGAGTGTCAATGAATGAAACAGGAAGACATAAGAATTCAGATCTTCTGAGTAGGGATAAGTTTATGAGGCAGGATAATAGAAAGGGGAGAGAAGTACAGAGAAGACCCTTAGGGCAGCATGTTATATCCTCTGTTTTTAAGGATGATGAGGACAAGGCTATGCATGCTCAAGGTGAGACTTTAAGGCCTGCCCAACTTCCGGGAGGCTAATGAATGAATGAAGACTTCAGAGGTTGCTCAATTCTGGGAAATATTTCAGTATAGCTGAGCTAATGGGGAGACGCTTCCTAAGTAGCAAGTAATCCTGCTATGGTACAGTTGACAGTCCAGAAAGGTCACTCTTCAAAAGTAGGAGTTACAGACTATAACTAGGCAAAAAATTAAAACAGATACATGCAGAAAAAGCCTAAAATAAAGGCACGTGGTGATTAATTATTCATTTAACTGTATGCCAGAACAAAACACAGTACTTCAAAGAAAGAAACACAATCCAAACATCTTACAGTATAGCAAACAATCATAAATACTAGACATGGGATAACCAGAAACAGATTTTTCACACTTGAGAAACAGAAGCATGTATTCTTCAGCCAAAAGAATAAAAGACAGAGTAGAAACAGACCCTAAAGTGATACAGATGTTGGAATGTGCATATAAAATATTTGAAAAAGATATATATATATTCAAGCATTTGAAAGAAAAGGTAGTCAAAAAGAGAAAAAATGGGGGATCTCAGAAAAAGTAAACTGTAAGAAAAGAGTCCTAATGAATTCCCATAAAATAAAATATTAAATATCTGAAGTGAAAAAACTCACAGGATCAACTGAAAGGAAAAATAAAAATATCCATTAACTTGAATTTAGGTTAATAGAAATTGTTCAAACTGAAGCAAAAGAGAAGGAAAGCTAGAATAAAAAATGAGCAGAGACTCAAATACTTGAGGGATCAAGTCAACTGACATACATACAATTGGATTTTACAAAGGAAAGAGGAGATAGAAAGAAAATTTTGAAGAAATATTTGTCTGCAAACTGCCTAAATATGCTGAAAAAGATGAACTCATGGTGTATCTTAAAAGCTTAGCAAGCCCAAAGAAGGTAACTATGTTAAAACAAAACAACAAATACACCAGGCACAGAGGTTCATGCCTGTAATCCCAGCACTTTGGGAGGCCAAGGAGGGAGAATTGCTTCAACCCAGGGATTCAAGATCAGCCTGGGCAACATAACATGACCACATTTCTACAAAAAATAAAAAAAAAGGCAGATATGGTGGTGCGCATCTGTAGTCCTAGTTACTTGGAAGGGTGATGGAGGAGAATTTCTTAAGCCCAGGAGGTTGAGGCTATAATAAGCCATGATTGCACCACTGCATTCTAGCCTGGGCAATAGAAAGAGGTCCTATCTCAAAAAAACAAAAAAAAACAAAAACAAACAAACAAACAAAAAAACACACAAACACAATGAAAAACACAGAAAAAAAAAACCTCATGTATGCATATCATAGTAAAACTTCTGAAAACCTAACAAAAACAAGATATCAATATCAAAAATTCCAGCAACCTTATTAGATGAAGGCATGATAAAACACAATAAGTTTAATATGTTTTTAAAAAGTTGTCAACTGGAATCCTATAGCTAGAGAAATTATCCCTTATAAATAGGACTAAATTTGAAATACAGAATTTTCAGACACAGTTTAAAGAAATAGTTCCCAACAGAAAAAAGCTGTAAGAAATGATTAAGGATGTTCTTCACATTGAAGGGAAATGTTACCGGATAGAAACTCAGGTATACATGAAGAAATGAACAGAACCAGAAACTAGAATGGGAAAATGTAAGTATAAATACATAATATTATTTTTGCTTCATTTTCTTAATATATTTAAACAAAAATTGACTATTTAAAATAAAATGCCAACATTTTAACATATCTATATATCACATATATAACAAGAAAGGCACAAAGGTTAGGAGAAGTTAATGAAATGATATTGTTTAATATTCTGTTGTTCTTATCATTTACATTTTATGTGAGGTAGTACAGTACTAAATCTAAGTAGTTTATTGGAAATAAGCAATATACTATAATCCCTAAAGCAAATTGGGAAAAATTATACCATCTGACATTAATAGATACTATAGTAATCAAGATAATGTAATTTTTACATAGGATTTTAAAAACTCATATTAATGGAACAGAATAGAATCCAAAAGTAGACTGGTATGTACATGGTAAATTTATTTTTAATAAAGTTTTCAGTGTAATATAATGGGAAAAAGATTATTGGAATAACCATATTAAACAAACAAATGAACAAAACAATTTTGGTCCATCCCACAACATATTAAAACAGTACTTTGCAATAGATCATAGGTTGAAATGTAAAAGCAAACATTATAAAGGATCAAGATAAAGATGACTGCTTTCACAGCCTTGGGGCACACAAAGCATTTTTAGATAGGACACAAAAAGAACAGTTCATATAAAACCAATCCCAAGATCCATAAAAATGCTAGGACCTTGTGTCCAGAGCTTCCTATCAGTGAAGCAGTACCCATATCTGCACTGATCCATTCCCAGCTTACCTGCCTATTGTTCCATGGGGGAAAATGGAACAGGTTTTATTCTCTTGCTTGTACTATCAGAGTAAGTGATTAAAGGCTTGATTGTTACTTTCAATATATTTTGCTGAATTTATTGGCTACCGTCAACATCTGACAGCTCAACTCTCTCTCCAGCTCAACTGATCTGACACACAAAAAGGAAAAAAAAATAGCAATCATAAGTAGCCATCTAGATCATGGAGACTATTTTTAAGTTAATTGTTAAGATTGTTATCAATATGAAAACTTGAAATTAAAAGATTATCATAGACAAATCATTTATTTCCCAAACCCAACTTGGTAAACATTGATTAGGTAGTTAGATGTTCAATTTTGGGGGTAATGAGAGAGGGTCAATAATAGTTTAATATGTGTTAAAGGCCTTGATTTGATGGCAAAACTTTTTTTGATGTATAAAATAAACAAAAAAGTGTAAAAGTAAGTGGTTAGCCTGAAGAAACACTACAAAATGAGCACACATGTGTAACTAGTGATAAGGTTCGAATATAGAACAATGTCATCACCCAAGAACTCCTATGCCTTTTCCCATCTTCTAAGTACCATTCTCTTCTTTCTGAAGTTAAGAAATGTCAAGACATGTGACATTATAAATACGGTTTTATTGTTTTTTCACTTTATGTAAATAAAACCATAAGATATGTGTTCTTTTTCTTTCTTTGACTCTTAACATTGTTTACACTCTTCTGCATTAGACTCCTCCAGAATATTTATGCTACTGTTCCCTCTTCATATGTTATTCCAGATATTTTTTCATATCTATGTTATGATTTTTGAAAGATAAAATAATTAAAAATAAAACTTAATGGATCTGATTAACAGCAGATCGAACATAGCTAAAGAAAAAATTTGTGACTAGAAAGAACAAAAATTTGGTTCTGAAATTTCCATTTCATTTATGTTCAAACTCTTGTTTTCTTCAGTATATTTTGCAATTCTTTGACATATTAATCAGTTTAAAGTCTATGTCTATAACTCTATTATCCGGATTTCTTGCGAGCCTGTATCTATTATTTTGTTTTTGCCACTTGATTAATTGTTAAGGCTTGTCTTGTTATATACTTGGTTATTATGATTTAAATGGCATACATTGCAAATAAAAATATAACTATAATTTAAGGGTTGTATGAATCCATATTCCCCAAGAGATAATTTCTTTTGGCTTCTGATAGGCTGATAGGCTAGGGAAATGAGCAATTCCATTTAATTTTGATCTAACCAGGAAATAACATTATGCAAGGATGAACTTCAGTCCTTCTAAGGACAAGTCAAATTCCACTTCCCCTGTACTCCTAGCATATATCCCTTAGGAATCCTGACTGAATGACTGGGATATTTCTAGACTCTTCCTTCTTGAAGCATTGAACTTCAGTTTGTACCATTCTTCTCTTTGGCTTCATGAGTCGACCAAAAGCTCTTAGCAGTTTCTCAGCCTATCAAACACCATATTGGTCTGTTCTTGCATTACTATAAAGAAATACCTGAGACTAGGTAGTTCTGGAAGAAAAGAGGTTTAATTGGCTCACGGTTCTGCAGGCTGTACAGGAAGCATGGTGCAGTCACCTGCTTGGCTTCTGGGGAGGCCTCAGGAAGCTTTTACTCATGGCAGAATGTGAAGTAGGAGCAAGCATCTCACATGGCACAGCTTGAGCAAAAGGTTCCAAAGGTTCCGGGGGAGGGTACCACACACTTTTAAACAACCAGATCTTGGCGAAAACTCACTCACTGTCACAAGGACAGCACCAAGCCATGAGGGATCCTCACCCATGAACCACGTATCTCCCACCAGACCCTACCTCCAACATTGAGGATTGCAATTCAACATAAGATTTGAGCGGGGACACAGATCCAAACTATAGGAGATACCATTTTAAAAGTCAGCAACTACCTCAAGGGAAAAACATAAACCTAATGATAAGAAAGCTAGATTAAATTTCCAAAGTGTAACAATATAATACCTGAGATTAAAAATTTACTACAGAGACTAAACTATAGACACAACAGAATAAAAGACCCAACAAAAAATATCCTTCAAAAATGTGTTTCTGTGTCTTTGATCATATTTCTCTTTTTTCAGTGTCCAGGGACATCTAGATGATAGAAGTTCCTTCAGATGGGTCCCTGGTGTGAGGGTGTCCTGTATCAGACTGCCTATTGAAGTTCAACCTGTGGTTCAAGACAGGTATGATCCTTTGATGTTGAAGTCACTGAGATTGGGAGTTAGTTTGCTTTTGTGTTTGTTTTTGCTTTTTACTGCAGCTTGTTCTATACTATCAGAACTAATTAAAACATTTTAACTTTGGAAAATCTTTAAATATAATTTTCCTTATAGTTTGTCACATTAAATGGGAAAATAGATGGTTTATATAAATATATGTGGAAAATATATGATAGCTTTCATCACACATTCATATTTTTAAAATCTTAGTAAAGCAGGACGAGGAGAAAGTTATTTAATATTTTGAAAGGTCCTAATAATACTTCTAATAAACATTTTAAATAAAATTTGTATTTTAGAACAGTTTTAGATTTAAAAAAAAATTATGAAGATAGTATGGAGAGTATGCCCCAGTTTCCCATATTACTAATATATTACCTCAGTGTGGTACATTTGTACAAATAATGAACCAATATTTACCTGTTGTTATGAACCAAAGTCCATTCTTTTTTTGTTTGTTTGTTTGTTTGTTTTTTTGAGACGGAGTCTGGCTCTGTCACTCCAGGCTGGAGTGCAGCTCACTGCAAGCTCTGCCTCCTGAGTTCACGCCATTCTCCTGCCTCAGCCTCCCAAGTAGCTGGGACTACAGGCGTCTGCCACCACGCCCGGCTAATTTTTTTTTTTGTATTTTTAGTAGAGACGGGGTTTCACTGTGTTCGCCAGGATGGTCTCAATCTCCTGACCTCGTGATCCACCCGCCTCAGCTTCCCAAAGTACTGGGATTACAGGCTTGAGCCACCGTGCCCAGCCCCCTAAAGTCCATTCTTAACTCAGATTTCCTTGTTACCTCGTGCCCTTTTCTGTTCCAGGATCTCATTCAGAATACTACTTTCATTCAGGCTGGAGTGCAGTGGCATGATCTTAGCTCTCTGCAACTTCCGCCTCCTGGGCTCAAGCGATTCTCCTGTCTCAGGCTCCGGAGTAGCTGGGACTACAGGCATGCGCCACAACACCAGGTAATTTTTGTATTTTTAGTAGAGACGGGGTTTTACCATGTTGGCCAGACTGGTCTCGAACTCCGGACCTCAAGTGATCCACCTGCCTCGGCCTCCCAAAGTGCTGGGATTATAGGCATGAGCCACCATGCCAGGCCGATCTTGACAGTTTTAGTGAGTATTGGTCAGACATTTTGTGGAGTATCTCTGTATTGGAATCTAGTTCATGTTTTTTTCATAATAGATAGGATTTTATATTCTTGGGAGAAAAAACATTGATATATACTGTCCCATTTTCATCACCTCAGAGCACAAGCCAAGGCTAATAACATCTTCATCTTAGAAGTGTTTCTTTCACTTGCCTTCTGTATATCACACTTGCTGATTTTTTTTGTATGACTCTAGTAATACTTTATCAGTTTTGTTAAATCCAATTTTCACCAATTTCATAATTTTAGAGCATCTTATGGATCATTTTTTAAGCTTTTATCTACACTTCTTCAGTGATTTCTTCTGGTTTCACAATTTCAATTGCCATCTGCATACTGATGACAAGTAAATTTATATCTCTGATTCAGATTTGTCCACTAAACTTGATAACACTATATATAACTGCATACTTGATATCTTTACTTGGAACATCTCAAAGTTGAAATGCTCAAAATAGAACTGCTTATTATTCTAGTAGAACCTGTTTCACCCACACACAGTCTTCCTTATCATTGTACTTGATCATTCTAGCCCATCCGGGGAAAAAACACACACAATCAATAAAAAAAACTTGATTTATCCTTGAAATATTTTATTTGAATCCCACGTCTGAAACATCAGCAAAAATGGTTTTAATTACTCAATTTTTTCCAAAACATAGATAGAACCTGAAAATTTCCCACTATCACACACACTCCCACTATTCTCCAAGGCACCATTAGCTCTCACCCAGGTAAGAGTGATAGCCTCCTTTCTCAGCCAGGTTACAGTGACAGCCTCCTGCTGTCATTATTGCCTTCCATAGTCTCACTGAAACACAGCAGCCAAAGTGATTCTTTGAACGTGTCAATGAGATCGAGTCACTGCTCTGCTAAATACTCTCCAGTGGCTCCTCATCTGATTCAGAGGAAAGCCAGTGGTTTTCAATGGCCTAATATTTTCTGCACATTCCAAGTTCCAGTCAAAACTCTGAGCTCATCCACCACACTGTCACGACACACTACTTCCAGTTACTCAAATACGCCAGTGTGCTCATGTCTCAGGGTATTACTACTGTTCCCTCTTTTTGAAACACTGTGCCCAAGTGTCATTGTCTCAATTCCTATCCTGGTTTCTTAAACTTAAGAGGAAAAAAATAAGGAAACTCCCTTATGTCCTCCTCTGACTAGTGATCATATTTTAGTTTCCCCGGCCTGTCTCTTCTGCTAATATTCCATTTTCTGAACTTACTTATGTTTACCCTCTTTATCTTCCTATTAATAGATAATGAGTTTATGAGATCATGAGTCTCTCAGTTCTTACAGCTACTATAATACACTATATAGTTTTTGATACACTGTGGGGACTTTATAAAGGTTTTGTGAATTAACTAGTTAATGAAAGACAAAAAAAATAAATAGCCTGGACCCCTGCAAGCTTTGACAGCAGCAAGAAATCAGCATCGTCTTCAGATTTTAAGTATTTTAGTGTCAACTATTTAAATCAGCTAAATAATACAGTAATAGAATCTATTTTGTTTCTAGTTAGAGTCATGACTGAAAGCACTGCTATTCCCTAAAGGGGAAATTCCCTCATTTGCAGAAATAACAAAAGACTAAAAAATATAATTATGTAAGAATCCTAAAGTAATAAAATACATGGATAGAAGAATCAATTTGTAGGCAACTTTTTTTTTTAAATATACACTAGTAAACCAATATGACCTTCAAAAGGTTAACAAAGAAAATAAGTAAGCACTGAACTTCATTTGATGAGTAACATGGCTGGCCTCTAAAAAGTCACCTTTATTATGAGAACAGCAACTGAAAATACCTCAGCAAAGAAATCTCGGGATTCTTCCACCAAAGATAGTGGAAACAACCTATTTGGGCCGGGGTTTGGACATGACTAGTTCAAAGTCAGTGAACTGTGGGTAGCATGCAGAAAATAGAGACCTTTTTTTGAGAGAAGGTTATAAAAGTTATTCCGAAGAGAGATGTACCTGTCATTGATTTCTTATACTCTAGTACAACAGAAATGAAAGAGTACAGTTTCTCTGTGGAGATGAAAAACAGGAGCTTTCAAGCTGGCCCTTTTACCATTTCTAAAATCCTTCATGAGTAACTGTAATTATTATTGTATTTCTCTTGTTAAAGGGTATTCCGTGAAAGAAACTATTAAAAATTATGAGAATCAGTGCTACTGTTATCTATCATTTTTCCATCTTGTGGACAGTAAGATCTTAATCTTAGAAGACAAGATCTAGAAGTCATTTTACTTGAACTTTAAAATAAACAAACCTATTTATCTATTTTGCCCAATTCTAATGGTGACATTGTATCACACCGTTTGTTAGAGATAAATGAATCTCAATTATCCTGTGAAACTTAAAGACATACATAAAATTAAACAGCAACACCAATTCTGATTGCAGTTTATTTAAATAATTTTATTATTTACAAATGCATTCACTTACCTACCCACATAGATATTTATTTTTGTAAATTGCCATCAAGAACAAGATATGCTGAGTATCCATTTCAACACACAGGACGATTTTATATATCCTTCATGGTTTATTGTAAAAAAAAAGTACTGGTTAAAAAAAAAGTGGGGGAGTTAATTGTCTCTATTTCTTACAGGTATTAAAGGTAAAATGCATACCCCTTGACTCAGTGTGCTTTGATTTTAAGTCTTGATTATGGGTGGATAGTCAATATAATAAATCCTGTTGGCAATTTCATATCTGTTTTCCACATCATTGCACACAGATAACACAAAGCAGAATGTACTACCAATAACCGCGAGCCAGTTCTTCAAAAGTTGACATCTCTCAGAATAAAATTTTATAAATGTTGAAAGTGGAAATATATACAAATAAAATTAGGCCCTTTTATTTGTTACAGGCATACTTTAAATAAAGTTGAACATATTTTCATCAAATTGGGAAGATATATTTTGGATATGTAGTTTTTGTAGTGCAAACAAAATTCTTTGGGTACACACTCAAAGGGTAACACCTCCCACCAAGAAAAACAGAAACCTCTTACCATTAAGAAACCTCTGTGAATGCAAATCAGGAGAGATGAACCATTTGTTATATGTACCATGGAGAGGGGTTTCAAATAACACTTTATAATTTAAGAGTTATAAAAGTGCCTGTTCTAAAAAACAAGTGCTGTTTTATGATTGAGCTACTTCTCACATGGGCGAGTCTGTATAGCAAGCCCTCATGTACTAGATTCAGGGAGTTAGATAATTATGCTTCATGATTCACAAGAAAAATAGAGTCTATCTAAAATGAGGTTTTAAAAAGATGAAAGTTTAGTTTGTGTGCATGATTTAAATGTAAAACAATTTTTTTAACTTCTAGAAAATAGATAACCCCTAAAGATCCTATTGTCCCAGTATATTTTCAGGGCCCAATATTTTAGGTGAGTTCTAATTTTACCTATATTAATACATTTATCTCTATAGGACTATAGTGTTTTGAGATACACACACACATTATGTATCCATTTTAAATAGTCATTGAAAAAGGCTATGTTAACATGTAATTTCTTTACATCATCTGGTTAATTAAGGTGTAATTCCATCGTGGCATGTACTCTTTCTCTAAGTTGCATGGTGCTGATAAATTACTTGCTGACTAACAAGTAATTCACGGCAATACAAATATCATATCTTTATACTGTTTACATGAAATGTCTCTGGCCTTTCTTCCCTCAACATTTCAACAGGCTATATATATATATATATATATTTTTTTTTTTTTTTTTTTTTTTTTTGAGACGGAATCTCACACTGTCACCTGGGCTGGAGTGCAATGGCATAATCTCGGTTAACTGCAACCTCCACCTCCCAGGTTCAAGCGATTCTCCTGCCTCAGCCTCCCAAGTAGCTGGGATTACAGGCGTGCACCACCACACCCGGCTAATATTTTGTATTTTTAGTAGAGATGGGGTTTCACTGTGTTGACCAGACTTATCTGGAACTCCTGACTTCGTGATCCACCCGCCTCGGCTCCCCAAAGTGCTGGGATTACAGGCGTGAGCCACTGCGCCCGGCCTCAACAGGCTATGTTTTAAATGGAGTAATCCAACGATAAGAGGGGAGAAAAAAAAGTTCAGTTTAGATTCCAGATGTAAGAATCAATGTTTAGATCCACTTCTTCAAAGTGCTACTTAAGTCAAATAAGAAGCAAATATATCTTCGAGGTCAAAAATAAAAGAAAAAATATATGTTGTATGAATTGAAGGAGATTCTGATGAAATTCAAGCATTTCATTCCTGGTGTATTAGTTTACTAGGAGTGATGAAACAAAACCTCACTAACTGGGTTGTTTAAACAACAGAAATTTATTTCCTCACATTTCCTTAGGCTAGAAGACAGAGATGACAATGTTGGTAGGGTTGGTTTCTTCTGAAGCCTTTCTTTGTGGTTTGTAGATGGCAATCTTCTCTCTGGGCCTTCAGAGGACCTTCCTTCTGTATCTGTTATCTGTCTATATCGAAATATTCTCTCATTATAAGGACATCAGTCATGTAGGATTAGGACTTAACCCTCAGGACCTCATTTTAACTTAATTATCTCTTTATAGACCCTATCTCTAAATACAGTCATATCTGGGGTACTGAGGGTTGGGACTTGTATTAGCCTGTTTTCATACTGCTATAAAGAACTGCCCAAGATTGTGTAATTTAAGAAGGAAAGAAGTTTAACTGACTCAGAGTTCAGTATGGCTGGAGAGGCCTCAGGAAACACACAATCATGGCAGAAGGCAAATGGGTTTTTTGATATATTACTAGGTCCTCGTAAATACAAAACACACAGGACACCAAACGACCATGGAGCTAGATTTGATCATTAAAATCTGGTCCTGATTGACCCATGGTGGTATGCAGAATAGTGCCCCACCCACCCACCCAAAGATGTTCATGCCGTAACTTTGGTACCTGTGAATGTTTTTCCTTATGTAGATAAAGGGATTTCACATATATGGTTTCAATTACAGAACTTGAGATGGGGACACTATCCTAAAATATCGTAGTGGGCCCAATCTAATCATGAGTTCCCAAAAGTGCAGGACCTTTCCAGGCTGTGGCCAGAATGACATATTATGTTGGAACAATGCTCAGTGAGTTGTGACCTCAGTGCACTGAGGATAGAGAAGATGGTCAGGAGCAAAAAAGCATGGGAGGCCTCTAAAGCCAGAAAAGGCAAGAGTACAAATAATCCTTTACAGCCTTCAGATAGAATGCAGCCCTGATGGCAGCTTGATTTTAGCTCTTGTCAGAATTCTGACCTGCTAAAATGTAAGATATCACATTTGTTTTGTTTTATGCTACTGAGTTTGTAGTACTTTGTTATGGCAACAGTGAAAATTAAAGAAAGATTTTCATGTGGGGATGGAGTGCTGCTGTACCAAATACCTAAAATTGTAGAAGTAATTCTGAAATTGGCAGTAAGTAGAGGCTGGGTGAATTTTGAGAAGAAGGACAGAGAAAGCACAGATTACCTTAAATATCCTGTTAGTAGAAACAGGGATGTTAACAATTCTACCAGTGAGTACTCAGGCAGAAGTGAGGAACATGGTAAGGGCAACATAAATCTTCTTAGAGAATACAGTCAGCCCTGCATATCCAAGGGACCCACATCCATAATTCAACCAACACCAGATTTAAAATATTTTTAAAAAGTTAAAAATAACAATATGACAATAAAAATAAAACAAATAGAATAATACAGTATAACAACTATTTACATAGCATTTACATTGTATCAAGTATTATAAGTAGTCTAGAGATTATTACTGTATACAGGAAGATATGCATAGGTTATATGCAAATACTACACCATTTTATGTAGAGTACTTGAGCATTAACAGATTTAAGTATCTGTGTGGGGTCCTGGAACCAATCCCCTGCTATGACTGAGGAACAACACTACCTAAATTTTTGTGAACAAAATATGAGTAAAAGTACAAACATTAAAGTCACTGTTGGTGAGGGCTTAGAGAAAGAAAAAGAGGAACATGCAACTAGAAATTGGAACAAAAAGGATTGTTGTTTCATAATGGCAGAAAGCTTAGTGTAATTGTTTCCTGCAGTCATTTGAAAACCAAAACTTGTAAATGGCAAAAATGAACAGTAAGCTGAGAAAATGTTTGAGGAAAGTGTTGAAGGTTCAGCCTGGTTTCTTTATGCCACTTATAGTAAAATGCAAAAGGAAAGAGATAAATTAAGGGATGAACTGTTTAATTAAAAGAAACACTGCACTCCAGCCTGGGTGGCAGAGCGAGACTCTGTCTCAAGAAAAAAAAAAAAAAGAAAAGAAAGAAAGAAACCAAGGCTGGAAGATTTGGGAAATTATCAGTCTATCCATATTGCAAAATATGCTACATTTCACTATCATGAAATGTGCTTTAGAAGAAAAAGCCAAGGACGTGCCTATAAAACCTCTGCTAATACCTCAGAAAGATTAAAAGTTTAAAGTATTCAGACACACAAAGGCTCTTTAATATGATCCACAATGTGATTATCCCATCCTCTCAATAAAATTACAGAGCATCTAGGGAGTTTAAGGGTGTTGTCCTTCAGCCATTTCAGCAAGAGCCAATAAAGCATATGGAATTATACCACATTGTATGCATGTATCAAACTATCACAAATACCCCTTAAATATGTACAAATGTTATGCATCAATGAACAAACAACAAAAAAATGTGTTATTTAGGCCACTTAGTTTCTGGGGATTTCTTATGACAACAATAGAAAGCTACTATGCTCACCGAGTCATAAGGTTGGATGTGACCGACAATAACCCAACTCATCAAGGCTCATATAGTTTCCTACTTCTTATGGAAGAAGTACACCCACTGGGATTAAGCACAAGCAGGATCAGAGTGCACAAGAAAGCTGCATGAATAGATATCCCTCACTGCTCTGTCACCCACCACTATTCTTCTCAGCTTGCAACCGTAACTGTATAGAAAATCTGTACAGCTAGCTGAAGGAGGAGCTTTGGTTCACATGTGGGTTAGCTTTGTAGGTGGTGTAAGATAAAAAGTGAAATGCGTCTGTACTATGCAAGCACTACAGAGGTTGCCTTTAAGCACAACCATAAGAGAAAATGCTCTCAATGCCTAGAGCTTCAGGCAGTGCACCTGATCTGTCACTATGGGTGAGAAGATGAGTTATTTGATGTTATTATATATAGCTTATGCACCATGGTTAATTTCCTGACCAGCTGGTCAAATGTGAAAGATAAAGGTTGTAAGATCAGAAATAATGAGTTCTAGTGACAGAGGCATGTAAATGGACACATGGCAGTAGACACAAAGTGTGGTGATTTTTATCGGATATTAGTACTCCCCATAGGACATCTTCCATGTTTAGGAAGAGGCCCTAAACAACAAAGTAGCTAAAAAGTCTGGCCTGTTATCTTTAGCCAGTTTTTTACACCAGCCATGGCAAAATTGCCACACGAGTGCATAAACATAGTGGCTGCAGTGGCAGAGACAGAGGCTGCTCATTGGCACAGCATAATAGACTCCTACTTACCAAGCCTAATCTAGCTACTGTCACATTGAAATGTCCAACCTGCCAGCCACAGACGACAAAGTGAGTGCGTAACAGAACATCATTGTTTAAGGAGACCAGCTGGCCACTTGGTTGCAAGTTGATTATATCCCATCTAGAAGCACTAGCTGTTACACACATACTTCAGCTATAATACGATATTATCTTAAAAATGTAATCCTGAAAAAGAATAGTTAAACAAAATGAAGTCTGGAATACATCTCTATAAATTCAATTTACTTAGAGAAAATAATAATACAAGTTTTATGGTAATGTACAAATAAAAATAAATCCATGTTTTCTCGTAAGGGTAAGAGAATGGGAAACAAAACATGGAGAAAAGATACATTAAAAAAAGTTGATCAAGTATCAATGATAGTGTGGCATGAAGAGTGGAGGGTGATTAACTCAACTCTTTGCATATATGGTTCAAATTAGTGTTTAAAAATGGTATGTCTAACTAAAATTTAAAATTAATATTTGATCTTTTATGTATATATTTCTTGTTGGATTAAATTATAGAATAAAAAGGCAAATACATTAATGATTTAAGACATAAAGAACTAGGAAATGTAGCCAGGTGCTGTGGCTTATGTCTGTAATCCCAGCATTTTGAGAGGTGGAGACAGGTGCAGAGGGGAGCCTATTTTTTGTAGAGATGGGTTGTTTTCATGTTGCCTAGGCTGGCTTGAGCTCCTGGGCAACAGGAGCTATCTTAAAAATATACTTCTGAGTAAAAGAATAGTTAAACAAAATAAAGTCTCTACAAAAAAAAAAATGAAGTCTCTACAAAACACCGTCTCTGCAAAACATACAAAAAAATATTAGCCAGGCCTCATGGTGCATGCCTATATTCCTGGAAGGATTCATTGAGCCTCGTAGGTTAGGGCTGCAGTGAGCTGTGATGACGCCACTCACTCCATCTTGGCTGACAGAGAGGTGCTGTCTCAGAAGGAAGGAAGGAAGGAAGGAAGGAAAGAAGGAAAGAAGGAAGGAGGGAAGGAAGGAAAGAAGGAAGGGAAGGGAAAATGATTTTTTTAAAATCAGAAAGCCTAATTTTTATAGCTCTACGTTTATTAATTTATTTCATGAGGTCACATTAAATATCATAACCATATCTGTTCATTAATTTTGAAATCTCACTTATTAAAAGGATAATTATTCATTTAAAGTGGTATTTCCTCAAAGGTTTGTAAAGATTAAATGAATTATTATGTAAAGTACTTAGAAAAGGATAAGCTACGAAAACCATATAGAAGTGTTAGTTATCATTATTAGTGCACTAAAGCACAGTAAATTATAAAATAAATATAAAGTGGACATCTAAAGAAAACAAATGACATGTATTTTATTGCAAAAATATATTTATTCATGTTTTTAGCTTAGAAAAGCATACATAGTTTTTAGTAGTGTATATTTTTGTTATGAAAATAGCTTTCCTGCTTTGTGATAGATATTGCTTAGATTGGATATGTAGTATCTTTCTACTAAGTATTTTTAATATGTATGCTAAATCATCAGCATTAAACCAAGAGTGATTATCTTTCAAAATCGGGCATGTCATCCATACCCCAATTTACAATAACCTTCAACTCCTTGGCTCCCACCCTAAAGGGTTTCCATCCATATGAAAAGATTTGGCCATATAAACCCCAAAGGGTCTCCATCCATATGAGAAGATTTTGCCGTATAATTTGTCATTCACATTAGAGCACTTTTGAGAATCCATAAATATACCTTGAAAAAGACATAGTCCATGACTATTCCAGTTAGAATAGGTCCTACAGTCACAAATATAGGCATAGAGTACACATTCTTTCCTGAGAATGACCCTAAATCTACATTAGTTAGCATCACTTTCTTGTAAACGCTATGCTCTGAGAAACTAGAGCTTGACCCCACTTTGAATCCTTGCCTTTCTCTCCAGTTTTAATGCCACCACATTAATATGGGTGATCACTGCCACAGCCCCTAACTGTTCCTGCTTCTTTCCCCCTTCTTCCCATTGCATTATCCACACAACAGCAAAATCACACAAGTCAAGAGATCCTGTCACTGCCCATTAAACATGCCTCAAAGACTTCATTTGCCTTAAAACAAAATCCAAAACTCTTAATCATGTTTCACAAAGCCTCACATGACCTGGTCCTTGACTATGGCTCCGATGTGACTCTCATTTGGAAGGCATTATTTACCTTTCTTCTTTAAATCCCTTCAACTCACCAGCCTCTTGTCAAACTAAGAATCTATAGGACACCAAAGGGGAAACAGAAGGAAGCGCATAACAAGCATGAGACTTTAATGTGTCTGTCTTGCTCAGGTAGATGAAGAAGGCAATAAATCAGTAAGGCTATAGAGGAACTGAAAAGTGCATGCAATATGGTACTTTTAACTCTGAGTTCCAATACTAAGGAATACAGTTTATTTTCAAAAACTCATACAACATTTATAAAAGCTAACCACACATTAAAACAAGGACAATCTTAACTCAGAATATATACCACTAATTGTACACACATGTTAATTTGGCCACAATGAAATTAAGTCAAAAATTAATAGTAATGTCAAAAAACCAATTGCCTCTTCTACCAGGAAACATAAAACAAACAACCACCACTACAAAATATGATTTAAAAATATATGGGGTCAAAGGTGAAATATACACAGAAATTGAAGAATTGTTATAAATTCACAATGATATCTTGATGTATCAAACTCTATACAACATAACCAAAGCTATGTTCAGAGAAAAGTTCATAGCCTTAACACAGCTATCAATAAATCATAAATGAAATTGACACCTGCTTCCAAAAAGATAAAACTAAAACAATGAAACAACCTAAAATAAAGAACATCAAAAAAATCAATAGAGATATAAGCCAAACTTACTGTGTTAGAAAAAAAGTAACAAAATAAATAAAGTATGCCTTGAAAAACAGCAAAAATACAGGATTAAATAACCTGATTTTTTAAAAAAGAGAAAACACAAATACCAAAACAATAAATGAAGACAATTTATTAAAAATCATTTTTGCAAATGTATTTTGAAACCTGAATCACACTGGTAATTTTACAAAAAAATAAACTGTGTATAAGTAGCATATCAAAAGTAAATGAAGAGGCAGTTTTTAGCACAGTGACAAAGAAGAAATTGACCTTAGTTAAGAAAATTTAAATTACTACTTTCCTTAGAAAATAGAGAGATTACTCAAGGGAAAAAAAAAAAAAGGCCCGTTACAAAAATTTCCCAGATCTATATGAATTCACAGGGGGCTTTTAGAAACAGAGAGTCCTAAATTTATTTTAAACAATATCCAAGAATAGAAAAAAAAAATATTCTCTATTCTGTTTTCAAAAAGAAAAACTTTAAGGAAACTTCTGAAGTAATTTTTAAAAAGAAGGTGAGAAAATGACTTCAAGACCTGAAAAAGATGATACAGTATATTACAATTACAGGCCAATTTCACTTATGAATAGAAATAAAAAATTTAAATACAGAATTATTAAATAGAATTCAATAGCACTTTTTAACTTTGTATTGTAGGAAAAAACTTCTAGGGGAATTGGATGTGAAAAGTGTCCCTGGTCCTATGATCACAAAGATTTGCAGCAAGGTCAAGACACAGAAGTAACAAATGCTTCCAGCTTCAGCAAATGGTGCCCCATCTTCTGCATGGGAATACCCATTATTCCAAGCCTGTTTTCGGGGAAAGTGATAGACAATGGTGGTGCCCAGGGTGCAGGGAACAAAGGGAACTGGACAGATGGAAAATACGCATTGGGGTTATAAAATACAATTCTGCAGAGGTCCTTTTCCTCAGACACAACCTAGAAAATGGCAATGAAAAAGATAAGGAAAATTAAAGAGATGAAATCCAAGATCATTAGAAAGCTGTACATACTGATACAGACACCCAGGAACCTCAAAATCACAGGATACAAAGGGAGAAAAGCAGTAATCGACCAGCTAGGACTCAGCTAAGCAGGACAGCAGAGTAAAATGAGGCTCAAGTGCTAACTTCTGGCAGGTAGATCAGATAATCTGAATTATTGGTATGGTGTATGTGGTATAGGGTGGATTGTGTGATTGATCGATTGTTACCTGTATAATTCTCCTTTTGGTAATTACATTGAGTTTTTTTTTTTAAGTTTTTTTTTTCTCAATACCACCTCTTAAGGTTTTAAAAACTGTTTCATATCTGATTAAGTAAAAATTTTCAATAACTGCATTGGTAAATTGCTAATAAAAATTAAATGTAACTTTAAACAGTCAATAAGCTATAAGTGCCTCTTAATAAAAGTACTGTATAATAGTTTTGAAAAATTCTATGGCTGTCAAATAGATGAATGTTTGATCATGTTTTTTAAAGAAGAAAGTTGAATCAATTGTTCAATGTACCTATAGCCTTGAAATGAGAATGTATTACGTTTTTTCTTTTACTAAAAGGGATCTCCTCACAATAGTTATTATCCCCAAACATCCCTTAGAGTCTTTATGTTTTATTTTATTTTTATTTTTATTTTTGGGACAGAGTTTCGCTCTGTCACCCAGGCTGGAATGCAGTGGTGCGATCTCAGCTCACTGCAACCTCTGCCTCCTGGGTGCAAGCAATCCTCATGCCTCAGCCTCCCGAGTAGCTGGGAATACAGGCGCCTGCCACCACACCCAGCTCATTTTTGTATTTTTAGTAGAGACAGGGTTTCATCATGTTGGCCAGGCTGGTCTTGAACTCCTGACCTCACATGATCTGCCCAAAATGCTGGGATTACAGGCATGAGCCACCACACCCAGCCTCCTTAGGTTCTTTAAAGAGGATGGCATTGATAGTTATGGCAAGTCAACTTTTTTCACCACTTGACTTAGGAAACAACTTTATATATCATCAAGAAACCTGATTTGTTGAAATGTACAGGCTCCTTCTCATCTTAGAATCATTGGATTACCTTGTTATTCATAGTTCTCCCTTAATTGTAGAAATCTTATGCTCTCTTAATACCACCAGTGGAATCATGAAGGCATCTAAAGGTAAATGGCTACACATCCTGTGCTTGCTCACCTATTCTGCATTACTTGTCTGCAGTAGGGAACCTAGGAGAGTAGTATCTGAGCATATTTCCTGAGCACTTAAATGCTTATTTTGAGGGTTTTCTTCCTCTCTGAACCCTGGAAATAATGTATGGATAACTTCCATTGTTGTCATGAACACTTCCGTTCCTTGTTTCCTTTCAATAGAGGTCTTTCTTATACTGAAATTCCTTTGTGCTTTGGGAAGTTGTTCACTTTCTTTAACCCATAATCACCATATTCTAGTGTGCTTTGGTCTTAGTCAATTCTTGGCATGTTGACAATTTTTATATAAAATATCACCATCTAGAATCCAATTTATTTTCAACATATATAACTGTGATTATTATGGATTGGTGAATAAGAGATTATAAGAAATTGTTTAATCTGTAGTTGATTACAAATTATCAATCCATCTCAAATAAGCATAACTTTCTTATGAAATTCAAAAAGAAAATCAGAGGATAAAGCATATTTTTATAACTGGCATGTTAATCATTTTATTATCAAAATATAAATATTTACTGTGTTTGCAAACTTTGCCACTGTATATAAACCAGTCCACACACATGAAATTTACTTTTTATGAATGTATGTGTATTTTATGTATGTACATTTATCTTAATAAATATATAAAGCCACATTTGCAGCCTTATTATAAATAAATTTGGAAGATAAAGTCTGTAAGAATAGTCATTAAAATTATCATGTTAAAGTCCTGCTTTCATCGAATTTCATGATATAAGATATATAACTCAAATAGATTAGATTTATAAATTACTATTTCTAAAATTTTTAAACAAACGCAAATTAACTATGTGGAAAATTATGAACACACAGACACACACACACATACATATGCACACATACACACATACTTGGGAAAATCACATCTCTCCCACTATAAAAAAAAACTGTCTTTTTTACAGGTAGATTTCTACATTTAAGAATCGATGGAAATTTTGTTCTCCCCTCCTGACAGGCTTTTAAGATCATAACACATGGTAATTTTTTATGTCAACAGTAAAACTGCAAAGAAAATAAGAAGCAAAAAAAGATGAAAGAGTTTCTTCTTAGGCCAAGTATTTCTACCTGTCTGAGAGGAAAGTTGATAAATCATATAATTAGGTGGTGTTTATGCCTTATTAATTAGATGTTAAACAAAGTCTCAGTTTATATTTTCATCCTACACAAATCTGGAAGAACAGGACAGTTTGATATCATAATATACTAACAATATCAAAAATATTAAACTATACCAATAGAATAAAGCAACTAATACACCTCAAACTATTCAAATTCTTCTAAATTTCTTTTCTTAGAATTTGTTTTCTTTTTTTTTTTAAGTAGGAAACCATGTGAAACAACATGTCCTTAATGAAGTGTGTGTCTAAAACCATTCAGTTTCTGTTTCTAAGCATGATAGAGCAACAGAGACCAGACTTGTCTTAAAGCTTTAAAAAAAAGTAGACAAATTTATTACACAAAAAAATTACAGATAGATTGCAAAAGCAATGCAGGACTGTGTTCTCTGAGTGTTGGGAGGTGGTAATTAAGCAAAGTCCTAAAATTACTTCTGCTTGTGGATCACTGATAAACAGTTTTCAGAATGCTGTACGGTGGGGGAAACTCAAACCAAGCCTGGGGTTCTCTCTGGATTAAGGAGACAGATATCTGAGATTAGGGAGAGTAAGCCAGTCAGTATTTTTGAAGCAGAGTACTAGAGAACAGGGCAGTGAACAGAAACTCTAGAGAACTGCAGGGGACGCTGTTGAGTGCTCAGAGAAGGCCTGAAGAAGCAACACTTGGGCATAAATCTAAATGTGAAGAAAGCAGGATTCTTAAGATCAAAGAAAGAACATTTGAAGTGTATGGATGAACAAGAGTGAAAATCTAACAGAAAAATCTGGAATATCTGAGGTTAAAAAATTACGAAAGTATCATAGGCAGTAAAGAAAAGATTGGTAAGAAATGGATCAAGTAAGCAGGGTACAGATGTTGCAGGACTTTCAGGCTTGGTTATAGTTTTCAATTTTGTTACAAATGTCTTGATCAACTATTGAAGGAGACTGACGTCATCTACTCTGTACTTGAGAATAATCACACTGACTGTCCAATAGTGGATGCATTGCAGTAGCGCAAGAGTAATGACTGTGAGATGAGTTAGAGTTTTAGGTAGTCCTGATGAGGTCTTATGATGGTGGTTGTAGAGAAGCTGAAGAAAAGTAGTAATCATCGGACCATGTTTTGGCAGTAAAGTCAAAATGTTTACTGATGGTATATGAAGAAAAGGGAGGAATTTAAAATAATTCCTGGATTTTTGTCTGATTCAAAAGAATAGATTTTGTTGACATACAGTAAGATGAGAAAGGCTTTCAGATAGCTAAGATTTATCACCAATTAGAAGGTGTCTAAATTAGGAGTAGCAATCTAGGAGATATCAGTATGTAGTTGGTGATTAGATGCACAGAAAAGAGCAAGTTCATATAGAAAGAGAATAGAAAGTGAAAACAGAAGACTGTCAAAGTAAGACCCCTGGAATACTCTAATATTTTTAAAGGAAGTCTGCAAATAAGGCTGAGAAAGATAGACAGTGAGATCAAGGGGAATTTTAGAAAACGGTATTTCCCCAAAACAAAAAATACATAGTAAATACTAATAAGAAAGAGGATCAAGTCTATCACAACTAAAGCTACTGAATGGTAGAGTAAAAGAAAAAGAGAAATTAATCAACACTCTTTGATCACCTTAATTAATAGCAATACAGTGGGGTTGTAGAGACAAACATACAACCAGAATAAAATGAGAAAAGCATAGCCATGAACAAGCAGAAAATACAAAAGAATGAGTTTAGACTAGTATGTCCGAAAAAGGTGGAAAGCATGGAATAAACTTATCTTTAAATGTTAGTTACATTTTCCAATAATTTCCAATATTTTAACTTGTTAATTACTTTATTTCTTATAATATTGTTTTTAGCTTCCAGACACCTTTTAAATTGTGGCACCTCTAAATTTAAAACCAACATTTCAGTTGTTTATTCAAAAAGAATGTAATAGATATACTATATGTCTACTCTTTAGAGATTTTGGGGGCTTTTTGTAGCATATCTACTTTCAGATACCTTGCATTTTGAGAAGTTACTCTGTAAAGCAGACAAGAAACTTTTGGATCGGGCAGCATTTGGATCAGATATGGAAATGAAAGAAGTTTCTTCGTGATTTTTTTTTACATCATTTTTATTTTTTATCCCCGAGTGGATAAAATAACTGCACTTGAATTCATTCCTTAAGGATACAGATAGTAATATAGAGAAAAAAGAATTATATTGCCAGAACTTAATTCGAAAGGCAAGAGTAAAAGGAAAAAGGGGTATTGGTAGTGAGGGAGGGCTTAGCTCTTAAAGGAAACAGGGAAGTATCCTCCACTTTAACATGAAGAAAATATATGGTCACAAATTTAGCTAGGTTGATAAAACTGATGGTGGGTTAATGAGATACTTCTCTCAATATGGCATCAATATTCTTATGACTTTTATGTTGGAGTCACCATATGAGAGGGAGTGGAAGTAAGTAAGGATTTGACTCAGGAAATTATGAGTATGCTACCTGACACAGAGTATGATGGTTAATATTGAATGTCATCTTGATTGGATTGAAGGATGCAAAGTATTGTTTCTGGGTGTGTCTGTAAGGGTATTGCCAAAGGAGATTAACATTTGAGTCAGTGGACTGGGAAAGGCAGATCAACCCTCAATATGAGTGGGCACCATCCAATCAGCTACCAGCATGGGTAGAATAAAGCAGGCAGAAGAGGTGGAGAGATTAGACTGGCTTAGCCTCCCAGCCAACATCTTACTCCCGTGCTTGATGTTTCCTGACCTCGAACATCGAACTCCAGGTTCTTAGGCTTTGGGACTCCGACTGGCTTCCTTGTTCCTCAGCTTGCAGATGGACTATTGAGGGACCTTGTGATCATGTGAGTTAATACTATTTAATAAACTCCCCTTTATATATACATCTATTCCATTAATTCTATCCCTCCAGAGAACCCTGACTAATACAGGGAGGAATTGGTTTATGTATAGGGAAGAATGGTAGTATTGACTGGCATTATTGAGTTTGTATTTTATATTCCTGACCACTAATTAGAAAGGAATTCAGTCATCACTCTTGCATAGTTTTTTTTTTTCCTACAATATTCAAACATACAGATCCAGGAAAGTGATACAAAGGTAACTTAGTAAAGCCATAATTGGAATTTTTTTAAGGCAAGTAATTTGGAAAACAAAGGTAAACGAGTTAAGGGAACTCAACAAGAACATTAAGTTGTTGAAACATTGAAGTTACATGTAGAAGAAGGAAAGTGATTAGTAGACTAAAACATAATTAATATGAACAAGAAAATAAAATAACTTTTGATAAGTCAGATAATTCTTGGTTAAGACAAAATGCAGCATATGAACTGATAGATGGAGATGGTGAATAGGGAGTGGGATGTTTGAAAATGGGTTTAGATTTTTGTGATAACAAATTCTGGTGCCAGACTATGGAAATGGTGGCTGAGGTAAAATTAAAAATACAAAAAAAAGAAGAAAAGAAAAAAAAATCACTGTTGGAGCTAAAGAGTATATGAACAGGGGGATCAGAGTTTTGGGTGTATCTAACATTTACCTGGATACTGAAACAGCCAACAAAGAATAGGCAGACAAGTGAGGAGGAAGACAATGAGTCAAGTGATGAAAAAAATGGGAGGAGTGGGCTGGGCGTCAGTAGTAACTGCAACTAGGAAGAAGTGGGAAAGTCTGACTGCATATATATCATAGAGCTTGAGCTTCTGAGGAAGTACAAAGAAGAGTTTGATCAGCATCAGCACACAAGGAGTACATTGACCTTGCATAAGTGGAGAGTGGCAGAAAAAAACATCTCGCACTTGTAAGGTCTTTGGGGCAAATCAGTGTTAACAGGAGCCAACCAGGTTTCACAGAGCAAGAAGATAAAGGAAACCTGCAGAGAAAACAGTGTATTGATCACCGCATAAATGCTGCTATCTCGAGGTTGAAATATTTACGTAGGGCCATATATTTGACAAGTAATCTCAATGCTTATTAAATATACTTTATTAAATCCACACTAATCTTTTTCATTCAAATAAAGGTTCCTCACTATTGATTACAAATAATTACTTACATAAATAACTAAATAAACTAATTGTTTCCTGAATTACCTAGTCAGTTGAGATAATTTCCAAAAGGAGTTGTTATAAAACAAGTTGGTGGTTAGTACAAGTCTCATTGTAACATAACCAGAATGAATTTTGTACTGGATGTTTCTTTCATACATGAAAGTAAAATCTAGGCAAGAGAACCAGAATGCTATAACCATACAAGCCATCATATAAGAAAGCACATCTATTCAGTGTAGAAAACTCATAATGGGAATACTTTAAATCTGCCCATTTCCAAGCCAACATTCCACTCTGCCCTCAGGAGCCCAGTTTGTTATCAGCAGGCTATCCTCTGTAAGTTTATTTCATGTGCTTCCTTTGAATGAAAGTCATTTTTTACTCACCTTCTCCAGTTTTTCTCTTCCCATCATCTATTAAGCCCTCTCTAGGACACTGAAGAAATGCTTATTGCCAAACCCGGTTTTCAATTCTCTTCCACATCCAACTATATAGCTCTTCATTGAGAGATCAGTTGGCAAAGATGAACACTCCATTCGTAAAATGCTTTCTTTGCTTGGCCTCCAGTATATCACCCTCTTTTTAATTCTACATCTAGATCTGTGGCTGTTATTCCTTAATCTCTTTTACCAATTCTTCCTCATCTTTATGAACTTAAATGTTGGACTTCCTTCCACTGTTTACTTTCTAAGTCATTTTGTCTAATCTCTAGTATTACATACCCTAATATTCATATTCCTGTATCCAATAGATTCTTACAAAATAAATAAATTTTGCCCATCTTATTGCCTTCCGCATCTTAGTGAATAGTAATTCATTTTTTCTAGTTTCTCAGGCAATAAATCTTTATTATACACCTTGTATCCAATCTACCAATAACTTTTTATTGGACATATCTACATATTACATACAGAATCCTACCATAATATTCTCTAATGTTCAGTTTCTAGCCATTGTTACTTCTAACTATTAAAATAATAGTGACATAAAATGGTGTCCTCAAGAATTTGTTGTCCCTTTATACAACCTTACTTTCAATACAAGGCTTATCACTAAGTCTTGTATCTTACATCTTAGTATCTTACCTCTTACATCTTAGTAACTTGTATCTTACAACTTAGTATTTTACATCTTAGTATCTTACCTTATCTTACATCTTAGTAACTTATATCTTAGTATCTTGCCTTATCTTGATAAGTATCTTGTATTTCAGCAGAGGTCTGAGGGAAGTAAAGAAGCAAGCCATGACTATCTTGACTATATAACCATCCCGTTTTCTGTTGTGGTTGTTGTTACTCAGGAGTAAATTATGAGAGCATGGTTTCAAAGGACATTTTGTGAAAAGGTGGTATGTCTCAGAATGATCCATAGCCAAGGTTCTTATCCCTGGTAAGGATATTCCTTCCTTACTTACTTAGTCATTACTTACTAACCTACTTAGTCACTATTCCCTGAATATGGTATATATTGCATCATCATAATCATGGGTTTTGGAGAATTTCATGCAATGAGTTAGTAAATGCAAAAACATGTACAGTTCTTGATTCATATTAGCTAAATTGAGTGTTGCCATAAGAGCTGTTCTATTTTCATTAAAGCAAATATTTACATGTATTTTTTGTGAATATAATTGTATTTTAAAGAATGAACAACTGGAATTCAGGATCAGAATTTATAAGATACATTCATCAAAGCTGTCATTGCATTTGATGCTGCCTCACAGCAGGACAAGCAAGTTGAAGAACTACATTGAATTTCTATTGAGTTATTGCTATCATTATATGGTTATCCCCAGGATGACACAATTCCATTATAGCAGCCTTTGTATGACTTGTGTATTCAGTTAATGTAACCTCATAAATTTATTAAATGCCAAAATGAGGGCTCTTGTTTTTCCAGTGTGTTTATCAAACAATGAGTTCATATTGTTGGCTCTAAAAACCTTGCTTTAAAGTAATTAAAAGCAGTACTTATGTCACCCAAGGGCAATTGCTGCTTATTTATTTATTGTTTTATAATTTACCTTCATTAGTTCAGAGTGACGGGGCTAACTATAGAACAAGTGTCAGGTTATTAGGATGTTATGACTACTGACCATTTGAACTCACATATTCAGTGAAGTGCAAATTTCAACATTTAAATAGTATACCCATTTAAAAGTTATTAAGAGAAGTTGTGTAGACCACAAACAAAAGAAAAGCACACAACTAAATTTGGTCAAACTTATTTTATGCTTATTTTGTTTTTTTTTTTCAATTATATATTCTGTGGGTACATGGGCAGCCTTGTTACCTGGATAAACTATGAAACGATAAAGTTTGGACTTCCAGTGAACACATCAAACAAAATATGAACATTATACCAAATAGGTCATTTTTCAACACTCACTCTATGCTCACTCTCCGCTGTTTTGGAATCCCCATGTCTATCATTGCCACCTTTATGCCTTTGTGTACCCATTGTTTATTTCCCACATATAAGTGAGAATATACAATATGTAATTTTTTTGCTTTTGAGTTATTTCACTTAGAATAATGGCCTCCAGCTCAATATATGTTGCTGTAAAAGACATAATTTCATTCTTTTTTATGGCTGCATAGTATTCTAGGGTGTATATACTATACCACACTTTATCCAATTATTTGTTGATGGATAATTAGATTGATTCCATGTTTTTACTATTGTGAATAGTGTCACAATAAATATATGAGTGTAGGTGTATTTTTTATATAATAATTCATTTCCCTTGGGTAGATCCTCAATAGTGGGATTGCTAGGTTGAATGCTGGCTCTATTTTTAGTTCTTCGAGAAACCTCCATGTTGTTTTTCATAGAGTTTGCACTAATCTACATTTCCAACAACAGTGGATAAGTATTTTCTTTCATCTGCATTCTCATCAACATCTGTTGTCTATTGACTATTAAATAAAAGTCATTCTGACTTGTAGAAAATGGTATCTCATTGTGCTTTAATTTGGATTTCTCTAACGTTTTGTGATACTGAGCCTTTTTTAATATGTTTGTTTTGTTGGCTGGCCACTGTATGTCTTTTGAGAAATGTCTGTTCATGTCCTTTGCCCACATTTTAATGGGATTATTTGTTTTTACCTTGTAGAGTTATTTGAGTTGCTTATGGATTCTGAATATTAGTCCTTTGTTGTATGCATGGTTTGCAAACACTTTCTCCCATTCTGTAGGTTGTCTCTTTATACTACTGATTAGTTATTTTGTTCTGCAGGAGCTTTTTAGTTTAATTAAGTCCCATTTGTCCATTTTTGTCTTTGTTGTATTTTCTTTTGAAATCAGTCATAAATTCTTTGCTTAGGTCAATGTTCAGAAGAGTTTCCCTAGGTTTCCTCCAGGATTTTTATTGTTTTAGGCCTTACATTTTGTAAGTCTTTAATTCATTTTGAGTTAATTTTTGTATATAATGACAGATAGGAGTCCGCTTCATTCTTCTCCACTCTCACTACCCCTATTAACATAGTCCTGGAAGTCCTAGCCAGAGAAACTAGGCAAGAGACAAAAATAAAACACATCCAAATTGAAAAAAAGAAAGCAAATTATCTCTCTTTGCTGATGACATGATCTTATATCTAGAAAACCTTAAAGATTCCTCTGAAAGATTACTAGACTTGATCAATGACTTCAGTAAGGTTTCAGGATATAATACCAGTGAACAAAAATGTAGTAGAGTTGCTCTAAACCAATAGCATTCAAGCTGAGATCCAAACCAAGAACTCAATCTCATTTATAATGGCCACAAAAATGAATAATTAAATAAATAAAAATACCTGGGAATACATTTAACTAAAAATATGAAAGATCTCTGTAAAAGAACTACAATGCACTGATGAAATAAATAATAATAACACAAATAAATGGAGAAATATCCCAGACTCATGGATTGGAAAATCAATATCATTAAAATGTCCATATTGTTCAAAGCAATCTACCCATTCAATGCAATTCTTATCAAATTACCAACATCAGTTTTCACAGAATTAGGAGTAACCATCCACAAATTCTTATGGAGCCAAAAAAAAAGAAGCCCAAAAGCCAAATTAATTCTAAGCAAAAAGAACAAAGCTGGAGGCATTGCATTAGTTGACGTATCACATTACCATTTTTTTTGCAAGCACAGATCAAGTCTATAGTAACCAAAACAGCATGGTTTGAGAACAAAAATAGATACATAGATAAATGGAACAGAATAGAGACCCCAGAAATAAAGCCGTATCTCTACAGCCAACTGATCTGTGGGAAAGCTGACAAAAATAAAAACAGTGCGGAAAGGACACCCTATACAATATATGGTGTTGTGAAAATTGAATAGTCATATGCATAAGAATGAAGCTGGACCCCTGTCTCTCACCATATTTTTTAATATCTTTTAGGGAAAAAAACAAACCAACCAACAAACTGAGCCTGAAACTGATAACACAGATACGTACAGCATCATATTTAAGTAACCAATCGGAATTATTGCAGTGGAGATGTTTTATTGGTAAGAGTAACTAACCCTTTATTCAGAGTCATCTGATACTATGTCTATATATGCATAAAACCTAATCAAAAAGTCATCTATGAATGTGTACCTGTATCTCTGTGTGTCTATATCTTGGAAAATTAATGTCTTGTTCTGAAATTTTAGCTTTGGCAATCACTTAATAAAGGTCCATCTGAAAGTTAAAATAAATGGACACTCCCTAACTAACTTCAGGAAATTAGAGATACATTTAGATGTATATATTGTATTGCAAACCAGATATTAATTTTCAAAAAGTTTATACACAGATATGTGTGAATATAAAAATACTAAAATACTGACTATTGATACTTCGTCTTATCTAAATATTAACTGAAGAGAACCGTTATTTTGTTCTCTTATGAACTAAGTACCTGTAAACTCTGTAATTAGAGAGTTTCTAGGTATTCAATAAAAATATACAAAATATAATTTCCAGGTAGATTATAGCATTATATTAACAAAGTAATAAGTGAACTAGGTACCAAAACTAAGTAAATTATGTACTAGGTACTATGGTAAATTTATTACATGTGTTATTGATATATAATTGCTACATAATTGATGAAATTAAGTTAAGTCCCATAATTTGGAGATGATTTAACTGAATGAGCAATAAAATAACTCCTCCATTTCACACAGCTTTTAATTGTCAGAGCTGAGAAATGAATGACACATTTTGGCTCTAGATCCAAATGTCTTCACTGCTATATTTTGTTGTGCCTCTAGAGACATATAGACAAAATATTTCTCTAAAAGTTTGTTACAGATTCCATGATAACTATGTAAAAGGACCGGTATTAAAAAGTGGACAAAGCAAGGCAAGAAGTCAAATCTACTCTCTTAACTTGAATGAAGCAAGTCAAGAGAGTTTATGTAGGATACCACCCAGTTGCTGGGTCTTGAAAAATTAGTCAGTGTCCATGAGATAGGTGAATCAGCTGGTCAAGAAGCAATACCTAAATAAAGGATTCAGTTTTAAAATATTCTAGCATTATGAAAGAATGTCAGGAAGTTCAGTAAGGCTAGAGGATATGATGCAATTAAGGTGGAGGAGGAAAAAGGAGGAGAAAGAAGTCTGAGAAAAGGCAAAATGTTAAACTATTCTTACACTTTCAAATATAACACATATACAAGATAATTCTAGGAGAAACCCCAATAAACCCAAAATAGATTTATTTTAATACAAAAAGCAATTAACATAATTTTTGAGGAGTTTTTAATGCTTATTTTGGGGCTAAAAGTGTATGTAAACTTTAAATGATGAGGTGATGTAAAGAAAACTATCAAATGTATAATAATGCTCAAGTATGGCACACAAAATTTGGAAAAACATTGGGAAATTAAATTTATGTACAAAATAAGGAGCTTAACCTTTATCTGAAGAATAGTTAAGAGCAGTTGAAAGATTAAAAACATTTTTGTGTTAGAGTTTTTATCTTGGAAATATTCGCTTAGCCTGAGTCTAAGGAAAATTTGGTTCCTAGTAAAGTGTTGGAAGGTAGGCAAAAGATACTGCTGAGGATGGCTGGGCACGGTGGCTGACGCCTGTAATCCCAGCACTTTGGGAGGCTGAGGCAGGTGGATCATGAGGTCAGGAGTTCAAGACCAGCCTGGCCAAGATGGTGAAACCTCATCTCTACTAAAAATACAAAAAAAAAATTAGCCAGGTGCGGTGGCAGGTGCCTGTAATCCCAGCTACTTGGGAGGCTGAAGCAGGAGAATCACTTGAACTCAGAGGGCAGAGGTTGCAATGAGCCGAGATCGTGCCACTGCACTCTAGCCTGGGTGACAGAGTGAGAAAAAAAAAAAAAAGATACTTCTGAGGATGACCCAGGTGATTCTGACTTGGGAAAAGTGGCGGCTACTGGTACCACCCAATGAAATGCAGAACAACAGTTGTTTTGTTTTGTTATGTTGTATTTTGAATTTGACGGGAGCACGTTAAAGATTTCCAACTTAGACATATTCAGGTTGAACGCTGAAGTGCAGATGACAATACAATGGGCACTGAGGGTCACTAAGTGCTTTGATAGAGAAAGTGACTTTCATCACCAGAACAGTTGTACTCATAAGCAAAGCACATGTTGAAATGGTATAAATGCATTTTGTACTATGAGACTTCAAAAATCTTGTGATCAGACAACGGTTCAAGGCACTTGGATCTAAATATATAGGACACCCACTAAAAATAAACTCTTGCTTTCTTTACTGAACCCATTTGATCAGAATTTGTAGGTTGTGGGGCTTAGGACTTTGTATTTTTAACAAGTTTCTTACATAATTTATAAGCATAGCCTAATTTGAAAACAATTACTCTTAAATGAATTTAATCCTTCCGTCGATGCCTGCATTCCACACACCCTGCTACCATTCTAGGTGGTTAAAATAATATACAAAACATAAACCAGAGTAAGAGAAGGGGTGCTTTTTGCTCAATTTCAATAATCACAATAGAAGAGTCCAGGTTCAGAAAGATAACATTCATAATTAAAACAAATCAGATGTAACAGTTGGGTCCACATGTCTCTTAAACTAAAGGGGGCAGCTGGTATTACACGCCAGGTGATTGTCCTCTTGCTAGCGTGTGGCTGCAGTGTCATACATTTGTATGTGTTTTAGATGTTTAGTTGGCAACCAAATTTAGAACAAACACAATATATCTATGGGCTGGTTTCAACTCGTTCATCTTTTTGAAGCTCTTCTCAAATTTATCCTCATCCATTGTTTTTTATGGAACAAGGAAGAATTTCAAATGATGGTATCCCTTAATTTTCCACCCCACTACTGACATAATTCATTTGTAAATGGATATAAATATATGAAATGCACAATTATGCTTCTAAGGGTTGATGTATAGTAGGTCACCAATCGCTCGGACACTTGTCATTAATAATGGACATTACTACTTTTTCTCTAAATAGCTGTCTCTGATCAAGGATCTAGACTATAGCACTGCTTAATATATGATAGTTACCCCAAGTCTTGACATTCTAAAACTATCACATTTTATGCTGGCAATGTATCTCCTTGCTCAGTAAAGGAAAAACATCCAACCCCTTTAGTCCTCTAGCTTTGTCTTTCAGTGAAACAAAAGTTAGTTTCTTTAAACAATGACTCTGTGAGTTATTAATAATCATAATAGCGTCTGCTAAATGGATATATTCCATTTGGCAGAAACTTACATAGTTTCAGACAGCAACTTTGGGCTTCTATGCTAAATACATTCAGTCTTTTCTTTCAAATTTTATTCTCTATACTCCTCTACCTTACTCCTCTTCCCAGAAAAATGACCACTGTGTTGCTATATCACGTGGCTCTCTGGTCTTCTGGCCAAAGGAGAACAGCAGGAGATGAAGAAGTGAAGTGTAAGAGTGAGATGGGAATTTACTTTCCTAGCATCCTCCCTGAAGGCTTCTCCACCCCTCCCTGAATCAAAACTCCCTCCAGCGTGGCTGTTTCTTCATTACTGCTACTCAAAAGTGTGATGCAAGGACCAGTGCTGGTGAGAAAGCATCTGGAAACATTAATTGTAATTCTACAGAAAAATTTTAGGTCTACTGGGTTTAAATTTTAAAAGCAGACCTGGCATTTTGTCTTTTTAAATTTTAATTTTTCAGTAATTTATTTTGATTTTATTTTACAATAGTATCTGTTTGCATAGGACTACAAAGTAAACAAAACAAAACTAGCACACACAAAAAATGGATTCTTCCTCATAGATAAAGTTGCCAGACTGAAAAACTAAAAGTAAATAAACCAGTTAATTTTGAATTTCAGAACAACTATTATATAGTATCCAAATATTATATGGATTTTCTTTGGCAACGCCAAACAACCCCTTCTCGAACAGATGGTTCGAGAAGTGCTGCTCTGCATGATCCTGTCTTCTCAGGTTCTAACATGCACTTGTAAGCTTTGCCCTTTTGGAGGTAGGGTTGGTAACAGCTCTAATGTCAAGAGCAGGGGCTTGCATGATTCCTGTGGTTTTCCAACATTATGCTCATACCTTTTTCAAAAGTTCCTTTACTAAAAACTCTCCTTTGATGAACCTAATTTCAGTATGCCATCTGTTCCTTGCTGGGACATAAACTGATACATCTTCCATGCTGAATTCTTTCAGTTATTTCTAAATCCTAGTGTGCAATGCACTTCCCAGTCTTCTCGCTAGATTCTTGCTCCTCAGAATTGCCACATTGTATATACCAACATGTTAACAAAAGGAATAGAAACAGCCACTGGATGCCTAATTTGGGGAAGACAAGAGCCATTAAGCTGCCAATCAACATTATCCAGATGTCTGCATCCGGTTACCTCATTCTTCAAATCCTTTTCTCCCTCTGGATAACCACTTTCAATATGTAGTTTACTTGCTCTCAGATTCTTGTCACAACCTTTTCTTAATTACCCTAATTCACATCCTGCAACTTTGCAATGGAGAAAATGAATAAACTTGCTGTGAACTAATAGTGACTGAGTATGACACTGAGCACTCCTGTTTTCCAATTTTACTTTTGTGCCCCATATGGGAACAGATCCAAGACTCTCCCAAACAGCAATGGTTTATCTCACCTTCACAAAGAATTCCAGAACTCTTGGATTGACAATTCTTTGTTCAACTCTTTTCAGGCAACTAACTCAATCACAGGAAACTCTTATTTTAGATAGTGTCTTAGGTTGAGCCGAAATCTGCTTCCTTGTAACTCTGAACTATTACTTCTAGTCCTGCTCTCTGTAGTAAAAATATGTGTGTTCTCTTCTATACTAGACATTTATTCATTCTATCGACATTTACTGTGTGGCTAAAAAAAATATGTCATTGTATTAGACCTCTAATTATAATATGCTGCAATGCAATGACTTTCTTTGTGACTGATTATACACACACACACACACACACACACACACACACACACTATTTGTATGTTTTATAAAAACCATGTAAACTTTTAAGATATAATTGTATCTATATGCAACTTAATCCTGCCTTACAGTACTAGTACTAAATTACATAGAGCCTCTAAAACTATTCTGTAAGCAAGCAAATAATTATTTTCTATTTGTGAGAAAAATAATGTTCCCAAAATTAAAAGGAAAAAAATACATGCATTTGGAGTGAAATCCAAGTCTACCACTTATTAGCAGTGTGATCCTGAGCAAGCCATTTAATTATTTTACAACTGGTGGATATAACACTTTACTATTATTAGCAGAAAGACTCATTTTCATTTTTGCCAGCCATGTGATGCTACACCCATTTTTTTTTAATCTATTCTGCTCAACTTTTCTTCTTTTTTGTATGTAATGTTGGACTCAGTTTGCTAATCTGTTGTTTAGAATTTTTGCATTTGTTTTTACTCAAAATTAACCCACAACTTCCTTTCTTTCATTGTCTTTGCCTCATTTTGGTATGAAAATGGACAAAACAGAAACAAAAGCAAAGCACACACACACACATTGATCAAAATGGTCTTATCCTTTCCCCCAGCTTGACTAAAGTTTGAACCGTTTTTCTTTGACTATAGACCTCTAGCCTCCATTTTCTTAGAGTATTTACTTTAGAAATCTTGTACATTCGTTCTCAGCTCCTTTGAGATGTAGTCTTTTTCCAGTTTTACAGCCAGGGATGTTTTTCTTAAGGACCTGAGAGCTATCTTTTCGAAGTGTCATCATATGTCATCATAGAAGGAGATAGTGTCCTTGTCTCCCAGTCTTTGTGGGAAGATAGGAGCCCAAATTTGCTAAGTACCAATGAGCAAACACAGACAGTCTACTCACATTGACCAGCCTTCCCACTAATATTCTCAAACACTTCTCCACTAGCTTCTTTTTTTTTCTTAACTTTTCTTTGACAATATATACACATGTTCCCCTTTCACCTCTTCTTTTCTCTCTGCCCCTTAAGCCCTTTGTAAAGCTCATTTTTTTTGTTTTTTTTGAGATGTAGTGGCACCCACCACTATGCCCAGCTAAGTTTTTGTATTTTTAGTAGTGACGGGGTTTCACATGTTGGCCAGGCTGGTCTTGAACTCCTGACCTCGTGATTCACCCACCGCAGCCTCCCAAAGTGCTGGGATTACAGGCGTGAGCCAACGTGCCCGGCCTAAAACTCACTTTCTTATTATATAAAATGAGTCGAAGAAGGAAAGGCATGTGTCCTATTTACCATCTTTACCTAGAAATATTCCTCTGTTAGATGTATTCAATTTCCAAAAATATTTTTCCAGGGCTTTTATTTCCTTGTAGTGAGAGGAGCATTGATATTAGCTGGGTGCACAATGTTTCCTGATATCAACTATTCTTTTAGGAAAGAAGATTGTGAGTTATGCTTCTCGATATAAGTTTCATGAACAACATTTCTTTGTCTTTTATTTCTTTATACCAAGCAACTGGCTCATGGCCAAGTACTTATTAGGAACAATGTACATGCCAAATGATTTAATTAATTTACAAGTTTGCTTTATGTTCTATTATCCATGATGACCTTTCACAATTACTCTATACAGAATTTCTAATGGAACTTGGTCCTAGGCTGTGATGGATCTGTCCTTCTCATACAGTAACCCCAAGCTTGATGGTGTATTTCATGAGAGCAGTTACATTGGCTACATTTTACATATTGTTTAACTGGTAAAGTGAATCTTAATTTTATCTGATTTCAGGAGCAACCTAGAGGCAGTCTATCTGTGTTCAAGGAAGCATAGGGCTGTGTAAGTCCCAATTTGGGCAGATAACTTGAAAGACATAAAATTATTTTAATACTTTTTAAATATTTAAAATAACTTTACTCATACATCTCCACTACATTCCACTGTTTTTTCCCTATGTCAATTCCTCATAGGTTGTTGAACATTAAGATTGCTGAGGAAACGTGGGGAGATATTTTTATAGAAACATTTTAAAAAATAAGTAATCATATAATTTTAAAAATTAACCTATGAGGAGAGGTCAGTGTCCACAGGAACTCCAAACCATTCCAACAGAAATTCTCATTTTTGTAATACCTTCTCTCCAAGCCATTATCCACCAAGATATTACAGTAGTCTTACAAGCTATAAATGAATTAGAGTCACTCTTCTGCTTAAAATACTCCAGTGCCTCCCTTTGTTCAACAAATAACATGAAAACTTCCTTACACATCCTTGGAGTTCTACCTGTGTTTTTGGTGCCTGGCTCAGATGCTGGTCCACATTAAGGGTTTCAATCCATATCTGTCAGTTATGTGGAGGAAATTACGACCCTCTCACTGACTTAGCTTCTCCCCTTGCATTGCACTAAAAAATATGCATTTTGAATTGCATTTCTTGCTAATATTTTCAATGGATATGTGATGTTTAAAGAGTTGAAGGTAACTTACTGAATGAGACCACATGATTCTTGATTTGGAGGATGAAAACAATGATAGCCTATATAAACATTTTTATGGTATCAAAATGCTGCACATGGCTGATATTGTTTTCAGAGTCTGCAGACTAAGTTCAGTTAGAGGAGAAACTTTTTCATGTTGATAATTTGGGAACATTCTTCTAATGGAGAGAATTGTGTTACTGATATTGCCTCTTTTTATGTTTAAAGGACTAAAGACAAGTCCTACTTTTATCAGACTCAGAAAGAAGTGACACCCTACTAAATATTTTAAAAAGGTGTCTAACACCTTAGAAAGGGTTTGAATGAATTCTTCGTGGAAATAGCATCCACAGGGAAGGGAAGAAATACATTAAACTTTAGCTTTATTGTAGTTGATTGTAAGAGTGCATATGAGACTATGAATATCATTTAATATACCTTATAGTATCATACATTTTAATACATTTAAATAAAATATTCTGAAATTCTGTTCTAGGGAAGTATGACACTTCTCTGACAATAAAACTGGCTAATTTTTACCCAAGCCCTGACTATTTTTTCTTTAGCAACAATTTAAATGGCTTTTAGAAACTCACTCAAGGAGTCATACATTATTCTACCCATGATAAACAAAAATGTGTGCTGATCTCCAAGTCTCACTTTACTTCATTGCTAAGCTCCTTACCAACTAGATTTTACACTGCTATATTTGTCTACATTCCTCTGTCTTTTAATTTAGGTGGGAAATACGGTATCACACCATTTCAGACATCAGGAGATAATTATCCCTGTCTTCTCGGAACCAGCTTCTTCAAAGGAGTCAGGAATTATTTATGATAGAAACTACTGAAACAATACTAAGGAGTTCATAGGTTGCTGAGAAGGTAGCTTCCTGCCCTCTGCTTGAGGAACACGGATGGAAGAAAGGAGAAGATCTGGTCAACACAGCTCCTGAAATGCTGATTAAGCATTATGGGATTTAAGGTTTCCTGGCCAAGTCTGAGCTAAAATGTTAACACTCCTGAAGAACACCATAAAGAAAGAAAAACAAAAACAAAAAAATTCTCTCGTTTCTTTGCTTCTCAGTCAATCTTCACACTAGGGTGAGGGATATAGGGGTCGTTCTTATGCTAAGAAAAAGAAACACTGCATGGTACAGATCATATTTTCTTCACTAAATTCAACTTTACTTAGCAAAATATTCAAGTGTCTTAGCTGATTCAGATGGGATAATTTATAAACAGCATAAATATATTGCTCACAGTTCTTGAGGGTAGGAAGTCCAAAATGAAGGTGCTGGCAGATTTGCTGTTTGGTGTGGCTCTCTGCTTCAGAGATGGCATTTTCTATGCGTTCGCACATGGCAGAAGAAGCAAGGAAGCGCCCTTCAACTTCTTTTACAAGGGCGCTAATCCCATTCATGAAGGCAAGTTAGTTTTAACTTATGAATTTGGGCAGGGAGGGGGGATACCAATATTCATATCATAGCACCATGTAAAGGAAAAAGTAAAGATTCTAGTTATGGTACCTATGTATAAAAGCCATTGTGTAAGATTCAACAGGGCCATTATCATGGCTGTGTTTTTTACTACTAATATGGAATCTCACAAACCCAAGTGCAAAGTAGAATGAGATTGCTATGTTAGACTTCCTTTTGTTCTTTATACCTCTTGTCCTTAAATTTTGGTGCACATGTTGATCACATAAGCAGGTTTCAGACATCTGAATGTACAGGTTTTATTAATTTAGATTAATGTCTCTAAGAACAAGTACCAGAACTCATGATTTTTTAAACCTCACCATATAATTCTAATGTACAGCCAAAGTTGATAAACATTGATATATTAGTTTGTTTTTTGTTGCTTATAATGGAACATCTGAATCTGGGTAATTGATAAGAAACAAAATTTATTTCTCACAGTTCTGGAAGGTGGAAAGTCCAAGGTCAAGGGATTGCATGTAGTGAGAGGCTTCTTGCCTGTGGGAACTGTCTGAAGAGTACCTGGTGGTGCAGTTGCTCATATAACAGAGATGATCTTGGCATATCCCTGGAAAAAACATTATCTCATGGTACATGTGTTTCCTCTCCTCCTACAACTTTGGCCAAATAGAATCTATTCTTCCTTCCCTTGCCATCAGAAACTTGATGTTTGCGGGGAGCATGGAGGGATAATCTCACTCAAACTTTAATTTGTATGTTGGTATTCTCTCATTTCTTCCCTGTCTACAAGTATGGATATGTGATTGGATATAACCCAAGAAATAACCTATCCCATAAGTATTGTGAAGGTGCAGAGAGATGCATATAACCCAGTGTGGGGAAACGAGAGTCTATTCCAGGAGTTTTGTTCAAACTTGAAGGACAAAGAACTTCCTTCATGCTGGGCTTGACACTGCAAAATGTAAGGCTACACTACTTGAGTCATCTTATCACCAAGTAGCTTCTAGTTACATAAAGGAAAGCAGAACTGAGAGCAGTAGAGAGATCCGATCCTGGTACACTTGGGAGGACATCTGGATGACATGGTAACTTAAGCTAAATAAACTCTTAGGCTCTCAACATTTTTTGTTAGTTTTGTTGGCTGTTTTGCTTAAGCCAGTCTACAGTCTAGATTGCATTTGCTTACACTTTCAACCAAAAATTACCAAATGTACATACATCTTTCTAAAATATTATTTCATTATTTTTGTTACCATTCTATGTGTAAAATCTATGACGTACAGATTACTATGTATAGTTTGACAAGAATCACTTATTTACTTTTGCTATTCTTTTCTTTTATGTGCTTTATTTCTGTAACAAATGGTCCCTTAGTCTGCCAGAATTCAGATCAGATGTTAAATCTTTATTTTTGCTTCAGTTACCAGTAAGGATCACTCCTCTCCACTTCCCTATTACCTTTTATTTATATTAATTAATTAATTATATTGTATACACCTGATAGTAAGATTAATGTATTCATCTTTTAACTTTCACAATTAGTATAGTGGCTAGTATACAGTAGAAACTTTATTAATATTATTGAATTAACTGAATTGAATTTTTCCCCAAGTTAATAAAACTTCAGGCTGGCTACTTAAACATAATTATAATTTTTACAACAAGGGCAGCAATGTCTCAAATGTTTAACCATGCCTGAAACTTTGTGTTCAGTTCTGGTACAGTCCTTTTGAAGGAACAGAATGGATAATAACAAATTTAAATATTTCTATAAGAAAGTATCAGGCTGAATTATTCAAATTCGTGTATTTAAAGCAATTGAAGAAGCTTGTGATGTCTATTCTGATGTTTGTTTTTAATATTTGAAGAATTGTGCATCCAACTAGAAACAACACTAAAGCCTGTGGTAGAAATTATAGGGGATTAGGAGTATATGCAAGGTACATTGGGCAAATAGAAATATACACTCGGCATCTTCACATACTGTAAAAGTATCATGTTCTTTTAAAAGCTACCAAAGACAGAAGAGAAGGTTAAAGTAGAGGACTTCTAAAGTCTGTCAAATATTCTAGAATATTTAATTTAATAATAGGTGGCAAATACAATTGACCTATAAACAGGAGACAAAGATAATGTTAAAATCATAACCATCACATAGATCTGAACCCATTTAAAAATTTTTTTCAAACATTGTTGTTTCATTGACTAATTAGTGAATGACATCTGAATGATCACAAATATTTTCCAGCTTAAGATTTATATCTCTTCTCAAATTTCCCTTAATCTTAATTAATATTCTACATAGATGAACAGTCTAAAATCAAATTAGGGAAATAAATGTAAACCTGAAAATGTTTATATATATATAGATAAATGAAAGCAAAATACTAGCATGTAAATTAAAAGGTTAAATTTCTGGGATAAAAATAAAACCTTTTTCATTTTAATGTATTAAAAATAATTCCATAATTAGTAATTGAAGGAACATTTTTCTATTATCTCTTTAATTTATTTTTGTCTCCAATTGGAGGTATATCCTTTGAAAATTGTTTCCTTTATATTTTAATAAGAGCAATGCAAATGTCGTTAACACTGACTGTGGTGTTTTAAAACAATGGAAAATTTTGCATTAATTTTATGAGGGAAGATAATAAGAGGCTATAATAAATCATATATAAATCATATAAGATTTTAACCAAAGAAACTGAGAAACATACATTTTAGGAAGATTAAAATGATACATATTGTTTCAAGTAATTATTATGAAGTTTTAAATAAACATTGTAGAACAAGATTGGGTACGTTGATTTAGATTAGAAAGTTACATAATTCTTAGCTTCATTGGAAAAGAGTCTCCTAATAGAGATACCTTGCAAGCAAAATGTTCATTTTAAAAGTTGATACTTAACAGTAGTTCTTTGAGGGGTTTATATACAAATGTGGTCAGAAGGAACCAACTACTACTTTTAGCAATTTTGTACAAGTTTCTGCACCATAAATAGTTTAAGAACGAAGTTAAAATTAGAACTTGGATGGATTTTTTGCCTTATTCAACATTTGATCTAGAAGAGGGAATACAGCTTGCCAATAATTCTAATCTCTCCCACATGTTGAAATATCAAGTCAACCGTGACCCATTTAAAAATCAACTTTAAAATCTCACTATTAGTGTGAATGGGTAGACATGTGTCAAATAATAGACAGACACATAAAGTTATAATTTGAGGCTAATAATTCAAATCATCCTTGTACAAGAATAAAATCTGAGGGAACCAATTTGACACTTTCTATCCCCTCCACTCCTTGCTGACAACAATAATGAATTTTAAAATCTTTAAAAATAATTCACTTGCATTATTGGGCCAATATGGTGATTTGGTCTAAAAGGACAATATGTTATCATACCTCACTAGGAAAGATATAGGAAACAAACAGATCTATAATAATTATAAGAATAAGCAGTATCTTCTTTATGCCAGACTAGTAAACATTCCACATACATTAAATCCCCTAGAAAATTCATGGAGTTGTTTTATTTTTTATTCTTTAACGTATCTGGGGAAATGGGACTCTGTTAGTTAAAAGCAGTGATTCTCAGTCAAGGTTGATTTTGCTCCTCGGGGAACCTTTGGCAAATAAGTCTGGAGACAGTTTTGGCTGTCAAGAGTGCTGGTGGTGGGGGATGGCTGCTACTGGCATCTAGTGGGCAGAAGCAAGGGATGCTGCTGAACATCCTACAAAGCCTTAAGACAGTCCCTATCTCAACAAAATATGATCCAGCCCAGAGTGACATCAATAGTGCTGATTTCTAAAAACTCTGGCTAATAAATGTGTCCCTAAAACTTGTCCGGCAACCCTTAAGCTTTGCATTGAGAGTTGTTCCACTTCGTACTTCATTCCTGTCCATACAGAGAAAAGTTTTAGAGATCAGTAAAGGGTTGAAGAGACTTCAACATAAAGCAGGCCAATATAGGAAGAAAGTATTAGTAAAGGAAGAAAGTGAAAGAGACATTCTTTCATTTTATTTTATCTCATGAATTAAACATATAAAATATAAAAATATAAACATATAAATATAAACATATAAAATATAAAAATATTGAATTAAATAACAATACCTGGAACCTATTTTTGAAATCATTTAGTTAGGTAGATGCAAAAAAAAAAAAAAAAGACATAAAGCAGAACAGAGCAAAGTATAATCAAATTGTAATAAGTATAAGCAAAGTGTAATAAGTGTAAATACTTGAAGTTTTAAGTAGAAAGAACACATATTTGTCTGGCAAAAATCAAAGCGACCTTGTAAAGAAACTTATATTTTTTTTTGACCATTTTATTTTATTTTTTAATAGAGACAGGGTCTCACTGTGTTGCCCAGGATAGTCTCAAGCTCTTGCCCTCAAGCCATCTACCCTCCTTGGCCTCCCAAAGTGTTGGTATTACAGGCATGAGCCACTGTGCCCAGCTGAAATTTTTCCTTGATCTTACTGAATAGGTGAATTTGTAGTAGAAAATGAAAGTGTCTATTTGGACACTTTACTTGCTCTGTATTTTCTTTCTTTATCTCTTCCCTCTTCAGGTCTCTCTTCCTTCCCTCTCCTCCTTTCCCATCTCCTTCTTTGCCCATCTCTCCTGCTGTCTCTTTCCATTTCCATTTATTTGCTTTCCTTTCCTTCTTTGCTTTCTTCAACAAGCATATATTGAATTCTTGACATTTCCTACTCCAGATAAAAATTGAAGGACATGGCCCTAAAAAACTTTCACTCAACTGGAGCATCATAATTATTAAAAAGTAATTAGAAAATAATGTTGAAAGTATCATAAAAGAGAAATAATACAATGCAAATAATGTGCCATTTGGGGGGTAACAGAAAGAGGGGTTAACTAGTCTGAGAAGAAAAGAGTGAGGAATGTTTTCTGGGAGACGTAAATTTTGAATCATGTGAAAAGGGAGAAGTGGATGAGGAAGAAAGGTAAATCAATGAAAGCCTGGAAGGAAGTAGGTAAGGTTCTGTTTTAATGGCCTTCCATTCTCTTATTGCAAAGATAGCATCTATATCCTTTAGATCTTTGCTCTAAAATTCTATCTCAAGAAAGTTTTCCTGATTTCTCTGACTTAATCTCACTCTTTTGTAATTGGCCTATAGAAATACCACTATGTTCCGCCAGGTGCAGTGGCTCACGACTGTAATCCCAGCACTTTGGGAGGCCGAGGCGGGTGGATCACGAGGTCAGGAGTTCAAGACCAGCCTGGCCAAGATGGTGAAACCTGGTATCTACTAAATATACAAAATATTAGCAGGGCGAGGTGGCAGGCACCTGTAATCCCAGCTACTCAAGAGGCTGAGGCAGGAGAATCGCTGGAACTCAGAGGGCAGAGGTTGCAGTGAGCTGAGATCACGCCACTATACTCCAGCCTGGATGACAGAGTGACGCTCCGTCTCAGGAAAAAAAAAAAAAAAAAGAAATAGCACTGTGTTCCCTTCTTTTATGCCTGTTGTCACAGTTGTGATTTTATTTGTATTTATATGATTATTCAATTAATATCTGTCTCCCCATCAGACTGTAAGAATCACAGTATCAGAGACTAGGTCCAATTTTTCTTACCCAATATAGACCACAGCAATTTCAGCAGAGTAGCTGAACAATAAATATTCATAGGAAAAAAGAGATACATAAAATAATGAGGTAAGACACAGAAGAATATTACTGGAGTAATAAGTACTTTCTACAGCATGGCAAATTTTGATTTGCAGGAGAATAATAATACCAATTAGGAAAGGTTCTTTTTTGTCTTGCTAAAGTGCTTGAAGCCTTATTCTATAAGGAATGGGAAAACACGGAAATACTTCAACCAGCACTGGGAATTTGCAATCATATTTCCCCTTAAATAACTTACTTAAACAACAATGTAAAGGATGTAGTCAGGATGTAGGTAAAAATGGGGGATAGTTATGAAAATATTGTAGTCTAGGGCTGAAACAGTAAGTTTCTTAGTAGAACTGTGGCATAATGTTAATAAGAAAGAATCAGTTTCAGAATTTGGGCTTAGAAACAAAAGGTAAATTAGAGCCAGATTATGAATAACTTTTTGCATAGCATCTAATGATACAATTCAAGTCGGAAAACAATTTCATTTTCTTTTCCCTGAGTATCTGTTATCCTTCCCAAATGATCCTGATGCCATTGTGTATGGTGTAGATCATTATGTGTGTACTATCCTTTTGATATTTCTTCTTTTGAGATAATTTATGACAAATCTATCAATGCATTGTTGTGCTCTAAATAAAATATATTCCTCAAGCATACAGTCAGATCCTGTCTTTATAAATGATGTTGCAAGAAAAAGCTAACTACATGATGTATCTTCAGAGTCTTAAGACAAATTATTGTGGTGGATTAGATCTTAAAATGGAATCATAAATTATAGGCAGCACTAAACATTATAAGGTTTAATGATGAGCTTTGCTGTAACTCTCATCTGAGACAAATGTTGCCATAAAATTCTAAATCAGCATTTAATGAATTGACAGAAGCTGGAGAATATGAGTTGGTGCTAAGGTGGGAAAGAATACAGACATGTAAAAAGAACTTAGGTTAGAATTTAAAATCTGTGCCTCCTCCATTCAACCTTCTGGGCACTGAGAGGCTCTCAAATTACCTCTCTCTAAGATATATAAAAGGTTCTGAGGCTGAGGCTTGATCTGTGCAAGAACTAGCCTCTCATTTTTTGATGCTCCAAATGAGACAAAGAATTAGTAGCTGAAGCATCTGTTCCTGCACATGCTGAACAATGGATAAATTCTGTCTTTAGTGAAGTGGCAGACAGAGCAGAGTGATCCGGAAATGTAAATCACCAAAAGGATTTTCCCTGGAGTGTTAATAACAGGTCAGTAATTACTCTGAAAAGGAAGGAGGCAGATAGAACTCTATTGAGAGTCCAACCCTCCCTGTTTTACACCCACTATGTTTTCTTTGGGGAAAAGTAATTTAATTTCAATGGGAAAATATATTTTCTGGCTACAATCTCTATTAAATGTTTAATTAAAGTTAATAGAAAGTCTCCATTTAAAAAAGCAATTAAACACTAGAACACTAGAAAGTGTTTTTCCCCCTTTTGATTTTTACTCTGTTGGAAACAACAGTGTAATCATTGTCCTCAATGTTAGAAAAAATTCCAAACGGAAATATATTACTCATGTCATTTTCCAAAGCTTAGTTTATATGTGAGAAGGAAATAACTCATTTTTAAGATAATACAGAACACAATTATTTATGACAATTTTTCATTGGGAAATAAAGAAACTATACTGGTGATTACTTAGATTGTTATTCGTTTTCAATATTGTTCATATAAAGGCATTACCTAGCCAGAAAAACTTGATCTGGTTCAGATGGCAAAATATAAGCAAAAGTATTTCATCGTGGAAAGTGCTGAGCAAGCCAGACTTCAAAAGATAATGAGTATCTGGGACCTTCTTAAATATTAAATTAACATCTTTTCCTTTTGACAGTGCTGGGAGAAAATCTACACATTCAGTCTTCTAGACTTCTGAGTATATTTAGAAATTCATAAAGAGAGATTCAATGGCCTGAATGTGTCCTTACACCTCTCAAACTGCAAGGGATATAATGGAAATAGTAACATGCTTTCTTTTCTTTTTTTTTTGAGACGGAGTATCGCTCTGTTGCCCAGGCTGGAGTGCAGTGGCATGATCTCAGCTCACGGCAACCTCTGCCTCCTGGGTTCAAGTGATTCTCCTGCCTCAGCCTCCTAAGTAGTTGGGATTACAGGTGCACACCATCAGGCTTAGCTAATTTTTGTATTTTCAGTAGGGATGGAGTTTCACCACACTGGCCAGGCTGGTCTCAAACTCCTGACCTCAAATGATCAGCCCTCCTCAGCCTCCCAAAGTTCTGGGATTACAGGTGTGAGCCACCTTGTCTAGCAAGTGACATGCTTTCTTAAAAACTCTCTACTCCACTCTAAGAATCCATACAAAAAGGACTATGTCTGTGTTATTCATCTTTGAGTCACCAACACCCAGTACAGTGCTTCTTACATAGTAGAAACTCAATAAAATATTGTTAAATAAAGAAATGTATTTTTCCCATGTTTCATGTTTAAAAAATGGATTTTACACAGTGACGTAACATGAGTATGTGTGTGTGTGTGTTTAAAGCAATATTATCTCTATTGACTCTGTTATTCATTTTGTCTTTCCTAAAATCACAGTATGTTACTGTGATTTCCAGAAAAAAGATGGAGAAATAAATTCATGTCTGTAGTACAGACAGAAATAGTCTTACTAAAATAACTGGAGGAAAAGAGTGGCATAGGTGTTATAAGCAATCATTCTTATTTTGATTTTGGCATTTACACTTCAGTTTAGTGCATGTGGTAGTGGAGTAACAGAGGAAAAAGCAATATAGTGAAAAGAAGGTGTGAATATTGTGCTGTTCAGCTTACTATCTTTTCTTTCAGTTAACCTATTCCTCTGTACCTTACATGCTAGAAATTGACTGGGCCACATTGCAAAATTAGGAAGTGAACTTACATTTTGCAAAAAACTTTCAAACTTCCATTTCTCTAGAATAGAGATAATTAAGTGGACTTTCTTGTCCTTCTACTCTTAAATTGGACTAAACCAAGAAACTTGTTCTGTTAGCAGAATTTTTAATTGAGGGACATATTTTTCAATCTAGTAAGAATGTGAAAACAAGATGTAAATGACAAAAGGCAAACTGTGGAAGGTGGAAAAAGAGGATACAAATGAGGAAGTGAAGGAAATTGGATTACAAAGGCGGATATCCAGGCATCTAGAAGTTGAAGTAAGGAAAGGTAAAAAAGAAATCATCATTCTCAGTAAACTATGGCAAGAACAAAAAACCAAACACCGCATATTCTCACTCATAGGTGGGAATTGAACAATCAGAACACATGGACACAGGAAGGGGAACATCACACTCTGGGGACTGTTGTGGGGTGGGGGAAGGGGGGAGGGATAGCATTAGGAGATATACCTAATGCTAAATGATGAGTTAATGGGTGCAGGACACCAGCATGGTACATGTATACGTATGTAACTAACCTGCACATCGTGCACATGTACCCTAAAACTTAAAGTATAATAATAATAAAATTTTAAAAAAGTTTGAGGAAGAAGAGGGAAAAGAGAAAACGTAAACTATAATAGAAATAGAAATACAGAGACTCATTTTTAAAGAAGCAGAATACTTTTGTTTATATTTTTAAAAAAGATAAACTCCAAAAGGAAATATATAAGAGAAACGTAAGTTGTATTTTGCAAAATCTGAAATGGAAAGGTGTACTTTTAAGTCCCAATGATAATTTTTATCTTAAAGAAGAGCTCCAAAAGCAGAAAGTACTTGAGTTCTCTCTTTTCTTTATGCATCACGTACAGTTTCATGCAATTCTTGTTGACACACTTCCTAACCATATCCCACTTTTTTTCGCTTTTCTGTCTCCATTATTACCATACTGCAGCAATCCTGTTCTATTATCTTCCTAATGAGCTATAGCCTTCTAACTAGACCTCTTACATTCCCTTTTAATTCTATACAATCTAATCTAATCTTGATATAGTCACTACTAGATCTTTGTAATTATAAAATATATTAAATCACTCCTTTACTTAAAACAATGCAACAGTCTTGCCAATGGAATGCAATGTAGCAGTCTCTGGTTGCCTGAGGTAGTACCCAGCATCCTTTGATTCAGGACCAAGAAAGTTAAGGAGCATGGGCACTAAGGATGAGGTTGGAATGAAAGTGTAATAAGCAAAAGAAGAAATACTCCATGTTACTTTGTTCCCCTTACTGTGCATGTGTCAGAGGATGGAATTTTCCATTGCAGGCATGTCTGGGCAAGTCTCTTGTGTAGCTTTTCTCATCTGTGCGACAGTAGGCATGTCTTTGGCAAGACCCCCAACCCTCCACCCCACCCCGCCCCTCGCTCAAGTTCCCTGCAGGCTGTTCTTTTGTTTGAAAGATTTCAACCAAGGACCCTCACTAACTGCCTGCCTGACCGGTTTCTTCCTTTCTCCACTCTCAACAATTTGATGATTTTCTATCACACTAAAAGGAAGTCAAAACTCTTCAACTTGGCTTATAAAGCTTCATGGATTGCAAATTTTTTAAATAATCATTTTTTCTCCCCTGTAAGAGTATGATATTTCTGTTCTTACCATGCCTCCCTGGAGAGGAAGTATTCTTACTTATGCCTTTGCCTTTGCTAGGCTTACACATTCATATTTTATTGAATAAAGAAGTCACAGCCCATCCTTAGGCATGTAAGCACACATGATATGCAAGAAGAAAGTATAGCATCTACCACTGTCTCTTCATTCAATCCAGTCCCAGTCCACTCATATGAAAGCCTAAATACCAAAAGATCTGTAGTATCCATATTCATAAGATTCAGGCAACATAAATTAATGCTTCTTTGGGATGGACATTGCAAAGTGCACCTTAGGACAAAAGTCTACTATTCTCTTTGCTTTTATAAAGGCTTTGTTCTGTGGAGAGCTTCAGTACACTACTGGTCACAATGACAGCATAGGTGATGTCAGTGGAGTGTACAGGCCATATTTAACAGGCCAAGAGAGAAAATAGCAAGTTCAGAAGCAAAAGATTAGTATGCCCATGGGCATTAGCAGCCCAGGCTTCTCACACACCTTGGATTGTTGAAACAGGTTAGGAGAAAAATGACAAAAGGTCGTAACATCTGACTTCACTATTTAAAAGTGGAAAAACCCTGATAAACTCCCTGAAGTGTGTGATTTTTTTTTTATATGAAGGGACCCAAATCACAGAAAAATTATTTGCTACAATAAGTGAGACTAAATTATTTACCATGAGATGGGTAATAATATAAACCTTTAAACCCTACCTGTTTGAATATATATCATGATTTCTACTAACTGCAACTTCACCTAAATCAGGTCAGATCAGGTGTTTACTAAATTTCAACAGCAGAATAATTCTATTTTGCATTTTTGCAATGTGGTAAAGGTTATATTAAATTTTACTTTAGCATTGAAAATAAATGGGCTGCTCTGATTATTTTACACAAGAGTCTGAAGTTTAACAGACTCTTTTAAGTAAATCTGAATCAGAATGTTCATAAGTGCTTGTGAATTGAAGCTTCAAGTTGCTTAATCTAAATCACAGCATGAGTAATTGCAATAAATCCTCCTCACATAGCTAACAGTCCACCAGAGGCCAGATCTGTGACAATCTTGTTCTCTAGGCTGGAATTGTGAATAGAACATTAAAAAAGATACTGCATTAGTGAACTTAAAGTGGTACTGTTTCTGCCTAGGTTATCTTCAACTTCAGAATATTTATTCCATCAAATAAAATATATATAATAATTGTTCTTTAATAATAATAGGTTTGTAGTAAAGCATTTTAAAAAATTTTAGCATAGTTTATTTAATTTGTCATAAATGTTTAAATCAATATCCATACTTAATTTTTGATTTGGGAACTAAAATATTTAATTTGTCTAGCTAAATTAAATATGTCATGAATTGAAGTTAAGAACTGAAGGTTTACATAAATATCATTGTCATTTTCTGAAGTGTTTCAAGTAAATTACAGGAAGCAGTTTGGGATGTTAACATTGATTTACAGATTAGTTTCATCACAGAGTAAACATGAATATTACAAACATCATAAAAATCATTAAATATGCATGAATTCTTGCATTTTGGACATACATTGTATGAGTACTGTGTGCCAAATACTGCATTTGCAAGGTACTGGTGGATTAAAAGATAAAATAATTTTGTTTCAAAGCCTTGCTTTCTTTTATTTTGAGCGGGCTGTACCCATTGCAGAGGATCTGAATGGATCTATGACATGGCTGGATCTGAACTGTTTCCATTCTAAAGAAGAGGTTTACTGTAGCATACATGTACTGAGATATAGAAAAAAGCGGAATAAGTTATAGTTTCAAATTTTTTAAAGTCATTGTTAGTGCAAATTTCACCAAATCACATAGTAATGTTAAACACATCTATTATGCATATCACATTCTAATCATCAGTTCTAACTATGGTTAAAAATTTTATATACAATTGGTCCTCTGTATTTGCAAGGTCCACATCCTTGGATTCAACCAACATAGCACCAAAAATATATTTAGACCAGACCTACAAGGGTTGCATCTGTACTGAATGTGTACAGATTTTTTCTTATTATTTCCTAAAGAATAAAATAAAACAACTATTTATATAGCATTTACATTGTGTTTGGTATTATAAGTAATCTAGAGATGATTTAGAGTATTTCGGAGGGTGTGCTTAGGCAATATGCAAATACTATGCCATTTCACACAAGGGATGTGAGCGTCCCTGGATTTTGGTGTCTTTGGGAGAATAGAGGTTGTCCTGGAACCACTCACCAGAGGTACTAAGGCACAACTGTATAGACAAAGAGAAATATTTATTTTGCTACACATAAGCATTGAATATGACAATTGTCAACTAAAAAATAATGAATGAAAGCTATACATTTAGGAAGGAGACTTTATGTCTTATAAAAGATTACATCCTGCAGGGTTACCATTCTGACAGGCTGGGAAGCAGAGCCTCTGGATGAAAACTGAAAGGCAGCCACTTTAAAGGCGGGGAGGGTGGAACAGAGATTTATGCTGAATGAGTTGGCCAAGTATACATACTCAACAGGGTATAGAAAGAGTTATGAATATTCATGAATGGGGTCCTACTGCATGCATACTGAATAAACATATATGTTATTATATGACCCATATCTACCTTGGGGTGGAGACTTAACATTAAAATATATGACAATTAGGCCCTATACGTCAAAAGGTGAAGCAGAGTAAGGAAGACATGCAAGTGCGTAGCCTCTGTAAATTGGCCAGAACCACTCATGGTCAGTCATCTTATCAGGAGAAATATACTGAAACCAGGATCTTGTCCAGTCAATGCTGTAGTTATGGCTTGTGGAACAGGAGGGTGAGAATCAGCGTCTGGTGGTAGATGAGCTACAATTTTTTAAACATTCATTATCTTAAGGCCAGTGCTTATTTAGCTGCTAGAGAAAAAAAGAAAAAAGAAAAACTTTTTGGCAGTTAGAACATAGTTTGTGGCAGTTAGAACATAGTTTATTCTTTTTTATTTTTTTGAGACGAAGTTTCATTCTTGTTGCCCAGGCTGGAGTGCAATGGCGTGATCTCAGCTTACTGCAGTCTCCGCCTCCCAGGTTTAAGCAATTCTCCTGCCTCAGCCTCCCTAGTAGCTGGGATTATAGGCGGCCATCACCACGCCCAGCTAATTTTTTGTATTTTTAGTAGAGACAGGGTTTCACTATGTTAGCTAGGCTGGTCTCGAACTCCTGGCCTCAGGTGATCAACCCACCTCAGCCTCCCAAAGTGCTGGGATTACAGGCGTGAGCCAACGTGCCTGGTTCCAACATAGTTTATTCTTTAAGTGCAGGAGTACATGACTTAAGCTTTGCCTGGCATGGCCTTAGGTCTTCTTTATCATTTGGTATCTTATTTCTGCAGAGTCCATTCTGTCCATCTTATGATCTCTGTTTTAACATTACTGCTGGTTAGTTGTGTTTAAACAGTGAAAGGGAGTGAGCATCATAAGGTGTGTCTGACCTCCCATCCCACCATGGCCAGGAATTCAGTTTTTAAGGTTCCTCTGGGGTCCCCTTGGCTAAAGGGGGTCTGTTAAGTTGGTTGATGGCATTATATTTTATTTTTAGTTCTCAAAATCTAGTGGTAAAATTATAAATTTTAGAGTTTCTATATAAACCTTTTCTCTTCTTCTAATGACAGACATTTCTTTTTAATTTTATATATTCCAAAGCCATATGCTCCATGCCTGGTAGTGATGGTCAGATATCAATTAGCATTAACAATCTGAAGAAGCCCCATACAACTAATTCTATATTAACCCACAATCTTTTCTGCTGTTACAAAATTTTATCAATCTTTGGTTTGATTGTGTTAGATATTGTCAAACAACTTCTTACCTTCGTTTAATGTTCTTACGGTTGACTACAATGGATTCTGTTCTATTCTTCCAAGCTTTAGGATGAGAATTGAGTTTTATTCTCTCTTTGTTACTCTTCAACAGACTGAATGCATGTGTTCCCTCAAAATTCCTATGTTGAAATCTAATTCCCATTGGGATGGTACTTGAAGGTGCAGACTTTAGGAGGTGATAAGCCATAGCAGTTGAGCCCTTATGAATGGAATTAGTGCTCTTATAAAAGAGACCTCAGTGAGCCTTCCTCTCCCTTCAACTATGTGAAGATACAACTAAAATATGTCCATCTATTTGACAGGTAGCAGGTCTTTACCAGACACTGAATCTACCAGTGTCTTAATTTTAGACTTCCTTAGACTTCTAGAAATAGAAGAAATAGATGTTTCTTGTTTATAAGCCACTCAGGCTATGGGATTCTGTTAGAGCAGCCAGAAAGGACTAAGACTCTTCTCTCTCTCTCTCTGTGTGTGTATGTGTCCTCTCACTGTATTCGTGATTCTTCATAATACCCAGGTTATAACAGATACCATTCTTTATACAAAGATTCATCAGCAGAGGCCTGAGGAAGTAGATTTATAGTCCTAATGTGTTACCAAATAATTTCCTAAAAAGAATTTGCCTAAAAATAATTTTCCTAAAAATGTACTGCCCTGCAAGAACAGAATCCACATATATTTCTCTTAAAATGAGAAAGGAAGAGGAATAAAATGAAGAGCTTTACACCTCTCTGATCTCAATGTTAAGTTAGGTTCATACCTTGAGGAAACTTCACTGCCTTGCAAATTTTCCCAAGTTTGTCCTTGTCTATAAAGGGCTACAAACAACTCTTTATAACATCTTAGCAGTGCCAGGCACTCAGAAGAAAACCCTGTATTAGCCTGAAGTGTCAACATATAATGCTGTAGTTTCCAAGACGCTTTTAAACTGTACTGTGGTATATAATGTGCATCCCTGAGCTGTTTGTGAGAAATATTTCTACAAAGTGAACCTCTAGGAAATCTCGTCTGCTCTTCCCATGTTTCATCATGAGGGTCTGTCATTAAAGGTTCTAATATATCCATCAGCTTTATGCTCATGAAACATGAAACTGAAAAATAAAAGAGGGTGAATCAATAATTCAACAACATAATTTGGCAGTATTTTTTAATTCTATGGTCTGCAGAGGACAAATTGTATTCTTTAAAGTATATGCATTCGATATGCAAAGCTAACTGCTCTCATACTTCTAGCCATACCCATTCTGAAGTTGTAAATTGGGAAGTGCAATGACATTCACTATCACTGGACAGAAGATACTATGAGGAGGTCAGAGAATATAGCTTTCGGCAAACAGGACTGCAGACGCTAAGAATGGAAGTGTGCAAGTTCTGTACAAACCCCTTAGCTCAAGACATCATGTAAATCATGAAGACCAATAAGCAAGATGCATCAATTTACAAATCAGATACTAATATTATATATTTCCTCTGGGTAAAGAAACACTCAAAAGATTTAAGGATTTCTTTTTAAACTGCAATTTGCTCTGAGCATCCATGTAGCCCTGACAAAAGAAAAACAATGCAACAAAATAAACACAAGACAAAAAAAAAGAGCATAGAATAACTTCAGTCTGATACAGTAGGAAGAAAAAGTAAAAACCTTTTTTTTTGGTAAACTTTTCTAAAAATACTACATGACAATATAATTCAATTAAATTATATAATTTCTTATCTGAATAATAATTTGTACCATTTAATTGATAGACATGTCTAAACTTGGGAAGTAATTAATTTTGCTATTAGTGTTTTTTTAAGATATTGAGGAAAAGAGATTTTTAAATCTTTGAATTTGTACAAAAATGCATTATTCCAGCTGTCAGATAATTTCACCCCCAAATTGGTGAGCTCCAGGCTACTGTTATAGAACCTGCATTGTCACGTCCTCTGAAGCATTTTGTTCATGCCTTAATCAGTATTTATAACCTTGCTGTGTGACAACACTTGAAGTGATCATACTATTATATTACATGAAACCTGTCCCAGAGCTCAAACTTAAGATAAGGCACAATAAAAAATATAATAGGTGAGAATTAGTCTATTCAAAAAAGAAATGCAAAAGAGACACTTGGGGACAAATGAGATAAAGGGAGAATTATAAAGCATGCAGACTGTAGATACCTGCTATGAGAAACTTGCCTGCCTGCCCCAAATTTTTCAGGAGAATTTCAAATCCTACTGCTCTTTTTCAGGTAGATGACCCACAACCAATTTTATTTTGAATCTGAGCCCCTCATATTACCTTCCCACACCCAACCCAACATCTTCCTCCAGTGGTTTACACTGTCTCTGTAGATGGCAACTAAGCCTCCAATTGCTCAGGACCAAAATTTTAGAACCATCCATGAGCCTCTCCCTCTCTGGTACTTCACATTTCTTTTCACCCCTTGCAAATTCTTTCAGCTCTACCTTAAAAATATATCAACATATATGCAGAACCTAAACACTCTTCATGATCTCCCTCCTACCACCCAGGTCTGAGACACCATCGCGAGTTATTGGGAACTAGGGGAGGCGGGTAGCCTCTCAACTAGTCTTATTTCTTTCCCTTTGGCCCTAAACTCTCCTTTCTGGGTGTCCCCCGCTTCAGACTGTACTCAACACAGTAGTAAAAATGATTGTGTGACAGCTTGAGTCAGATATGTCACTCCACAACAGAAACAGCCAATGGCTCCCCACCCTAGTCTGAGTGAAAACCAGTCTTAAAGATGAACTGAGATTTGAACTCCACCCTCCAGACCTGCAGTGTCACTATCTCAAGGAAAACCATTTCTTTGTCTGTTGCTATCATTTATTCTTCTCCAGGCACACTGATCACTTGTGTGCTACTCATCATTCCTTCTTTCTTGAATGCTTCCCCAATATCTGTGTGGGTCACTGCCTCTGCCACTTCCAGCCTTTGCTTGGATGTCACCGTCTCCTTGATTTATCCTCCGACCACTGAAGTTAACATTTTAACCCTGCTTCTAACCTAGTCCTCCCAACCCTCATTCTTGATTCATTTTTTTTTCTATCTTAAGCATTCCATTAAACATAAACATTGATTTCATATTTTTCATGAAGATTCCAGGTAATGTTTAGTAGGAATTATTGCTAAAAATCAATCCTTTGGGCAAATAACCTCTTTCTTCCTCTTCAGCTCTTACTCTTTGACCAAGTGCTTTACATACTGTATAATTTACTTGTTACTTCATTTTTATATCTTCTTTTTCTAGAACTTAAGTTTCATGAGAGGAGGATTTTTGCTTCTTTTATTAGCATCCATATGGTGAACATTTAGAGGTGTACTTGGAGCCTAATATTGCTCAATAAATAAGTTGTTGAATACTTTGGAGTTTATTCTTTCAATGAATAATAATGGCTTTCATTTATCCCTTCCCTTTAGTATTTAGTAGGCTTATAGATGCCAGGTTTTGTAGAATGAAAGGGAAATGTAAAGGATTTCTATAGATCACAACATGTCTTTCTTCCTTCTCTATCCCCAAACCCCATGATATGAGGATTTTTAACTATTGAGGTTCATTTTTGTAGTTTATATACTTAGCATGGGCCCTTGACTAATGGGGCTTTTAATAAATATTTTGATATGGATGAATGAGTCATAAATATAATTTCTGTAAAATGAATAGCTTGGCTTAGAAGTGTTCCTCAATCTTGGTGCTATTGTCATTTTAAGGCACATTCTGGGTTACACGCTAGATGCCAGTAGTACTCATCACAACCCTTCGATAGTGACACCCAAAAATGTCTTCAGGTATTTCCAAATGTATCCTGGGAGCAAAATCACTCCAGGTAGGAACTTCTGCTCTAGAAGATTCTAACATTTTATAAAATGAAGCTATGAACTTCTCATCTACTACCCTAATGGATGATCCAGGCTTCTTATTCTCTCTCTTGCTTTCCTGATTTCAGCCACCAAAGATTTGCTGTCATCCACACAGAAGAATAAAAAGATGAAATATCAGTGAGTTGATCTATGTTGCTCTGATTCAAAGTTAATGATACAGTCTTCATGTTTCTGTGCTTGTTCCTCTTTTATCATCTCTGCCATCAACTCACTATTAAAGATTTTGTTTTCTTATTGTATGTGCAAAGGTAATATATAGACTACCAATGCAATGAGGTGAATAGGTTTGCAGGTTGAAATATTGAACCGTTTTATGCATGCAAAAGCCAGTGAAAATAAACACTTAGCTTTTTCTGACATTATCTGGTTCTCAAGAGACTCTTGACAAATGGAATTGCTAAGAAAACACAGCAAGAGTATCAAATATTTGGTGTTTATATCGTATCTTCAAATTGGTGAAATAAAATTTAGTACAATGTCTCTGTCAGGATATGTTATATCCATTGAATAGAATATTGCATGTAGATAAAAAAAACTCTTTTCATCAACTACTATGTTTTTATTTTACAATGTTCCAAACAATTAGAAAAAAACTGAAACTACTTCATCAGTGAAGTTCAGGCTCTGGAGAACATCAATCAAGTGACTCTGCCAACAATTCAATGTAGTGTTTCTCTATTATTTCACAGGGAAATTGGAATGTTGCTGAAACACTTTGCTAAGTACATTCTGGCAATGGAAAACATAGCACAACTCTCAAGTCAATCATCAACGTGATTGACATACAAAGCAGGAAGATTTCTACCCTCATGCCCCCTCTTTACCTTATTTCTCTCTCTCTACTACCCATACCATAAGCAGAGCAATCCCTAGTCAAAACTGTAAAATAAATCAACTTGGGGGGTGACTAATGCTGTTTTAATTTGTAATTTGGCCTCTACATCCATCAGGATAGATGAGCAACTCCCACAGACTTAGAAGTTTGAAACAACAAAAGCTTGTTTATCTCATGCTAAACATCTTGAGTCAGCAGGAGAGTCTGACTTGGAGACCTAAAGTGATGGGATCCTCACTATCTGGAACATTGGTAAAAGGAACAGAGTATGCTAAATTGTGGGTTAATACTTCAAGGCTCACATTTCGTTGGCCAAATCATATCACATAATTGCGTCTCACTTAAAGAGGAGTAAGGTTGAGTAATCCTGCCATGTGCCTACCCCATAGGGAGAGAATCAGAAAACAGGTGAAATAGCAATAATGACCATCTCAGGCCTCCTTTATTTTTCAGAAATGTTCTGCTTTATTGTCATAACTCTGGTCATTTAAATCGCTCATATGTGATCTTTTTTTTCTACAACCAAAATCCCTATAATGATAGAAAAAAATGCAACTGATTGTATAATTTCAAAGAGGAAGAGCTTTGCTTGTTCCTAGCACAGATATGTTTTAGTCATCTTTGTATCCTCAATACCAAGGACAATATCTAAAATGAAAGTTGGAGGCACTCCATAATACTTGTTAAAAAATGAATAGTTTTTTTAAAGTAGTGAATTAACACGACCTCTGAACTTTCATACAAAAACAATAATGAAATAATTACTTTCAATTCAAATAGAAAGTGAAAAGTACACAGAGTAAAAATAATATGTCAGTGTTGGAAATGGGTTTATGACATCGGTAAGAATCCACACCAAGGCAATGATCACTCAGCAAGGCTAATTTACTTTCTGCAGAAAGGGTACAACTCACCAACAGTCTCACCACGAGAGCACGCCAAACAAAGGAGACAGGGACATTTATAACTTACATAACCTGATGCAATCGCCCTATGGCAGTGTCCTATTTCCATTGGTCAGAATGGGACCTCACATTCTAAGCTTGACCCAATTGGTTAACAGCTTGGAAATTTCCCAAATAGGCAAAAGAGAAAGAGGACAAAGCAAAGAGGAAGCTAGTCATGAGATGGCCAGAAGGGTTTCCAAATAAGGAATGGCATGCACTGTGGTCAGGGGCTTTAGTCCTGTCCAGGTGTGCCGGGGGAAGTTAGAGCAGCTGCATTAGAACATATAGATATAGATATACATAGAGCAAGGAAATGACAAGCTCTTTATGGTTTCAAGAAACTTTGAAGAAGAACTTCTCTATTCCTCACAGTCAGATAACTTTCTATTGTTATTGATTTTATCCTAATTGTATTGAAATTTTGATGTTCCCATAATCCTGCTTCCAGCCTTTTTCTCTTAGTATACATGCTAACCCCTGGTAATAAGGTAGAATCATGAGAGCAGAAACAACATTTACATTTTGTTTTTCTACTATAATGAAGCCAAAATCTTAATCAGGACTCATCACACAGTAGATAATACATTGAATGAATCTCCACCATTAAGGCTGAAGATATTCTCCATAAGATTATAATCCCCAATTCTTACATCCAGTCCAAATCTCTCTCTTAATCTTCAACTGTGTGTGTGTGTGAGTGTGTATATATACATATATGTATTCTTTATATGCTATGGGTATCTCAAACTACACAAGTCCAAACTGGATGCATTAACTCTACTTCCTTCCAAACCTGATCTTCTAGCCCACTATTCTATGAAAAATACTATCAGTTACCTAAATCAGAAATCTGAGTATTATTTTTGACTATTTCCTCACTCTTACAATCCATAGCCAGCCAATCAGTAAGTATGGTCAAATCTACCTCTTCCCTGTCTTTTAAATATTACTTTATTTTCTCCAAATTCCTTGACAATGACCTGCATTAAGCCACTATTACTTCTTATGGAATTAATGGAACATTCTTTTGACTTTCCTCTAGCCCGTTTGTAATTTTTCCTCCAAGCGATACATGAAAATCTAATTCTACCATTTTCCTGTTTAAAGTCATACAATAGGATATTTTTGTCTCCAGTAAAAAATATCTAACACAAATATATTTTTGTTTAATATTTTTAAATAATAATTATTTTTTCTCCGTTTTCCTTTTTAGCCTTATCTCTAAACATCAGCAGATATGACACCAGATTAAAACATTAGTATTTAACAATGGGGATTATATAAATCTTTGATAGTTTGAGTGATATTAAAAAAAGAACTTTTAGCAAACACACACACACGCACACACACACACACACACACATACATATATATATTTCTAAAATCACTTTACTTCTCCCTAAAGAAAAAAAATGCTAGGATAGGTGGATATCTGAAAATCCACAGAAAAAAAAACAAAAACAAAACAAAACTGATGGATTCCATCTCCTTAGCTGAGTGTGCCACTGATGTTCTTAGATGTTAGATATGGAGCTTGGATATTTGTCCATTTCTAAAATACTATGAATTTTATAGAACAGTCTTTGAGACACAGGGAATATATTATTATTATTTCCACATTGCAAATTGGGAAAATGAATTTTCAGTGAATTAATTGATTTGCCAAAGGTCGGTCAATTATTTTCTGACAGAGCAAAGATGAGTCTTCAGTTTTCTCACCCTTTCTTCTACTCCAGTGTTTATCTGGGATATATGAAAGTGGGGATAGGGACTACCAATCTCTGCATCCTAGAAGATTAAATCTAGATCTAAAGGAAAAGGAGAATTAAGTAGACTAAAATGAAAATCATGGTGATAATTTGACTTTAAAGGATGCCTTGCTTTTTCTGTGCCATATCATTTCCACTAATAAACTATCATTTCAGTGTTTATAGTAACCTAGAATATTAGCAATACACTTGCAAAACAAATGGTGAATAGTTAAGTAAGTAAGATTGTAAGATAAAATAAAGATGATTATAATACTGTCATTTACTACATGTGCCTATGTACATTAACTCACTTAATTCATTTTAATAATAATTTTACTTACCTATTGCCTACATATTTCCTTCTGACAGCACAAGTCTCCAAATTATGAGTGAGTTAGCACAATCTTAGATAATTTAGAGAAGACTGCATTGCTGTCACAGTGAATACTAAGTAACTTCTGTATTCTGCTACTGAGTTTTGATAATATTTGTAAAGTCTGTTACTTATAAAATCTGTAGCTGTGTTGCATTATACTAAATTATTTATTTTTTAATCAGGAAATATTCTTTGGGATTATTTGTTTTTCCTTGAAATTTTATACTTTTTTATGATCCTCACCAAAACTAATCTCTAGCTAATCACTTTCTCACTCCTTTCAAAAGCAAATTTTGAATGTTTTGTTTAGCAAGTAGATTTCACTAGAGTTTAGAACAAAACACAGTAATTAAATGTTTTTTTGTTTTTTTGTTTTAACTTTGGAATGTGCATCTAACAACATGCTCTACAGTTCAGTCCTAAATCAATCACTGGAGTTTCTAATTTCTCCTCCTACTTTTTAATATCCTAGTGGCTCTAGAACATCTCAAGCATGAACTGTGTGCTAAGAGGCAAAAGATCTAATAAATATATTACTGTAGCATATTTAAGAGTTTTAGCTGTAGTTTTTTTTTAATTATATTTCCCTCTAAATAAAAGTAGCACTATAACAGGGGAGTTTTAAGTGATCTTCAGGCATTTTCCCCCATTTTTTCTTTGTGAGACTACCACAAACATTTGGTTGCCAATTTAAGTGAGTACCATAATTTGACAATATATTTTAAACTGACAATGGAATTCACAAATCACCACTTGCTTACTTACATGGCTGAAATCACTTTATTTCTCTGCATTCAAATATTTTCTCTGGAAAATGCAAGAAATAATATTGACCTTACTCAATGCTAACTAATAAAAGTGATCACCAAGCTCTTAATAGATGCAAAGTACTATGCAAATGTAAGTGCTCAATGAGGCAATGAGTCTCGTGGAATATTTTTCTGCTCTGTTAAAATGCTTGAATGTTCCATCTTCATAAAATCAGTTCACAATACTACTAAAGATGTTTCATTAATAAAATCATTGAAAAGTGCATCGATTTTTTCAATTAAAAGGTGGGATACTTCTTTAATGTAAAGTTAGAGTATTTGAGGAGCATTTGTACCAAAAGTCTGCTTAAAAATGCATGTCAATGAGTGATCAGTAAAACATTCAGCAGGTTGTTTGAGCCAAAGGCCAAATTACTTTTTAAAAATAGTGCTTTGTTTCTATAATGTGAAGCTGGTATTTCTAATTACCAAATCACCTACTGTTATTAGTAGAAAATATTTGGGATACGTACACATCACCTAATGCTCCCTGGAAAATCTATTTACATGGTTAGGGCTAGTAAAAACAAGGGATTCTGAATGATCTGATCATGCAATCAGATTTAATTGCTCTCTGTTGGTGCAAACCAATTTAGGATAAACTGGGAATTCATAAATAAAAATTAATATAACATTGCCAATTTGGGTGACTAAGGTAGACCAAGTCCTTCACAAAGGCACCACTATGAGATATTTATCATGATAACAATTTTGGAGATGAGAAAATAGAGACTTCATGTTACTTCCTCAGAGTCATATTTCTCTAAGGGAGTTAACTAAAATTTCATTCTATATCTATATAATTTGAAAGCTTCTGTTCTTTTTTTCCTACCATAGCACGAATAAAGTATCCAAATATTTGGACTTTGTCATCATCTATTACTTTCAAATGGCAGCAAATTCTCATAAGGAATGGACTTGTAAATATTAGTTGTCAAATTTTAAGGATAAAGTGAAAATTGGTTAGGTCAAGAAGGATTCATATATAAAACTTTAGTTCAACTCATATTCATGGAGCATCTATTTTATGCAAGACACAGTGCTTAATGCTGGAGAGAGATAAATAAAATATTAACTAACAGAGACATTACTTTTGCACAAGACCTCACTCTAAGCATTTTACTTCTTAATAATTTAATCCTTACAACAATTCTATGTGCTAGATATAATTACCACATTTCATATATAAAATAATGAGGTTGCGGAGGGTTTTATATTTTACCTTTAAGAAATTGGATCTCCCTATTGTGGAACCTGAATGTCAGAAATTTGTAAAACAGGAGGGCGGGCTGGAAATTCAGGTAAGCATTGATGGTACAGTCGGGAGTCTGAAATCTGCAGGCTGGAAATTAGGCAAGGTTTATATGTTACAGTCTTTGAGTAGAATTACTTCGATTACTTCAAAAGTTAAATTCTTGAAGTAGAATTACTACTTCTTCAAGAAAGAGGAAACCTCCAACTGACTGGATGACATTCATCCACATTATGAAAAATAATCTGCTTTACTCAGTTTACTGATTTAAATGTTAATCACATCTAAAAAAAGAAAAACACCTTCACAGCAGCATCTAGATTGGTATTTAACCAAACATGGGTACCATAGCCTAGCCAAGTTGACACATATTAACCAGCATATCTTCATTTTATAAATGAAGAAATAGAGATAGAATAAGTATTTTTCACAAAATCAGCCAGCTACTAAATGGAAGAGCCACGATTCGAAGCCTGGTACTTTTTTGTGAAGTTTGAATGCTTAACTACAACTCCAATATGAATCAGTCCTTCTACCTTCTGTTTGCCTTCCAATCTAGAGGAAAGGTAGTTAAGGATGCCATTTTCAGTTTCCATGTTTTCATGTTATGCTTGGGAAGATGGTGATGATGCACTGCTCTTATCTAGTTGTATCAGATATTTTAATTATGAATGTTTTTAAAACTTCCTATAAGTAAAGGTGATCAAAAGAAACAGTAGGTAATCACTGTTATACAAAAAATACATGAAGAGTTTGGAGTAGTTGGCCAAGTTGCATCTTTTTTCAATTCTGAAAGCTTAAGTGTCTGTGTCATAAACTTGCTAGTGCATTCCTCACATCTAGCAAGCCCAGAAGAGAAAGGTTACACAAAAGTCTGCAGTCACAACAAGCACAATTCTCCCTCGTTGACAATTAATTCCCTTAATACAGCCACTATCTATTGTGGCTTCGTGTATTTGCTGGGTTATTTTGTTTTGTTTTGTTTTGGATTTTGAGATCCAAAGGTATCTCAATTAAATAATAATTTCAACTTGTCAAGTAATTAACAGAAATCTTACTATACATTTTAGTACATTAAGTTATTGCATGTTAATTGCTTAGAATAGTTGCTGAAAAGTGTTTGTTGTAAGTATTATTATCATATAACTGACTGATGTTACCCATCAATTTTTTAATTCATATAAATATCAATACATACTGACTGTTGAATTTTAGTTGTATTTTTTTGTTTGCTAGTTGCTATGTTACCCAAAAAGAACTCAAAACTAAGTGCTGGCTACCAATAAAAATCTAACCTCAAAGCAGTACTCTATATTTCTGCAAATATTATTTTATAATTTATTTTCTATATATAGAAAGAAAACTAAGTGTAAAACTTTTCCCAAAAACTATTTTGAAAAAAGAAATTGTGAGTTGCAGAATAGAGACACTGATAAGAACTTTTGTGATGCCTCTGAGTATTGTTGAATTTTAGTCAAAGGACTTAGCGCCAATCCTCTCTGTAAAGATGAGACTTTTGTTTACAATTTACTTGCAAGTCTTATTTCTGGATCCCAGTTTAATAAAGTACAAATGAAGCCTCTTGGACTTCATTCGTTTATCTCGTATCTATTAATGTTCTTTTTTTTTTTTTTTTCTTTTTTTGAGATGGAGTCTTGCTCTGTCGCCCAGGCTGGAGTGCAGTGGCACGATCTTGGCTCACTGCAAGCTCCGCCTCCCGGGTTCACGCCATTCTCCTGCCTTAGCCTCCCGAGTAGCTGGGACTACAGGCTCCCGCCACCAAGCCGGGCTAATTTTTTGTATTTTTAGTAGAGATGGGGTTTCACCGTATTAGCCAAGATGGTCTCGATTTCCTGACCTGGTGATCCACCCGCCTCGGCCTCCCAAAGTGCTGGGATTACAGGCGTGAGCCACAGCGCCCGGCCTATTAATGCTCTTTGACTCCAGATTTATCAAAGGGAAAGGGAAAATTTACTTCAATTTTACTCAGAAATTACATTTAATTCATTCCCTGCTAAAACTAATTGCTGCTATCCCATCTACTAATTTTCAATGTCCTAAGTGATAATCCTGTGAACATGTAAGCTATATATAACCTCTACGAAGACACCTTTTTCTCTTTTAGTAGACACTGGCTGATTTATATTATATACATTGTCTATCAGATAACTTCACTTTATGCACAAATCTCTGGAACTTCTTATCTTTATGAACCTAGAGGAGATTGCATCAATGTCTTCTTTTACAAATGCTGTGGAATGGAGAAGACAGTGAATTCTAGTTCAAAGGAAGAAGGTGAAAGCAGGAGAAAATGATTGAGCCAAGGAGACATTGAGACCTTGGTCTGTCACAAGAGATCCCAGTAAGAATCAACAATGAGTTTGCTTCAAATCTAGATTCTCAGTCTTCATCTTTATTAATTCAAATGTAGTAAATCTAATGAAGGGGACCCTGAATTCTGAATTTTTAACTAGCTCCAAAGGTGAGCCATGAACTACCTTTGAAACAGACTGGTCTGTATAATACAGGTTGTTTCCAAATTCTTCCCTTTGCTCCATGGGCTTTTGGTTTATTTCACCCAAAGAGACTACAAATATTCAGTGCATTTCTCCTCTGTCACTTCTATTTATTTCATGTATGCCTCTGTCACTTCTATTTATTTCATGTATGTCTGCTTTTGACATTTATATTAGTCTTTCCTCACACTGCTATAAAGAACTTCCCTAAGACTGAGTAATTTATAAAGGAAAGAGGTTTAATTGGCTCACAGTTTCATATGGCTGAGGAGGCCTCAGAAAACTTACAATCGTGGTAGAAGGGGAAGCAGTGACGTTTTACATGGTGGCAGGTGAGAGAGAAGGCCGAAGGAGGAACTTCCAAATACTCATAAAACCATCAGATCTCGTGAGAACTCACTCACTATCAGGAGAACAGCATGGAGGAACCCACCCCCATGATCCAGTCGCCCCCTCCCTTGACACATGGGGATTACAAATCAAGATGAGGTTGGGTGGGGACACAGAGCCAAACCATATCAAGATTATTTATTAGGTTCTTTGACATCAAATATCCTATCTTTTCTTATTTTCATTTTCATTTTAGTTCTTCCAGAGTTGGTTTTACACAAAAATGAGTTCTAACCTATACTCTCGCTTCTACCAACTCAGCTGTAATGTCACAGTCAGAATTCTGACAGCTTTCCCATGTTCTTCCAAGCATGCCCTTCCTTAGAGACCTTTTTTGTCCTGGCTCCATTGTGACTTCACACTCTTAGGCAACTGATATTTATTATAAGTCGGAGACCATCAGTAAAAAACAGATGAAGAATAATACGGGTCAACTCCAAGGTCTGGTTATATATATCATGTTATTTGGTGGTTGATGATCCTCTTTCCCATAAATCTGTAAAGATAATGTGCATCACATGTAACTACATAGATAGAATCTCAGACATTTCCATCCCCCAAGGCTGCACATTTGCCCCTTCACCTGAGACAGTAGGGCTTTTAGAGTCCTAGCATCCATTCACTCAACTTAGATGGCATTTCCTTTGTCGTTTGAGTTAATGGATGTACAATAATCTTATGGAAGTGTGAAAGGACGTCAAAAGGCACTCCAGCTTTGCCACTATTTCTAGTGCTTTCAGAAGATGACATGACTGATGAATCAAACCTAAATGAAGCCATAGGCATTGTCGGTTACAAATATGCAGGGCACACACTACTGCTAGTTCTCCTGTCAGGACCACAGTACATTTCCTTAGACAGTAATTTAAAGTTAACTTCAAAAATTTCTCCTGGCACAACAAAACAGGGTTAATATTACCATAAAATTACAATCTAAAATTACTATTGTTTTGGACTGCCTAGAATATTTATTAGTAACACTCAGTGTTTGGAGAATAGATAACTATATGTATAAATTTCTCAGGGATCTCTGAGATTCTCAAGGTCAGCCTTTATATTTGATTTACATAAATAAGTACAGAGGCTTTAGAGTAGAGAATATAACAGGATTTGACATCACACAATCATCTTCAAATGCAGGCTATAGCATTACATCTCAGTTTGAGATAATATACAGAAAATAATGCCTATCTAATAAGATAATTTTTAGAATTATGTTACTATCATAGATAATATAAAATAATTGTACTGCAATTAGCATATATTACATTGTCAGAAAAACTTTAAGTGCCTAGTAAATAAACAAAAAAATAGAAAAAAATTAACCAGGAAAAATGCAAGTTAAACAATTCTATAATCAAGAATTTAATTAAGAAATGAAATTTTATTCTTAGAAATTTGAAATATATATATTTCTAAACTATGAATATCAAAGGCCCACAAATTTTTAGCAAAATGAGTTTACTCCTAGCTCTGAAAATTAGTATTAGCATTTTGGAAAAAATATAAATCCAGATATTTTTGACATGATAGACATAAAAATTACTGTAAAGAAACTTTATACTAGTACGTATATGAAATGTCTTTTTAAATAAAAGAAAATATAAAATAAACTATCTCATTTTAGTAGTATAGGTAGAAAAAGTATTATATATGGATATAAGGTAAACATGCATAAATTAAAAATTATAATTATATGAAATATGAAAATAAATTTATTTGAATGGAAAATGCCTGGAAAGCGGAAAATAAAAACTATAAAACCACTATGCTGACAACTACTTAAATAGCTATAAGATGGCATCTAGGTAAAAGATAAGTGATAAAAAGGTTTTTTTCTTGTAAACCAGGATTTTTTTACTTTTATATATTTTTTAAGTGTTTGCAATGCTCATAGTATGGAGAAATAGGAAACTGTACAATTTGCCACTACTTTCTTCATGCCTTCGATATGTCACTTAACTTATCTGAATTTCAGCTCATACATTTATAAATTAGAGATAATTAATCTTATATTATGGATTACTTGGTATCATATGAGTAAATTTCCTGGACCACAGCCTGCAACATCATGGGTAATCAAAATATATTAGTTTGCATGAATTCCTCTTTTATCCCCACATATCTAAAATGTAAAGGGGATGAACCGTATTATCTCAAAATTATCTTCCCATCCGTAGTTAACCATTCCAAGACAACATATTTTACAATATTTAGCATGTGAGGTATTTTGAAATGAGGCATTCATATTTCTGTAAGATATTTGTATCAAAAAAGTCCTGACATTGTATTTCCATGGGACTGTGAGATTTTCTTCATGAAAGTCCTTAAAGTAAAACTAAATGAAAAGCCAACTCTAATATGAAGAAACACTGGTGATTTAAATAATTATTCATAATATATACCATCTTTCTAGAATGACCTTAGGAAAATTAAATCACTAAACAACAAAGAAAAATGCAATAGAAAAAGACTAGTGGAGTCAACCAAGTAATTTATTTATTCATTTAAATTTTTTTTAAGTAAATCATCATGCTAATGAGAGAATCAAAACATTTCCCAATTCAAAAGTTATGTTCTAATTTTGCATTTTTCAATAAATAGATTTCTGTTTTCTGAATATTTTTTCACTCCCATTTCCTCAAAATGTGTTCTTCATCCATGCACTGGTCAGGAAAAAGTCACTTTAATGGGTAAAGGTAAAAGCTGTTCTAAGAGAAGCAGTTCTTCCAACTCTGGCCACCTTGCTGGCTGATAACTTTTTGGAGCATTCATATGTGACATTACACATATCTCTGAAAAAAGAACATATTTCTCATTATCTATCACTTTTGAATAATAGAATGTTAGTCTCACACTTTTATTTTGGTTCTTGTAGGCTGTAAAAGGCCTAGAGAGTGTCCATTCAAATCAAATTTTGACTATTTTTCTCAACACTTATTTCTCTTCTCAGCCTAAGGAGGCCAAATATTCTATCACTTAATGAATTTGAAGATGCCTTAAGGGTTGCCATGGCCTGTTTGTACCATATTTTTCTTTATATAAATTTTGTTGCAATATATGTGAATACAAGTCCAAAAATGGTCAGTGCTTCTGAAGTTTAATCTAGATTGTACCATGGGAGGTCTTTGGAGGAGAGTATCTTCATATGCCTCTCACTGCTCATCTATACAAAAAGGTATATATTAATAACTTAATTGCAGGTTGGTTTAATAAATTATGCATCTCATTTCTGTTTTCACATTTTAGAACATGATAATCCTCTCAGAATCCTCATGTGTTAGTTTCCTGGAACTGCTATAACAGAGTACCACAAATGGAGTGGCTTAAAACAACATAAATGTATTCTGTCCTGAAGGCTGGAAGTGAGAAATCAAGGTGTCAGCAGGGATAGTTCCTTCTGAGGGTTCCGAGGTGGACTCTGTTTCACGCCACTCTTCAAGCTTGTGGTGATGGCTGACAATCTTTGGCATTCCTAGGTTTGTAGATGCAACCCTCCAACCTCTGCCTCCATCTTCACATGGCATTGTCACCATGCCTTTTCTCATTATCCCTCATAAAGATGCTAGCCACACTGATATAGGAGCCCACCCTACTCCATTCATCTTACCTTTTCTAATCTGAAATGATGTAATTTCCAAATAAGGTCATCTTATGAGCTACCAGGGTTAGTACTTTGACATGTACTTTGGGAAGATACAATTCACTGATAATACCCCATTAAGAAATCTCCCTAAATGACTCCTCTGATGAGTTGAACTAGCTGAACTGTCTTCCCACTTCACCCTCAAACCACATAGAGGTTTACCAGCCACCTGTCTGCCATTCTGAAGACTAGACAATTACACTTTTGTTTGTATTGCTTTGTGGCATTTGTTACAAAGAGACTATTTTAAAACTATTGAGTCAACAAGTTATTCTAATAGACCTATGCTACACATCGTACCCTCATATATTGATTTTATTTCCCATGTGGCCAAAGATGCTGCATATGAAAAAAGAGAGAGGCTCCTAAACTTATATGAGACCATCCATCACAAATCAGACTGACATCTTCTCACACAAGTGAGGGAAGCTATGGCGCTTTAATCCCTGACTAATCCTCTTACTTTAAAAATCACCTGTAGTCATCCATTAGCCAATATTTTAAGAGAAACAAGCTAGAGGAGACAGCTCTATCAATACGAAAGGGACTACTTTTAAAAGTGACCTTGCTTATTGAATACTCAGCATTATAAAGGAGTAGCATTCTATACACACACACAGCCTGGAAAATGCTGTGCAGAGAAGAAAGCTCTAGAGAATGATAACATGTCTGTTAGCAGATATGAAACTTGTTAAAATGTGACCTAGACCAACCTGCCGTCAAATCAGTGGAGCAAAATCCTCTGTGAGCCAACAGAAAGCATCGCGCCAACATTGAACAAGACATCACCTAGTTGCAGGTTTCTGTGTATATTCTTTGTGATCCATGCTTAGAATTCTGTACATTTACAAATTCTCTGGTGAGAAACTTGCAATTTGATTAAAAACCTTAAATCTAGAATTTTAATAAAAAACATATTGGATCTCCCTTAGCAAAAGATTATATTAAAAGAGGAACATTTTGAGAGTAAGTTAATATAGAATCTCATCTAGTTTCAAAATCAGATCATTTGACCAACTTAATATTTCAAATTTACTAATCTTTTGCTAATTAAAAGTACATTGTATTTGTGTCTGTTAACATATTTATATAAATTCTTCATCAATCTGTTGTCTATGCTCTGAAAGTTTCATTCTATCTAAATACTACTTGATTGACCTATTTGTAATCAGGCTGATGTGGAATAAATGCCTTTTCATATTTGCAATGAATCTAAGTATCACTATATTCCAGCTATGAGGTGTATGTAATATAGATAATAGAGTATATACTTCTTGCAAAGTTACATGTATTTGCTATACCATCAAATCAGTTTAGCCATTTTGGAACCAAGCTACCTAGAGAGGTATTATTATTATATAGATATGTGTGTGTTTGTGTGTGTGTGTGTGTATTACTTAGCTGGTAGGACTTACTCACCTCGAGAAGGGCAGCTGTACATTATTTTGTTGTTATTGTTGAAATTTCAGGGAAGAATGTTTCTCCTTCAAACTTCAAAAGTGTTTTAAAACTATTATTGTCAACCAGTGGTTCTCACAAATTTTGTTCTCAAGATCTCTATATATGCATTAAAATTACTAAGGACTCCAGAGAACTTTTGTTTGTAGGTGTTGTATTTACTGATATTTATTGGGTTAGAAATTAAAACTCATTTAAGAATGTTTAAATTTTAAATTGATTTTAAATTTAAATATATACATTTACCGACTATTTACAAATATCAATAAACACATTATATGCTAATGTAAATAATACATATGTTATAAAGTAATAACTATATTTTCGAAAACAAAGTGAGAATAGTGCCACTGTTCTATGTTTTTTTAAATATCTTTAACTTTTAGATTAATAGTATACAGCTGGATTCTCATATCTGCATTTGCATACAATGTGGAATGAAATGTTGTTTTAGTTGAAATACATAAAAAAATGAAGGCTCACATAGATAAGTATTTTGAAATTGGATATTTTGACAACATTTTTAGGTAATTTTGGATATTCTTTATAATATGCTACCAAAACTATCCTGTAATGGTTTATTCAAATTACTTGCAATGTGGAAACTGAAATCATATTTGGAAGAAACAATTGTTAGAGGTAATAGTTTTAAAACACTTTTGAAGTTTGAAGGACAAACATTCTTACCAGCGACAATACACTTCTCATACTATGCGATGTTGGTTTATCTTGAAGTTAAAATGGGTATTTTTTCCCAAGCATGAATTGGTAACATCATTCATTTGTCACTGGCTTATGTTGATTTTCCAAAGGAAGGCATATTTTTTATAATGTAACAATTATTAATATCACCAGTGACCTCAGGAAAAAATCTTTTTTTTTTTTTTTTTTTGAGACGGAGTTTCACTCTTGTTGCCCAGGCTGGAGTGCAATGGCACAATCTCAGCTTACTGCAACCTCTGCCTCCTAGGTTCAAGTGATTCTCCTGACTCAGCCTCCCGAGTAGGTGGGATTACAGACTCATGCCACCATGCCCGGCTAATTTATTTTTTGTATTTTTAGTAGAGATGGGTTTTCACCATGTTGGCCAGGCTGGTCTCAAATTTCTTACCTCAGGTGATCCACTTGCCTCAGCAGGTTACAAGCGTGAGCCACCGTGCCAGGCCAAAAAATCTTTCAAGTAGTAAACTATCAAGTTCAAACTAGAAAAATACAAGTTTTTCTAAAATTTTAATTCTTGCTTTAAATCTATAATTTTAACATTGGTAATAAATAGTATCAATTGTTTTCTTTAAAAAGAAAGTGACAGGCTCACTTTGTTCATCTATAAGATGCCAAATACCCAAACCAAAATAATCAATTTTTTTGGTCAGTTGTGTTTTCCACAAAAATATTACTCCTGAAGAGAGGGGCTAGTATAGCTTTCAATTCAATTACATAGTAATTTTCATGGAATAAACCATGTACTTTGGTCAGCAGCAGAAATGCTTTATGTGTAATTCTCATTTTATCACACAGATTACCTTAAGGGTTGAGGTCTTATAAAATAATAACTTTTACTGTTTAATAATGAAAATTGTTAAGTGTAACTGGTATCAGTGGGTATGTGTGTGCTTGTATCTGCAAGGATGTGTTTCCACAAGAACATGGCAATAAAGAATATAGTGACTACAAGAATACTTAATGCCAGCACTTTAATTTATGCTAAGGCACCAGAAGTCTTACCTGCTAATTGCATTTGCATCATCAGGGCAAATTACATTGATAAAGACAAACAGTATCTTAGGGCTATAATAAAAATAGTTTTGATGTCACCTTGCATACCCTCTGAAAGTGCCTCAGGAGCACTTGGAAGTTAATGGACTATACTTTCAGAATCAATGCATAGAAAGGTAACCCTTAGAGGAAGTATCAGTGGAACCCATAACTCCTGATTGTATTTATATATTTAAAATAGTAAACTATGCTTCCCATTCAATCAAAATTGCTCTTTCTAAATTATATTTCTGGTTTAAACATCTTACGTTTTTCTTGCTGCTTCAGATGCCTTTAACTGCATCATTTTTCTTCTGTTTAACATTTTTCAAATTGTAATACAAAAAGGCACCAGTGAAACATTTTTTTCCTGGAAATTCTATGATATAGGACACTTAGAAAGCTTTTAGTTGACAAGACTCAGTTATGTATACTCTTCTTTGCCCCTTATACTAATCACTGTGTGCTGATAACAATGTGAAGCTTTGGCTTTTCTCTTTTGGCCATGCGAAGTACACAAGTTCTCACTGTGATTTTAACCGGTTACATAGGAGATGAGGAAGAATTTTTTTTGACATTCTGAACATCTATCAAAAAATGTATCATCATATTATAACCTAAACTGTCAGGCTATTATATTAATTCCTTTGAAAGATTTCAATTTAGCTAAAGTTTCAAGTAGTGATAATCTTGGTTCTTAATGGATATTATTCTAGTAGCATATCCAGACATACACAAAAAAATCACTTTCTCAAGTGTTAAATATATTTGAAGATAACTTCAGAAAACCATTATGAGATGATGATGATCTTAGATTATAGTCACAAAAAGTCTTTATTTCTAAAACATCAGGATATAGGTACATGTATTTGCTTTTATATGTATGTGTATTATACACGTAAATATAAACACACAGGTATACACACAAAAGTGACTGTGTGTGTGTATGCATAGATATAAAATCATTATATGTATATATAAAAACATTCTCTTTTGCTAGCCTATGTTTTTCCATCACTGGAGAGTCTGCTTTAATTTTACATAAACTCTTGTCTGGAATCAAGTAATTTAAGTAATTAACAATTTATTTAATTAGTCTTAGTTATAGGAAACATCACTCAAATTTAAATTCATATTTATTGGTTACTAAAATTTTAATTTTAATAGCTCTATTAGACAAAAATTGATTGTAATCTCCTTCAAATTTTAATAGTCATTCATTCAGATATTTGTATCAAGAAACAGTTATTGAGACTTGAGATAAAGCAGTAATGAAGAGAGATGTGGCTCCTTTCCTTCATAGATCTTCCATTTTATTAGAGGAGGAGGCAGGATATTATAATTAAGTAAACAAATTAATAATCAAGATAATTCCCAAGATTGTTAAGTGTCCTAAAGAAAATCAAACTAAAGGTTGGAATAGAGAGTTGATTGGTTCTGGGAGGTTCCAATTTAAGTAGTCAAAGGAGGCGACTCTTCTATGTTACACTCAAACTGAATTATGAGAAGCTAGGTGTGTAGAAATCAAACAGAAGAGAATTGAAGATGACAATTCTCTTCAATTGAAGAGAATTGAAGAGAAGAGGTCTGAGATGTTAGAACAGAGAAGTGGTCATTCCATATGGCAACATGAAGATTATTTTTGCTGTTCATATAAGATGAATAAATGAAGTGGAGGAGCCCAAATTCCTCTTACTCAGGGTTAAGTGAAGGACTGGTTCACAAAGCCTGAAAGAATGTAGAGATTTTCTTCAAGTTCACATGTGAATCAGAGTAGAGAAATATGGAGCGAGCTAACAAATTATGTAGCATCAATGGAGAAGAAGTTTAAAATGATTATACTAGAAGGTGGTTTATCTTTAGGAATTGTGGTAAGCTAAATAGGTCCCTTAAATGTGTCCATGGCCTAATTCCCTGTGAATATATTACTTAGATGGCAAAAGGAACTTTGCAGATGTAATTAGTTAAGGATCTTTGGATGGGGAGTTTATCCTGGATTATGCCTGTGAGTCCAGTATAATTCCAAGGATCCTTATCAGAGGAAAGCAGGAGAATCAGAGTCAAAGAAGAAAATGTGCTGATGAAAACAGACTGGAGAGATATGGCCATGAACCAAGAATTGTGGGCAGCCACTATAAGCAGGAAAAAGTAGGGAAGCAGATTCTTCCCTAAAGCCTCCAGGTTTTATTTGGATATTATTTGATTTGATTTGATTTATTTTATTATTATTTGAAAGTCTCGGTTAAAATGCATTTATTTTTCTCAAGACATATACACAAACTCACGTACTGAGAATGAGGGATAAAGGGGATGAAAAGATAATGGAAGAGAAAAGAGTACATATAAGCTAATCCTTTTTCATAGGAAAGGTAGCATACTAGGTGGAAGTAGTAGATTTCTCTTTCCCAAGGAGAAAAGACTAAAGACTAGTCACATTTAGTATAGCATTAAGGTATCAATAAATCTGCAATTTCCAATGTAATCTATGTCAGTTTATTGAATTCAACAAACAATTGTTTAACATATAATATAAGCTGGGTACTATGGTAAATCTTCAAGATTAATGCCATAATCACTGCTTGCAGAGTTTCATAGTTGTTGGTCAAGATGTCAAGTTCAAGATGTCAAATCCAAAGGTAACTTCAAATAGAATATATGAATCTTGTGTCTTGCTAACATTCAAGAGGAGAAAGAACCCAACCATAGTTTGCTAAACTACAGGACAAGTACAATTTTCCAGAAGAGATTAACGTGTCATTTGGGGCTTGAAGGACAAGGATAACAGGAGGATAAGAAGGCCTAGGATAAGAGGTTTCTATGTAAATGTCATTTTTTAAATGCTGTTTTAATGTTTATATTATGGGATGTAAGAACTATCAATCCTATAAATTGTACTTATTATTTAGTTATTACAAAATGTTATAATGTAGTGTTTTTCCAGGCCTTAGAGAGATAATTTGCTTCTTGATTTCTGTAATTTACCTATGGAAGCCAAAGTTCTCCTAAACTTCTTTCCAAGAAAAAAAAATTGCAGCTCTTTCTTTCATGTACTCATTTCCAGCTAACTTACTGAATGTTCACTTTGTTCCACCAGGATAAAGAGAAAAATATAAGGAAATTTAAGAGGCCAGTTTTAATTCATTTTGTTTATAGTTTATCCCTTTGATTTGTAACATTTTCTAATCGATGAAAAGGAACCCTACTTCATAATGAAATTGCCTGGGGTCAAAAATTCAAAACCAAAATATTCACAATAAAGCACACAGAGATGTAGCAATTAAAATGGCATAGCAATAAAATATCACATTGTGATACCTTCTTTTAAAGTAAAAACACCACACATTATACTGCATCATTAATTTTACATGAAAAGATTCATAAATTCTTTCTCTTTGCTCTCTGCCCACATTCAAACTTCTGCACATTAGAAAATAGTAATTTGTGCTTGACTGGATAAAATTCATTCAGTAGCAATTTCTTTTGGTGCTATTGTTGTATGTGTTTTTTCTTACTTTATTGTTATTTTTAATTAGAAAATGAATACATATTTCTTAGAATCCAAAGAATACAGACATTTATAAAGGAAGGGTGAATAGTCTTACCTTTCCCTCTCTTTTCCTCTCTCAACCTTGAGATGTGCTAAAGCAGTGTTGGCAATTTGGTATTTCTGCTTTCAAACTTTACTTTTTAAAAAATCCTTGTGCAAATATACATCCAATGTTTTATTTTCTGTTCTCTCATTTTTATATTTTACAAAACAAAATCGTCCACTGTGGCATAACATGTTATAGACATGTGTCGAGGTCAATAAATAAATAACAAACTAATTTATTTAGCTACTGCATTTTTTACTACTTCATTTATTTAATAATTTTTTACTACTTCATTTATTTAATAATTCCATATTATTTGGCATTTAAATTGTTTTCAGTTATATAACTTGCTTCAATAAATATCCTTGTGCAAATACATACCTGTGTACAAATCTGGCAGTTTCTTGGGATTTGTTGTTGATGTGTGTGTGTGTGTGTAAGTGTGTGTGTGTGTGTGTGTGTGTGTTTTAGCAAAGTTTACTTTTAATAGATAATAGCATCTTGTTTTTACGGAAGGTTGTTCTAATATACACGTCCATCAGCAATGTATAAGTGAACCTTTCATTTAAAAGCAACAACTATGTCAATCTTTAAAATACTTGCTGATATAATACATTAAATACGGTTTTTTTTTTACTGTTTTTATTTTAATTTCCCTCACCACCAGTAATGCTGAAGAGTTGTCTAATATAATTTGATGGCCATCTTCTTTTTCTTTTTTGTAAAGTATCAGTTTATAAACTGTTTTCATTTTTATTGGGATTTTTATATTTTTCATAAGTTTTCAAACGTTCTTCGTGTTTGTAAGTTTAACCCTTGACTTATTATGTATATTTTCAACTTTATGTAGTATACACATATTTTCATTTTATGCAATTATACATGACTATTTTATCTTAAGGTTTCCTAAGATTAAGTTTGACAACTAGAGAACATGTCAATATTTTTCTTTTTTTAATTTGTTAATTATTGCAGCACTTATTATAAAAAATTTAGTACCTTGAAGTTTAATAAAAATGATTATTCTTATGAAGAATATCTAGATTCAATAACTGTTAACATTTTCATACATTTTCTTTGTTTACCTAAGATTTTATTTGTGGAACCATTTGAAAGTTACAGAAATCTTAACATTTTACCCCAAAATACCTTACATGCATCTCCAACAAATAAGGACATTTTTCAGTAGTTCATTCAATTAGCTGCTCCATTTGACCCAGAAAATCAGCTATAATTCCCCAATACGATGGTATTGGGGAATTATACTATCAATCCATATTCAATTATACTTTTATTCTCAAAAGTTATAATTTTTTTTTCTAAACCAGAACACGTCAGTAATGCTAAACTTGCTCACTTTTTAAAGAAAATGACCACCAGATCTTTTTAAGAAAAAGACTCACTTACTTTTCCCACATTTTTTCCCCTTTGCAATTCTCAGGTAATCTATGCAGTGGTTCTTTGGAACTTTACAAATGTCTGTTCTGCAGCCCTTCAATCTTTGGTTTTAGCATTCATTTCTATCTGACTCACACATACACACACATACACACAGATGCATACAAACACCCACATATTAAGGAATCATGAATTTTTAATCTTCTCCAATTACAGAAATGATATTAATAATAACAAAATACTAATTCAGGTGTGTCAGACTTAGCCTATGGGTGTCCCTTTACACTTGACTTCTTTGTTCTTTAGCATGTTCTCATGATATTTTGACTACTTGCTTTGCTTTCTGTTATAAGATGTCCCAACATTACTTAATGCTTTCTTTTTCTGGTCCAGGAAGTGGCCATTTCTCCAAAGAGCCTGGTTCCAATGATTCTTAGCAGTTAATATATTCTTCCTTCTGATTCACTGCCACTATCTTATTTTTGTGGCCGCTTTTTTTCCCTCCTCGCCTCCACTTACCTAAGGGAAATCTCCTATTTCCAAGTGTTTCTCTTTATTCCAGAAGTGGAGCTTTTGCAACACAACCACCACTAGCCCATGTACTTTTCAAGCCCCGTTATTTCCAATCTTCAGGAGCAGGAGCCTGACTCATTGTTGGTGTAGCCACCAGAGTTAACATGGTCTCAGAAGGCCCACTTACACGTAAAAGCACTTGTTTAGAAATCACTGTCACCAAATTATGTGTAGTATGGGTTATGGGTGATTTTTCCTTACCTTCTTGTCAATCTGCATTTTCTGGTTTTGTTCATTTACTTGTTTGTTTACTTGTTTGGATAATGTTAGAGATAGTCCACTTTATGTGGATACTTTATGTTACAGGAAGTAACTGTATTTATATATCTATATCAATATCATTTATATCTATATCAAGATATATTGCTGGTTGCCAATATCCATCTGTTTCTATATTGTATCTCTTTACACCAGTCTAATGGCAAGCTCTGCCAATCATTACAGGGATTATTACCTATTTTAATATGTGCTACTCAAGTCCCTCTTCCATCACCTTCTTTTTTCCCAACTTACTTGAAAATTAATATGAACTATTTTTGCCACATGAATTATTAAATTAGCTTATCCAGTTTCAAAAAGTAATTCCTATTGGAAATAAATGTCATGCATAGAAATATTTGTGAAAGCTGAAGTTTTCTGATAACTTTTATACTCTAAAGGAAGGTACATCTCTTCCAGAATGTTTTATGTCCTTCAGTTATTCACTATAATTTATGCAAGTAACCTACTCTGAATTTACCTTTACATGCTTATTGGTATTGGGGCTCAGAAAATAGTACCCCAGAATGAAGGCCTCAGAAGCAGTCTCACAAGCAGTTTTCTCCGATCTGCTTCTGCCTTCCTATCTCTTAGCCCATTCTCCCCCAAGGCTAGCAATAGATCCCTCTTCCCCAAGGCAGGTCATAGAAACCAGAACCATTTTTCCCCAGTGGTAACCATAAAACCTAAAATGATTATTCTAACTTTCCCTCCATCTTTCTGTGTAAAAACTGACTGTAAATAAATTATCCGACTACCTCGTTTGACTCTAAGTCATAAGACCCCTTTTCCAGAGAGTGCCTGCCTCATGTCCAGAAGAAAAAAATGCATGCTCAAAAAGGACAAGAAGAATCTAGACCACAGCCTTGCTGAGTTTTGCCTCTTAGTTTATTAGCATTAGATTATAAACTTTTTGTTCAATCATGTTTCTACAAGGCTGTCCACACTTTGTTGAACTTAAGGATAAAAATGGACTATTTCCTCTTTTTCTTTGGGTCTTCATTTTGAAGGCTCCCACATATACATGTTAAAAACATTTGTTTGCCTTTTCTCCAATTAGTCTGCCTTTTGTTAGTTGATTTTTAAACAAACCTTCAAAGGGCCCCCCACAGCTGTTTGGATATAACAAATGGACTATCTTCCTCATTTCTATTTATAAACAGGTAAAGTATAACAACAGAAAACTTCATTTTTGTTTGTCTACTATAAAATTAACAAATTATCTTTTATTAAGATTTGTGTAAATATCTTGGGTTTTCTTATTATGCAATTACAATTTATTCTATACAAACCTATAATTTATTTTAGAACTCTATTTTCCTGTCTTTATTTAAGTAATAGTAGTAAGAGAATATTTAGATTCTGTTTCTAAAAACTGCAACAGTTTCAATATTTAATATACGTCACTTTCATTCTTATGTTAACTGCATACATTCAATTGATACCTCTATTCCCATTTCACTAAACTTTGTTTTATTTTTGATTTACTAAAATGTGTAAAATTCATCTCTACACTACATTGTTATAATTACATTGATTTTTTTCTACCTTATAAATATAATAACGTATTTGATTTATTTCCTAATGACAAAGCATTATTTTGTTTCTTGAATGAAATACTTGGTGTTTGGGTATTATTATTATTGAATATACTGATTTTATTTTTTTGTGCTAATATTATATTTAGATTTTTTCAGCTATAATTATAAATCAAATTATTAGGCTTTTGTTTTGTGGTATTTTATTAAGGTTATGCTGGTTTTTACTTCAGTTTAGTAGCTTTCTGTAATTTTCTGTGGTCTTTACAAAAGAAATGGCAGAGAAATTATCTCACTGAACATTCAGTGGTAAAGTCATCCTAAATAGGACATTTTAAAACGTGTATTTTTATAAATTTTTTGTATTATTGATCTTCTGATGTTTTCTACCTCTTCTTGAGTTTCTCTAAAATTTTATATTGTCTTAATATTATATATAACATGATATTCTGTATTGTTTCCTTATTATTTTACCTATTTTCTTGTGTTTGTTGTTTTTGTTTTTAAACAAGCTGACAAATGATTCATATTGTTTATTTACTTTTGCAGTAATGTTTTAAACTTTCAGTGCGAAAGTCTTGCAACTCCTTGGTTAAATTTATTCCTATTTTTTTGATGTTGTTGAAAATTAAATAAATTTTTAAAATTTCCTTTTCAGGTTTTTCTTTGCTAGTATATAGAAAAAAACCCTGATTTTTTGTGTAGGACTGGTACCCTGAAACTTTTCTGAATTCATTTGTTAGCTTTAAGATGTTTTAAATGATTTTTTAGGATATAAAGTCATGTCATCTGGGAATAAAAATAATTGTATAATTTCCCTTCAATTTGGATGCCTTTTATTTCCTTTTCTTGCCTAATTGTTCTGGCCAGAACTTCCAATACAATGTTGAATAGAAGTTGCAAAAACAGGTACTCTTCTCTTTTTCTCATTTTATGGGGAAATATTTCAGTTCTTCACTATTGTGTATCATGATAGCTATGGGTTTCATATCAATGATCTTTATTATGTTGGAGAAGTTCGCTTTTATTTCTAGTTTACTGAGTTCATAAGAGAGTATTGAATTTTGCCAAATTATTTTTCTAGAACAATTGAGATTCTCATTTTTAATGTAATTGTTGTGGTGTATCACATTGATTGATTCTAATGTCGAACCACCCTCACTTTCTTGAAATAAACTCCACTTGGTTATAATGTATAGTGCATTTGCTATCCTACTGGATATGGCTGTTAGTATTCTGTAGAGAAGTTTTGAATCTATAGTTCTGAGGGATATTGGTCTTTAGTTTGCTCTTCTCGTAGTGCCTTTGTTTGGCTTAGTATTAGGGTAATGCTGGCCTCATAGAACAAGTTTGGAAATGTTCTCTCTCTTCTAATTGTTGAAAGAGCTTAAGAAAGATTGATGTTGATTTATTTTTACATGTTTGGAAGAATTTACCAATGAACCCATGTGGTCCTGCACCTTTTCTTCTTGGGTGGTTTTTAAATCTGTATTCAGTATCTTTTCTTTTTTCATGGGTCTGTTCATATTTATTTTTCTTCCTGAGTCAGTTTTTGTATTTATTCTATACCTATACTGTTCCATATACATTTTAGAATAGGCTTATCTGTGTCTTCACAAAACTGGACTGATATTTTGTTGGAATTGCATTAAAACTATAGATCAATTTAGGAAGAATTACTATCTTTTCTATGTTGAATCATATATGTTATAATTTGTCTACTTTTTTTTGTTCCCATTTCCCATTTAGAAACTTCAATTAAACATATATGAAAATGTATTACATTATTTCTCACCTTGCTGAATTTTTTTTCAGTCTTTTTTCTCTCTGTGTGTTTTTGGACACTGTCCATTATATTTTTCAGTTCAATAATCTTTACTTTTACAGTGTGTGATCTCCTGTCTATCCCATCCAAGTATTGTCATTTTGTAAATCTCGACCATGATATCCTTCTCTAGAAGTTCAATTTGTTTTGTAATATCTTCCAAGTCTCTAATTAATATATTTAATCTTCTTTTTTCTTAAATGCAGAGATTACAGTTATATACCTTTTAGCGAAGCCTATCATCTGTCTAATTTCTGGGTGTATATGTATACACTCTAATTTCTCCTAATTATGGTATAAATTTTTCTGGATTTGTATGCTTGGTAATTATTGTTGGATTATGGACACTCTGAATTTTACTGTGTTGGAAGAAAGATGTTTTTGTAGTACTATAAATTTCTTGGCCTTTGCTCTGCAGTGCAGTTAATTTACTTAAAAATGTTTGATCGTTTGAGACTTGCTTTTAAACTTTGTTAGATATGACCAGAGTAGCCGATCTGTTCTGATCTGACACTATTCCCTATAAATTCTAGCTACTTTGCCTTCCCTAAATATCTATCTCCAAATCCTCAGATCAAAGAGACTGTCAGAAACTTCTCTTTAATTGGTAAATTGAGGCAATTTTAAGGATTATTTAATTTCACCTTCTTGCCTAAGTGATCACTCTTCTACGTGATCCAATGTCTTAAAACCATTTGTATATTTTGTCTTAAGTACTAATAGCTTCAGGCAGGAAGTAATTTGGGTACCCATTACAACAATTTTCTCTGGAAGTAGAGATCAGTTGAAAAAGTCATATTGCAGTTGCAGATGAAGATTCGTGGGAAGAACATCCAGATGGAAAAACCAACTAGTAAGAAGTTTGCAGGTGGATATGGGGTTTTCATGTTTGAGGAAGAAAAAAAGAGGTGGAGTAAGACTGTCAGGCAATGGGTGAGAAGAAAATGAGATGAAATGAGACAGACAATGTGCCAAGAATATGCTGTGGAATGTGGGCCAGAGTACAAGTAAAATTAGGTTGTAGCTTTCCTATATGTAAATTGCACCATTTATTACTGTTTCAGAGAGATTGGATTACTATTTTATGAATTTTCTGGTTTGTTACTTTTAAGAATGTTATATTTATCTTTTATCTGTAGTCTACTTGAATAATGTTTCATCTGTAACTATAAATGTACCATAAATTATTTTTCTTTCTGGTGGAAATTATAGAACTATAATTTATCAGAAATCCTATTTTCACAGAGCACAAATTTCTAGCAATATTGTGAAAGAAGTTTCTTGAAATACTTCTCATGTATGTAAAAACCTTAATAGATAATTTCTCAAAATTTGACAATTTTACATATTTGCATGAAAATATCAATTGTCATTGACTTGTGTCCCCCAAATTTATAAGTTGAATCCCTAACAGTCAATGTAACTGTATTTGGAGATAAGAGCTTTAAGGAGGTAATTTAGATAAAGGGAATAATAAAGCTGGTCCCATAATCCAATAGGACTGGTGTCCTCATCAGAAGAGGAAGAGACATCAGAAGCAGGTCTGCACAGAGGAGAAGCCATGCTGGGATACAATGAGAGGGCATCTGTCAGCAAGCCAAGGAGAGAAGCCTCAGGAGAAACCACAGCTATCGACACCTTGATTTTAGACTTCCAACCTCCAGAAATGTGAGAAATACATTTATGTTGTTTTAGCCACCCACTCTGTGATACCGTGTTATGGCAGCCCTAGAAGACTAATATACAAATAACTAGTTGTGAAACTGAAAACTTCTGAAAAAATCTTTATAAAACATCAAATATTATTAACCTTGATTGTAAAAAGACTGAATTTTCTTTCTACTATCTTTATAGAGAAAGATAATACAAAATATTTGTAATATGAATACGAAGTGAAAAAATGTAAGAAAAAAGTATTATAGAGATGTATTAGGTAGCTGATTAAAAATGTTATTTTTCTAGAGTTTGCAATCCTTGTTATTGTTGCACAGATTTTTAAAATGTGCAATTTTTGCTTTTTGTCCTTATTCTAAATGTTCACTCTCATATTTGAGTATGCATTTGTAATTTTGAATTATTTCTTAAAGTAGGCTCCTCAAATTGAGTAAACCTCAGGTTTTACATAATCTGAATCTATCCCTGGTTAAAAGTTCTGGCTTTAAAACCAGAGTGACCTGAATCTGCACACAACTTCAGTATTATCACTGTCTGTGACTTGGGAAATATTTCAAAGGACTTAGGTCTTCTATAACAACACCTACCGCATGAGAGTGTTGTGTTAATTAAATGGCATAGCTGCATATAAAATGACTAGCAGAGTTATCTTCTTATACTTCTTTGGTGGGCTTCAAAATATTGTACCCCAACAAAAGTGACACATGACAACAAAACTGTATTGTTACACTTTTTTGGGGGTACAATATTTTGTTTAAGGTCTTGTGTCACTTAATGATAGGGATACATTCTGAGGAATGTGTTGTTAGGTAATTTTGTCATTATGTGAACATCATAGATTGTACTTATGCAAACCTAGATGGTTGAACTTACTACACATCTGGGCTATATGGTAAGGCCTATTGCTCCTAGGCTACAAAGCTGTACAGTATGTGATAGTAATGAATATTGTCACCAATTATTACACATTGGTATTTATGTATCTAAACATAGCTAAATATTTTTAAAAGGTACATTAAAAGCAGTATAAAAGATAAAAAATGGCCATGTGCAGTGGGTCGCACCTATCATCCCAACACTTTGGATAGACAAGGTAGGAGGATCACCTGAGCATAGGAGTTTAACACCAAGCTTAGGAACATAGTGAGACACCGTCTCTAATAAAGCAAACAAAAATTAGCCAGGTATGGTGGCATGCAACTGTGGTTCCAGCTACTTGGGGGGCTGAGATGGGAGGATCACTTAAGCCCAAGAGTTTGAAGCTGCAGTAAGCCATGATCGTGCCATTGCACTCCAGCTTGGGTGACAGAATGAGACACGGTCTTGGGAAATTTTTTTTAAATTAAAATTTAAAATGATACATATTTCTGAACCCCTTGAGTCCTATAAAGAAAAATTGAATATCAAATTTAATAGGCCAGCTACATTATAATCTTATGGGACCACTATTATATATGCAATCTGCTATTAATCAAAATGTCATTATGCAGTGAGTGACTATATATACATTTATGTAAATAATACATTATAAAAGAAATGAACAATAAACATTTATTAACATATTTTAATGAGCTTTTGATGTTCCTAATAAAGTTAGACTGCTATGGTTTTAATGTATGTTTTTCCCCAAATTTATATGTTGGAATTTAAACTTCAAAATAATGATAAGAAGAGGTGAGGCCCTTAGAAGGTGTTTAGCTCATGGGTGCTCCACACGCAAAATGGAATTAGAGCCTTTATAGAAAGACTTGAGGAAAATAGCTAGACCCTTTCTTGCCCTTCTTCCCTTCTGACTTCCTCTAGTGAGGACACAGAATTTGTCCCACTCAGAGGATGCAGCAATACGGTACCATCTCAGAAGCAGAGAGTAACCCTTTGCCAGACACCAAATCTGCTGGCCCCTTGATCTTGGACTTTCCAGCCTTCAGACCTGCGAGAAATAGAGTTCTATTCTTTATGAATTATCCAGTCTGTGGTATTTATAGTTATAATATCAGGAATAAACTAAGGCCCAGGGGAATTTTATTAAAAGGGAAAATATGAAGCCGCTGCAATCCTAATGGAAAGGCACAAGGAAAAGAGTGAAAAGTATAGAAACTGACTATACAATTTTGTTCTGGGTTAGCCCAGTGGGAACAGAAATTAGGCCTATTATCTCCACCAACCTCAGAAGATGAGAATAACTGAGAAAGTTCACCCAATGTATCTAATATTATGTAGAACTATTTAGGTCAAATTCTTTTTTTACAGGACTATAAAAAATTACAGATGATGCCTATGTCTGTGCATATTTATTCAGTCTCTCATTTAAACAGAAAGTCAATTCAGACGCTTTGTTTCCCATACACATAGAGACAGTTTGAGCCACAGTTAAGGTTTCTAGGATTTAATGGCCAATCTATAGGAACTTTATCTATGTAACTGCTGCACCAAATTCTTTAATATGTCATTTTCTTCACTTTTATTTTACTTCCCTTACTTCTGTTTAAGAAAATTTTCAGGTCCAAACATCTTATTTAAACTCATTTTTTTTTGTATTTCAATCTCTTTCACATTTCTGTCCACTTTAATTTTTTTTCTTTTTTCTCTTTCATGAGTTTGTCCCCAGTTGGCATCTTCTCTTCTATGCTAGGATTTATTTTTTTTTAAAAGTTTTAGATGAAATGAAAGATATGAGAGATATAAATGAAAGTGGCATAAAAACTCCAAAGCTAAGGAAGGTAATAGAAGGAGACATTTTAAAATTAAATGCAAACAGTGGCTCAGAGAGTACAAACAAAAGCAGGTGGAAAGAGGACAATCTCCAGCATCCAGAACCAGAAATGGTTCTAAAAGGTCAGTGCATGAAGCACACAGCCAGGTCAGCAAACATTTCTCTCTCCTCTGGCCAGAGAAGTAAATAGAAAATTCACAGGAGACTTGAACAGTAAAGGAACAGTAAATAAAATTGCTACTTGGACGCCAAAGAGACAAGATTTGCACCAAACAAGAGTTTTAAGTTTAAAAATCACATGAAGGCACCTGAGGCTAGATCCACAAAAATTTCTGAAGACATAAATATTCTGATACGGTCTGAGATATTGTTGAAAAACTAAATTCTCTAACAGAAAAGAGATGAGAGTTTAATTTCTTTTGTTTGCTCTTTCCTAGCTGTGTGACCTGTTAAAATTTATTCAACCCCTCTGAGCCTCAGTTACCTATCAATCATTAACTGAACAACACATGTCAGGTCATCACATAGATTAAATACATGAAAATTGCTGAGGACAGTATAACACAAAACCTTACCAAATTGTAGTTTGCTTCCTAAGAGACTGGATTACTAAATTGAGAGACTGTTTCCATGGTCAATAAAACTGAAAAAAGTATAATCTGAACATAGTTCTGGATTGTTATTTAGAAGGTGTGCAAAATTGTAAATGACTCATTCTCATAAAAAAGCAGCTTTCTTTGGTTCTTATATGCCTCAGGCTCTCCACAGCCAAAAAATGAATTAGATAAATGAACAAGTTCTGGGTAAGATTCAAGTACATACTTCATTGGAGTACTTCAAAATAAAGGTAAGATTGACCTGAACTCTTTTTTATTTTTTGTCTAAGATTTCTTGAGTATATTCAGTCAACTTTCCCTTTTCAGCTCCAACAGGCTGCTGAAATAACTATGATGAATAAAATGTACCAATTGCTTAGTTAGGACACTTAGGTCCTTAGATTTCATCGATCACCCATTGTGAATCCTCTATCAAACCATGTATCAAAGCTGACAATAAATAGCAGCATTCCTATATAACAAATTTATTTTCTGTTCTCTCTTTTGTATATTTGATATATAATAGAAAAACAAAGAACAAGAGTTCTTAGCATAGGTAATCTCAAATGGAGCACTATGTTGCTGGGTAAATAAGAGCCATCTTTGCTTCATGGAAATTAGACTTTTTCATATTGACATTCAGCATCATCTAGAAAGCAGTGCTCTATCCAGTTCAAGCTGTCTGCACAAGAGCTGTCTGCAAAACCAGCTTTAGCTAGTGGATGTGTCAAGTAATTTATTTTTCACTAACTAAAGATTTATTAAACATTTTTTAGCAACACTGTCCTGGGCTATGAAGGGATACAAAAGTTATATATGTTCCAACCCTCAAAGGAAATATTGTATCCTTGCATCAATAAGGGAACCAGGAATGGAACAATGGAAAATATTGGAAGTTTATAGTAAGTAGAATTGTAAGTAAAATGATAACAAACAGGTAAAATCACATATAGGAAATTTAGCATCAAAATTTGGCCTATAGACCAGGGATAATCAAACTTAACTATGTATCATAATCACCTGGAAGGCTTGGTGAGTTGCTGATTTAATAAGTAGCTTGGGTTGAGGCCCAAGAATTTGGATGTCTAGCATTCACATGTGATGTAGCTGCTACAAAGGGGATTGCAATTTGCAAAACATACCTAGAGCACCAGAAAGCCATTTAAAGATCAGTCTAGTTAATTTCAGATAACTTCTGTATCTTGTAGAGACGGCACAGTGTGATGCCCATAATATACATATACACACACACAGGCGCAGGTGCACACACACACGAGCACACACACACATGTGCAGGTGCACACACACACACGAGCACACACACACATGTGCAGGTGCACACACACACACGAGCACACACACACGAGCACACACACACATGTGCAGGTGCACACACACACACGAGCACACACACACATGTGCAGGTGCACACACACACGAGCACACACACACATGTGCAGGTGCACACACACACACGAGCACACACACACCGCAGAAAAACATCAGGAATATTTAGTTGGATTGTGTTAGGAGTTTCTTTCTCCCGTTAGAGATCCTCAGCCTCAGCTATTGCTTTTAGATGAACATGCAGCCTCTCCCTGCTCAGATGCAGATTCCCTTCCTCATCATAGGGTTTTTTTTCTGTTAACCACAGTGTGTGATTTCACATGTTAATATAAAAACAATTCAGAAATACTGGGGAAAATATTATTTCTGTCTGTAGTTGCTCCTCTGATATTTATGAGACCCGCCTGGTTTCCTTACTTGTGGAGTTTCTAGATGATAGTACAACATTTAAACATATTTTTTAAAATATTATTACAAATATTAACTAAAATTACTGAAAAACTAATATTCTTTTAAAATTATAATTTTACAATTATGACATAAGTACTCTACACTTATACAATACTTAGGAAAAAAATCACCAGTTAGATGAAGCTATCATTTTTTGTAGATTCTCATTTTCCCTTTCTTCTATTCATGTATATACCATGTTTCAAAGAATAAGATCAGGACTTGCATTTTGATCTGTAACCTGTTTTTGTGATGTAACAATCCACTATAAATCACCTTCATGTCAACAAAAATGTATCTAAAATATGAGATCACACAACATTTTAAAAGGTATGACTTTTCAACAATGTTTTTTAATTTTCTCCCTTATTTCCTGGTTTTAGGGAATTGAATATATAACTTAAAAGACTAGTTTGTTTTATATTGTGAATTTCTATTATTGGCTGTTTGTACTTTCCTGCCCGTAAGTATAATTGAGTTATGACTGTGCTTTCTATTACTGAATATATCTTATCTGTTTTTCAGGTCCACCTTAGGATAAATTTGAAAGCATAAAGCCACCTATCAATAAAGACATATGTACAACTGACTCCATGAAAAAATGTAGCTTTCTTTGATTAGATGCCTGACACTTTCTGAAGGACCTTGAGAATTTTACTCATTTATGGAAAGATAATTTCCTACTAATGAAACGTGGGATTAAAAGTTGAATCAAAGAAAATTCAATAGCTAATTATAATCTGTGACAATTGGGGTCTCTTAACCAGTGAGATGATCTGTAACTAACAGAATTATTGCTAGGAGACAGGGAAAAAGAAATATTTTTTTAAAAGATTCAGGAAAAAATATTTATCAAGTTTGGTGGAAAATATATAGATTTATTAATTCATTTATAAACAGCATAATATCCAATGTTATGTTCTTATTAATTACGAGTTTTGGTGAGTCATTTTGAAGAATTTAAGAATGTTTTATAGAAGCTAGCTAATTTTATTTTGTTCCTTTTTAAATAAATTTTAAAATGAAATAATAAGTCACAGGAGTTTTTCTCACATGTAAATCTCTAAGTCAGACTATTGATGAGAACATTTAAAACAGTCAGTGCTGAATCATCAACAAAGTCATATTTAGTTGAAATGCACATTGATCACCTGAGAGATGAGAATTCCCTCAACCATTACACAATTGCTGAATATGTCTTCAGTACTAGGCATTATGATAGTAAAGAATGAAAAGATGAATTAAAACATCATTAAAATTGCAGTATATATTTTAGCAGAGAATAAAAAAGAAAATCGATTACTATATAAATTGTTAAGTTAGCCTAAAAAGAGAGTATGTTGGGATTAGGCAATCTTAGTTTATTTGTAACATCAAGCTATCTTTCATGACTCACCTTGAGATTCCATGAAAGTTTTCTTTTTTTTTTTTTTTAACTTATTTTAAGTTCAGAGGTATAAGTGTAGGTTTGTTACATAGGTAAACTTGTGTCATGGGAGTTTGTTGTACAGATTATTTCATCACCTAGTATTAAGCCTAGTGCCCATTAGTTGTTTTCTTGATCCTCTCACTCCTTCCAACTTCCACCTTCCAAAAGGCTCCAGTGTGTGTTGTTCCCCTCTGTGTGTCCATGTGTTCTCATCATTTAGTGCCCACTTATAAGTGAGAACAGGTAGTATTTGGTTTTCTGTTCCTGCATTAGTTTAGTAAGGATAATGACCTCCAGCTCCATCCATGTCCCTGACACATGGTCTCATTCTTTTTTATGGCTGCATAGTATTCTATACTGTATATGTACCACCTTATACAGTGTTGTGCCTGGAGTTGGTTCCTTCCAGTGGGTTCTTGGTCTCACTGACTTCAAGAATGAAGCCATGGATCTTTGCAGTAAGTGTTACAGCTCTTAAAGGTGGCATGGACCCAAAGAGTGAGCAGCAGCAAAAGTTATTGTGAAGAGCAAAAGAACAAAGCTTTGGCAGCATAGAAGGGGACCCAAGCAGGTTGCCACTGCTGGCTGGGGTGGCCAGCTTTTATTCCCTTATTTGTCCCCACCCACGTCCTACTGATTGTTCCATTTTACAGAGTGCTGATTGACGCATTTACAATCCTTTAGCTAGACACAGAGTGCTGATTGGTGCATTTTTACAGAGTACTGATTGGTGCATTTACAGTCCTTTAGCTAGACATAGAGCACTGATTGGTGCATTTTTACAGAGTGCTGATTGGTGCATTTAAAATCCTTTAGCTAGACACAGAGTACTGACTGGTGCATCTATAATCCTCTAGCTAGACACAGAGCTCTGATTGGTGTGTTTTTACAGAGTGCTGATTGGTGCATTTACAATCCTTTAGCTAGACAGAAAAGTTCTCCAAGTCCCCACTCGACCCAGGAAGTCCAGCTGACTTCACCTCTCAATCCCCCCTCTAAACAGGACACCCCAAATGCTGTTGGGAATTGGGCAATGACTGCTCTAGCTAATTCCTGCTAGATATGGGACAAAGAAGGTGCCCTGCAGTTGTAGTGTCCTCCAGAGGGGAACTCTTTAGGCCAGTCAAAGGGCCAGTGGGTCGGTCCAGGGGTCCTCGGTAGAAGTTGTTAGTTGAGCTCATTTGGGGTTCCATTTGTAAGACCATCTGTAGCTTGATGGCCTCGATCCTAGAGGAAACATATTTGACAAGGAGATTAAAAATACAGGACCCAAAGGCAAGTAATAGCAAGATGTCTGTCACGGGACCTAGAAAGGGGAGAAGTCATGTCAACCAACTCCAGAGGTCAGTATAAGAGTTTGAAAGGCATTGTCTGATTTCAGAACCCTTTTCCTATAAACTTTGGGTGGTGTCTTATACTATTCCTGACTGGTTAGTGTAAAAGCAACACTCCTCCCCCAAGAAGGTGCAGAGTCCTCCTTTCTCAGTAGTAAGGAGGTCTAGGCCTCAGCAGTTTTGTAGAGTCACTGCTGCCAAAGAGTCTATTTTAGACTGTAGAGTAAGGATAGATTTTGTTATTTCTTGCAAACTGTCTGAGAAATCCTTTGAGAGTGTGTGGTAGTAGGATAATACATGTTAAACTGTTAACTTTTAGCAAACTTTACTTTTGTTGAAAATTTGTAAGTTTGGGATTTCAATTATTCTTTGCTATTAATAAGACCTCGTTCAGTCCATATTAACTTAAAATTGGTATAGATGGCTCCTTCCTGATTCTGTTTAAGGTTTAGCTGAGTGCAAACAGCTCACACGTTTGAGAAGACCAATTATTAGGCAATTTTCCTAACTCTGCTTCTACAAGAGTTTCCTTATCACTTACTGAATACCCATTTTGTCTTTTTCCTTTAATCACCCTGGAGGTACCATCTATCGTCCTGTACTGAAGGGAGTTCTTCCTAGGTCTGGTCGGACTTTTGTATGGTAGTTAATTAAGATTTAGATCCCCTGTTACGAAACCTGCTGGGTTAAGGATTTTTGATAGGAAGGCTATGGGTTGTCAGTGACCTCAGTGCTTTTGGGCTACTCCCTTGTTCACACTGACAACAAGGTGGCATTGGAATGTTATAAGGTTGCAGAGAAGACCTTCAATTATCAATTATAGGTTTTAAATTTACTCTGGCTTTTAAAGGAATAGGGTACACTTTTTTCTTTACTACTTCCATCTCTCTCCTTCCTTCTCTTTCTGTCTTTCTGTCTCTTTCTCTCTGACTCCGTCTGTCTATTCCTCTCTCTCTCTTTCTCTGACTTTGTCTCTCTCTGTCTCTCTATCTCTTCCTCTCTCTCTCTCTTTCCTCTCTGCTGGTCTTTCCCTGCCTCTGCCAGCCACTTATGCTGCTGTTCTCCCCCTCCTTGCCCTTTTGATGGCTTTTGCCTCAGCAGTGTAAGACTGCCACCTCCTTGGATTTTTGCAGTGTGTGCAATAACTCCATGATTTCCTTGTTGTATTTAATGGGGGTTCTCCTAGAGGTTAGGAACTCCCTTTCTTTCCATATTGCAGCATGGGCATGTAGGGTTAGATAAGCATACTTGATATCTGTATACACATTTATTCTTTTTCCCTTTCCCAGTTCTAAGGCTTGGGTAAGTGCCACTAGTTCTGCTAACTGGGTGCTTGTCCCTGGGGGAAGAAGCTTACTTTCAAGTACTGTTACATCACTAACTATGGCATAACCTGCCTTTTGTATCCCATTCTCCACAAATGAACTTTCATCAGTATATAGGTTAAGGTCAGCATTAGCTAAGGGGACTTCTAAGAGATCCTCTTGGGTGGCATAAGTCTGGATTATAATTTGTTGGCAGTCATACTCGATTGGTTCTCCATCCTCTGGGAGAAAAGTGGCAGGGTTGAGGGCCACACACATGCACATTTGAAGCACCGGTTCCTCAAGAAGTAGGACCTGGTATCTGAGCAGGCAGTTGTCTGATAGCTGTAAACTTCCTTTGGCACCTAGCATGCCATTTACATCATGAGTAGTCCAGACAGTGAGATCCTTTCCTTGTATTATTTTGATGGCCTCTGACACTAAGATGGCCACCACCGCAACTACCTGTAAACAGTGAGGCCAGCCTTTTGCTACTGTATCAATTTCCTTATTTAGGTATGCCACTGGTTTTGGGGTTGTCCCACGAGTCTGAGTAAGGACTCCAAGAGCTATTCCTGCTCTCTCTGTGATGTATAAAGAGAAGTTTTGTCATGTGGGAAGGCTTTAGGCTGGAGCTTGTAATAGGGCCTGCATTAGGGTTTGGAAGGCTGTTTCTGTCTCTGGTTCCCATTCTACTAGGTGAGTATTTGCCCTCTGGGTCTCGTTGATTAGAGTATAGAGTGGTCTGGCCATCTCACTGTATCCAGTGATCCATAGTCGGCAAAAGCCAGTGATTCCAAGGAACCCCCTGCAATTGTTTTAATGTCTTAGGGTGAGGATAAGCCAGTATAGGCTGTATTCATTCCGTACTGAGGGTCCTGGTTCCTCTGGATAAGATTAGGCCTAGATATTTGACTTCTTGTAGGCAGAGCTGGGCCTTCGATTTAGATGCCTTTTACTCTTGATTAGCTAGAAAGTTCAAGAATTCTATAGTAGCCTGCTGGCATGAGGCTTCTGAACTGGTAGCCAAAAGTAAATCATCCACATACTGAAGGACCAGAGTGCCCAGACTTGAGAAGTGGCTTAGATCTTGGGCCAGTGCCTGACCAAATAGATGAGGGCTATCCCTAAACCCTTGGGGCAAGACTGTCCATGTAAGTTGGGACACGTGTGGTCTGTGGGATCCTGAAAGACAAAGAGAAACTGGAAGTCAGAGTGCAGGGGATTACAGAAGAAGGCATCCTTGAGGTCCAGAACCGTAAACCATTCTGCTTACTCTGGTATTTAAGAGAGCAAGGTATAGGGGTTGGGTATAACTGGATATAGAGGAATTACTGCCTCATTGATGAGTCTAAGATCTTGCACTAGTCTCCACTGACCATTCAGTTTTTGTACTCCTAGAATTGTGGTGTTGCAGGAACTGCTGCATTTTCTTACTAAGCTGTGAGATTTTAAATGTCTAACAATATCCTGTAATCCTTTATGAGCTTCATGCCTTAAGGGCTATTGCCTTTGATAAGGAAAAGTGGTGGGGTCTTTTAGCCTGATTTGGACTGCACAGGCATTTTTTGCCCTTAAAATTTGTCCTTCCAATGCCCAGACTTTAGGGTTGATTCCCTCCTCAAGCAGGGGAATACAAATGGGTAACTTGTTCCCCATATCAATGTAGATAATGGCTCCAGCTTTGGCAATAGCCAAATATGTCCCTCCCTGATAATGGTGTGAGACTTTCAGGCATAACAAGAAAGGCATGTGAAAAGAGCAAAGTCTCCCAATTACAACTGAGGAGGTGGGAGAAATACCTGGTTACAGGCTGTTCCAGGATTCCTCAGATGGTAACAGACCTTGAGGAAAGCCATCTGGGACAGGAGATTAACACTGAGAAGGCTGCACCAGTGTACAGGAGGAAGTCAATTTCCTGGCCCTCAATGGTTAAACATACCTGGGGCTCAGTGAGGGTTATAACATGAGCTGGCACTTGCCCAGGGCACCCTCAGTCCTGTTGTTGGATCATCTGGCTGGGGGCTTCTGGCCCAGAGAACCTTTGTCCTCTGGGGAAATGCACCTTCCATTGATTGCTTTGGCAGAGAGGACATGGGTGAGGGGCAGCTTGTTTCTTGTTGGACAATCTTTTTTAAAAGTGTCCTTGCAAACCACACTGATAACAAGCCCCACTGGGTGACTGGTCTGCTCCATCTTCTGTCCTCTCCAAACCACCAAGGTTTGTTTGTCTGAGGGCCATGACTAAGGCTGTGGCCTTTCTCTGATCTTGCTTTTCCTTTTTGGCCTGTTCCTCTTGGTCCCTATTATAGAACACCAAGGTTGTCAGGTTTAGTAATGCCTCCAGATATTGTTCAGGGCCCAGGGCTCGCTTTTGGAGACTTCTCCTGATATCTGTGGCTGATTGGGTAATAAACTTATCTTTTAGGATCAATTGACCCTCGAGTGAGTCAGGTGACAGGGGAGTATATTTTCTTAAGGCCTCCCGAAGCCACTCAAGGAAGGCTGAAGGATTTTCTTCTTTTCCCTGAGTTATGGTGGACATCATTGAATAATTCATGGGCTTTTTCCCAATTCTCCTTAGTCCTTCTAGAACACAGGTCAATAGATGTTTACAAGTATAGTCCCCATGATCTGAGTCAAGGTTCCAGTGGGGAACCATACGGGGGATGGCTTGCTGACCAGTAGGGAATATGTCCCTTTCTTCAGCTGTCATTCTATCATTTACTTGACTAAGATACCAGGTATCTCCAAACTCTCAGGCTGCAGCTACAGCTGCATTCTTTTCATTAAAGGCCAGGGTTTGATATAATAGCATGACATCTCTCCAAGTGAGGTGAAAGGTTTGCCGTAGACCCTGTAGGACATCTATGTATGTATCAGGATCATCTGAAAACTTCCCCTGGTCTGCCTTGATCTGCTTTAAATCAGAGAGGGAGAAGGGGACATGTACCCATGTTGGGCCAAATTCCCTTCCCCCTACAGCTTGAAGGGGACATAACTGATAGCCAGGGGAGTTCTGTGGTCCCTTGGAGATTTCTTTGCTTGTTTCCTTCTGGGCAGGGGAGATTAGAGGAGGCTTATCATTAATAGGAAGGAGAGCTCTAGGAAGGCTAGGATATGGGGGTAAGCTGAGAGGTCCTCCTGTGGGATGTAAATTGCAAGCTTTGCACAGTTGTGGATTTTCCTTCAATGAAAAGAAAGATTGGACATAAGGTATTTCACTCCATTTGCCTTCCCTCTTACAGAAAAGGTCAAGCTGCAGGATAGTATTGTAATATATACTTCCCTCAGGTGGCCATTTTTCCCTATCAGAGAGAAAATATTCAGGCCAGGCTATAGTGCAGAAAAAATGAGTCACTTCTTTTTCAGGGTTTGCAGGTCATATTGGTCCCAATGGCTTAGGATGCCTTTCAAGGGTGAGCCTGTTGATGACTGAGTGTTTCCCATCTGAAAGAAAAAACCACCTGTGGTTTTGGTTTGTTTTCCCCCTCTTACCTAAGAACTCACAATGGTCCCTGGACCCTGCTGATCAGAATAGTTGCGCTCACCGATGCAGCAACAGAAACACTAGTATTCCTCCTAGACCACAAGGAGGACCAAGGAAGGTCGGATTTAGTGGCCCTTACTGACACATTCTCAAAAACCTGCACCCTTGCTTGTCCTCCTAGACCACAAAGAGGACTGAGAAAAATCAGATTTAGTGGCCCTTACCAATGCATTCTCAAAAACCTAAGAATGTTAGAGTCCTAAGCATTCTCCTGTTAGTATTGGGACATTACCCCTGTCCTATAAAGATGTTATTCCCCAAAAATAAAGTGGAGGGCCATACCCTGAAGAAGGGAAGGGATCTCCAGGGTTGGAAGAGTGACATGTTTTGTCCTCACTTCTCATCATGTGAATAGGAAGGATATCACTTCTGAGGCTCCCCATATCTTAGCTTCAGGAATAGCCTTTGTTAGGCCCACTTGTCTGAGGACGGATCCTAAAATTCCAGATAGTCCCCACCTCTGACAAGGCTTTGGGCAAAAATTATGTCTTTCTGATTGGTGAGCCTGGGTGCCTAAAGAAGGAAACAGAGTCCTGAGGTTTATAATAGAAATCATTCTTACAGGTGAAACTAGAAAAGCACCAGAGACAGGGAGTGGTTTTTAGAAGCAGGACTAGCTTTGGAGAAGAGAAACAAAAGGAAGTTTGTCTGACAGGCATTAGGACCCAGGAGGCAAGGTTCAGGATAGATAGGATAAATGGGTGAATCTCAGTTGGGCGACATGACTTAAAGAGTTCTGCTCATGGCTGCAGGGTCAACCAACTTTTTGTCGGGACCCCGTAGCTGAATGGCTTTCCTCTCTGTTGACCCTTGGCTCAGCCCAGAAGTACAGGAAAAATGGAAGCTGGTTCCAGGCAAACCAATGGTCCCAACTCCAAAGAGCCAGGGTTTGTTAGAGAGCTCTTTCCCAGAAAGCCTGACACCCATGTCTTTAGTCCGGCAGCCATGCTGGTTGCTTTTAATTGGCCGGCAGGTGCTTGGTATTTAGCCCCTGAATTCTAAGGAAAAATAGGACAGACTAGCAAGTGAAAGGTGTCCAATGGTACTCAGCACTTGGCTATCATCCCATCGTGGTTGCCAAAATGTGTCCGGAGTTGGTTCATTCCAGTGGGTTCTTGGTCTCGCTGACTTCAAGAATGAAGCCAAGGACCTTCATGTGAGTGTTACAGCTCTTAAAGGTGGCACGGGCACAAAGAGTGAGCAGCAGCAAGTTTTACTGTGAAGAGCGAAAAAACAAAGATTCCACAGCATGGAAGGGGACCTGAGAGGGTTGCCACTGCTGGCTGAGGTGGCCAGCTTTTATTCCCTTATTTGTCCCTGCCCATGTCCTGCTGATTGGTCCATTTTACAGAGTGCTGATTGGTGCATTTACAATCCTTTAGCTAGACACAGAGTGCTGATTGGCGTGTTTTTACACAGTGCTGATTGGTGCATTTACAATCCTTTGGCTAGACACAGATTGCTGATTGGTACGTTTTTACAGAGTGCTGATTGGTGCATTTACAATCCTCTAGCTAGACACAGAGCGCTGATTGGTGCATTTTTACAGAGTGCTGATTGGTGCATTTACAATCCTTTAGCTAGACACAGAACGCTGATTGGTGTGTTTACAATCCTCTAGCTAGACAGAAACGTTCTCCAAGTCCCCACTTGACCCAGGAAGTTCAGCTGGCTTCACCTCTCCATGTGATGGTTAATATTGAGTGTTAACTTGATTGGACTGAAGGATGCAAAGTATTGTCCCTGGGTGTCTGTAAGGATGTTGCCAAAGGAGATTAACATTTGAGTCAGTGGACTGGGAAAGGCAGATGTACTCTCAGTCTGGGTGGGCACCATCTAGTCAGCATCCAGTGCAGCTAGGATAAAAGCAGTCCAAGGGACATGGAAGGACTAGACTAGCTAAATCTTCTGGCCTCCATCTTTTTCCAGTGCTGGATGCTTCCTGCCCTCGAACATTGGACTCCAAGTTCCTCAGCTTTTGGATGCTTGGACCTACACCAGCGGTTAACAAGGGGCTCTCAGGCCTTTGTCCATAGACTGAAGGCTGCACTGTCAGCTTCCCTACTTTTGAGGTTTGGAGACTCAGGCTGGCTTTCTTGCTCTTTAGCTTGCAGATGGCCTATTTTGGGACTTCACCTTGTGATTGTGTGAGGCAATTCTCCTTAATAAACTCCCTTTCATATATACATCCATTCTATTACTCCTGTCTCTAGATAACCCTGACTAATACATTCAGTCTATCATTGATGGGCATTTAGGTTGATTCCATGTCTTTGCTATTGTAAATTGTGCTGCAATGACCATACGTGTGTATGCTTCTTTATAATAGAATGATTTATATTTCATTGAGTATATACCCAGTCATGAGATTACTGAGTCAAATGGTATTTCTGTCTTGAGGTCTTTGAGGAATCGCCCCACTGTCTTCCATACGGCTGAATTAATTTACACTTCCACTAACAGTGTGTAAAGTGTTCCTTTTTCTCCACAACACAGCCAGCATCTCTTATTTTTTGACGTTTTAATAATAGCCATTCTGACTAGTGTTAGATGGTATCTCATTGGGGTTTTGATTTGCATTTCTCTAATGATCAGTGATGTCAAGCTTTTTTTCATATATTTGTTGGTCACATGTATATCTTCTTTTTTAAATTTTTTTTTTTACTTGTTAAATATTTATTTGGAAAATTAATACGATATGCATTTTGGGGGAAGTTAAGGCCTCACCAGTATCAGCATGAACACCCACTGGCACATGAACTTGTTTCCACAGAATGAGTAAAATAGGAATGTTAATTTTATTGACCCAACACCACTGACTCATTGGGAAAAAAAAAAGCCAGAGAGAGAGACCTCTTTCTCTCTCTCTGTCACACACACACACACACACACACACACACACACACACACGTGCGCACTGTGTAACATCAGTAGGAGTCACTGTACAATAGCATATCTGAAAGGCCAAGGTCCATATCTTTACAGATTAAGCTCTAATATATCTTCAACTTCATGCTAGGTGTCTAGTAAAGTATGTGTAAATATTAAATAGAGTTTCCAGGACTTATTAGGGCATCCTATTTGAAAGTGACAGAGGTCTTGTCTTTATAATTTTTTTTTCTGAAAAATATTATTTAATAATTGCTCTTAAAGAAAAAAACCCTTAATTTTTAGAGATATATCTGCATTTTTAATCATGTTTATATTCCTTTCTTCTTCCTCTTTCCTTCTTCCTTCCTTTTTTTATTATTTTATTTTATTTTATTATTATTATACTTTAAGGTTTAGGATACGTGTGCACAATGTGCAGGTTAGTTACATATGTATACATGTGCCATGCTGGTGTGCTGCACCCATTAACTCATCATTTAGCATTAGGTATATCACCTAATGCTATCCCTCCCCCCTCCCCCCACCTCACAACAGTCCCCAGAGTGTGATGTTCCCCTTCCTGTGTCCATGTGTTCTCATTGTTCAATTCCCACCTACGATAAAAAGTTTAACGTTTTTTAAAAATTTAACTTCATTTTAAGTTCCAGGATACATATGCAGGTCATGCAGATATGTTACGTATATTAACATGTGCCATGGTGCTTTCCTTCACTTATCAACCCACCACCTACGTATTAAGCCCCGCATGCATTAGCTATTTATCCTGATGCTCTTTCTCCCCTCGTCCCCCTGAGAGTCCCTGGTGTGTGTTGTTCCCCTCCCTGTGTCCCTGTGTTCTCACAGTTCAGCTCCCACTTATGAGTAAGAACACGTAGTGTTTGGTTTTCTGTTCCTGTATTCATTTGCTACAGACAATGACTTCCAGCTCCATCCATGTCCTTGCAAGAGACATGATCTCATTCCTCTTTATGGCTGCATAGTATTCTATTGTGTATACGTAGCACATTTTCTTTATCCAGTCTATTATTGATTGGCATTTGGGTTGATTCTATGTCTTTGCTATTGTGAATAGTGCTGCAATAAGCATATATGCATATGTATCTTTAAAACAGAATGATTTATATTCCTTTGAGTATATACCCAGTAATGGGATTGGTGAGTCAAATGGTATTTATGGTTTTAGATCCTTGAGGAATCGCCACAATGTCTTTGAAATGTTAAACTAATTTACATTCCCACCAAAGTGTAAAAGCATTCCTATTTCTCCACAGCCTTGCTAGCATTGTTGTTTCTTGACTTTTTAATAATGGCCATTCTGACTGGCATGAGATGGTATCTCATTATGGTTTTAATTTTAATTCATATGTCTCTAATGATCAGTGATGTTGAACTTTTATTAATGTTTTTTGGCTGCAGAAAAGTCTTCTTTTGAGAAGTTTTTGTTCATGTACTTTGTCCACTTTTTCATGGGGTTGCTTGTTTTTATCTCGTAAATTTGTTTAAGTTCCTTGTAGATTCTGGATATTAGATCTTTGTCAGATGGATGGATTGCAAAAATTTACTCCCATTCCATAGATTGTCGGTTCACTCTGATGATAGTTTCTTTTGTTGTGCTGAAGCTGTTCAGTTAATTAGATCCCAAATGTCAATTTTTGCTTTTGTTGCAATTGCTTTTGATGTTTTTGTCATGAAATCTTTGCTGGTGCCTATGACCTGAATGGTTTTGTCCAGCTTTTTTTCTAGGGTTTTTATAGTTTTGGGTTTTACACTTCAGTCTTTAATCTATCTTTAGTTAATTTTTGTATAATGTGTAAGGAAGGGTCCAGTTTCAATTTTCTGCATATGTCTAGACAGTGTTCCCATCACCACTTATTAAATAGAGAATCCTTTCCCTATTGTTTGTTTTTGTCAGGCTTGTTGAGATCAGATGTTTGTAGATGTGTGATCTTATTTCTGAGATCTCTATTCTCTTCCACTGGTCTATGTGTCTCTTTTGGTACCAATACCATGCTATTTTGGTTACTGTAGCTGTGCAGTGTAGTTTGAAGTCAGATAGCATGATGTTTCCAGCTTTGTTCTTTTTGCTTAGGATTGTCTTGGCTACATGGGCTCTTTTATGGTTCCAGATGAATTTTAAAGTAGTTTTTTTCTAATTCCGTGAAGAACATCAATGGTAGTTTAATGGGAATATCATTTAATCTGTAAATTACTTTGGGCAGAGGTACAAAGAGGAGCTGGTGCCATTTCTTCTGAAACTATTCCAAACAATTGAAAAGGAAGAACTTCTCCCTAACTTATTTTATGAGGCCAGCATCATCCTGATACCAAAACCTGGCAGAGATACAACAAAAAAAGAAAACATCATGCCAATATCCCTGATAAATAGCAATGCAAAAATCCTCAATAAAATATTCTGAAAGAAGCTAGAAGAAATAATGCCTTATCTACAAAGGAACAAAAATAAGAATTATATCAAACTTCTCTTCAGAAGCCACAAAAACAATAAGAGTAGAGTAAAATGTTTAAAATGTTGAGGGAGAGAGAGAGAGAGGGGGGCAGAGAGAAAGAGAGAGAGAGAGAGAGAGAGAACCCCAGAAACTAGCAAGCTAAAATTCTGTAGCCTGAAAAATTAACCATTAAAATGGAGGAGAAATGAAAACTTTATGAGACAAATAAACATTGAAGGAATTTGTTGCCAGTAGAATTGCTTTTCAAGAAGTGTTTTTAAAAAGTTTTTTAGAGAGAAGGAAAATGATATAGGTCATAAATTCAAATGTTCAAATGTACATAATGAAAGAAAGAACAATAAAAGGAATATTTTCAATTTTGAAAATTAAAAAAATCAAAAAAATGAAATTTAAAAATCAATTATTTGAATAGATCAATAAAATGTATAAGCCCCCAGATAGGCTACCTAAGGGTGGGGGAAATAAGAAAGGCAACAAATTCCAGTATTAGAAGTGAAAGAGGAGGCATCACTACAAATCCCATGGACATTAAAAGGATAATAAAGGCAAATTGTGAACTATAACCCACAAATCTGATAACCTAGATGGAACAGACCAATTTCTTGAAAGATACAGTTTGCCAAGACTCATACAAAAAGAAATAGACAACCTGCCTGAACCTGTGTGCATGAAATAAATTGAATTGATAACCAGTAACCTTTCAAAACAGAAAGCAGAAGACCCTGATGGTCTCACTAGTGAATTCTATCCATGATTTAATTAATTATACCAATTCTCTACAATTTTTTAAAAACATAAAGCAGAGGTTGTACTTCTCGTCTTGTTCTATGAAGCCAGAATTACCCTAATATGCAAAACAGGCAAAGAAATTTTTAGAAGAAAACTACAGACAGTTAGGCCAGAGAAAGAAATAAAGTACATTCAAATAGAAAAAAAGAAAGTCAAGCTATCCCTGTTTGCAGTTGACATGATTCTGTATCTCGCAAACCTCATAGCCTCAGCCCAAAAGCACCTTAAGCTGATAATCAACTTCAGCAAATTCCCAGGATAGAAAATCAATGTGCAAAAATTAACAACATTCCTATGCACCAACAACAGTCAAGCTGAGAGTCAAATCAGGAATGTAATCCCACTTACAATAGCCACAGAAATAATAAAATATCTGGGAACACAGTTAAACAGCAAGCTGAAAGATCTCTACAAGGAGAAATACAAACCACTGCTCCAAGAAATCAGAGATGACACAAACAAATGGAAAACATTTCATGCTCATGAATAGGAAGAATCAATATCACAAAAATGGCCATACTGCACACTGCCCAAAGTAATTTATAAATTCAATGCTATTCCCACCAACTTAGCATTGACATTCTTCACCAAACTAGAAAAATATTTTAAAATTCATATGGAATGAAGAAAGAGTCCAAATAGCCATGACAATACAAAGCAAAAAGAACAAAGCTTGAGGCATCATGCTGCCAGACTTCAAACTATACTGAAGGGCTACAGTAATTAAAACAACATGGTACTGGTACAAGAACAGACACATAGGCCAATTGGACAGAATAGAAAACCCAGAAATAAGACCAGACATCTACAACTATCTGATCTTTTAAAACCTGACCAAAAAAAAGTATGGGGGAAAATATTCCCTATGAAATAAATGGTGCTAAGATAACTGGCTAGCCATATGCAGAAAATTGGAACTGAACCCCTTCCTTACACCATACACAAAAATTAACTCAAGATGTATTAAAGACTTAAATGTAAAACTCAAAACTATAACAACCCTGGAAGACAACCAAGGCAATACCATTGAGAACATAAGCACTGGCAAATATTTTATGCAAATGACTACAAAAGCAATTGCAACACAAGTAAAAATTGACAAATAAGATCTAATTAAAGTAAAGAGCTTCTGCAGAGCAAAAGAAACTATCAACAGAGTAAACAGACAACCTACAGACTGGGAGAAAAATTTTGCAAACTATACATCTTACAACTTCCATCAATGAAAACCGATTTACAACTGTTACAAAAAGAATAAAATACCTAGGAATACATCTAACAAGGTACATGAAGGAAATTTTCAAGGAGAACTACAAACCACTGCTCAAGGAAATAAGAGTGGACACAAACAAATGGAAAAACATTTCATTCTTGGGGATAGGAAAAATCAATAACATGTATGTCATATTTGAAAAGTATCTGTTCATATCCTTTATCCACCTTTTAATGGGATTGTTTCTTGTAAATTTAATTTCCTTATATATGCTGGTTATTAGACCTTTGTAACTTCCAATACTATGCTGAATAGGAGTGGTGAGAGAAGGTATCCTGTTCTTGTGCCAGTTTTCAAGGGGAGTACTTCCTTCTATTGACTATTCAGTATAATGTTGGCTGTGGGTTTGTCATAGATGACTTATTATTTTGAGATATGTTCCTTCCAAACTCAATTCCATCACCTCCTATATGCTCTGTCTATAAAAAATCTGCTGTTCCTTTTTAACTTTGCCATGTACATTTTATGTACCTCTGCTATATAATTTAGCACAATTAGGTTCATTATTAATGCCTTTTAAACATTTGTGGAGTTTTCTCTATTATGTTTTGAAGTCTGTGAGAGTTTATTATTTACATTTTCTTCCCAAAACTTCACACATTTTGTGAATGCTTCACATGTAATATTAACCAAAATGCTGAGAGGCAATATTTCATAAGTGCTTTGTTTTTTATCTTTTTGCTTTTCAGTCAATGAATTAATGCAAGCTCTATGAGAAAGGGACATGATTACTCTTGATCTGCAGTGAATTGACAGCCCTTAGCATAAGAGTGACTAGCACCTGTTAGGCATTTGATACATGTCTGAACAATCTGTGAGTATATGACTGAAGCACTGAAGCGGTGTAGTATAATAAAATATTCTAATAGGGTGATGAATAAAGAAAAATAAGAAAAAAACAGTTATGCAAGAAATAAGAGTAAGTCAACATACTGAAAGAATATCAGTGATGAAAAATATAAAAAGACTGTCAAAATACCTACAATTTTGTACCAAGTCCTCAATGAGAAAAAAATAATTACAACCTTCATGTCTACATCTGATATTCATGAGGTAGAGGAAAAGCATGGTTTGAGTTTTCAGCAGGTAGAGTCTTTAGTAAATGTTAAATAATTAGGATACCCAAAGCTGAGAATAGACTTAATTTCAGTAGGAGAAATCAATCCAAATTTAATAAGAGAAAAATTTGGTAAATATTTTCAAAATGAAGGCAAAATGTTAAATATGTGAAATGATGAATATGTTAATTAGATTGATTTCTTTTAAATTGTATTCAAATGTCATAGCATCCCTTTTTAGCCCATAAATATACACAATTATAATTTTTTCAATATGTAACAATTTTTTAAAAAGCATGAAAATGGCAGTTTCTAATACATATCCAATATTTTATAAATACTTATAAGTAAATGAATGAATTACATCAGTGTGAGCACATACATCAAAAATATGCTTATTTACAACCAATTTGTTTCCCTTGTATGCTTTAAAAAGTAGGAGAGGGTTTCTCAGTTCCTCCTTTCTTTCTCCCTGTCATCTCTCCTTGTGGGGAAGAAAACAACTGTTAATTTACATAATAAGTGGGTGAGGTGGGCAGGAATAAAAACTCAGAGAGTTTTAAATTCAACAGAAAAAAATAAATAAAAGGAGGTTTATAGTGCAACAGACATGGAAAAGGAGAATTTTGAAAAGTATTTCAGGAGAGGTAACAAGCCACACAATTTAAGCCACTGGGACTAAGGAAGGTAAGGCCACTGGTTTTAATAAAAGTTCAGTAAGAATTAATGTTGATGGGATGTTAGGTAGAGAAAAGCATCCTTCCCATTCCATGCAATTCTTATAAATGTTTGAATTTCTTATTATTCTATTATGTTTAATAGAATTGTTTAAATATTTGGAATTACATGAAATTAAATGAAAAGTTTAATAATATTATTTTTCCTTTCAATTTGTCTCTCTAAATGATAATTTTATGACAATGCCTTCATCTACCACCTTTGTAGGAACAAAAAAAAATTACTTATAACCGTGTGTGTGTGTGTGTGTGTGCTGTGACCACCTTTTTTGCTCTGCACAGCAACATTGAGCAGAAGGCATAGAGATTTTTATATAACCCCTGCCCCCATACACACAAACCTCCCCCACTTTCAACATCCTTCACCAGAGTGATACATTTGTTACAATGGATTAACCTATTTTGAAATATCATTATCACCCAAAGTCTATCGTTTACATTAGGGTTATCTCTAGGTGTTGTATGCTGTGGGTTTTGGCAAATGTGTAATGATATGCATCCACCATTATATAACACATGGAATAGTTTTACTGTCCTACAAATACTCTGTGCTCTGCCTACTTACCTCTTCCTCCCGCCTCCCCACCCACCAACTCCTGACAATCACTTATCTTTTTACTGCCTCCATAGTTTTGCCTTTTATAGACTGTCATATGATTGGAATAATACACCACATAGCTTTTTCAGAATAGTTTCTTTCACTTAATGACATGCATTTAAGTTTTCTCTGTTTTCTCATGGCTTGATAGTTCATTCTGTGTTTTCTTTTTTTGTTTATTGTTTGTTTGTTTTTGAGACAGAATCTCCCTCTGTTGCCCAGGCTGGAGGGCAGTGGCATGATCTGGGCTCACTGCAACCTCCCCCTCCAGGATTCAAGCGATTCTCCTCCCTCAGCCTCCCTAGTAGCTGAGATTACAAGTGCTTGCCACCACACCTGGATAATTTTTGTTTTTTGTAGAGACAGGGTTTCGGCATGCTGGCCAGGCTGGTCGTGAACTCCTGACCTCAAGTGATCTGCCCACTTCAGCCTCCAAAAGCGCTGGGATTACAGGCGTGAGCCACCCTGCCTGGCCTAGTTTATTTCTTTTTAGTGTTGAATAATATTCTGTTGTTTGGATATAACAGAGATAATTTATCTATTCACCTGCTGAAGGACATCTTGTTTGCTTCCAAGTTTGGGTAATTATGAATAAAGCCTCTGTAAAATTTTGCATATAGGTTTTTGTGTAGACATAATTATTTTACTTCTTTCAGTAAATACTGAGGAGTACACTTGCTAGATTGTATGGTAAGAGTACATTCAATTTTGTCAGAAATCACCACACTGTCTTCCAACATGGCTGTGCCATTTTGCATTCCCACAAGCAATGAATAAGGGTTCTTGTTGTTCCAAATTTTCTATAGCATTTGGTGTTATCAGTGTTCCAAATTCTGACCATTCTAATACATTCATAGTCATATCTTATCGTTGTTTTAATTTACATTCATCAAATGACATATGATGTTTAACATCTGTTTATATTCTTAGTTCCCATGTATATATTTTTTTCAGTGAGGTGGCTTCAAGTCTTTGGCTCATTTTTTTAAATCTAGTTGTTCATTTTCTTATTGTTGAGTTTTAAGCGTTTTTTATCTAACAGTTTTTTTTATCAGTCACATGCTTTGCAAATATTTTTTCTCATCTGTGGCTTGTTGTTTTTTAATTTTCTTGACAGTATCTTTTACCGAGCATAAAGTACTAATTTTAATAAAGGTCAGCTTCTCAAATGCCTTTTCATGAATTATCATTGGTGTTGTATCTGAAAACTCATTACCAAACCTGAGATCATCCACATTTTCTTGTATGTTATCTTCTAGGAGTTTTAAAGTTTTGCATTTTATACTTACATCTATGATCCATTTGAGTTCATTTTTATGAAGGGTGTAAAGTCATTGTGTAAATTCATTTTTTGACTGTGGATAGCCAGTTGTTACAGTACAGTTTGTTGAAAATGTAACTTTTGCTTATCAAGTTGCCTTTGCTTCTTTGTCAGAGATCAATTTACTATACTTACGTGAGTCTATTTCTGGGACCTCTATTTTATTTCATTGATTTGTTCGTCATTCTTTCACCAACAGAACACTGTCCTGATTACTGTAGCTTTGTAGTAAGTCTTGAAGTAGGGTAGAGTCAATCCTTCATCTTTCTGCTTCTTCAATATCTTGTTGGCTTTTCTGAGTCTTTTCTTTCTTCATATAAACTTTAAGAACAGTTTTCTAATATCCACAAAAAACTTGTAATTTTGATTTTGAGTGCATTAAATCTAAAGATCATGGGAAGAACTGACATATTGACAATACTGAGTCTTTTTATCCATGCAGATAGAATACCCCTTTATTTATTTAGATCTCTGATTTCTTTTTTCAGAAGTATGTAGCTATTAACCTTCAGAGTTTTGTATACTAACATTTTCTCCTACAACCTTGGTATCATTGCTTACAGTTACATGAGTTTTTTTATTGATTCTTTTGTATGTTATACATACATATATATGATTATGTCACCTGCAAATGAAGATAGTTTTAATTCTTTTTTCCAAAATAATACAATATAAACTTTATTTTACTTTCTTGTCTTGTGGGACTTCCAAAACGATTTTGAAAATGAGTGGTGAGAGGGGACATCCTTACCTTGTTCCCGATCTTAGTGGGAAAGCAATAAGTTTCTCACCATTAAGTATGATGTTGGCTGTGGTTTTTTTGGAGATATTTTTTATTAAATTGAGGAAGTGCCCTTCTATTGCTAGTTTACTGAGAGTTTTATAATAAATCATGTTAGATTTTGTTAAATGCCTTTTCAGCATGTATTGATATGATCATGTGATTTTTCATTTTGAACCTACTGATATGATGGATTAAAATAATGGATTTTAGAATGTTAAACCATCCCTGTGTAACTGAAACAAATGTCACTTGGTTGTGGTGTATAATTCTTTTTATACATTGTTGAATTCAATTTGCTAATATTTTACTGGAGATGTGTACTTCTATCTTCATGAGAGATATAAAATTTCTTGATGCCTGGATATAATGTAATAGGTAAAAGAAACTACTGTGAGTAGCCCCTTTAGCAATGTGGTGGTCAAGTGTCGGAGCATGGGGACCAATCTCTAGTCCTATAGATCTCCATATTTTAGTGCACCTGTGTCTCCAGATTGTGAATTTCACAGGTGATATTCACCTCTTCCCATTGTCCTCCCCTCTTAGAAGGGATGGATTCACAAGACAGGGTTACAGTTGGGTATTTCCCTTATTCATTTTGGAAGTCTAGAGCCTGCTGGGTTTGGGAATTTCCCTGCCTCTAATTGGGTTAGACTACAATACTCCAGCAGAGCAGCCTCTGGTTGAATAGCTTCTCTTGTGAGCAACCCTTGTTAGGAAGATAATGCTCTGGTGTATTTCAAAATGATCACTTTTTCCCTCTTCTTGTTGGAAGTAGGTGGGGAATTTTTTTCTTGTATTCACTGTCAGAACCTGGTCAAGCTCTTTGAGATAAAACTAACAAAAGTGTGAAGCCTACTATAACTGGGTACTCTTGGAGAGGAGATTTCAGCTCTCAGACTTGGCCACATTGAGCTTTGAGCAATTCCTCAATTACAGTTTAGGTTTCCCTCCCCTGACACTGATTCCCTTGGAGCTTTCTGCCTCAGCGTTTCTGCTTTCGTGCGTTGTGATTCTCTGTATCCATCTGTCCTTCTCTCCAATTTTAAGGGCAGCGGTTTGTCCTGTCACTTATGGATCTAAGACTACTTGATTTGTCAGTTTATTCAACCTTTTTTACCAGTTGTTGGGAGGGACTAGCAACTTCTAAATTCTCTAACAAGCTAAAAACAGGAAGTTGTAAGTTAGCTTTTAAAATGTAAATATTACGCCATTTCATCTACTTAACATGTGCCAATGGTTTTCCATTTCTTGATAATTAAATCCAAATTCTTTACCATGAAAAGTTATAATCCTTCCTGCTTGTCTAGGATTTACATACCTCTGTCTAACTTCTTAGACAAGTTAGAAGAGTGAGCCACACAAAAATATTCCCAATGATCAAAACTCACCGTTATTTTCTCACATCTTTGCTTTTACGTATTTCCTGTTGGCTCAGTCTCAATGGGTCAAATTGGGGTAGTGTGGGGTGAATATCAAGCATTGCTGAATCAAGAACTATGTGGAGAAATATGCAAACATACATGTGAAAAACACTGAAATTTAAAAATCAGATTAGATTTTAATAAAAGAGAGAAAAGCAGAAAACTTTATTGTAATTATTTTTAAAATATTATAAATTTATTGAATAATTGTTCTGGAGAGAGTTTAGTAATATGGGGCTGTCTTACTTATTTTGCAGATGTGGAAACTTAGTTTTGCAGAGCCTACAGTTTTGATAAACAGCAAAGTCTAAAAATAAAATCAAAAAGCAGTTAATAATTTTGACTTTCTTATATTCTTTCAATATGGTTTGCATCTGTGTACCCCACCAAATCACATGTGAAATTGTAATCCCCAATATTGGAGGTGGGCCCTGGTGGGAGGTAATTGGATCATGAAGGCTGTTTCTAATGGTTTAGCACTATCCTTCTTGTGCCGTCTCCTGATGGAGTTCTGATTGTTTAAAAGTGTGTGGCACCTCCCTCCTTGCTCTCTCTTTCTTCTGCTCTGGCCATGTGAAGTGCTGGCTTCCATCATGACTGAAGTCAAGCAGAGGCTACCATGCTTACTGCCCAGCCTGTGGAAGGATGAGCCAATTAAACCTCTCTTCATAAATTACCCAGCTTCAGGTATTTCTTTGTAGGAGTGCCAGAATGGACTAATACAGCTTTCTTATACATTACTGTCCCTCCACACGTAGTGCAAGGATAGCTTTTCATTTATTACATGGTTAAGTTAGTCCTGAAGAGTAAACTAGTATAAAAGAGGGTAACTCTGTCTACACCAGTGAATGTTAATGACAATTATTTCCTGTATAGTAGATCTCTCACTGCTGTCCTCATTCTATTTATTCTTCAAGATCTGCCTCAAAGGTCTTCCATTAAATCTTTTCTAATAAATGACAAAGTATGCATTTTTCTCTTCCAAAATTGTATACTTCTGCTGTGATGACATTTATAGTTTTCTACCATATATTATCTCTTGATTGTTATCTAATTGCTACAATGCACAAAATAATATTTGCCAAATAGTTATAATAACTTCAGTTTTCACTTTGAGACAGATCACACTAATTTCAGAAAAGGTTATGTCTCATAAATGAAACGGAATGATATTAATTCAAAGGAGCTTTGGAGAACAGCTGTACTTGAGTTTATTAGTCAGAATTAGGCATTGTTCACAAGATTACCTCATTAGACATTGTATGTAACAGACCTTAGCTTAAAGCCAAAATAGAAAAATGAAAATTAAATACAATTGTGGATTTCAGCCTCTATATAATGCACTTGAAGACCTATCCAACTAAAACTTCATTTCCGAGTAATATGCCATTAGATAAAAATAGATTCAGCAAAATACAAAATATTAATGCTTGCAACTTATGAAATTTAAGCACATGAGACTCAAATGATAAAAGTAAAATCCAACCTATATTATGTTATTAATGTAATATAGAAATATTATAGGTAATATTTTAAATACTCAAAGTTAAAGGAAAGAGATCATTGTGATATTAAACAAAGCATTTATTTGCATTTTGGAGAGCATATGCAAAGTATGATGCAGGGATTATAGAAATATGTTTAAGTCCTAACTTCATTACTTGCAAGCCAAAAAATATTTTTAAATTTACTTAAGACTTTGGGGCATTTTTCCTTTACATGTAAAATGAAAACAATAAAAATAACTTCATATCTTTTACAGGATTATAAAATGAATCAATGAGATAATGCTTATATAAGTATTTTGTAAGTCATAAAAAATTTTACGTTAGCAAATTTTTAAAGTATTAAATTAGGTAAAAAATAATTCAAGCAAATCTTATAGAAAACAATTATATTTTGTTTATTGCAATATAACCAGTGTCTTTTATAGTGCCAGACATATAGTATATGCTAAACAAAAACTTATTAAATAAATTGGAAATATTACCTGACTATATTCTGTTCGTAAAACTTGTGATAAGTAGTTTAAATTCATGATGAAATCTAAATAGTAGTTCATGAGAGTACATTAATGAACAATTTTCAATCAAAACAAATTAACATTTTCCCAAAAGTCTTTTATTAGCTAATATGTTTTCTTATTTTTAGACATTAGCCATTAGTTGATTTTTGCATTTGAACAAAATTCATAAATATATGTTCAACAGAATGAGAAACAACTTTTTTCTGAGGTCTACAAATATTGGAGGATAATAAGGCATATTAAAATTTTTCCATGGAATTTTCATTTTTTAAGTCTTTTGAAGTTGCTACGTTAATTTTAAAAGTTTCATTCTACGTTGTATGCACATTATTTATCTGCTCATACTTTCATTCATCTTGTTACAGGACAAGTCTCTACTTAGAAAGAACCCAGAGGCAGTGCTAGAAAACTTACTTTGTTATCAACCAAGGAGGTACAAAGATGCACAAAAATGCAACACAGCATCTATTTTCTTAGAACGTAAAAAATTTTAGGTATGTTGTTTGAATTGTCAGGCCATTCTTTTCTTTGAACATCAATATCCCTTGATTGTGTTCTGCAGGCTTCTCTGGCAGAAAGCAAAGAAGAACTAACTATACCTATAGAGATGCTTCTTTAAAGATAATGGTTTGAAATTCAACCAATTAGGCAACACCAGGGATATTGCCAGTAGAAACATATAATGTTGTTTTTGTTGACTGTGTCCTCAGCACTTAATCTACTGGAAAGTATAAATAGAAGATATTACATTATTTATTTTATGTAGTTATAAGAATCTCCTCTTTCAAATATGCATGTTTGTACGACTTCTGTTTAAACCATTTTTTTGGTCCATCCATTTGGTTTTACAGTTCTTCACTAAGAATGCAAATGTAATTGCCCAAAGAAGAAAAAATGTGGATAATTATAGTTACTATTTAAATGTCAAAATGTAAAAATTAGTATCAAGAACAGACATGTGTGAGGGGAATAGGTGGGGCATTGCAGTGGCTTTTCTTTTGTTAAGAGAAGTGAACAGTTAAGAAAAAAAAATTGCCACAATTATTAAGATTTCTGAAAGGTCTCTGGCTAGACATTCCATTCATTCCATTCATTCCAGAAGAGTGATATATCCTTCATCTTCAACAAATTTGCATTGCCACATCTTCCCAAAGAGCCAAGTTTCCAGGCGTAGAGGTTGAGCCCTCCCAGCATGCGTCACTTGGCCATCACTGAAATATTGAATGAATTAGATCTGTCCATTTTTAGAATTGTTATTCCTGGTACTCAGACATGATCATGTTTCTCATCCAGTGAGACAGTGTCTGACCACTTGACTCATCCCAGAATGACTCCAGGGCAGACTGATACAGGAGTTTTAAATTCCAAATGGTTAGGCTTCTTAGTTGTAATGTTGATAACTTACTGTCAAATTTATGTAACAGGAGATCTTTAAGACTGTCGTAACCAAGGGAGCTCTCCCTACAAAATCAAAAACATAACTCTTAAGTCACCCTTATTAATTCCAGCTTGAATCACAATGAAAACATTTCATTCTCACAAAAATTTAGAAAAATGCATCTGTTTGCAATCTCAGGTCCCAACTTCACAAGAATCTTTGATATATTGGTTTTTGTTCAAAATCAGTTTTTAAAAGTAATATCTATGTAAAATATTAGGGCAATTCTAAACTCTTTAAATTTTACAAGGAAGCCATTATGTCTATCCAATATGGATAGACTTAATGCATGTTTGTGTGAATATAAAAATCTAATTTCACGTTATTAAAACATTTCTAATGTGCTTTTATGCATGCAAGTTTTTTTTTTTATTTCAATAGTTTTTTTGGGAAACAGGTGGTGTTTGGTTACATGACTAAGTTCTTTAGCCGTGATTTCTGAGATTTTGCTGCATCCATCACCCTAGCAGTGTACACTGTACCCAATGTGTAGTCTTTTATCCCTCATGCCCCCTACCCTTTCCCCTGAATCCTTAAAGTCTGTTGTATCACTCTTATGCCTTTTCATCCTCAGATCTTAGCTTCCACTTATGGGTGAGAACACAGCCTATTTGGTTTTCCATTCCTGAGTTACTTCACTTAGAATCGTGGTCTTCACTTGCATCTAGGTTACTGCAAATGCCATTATTTCATTCCTTTTTATGGCTGAGTAGTATTCCATGGCACATGTGTTAGTCTGTTCTCATGCTGCTAATAAAGACATACCCGACACTGGGTACTTTATAAAAGAAATAGGTTTAATTGGCTCACAGTTCCACATGGCTGTGTGGGGCCTGGGAAGGCAAAGGAAGAGCAAAGGCACAACTTACATGGTAGCAGACAAGAGAGCTTGTGCAGGGGAATTTCCATTTATAAAACCATCGGACCTCATGAGACTTATTCACTATTACGAGAACAGCGTGAGAAAGACCCACTCCCATGATTCAATTACCTCCCACTCGATCCCCCCCACTACATGTAAGAATTATGGGAGCAACAATTCAAGATGAGAGTTGGATGGGGATACAGCCAAACCATATCAGTGCATGTGTGTGTGTGTGTGTGTGTGTGTGTGTGTATATATATACACACACCACATTTTCTTTATCCACTCATTGATTGATGGGCATTTTGGCTGGTTCCATATTTTTGCAATTGTGAATTGTGCCACTATAAGCATGTGTGTGCAGATATCTTTTTCATATAATGATGCATTTTCCTCTGGATAGATATCCAGCGGCGGAGTAGCAGGATGAGCCGCAGACAAAACCCCTCAGACACCGAGTTAAAGAAGGAAGGGCTTTATTCGGCCGGGAGCGTCAGCAAGACTCACGTCTCAAAAACCGAGCTCCCTGAGTAAGCAATTCCTGTCCCTTTAAAGGGCTTACAACTCTAAGGGGGTCTGCATGAGAGGGTTGTGATCCATTGAGCAAGCAGTGGGTACATGACTGGGGGCTGCATGCACTGGTAATCAGAATGGAACAGAACAGGACAGGGATTTTCACAATGCTTTTCCATACAATGTCTGGAATCTATGGATAACACAAGCAGTTAGGTCAGGGGTTGATTTTTAACTACCAGGCCCAGGGCATGGTGCTGGGCTATCTGCCTGTGGATTCCATTTCTGCCTTTTAGTTTTTACTTCTTCTTTCTTTGGAGGCAGAAATTGGGCATAAGACAATATGAGGGGTGGTCTCCTCCCTTATGGGATTATGAGATCAAATGACAGATCTATTTTTAGTTCTTTAAGGAATCTCCAAACTGTTTTCCATAGTGGTTGTACTAGTTTACATTCCCATCAGGAAAGTAAAAGTGTTCCCTTTTCACCACATCCATGCCAACATCTTTTTTTTTTTCTTTTTTGATTATGGCCATTCTTGTCAGAGTGAGGTGGTATCACATTGCTGTTTTGATTTGCATTTCCCTGATAATTAATAATGTTGAGCATTTTGTCATATGTTTGTTGGCAATTTGTACAACTCCTTTTGAGAATTATCTATTCATGTCCTTAGCCCACTTTTTGATAGGATTGTTTCTTTTGTTCTTGCTGATTTGTTTGAGTTTCTGGAGATTCTGAATGTTAGTCCTTTGATGGATGCAGAGATTGTGATGATTTTCTCCCACTTGGTGGGCTGTCTGTTTACTCTGCTGATTATTTCTTTTGCTGTGCAGAAGCTTTTTAATTAATTAATTAAATCCTATTTATCTGTTTTTTGTATTTGCTTTTGGGTTATTGGTCATGAAGTATTTGCCTAAGCCATTGGCTAGAAGGGTTTTCCCACTTTTATCTTCTAGATTTATGGTTTCAGGTCTTGGGTTTAAGTCTTTGATCCAACTTGAGTTGATTTTTGTATAAGATGAGAGATGAAGATCCAGGTTTATTATTCTACATATGACTTGCCAATTATCCCAGCACCATTTGTTGAATAGGGTGTCCTTTTCCCACTTTATGTGTTTGTTTGCTTTGTCAAAGATCAGTTGAGTGTAAGTGTTTGGCTTTATTTCTGGGTTCTCTATTCTGTTCCATTGGTCTATATGTCTACTTTTATACCAGTACCATGCTGTTTTGGTGACTATGACTTTATAGTGTAGTTTGAAGTCAGGTAATGTAATGCCTCCATATTTGTTCTTTTTCTTAATCTTGCTTTGGCTATGTGGCTTTTTTTTTTTTGGCTCCATATGAATTTTAGGATTCTTCTTTCTAGTTCCGTGAAGAATAATTGTGATATTTTCATGGGAATTGCATTGATTGATAGATTTCTTTTGGCAGTAAAAGGATTTTCACAACCTTGATTCTACTTATCCATGGGCATGTGATGTGTTTACATTTGTTTGTGTCATCTATTATTTCTTTCAGCAGTCTTTTGTATTTTTCCTTTTAGAGGTCTTTCACCATCTTGGTTAAGTAAATTTCTTAGTTTTTCTTTCTGTTGTCTGTTTTTGCAGCTACTATGAAAGGGGTTGAGTTCTTGATTTCATTCTCAGCTTGCCCACTGTTGGTGTATAGCAGAGCTACTAATTTGTGTACATTAATTTTGAATCCTAAGTTCCTTTACCAGTTCCAGGAGCTTTTTGGATGAGTCTTGAGGGTTTTCTAGGTGTACGATCATGTCATCAATGAACAGTGAGAGTTTGACTTCCTCATTACCAACTTGGATGCCCTTTATTTCTATCTCTTATCTGATTGCTCTGGCTAGGACTTACAGTACTATGTTGAGTAGAAGTGGTGAAAGTGGGCATCCTTGTCCTGTTCCAGCTATCAGGGGGAACGCTTTCAACTCTTCCCATTTAGTATAGTGTTAGCTATGGGTTTGTCATAGATGGCTTTTATTACCTTAAGAAATGCCCCTTCTATGCTGATTTTGTTTAAGTTTTAATCATAAAGTGTTGCTGGATGTTGTCAAATGTTTTTCCTGCATCTATTGAGATGAACATGTAATTTTTGTTTTCAATTCTGTTTATGTGGACTATCACATTTATTAACTTGCATATGTTAAACCATCACTGCATTTCTTGTATGAAACCCACTTGATTGTGGTAGATTATCTTTTTGATATGCTGTTGGACTCAGTTTGCTAGTACTTTGTTGAGGATTTTTGCATCCATGTTCATCAGTCATATTGGACTGTGGCATTCTTTTTTGCTTATGTTCTTTCCTGGTTAGGGTATTGGGGTGACACTGACTTCATGGAATGATTTAGGGAGGGTTCCCTCTTTCTCTATCTTTTGGAATAGTGTCAATAGGATTGTTACCAGTTCTTCTTTGAATGCTTGATAAAATTCAGCTGTGAATCTGTCTGGTTCTAGACTTTGTTTTTGTTGGTAACATTTTAATTACATTTCAATTTCACTGATTTTTATTGGGCTGTTTATAATTTTTATTTCTGGATTAATCTAAGAGGGCTGTATATTTCCAGGAATTTATCCATCTCCTCTAGGTTTCCTAGTTTATGCGTATAAAGTTGTTCATTGTAGCCTTGACTAATCTTTTGTATTTCTGTGGTAATCGTTGTAATATCTCCTGTTTCTTTTCTAATTGAGCTTCTTTTTATTTTCTCTATTCTTTTCTTGGTTAATCTCACTAATGATCTATCAATTTTATTTATCTTTTTAAAGAACCAGTTTTTTGTTTCATTCATCTTTTTTTGTTTTAATTTAATTTAATTTAATTCTGCTCTGATCTTTTTTGTTTTGTTTTGTTTTGTTTTGTTTTTCTGCTGCTGGATTTGGGTTTGGTTTGTTCTTGTTTCTCTAGTTCCTTGAGGTGTGACCTTAGATTGTCTCTTTGTGCTCTTTCAGACTTTTTGATGTAGGCATTAATAGCTATGAACTTTCCTCTTAGCACTGCTTTTGCTGCTTCTCACAGGTTTTGACAGGTTGTGTGACCATTATCATTCAGTCAAGGAATTTTTAAATTTCCATAAGGATTTCATTGTTAACCTGATCATTCAGGAGCAGGATATTTAATTTCCATGTATTTGCATTGTTTTGAGGCTTCCTTTTGGAGTTGGTTTCCAATTTTACTCCACTGTGGTCTGAGAATACTTGCTATAATTTCAATTTTCTTAAATGTATTGAGACTTGTTTTGTGGCCTATCATATGGTGTATTTTGGAGAAAGTTCCATGTGCTGATGAATAGCACGTATATTCTGCAGTTGTTCAGTAGAATGTTCTGTAAGTATGTAAGTCCTAAATCTAGGGCAAAGTTTAAGTCCATTGTTTCTTTGTTGACCTTCTATCTTGATGACCTGTCTAGTGCTGTCTGTGGAGTAATTAAAACCCCCCATCATTATTGTGTTTATGTCTATCTCATTTCTTAAGTCTAGTAGCAATTGTTTTAAAAATTTGGGAGCTCCAGTGTTAGGTGCATATATACTAAGGAATGTGATATTTTCCTGTTGGATTGGTCCTTTTATCATTATATAATGTCCCTCTTTGTCTTTTTAAACTGCTGTTGCTTTAAAGTTTGTTTTGTCTGATATAAAAATAGCTACTCCTGCTCACTTTTGGTGTCCATTTGCATGGAATATTTTTTCCTACCCCTTTACTCTAAGTTTCTTGAGTCCTTATATGTCAGGTGAGTCTCTTGAAGAGAGCAGATATTTGTTGGTCAGTTCTTATCTATTCTGCCTTTCTGTATCTTTTAAGTGGAGCATTTAGGCAATTTGCATTCAACATTAGTATTGAGATGTGAAGTACTATTCTGTTCATTGTGCTTTTTGTTGCCTGAATACCATGTTGTTGTTGTTTTTTCATTGTGTTATTGTCTTATAGGTCCTCTGACATTTATGCTTTGAGGAAATTCTATTTTTATGTATTTTGAGAATTTGTTTTAAGATTTAGAGCTCCTTTTAGCAGTTCTTGTAGTGCTGGCTTTGTAGTGGCAGATTCTCTCAGCATGTGTTTGTCTGAAAAAGACTGTAACTTTTCTTCATTTATAAGCCTTAGTTTCACTAGATACAAAATTCCTGACTGATAATTATTTCGTTTAAGTAGGCTAAAGATAGGACTTCAATCCCTTCTAAATTGTAGGGTTTCTGCTGAGAAATCTGCTGTTAATCTGATAGGTTTCCTTTATAGGTTACCTGATGCTTTTGACTCACAGCTCTTAAGATTCTTTCCTTCATCTTGACTTTAGATAACCTAATGACTATGTGCCTCGGCAGCGATCTTTTTGTGATGAACTTCCCAGGTGTTCTTTTAGCTTCTTGTATTTGAATGTCTAGATCTTTAACAAGGACAGGGAAGTTTTCCTCAATTATTCCTTCAAATATGTTTTCAAAACTTAGATTTGTCTTATTCCTCTGGAACACCAATTATTCTTAGGCTTGGTCATTTAACATAATCCCAAACCTCTTGGAGGCTTTGTTCATTTTTTTTTTATTTTTATATTTTATCTTTTCTGGGTTGGGTTAACATAAAAACTTTGTGTTTGATCTCTGAAGTTTTTTTCTTCTGCTTGTTCTGTAGCAGGACGAGCCACAGACAAAACCTCAGACACTGAGTTAAAGAACGAAAGGCTTTATTTGGCCAGGAGCGTCGGCAAGACTCACTTCTCAAAAACCGAGCTCCCCAAGTGAGCAATTCCTATCCCTTTTAAGGGCTTACAACTCTAAGGGGGTCCGCGTGAGAGGGTCATGATCGATTGAGCAAGCAGGGGGTATGTGACTGTGGGCTGCATGCACCAGTAATCAGAACAGAACAGGACAGGGATTTTCACAGTGCTTTTCCACACAATGTCTGGAATCTATAGATAACATAACCATTTTAGGTCAGGGGTCGATCTTTAACCAGGTCCAGGGCACGGTGCAGGGCTGTCTGCCTGTGGATTTCATTTCTGCCTTTTAGTTTTTACTTCTTTCTTTGGAGGCAGAAATTGGGCATAAGACAATATGAGGGGTGGTCTCCACTTAGTTCGATTCTATTGCTGAGACTTTGTGGTGCATTTTCCATTTCTCTATGTGTGTCTTTGATTTCCAGAAGTTGTGATTGTTTTTTATTTATGCTATCTATTTCACTGGAGATTTTTCCATTCATATCCTGTATCATTTTTTTTTTCTTTATTTCTTTAAGTTGGACTTCACCTTTCTCTAATGCCTCCTTGAGTGGCCTTTTTTTGGAAATTCAGAGATTTTTGTCTTGGTTTGGATCCATTGCTGGTGAGCTCGTGTAATCTTTTGAGGGTGTTAAGGACTTTGTTTTGTCATATTACCCAAATTGTTTGCTGTTTATTATTTTATTTTTTTCTCATTTGGGTAGACTATGTTAGAGGGAAGATCTGGGACTCAAGGGCTGCTCTTCAGATTATTTCATCCCACAGTGGTGCTCCCTTGATGTGGTGTTCTCCCCTTTCCCCTAGGGATGGGGCTTCCTGAGAGCAGAACTGTAGTGAGTGTAATTTTTTTCTGGATCTAGCCATCCAGCAGAGCTACCAGGTGTTGGGCCAGTACTGGGGAGTGTCTGCAGAGTCCGATGATGTGATCCATCTTCAGTTCTCTCAACCGTGGATATCAGCACCTACTCCAGTGGGGGTAGCAAGGGAGTGAAGTGAACTCTGTGAGGATCCTTGGTTGTATTTTTGTTAAGTGTGCTGGTCTTGTGTTGGTTGACTTCAAGCCAGGAGGTGGCACTTTCAAGGCTGCATTAGCTGCAGTTTTATAGGGAGGATCAGGCGGTGGGCAGGGACATAGAACTCCCAAAAGATTGTGTCCTTTATATTCAGCTACCAGGGTGGGTAGAGAAAGACCTTCAGGTTGGGGCAGAGTTAGGCATGTCTGAGCTCAGGCTGTCTTAGGGTGGGGCTCCGTGAGGCTGCTGTGGGGGATGGGGGTGTGCTTTCTGGGACAATGGAGTTATGTTCCCAGGGGGATTATGGCTGTCTTTGCTGTGTCACATAGGTCACCAGGGAAGTGGGGGAAAGCCAGCAGACACAGTCCTCACCCAGTTCCCACACAGCCCACAGCCCAAAAGGCCGGTCTCACTGCTACCATGCCCCCACAACAGCACTGAGTTTATTTCCAGGTAGCCAGTGAGCAATGCTGAGAACTTTCTTCAGACTACAAGCCTGTCAACTGAGAAAGTAAGCCAACTGACAGTTCCTTAGCTGTCCCACGGAGCCTGCAGAGGCAGACCACCTCCTTCAAAGGGACCGTGGGTTCTCTTGGCTTTCCTGGTATGTTCCTACAGTAGTTCTTGCAGCAAAAGTTCATGATGTGGGTAGCCACATACTACTCTGTCCATCTAAGTGGGAGCTTCAAGTTGGTCATATCTCCCGTCCTCCATTTTTCCAGGCTTTGACCCTCAGAATAACTTACTGATTTTACTTGGATAAATATGTAGGGTTCTTTTAATAAAAACTGTAGTACAAAAAGAGCAAGTTTATTGTTCAAAGGGGAGGAGGGAACAAAAAAATAAACAAAGTAGCCCTGAAACAAAATAAGATTCTGATAAATGTTATTTTCCTATATTTTCTGATGACAAGAATATTGAAAATATTCCTTTAAAGCTTTGACTGTGTTATGTTGATGAAAAGAGTCAAATTCTGTGAAATATTTGAAGTTTACTCTGAGCCAAATATAAGTGACCATGGCCTGTGACATAGCCCTCAGGAGGTCTTGAGAGCAGGTATCCAAGGTGATTGGGGTGGAGCTTGGTTTTATACATTTTAGGGAGACATGAGACTTCAATCAAATACATTTAAGAAAGACATTGGTTTGAGCCAGAAAGGCAGGGGCTTCTAAGCTATAGGTAAATTTAAATATTTTCTGGTTGACAATTGGTTGAGTTTGTCTAAAGCCCTGTTGTCAACAGAAAGGAATGTCTGGGTTAAGGTAAAGAACTGTGGACATACAAGTTCTTATTTGCAGCGGAGGCCTTCAGGTAGTAGGCTGCAGACAGAATAGGTTGTAAAATGTTTCTTATCAGACTTAAAGTCTGTGTTGATGCTAACACTAGAGAGGTATAATGAGGCATGTCCAACCCCACTTCTCATCATGGCCTAACAGTCTCTTAGGTTACATTTTAAAAGAGCCCCGGCTGAGGAGGAAGTCCACTCAGGTGGCTGGGAGGCCTTATAATTTTATTTTTGGTTTACAATTATGTTATCTTGCTATTTGTGTGTGTTTTCCTTTTCTCAGTTTTCACTTACCCCAAACAAGGAAACATGTTCATAAATATGTATTAAACCACTACAGCAATCTCTAAACTGGGAAAATGTATGCATGTTTGGGTGTGGGTGTATGCTTACAGTCTGCTTAATTCCTGGGTTTTTTGTTTGTTTGTTTCTTTGTGTGTTCTTTTGTCAAGCAAGCTGCTAACCTCCACCCCGCATCCCTCACAACCACTCCAAGACCTTTTTTGTTGTTGACACCTTCCCCAAACCAGAAAGAAATAAGGTGTGTTTATTACTGACTCCCTGGCAGTTTTAATGAGGTCATTTCCCCAGTCCTTCCTCCAGGACAGACTGTACTTTCACTGTTGAGCCTCAATATTTGCTGCAGAAACTACAGATATGTGATAGAACTGCTGTCAGTTTGGTAAAGTAACCCTTTCTCCCCTTAATCCAACTTCAGATGACAAGAGTTATTGAGAGCTGAGAATGACAACTTTAAACTCATCCAGTAGCTAAAAATCAGTGGATTTTCTAACACAGTATTTAAGCATAGTATACTTTGCTGCAAAAGAGCCAGCCAGGATCCTTTCTTACCAAACACAAATATTGGGATATCCAAGCGAAAAGAAGTGAAGAAGAAGCTTGGAACTCTCTTGTGATGAGGAATGACTGTGGGAACTAGCGTGAGGTCCTGTTTTGGGCTAGGCACTTTTTCTGATTAGGTTCATAAGTTGGCATGCCCAATTTTCTTGTACACATGGCCTGGAAAATGCAGCAGAAGTGTATGTAAGAGTACAATGGAATAATCTTTGAAAAGGGAAAATATTCAAAGTTCATCTTCTTTCTTCCTTTTTTTTTTTCCAGTGTGCACAATTTCTAGCAACTCTTCCCTTAGCACCTCCCCAAATCCCCACCTCCTTGTGCACACATACAGGCCAGTTCCTATCATATTGGAACCTGCTGAACTAGATTATAATCTCCACCATAGGAAAGCTTTCCTTTGTGACCTCATCTTTTTGCAATTCAGAGCCTGCTTATACATACTACATGGCACTGCTGGACCATTATGAAAAAGAGAAAACACTGTTTTCTTTATTCTCTACCAAGAGACCATCTCATTTTATTGCAATTTCAAAGAAAACCTTGTAAATGCAGCTGGGGAAATAAATGTACAAAACAAAACATGTAACCAGACATTCTTTTCTTATTGACTAAACATGTAATAGGTTCTTTGTTTCACAAAGACAATCACTGGTTTTGATTTTCAAAATTTCCCTATAAAGGAAAACACAATCAAACAATTCTTTGGTTTCACATTTGTATAATTGGAAATCACCAACATAACACATGCAATTAACAACTTTCTTCTTACACTTTTTTTACTTGCTTATTGAACCTGAGTATGAATTTGTGTTGTTTAAAAATTAGACTTTAAAGCTCAAAAACAATTTTAAATATAATCACATTTGTAAGTAATTTAATTCCAAAACCATGAAAATGTTTTTACACATTATAGGAAATGGTTTATGAAACTTAAAAACATTAAGAATCTTAGAATGTCATTGTTCCCAATAGAGCAGAGCCAAAACTCACCTTGTGTGTTTTAAGGAACTTAGATAATATTTAATCTATCTCCTGTTTACTAGCAGCCAAAAGTTTCTGGGCATTATTATGACACCCATCTCAGTCCAGTAGTTGATTAATAAAATAATAAAAATGGAAGCATTATGATTTTATCTATTTTTTATATATTCCTTAGTAGTGTTGCTCTCCAAGGCAGAAATGATCCCTTTAAAGTGAAGAAAGGGAACTTTCTATATATATAGATATATATACACATAAATATATATACACACACACATATATACTTTATGTAGTAATTTTGAGACAAACTACCCTATATAGAGATGAACTGCCATATACCATATATTTATATATACACACACATATATATATTTTATATATGTATAAACACACAAATACACATGTATGTATACCCACCCATATATACACATAAATATATATGCATATATACATGTGTGTACATATATGCACATATATGCATATTGACACATACATATTTGTAATACTATTTTCTCTCCAATATAGTTTTAGAAAATACCTGTTTGCTTGTAAAAAATGTAAAATATAATAAAATAACAAAAGTTACAATTAGACATGAAAAATAATCAAAGACTGTGCCAGATACGAGGTTTAGAAATGTTTTAAAATCAATTACCATAAACTTTCCCCTCAGCATGTGAGTCTATTCCACACAACTGACAAAATATGGATACAGGAACATCTATATGGCCAAAGTCACTCATTTTCTTTACCTGTTAGCTCTTTTCTTTACCTGTTAGCTCCTCATAGAAATGCTTTCTAACCGTAAACCTTGAATTGCTATTTATTTTAATAACAAACTTTCAAAACTGCTGACATTTTATCACATAAAATTCTACATTCATTGTAGTTGAAACTTCCCTGGCTTTATACCATAAACAGCAATTCCTTGTATTGTCAGAGTGAGCTGCCAATCTTATATGCCTGCTGTCAAGTGTTTACAATAGATATGATGAGGAGTTTTCATAATAATATTTTATGATTTTTACCATAGGTGTAGTCTGATGGCATCGCTTCAAAGTGTAGTACTTTTGGCATAGTCAGTAATTCCCATAGAAAACGTTACTGTGATTTTTTAAACTAGATTTATAAGAAAATAATCTAGACTTTGAAAAGTGGCTTATATTAAAACATATTGGCCTAAAACACAGATTTAAAGAGTCTCAAGGCCTAAAATATGTGTTTGTGTGTGTGTGTGTGTATATATTAATTATATAAAATTAATTATCTATGTATAAACTTCATCTTAATGTATTTTAAACATTACATCTCCCCTTTGTAGTACATTAAACAATACATCTCACCTTTGTAGTACATTCTGTCCAGCTAAAAAAAAGTAACTTTCATTTCTTCTGATTTACATAGTTCCCTTTTCTGATGCAAATAGTAATGATATATTTTATGTCCCTAAATTAGTTTAATGTCTTAAATTTCTTAAAAGGATTCCATATTCCTAATCTTTTTTGAGTCTTATAACATGTAGGATATGGTTAGTTAGAGTAGTTTATATCAAAATCACTACGTCCCAACTGGAACTTGTAATGCCCTCATTCAGATTTTACTGCCATATATTTCTATTTGGTAATATTACTATCTGTCATTGGTTATTCTAACTAAAATACTGGCACATAGTTTTCATTCTTTTTTTTCCTCCCATTTGCTAAATTCAATTAAGTAACAAATTCAGTCATTTTAATTCCTATTTATGCATGTTATCTGTACATGTGTGAGTATACATAGAGTGCACACACTACTCCCTGTTCAAACTACCTAGACTTACTTTCAGTGATCAAAGTTTAACTAAGATGATCATGACAGCATCTTAATTGTTTACCCTTCAAATTCATCTACCATAAAAACTATCAGACTATTACACATAAAATAAAAATCTGGCCATGACATCTCTAGCCATTTGGTTTAATTTTTTTTTAATTTCCATAGATTATTGGGGAACAGGTGGTGTTCAGTTACATGAGTAAGTTCTTTAGTCATGATTTGTGAGACGTTGGTGCACTCATCACCTAAGCAGTGTACACTGCACCCTACTTGTAGTCTTTTATCCCTCACCACCTTCCCAACCTTTCCCTGTGGGACCTGAAAGTCTATTGTGTTACTCTTATGCCTTTGCATCCTCATAGCTTAGCTCCTACTTATGAGTGAGAACATATGATATTTGGTTTTCCATCCCTGAGTTGAGTTACTTCATTAGAATAATAGTCTTCAATCTCATCCAGGTCTCTATGAATGCCATTAATTCATTCCTTTCTATGGCTGAGTAGTATCCCATTATGTATATATCATATATATAAATATGTATATCATATATATTTATGTATATTACATATATATATATATATATATATCCCAGTTTCTTTATCCACTCTTTGATTGATGGGCATTTGGGTTGGCATTCCTGAGCAAATGTGAAAGAACTGAAATAATAACAAACAGCCTCTCAGACCACAGTGCAATCAAATTAGAACTCAGGATTAAGAAACTCACTCAAAACCAGACAATTAAATGGAAATTGAACAACCTGCTCCTGAATGACTCTCCTGGGTAAATAATCAAATTAAGGTAGAAATCAAGAAATTCTTTGAAACTAATGAGAACAAAGAGACAATATACCAGAATCTCTGGGACACAGCTAAAGCAGTGTTAAGAGGGAAATGTATAGCATTAAATGCCAACATCAGAAAGCTAGAAAGATCTCAAGTCGACACCCTAACATCACAATTAAAAGAGCTAGAGAGGCAAGAGCAAACTAATCCAAAAGCTAGCAGAAGAAATAACTAAGATCAGAGAAGAACTGAAGGAGATAGAGACATGAAACCCCTCAAAAAAATCAATGAATCCAGGAGCTGGTTTTCTGAAAAAAATTAACAAAATATATAGACTGCTAGTTAGATTAATAAAGAAGAAAAGAGAGAAGAATCAAATAGACACAATAAAAAATGATAAAGGGAATATCACCACTGATCCCACAGAAATACAAACTACAATCAGAGAATATTATAAACACCTCTATGCAAAAAACCTAGAAAATCTAGAAGAAATGGTTAAATTCCTGGACACATACACTCTCCCAAGGTTAAACCAGGAAGAAGTCAAATCCCTGAATAGAGCAATAACAAGTTCTGAAATTGAGGCAGTAATCAATAGCTTACCAACTAAATAAAGCCCAAGACTAGATAGATTCACAGCTGAATTCTACCAAAAATACAAAAAGGGGCCGGTACTATTCCTTCTGAAACTATTCCAAACAATTGAAAAGGAGGGACTCCTCCCTAACTCATTTTATGAAGGCAGTATCATCCTCATACCAAAAGCAAGAAGAGACAGAACAAAAAAAGAAAACTTCAGGCCAATATCCCTGATGAACATCGTTGTGAAAACCCTCAATGAAATACTGGCAAACCAAATCCAGCAGCACATCAAAAACTTATCCACCATGATCAAGTTGGCTTCATCCCTGGGATGCAAGGCTGGTTAAATATATGCAAATCAATCAACATAATTCATCACATAAGCAGAGCCAAAGACAAAAGACACATGATTATCTCAATAGATGCAAAAAAGGCCTTTGATAAAATTCAACACCTCTTCATGTTAAAAACTCTCAATAAACTACGTATTGATAGAACATATCTCAAAATAATAAGAGCTATGTATGACAAACCCACAGCCAATATCACATTGAATGGGCAAAAGCTGGAAGCATTCCCTTTGAAAACCGGTACAAGACAAGAATGCCCTCTCTCACCACTCCTATTCTACATAGTCCTAGAAGTTCTGGCCTGGGCAATCAGGAAAGAAAGAAATAGTGTATTCAAATAGGAAGAGAGGAAGTCAAATTCTCTCTGTTTGCAGATGGCATGAGTTTATATTTAGAAAACACCATAACCTCAGCCCCCAAAATCCTTAAACTGATAAGCAACTTCAGCAAAGTCTCAGGATACAAAAATCAATGTGCAAAAATCGAAAGCATTCCTTCACACCAACAATAGAGAGCCAAATCATGAATGAACTCCCATTCACAGTTGTTACAAAGAGAATAAAATACCTAGGAATACAGCTAACAAGAGAGGTGAAGGAACTCTTCAATGGGAACTACAAACCACTGCTCAAGAAAATCAGAGAGGACACAAATGGAAAAACATTCCATGCTCATGGATAGGAAGAATCAGTATCATGAAAATGGCCATACTGCCCAAAGTAATGTATAGGTTCAATGCTATTCCCATCAAACTACCATTGACATTCTTCCCAGAATTAGAAAAAACTATTTTAAATTTCACAGGGAATCAAAGAAGACCCCGTATAGCGAAGACAATCCTAACAATTAACGTTAAAAACTACATTATGTCCACCTGGGCTTTATCCCAGGATTCTAATATAGTTCAGTATTCAAAATATGTTAACAAGGGCTATATGCCTGCCCTATGTTTGTGCATATGTTTAAAATTACTCTGAATAGTCAAGTAAATAAGGCAAGAACATCTGAAATATACAATTTTCCATGCAGAATAAACGAGAAAATATTTGAGTCATTTATTTTGATTGATAAGAGCATTCCACAAGATGCTGTGGGACAAATAGATAAATGGAAGAAATGATATAGAGTGATTGTAAACAATCTATGCTTTCAGTGAAATTTGATGTATTATTGGTACAGAATGAGATCTGAGACATGATCACTATTTGCTTAATAAATAACACTAAGCCAAATACCTATTTATGTACAAAACAAAGAAGAAACTAATTTCTTATCTTTTAGTACACATAAAAATTAAATTATCATGCTGGCCAATAAATTATTTAATCAAGAAAAGCAAAATGTAAAATATCAAGAATAAAATATTAGATAATATATTTATGGTTTAGCAGGACACTAAGAACACAACACATAAAAAAGAAATTAATTTGACCTCATTGATATTAAAAGTTGTGATTGCTTTGTTTTCTATAACACAAAAGGTATAGAAAGCAAAGTAAAGATTTAACTACAATGCCTATAATTTCTGAATACTAATAATAAAAGAGAAACTACCAAAATAGGCAAGGAAATATTCAATTTACAAATAATTTCTAATATATGAAAATGCTCATTTTCACTTTTAATCAAGAAATCGTAGTTCCAAATCACATTAGGACATTTTATATTATCTTGACCTGAACATTAAACATTCTATGCAAGTAAAAAAATTTCGCATGTGTCTTGTAAATAGGTAAAATATTATGTATCAATTTAAAAAACAGCATGTTATGGTATAATATATTATTTATTTATTTATTTTTATTTTACTTTAAGTTCTGGGATACATGTGCAGAACATGCAAGTTTGTTACATAGGTATATGTGTGCCGTGGTGGTTTGCTGCACCCATCAACCCGTCATCTAGGTTTTAAGCCCCACATGCATTAGGTATTTGTCCTAAAGCTCTCCCTCACCTTGCCCTCTACCCCTCGACAGGCCCCAGAGTGTGATGTCCCCCTCCCTCTGTCCATGTGTTCTTGTTGTTCTACACTCACTTATGAGTGAGAACATGTGGTATTTGGTTTTCTGTTCCTGTGTTAGTTTGCTGAGAATGATGGTTTCCAGTTTCATCAATTGCCCTGCAAAGGACATGAAATCATACTTTTTTATGGCTGCATCGTATCCCATGGTGTATATGTGCCACATTTTTTTTTTATCCAGTCTAACATTAAGGGAATTTGGGTTGGTTCCAAGTCTTTGCTATTGTAAATAGTGCTGCAGTAAACATACATGTGCATGCGTCTTTACAGTAGAATGATTTATAATTCTTTGGGTATATACTCAGTAATGGGATTGCTGGGTCAAATGGTATTTCTGGTTTTAGATCCTTGAGGAATCTCCACACTGTCTTCCACAATGGTTGAACTAATTTACACTCCCACCAACAGTGTAAAGACGTTATTGTATAATATTAAAGTTAATAAATGGAGAAATTTTGAGAATAATAACTGATAGCAAATATGTGGTGGACAAGAACCCTCATATGCTGTTATCTGCAAAGTAAATTAGTACAAACACTTTGATAAGCACTTTATCAATATTCACTAATGTAGATAATTTTTATATCCTTAGAGCCAGCAATTCCTCTCCCAGACATAAAAATAAAGTGTAACATTTTTGTCTAAAGTTTTTGTGGCAGCATGATTTTCATAACAAAAGAAAGAATAATAGGGATATACAATAAATAAATACATACAGTGTATTCTCTCAGTAGAATACATGTGATATACATGTGATCCATTCTTACATGAGAATTCTATATATCCTGTTATATGTATTACCTGTAGTTATTTGTTTTAATGTGGATTATCTCAAAAATATATTTCATAAAAATTTCTAAAGCTGCTGAAATTAGAAGTACATATGACTCTATTATCATTTAAAAATATTTCAAAATATAAAAACAATACTATGCATATTGATAATTACATAAATTTGTGTCATTTTTGTAAATATTGTGAAAGTTTTACTCTGCTCTCTATGCAGTGCCCAAGGCTTATGGGGGGCACTCAAATAATGTTTGCTTGAATAAAGAAGTGATGACATTGAATAATCAATAACCACTGTAAGATATGTAAGATATGGCTAATTCTGGAAAGAAATGGAGTAACAATATGATAAAAGGGTGTTCAGTGAATCTTTCCTCTTAATTAGTAAGTTTTGTTCATACAGGCAAACACTCAGAAACACAAACATTCAATATTCTCTGAAACATTAATACAATATTGAAGACTTGCTACTTAGTGTGAAATATTTTGATATTTCAAATACTTGGGAATTTTTGAAATATATATTAAAAATAATTACTCATAAATATAATTATCTAAGTAGACAAATATTTAGAAAATTTCATATTGAAACTATTTTCTCCATTTATAGTATATTTTAGACATCAATACATTTTTTCTTAATTTTTGAATGTAGTCAGTCATATTATCTATTTTTCTCTTCACTTATCATTTAGATTGTGAAAAATAAGTGGGTTTGTTTGCATCTCAGAGCAAATTAGAGTCAAAACAAATTATATGATCAGCGCTTTTAAAAAAATTAATTAATGCCATCGAAGTACTTGATACTGACATTTAAGTGCTTCAGCTGGTTAATAATTCACTCAACATATTAACAACAGCATCGTAAGGGCTAGGAGCTCAGAATACAAATAAAGATCTATATTTCTTTACAGACAAGCATATATTAAAAGGACCAATAGTCAAATCAATTTTCAGTATAGAAATTCATTCAGAATTCAGAAATCAAACAAATCGGCTTAACTGAGTAAAAAGCAAAAATGTATAAGATGAAATGACTAAAAATATATTTTTTAAAAGTGAAAGTAGGTTGTCCATGTCTCCCAGTGCCATTTTGGATTTTAGTTGTTCACTTTATGTAAATCTAAGTCTTTGAAATCCTGTTAAAATATCATTCTCTATACAATGTCCACAGGGAAAATAGTATTTTAATTGCTCACAGGATGGATTTATAGTTCACTTCTATAGACACTGAAGGAGCACCTATTAGATATCAGACATGTACCTGGAAGAGACAATGAGATCAATCTTCATCATTAGTGTTTGTAGATATTTAATGTTATAAAAATGATAGATACTTTAAAAGGTTATTTCAATATAATGTGGTAGAAGATATAAGACTTTATAAGCAGGATACCTTATGAGTGTAGAGCAGAAAAATTTACTCCAGACGAGAAACATAAGGTACTGCTATGGTGTGAATGTTTATCCTATTCCAAACTCATGTTAAAGTTTAATTACCAAAAAAATATTTAGAAAGAAAGTATGAATAAGACCTAGTGTTTGATAGCACGACATGGGGACTACAGTCAATAATAACTTCATTGTACATTTAAACATAACTAAAAGAACGTCATTGAAGTTGATTAATGCCTTTATCACAAGAGTTGGTTCCTTATATAAGAATGAGTTCAGCCCACTTTTGTCTCTCTCTCTCTCACACACACACACCCTCTGTTTGACTTTCTGCCATGGAATGACTCTGCAGAAAGTTCCTTGCAAGATGCCAGCCCCTCCATCATGGACTTCCCAGCCTCCAGAAGCATGAACCAATAAGTATTTGTTAATTATAAATTACCTAATCTGTGGTATTTTGTTATAGCAGCACCAAATGGACTACAACAGGTCCCACTAGGATAAGCCTTTCTTGTCAAGGTTTTAACAAGACATGAGAGGTTGAAAATAGTGGTGTGGTTTTACAGTATGAGATTTCTTCCCAATTCCTGTTATTCAGCCAAAAACTTATGCAGAGTCCTACTTTTTTTATATATAGAAAAAAAATCTAGTTACTTGTTCATTTTATAGCATATATAAATTCCTTGACTCCAGGTTTCTCTCATTTAAAAAAAATTATTCCCTTTAAATATAAGTTTTCCATATCTCATTTGTTGTCTTAACACATAAAGCACTTCACAGATTCTTTTGCTTCTTGGAGGCACCTTAGCTATACTCAGTTTCACAAATAAACAATTCCTTTGTCTCCTAATATGTCTATATTTCTTCATTCAAATAATGCATGTTTCTCATGAATTCAAAACAGTTTTAATCATTTTGAGCAGGAAATCATTTGTACCCATTTCATCCACTTTCCCACTAAGGTCTTAGCCAGATACCTCGGAAATTTGAGTTTATGACCTAAAGATATCAATTCATCAAGGTTTCATATATGTTTCTGAATGAACAAAATGGCAAAGTGAATGTAGGAGTGGTAGTTTGCTCACTCATATGTACAAGAATATTGTAGTACCATTATTTTTCACCTGTGGGATAGTAATTGTCTAGTATATTGGAAGCAAAATCATGCAGCTATAATGTACCACACATTGAAATGTGTCTTTACTTCAATTTGCCCTCTATTTTTGTCCAGACACAAAGATTGAGAATGTACATGGAATTTAATAAATAATATTAATTATTTATTTAATTTTAAGCATATAAAGCATACATATAATTAAAGGATTAGTTAAGTCTTAGTGTTTTTAAAGGGGTTGGTGATAATGAATTATCCATTATTTAATATTTCATTGAAAGATCTAATAAAAGTGATTTACAAACTTCAATTAGTTTCCACCATGACAAGCATCATGCAGTTTCTCAAGACAACAAAGTAACACTAGATAGGCAAAAAGCAAGAAACCATGATGGGAAAAGTATAAAGATTCATTTTAACCAATAGGGAGTATATTATTTGCTTGGGCTGCCATAACAGAATACAACAGAGAGGGTGGCTTATGCAATAGGAATTTATTTCTTCACAATTCTGAAGGCTAAAAGTTCAAGATCAAGGTGCCAGCTGGGGTGCTGTATTTTGAGGCCTCTCTGCTTGGGTTGCAGATGACCACCTTCTTGCTATGTCCTCACATGGCCTTTCCTTTGTACTTCTGTGGGGATAGAGAGATTCATGTAGTCTTTCCCTCTACTTATAAGACACCAGTCCTATTGGATTAGAGAACACCCTTAAAGAACTCATTTAACCTTAATCACCTCTCTAAAAACCCTCTCTCCAAATAGTCATATTGGTATTAAAGTCTTCAACATTTGAATTTGGAAAGGAACACAATTCTGTTCATAACAAGGATTTGATCCCATGAAAAGGTCTTGAGTATTTAAACTTTAGAAAGGCTTGCATTATAATGTTAAGCATAAAATATGTTACAGATTACATTAAATAAAACCCATGTACACATTGATGAGTTATATCTACCTTACTATTACTAATGTTTTCACTGATGCAATAGTTCATTAATAAGAAACCACTGCTCTTCTGTTGCCCTCTAAAGGGTTGCAATAAGGAACCCTTTTTAGAGGAGCCAAAAATAAAAAAAAAAAAACTAATAAATTAGATTATGAATCTAACTAGAATACCACTGGACCTCTTTAAACAACCTATTTTCTTAATATGGCTGCCTTGAGATAATGTTGCGCTATAGCATACCCTTGAAATTATAAATCTAACTCCAAAGATATCAGCAACTATAATGAACAAGTAACTAATTTATCTAGTTTCTCTTTCATTCAGGGAGCTTTATGTCTTCCAATGAATATAAATTCTGTTCATTCAGTAGAACTGAAGTCAGCTCTTTCCTTTTCTATTTCCTGATTAACCTCTTTGATGATATCATGGCCCAGAAATGCACCATCCTTCTTATATTCCCTGTGCCTTATAAGTCATGTATTCCTGTATTAGGATTAATCAATTCTAGTCTCTTGTTGAGATTTAAGATGTGAGTAAACGATGTCAGTTGAGCTTGTTTCTGCATCTGTGTTTAGCCAGTAGGTCAGCTTACTACTAGAGAATCTAATGTGGCCTCAGTCATGGGTCTCATGGATGGCAGGCTGTCAGCTGGGGAAGTGGGGGTCACTCAGTCACCACATGTCTCTTACCATCCAGCAGGTTAGCTCAGACTTATTAACAAGAGAGCACAGGAGTTTTAAAAGCCTCAAGATAAAGAGTCTCAATGTGTAAGCACTTTTCAAGTCTTTACTTATATCATAATGTCTGTTGCCCACTTGCAAAATAAAATCAGATAGTGTACCCTAAAGTAGAATGGGAAAGAGGTACCCAAGCTACAGATAAAAAGAGGTGTTAACAACATGGGAAATTACTGCAATTATATACTAGAGCAGGAAAAAGTTGGAATCACCTTGAAATATTTTGTGTAGAATTAAGGATGTATGTCTGGGAAAGCTTGAAAATGAGATTGGTGCTGGATGTAAAAGAAGATGGTAAAATATTGGATTAAGAAATGTAAAGTTTATCAATGAAGAGCAGCAGAGTTAGAGGGAGCCCAGTCTACAAGACTGCCCTTGCTTTGATTCCAACTACAAGTTAAGGAACTCCAAGACCATTCTGATTTTCATTCATTTGCTAGAACAATTCACAGAACTCAGTAAGAGCTGTAATACTTATTATTGTTTATTATATTACAAGACACAAATTTAAAGCAGCCAAGGGAGGAACTGCAGACAGCAGAGTCCAGGAAAGTTCCAATCATATAACTTCCCAGTTGTTCTCTCTCTATGGACTTGAAGATGTCATTACCTTCCCATCAAGCCTTAGTGTCTATAAGAAGGTATTGCCAACCAAGGAAGCTCACCTGAGCCTTGGTGTGCAGATTTTAATTGGGGTCCATCTCATAAACATGGTTGAATGCCTACATGGCTGATCTCAGTCTCTAGCCTCTCAGGAGTTTGAGCAGATACCACATGATCCTACCCTAAATCACATTGTTAGAACATCTAGTGTGGCCAACTTCTACTCTAAATCACATTGTTACACTATCAAGGCCTCTAGGCAAACAAAGACAGTTCTATAAGGCAGGGCATTTCAAGGGTTTTTAGATTACCTGCAAAAGTGATGCAAAAACAAAGCCTCCTTTTTATCAAGTTTTGATTTTTTAGTACATATTTGCTGAAGATATTGTCAGTAGCAATCGATTGAAGGGATCATGATCAAAGGTACAATTCCAGGATTTATTATGCAGCAGTATATAAGATGCCACCTAATATCTTATCTAAATTGAACTACTTAGACAGGTAAGGGGTCTATGTTTTGCCACTCTCCTCTATATTCTCTCAATCTCAGAGAAGGAAGCTAAAATGAACAGAGAGGCAGAGCTCTAATGTGCACTGAGTGGAAGATAGGAAAATAAATTTAAGTTTAAAAATAAATAGGACTGAAACAATAAGTCTGTTGTAGTAACTAAAGAGTAGGAATATTTATGAGCACTGTTACTGATAGGAAACGGGACTTGAATGAGCAGATTATCTTGGATTATCCAAATGACCCTCCACTTGATTTTAACAAAAGTAATGCAAAAATTCAGTTAGACAGGAGAATACACACAAGAGATCTATTGTAAATCATAGTCACTATAGTTAATGACGACCTGCTTATACTTGAAAATTGCTAGAGTAGATTTTAAGTGTTCTAACCACAAAAATGTATGTTTGACAATGTTAATTTGCCTGATTTAGCCATTTCACAATGTGTACATATATCAAAACATCATGCTGTTCACCATAAATATATACGATTTTATTTGTCAATGTAAAAAAAAAAAGTAAATTGCCAAATGGCCCTAAATTCTATATATGTATCATTAAAAGAGGGAAGTAGAGGGAAAATTGATGGACATGTAGAAGAGAAAGAGGCAGAGATGGGAGCAATACAGCCACAAGCCGAAAAATGCCAGCAGCCATCAGAAGATGAAAGAAGAAATGGCTTCTCCCCTAGAGTCTCCAGAAAGACACAGCTCTGCAGAGAGCTTAATTTCCATTCAGCAAAACTGGTTTTGGACTTATAATCTCCAGAACTTTAAAAGAATACATTTCTTTTGTCTTAAACCGCCAAGTTTTTGGTAATTTGTTACAGTATCCCTAGGAAAGTAATAGGGAAAATCAGTGGAAACAAATTCATATCATGTGTAGATTGTATTCGTCAAGGAATAGAGGACCTCCTTTAAATGATTTTTATGTATATAATTTTTAATCTCTATCCACGTCCAGATCTAGCTCTTTAACTCTGCTGAAGTCCATACCTGCAGACACTGTGCAGCACTCACTCCACATATGACAGATCTCCCCTATCCATCCATTTAATTTCAATTCAGCAATGGTGAACAATTCCTTTTAAAGTTGCCTGTGTTGGATATTTATCATTTTCTGCCATACGTTTCAGCTTTTCTGTCTCACAGCTCTCTTCCAAGGTCAGCCTTAGTAATGCAAGGGAAGGAATGGTCCTGGAGAAACCCTCAGACGGTAGACAAGAAACAGAGGTTAAATGCCTCTTTACCTTCAATGGGTCAGTCTGATATATTCCGCATGGCTCTGCAAAAGGTCTTAGGTAAGATTGAGCCCCAGTCACTAACAGCACTAGGCAGCTCAATAAACACTATACTGTATATTTTTTTTTCTCTACACTCATTTTTCCTCTTCCTCATATCTCTTCATAGGATCGTCTGACAAATAAACTACTTGCAGACAATCTTCTCAAATTCCACCTTCAGATAAACATAAACTGAGGCAGCTTTAAATGAAAGTAGTTTTGGAAGTCAACCCTTAGAATGATATTCTGAAACTAGATTATTCACTATTCAGATACCAAAGAGCACTTATTAGTTGTTGCAAGTGGAGGGTGACAAAACCTGACATGTTGTAGGATCACAATTTCTAAGATTATGTTCTGGATTTGTATATAACTTGTAAGGAGAATATAGGGTAAGAGGAAAGGCTGAAGAAGTAATTATATACTAGATCACACAGTCTTATATGGTATACAAAAAATAAAAGAGGCCTTTTTTCCCTATTAGAGAATGGGTACCATTTTTAAGCTTTGCTATAAGAAAAGCCCAAGTAGTTTCTGTCTTTGCATGACCCCAGGAAAATCATTTAACCTCTCTGGGGCTCATTTTTCTCCTCTGCAAAATGAAAATTTAAATGGTACTTATATGAAATAAGGCAAAATGCAGAATATTGTACTTAGAAAATTTTAATGTATAGTAACTGTGATGGTTAATGTTATGTGTCAACTTGTCTAGGCCATGATAACCAGGTTTGCTCAAACACCAGTGTAAATGTACCTGAAAAGGTATTTTTTGGATGTGGTTAACATTTAAATCAATAGACATTGGGTAAAGCAGATTATTCTCCATAATGTGTGTGGGTCACATTCAATCTGTTGAAGACCTTACGGGAAAAGACTGAGGTAGCTTGAGGAAGAGGAACTCCACCTCTATTACAGCCTTTGGACTCAGGAATGTAACATCCTCTCTTCTCTGGGTTTCCAGCCTGCTGGCCTACCCTGCATATTTTGGACTTTCTAGTCCTCAGAATCACATGAGCAAGTCTTTAAAATAAATACCACCCTCTTCCCAAACTTAATTTCTTCTGTTACTCTGAAAAACTAATAATTTTAAGGTGCTCTAATACAGTAACTGATAATTTTAAGGTGATTACTCTGGAAATTATGTAGAAATTAGTGTATGGTGGGCAGAATAATGGCTCCTCAAAGATGTGCATGTTCTGCTCCTGAGAACCCGAGAATATATGAAAAAGGAATTTGCAGATGTGAGTAAGGTATCTTAGTTTATTTAGTGTGTCTATAACAATATCTGAGGCTGAGTAATTCATAGGAAAAAAAAAAGGTTTATTTTTGCTCATGGTTCTGGTGGCTGGAAAGTTCAAAAGCGGGCAGCTGCATCTTCTGAGGGCCTCAGGCTGCTTCAACTCATAGTGGAAAGTGGAAAGGGAGAAGGGATGTGCTAAGAAGTCACACGGTGAGAGACAGAGCAAGAGAGATAAAAACTAAGGAAGCCAGGCTGTTTTTAACAACCTGCTCAGTGGAAACTAGCTAGAGTAAGAACTCACTCATCCTCATGAGAGAGCATTAATCTACTTATAAGGGATCCACAATCACGGGCCCAACACCTCCCACCAGGCCCCCATTCCAACACTGCCACACGGGCATCAAACGTCAACATAAGGTTTGGTGGAAACAAAACAGATCCAAACTATAAGGTTTGAGTATAAGGTTAAGAGACTTGAGATGGGGAGATTAGCCTGGCTTACCCGGGTGAGCCCAGTCTAGCTATATTGGATCACCATCTTCTTAAAAGTAGAGAATCTTTTCTGGCTGAAGAGGGTCAAAGAAATTTAGTAAGAACAGCCTGATACTTCATCATTTGTTTTAAGAATGGAGGAAGGAAGGCAGAAGCCAAGGAATGTGGCAGTCTTTAGAAGCTGGAAACAGCTCTCAATCTAGAAGCTAGGAAAAAAAAATGGGGACTTTAACTGTTACAGGGAAATGAACAGAAATTGTATTCTTTCCTGGAGACCTCCCAAAGAAGCACAGCCTTGCAGACAACTATATTTTAGCCTATTTACACAAACGTTCTACTTCTGGCCCACAGAGTTGTGAGAAAAAAAAAAAAAGTATTGTTTTAAGCCACTAATTTGAGGTAATTTATTGTGGCAGCAATTGAAAAACCTAATAAAGGTGTCTGTTTACACCATCTTCATCTTAGAAGCCAATTTTAAAAAACTAAATATAAGTGTTAAAGTTCATAGATATTCATGTGTGACATAACTGGACACCTGTTAAGATCTTCACATTCACATAGACCAAAGCATCATATCACTTTCCACATATACAAGTTTAGAAAATACCCTACTAATAGCCATTGAATAGAAAATTAGTAGAGAATATGATAAAGAGCTTGTGGTGCAGATGCTGGGCAGTTGTCTAGGATCATCTGGGACATCGGCTCTCCCCTACTACTCTTTCTATTGGCCCTATTGCATTATACCAGCTCTGGGCCTAAAGCCAAATCCCGATGCATCTTCTAAACGAATGGCAGAAACCCAGGCATTTATCCCTGTAACTGTTTCATGGACAGAGCTAACCTTGACTTTATGTGATATCTCTGTGCATTCCTCAAAAGGAATTAGTTCAAAGGGGCACCCAATTTGTAACATTTACCTAGATATTCAGAATTTATATTTAATGATTGGAGTAAGAGAAAAATTTTTTCTCCTTCTGGATGGTTTCCTTTATTTTAAGGAAAATTACATATTTCATGGTACAGAACTTTACGGTGATTCTGCAATAGTGGGTTTATGCAGTATAAATTTACAAATGTGAAGAGTTTGCTGTAGTATAGCAGTCATAGAAATAATTTAAAAAATGATAAAAGAAGTTAATTCTAGTAGTTGAAAGGCTATTTATCTGTGTTGTTTTATGCTTCTCTTCAGGTACCATCTCATCCATAAATTGTCCCGGATTCCTCAGGCTAGGGTACACCCCAGTCCTGTCCTTCTTTCATATCTTGTTTGTATTTATATTGCAACATTTAATGTGAATTGAGTCTCTATTGGAATATTTATATTTTTGCACTTGAATAAACTAAATTATTTTAGGATACCAACCACATATTAGTGTACTACATATAGAAAGTATTTAACATGTATTTTTTGAATTTAATTATCATGAAAAAGTGAGCATGACCTACTTTTTACTTGCTCTGTTAAGCTAGTCATCTCATATATAGTTCTGTTGGAACCAAATCTATAAGGCATTTTATCAGTCCCTGAAGCTTGCTTTGGCTCTTTAGAAGTAGAGAGATGCTAGGAAATTATCTGGGACTCTGAAGTTGAGTGCCACATTGAGCACTCAACCACTAATTGAAGACTCTTTTAATTCAGCCAGATTATTTGCAGTGTTAGCAAGAGACCTCAAAGGCACCATTGCTCATCATACTTACTTGCACTTCCCACAGAAGGAAAACCCTGTAAGGCCACTTCAGTTTCTGTTTTGCTTATTCAAAAGAACCCAGAGCTACAAAGCTTTTGCACCAAAGAAAAATTATATCAGGGGATTAGGAAGTTGTACAAGTGACCTGAATCTAGACAATTAAATGTTTGGAGTCTTTTTTTTTTTAGTGTTAATTTGCTTTTGTTGTACCATTGCTACCATTTCCTCTTTAATTTCAAACATGCCAACCAATTGTCAAATGAAAAATTCAGGTTGGTAATAGAAGGAGCATCATTTAGCGAAAAGCAGAGCTATATTTCATACTTCCTTCAGCATAAAACATTAGCAATTCCAAGTTTCAGATTCAAATGTGATATAATAATTCTTCACAGCAGCCAAATATGAAGGGTCAGGATTTTTCCTAGTTAAAAATTATATAATGACATATGTCTATTCTTAACTAGTAATGAAGGTAGAGAAGACATGAATAATAATAAAAATGATGAAATGGTGCTAACATTTCAAAAGTTGAGGTCAAGACAGAAAATAGATATGATTAGAGATAGAGTTTAAATTTATCAAAATATATAAAAGATTCTGAATTTTTTTCTAAAAGGAACTGTCAAATTTTATATATGTGTGTGTGTGTGTGTAAATATTTTCATTCTTCTTTGTATACACTTTTTAGGTTTCTATAACCAATTTCACAGATGTTTCATAAAAACAGAATTAATGATTATATCCTATTTTATTCATATTGGAGAATTTCATTTGCATTGAACTTGTTTCCAAATTCTATAAAATTTAATAACTTTTATAGGTAATACATAAATGATTTTACCATTAGTATAATTGTTTTTAATTGTGAGAGTAAACTCGAACAGAAAAGAAAATACAGTCACTGAGTTAAATATTTTGAGTTCATGCTTGGAAAGAGAAGAGAAGGGAACATCCTCAAACATAAATTCATGTAGTTCCATTTACCTTAGCTATGCTTGTATAACTATTACAATATTTACTACTTTCTTAACTAAATACGTCCATGTTTAAACAAAGATTTACATTTTCTAAAACTAGCTCTTTTTCCTTTCAGCCTTCCATAAAACCAACAATGCCAAAAAGATAATATCATGTATCTTACAACATAAAATATGCCAATGGTAAGTGTAGGTCCAAAGTGACATGCAGTAAAATAAAATAATCACAGCATACCTTTATCAAGTCTCCACTAACATTATTACAATAGATGTTGAGCCAATAATTGTGTGACTGACATATTTGAGAAAAATATTACTTTCCTTTTATTTTTATTTTAACACCTTTAATAAAATATAAAACCAGTCCTATTTGCCAATCAGCAAATCTAGGTTAATAATGTTTAATTTGCTTTCATGAGAGGTACACATGAAATTATTTTTTAGAGAAAGTGTTTTACTGATTGTAATCAGTTACACTCATATTTGAATTTTTCAGCTGCTGCCATAGATTATGATGATTATTTCACTCCTATGCTTTGTCTCACCCACCTGATCTGAACAAAATATCTCCCAACTTGACAGAAACTGATTTTAGTCTGTCTTCTTCCCTTTCCACAGGTCTACAGACCTCGATTCATTTTAAACTTAAGCAAGCATTGGAATTCAGAACAGTTCCTCTTTAATGGCCTCTCCTGAGAACTGACCACTTTCAGGGAAAATCATTACTGGCTCGACAGTTAGATCATGCCACTTGATCATCAAATTTACCTACACCTGTTGCTTTCTAGCCAAATGTCCTCCTCCCTATATAAGAAGACCCCATTCTGTCTAAACTTTGAGATAGGCATAGATTTTATCCTGAGAATATTCTCCCTTTCACAATGGTCTCCCTCCATTTATTGCAGTAGTCTATTTGAATACAATCTCTTCTTACTTAAATTTAGGTTTGTTTTTTATTTCATTGTCCATAAGGTATTTGTTAGTCAATTACATGATACAGTCAGGAAAAGCATGCACTAGTTTATCAGAAAAAATAAACAAACACTTATTTCTTGTTGTTTGTGTTGCTATAACAAAACACTTGAGACTGATTAATTTATAAACAACAGAAACTTATTTTTTTCCACAATTCTGGAGCCTAAGAAGTCCAAGATCAAGGTGCTGGCAGGTTTGGTGTTTGGTGAGTGCTGCTCCCAATATGGCGCCTTGTTGCTGCATCCTCAATAGCCGAGGGATGAAAGCTGTGTCCTCACGTGGCAGAAGGCAGAAAGGCAAAAAGGGCCTAGCTAGTTCCCTACAGCTTTTCCATAAGGTTGCTAATCTCATTCATGAGAGCACAGCCCTCATTGCCCTAATCGCCTCCTAACAGCCCCTCTTCTTAATAATGTTGCATAGGGGATTCAGTTTCAACAGGAATTTCAGAAAGGACAAGTATTCCAACTACAACAACTTCAAAAAACTCATCATAAAAAAAAAAATAGCTGCCAGTGCCAGGTCCTTAACACACAGGATTTCTACATGGCTATCTAGAGTATCAAGATATATATATATATATATATATATATATATATATATATATACACATATACATACATATATATGTATATATATAGCCATATATATATAGCCTGATATAGCCTGATATATCATTAGCCTTATTTTATAGAGGAGAAAATTTATGGGTTGACCACCAAGTTAGATCGGAGTTCTAGCACTCATAAACTTAACCACTACACCAAACTTCTTCCTAGCTACCACAAAACAATCTTAATTCTCCAGAAAATCAAAACTGCCACATCTTCATCAAAATACTGCTGTAAAGGGAGTTTTCTAAAATTCTGTTCAATTTAATAATTGTGAATGTTGAACTTTTAAATGATTTGTTAAAGTTGTATTTTACCTTAGATAGTGGATGTTAAACCACTTTAAAGTAGTATGCAAATTAAATGTGTCTGTATGTACATTTCAGCAAAAAAAAAAAAAAAAAAAATGTGAATGTGCCTACCTAGTGATTTCACAAATATTTTGGCAGCTTTAAGATAGAAATGATGGTATTAGAAACCAACTTAGTTGCTACGGCTTATCCCTGGGTTCTATGTCAGTTTGTAACCAAATACAGGTTCAACTGCTCACCACATGCAAAACTGAATAACAAGGACGTGGTGTGGTAAAAGAAAGTGACTTTACATTTTCCAAAGCTAGCCATGGGAAATGGATTTAGGCTCTTGCCCTAACCAAACAACCTCAGAATCCCAGGCAAGATGCAGGGGTTTAAGAAGGGGAAGTTTGGTGTGGAGGGCATTTGGTGCGGTGGGGGAATGCATCTGTGTAACTTGTTCTGTTTTTCTTTTTTTTTTTTTTTTTTTTTTGAGATGGAGTCTTGCTCTGTCGCCCAGGCTGGAGTGCAGTGGCGCCATCTCTGCTCACTGCAAGCTCTGCCTCCTGGGTTCACACCATTCTCCTGCCTCAGCATCCCGAGTAGCTGGGACTACAGGCGTCCACCACCACGCCTGGCTAATTTTTTGTATTTTTAGTAGAGATGGGGTTTCACCATGTTAGCCAGGATGGTCTCAATCTCCTGACCTTGTGATCCACCAACCTTGGCCTCCCAAAGTGCTGGGATTACAGGCGTGAGCCACCGCACTCCTCCTGTTCTGTTGTTTTATCTTGAGTTACTGCCATTATCTGGTGAATGGGCTGATGCTATCTCAAGATGACCAGGTTGGAAACTTAACTGTAGCCTTGAAATAATCTTCTGGTGGGGAAGAGTTCCACAGGGACTGAATTGGCTCAAGATTTAGTCTTTGGAACTTCTTTTCTTTTTTTTTTTTTTGAGACAGAGTCTCACTCTGTTGCCCAGGCTGGAGTGCAGTGATGCGATTTTGGCTCACTGCAACCTCTGCCTCCTTGGTTCAAGCAGTTCTCCCGCCTCAGCCTCCTGAGTAGCTGGGACCACAGGCACATGCCTCCACGTCCAGCTAATTTTATTTATTTATTTTTATTTTTATTTTATTTTATTTTGTTTTTTTTGAGACAGAGTCTCGCCCTGTTGCCCAGGCCGGAGTGCAGTGGCACAATCTCGGCTCACTGCAAGCTCTGCCTCCCTGGTTCACGCCCTTCTCCTGCCTCAGCCTCCTGAGTAGTTGGGACTACAGGCGCCCGCCACTATGCCCAGCTAATTTTTTTTTTTTTTTTGTATTTTTAGTAGAGGCGGGGTTTCACCGTGTTAGCCAGGATGGTCTCCGTCTCCTGACCTCGTGATCCGCTGGCCTCGGCCTCCCAAAATGCTGGGATTACAGGCGTGAGCCACCGCGACCGGCCTAATTTTTTTTATTTTTAGTAGAGATGGGGTTTCACCATGTTAGCCAGGATGGTCTTGATCTCCTGACCTCGTGATCCGCCCGCCTCGGCCTCCCAAAGTGCTGGTATTACAAGTGTTAGCCATTGCGCCTGGCCAGTCTTTGGAACTTCTAAGCAAACATGCATGTAACTAGCTATGCTAGCAATGTGAGGAGGTGACTAGTGGAAAGAAGGGAAAAAAAAGTTATATTTTCATTCCTACGCAAACAAAAAGGAACGAGAAGATGAAGAAGAAGAAGAAGGAGAAGGAGAAGAAGAAGAGGAGGAGGAGGGAGGAGGAGGAGGGAGGAGGAGGAGGGAGGAGGAGGAGGAGGAGGGAGGAGGAGGAGGGAGGAGGAGGAGGGAGGAGGAGGAGGGAGGAGGAGGAGGAGAAGGAGGAAACTTAAAAATAGAGTACTCACAAATTGAGAAACAGTAATAACTCTAAGTTTAGAGTTATTGATGCATTTTTTCTTCCTCCTATGGATTTTTAAAAAAATTTTTCATGTAGTTTTCTAGTTTTGAGTGTTTCTTAATCCTGGGTTCTAATTTGTGCTGTGGTCTGAGAGACTGTTTTGATTTTAGTTATTTTACCTTTGCTGAAGAGTGTTTTTAATTCCAATTGTGTCATCAATTTTAGAGTAAGTACCATTTGGCACTGAGAAAAATGTATATTCTGTTGTTTCTGGGTGAAGAGTTTTGTAGATATCTATCAGGTCCACTTGATCCAGAGCTGAGTTGAAGTCCTGAATATCTTTGTTAATTTTCTGTCTCAATGATCTAATAATGACAGTGATTTGTTAAAGTCTCCCACTATTGTGGTATGGGAGTCTAACTCTCCTTGTAGGTCTCTAAGAACTTCTTTTATGAATCTGGGTGCTCCCATATTGGGTGCATATGTATTTAGGATAGTTAGCTTTTCTTGTGGAATTGAACTCTTTACCATTATGTAATGCCCCCTTTTTTGTATCTCTGATCTTTGTTGTTTTAAAGTCTGTTTTGTCAGAAACTAGGATTGCAACCCTATTTTTTTCTGCATACGATTTGTTCGTAAATTTTCCTCCATCCCTTTATTTTGAGCCTATGTGTGTCTTTGTGCGTGAGATGGGTCTCCTGAATACAGCACAACAATGGGTTTTGCCTCTTTATCAAATTTGCCAGTCTGTGTCTTTTAATTGGGGCATTTAGCCCATTTACATTTAAGATTAGTATTGTTGTCTTTTAATTGTGGCATTTTGTCCATTTACATTTAAGATTAGCATTGTTGTCTGTGAATTTGATTCTGTCATGACGCTAGCTGGTTATTTTGCAGACTTGTTAATGTAGTTGCTTCATAGTGTCATTGGTCTGTATACTTCAGTGTGTTTTTGTAGTGTCTGGTAATGGTTTCCTTTCCATATTTAGTGGTTCATTCAGTAGCTCTTGCAAGGCAGGCCTGGTGGTGACAAATTCCCTCAGCATTGGCTTGTCTTAAAAGGATTTTATTTCTTCTTCATTTATGAAGCTTAGTTTGGCTGGACATAAAATTCTGTGTCAGAAATTCTTTTTTTTTTTTTTTTTTTTTTTTTTTTTTTAACAAATGTTGTATATTGGCCCTAATTCTCTTCTGGCTTGCAGAATTTCCACTGAGAGGTTTACTGTTAGTCTGATAGGCTTTTCTTTGTGGTTAACCTGACTTTTCTCTCTGGCTGCCCTCAACATTTTTTCCTTCATTTAGACCTTGGCGAATCTGATGATTATTGTCTTGTGGTTGATCTTCTCATGGAGTATCTTACTGGGGTTCTCTGGAACTCCCAAATTTGAATGTTGGCCTATCTTGTTAGGTTGGGAAAATTCTCCTGGATGGTTTTCTGAAGTATATTTCTAACTTGGTTCCATTCTCCCCATCTCTTTCAGATACCTCAATCAGCCATAGGGTTCCATCTTGTTACATAATTCCATAGTTCTCAGAGGTTTTGTTCATTCTTTTTCATTCTTTTAAATCTAATCTTATCTTCCTGTCTTATTTCAGAAATATAGTCCTCAAGCTCTGAAATTCATTCCTCTGCTTGGTCTATTTGGCTATTGATACTTGTGGTTGCATTGTGAGGTTCTCGTGTTGTGTTTTTCAGCTCCATCAGGTCATTTATATTTCTCTCTAAACTGGTTATTCTGGTTAACAGCTCCTGTAATGTTTTATTATCGTTCTTAGCTTCTTTGAATTGGGTTAGAACATACTCCTTTAGCTCAGTACAGTTCATTGTTACCCACCTTCTGAAGCCTACTTGTGTCATTTCATCCATCTCAGCCTCAGCCTAGTACTGTGCCCTTGCTGGAGTGGTGTTGCAATCATTTGGAGAAGAGGCACTCTGACTTTTTGAGTTTTCAGCATTTTTGCTTTGAATCTTTCTCATCTTCATGGGTTTATCTACCTTTGATCTTTAAGGCTGCTGACCTTTGGATGAGGTTTTTATGGGGGTGTTTTTGTTGATGATGTTGTTGTTGTTGTTCTTTTTTATTTATCTTTTAACAGTCAGGCCCCTCTTCCATAGGGCTTCTGCAGTTTGCTGGGGGTCCACTCCAGACCCTATTTACCTGGGTTCCTCCCACACCTGGAGGTATCACTAGCAGAGGCTGCAGAACAGCAAAGGTGGCTGCCTTCTCCTTCCTCTAGGAGCTCTACCCTGGAGGGGCACCAACCTGATACCAGTGGGAACACTCTTATATAAGGTGTCTGGTGACCCCTGTTGGAAGGCCTCACCCAGTCAGGAGGCACGGGATCAGAGACCTGCTTAAAGAAGCTGTCTGGCTGCCCGTTGGTGGAGCAGGTGCACTGTGCTGGGGGAATCCCTACTGTCCAGACTGACTGGACTCTTCAGAGCCAGTGGCAGGAGAGACTAAGTTTGCTGAGCCATGGAGATTGCAACCACCCCTCCCGCTAGGGGCTCTGTCCCAGCCAGATCAGACTTGTCTGTAAACCCCTGGCTAGAGTTGCTGAAATTCCCACAGGGAGGCCCCACCCAGTGAGGAGGGATGAATCTGGGACCCACCTAAAGAAGCAATCTGGCCATAATCTGCCACAGCCACTGTTCTGTACTGTGGGGAATTTCCCCCAGTCCAAACCACCCAGTCTCCCTGGCACCAGCTGGGGAAAACAGCTGGCTGGAGCTTCAGTGATGGTGGCTGCCCCGAATTTGATAATTTTTAATGCTATGTGGTAGTATTTGATGCAAATAGGCTTAAAATAGTTTTTTATGACAATATTGATGGAGATGTTTTCTAATAGTTCACTACAGAAAACAGTGTAGCGACGATTATCTTTATGCCTATGTTCAGTCATGTTTATGCAATGCTTTTTCTAATACATTCTTAAAACAGAATTTCTATGATAGTACATTATTGGTTAAAATTTGTTCCCACAGAATTTATATATTGAATTCTTAACTCCTAGTACCTCCAAATGTGACCTTATTTGGAGACAGAGTTTTAATAGTGATAATCAACTGAAGATGTGGTCACTCTAATCCAATAAGACTGTTGTCCTTACAAAAAGGAGGAAATTTGAACACAGCCATGTACATTCAGGAAAAACACCGTGTGATGATAAAGGTAAAAGACATTAGACATTAAAGATTGCCATCAAACCACGAGGAGATAGGGGAGAAGCATGGACCAGATTCTCCCTCACAGCTCTCAGAAGAAACCAATTCTGCTGACACTTCAATCTGAATCTTTTAGTTTCCAGAACTGTGAGCCAGTAAGTTTCTATTGCTTATGTAGCCCAATATGTTGTGTCTTTTTATGGAAGTCCTAGGAAATTAATCCATGGGATATGTGCATTTTTTACCAGATGCTACTAAATATCCTTGAAATCAATTTCACTTCTACCAGAAGTTTTTTTTTTTTTTTTTTAATGTCCATTTGGGGAAACTTAACTCACCAAAGAAATCATCAGGTCTAGAAGCTCTTCTACTCTTAAAAGATAGAGGTAAAGAAACTGTGTTTCTCTCTCAGACCCTTCTCTTCAGTAATATACATACCAAAGTGTTAGGAGAATCATTGTTTATTCTCTTAATCACAGTCACTATCTTCTACTTTCTCAAGCCAGAATTCTGGTGAATTTTTCTCTCTGATATAAGGCTTACAATTATAATTATTATTTATTACATTACTACTATATTAACACTTTTCTAAGCACTTTACATAAATTTAATTTTCAAACCTTTTATATTAAGTCGTTTCTATGGCTTCTAAGTTAGGGCTGAGAAAGCTCAGGCTCAGAAAATATTAATAAATGTCCAACATCACACAACAAGCAGGAATTAGAATGTGAGCCCAGCTTCTCTGACCATTACTCTCTGAACTCTCAGAACATGTGGTGGGCAGGATAATTCCCTTGCAAAGAAGTCCATGCCTTAATCCCCAGAACGTATAAATATGTTTACATGGCAAATGGAGAATTAAAGTGGCAGATGATATTAAGTTTGCTAATGGGCTGACCTTAAAAAAGAGAAATTCTTCTAATTATTTGATTGGGCCCATTGTAACTACAAGGATTTTTACTAGGGAAAGAGGGAGGCAGAAGGCTCTGGAGATGTGAGCATGACAGAACATCACAGTCAATGCAACCTTACCACATTTTGAAGAGAGAGGAAAGGGCCCATAAGCCAAGGAATGAGGATGACCTCCAGAAGCTGGAAAACTCGTGGAAACAGATTCTGCCGTAGAGCCTCCAGAAAGGAGCAGAGCTCTGCTGGCATCTTGATTTTAGTTTAGTGAGAACTAGGTCAGACTTCTGACCATCAGAGCTGTAAGATAATAAATTTGTGTTGTTCTTAAGCCACTATGTTTGTAATCATTTTTACAGTATCAATAGGAAATGAGTAAGTATTCATCACTGTCTTTTTATTTGCAGATGACAGAGACACATACCTGTCTAGCTTGAGAAAAAAAGTAACTTATTATCTCATGTCAAGATAGAAAGGTACAGAGGAATGACTAGAACCATGTAGGCTCTCTCCTTATCTCTGGTGTTTAGTTTCGGTGCCAGCTTCCTTCTCTTTCTCCACAAAACTCAAAGAAGATGTCAAATCCTCATCCCAACAATCAGAGGCACAAAGCCTTGGGTAGGCCAAATTTGTTACCTAGTTATCTGTCCTAAAACAAACACAGAAGCAAAGGGGCTAGGTAGTACTAACATCTTAGCTCCTTAGAAAACCAGACAGTTGGCCGGGCGCGGTGGCTCGCACCTGTAATCCCTGCACTTTGGGAGGCTGAGGTGGGTGGATCATGAGGTCAGCAGATGGAGACCATCCTGGCTAACACGGTGAAACCCCATCTCTACTAAAAACACAAAAAATTAGCTGGGCATGGTGGCACGCACCTGTAGCCCCAGCTACTCAGGAGGCTGAGGCAGGAGAATGGCGTGAACCCAGGAGGCGGAGCTTGCAGCCTGTGGAGATGGCACCACTGCACTCCAGCCTGGGCGACAGAGTGAGACTCCATCTTTAAAAAAAAAAAAGAAAAAAGAAAAGAAAACCAGACAGATGACGTAAAGACAGCTGTAATATGTATATTGGAAGACCACTCAAGCATCTATTATCAATCCAACCTGTTTTTGCCTTAACTGGGCAGTGACATATCTTAATTTATGACATCCCTTCTGTCTGTTGATGATAAATAAAATTAGAAGAAATAAAATGAAATGATGTAAAATAAAATTAATCTGGTTATTTAGAAGAATTGGAACCATCAATATAATCACAAGCGAAGCTTACCCTACTGTATGCATTTTCTACTGCTGCTTTAACAAATTACCACACATTTTGTAGCTTAAGCGGCACAAATGTATTATCTCACAGTTCTGTAGGTCAGTGGACTTGGCTTGTCAAAAGATTGAAATCCAGGAGTCAGCAGGGCTAATTTCTATCTGCAGTCTCTGGGGTTAAATCTGTTTCCAAAAACATTCAGATTGTTGGCAGCATTGAGCCCATGTGGCTATAGGAATAAAGCCCTGGCTTCTTGGTTGGCTGTTGGCCAAGGGTCTTTTCAGCTTCCTGGAGGCTGCCTGACTCAATTTCCAGAGCTGGCAATGGCAGTCCAGTCCTTCTCATGCTTGAAATCTCTCCTGTGCCTCCCATTTCTGCTGCGTGTCTCTGATTCATCTCTTCCTCCCTCTTGTGCTCTTCTTACACATCCACATGAGTACTCTGAGCACACCTAGATGAACCAGGATAATCTCCCCTTCTCTAAGCCAGTCAACTTAATGACATCGAATATAAATTTGTAATGTATTCACAGGTACCAGGGATTAGCGAGTGGGCATTTTTGGTGAGGGGAATATTATTATGTCTATGGCACCATCATAAATTTAGGTCAGATTTAAGATATAGTATAGGTATAGTATAAATATATATTTTATTTGCCATGGGTGAACTTTGAATACATTGGAATCTCTAGTAAAATTAATGTATATTTTATATCATTCCCCATTTTTATGTCTTAAAAATTTCTTAAGTTTTTTAGTATAATAGTTATACAGGTCTCAGGTCTATGATAGCTTTCTTTTTTTTTTTTTTTTTTTTGCTTTGTAACATATTATGGTTATTTCTATTACAGGAGGTATACACTGAGTTCCAATCCTGGTTAGGGTTATAGCCAGTATTACAATGTGCTTCTATTAGATTACAGTGTTCTTAATAAGAAATGTGTTCTAAGACAGAGACTTCCAGTTAGACACTGATATGACTAACAGAGTATGCCCATTCTTGTTTGGCTTAAAAAGACGCATGTAGCTTTAAATGGTAAAAGGAATAATGCAGGCACAGATAGAGGTTCCACAGGACTCTTAAATCTTAGTGCTGAAGTAAACTCTGAGAAAGGGGTAATTGCCAACTGAAAGAAAGCAGACTCCTCCGGGGCATTTATGAGAACTCACTTCCTAGCCCAAAACTGATGGAATTCATAGAGAAAAGGAGTGCCATGGAGAAAACAGTATGATTTTTTTTTTTTTGGAAATAATCAATCTATTTCATAATCATATTAAATGAGTAGAATGGAATCTGTTTAAACATACAGTGGTTGCAGTCTTCCAGACAATAGCATAGAGAATGTTTAATAATAAGGTGATGTAAATAAGGAAAAGTGTTCTCACATGGCCATATGGTTGTATTTTCTGTGAAAATGTCATTTTTCCTCAGGGTTATGTTATTCCTTTTAGATTTGAAGATAATTTATTTATTTTGTTAATGTTATTTAATACTTCTCTAGAATATTTATGTAATTGGAAAGGCATTTTCAGTGACTTTTATTAGAACATTCTGATAATAAATATATTGATGGGAGTTAAGAAGATGTCAAGAAAATGAAAACTTGTGGGTGGTTATATTTAGAATCCCACGAAGCTGAGTAATGTAAGAAGAAAAAGCAGCTACACACAGAATATGATGATTGCAGACGCCTGAAAGCTGAACAAAGGGCACACAAACCCTGCTAACTCATTCTCAGAGTCAAAAGATGGTCCCTCTCCCTCCCTACTAATATTTCCAAATCTGCTCAAAGAACAAACCCCCCAATCTATCAGAAAGACATATTACTAGTGACAGTAGCAGCAGTTTTGTAGTTGTCCAATATGAGCTATTCCACTTTCATCTCAGGGATAATGAGGCCCACCTACAATTATACTACCACTCCCTGATATTTTTCACTTTCAAGTAACATGCATTTTTACTGAGGTGGTAAATGTGCTCTGTTTTACTAAATAGCTATGTAAGGATTTACTTTGAAGGAAATCATTGTTTTGTGGGATTGGAAGAAAAGAAGAATGTGTTTCTTTTTTAAAAAACGAATAGTCTTCTATCCTACAGTGACATTATCGTTTGACAGATTCTGAAGTTGTGGGAAGTTTGAAAAAAAATTTTTGATTAAATTCTTTTTCTGACCATAAACATTTCCATTATAAATAATATTTACCTTTCATCTGATAGCCTTCCACATTTTATATTCTTTAAAGTTTACAAATATTTTATTAATTGAAACAAACGGGGTGTGCAGAGAAAGCTACTAGCTTTTGAGATGAAAATTGTTATATATATATATATATATGAATATAAGTTTTATATGCAAGCACATTTCTAGAAGTTTACACAATTATTTGTATCAATCAGGGTCCAAACAAGAAACAGATGGCACACTCAAATTAGAATAATTTGATGAAGGTTTATTTACCAAGAAATTAATTACAAAGGTGTGGATGTGTATAGGAAACCGAAAGAAACGAATAGTGCAAAATTCTTGACTATTAGTAGCAGGACTGTTATCACATGTAAGGCTGAAGGGATTTTTTTAAAAAATGAAAGAGGCTTCCAAATGTTGAAAAGAGGAAGAATCTAATAGAACAGGTTGTCATTAGAGGAACAAAGACAACCTAAGTTGCTCTCACACTTAGGCAACAAGAATAAGGACCTTGACCTCATTCTCATTTCTCGTTTCTTCATCTGAATCCAACAACCAATCCTGAGAGGCCGAGTGTCCTGTCCATATATGGTTCATATGAATCAGCATCTCAGCAAACACACACACATACATGCACACAAACACACACACACGGAGGAGGGGGTGTACAGCATATTGGGAGAGGCAAATAGAAGAAATGTACCACCGTACTCTTAACTATGCTTCACTAGGTTTCTTGCAGTGCATTCATTGTCATGAATAGCTTTGTCATCCAGAAATTTTTACATTTTTAGCTCTTAATTACTTATTAAAACTGGCTCATAGAAAGTGTTTGCCAGTAAAGAATGAACAACACTGTAGTAAATAACTTCTTTTAGAAAACCTTTCTTTTTTTTGGTCTGAATTGAGTTACAATGGTGCATTTCTTAACAACACAGACATATTCTGAGAAATGCATTGTTAGGCAATTTCATCACTGTGTAAACATCATAGAGTGGACTTACATAAACCTGGATGGCATAGCTTACTACACACCTAGGCTATACGATATAGCCTATTATTCCCAGGCTTACTACACACCTAGGCTATATGATATAGCCCATTATTCCCAGGCTTACTACACACCTAGGCTATACAATATAGCCTATTATTCCCAGGCTTACTACACACCTAGGCTATACGATATAGCCTATTATTCCCAGGCTACAAACTTGTACATGTTACTGTACTGAATATTCTAGGCTGTTGTAATACAATGGTATTTGTGTATCTAAACGTATCTAAATATAGAAAAGGTAAAATAAATATACAGTATTATAATCTTATGAGAATGAAATGTCATTATGATGTGTTTGATTATATTTCATTGATATTTTCTGAAATTATATTAAATAGACAAAAATTAATCTTTTAAATGGTAAACATTACCAAAGTGATTTGGGGATAATTTCTGTTTTTCTCCAGAGAAAGTAGAGGAATTGCTCATGTTAAGAACATCATATTGGTTTAACAATTTGTTTGTATATTTTGACATAGTTCTTATAGTAAACGTGGTGGTTACCTAATTGGCTCTCCTAATTTTATAGCAGAGAAGAGTACGTCTTCTGTGCTAAAATGTCAAACTGAAATTTCAACCTAGCTCTGCTGATAGATTATTATTTTAGTCCATTTTGTGCTGCCAAAGCTATATAAGAGAATACTGAAAACTGGGTAATTTATAAAGAATGGAAAGTCATTGGCTTACAGCTTTAGGAACTGGGAAGTCCAAAATCAAGGTGTCAGAATCTGGAGAGAGCCTTCTTGCTGTGTCATCCCATGATGAAAGGTAGAAGGGCAGATACAGAGAGAGAAAGAGAGAGAGCAAACTTCTTCCCTCAAGCCCTATATAATGGCATTGATTCATTCATGAGGATTCCACCCACATGACATAAACACCTCCCTTTAGACCCCACCTCCCAACATTGTTTCATTGGGGATTGACTTTTCATGTGAGTTTTGGAATGAACAAAATCATTCAATGCATATCACTTATATAATACTGAAATATGAAAATTACATAAAAAAGAGGTGTTAACAACTTGGTTTCAAATTCTACCTCTGTCACATTAATTGCATGTTTTTGACAAGTCACTTAATTTCTCTCAGCCTAGCTTACTTTTTGTTAATATAGAGTATCATTAAATTATTTTCTCATAAGGGCTGAAGTGAGAAAAACATAGCCAATATCTGAGAAAACACTTAACATAAGTTAAATAATTATTTTGGAAAATGAAGTACAGTTTATAGTTCTCTATTTCTCTGTCTTACACACACCAATACATACACACTCACATGTTCACAAAGACGGAGTATAAGCTGGTTCTACTGGCCTTGCTCATGATGAAATGCAAGTGCATTGTTTTGTAAGACATGGGCAGCCTTCACTGTTTGTTCACTGAATTGGACTACTGAAAATATTTTAGCAAATCCCACCAAAAAGCTTCAGAAATTAAAACTTTTGTCCATATGAAAGGTTTCAGGCATCAATGTAGCTGTTTCACCATGAATTCTTCCTTTTTTTTTTTCTTCTGTCCTGTAGATAATACAGTTTTGAGCCTCCTTTTCCTAACATAGGCAATTTTGGCAGGAAGGAAAAGCAGAATTTGTTTCCGGGACCCTCTCTTTGTTTGGCATTTGTTTTCTAAAACCAAAACTACTGAAGAAATCAGTCTCGCTTCCCTGAAGGAAGAAGAGATAGAAGGAGACATGGACAGAAATAATTTCTTTCAGGCTAACAAGAGAATTGGGGGAACAGAGGAAGCAAACTGTGGTGTAGATCTGTGATTAGGACAATCAATGGTGATATTTAATCCACTTTGAAGTTTTCCAGAAAAGAATCAGAAACTCGAAGTGGAAACATTTTATGGTTGCCAGCTCTGGTAAAGATTTATAAGGTAGAGAGGCATCAGGACAGAGGAAACTGAGAGAACCATGTGAAATGAACCTGTGGGTTTCCTAGAGGGAAGCAACACACACTGATGATCAAAAACTACAGGGAACTATTTATGTTAACTTATTTTTTATTTTTTATTTTTTTGCTGCTGTCCATGGCCAAAGTTGAATTTTCTACCTGAAAATAGGAAGGAGACACATACCTAAAATTACATTATTTTTGCAATTAATGACATTGAAAATAACATAATATAATTCTTGCTTGTGAAGAATGAGCCTTATCTGATACATTCGAAGAGTCTACGCCTATGGCTTAAGGCAGTGGTCCCCAACCTTTTTAGTAAGAGGGACCCGATTTTGTGGAAGATAATTTTTCCACAAATGAAGAGTGAACATTAGATCTCTCACATGCGCAGTTAACAATAGGGTTCCGGCTCCTACGAGAATCTAATATCATGGCTTTCTGAAAGGGGGTGGGGAACTCAGGCAGTAATGCTAGTTCACCCACCACTCACCTCCTGCTGTGCCGCCTGGTGCCCTACAGGTCATGGACTGGTACCGGTCCGTGACTGGGGACCCCTGGCTTAAGGGCTTCAGTAAGTGAGAGTAACAGGTAAAAAAAATATCACTTTAGGTGATATTTTACCCTGATGTTCACTATCCGGAAAAGCTAATAAGGGTACATACCATGCCTACGCTGAACTGTAATCAGGCACGCCACTCAGGTTTTATTGTGTTTGTTTTGTTTTGTTTGAGACAGGCTTTCACTCTGTCACCCAGGCTGGAGTGCAGTGGCACAATCACGGCTCACTGCAGCCTCGACATCCCGGGATCAAGCGATCCTCCAACCTCAGCCTCCCAAAGTCTGGGATTACAGGTGTGAGCCACCACACCCAGCTGTTGTTTTGGTTTTAACTGTGAATTTGTATGTTCAATTAAGTTCTGTCTTTACACGGTGGGGCGATTTTCTTCAAGTGTATTTTTATACCTTTACTAAGCATTTTTTTAAAATGCAGCTTTATTGAGTTATAATTAACATACAATATATGACGCACATGTAAAGGTACAATTTGCTAATATATACAGTAATCCCACAGTATCCATGGGGAAATTGGTTCCAGGATTTCCACAAATAAACCAAAATCCACAGATGTTCAAGTTCCTGATATAAAATTGTGTAATATTTGCATCTAACTCACACATCCTCTCATATATGTCTAGATTAAAAATAATAGCTAATAATTACATATAATAGCTAATAATTTGCTATCTCTAGATTACATGTAATAGCTAATACAATGTAAAAGTTGTTATATTTTTCATTTGTGAAATGTTCAGTTTTGTATTGTAATTTTGTATTTGTTTTCAAATAGTTTTAATCAATGGTTGGTTGAATCTGTGGATGTGAAACCTGTGGATATGAAGGGCTGACTGTACACCCACCAACCCATCATGAAAATCAAAATAATGGACATATTGATCACTCCCCAAAGTCTCCTCATTTTCCTTTGTGATTCACCCTTCTGTTTCTCCCACCCTTTACCAAACCCTACCAACAGCTTCTCTCTCCCCGCAGGTAACCTCTGGTGGGTTTAAGCCATGATAAATTAGTTTGCCTTTTCCAAGTTTTATGTAAATGTGGCCTTACAATATAAATTCTTTTTTTCTCAGACTTCTTTCACTCAGCATAATAATTTTGAAATTTGTCCACTTTGTTATGAGTATCAATTATTCATCCTTTTTATTGCCGAGTTGTATTTTCTTTTATGGCTATACCAATATCTCTTTATACATTTAGCTGTTAATGGATATTTGGGTTGTATGTAGTTTTTGCTTTTTAAAAATAAAAAGACTATGAACATCTATGTGCAACTGTGTGTGTAGACTTATACTTTCTACTCCCGTATGGTAGAATGTCTACTTTCTACGATCGTGTATGTTTAACATTTTAAGAAACTGCAAAACTCTTTTCCAAAATGGATGTAATATTTTGCATTTTCACTAGATGTATATAAAAATTCCAGTTTCATCTTCATCAATACTTGGTATAGGTAGCCTTTTTAAATTAATTTGTTTATTTTTATTTATTTATTTATTTTTTGAGACTGAGTCTCGCTGTGTCGCCCAGGCTGGAGTGCAGCGGCGCGATCTCGGCTCACTGCAAGCTCCGCCTCCCGGGTTCACGCCATTCTCCTGCCTCAGCCTCCCTAGTAGCTGGGACTACAGGTGCCCGCCACCACGCCCAGCTAATTTTTTGTATTTTTAGTAGAGACGGGGTTTCACCGTGTTAGCCAGAATAGTCTCGATCTCCTGATCTCATGATCTGCCCGCCTCGGCCTCCCAAAGAGCTGGGATTACAGGTGTGAGCCACTGCGCCCGGCCACTAGGTAGCCTTTTTAATCTAGCCATTCTAATATGTGTGTAGGCTTATTTCATTGTGTGTTTCCCTGATGACTAATGATGTTGGAGATATTTTCACGTGCTTATTTGCTATCCATATATATACTGTTGCAAACTATCCATTTTTTTTTGTCTATTTCAAATTGTATGTTTGTTGTTGTTGTGTTATTACTGAAGTTTTATAATTTTTTTATATATACTAGATATGAGTTCTTCATTAGATATGTGATTTCCAAATATTTCCTTTTGATGTATGGACTGTATTTCACTTTTATCAATGTTTTCAAAGACAATAAGTTTTAAATTTGATAAATAAGTTATCAACTTGTTATTTTTGGATTATGAAATACAAAACAGAAAAATAATACAGAAAATTAAATTAAAGCTGTTTCACTGAGATAAATAAAATTGATAAACATCTAGCCAGACTGTTTAGAAAAACAAATAGAGAAGACACAAATTACTGATCTTAAGAATGAGAGCAGGATCATGCTTATATGTTGTAAAGATACTAAAAGAAATACAACAGAATATTATGAAGAATTTATGGCTTTACATTCAACATCTTTACAGAGTGGTACAAATTCCATGAAAGACACAAACTTCCAAAGCTCACTTAGAAAGAGATAACATGAATAGCCTTAAATGTATTAAGGTAACTGAATTTGTAGTTAAAACATTGTCACAAAGAAAACTCCAGACTTAAATGGCTTTCTTTATAATTTCTACAAACATTTAAAGACGTAAAACCAATTTTATATAACTCTTTCAGAAAATTGAAGATGAGGGCATACTTCTTAACACATTCTATGAGGCCAGCATTACCCCGATGATAAAACTAGAAAAAAGACTTTGTAAAAAAAGAAATCTACAGATACCCTTTATGCATTTAGACATGAAAATTCTAAATAAAATTTAGCACGTCAAATCCAACTGTATATAGTGAATAAAGATTATAACTATTGACCAAGTGTGAAAAAAAATTATCCCAGGAATGCAAGGTTGATTTTGCAATAAAAACCTATGAATACAATTCACAATAATGACAAACTAAACATTAAAAACCAATGATCCTCTCAATAGATGCAGAAAGAGCACTTGAAAAAATCTAACATGTCTCGTAACAACTTTCAGCAAATTAGAAATAGATGGAAACTTCTATTGCCCCATAGCTCACTTATGCTTTTTTCACTTTTAAAATTATGTATTTCTCGCAGTGTCTTTTTATGAAGTTACTGTCATAGTTTTTAAATTTTACCAAATTTTTTCTTCTGCAATGTCTATCTGCCATTATTTCCATCTAGTATGTTTTCATCTCACACGTTGTGTTTTCATCTCTGAAAGGTAGTATATGCCTCTACTTAACTTTTTAAACTCATAGAATGCAGTTTTAATAACAGTTTTTTAAGGTACTTTTCTAATTGTAAAATCTGTGACAGTTCTGATGTAGTTTCAAATGATTAATTTTTCTCCTCATTATGTGTCTTATTTTCCTGTTTCTCGAACTTTGTTCTGAGATGCAGTTAAGTTATACAAAAAGAGTTTGATTTTTCAATTCTTGCTTTTAAGGTTTGTTAGCTAGGATCAAAGCAGTATTTGGCCTAGGAATAACTCTTTCTCACTATAGAGACAAGACTTTCTTTTTTTCAGTATTCTACCCAATAGCTATGAATTATGAAATTTCTCCAGGCTGATTAGTAGGAACAGGCATTATTCCAGGCTCTTTGCATAATCTGTTCCTAAATCGCTAAACTTTTCTGGTGGTTCTGCTCTAGAGTCAGGTAGTTTCCTCGGGTATCTGCACTGATCAATACTGCATACGAGGTGTAAGGGAAGGGGAGAAGGGGTGTTTATACATATCTTTGCAGCTTTGTCTCCCCTTCTGTTCTGGAAACCCTAGTCACATTGGCTTCCAAAGATGCCTGGCATCTTCTCCTCAACTCAGAAAGTCTAACAGGCTCCACTAGTTTTCTCCTCCCTCCACCACAGCCTAGAAACTTTAGGCTACATAGCCTGGGCCGTCCCGGAGCTCACATTGTTTTCTGTCTTTCCTTGTCTGTTCAGCATCTTATAAACTAGGGTTTCGATATTTTTTAGTTGTTTCACATGGGAATGTAAATATGGTCTATTTTATTCCATCTTTTTCAAAAGTAGAAATAAATATACTTCTCTTTCCTTTTTTTTTTTACTAATTATGGCACAGATGGCTTAACGAATGTCTATTGAACATATAGTAATGGTCAGACTCTATGCTATTGTATGTCATACAAATTATACCAAAGTTGTAAAACTATGGAATAAAAACGAAAATATATTATCTTTTTTCCTACTTTCTTATTTACTTTGTTTATGTGTATATAATTCTGGGATGCAGTTAAACAAAATAGGACACATATTTTTATGTGCTCGTCATCTTTCTCTGAAGGAAAAGATATTTTCTTACACATTATTAATCCCTTTGTTTAAAACCTCAAATCCAGAAAGTTGAATGAATCATACTATTCATGGTATTTTATCATTGTTGGTTCATTCAATTATCCTCTCTTTTTTTATTCCTCCTTCTCTCCCTCCCTCAAACATCCTTCTTCCTGTCCTTTCCTTCCTTTCTTCTCTGTTTGTAGGTGTTTTTCTTCCATTCCTCCTCAGAAACAACAATTCAAATATATTTAGTATGCATTTACATTTATGTGTTTTAAAAAAATGTATATAGATTACATGCAAATATTTTTAATTTAAATAAATAATAAGGTGCTTTGCATGATTCTTTTTTTTGCTTTTTTTGTTACTTAGAGCTGTATTTATAAGATCCAGCCATGCTCTGTTATGTGCATGTGTGTCTGTGTGTGTTTTTTTCTTTTAATTGCTATAAGTTGTGTATCCACTATACTTCGCCACCTGCTTTCCAAGTGATGGACACCCAGGTTGCCAGTAACTCTTTACTATCTCATTATGCTATGTATTGAGTGTCCTAATAAATGACCCCTTCTGGATCTGTGTAAGAAATTCTGCACTATGTATTCCCAGGAACAGACTTCCCTGAACAAAATGTATGCATAAGAGTTATTTGACTTTGTATTAACTGGTTGTTATCCAGAATGGATTCTGTAGTCTACAGTGACAACACCAGTGCTCCAAAGTTTCTGTATTCTAGCGTGTATGCACATACCTAGAATGAATCTGTTTTTAAAGTTTTGCCAGAGAAATAGGTATAAGCTAATATTTCATTGTTGCTTTCATTTGCATGATTTTTATTTCAAATGACTTGTGCATCTCTTCATATGCTTATTAGCACTTAAGTCTTTCTCTTCTGTAAATGACACTTTCTAACCTTTGCTCATTTGTCTGTTGGAATTATTATGTAATTTTTGTTGATTTTCAAAATCTCCTTGTTATATGTTTTTTGTATATTTATTTTTGCCAATTTTAAATATGTAAATATAATCTCCCCTTCTGTCATCCTTCTAATAGTTTTGTTTATAGTGCCGTTCACTAATAGAAATTGTTAATTATGATGTAATTCAATTAATCCTCTTTTATATGTTGGTGAGAAGTTTTATATAGGAATTTTTTCTCCCTAGGTTAGAGATACTTTCTACATTTCCTTCTACTAACTTTGTAGCTTTTCCTTTCACTTTTCTGTAATTAATCCAATTGGAGTGAATTTGGTATTATATAGAGATATAGTTTTAGGTTTTCTCATATTGTGAACCAATTTTTATAGATTGAACAATGTATTATTGTCCTTTTGATTCATAGTAACATATTTATAGTATTTTATATTCCTATACACATAGTTCTGCCTCTGAACTCTTAATTCAATCTATTTATCTATCATTCAGCCAAGCTGTACTGTTCTAATTACTAGGCCTTTGTGATATGTATTAGTTATTTATCTTATATGTTTAAGCTTCCTTCCTTTTATATTTTCAAGCCTTCCTTCGGCCATCTGGGAGTTTCTCAATCTGATATTCCAATCTACCAATTTCCTCTTTACTGCATCTTTACTATTATGAGCTGTATATATTTTGCTCTTATTTCACCCATTACAGTTTCATATATGATATTTCAAATTGTTAGTTACTGCTAATACCTTTATTTTCCTATTTAAAATGATTGCCCGTTGCAATAATTTGGTTTCACGATTGTGTTTGTCAAGGTCTTTTAGAGTGTTTGTCCTTCTCAGATATCTAGGTTTTGGCCTCTGAGCTCAAGTTGCCTTAAGGTTATCAGATATAATCTGCTAATATGCACTGAGTAAGGCTACAAAGTCAGACCATTTTTTTCTGACAGTCTCAGCCAGTTTGATTATTACTATGTTATGTCAGTCTTTCAGAAAAATCTTACAGTCTTAAAATAATGCCCAAGGAGTACTCAGTTGACAACTGTTTTCTCCAACTTCTCACCCCAGCCAGGCTTCTTAAATGCACTGATAAAACCTCAAGACACTAGCACAGATGGCCTAGGCTACTGCTTGGGGTTTTCTTCTGAAGAAACAGTGTTGCCAGGAGCCTATGCAGGAACAAAATTTAAAACATTTTCCCTAACCTCTCTGTAGGTTCCAGGGGCAGTATTTTTTAGATGACAGCCGTGTTCTGCCTAAGCACACAAGTCCAAAACAACATCCGATCTTCCCATGGATGTCTTGTGTTGTTGCTTAGTTACCATTATTGTTATTGTTTGATTGATTAGTTCTTGGAGTGCATGTTTCCCGCCTGCCTTTAATTTCCCCAGCACTGAGTTTTGAGGAGGGAGTCATAAACTCCTGCTGTGTGCTATCTTTTCAGGAAGCTGTTAAAGTTTCTTCTTATCCATCTTTCTTCTATTTGTGCCAATGGACTAAGGCAGAAATAAAAAGTACTTCACCATATATTCATAGGCTTTTAATACATTTTAATTAACTTCTATAAAATTTTGCTATTTATTTTTAACCCCAAATTGATTTTTTTTTAATTTTAAGGCATATTGTATTTCCACATGTGCTCATCGTACCTGGCATGCTGTGTAGAAACTAAGATGCATCCTCACTAACAGTAGTGATTGTCTTAATCAGTATTTTGTTCTGAAAAATTATTTAATTTAGTCTTTGTATTAAACTATTATTTTAGATATTATTTTCACCAGTTTTTCCATGAAAAAATCATTAGATAAATAACTTTTCTTGAATCTCAGCGCTTGCATTTGAACTGAGGTCTGAATTGGTCAGAATCTAAGTTTGTAGTCATTACAATCTATTGTCCTCCAGTGCTGAGTAAACACTGGCAAGCATTTACTTGTTAAAAGTAAGAAGGAAGAAAGAAAGAGAGAAAGAAAGGAAGGGAGAGAGAAAAGACAGGAAGGAGGAAAGAAAAGAAGGAAGGAAGGAAAAAGGAAGGAAGGGAGGAAGGAAGGAAAGAAGGAAGGAAGGATGGGAAGGAAAAAGGAAGGAAGGAAGGAAGGACGGAAGGAAGGATGGAAGGGAAACAAGAACTAAAAAACAAAAAAAAAAAGAAAAAAGAAAGAAATATTCTCTACCTCTTTTTCTCTACCTTAGTTTGCTGCATATCACAGTTTATTTTCTAAGCGCTATTTCCCAACAGAATTAATCCACTTTGCCAAGCATAACTTTATTTCATCTCATGCTACCCGCTGGGTCAACACCAGAGTTATATGGAAACAAAGGCCTGTCCTACTAATCCTGATGAAGATGAAGTATTCATACTAAGATCCAGGACCAAGTAATTACAGTACTAATGCTCTGGTGTCCCAATATATGTTTATAGACCATTGCATACTGATGGGAACTGCTGTTCTGCTATTGAATGCCATGTACATTATTCATAATGCATGGCAGTAAGACTGAATAATTAATACCTCAATATCACTAATAATTCACCCTCCCCTTCCACATGCCAATATAGAATTTGGAAATTCTTTTTGATCCATGCCCAAAGCGCATATCACACTGTGCAAGACTTCTGCATTCTGAAAGATATATGCATATTCTATAAGTCTGAAACATAGCTATTTGGAGTCTTATAACTCAGCAATTATTTATCCCAAGATCCCATAAATTTAAAAAAATTAAAAAGTTTACCTATATATCTTTATAAAATTGGATAGTTGGTGCAACTTTAGTAAACTATTCATCTGAAAATAACTGCTATTGAACTTAATGTGCAGCTGAATGTATGTGCAGAAATTTACTCCCTTGACAATGCAATTTAAAAGCTGACTTGTTTCAGAATTAGACAGACAGTAACATATGGGAAGGGATTTTTCAGTAAGGGACAGAGCCCTCAGTCCTTAAATGACTCTCTGAGATTTAGTACTTTTTTTAAAAAAAAGAAGGGGAGGATATTTTTCCTTTCCCAATTAGATAATAGTAGCATATCATTTCTTATTATTTGAAAATCCATAGTTTAAGTTAAAAGATATTATCTGCCTCATTTTAGCCAGTGTCATGTCATCTTTTATCTCCCATTAATACTTCTGACACTATTGATTAATATTCCTTCAATAGGTAAAGCGTCTATGCCACGGTAGCAAAATACATGATCTCTCCAAAATACTGATTTTTGATCTAAAGTCATGTAAGCTACTGTTGTAATAATGAGGTCACAATTAATTAAAGAATGATATGAATTATACATTTATAAGATATCGTCAGCATTTCCTGAATTCTAATTGCAAAGACATGAGCTGGCATACCTATTCTTATTTCTAGTGGCGATTATAATTGATATTAAAAAGACAGAAAACACAAAAGCACAGGGAGGGACTAGATGTAGAATCCTAAAATAGCACTCTTGTCAAAGTAACTTCAAATTATGGTGACAGGCAAGAAATTTAAAAATAGACATATGGAAATAGCCAAGTTGATTAAAAAATGGGTTTCTGAATTAGTGCCATTTGGAAGTTAATATCAAATTCTGATTCTGTTCTGACATATAAGGAAATGTGTTATATTCTCACCCTAGGCCATTTAGATATCCTTTGTCTAATGGCACCCAGGATTCCCAGGGAGTCATTTTTATTCCTCTTGAGAACCCAGTAGCTTGCAGCATAAAGACCTACATCAACCCTTAATAGAAATTCATCCCAATATGACCAAGGCATGATTATTTCACTTGTATGTACAGGATAGCTCCCTGCTGTTCTGGGCATTGTGAGAGTCATTTTTTCTCCCTCTCCCTGAAGTTGCAGTGTTTTTTGTTTTTTGTTTTTTTTTTTTCCATTAACAACAGAACATTTCAATTCAGTTGGTGTTTCTCTAGTCACTAAGGTGACATTACCACTACCTTTAGCACTTTGAAATGGTTGCAGTCAAGTCTTAGATCACAATCCTCCCACCATTACTAAAAGTAATGGTTTTCAAACAATGCAACTGTGAGAGAGAGCTTGGGAATTACCTAGGAAAAGAAAGGTGGGAAAGTAGTTCTATTGAAAGGTAAGGATCTCCTGTGACTGTAAAACCTCCTTTATGCAGTGAGTGCACCCCAAATGGATCTTTCCCATTGACACGCTGAAGGTATTTCTGAGACTGGGATAGTCAAGTGACAGAAACTAATTTCTTCCAAATCGAAGTGAATTTCTAAAGCTACTGCTTGAAAGAATGGCCTCTTCAGAAGACAGAGCAGAAGAGTTTGGTGTTTTCCTCCTTCCACTGTGTGCAGTTAGCAGAGCTGTTATCCATTCCTACCCCCACTAGGAACAGCCCCTTTGAGCTGCAAGGGGAGAACAGGTTCAACATGGTAGTCTGATTCTGCTAAGGAGGCCAGTACTTATCCCTTGTCACAGCATTAAATATGTGTTACAGCTCTCTATATTTGATTCAGCTTCATCTTTTCCCAAATAATTTAGATTGTTGTATACATATAAACAAATACCTGCATGAATTTGATTTAACATTTAGCCTTTAGCATATGTGCAAAAATATAAAGTGCCAATGCCTAAAGTGATTCCCCATGGGGCTTGAAATACATTTACCAGATGCTTGTACTTTGCTATAGTCTGAAGGACAGTGTCTCTAGGTTGACATTTCTTCCTGATATTTCGCACAGGTTGGCCGAAAAAGGTTTAAAAAAAGTGACAGTTAAGCATTTCAGCATTCCTTGATCCCACTCAGAGCAACAGTTAGAATTTTATTCAATTTTTTTTCCTATGGTATGAATATGGATTCTCAGCATTAACTATGGTTTTCCATGATCACCCAAGGGATAGTACCTCTGTTTTTCTTAAAAAGAAAAAAAATTAGATAAAATTATATATAAAGATAACCAGTTTCTCATTCATAAATCCACCAGAATAACAATCTTATGTATATCTAATTTTTGTGTACTTGTCTACATAGTTTGGCAATGAATAGATCTGTCTTGGTGGGTTTAATTATATTTCTTCTATTTTATAACTGTTTCTCAGGTATCAGAGTAGACATGCAAGTACTCTCAGATGACTGGGAGACAGAGCAAGACTAAGTCATAAAAATATTTAGGAAAGACAAAAAAATAAATCACGTCAAAAATGTTGATGAATGAATCAGCCATCAAATCCTGATGTGTGTAAGTCACATTGGTATGGGCTGGCTCTAACTTTACCTAGTTCATGTAATAGTTTTTACACAGAACCTGGACTACAATCTTTTGTAAGTGCAGAACACTCCAAATAAAATTCTAAAATTATTCATGATTACATCTCTGGATTTTAAAATGGAATTCCTCCCCTTGTTTTACTATCTTAATCAGATAACATAGGTACCATTCTCAGATCCTACTTTGCCAACTTTCTCATTCAAGGTCTTCACTGAATCTGCGGTAGTCACCAAATGTTTACATGTTAGTCATGGAAAGACACAATTTACCTACTCTCTCTGCTACGATTCCATCCAACTTTAAAATTCTAAGATGAACCAGAAAAACTATCAGCAAAGTAGTAAATGGAAGATGATATTAGGCACATTTATTTGTTCTAATCACTATGCTTCCATAGAGAAGGTCACCTCAATGACTTTTAAAGTGGAAATGAAAATTTAAGTTTTAGGTGAGATAACATCAGTGTCAACAGAGATCCCCAGCTCATGAGAAAAGTTTTCATCAGAGTGGGAGGTAAATGAGAGAAATCAGTCTTATCCAAGCCTTTTTTTCCAGAGTTCAAGTGAGGCTTATAATGGTGAGTAGCATATGAGTTTGATCTTGAGCTCTCCTGACATGGTTTTTGAGACAAATTATCAGTAAAGTGGAAGGGTCAGAAGAAAGGCATCGAGGAGAAGAGGGAAGGCTAATTTAATTGCCTTTGTTCCTCAGTGACATAGCTTAAATTGAGCTTGCATTTCTGAGAGCACAGGGATATTTGCATGCTTGGATTTTCATAAGTGGAAAATGAACTCAAAGCACTTGGTCTACAGATAACATATCACTTTATATTTGAAGGACAGAAAATACAACTGGGAGGCAAGGGAATTTGAAAATTCTTCTTCTCTCTATCATTTTTCTCCTGACTTTGGGTGGGGGGATGATAGTGAAGTTCAGTTTAAATGTAAAATACAATGTACCAAATATAATTAAATACAATTAAAGAGTTAAAAGTGGAAAGCTAAAATACATACACTAAATATATATTCTTAAGGAAGAGTTATAATTCGTGGCTATGGACAAATACGGAAATCAGTTTACTCCCTGGTGATTCATTTATGTGTGTATTAAACAAAGGCATATTAAAGATCCTTTGAATCTGGTTTGTATCTAGGCACATTCTGGCACTGATACATTATTCAGAAGATACTTTGACTATATAACTAAATTTATGATGAATTGAAAAAATACCAGGGTGATGATTCTATGCTGTTCTAGGAAAATAAAGACAAATTGGAAAATCTCCAATAATATTTAAAGGTTGAAAAACTTGGAACTCTTTCACTAAAAATCTGGTAGTACTGTGATCTCCTAGAGGTGGAGATAATTAAAACATACAAGCATGCACAAAGGCAATTTACAATCATTGCTTCCAAATCCTCCAGCAAATTTAGATTTTATTTGAGTTGATTTCTTCCACATTTCTTAGTGTTTGTTGTCACTTAAGTCTTCTATCTATGATCACTGTTTGAGATTTTACTAATGCTTAATTGCATCTAAGTAATGAAAAGTTAATAAAGCCATTATAAATATAATCAAAACTATAACTTTGCTATAGAGGTAAATAATTAATTGCTTGTGAAACACTAAATTGTAATTCAGTGGCATTTATGAACAATATAAATGTATAAAATTCAAATAAATGAAACATCAATAAATGTGATCTATTGCTGGCAACTTGAGGAGGGAATAATTAATAGCATCTTTTTTTTTCTGCCCAAGTTGGGAACCAATTAAGAAACACAGGGATCAGACAGATAGAGATCAAAAGAGCATCGAGAATACTGATAACACCTAAATTAGAGAATGTGTCTTTCAGTCTATTAGCCATGTTGGCTAGCTCAGACTATAACCTGAAGTTGAACTTGCTCACTCAGTTCCAAGTATTGCTGGGAATTTACAAGATGTCTCAATGGGGTCCTGCTCTTTTAAGGATCTAAGGAATGTGATGCAGAGAGTATGTGCTTTTTGCTAGTAGGCATATTCCAGTGAGGAAGAGGCTGGGTCACACTTATTATCTTCTCTCAATATCACCCATGGGAAAAGTTACTTCTCTCATGGGCAAGAGTGAATATTAAGTCAGAAAGCAATCCCTATTTTACCCTATTGGAAGCGTTACTACTATTATTATTATCAATGGAAATTTAAAAAATAATAATAATAGTAACAATCACCTCTTGAGAGATTTAAAGACATTCAAATTTGGAATTAAGGAGATGAACTGTCTGAATGTTTTGTTTCAACCCTGTGGTCCCAGTTAGACTGGTAGAATAAATATTGATAGGATAATAGCTACTTTGTATTACCTTCTCACTTGGGCATTCCTTTTACAAAAGAAGAAGACAATTAACAAATGCTTGAGCTACTGTTATTAAATGTTTAACAGCTAGTCATTTAACTCCAGATTCCATTGTCTGCTATGCTGGGCATATGCCAAGAGAAGGACTGGGATATGCAACCTAGATGTCACATTTCAAAACTGTTCCTGTAGCCTGTCCTTACAGGCCTTTGCTTGTCTAAGGTGTTTGATGGGTTGAGGAAATGGGAGACAAAGGAGTTCACAAGGCAGTGAGGGAAGTCTACGGTACTTTTCTGAGAATAGTTGCAATGAAACTCCATTTATTCCTCAGCTAAGATTTTGAATAGAGGCAATAACATTTGGCTTCTGTTAAAAAATAATGCCGGGATAGGAGGCTTATCTCATAATATTTGCTGAGGGATGGACAGGATCACTTGTAAATATGAATGAAATGTATAAAACTGAATACAAAGGTGAAGCATTTAGGGTTTATTAAACTTCTGGTTTTGTAGTATTAAGTTGCAAGAGCATGACAGATACAGAAATAATCTTTTTTTTTTTTTTTTTTTGAGATGGAGTCTCGCTGTGTCACCCAGGCTGGAGTGCAGTGGCTAGATCTCGGCTCACTGCAACCTCCACCTCCCTAGTTCAAGCAATTCCCCTGCTTCAGTCTCCCATGTAGCTGGGATTACAGGTGCATGCCACCATGCCCGGCTAATTTTTTTGTATTTTTAGTAGAGACGCGGTTGCACCATGCTGGCCAGGCTGGTCTTGAACTCCTGACCTCAGGCAATCCACCCGCCTTGACCTTCCAAAGTGCTGGGATTACAAGCATGAGCCACCTTGCCTGGTCAGAAATTATCTTTTATGTTGTATGTAAAGTTCATTAAAGCTGAACAAAAGTGACATATTCATGTTACCTGGGAAGACTACCAATGCAATGTAAATGCTGTATGGGCAATAAATATATAATTATTAAGATAATTGAGAAATGGACACCATATTGAAGATAATCAACATTGTTGTGCCATAGACTTTGAGAGAGCAAAATATCAGAAAAGAACGCTACCTCTTATCGGATTAAATTACTGAAATATTGATACAGGTAGTTAGGCATGAGTGGGGCAGGAGAGGGCTCTCCCCTCCTACCCACTAGAAATGCCAGGTGATGGTTCGGCAAATTTCACATTGCCTCTCTAAAAATAATTCCACAGCACCAGGGAGAGGCCATTTCCTGATGGTCGGCACCTGTTAACATCAAAATGTTAATTGAAAGCAGCACCCAGGGAGAAACAACTTCCTGGGAATGCGTGTTAAGAGATAAAAATGGTGAAGTATGATCTTCCAGGGCACATTCTCCCAGAAAAGGGAAGAAAGCCTCAGATGGGCATGAATATAATTCCCTAAACACAATGCTTGTGCTCACTTCTGAAGGGTAAGGAAAGCGCTGGGCATGCGGAAAACCCACCCTAGGAGAAGAATCATGGGAGAGAGACAAGCTTATAAAAGTTCTAGGATCACGGTTAAATGGGGGCACTTGACCTTCTCTCTTTAACCTTCACATGCCTGCTTGAATCTCTTCCAAATGCACCTTCCTTTCTTTTCTGTTCTGAGGACTTTCTAAATAAACTTCTATTCCTGCTCTAGAACTTGCCTAGGTCTCTTTTTTTTTTTTTTTTTTTTTTTGCTTTATGCCCCTCAGTCCAGTTCTTTCTTCTGAGAAAGCAAGGACTCAAGTTGCTATGGACTCATAAGGATAGGCCACCAGTAATTTAGGGTAAATCAGATCTCTTTCACTAGTAACAATATTATTGCACTTAAAAATCACTGACACTTTTCCTGTTCTTTATTGTATATTAGACACTCCAGGATTTATATTAACATAGATAATAATTTAGAAAAATTAGAGTCTATGAGATAGAGTCATAATGAAACCAAAAGTTTCTATAGAAATATATATATATATATATCTCCCAGAAATAGAGAGAGAGAGATTATATATTGTCTTCCACCTTCCTTTTGTTTTAGACCTTAATTTAAAAAATCGGGGCAAGGAAGAGAAGCATTATTCATTGGGATGCCTCAGAGACTTCAGCTCTCATTATATATAAGTATTTATCTTTCAATACACTGCTTTCAATACCTATCAGTATTCCTCAGCTCCTACATACAAATACATATACACAACATTTTAAATTACTTTAGAGCTTGAAAGTCTGTACATTTTGGATCATTTCTTATTTGGAAATCACTGAATGTTGCCTTTTTTTCCCTGTAATCTATGGCATACGATCAAAATTATGCAAATTTTTTTGCTCCTTAGTTCCGCTAAAACAGGATTCTTGTCACATGACCAGGAAAGATTAGGCATGCAGACACATTGAAAGGTGAAGAGAGGAGAATTTATTAAAAGAAAACTCTCAGTGAAAAAAGGAGGGGTTCTGTTAACAGGCTCCCACCTCACAGACTGAATACCAGGCCACCACATAGGAGTTGAAGAGGCCAGGCTCTTCCCCCTACACAAGACACGAACTTCCTGCGTCTCCACCTCATTCTCCCAGTGCCCAGGAGGGTCCCCCGTCTGTTGCAGGCATGTGCAGAAAATATCCTGGGCAGTTTCCCTCATCTGCACAAAAGCATCTGATGTAAATACTGGGAGGTGGGTCAGGGATTCTCTGGGGAACATGCCCCATACCTACCTCCTGCATCTATCAAATATATAATGTAATCCCAGAGCAAATAGTAATGACACAGGAGTGGAATGCAATTATTTTACCATTTTGCTCAATTTGATTCTGTATAATACTATGGCATGTTATAACTAATACTAATTTATTTTGCATAAATTTATTCATTTTTAGCACTTTCTGAATTGGGACCTATTTTTGAAATGCCTATCTATTTGGTTTTCTGAACGTTGTAACTCAGAAGACTGGCTTATCACTGACAATAAAATTGTAAATTATTGTCTTTATTTTTAAAGAAATTATTGATGTCTGCTTGTTGTAATTTTGACTAGTTATCAATTATTTGAAAGGAAATAGATCTAGGTAATTTTGTGTACTTAGTCTTCGTCTCTGCTTGTTCACACAATTTCTTTGGTGTTTCCATTATTGGACCCCAAATGTCATTATAAAAATGAAAGCAAAAATAAATCGAATACAACTCTCTGCTTGTGGCCCCCTCCTTATGTGTGGCCTGTGAAAGACAAATGTTATTATTCCTTCAATTCTTGAGGCTACTGTACTCTGGCCTCCTGATCCAGGATCCTTTACTTAGCTTATTGTACTTGGGTGCTCCAGAGAGACATAACTGATAGGTTGTATATGTAGAAAGAGATTTATTATGAGGAATTGGCTCACACGAGACTGAGAAGTTGCACATCATTGCTAGCTGGACACCCACAAAACCTTAATGGTGTAATTCATGCTGAGTAATAAGGCCTGAAAACCAGATCTAAGTCACAGCCTGAGGGTAGAGCAAGATGGATATCTCATTCAAACAGCACTACAAAAGAAGGGATCAATTCCTTCTTCATATGCCTTTTGTTCTATGCAGGCCCTCAGGAATTTGGATCAGGCCCACCCACATTGAGGAAAGCAATCTTTTTTTACTCAGACTACTGATTCAAATGTAACTCTCACCCAGTAGCTCCCCCACAGACACACCCAGAATACAGCTAAGCCAAATATCTGGACACCCCCATGATTCCCATCAAGTTGACACATTAAAAGTAGTCATCACATTTATTAACATTGGCTTGGCCCTGTTGAGTTTTTATTTTTGAGGCAGCTCAACTTCATCCTGCATCAGTATCCAACAGTACTATGCCTAAATGTAAAAACAGCTTGAAATGAGCCTAAAATATATCCAGAGGCAACATTCTACAATTCCTCTATGTCCTTACTTGAAATGACACAAAATTAGTAGGATCTCCACTAAACAGTGAGTAGAGTGCCCAGGGAATTATTTACATTTGAGTGTCACATAATATAAACTACTACAGAGTTTAATAGAAAGTGATGCAAAAGTGGAAACACATGTTCAAACTCTGAGGTTATTCCCAACTCTATATGATCCTTGGCAAATACTTTCTGGTTAGGTTGCTTCATTTAGAAAGAGAGGAGAGTTGGGCCATTAATAATAGCTGCCATTTATTGAGTATTTACTCTATCTAGACATCTCTGTATTACTTATATACATTATACCATTTAATTTTATCAATAATTGTATGAGTTCTGTTGATCTAATTTTACGTTTGTAGAAAATGTGTCCTAAAGAAGCTAAGACACTCTCATGGGTGCATTGCTAGTAAATAGTGGAGGCAGAACAAAAACTCATGTCTCTCTGTATTCTAAGTCTGTGCTGTTGGGATATGGTTCTTGTTCATGTTCACATTCTATGATTATTGGTTATTTGGGTGATATGTGTTGTCAACAGGAAACAAAAAAGGTTGTTGGCACACAGCATGCCCTAGAATCTCCTGCAGCACTTTTATACTCTTAGGCAGGAGGAATAACATTTTTTTTTTCAACAGGCTACCAGCTATGTATCTTTAGATTGGAAGCTTGTTGTAGTTGTATTTCTGAAATAAATGCGGCACAGGACAGTGCCTGAATATAATTTGGGGATAATTGAAAAAGGCAAGGAAATCATCCCTGATTAAATTTGTAAATGGCTGTCTGGAGAACCATTATAATTTATGAGGATTTGTTGCTCAGAGAGTAAATAATACCAGTGACAGCATTTCCTCAGAGAACAGAAGATCAAATCGGTTGCAAAGTAAGTGCCAATACTTCCTCTCAAAAACACAGCAGAGGAGACAGTGGTAATAAATGATGCTCCATTTGTTTCAATGCTTATGACCCTCCTGGCTGCTTAAGAGCAGAGACAGGATTTAACTCTTGCATTGCAGTGAGACTACTACATATTCCTGCTGCATACAATGGTCTGAAATTCTTGAAGAATGTAAACAGATTAAGTAAGTTGTTTAGGTAAGTGGGCCACTTATGAACACACCTGCCATTCTGACATATGGACAAGTGTTAACTAGTTTCATGTAATAATCTTTTTTATTTATCCTGTAATGATAATGGTGATAAAACTTCATGCAACACTTTAGAAAGATGACAGGACCCTTGCAATTAGCATTACTGTGGGTGCCTGGTAGTGCAGACTGGGTATTGAAAAATATAGTTTGTGGTCCAGACTTCAATGCTAACCCCAAATCCAAGGTTCAGATTCTAGCAAATTTAATTCTACCTTTAGCTCTCCTATGGCATATAAACTGAAAGCTAGGCAACTTGTCATTCAAATGAGTTTTTAAAAATTGAGACCCTGGATCTCACCATTTTAGAATCTGGTGGTGTCAGCACATATTAAGAACAATTTATGAAACCTTGAAATGCTATTGGTCAAATGTTAGCTGTATATACTGGTGCTGCCACATTAATTAATACATGCCCTTTTTTTTTTAAACAGGCATTTGTTGTATGAGACAAAAGTATTATTCTATTCAGCTAGCAATATCTGGCCTTTGTTGATATCTTAGTACATAGCTTTAATAATCATTTGACATTTAGTATTTCCCAGCTAACAACGGAATGCAATGATTCATATCTGTTGAATGGATTATAAAATCCTAGAGGGCAGTCATCATGTTCTACTTGCATTTTACTAATTGATTAATTAATCTGAACAAAGTTAGGATGTAGTTGGATTAATAAATACAAGACTGATTAAGTCAAGTTTGCACTTAATGGGCACAACACTATATATATTTGTTAGTTATTATTTTTCTTTGTTTCAGTAAATTAGACAAAATTTGGTATATAATATACGTAAAACAGGCAATACAGTGCTCATCATAAAATATATTATATAATACATGTAGTTTCCTTTTATTCATGCACTTAATTTTATGTATTCATAAAAGTGGTTGTATGGAAAACATGCACCCCTCGTTCTCTCTAGGCAAGATGTTTGTTTTCACGTAGGTGTAACAGATACAGGAATTGTATCATTATAAGTAGTACTTAGAGTGAACTTTCTGTACTCTCTATTCTATCTGTAAGAGCCAACACTGAAATTCACATATGCATGCTAAGAATGTAAGAAAGAAGAATGAGCTCCATGCATTTCAATGGGAAAAGAACATCACGATGAATTGCTTTAGTGAGGGATAAAGTAACACAGGTCCAACTTCAGACAACAAGGATGCTGGCTTCTCATTTTGCATTTTACAACCATTTGTCCAATTTTTTTGGTTGATTGCACTGAATTGTTTTGTTTTGGAAAAACAGCAATAGATTAAAAGAAAGCTCTCTGCACAGAAAAAAAAATAAGCTTCAGAGGAGAGAACAAAAAAGGCATTATTAATATAGTTAGTTATATAATTATTCTCCTTACAATTTGTTTCTTAGGGCCCAGTAGCAGCTTTCTGAACTCACTTTGTTGGCCACAACACTTAATGGATTATCACACAATCAAAGCAGTCTAATTTTATCACACAAAATTAAAGTATACCTGCTATAAGGAAACAAGCAAATACACAAGCAAAGATATGAAGAGAAGTCAGCAATACTTGAAAATTAATACCATTTCCTAAAATGCCACGTGTGCAATAATTCAAAGTAAATGACAATATATTATACTCTAAGTCCATAATGTTAGAAAATAAAAGCCTAGTTGTTGCTTGACTTACAAGAGCAAAACAAGCTTACGGTGCATGGGTCCGTGTTGTTTGGCAAGTAGTCAATAAAACTGTACCTTATGACTTTCTCTCCTAAAGGTTCTAATCAAAACAATTTATTTCAGGCATGTAAACCCTGCTTTTCAGACTGTAGCTATTGTCAGCATGTACAGCAGCATCAGCAATAACGGATGCAATTTTTGGATTGAGAGTCTCAGAGCTCCCCCATCTGTCTCAGTAATGGTTGGATTTCATATGGATCAATACAGCATGTCAACTCTAGTACAAGGATTTTCCCTCTAACCTTTATAATAGCAATTTCTATGCATCCAACCTTGTCCAGCATAAAAGCAATATTTGAGGATATTATGTAAAGGAGCTGGAGCTGACAGAGCTGGAAGGACATTAACTACCAGTACCCTAATTGCTAGGGTCCAAGCATTCAGACATTATAGCCCATTTGAAACCTTAAACTTCAGTAACAAAAAGAGAACATGTTTTCATACAAGTTAACTTGCTTGCCTCTATGAGCATAGGACGGTGGTAAAGAAAGGAAAGAGATCTGTAAACAAAGCCACTGCTTATTTTTGTGTGAGGGATATTTGGATGCTCCAGTTGGTTCTCTGAATGTATTTCTCTCTCATCAGCAATGAGATCGGAGAATTGAATGTGATGTGTTTGTCTTAGTAAAAGGTATAACTAGATCCTGGGGGGAGACAAAGTGTTTTGCTTTGTTTCTGCTCCAGTTCTCTACTGAGAAATAAAACCAAGAGGATTCAATTCTTTTTTCTGCAATGGACTTATAGCTGCCATGACTTGCTGCTCAGAGCCACAAGGTGCCGATTGTTATGTATCACTGCCCCTTAGTGGTTGGCCAACAGCAAACCTTTTTAATACCTACCCAACATCACAGGTTTATAGGTATATAGGGCATGCAGGCCCTCCTCTCTGCTTCTTAGAGCAGGCAACAGAGACTTAATGTGCAGACCTGCCCTTTTCTAAGATGATGCTTTGTTTTCTCTGTGTCTGTGTAATACAGAGAAAGAGCAAGTATTCTGGGATCAGACAGAGCTGGAATTATATCTCCCCTCTGCTATTCTCTAACTGAGTGATCTTGGGAAACTCACTTAACCCCTCTCAACTTTATTTTCTCCTTCCAAAATGGAATTAGCAACTACCTTGCTAAACCAGTGCTGTAGGATTAATTTAGAAAATGAAGGAGAATGGCTAGCAAATCATCTGTCATGCCTTCTATTATTGTTACTAACATGATGCTGATGATTATGGTCATGAACATTTATGAAGGATGTGATCTTCCCACTATTACGAGACCAAAGAAATGTATGAATGCTATATAAACTGTACTGTAGTCTCTATGAAGTTACTAATGTAGTCTGCCTTGATGAGTGACTCTAAGAACAGTACAACAAAATGGTTCCTGCTTTCATTCCAGATTATAAATTAATTTAGTAGTTGTGGTTTGTGGGTTAGATTATGGTTATGTGAAATAAGATTTTAATTCAATTTGCCACATATTTTTGGGAGCCTATTGCACAAAATGTGCTGTTCTGTGTAGTCATTGTACAAAGAAAAAAGTAAATGATGTATGTGTTTTTATACAGTTTGCAAGTCAGTGGATACAACAGAGATATACATTTACCTAAATAGAAATTAGACAGATTTATAGCAAGTGCTGTGGGATTATAGAGGCAAAAGAAGTCAATGTCACTCTCAGAGTAGTTTTCATAGAGATGGTGATATCTGTTGTGGTATATGAAGCAGTATTTTTAGAGTTGGAATAAAAGAGGAAACATTCTAAGTAGGGAAGTAGTAAAGGTGAGTACTTCTCAAAAGAATGTATGAAGTAGTCAGAGAATAATGAAAAAATTAAATGTAGAAAAAGCTTGAGTTATGTGTTAGAAATAATAACAAATAAGGGTTAGCAGGATAGATTTTTGGAAGGCCTCGAATACTGTGCTGAACTTTTAAATGGTGTACTATAAGCATTAGGGAGCCATGAACTAATGTATTTTACATTTTAGGGCTTTTATCTTATTTCGGGAGAAGACAATGCGAAAATGTGTTTCTTCAATATTATCTTTTATATCAAGCTAAATTATTTATACTCATGTTGAAGGTCATGAATTATTGTATACAATGTTGATTTATCTTCTCTTTAAAATATTGCCATTTTCATTTATAATTCTTTTCATTCCTTTTCAACAATCAAATCTTCCATTGGCCTATCATTTTATTCTACCTGTCAATGTTGGCTGGTTATGAATATTTTTCTCTACTCCTAAATAATTTTATTCTTCCCAGAAAACAAATGGTTACTGAAGCAGAGAACACTGTGAATATCCAAATTGAATCAATCTGCATGTGATGTAAAACCTTGGACTATATTATGAAGATGTAAAAATTATAAAGGAGCACTGAGACATGAATGAAATTCCCCAGAGAATCATTAGATGATGTATCAACTTGACAAAATATACCCAAGTATTTGTCTATTTCTGTCCGTCATCACTAACACTTCCCAGATCCAAGACATCATCATTTCTCACCTGGACTACTGCATTGGCTGAAATTGAAAATCTGAACTTCCTGGTTTGACTCCTCGTTTGACTTCTCATTTCATTAAAAATAAAATGTGAACTTTTATTCATGTTTTACAAGGTCTTAATAATATCTGTAAACTCACTGCATACTCATACTCCTGTGCAGTCACTCCACTTTAGTCAGGTTTTCTTGTTTTTTTCTAAAAACTAAACCCTTTTCTACCTCAAGCCCTTTGCTTTATCTTTCTTTTCCTGGAACATTGATCTTCTTCAAGAGCTCACTTCTTCACTTAATCAAATTTTTGCTTCAAATCCTTGGTCCCAAGACTGGTCCTGACCATATAAGGTAAAGCAACTCCTTTCCCTGTTCTCATCGTTTCTTAATTCCAGCACATCATGCCATTTTATTTCCTTTCTGAAATTTATTGCAATAACAAATTATTGTAACTTTTCTCTATTTACCTTTTATAGTCCATCTTACAAAATCTCAGTGAGAACAGTCTGTTTTATTTATCTTTGCATCCCCTGTACTTTAAACAGTGCAGGCACATGTGTTTGTTAAATATTGGTTACATGAATGAATTAATTAATTAATGATGCATGAAAGCCTGAACCACATGGGAAGGAAAATGAAATAGAAAGAAACCGAGAGGCTAAAATCAACAGGAAGAACAAAAGAGAGTGGGAGATGGCTCAATGAGGAAAGTGTGAGTATCACACACATCAACATGGTAAGATAGGAAAAATAAAGGAGACATAGCTAGTACCCAAATGGCCATATTTATAGTCAAGGATAATTTCAATTCAATTTGCCAATGAATAAGTGGGAGGTCTTGGAATTAATTCTCCCCACTGTAAGTGCATAGGCTCTGGGGAACCAGTCAAAGGAAGTATGAGACATATAAAGAAGTAAAAAGAAGTATAAGCAGCCTCTATACCTGGTACTCAGGTGGGTGCAGGAAAAAGCAATGTGGGCCTATGTAGCTGGAAGGCTAAAGTTATATTGCAGGATGTCCCCACAGAGCTTATAGCAGAGTTCTGGCAAACAAAGGAGGAGGCATTATGAATTAGAAACCCTGGCATGAGGTGTTGTGGTTCTAATTTTAACAAGCTAGATTCTAATATAAAGCCCCTGCTCTATAACAGAGGAATGAAAAGAGGGGAGATAGCAGAGAGAGGAGGAAATGGCATAAGGAAGGTAGGACCAAGGTCCTGGAAATGAAAAGATACTATGCATGCTGTTATTTAGAGAATTCTCTCAGGTGGGTAAGTTAAAAATCAGTACAATCAGATAAAGAAGCAAAGTCAGAATTAGAACAATAGGTACTTGATATTGTGTTCTGACGGCTGGTTTAAGCATTTCTCTGAACCACCTACTTAAGGCAGGCGCTAGTGTCTGAGCTGTCTCTTTAGGTGTGAGTCAAGTGTCTTAAACAGAAGGGGATAACTATAAAATCTGGAAATCACATAGGTCAGGTGAAAAGGTAGGAGATACTCATATTCTAGTCCAATTTGTTCTTTTTTTTTGAATCCTGTTGCAAATGACAATATTGTCTGAAAATGACTTTTAAAAATAGCATTAACAGTGATAGTTGTCACACAAACTTGTTTACAGACACTCTCCCTCATTTGGCACATACCTACAGGAAGATTTTTTAGCTGGGAAAATAGATTCATGTGGCCCAGAGTGCTAATATAAATGCTGATCTCCTGAATCTGTGAGAGCACATGGCATGAATAGTAACACAAGGTATTACAGGCTTTATGCATGAAAAATGCCTGTGATTAGAGATAAGTTCATGGGGTAGAAAAGAATGTGGAGACAGAATTACAGACTTAGTACAGGAAAATAGATTAAGGTTGAGAAACACTAAGATAAAAAGATTTGGCAAGAGTTTGAAATGCTTTTCAATTCATGCAAATAATCGACAAGGGGAAGTGAACAGGTTGGAACTGGATAAAACAACAGATATTAGAGAAAGACAAAAGATCAGACTCAGGGACAAAATATTAAATAACCGCCTATATCTTGAGTTACAAGTTATCTAAGAGTACAAACTGACTTGAAAATGTTCTCAGTAATGTACAATAAAAACAACAACCAAACAAATAACATTAGTTGAGCAAGAAAGGAAAAATCAACGTGGCTTTAGTTACTAATTGTATCCAAATGGAAAGTAGAGATTTCTGCAAAAAAAAAAAAAAAAATCCACTGTAAATCTCAAGTGGAGCATTTATGGATAGATTTTACCTTATGCAGTTTAAAGTTTGCATTCGACAGTCTTTTTGGAAGACGACATGTAGATCGAGATCAAATCCTTATTAATGATACTATAGAGAAAGACAGTGATGATCCTCAATCCTGAAAGACTTGGTATCTCCAGCTTCTCTAATACTGAAACATCATAGACTCTATATCTTGTCCTCAAGGTGGTTCAACATGAGAGATAGCAAACTGAAGTTCATTTTTATGGATGTTCATTAGATATGAGGGCATGAAGTAAACAAAAGGGGAACATTGTCTATATAGTTAGCTATACATTTCTTCAAAGCAGTCCTTGGCTCAAAGATTTCAAAAACAGTAAATGGTTATCAAATGATGACATAAAAGATTAATCTAATGTTTGTAAATGACAACGTATATAGCATAACATTGTAGATTGCAATATGTGTATGCATACAATGTTTATATGTCTAGTTATGGTATCTAATCTGTATGTTATCTATAAATATTAATTTTTTTTAATATAATAATTTGATCAGTATTCATATACAATATAAATTGAGAAATTGAGAATGAATGATAAATTCACAGAGAACAGTGATTGTTTTGGTCACTATATACATGACGCAATAAAAGATTGTCAATAGGTCAGGCGTGGAGGCTCACGCCTGTAATCCCAGCACTTTGGGAGACCAAGGTGGGTGGATCACAAGGTCAGGAGATCGAGACCATCCTGGCTAACACAGCGAAACTCACTCTCTACTAAAAATACAAAAAAATGAGCCGGGCATGGTGGCAGGAGCCTGTAGTCCCAGCTACACGGGAGGCTGAGGCAGAAGAATGGCGTGAACCCGGAAGGCAGAGCTTGCATTGAGCCGAGATCCCGCCACTGCACTCCAGCCTGGGCAACACAGTGAGACTCTGTCTCAAAAAAAAAAAAAAAAAAAAGATTGTCGATAAATGTACTCAATAGATGGATAACTATCTCCAAAAGCATATTGAAATACTTGTGTTTTCTTTCCTCTCTTAAACATTCCTAAACACAGACGGTGGCTATATCAAATTTTATAACTAGTTTATTTCATTCAAATTATAAATTAATGAATGTTTTCATTAATTAGTAATAAAATTATTTTAGCATTAATTCAATCATTATTTCAATAACTGGAGTTTACATTTTAAGTGCTTTATGTATACCTTCCTGTTCCTACTTTGCTAGCTTTTTGTTTTTCTTAGAAATGACCAGAAATAATTTCAATCTGGAAACAGCTTGCCTTTCTAAGGGCACGAAACCAATGTAAAACTAAATAACTAACTAAATAAATAAATATCTCAATTCAGCTGTTGGTAAAGCCATATAGCTAATTAAACTGAACTGTGATTGTGTCTTTATATACCACAATAATTAATCATGAGACAAAGCTGAAAGTATAGAACAGAGAATCTTTCTGTTCTGAATGCAGTCAAGGTAGATGAAGTAGTCAAGGTATAGATTAAAAACTTGAAGCAGTAGCACCAAAAATTTTTTATTGCTTACGAGACTTAGAAGGCAGGTAATAAGCTTAAACAACTACAATATTCCAAAGTCTTTTAGAGAAATGCCTGGAAATTCTGAGCAAACATTTTCAGATTGGGAACTTGTCCTGTTTCAGTTCCAAAATAAACATTTCTATATTCTCCATATTGCTGAAAAAACTTAGGCAGAATTTTCTGAGGGGTCTTTTGTATGTAAACTGAAAAGATTCTGCTAATTTTCTGTAATCTAAATGTCAAATTGGGGAAATTTCTGTAGACTTTCTTCTAGTAACATTTTCCCTATAAAATTTTTTTTGTTTTATAACCCCAATATCCCAACACATACATGTTTCTCATTACCATGATTTTCAACTGGTACTTAGATAGGAACAATTTATGTTTATTTTCCCAAAGGTGATTTTCTATAAAACAACATTTTTAACAAAATATCAGACATCATTCTCGAGTGACATTTCAAATGTAATTGATAGTATGCCATATCATGTATAGAAATTTCAAGAAGCTGATATGTCAATTAGAAAGGATTTTTGCAATTTTGGGCTCTTAATGGAAGGATATGGCAAAATATACAACCTGAACCTTTCTCTGCTGTATTGGTCTCATCCTGGAAATGACTACACTATGCCTTTATATTTAGCCATTCTTTTTGTCTATTACTATACAATGAATCTTCCCCTAAAACTGACAAAGTGTTGAAGGAAATCATATGAAAGGAAGCAAAACAGGTAAACAAAATGTAATTATTATGATCATGTATCTGTATATAAAACAACTGTGGTGTGTGTGTGTGTGCATGTGTGTGTGTGTTTGAGACAGAGTTTTGCTCTGTCAACCAGGCTGGAGTGTAGTGGCGCCATCTGGGCTCACTGCATCTTCTGCCTCCCAGGTTCAAACAATTCTCCTGCCTCAGCCTCCAAGTAGCTGGGATTACAGGCATGCATCACAATGCCTGGCTAATTTTTAGTAGAGACGGGTTTTCACCATGTTGTCCACCAGGCTGTCTCAAACTCCTTACCTCAGTTGATCCACCCACCTCGGCCTCCCAAAGTGCTGGGATTACAGGCCTGAGCCACAGCGCCCAGCCTGTTTGTTAATAACCATATTGACATTTTGGAGACTAGGTAGCAATGTGTAAGCATTTCATATTTTTAGATAATAGTTTGATACTTCTTCTTGGCATTCTAAAGAGTTTATTTACATTTTTGGAAGTTGTTTCAAGAGTTTTAAATATTCCTGTAACATTTATAATGTTTTCCATCTAAAATAATGAGAATTTGAGTTCCTCTTAAGATTTTAGAACAGAAAGTCTGAGTTTCAGCAAGGAATTGCTAACTTTATGAGGATGATGACTGATTTCACTATTTCTAAAGCTCTAAATTGTTGAGCAGCCTTGCTAATGCTTTTCTTTAGAATCTAGCTCTTTTCTTTTTTTTCTTTAGGCAACTTCCAGCTTCAAGATTGTTCTTGTTGCTTCATGATTAAGGACAGTAATATGACATCTCAGTGAGACCAAGCTCCAAATTTCTCTCATTCTACAGCTATAAATAGTGCTATTGTAGCATTTTATTTAAGGGAGATTGGACGATTTTGAAAGGAAGATCCCTGAGCATGGAACTTAGTTTTACACTATAGTCTTCCCTCACTCTACCTAGAATTCATGAGAGTGACTTATTTTACCTATGACAAATTGTAGATTTGGAAAAGGCATTTGTTTGTAGAGACATCATGTCATCTGGAAAACAAGAATAGATGTACTTGATCATGCACAGGTATGATCTAAGAAATGTATGCATAAATGATTTATAAGAGATGAATAATTTAACCTCAAATTATTTTTAAAAAGCCTTGTTGAATAAAAGGCAAAACTAATTAATGGCAGAATTTAAATAATTACTTTTAACAAAAATGTTAGATTTGAAAAGAAGCCTTTATTTTTAAGTGTCAGTTGAATACAAAAATACATATTGTGTCATTGGCATTCCCTAATGTGAGAAATTTTCCATAGATATTTGTACTTTTTGAGTATCTTTCTCTGTATTTTTCTGTCTTTCTCATGCATAGTGGCTTTCAAGGGGGCAGAAGTCTTATGCAAATAATGACATTATCTTCTTAAATTATTTTCAATAATGGGTCTAAATCAAAGTAATGAAGGAAACAGGCTAAAACCTTAAAAAATAAAATAAAACTTCTCTGAACTAAGGCATCATTGTGTGATTCAATTAATGACTTATAGTCTAGTGAGCCCCTTGCCTTCCCAATAGGCTTTTGTTCAAACTTGCTTTTTTGTCTGTTTTTTTCTTGCTTTCTGGCTGGCTTGCATGCTTGGCTTTTTATTTTTATTTGTAATAATTGTGCTTCTGTGGGTTAGAAACAGGAATCACCATCCCCACCATTGAAAATACGTTTCTAACTCTTCTTCTGCAAAATTATGACGATCTAAATGAGGCCTTTTAAAAATGTAATTGTTTAAATAAAATCAGTGTTAGTATTTGAATTGTCACTATTTACCAGAAATACTTATGGTAAATAAACTTTTCCAAATTTCTTATAGTATACTATGAGAAGCATTTTCTTTTTTTTTTTAATTTTTTTTTTAAATTTATTTTTATTTTTGAAATGAAGTCTCACTCTGTCGCCCAGGCTGGAGTGCAGTGGCGTGATCTCGGTTCACTGCAACCTCCGCCTCCCAGGTTCAAGCGATTCTCCTGACTCAACCTCCTGAGTAGCTGGGACTACAGGCGCGTGCCACCATGCCCGGCTAATTTTTTGTATTTTTAGTAGAGATGTGGTTTCGCCATGTTAGCCAGGATGGTCTCCATCTCCTGACCTCTTGATCTGCCCGCCTCGGCCTCCCGAAGTGCTGAGATTACAGGCGTGAGCTATCGCGCCAGGCCGAGAAGCATTTTCATCCCAATAAGGAAAGCTCAAGCTTTAAAATTCACTCTGTTAAGCTGGTAGTTTCTAAGTTTCTCCTTATGGAAAATTTTCAAGAGCACTTGATGAATAATTTGATATAGGTGCACTAGATGGCTTAGTATATCCATAGTACTCAAAGAGGTTTATTCACCAGGAATATTCACTTCATCACTTCATATTTTTCACACTTATAATTTTTCCTTTTGCTTTCTTAAAGTTCTTACTTAGAGCAGTTGCTGTCACTATTGTTCAGCTGGTTAGCACTGAACAATATTGACACAGTGCTATTGTGGAATACCATCAAAACTGAGACACTGAGCATTAGGTACTAATCAAATCCAAACACACAATTTTTTGGCATATGAGATATCTTTCATACATATAGGATCAATAAGATGCAATAATAGTCAATGTTCTAAGACAAATATATTCACATGAAAAACAACATTACAAAAATGTTCTCCAGTAAGTATTTTGTCCTACAAGTTGGGAGAATACTCATTATTCAATTTGAGCAGCAGAACACCTTGATTCTGCTAATGGAACATGTTCTGTACGATAATTGCTTCAAAACCATCTTCCTACCTTAATAGACTTTGAAAAAAGAACAGGAAGTAAAAAAATCCTGAGTATAATCAAAATGAAAATTCGGTGGACATCTAAATGTACAAAATTTATTATACACAGCATGATTTATGAACTAAACAGGATGTTTTAAGCAAATAGAATAATTCCTTTAAATCTTCCCCATATCTGTATATTCACATTTGCCTTGGACAATAACTTATAGAAAAATTGATATGATAAGTGGTCAGATAATTTTGGTTTTCTTCTCATAAGAAGATAAAATAAAAATTTAAAAACCTAACAAATAGTGAATAATTTCATTAAATAACTGCAGTAGGTTGCATTTAAATAAATGTCCATTCTGAAACCACAAAGAATGCAGAGGAGATATATTTGTACGGAGGGCTATTTTGTGAATTGGTTAATGGTGCAAGACAGTCTCAGATCATCACAGATTCATAGGAGAATGTTCTGGCAAAAGTTCATAGTCTATTTCCTTCTGGAAAAGGTTGGTAAATTTAGGAGAATTTATTTAAAGTTGACTTTTTCCTTTATCAGTGGCCTGGCTTAAGTTTTCAAGATGATGATCAAATGATTTTAAAAGGTAGGTCTTGTTCACATAGGTAGTAAAGAGGTTATGTGCATACCTACATACACACACACACACACACACACACACACGCGCACACACACACACACACACACAGAAAAGAAGAGAAGGCTGGCTTTTACATATTTTAATAATTTTCTTTACTCCTAAAAACTGCTTGTTTGAAAAGTTTCCACTGGAACTAGAGTACTAAAAAGGCATAATTACAGCTTTTTAAAATTGAAAAACATCGCTAAGTGTAAATAATTTAATTTTGCAAATATGAAGCAGAAGTTTAGAGAGGATAAGTGACTTACCCAAAATAGTACAGAATGGAATCCTGGATGCAGGTCTTCAACCCCCAAGCAATGTTCCTTCCAATTTTCTAGACTATAAACACTATATGACTTACATATTCAAATTCTCTATTAAATGATGCTTTTTTAAATTTTGCTGTTGACATTTACAACTTAGCAATGAAACAAATTTCCAACTATTTTTCAGAAAACTAGAACTAGAATCTTTACTCACCTACTTGCGAAGGATTGATACACATCTGCAAGATCCTATGATGTCCACTGAGGAGCAACAGCTCAAATAAGCCATGATCCCTGCCAACAAGAATTTTATAATTTATTAGTGGGAAAACTGCAAGTATCTAACTAGAATATGCCATTTAACATGTGCGACTTTCATTCTGGAGACCTCCTTCTATTGCACTATTTATAGCCATATGGAATGTGTGGAGATTCGGATCTCTGATGAGTGGCTGGTATGTCTAATCATGATAGGGTCTGACATGTGCATCCGTCTTTTAGGTTCACAGTCTACCCAGAACCTTTGTTCAGAATGAGTATAAATTCATGTAGTAAGATAACTTTGTTAGAAGAAAATACAGATTATCTCAAAATGTTCTAACAATTAAGTTAGAATACTGTTTAATAAGCTCACACCTTCTAAACACCTTGTCCTAAATGTTCCCTTTAGAAAAATCTGACATTTAAAAAAATTCAAGTTGTAATATGGGAATAAACATGCAGTTATACTATTACATTTTCTTTATTCTTCATAAATATGGTCTAATCTCACATAAGAAATACTTTTACACAATATTTTCCAAATTTAAGAACGTATAGCTAAATAGTAAATGCAATTAATTATGGAGAAATAGAATTTTGAATGCAGCATAATTATATTAATTCACTTGCAGATTAGAGAGATATTAAAGTATTTTTTCCTATATCCAGATTTAGACATACAATATAGACCATTTCATTAAGAAAGTCCTTACAGTAGTGGCTTAAACCTCATAGACTTGAGGTGGATTTTTATTATATTTATTACTTTCATGTAAGTTCTAGCTTAACATTTTTTAACAGTGAGAAATATGGGACACACCCATAGCAAGTCTCGCTATCTGGATATCTAAATGCAGAGCATTCATAAGATGCTGGTTAGGTTTGTGAGATACAAAAACTTGAAACTGAATCTTGATGATATAAGTATTTAATAGAAAGGGACTTAGCAATAGGATGTTGAGTAGTGCTATTTCTTTTCTTTTCTTCTTTCTTTCTTTCTTTTTCTTTCTTTTGTCCTTCCTTCCTTCCTCCCTACCTTCCTTCCTTCTTTCTTTCCTTTTTCCTTCTTTCTTTTTTTTTTTTTTTTTGGTTGTTGTTGAGACAAGGTGTTGCTCTATCACCCAGGCTGGAGGGCAGTGGCCAATCTCAGCTCACAGCAATTTCCACCTCTCGGGTTCAAGAGAGTCTCCCACTTCAGCCTCCCAAGTAGCTGGGAATACAGGCACATGCCACCATGCCTGGCTAATTTTTGTATTTTTAGTAGAGACAAGGTTTCATCATGCTGCCCAGGCTGGTCTCGAACTCCTGACCTGAGGTGATTCACCTGCCTCGGCCTCTCAAATTGCAGGGATTACAGGCATGAGCCACCGCCCCCCAGCCAAGTGGTGCCATTTCAAATGACAATGTGAGGAGACCTGCAAAATTGCTCCTTCTCAGCAAAACAACCACAAGTGGTGAAATTACGTTAAAAAATAATATTTAGCATTTGTGCAAGTGGTCCTGAGGACAAACAAAAAATGAAGAAACTAAACCTCAGTGAAAAACACCAAGAAACTGTAGGAATTGAGCTACACTCAAACCCTCTCACTTCCTCAACCTCTACCCTACCCTCATCTAGTCACACTTGGCATGACTGAATGCACCACTCTGGGTGTGTCTACCAAGATGGGGCTTTCTCTAATCCCAGCTCCCAATCAAGAACTGCCATGTTTATGTAAGAGCAACAGTCAACTAGCATTTCTCATAATCCTTATCTCTATAGCAGAAGCTGTATTCTAGGTGAGTGTCTTGGAAAGGCTGAGGCTCCCATCTTCTGTAAGTCCCCATTTGTAGGGTAGAGTCTGTCATAGACACAGCCAGGACTAGAATACTGGAGCCTCCAGTGCCCTCACCCAGCTCACTACTAGGATGGAGTATCTATGCTGGAGGAGGCAAGCAGAGAAAATGAGACCACCATCCATTCTGAGCACCCTGCTTGTAAAGCAGGATGTCACTCTGAGAAAGTGGGTCACTGTCCCTGCTCCTAGCTCTGTAACAATAGTTCAGAGATTTTGCCTAGGCAGAGAGGCAAGCTATATAGAGAGTTTTGAAGCTCTCTCCAAAGGAACTGACTTCATTTGGAGCACAGTACAGGAAGTTCAGATATACCGGTGATATAAAAACAGTGAAGACTTGCTAATAAGTGATTAACAGGAAGTTGGTAGCTCCATTCGTTCAGCAAACTAAACTGCAGGCCAGCTAATTCACCAGAGAAAAGCAGGGAAAGAGGCAGCTGAGAACAGCCCTCCTGGAGTCAGAACAAACTTCAAAGACTGGTCTCCAAGATTACCTCTCGAAAGTGGAAATAACCCAAATGTTCATTGCTAATAAATAGGAAAAATGTATAAATGTACAATGGAATATTATTTTGCAATTAAAAAGGATGAAGTGTTGATATATGTTACAACATGAATAAACTTTGAAAATACTATATTCTAAGTGATAGATGCCAATCACAAAATATCACATATGATACGCTTCTATGTATGCGAAATAGCCAGAAAAGGCAAATGTATAGTAACAGACAGTAGATTAGTGCTTGCCTAGGGCTGTGGGTGGAAGGGTTGGGGAAAATAGGGAGTGACTGCTAATGGGTGTAGTGTTGCTATCTGGAGTGATAAAAATATTATAACCTTGATGTGATAATTGTTGCATAACTATGAATTGCATAGTATATGATTTATATCTCAATGAAGCTGTGATTTGTAAAATAGATATTTGGTGTTTCACATTATCACTGTGATGACCAGAGAAACAGGCTCTGAAAAAGATCAGGAAGAAACTGGAGCCACAACTGGGAGGAATTCATAACAGCTGAGGCATGAATGGCTGGACACTACAGATAACAATCTTTCAGCCAGGAGAATATAAGCCACACAAGCCTTTTTTGTTTATAAAATATCCTGTCTCATTTATAGCAATGCAAAATGAACAGAGACACATACACTAATAAAATACTAATGAAAATAACTAACACATATACTTTTTTTAAAGCCATGTACAAGACACTGTTCTGAGGGTTTTACATATTTTAACTCATTATGCACTAACCTTATTATGTGAAATAGACACTTTTATTACTATCTCTTGTTTTCCATATGAGGAAATGAAGACACAGCAAGATAATGTAAAAATTTCATGAATACTTTGCCCTTAAAAGGCAGAGATGGGATTTACAACAAGAGTCAGCTTCTGGAGACCTTGTTCTGAACCACTACTATGTTGAACTTCTTCCCTGTGAATAACACAGTTCTTTTGATTCAACTCGGCTCTCATAGATAGATCATGATCCATGTTCAGAAATATGTCTTTTCTGCTAGGCATACACGCTGAAAAATCACCAAGTCAATCTAGCACTGCATTATTTTACTACTGGAGAACTGTGTTAGATGGTGGGGGAGGGATTAGGAAGCAAACTCCATACCATACAACCTCTGCTCCTAAGAAACTTGCAGTGTAATGAATTCATGCTACATAAATACACTAAACAGCTCTAATTAAAGGGGTATTTATTCCTTAAAATTTTAATTTGTGAAACACTATCTTCAAAATAAATATCATGCGAAAACATGCTATATACCACCCAATAAGAGTATACTGGCTCTGATTCCAGCTTGAGTTTTAGATTTCATGTCTATACTACTTATTACTGTCCCTGGTCCTACAAGACAATTTCCAAAGCAGCTAAGAGAAAATGCTCAGCTCTCTGACTTTCAGTTTGAAAAGCTAGATTATGATAAATTCAGGGAGAAACATGAAAATCAATATTTATGAGGCTTTCTAGGAAGAAAGATAGCATTGAGTTAAGGGAAGCCCAAAGGTGATCCTTAAAGAGATGACATTTGAAATAAGCGTTGACGGATGAAGATGGGTGGTGGTGCTGGAACTAGAGAGAAACTATTATGACCATAGACTCACAAGCAGATTCAGGAAACAGTAGATAATCTAGATTTGTTTGAACACAGATTATATACACAGATGCCCTAGAAGATAAATCAGGCCAGGTCAGTTGACTCATTATGAACCATAAATTGCCAATGTAAAGCTTTCATATCAACTGAAAAGTAAAAAAATTGTTAAGTTTTTTAATCACAGTGGGAATGTGCAGAATTATGTTTTAGAAAACTAAATTTCTTTTGAGGTTAGGATAGTTTAAAATGTTAACAGAAAGGAGAAATAGAGCCTTTCTAGAAGACTATTGAAGTATTGCTAATTCCAGATGTATAAATTATGCATGGGTGGAAATATTACTGAAAGAATAGAGAAATGGATGATGTTTTGTGGAGGAAAAATCTATATAATTTGTTCAGCTTCTACAATATGAAGTAAAATATGAAGTTGGTGTCAGGAATTGCTTTGAAATGTTAAAAATATCCAGGGTAATGTTTGTGTTATTAACACAAATGAAGATAGAAAAGAGTGGACAGTTGTGATATGGAAATAATATGTTTATTTGATCTATTTAGATAAAGAGTGTATTGGGACATCTTTGAGGTAATGTCAAATACTGAGTTGAAATTACAAATAAAGCTTTAAGAGAGATTTTAATATGTGTATGTATGTGTGTGTATATTTATACCATGTTTAAGGCTCATGAAGAAAAACAAAACAAAAATAAGTGAAAAATTTTAGGGCAAAAGGAAAACAAACAAGCAAAAAGAAATACAGGGCTGGGTGCCGTGGGTCACACCTGTAATTTCAGCACTTTAGGAAGCTGAGGCAGGAGGACCACTTGAGCCCAGGAGTTTAAGACCAGCCTGTGCAAGGTATTGAGACCACGTCTCTACAAAAAGTAAATACATAAATTAATTAACTGCATGTGGTGGTGCACACCTGTGGTCTAAGTTACTTGGGAAGCTTAGGTGGGAGGATTGCTTGAGCCGAGGAATTCGAGGCTGCAGTGAGTCATAATCATAAGCACTGCACTCCAGTCTGGGTGACAGAGTGAGACCCTGTATCAAGAAGGAGAAGGAGAAGGAGAAGGAGAGGAGGAGGAGGGGGAGGAGGAGGAAGAGGGGGAGGAGGAGGAAGAGGGGAAGGAGGAGGAAGAGGGGGAAGAGGGGGAGGAAGGGGAGGAAGGGGAGGAGGGGGAGGAGGGGGAGAAGGGGTGGAGGGGGAAGAAGAAAAAGAAGAAGAAGGGAAAATAATTGTAGAGTACAGATTTAAAATTTTATTTTTAAGCCTATTTCTTAGTAGTGTTTAAACTCAGTCATGAAGCCTAATGTGAGAACTGAGATAATGCACATAAACACATTGTGCTATTCCATTGCATCACTATAAAGAAATATCTGAGGCTGGGTAATTTATCAAGAAAGGAGTTTAGTTGGCACATGATTCTGCAATCTGTAAAAGCCTGGCACTGGCATCTGCTTTGTATCTGGTGAGGACTCAGGGACCTTTTATGCATGGCAGAAGGCAAAGTAAGAGCAAGAAGGTCACATGGTGAGAGACGGAGCAAGAGAGTGAGGGGGAAGGTCCCAGACTTTTCAACAACCAGATCTCACATGAACTAAGAACTCACTTGTCATCAAGGGAATGGTGCTAAGCCATTCATGAGGGATCTGCCCCCATGATCCAATTACCTCCCACCAGGCCCCATTTCCAGCACTGGGAATCACATTTCAACATGAGATTTGGAGGAGATAAACATCCAAACCATATCACACAAAATATGCCAACTACAAAACACTCTAAAGCAGCCATTGATTAATCTCCTCAACATGTACATGAGGCAAAAGGAGAGAGTATTTATTAATCCAACATATATATAATGAAATAGAAAACAATGCTAACAATGATGTCAGTTTGTATAGCACCATGCAGTTCCACTCATTTTGTCTTACTTGATGTTCACACTGACCTTGTAAGAAACAAAAAGTAGATATTATTATTTTTGTAAGTTTTTAAATGGCAAAACTAATACCAATAGGTAGACATTAGTAAACTTCATATAGTTACCAAAATGAAACAAATAATATGCTGTGTCTTTAAAATATACATATATATATATTTTTTTTTGAGATGGAGTTATATGCTGGATCTTGTGTCGATATTTTGTACTCCCAAAGTAACTTTGCCAAGGTCACAAAAGAAGAGACATGGATTAAACTTTGCACTTTTTCTGTCTAGCATATGCAGTATTTCTTGCAATCATTCCTATGATATAATTTGTCCTAGGTTTAAAATCAATTTAAAATAGATTTAAAATGATTGTATTATTTCAAACAAAATTACTAAAACTGACTTTCAGATATTTTGTTTAATTCAAGAAACACTGATATTGATAGCCTAGGATGTTCAAGTCAGAAGTTTAAGGCATGATGATGAATTTAAAAATTAAGAGTACATGTTTTCCCACTGCTATCTCCTCTCCTCCCTCCAAATCACAGGGACTTGCAAGTTAATACTGGTGGCAAGTTATTATAAATTGCTAATAATATAAAGCATATATGCATAAATATTGTAATAAATATTCAGACAAAGCACTATGGGAGTGAAAAGGATATAAATGAAAAATGTGTTCTGATTAAAGTGATGTTGAAAGGTGTCTTGGATAAGACAGAATTGGTTGATGGCACTGAAGGGAAGTCAATGTAAATAGGAAGCTACAGGATAGAGGATGTATAGGACATTCTAGAATGACCATACTGAAATGGAAAATTCAGAGATTTGAGATTATACTCAGACAATTCATAACTACATCTAAGAGTAGAATTGTATAGGGTATGTTCAACGAGCGTAATGCAAGCCTTGAGAAAAATGTGTTGGTCAATAGTTATAGATAGATATGTGTTAAGGCAGTCACATCAAATAAGTAGGAGTGTCCGTTGGAAAAAAATCAAATTATATACATATGGTATAAATTGGTAACCCTTAATTGTGCAACAAATATAATGCTAACCAATATAAACAGTTGTCATAGACTTGAAGCAGAAACTGGGGAAATTCATCTCAAATATGCTGCTTTTGTGCTATAAATGAAAGGAGACTTTTATCTGACATTATTGAAGCCTAATTTTAATAGACATCATTGTAAAATATGTAGTCATCTATCTTTTCCTAACCATGAGGCAAAAATACATCTTTTTGAAAAATCTAACATAAATCAGAGATTACTGTGTAGCCTCATATTTGACAATTTAGAGAAGCTGGAAGTATTTAAGACCTTAGATAACTATATCCCAGGCCTTCTGGTGATCTATCATTGAAGATTTATTAATCAGAGGTATATTCTATTTTATGCAGATTTTTTATACTTTGTAAAATTTCTGTCAAGTTTCTAGAACCAGAATGTAGTTTTCAAAAGAATGGTGTGGAAATTAAAATGTAATACTAAAAGAACAGGTAGAATTTTTGTGTCTTTTAAATTTTATAATATGCTCTCTACACAAATAACAAATAGCTTTCATAGTATTCAGATGTTTTGTGCTGCTATATCCCAATTCTTACTTTATTTAGAAACTTATATATATATATATATATTTTTTTTTTTTTTTTCTAAAGCTCCACTGTGTCAGGTGGCTTCTCTCCCAAGTAACACTTACGGTTATTTATTGTCCAACCACCTCGACCCTTCTTACAATTACACCCCTATATGATCTGTTCATATATTTTCTAATTCCATTTTCCCTCCTTCAAATCTTTACCATGTGCATGATCTCTGGTAAGATTATTTTTCAGACCATTTTTTGGATAGACCTAAGCTACCTATGCATTTGACCACTGTGAACACTTATTCTACTGGTGTCTACCAGCTGAATTCTTACATTTTATCATGACCTAGCTCTGTCTTCATTAGGTCTTTTTAAAGAGATTTATTAACTATGTTAAAGACATGGCACATTTAAGTAACTTTCTTGTTTTCAAGGATAGGATAGTTTAATCAGAGCAAATTAGAACAATTTATCAAGTTTACCAATACGTAGAATTCTCTGGAATTCTATGGTATGGAAATGATGGCATGACCAAACCGTATGTAAATGAGTGGCTGTATTCCAGGAAGGAGAGGACCTGTTTTCAGGCAAGATATTAGACACACGGACACTGAACGCCCTCCCCAAAATGACCTCTAATTCTACAAATTAAGTGAACCAAGTGCAAATGGCAGGTCCTTACCACCCAACTCACTGCACCATAAGCCCTGTACATTTGAAACTCAGGAAAGAAACATTACCAGGAGGTCTGGGCTCAAATCATTAATCCCAAATAAATACTTTATTGTGTAATAATCCAGGGTACTCACAAGACTGACTCTTCCAGAAGGTAAAGGATTCATTGTCTTATAAGGTTACCAGATCAAAGTGGACTTATACATTCCCTATAGATTTATTCAGTAATTATCCCTACATATGGTTACTGAGGCCTACTGTGTACTAGGCCCATGGAGGATCTCTGGTTACATGCCATTTTGTGCTTCAAGTTTTCCCATAATCTTGACTTTTATGCTTGGGTACTGATTTTCAGATCCTAGCAGCTCTACACAAGTTTATAACATTCTACATGGTGAATTTGCCCATATAATTAAATCTACTCAAAGTCATCTTATTTGCTTTTCTCCTTTCACCCCACAGATATCCTGTCTTCATCGCTCCTGGAACAAAAGTACTTCCAGGGTCCAGTAGCATATTCTGCTCTATAGTCTCAGGGCTAGTAGCAGATTCAGTGCTGATGTGGCCTGGTTTCCAATGGGTCTAAAGTAGAAAGAGGCTAAGCATGGTGGCTCACACCTGTAATCTCAGACCTTTGAAAGGCCAAGGCAGGAGGATGACTTGATGCCAAGAACTTCAGACAAGACTGGGAAAAATAGCAAGATCCCAGAACTACAAAAAAAAAATTTAAAAATTAAGATGCCCCTGGAGTCCTAGCTACTCAGTAGACTGAGGCAGGAGGATTGCTTGAGCCCAGGAGTTTGAGGCTGTAGTGAGCTATGATTGTACTACTGCACTCCAGCTTGGGTAATTGACATGGTTTGGTTCTGGGTCCCCACCTAAATCTCATCTTGAATTGTACTCCCATGTTTCCAATGTGTTGTGGGAGGATCCGGGCAAACGATAATTTAATCATGTGGGCAGGTTCCCCCATACTGTTCTCGTGGTAGTAAATAAGTCTCATGAGATCTTATGGTTTTATCAGGGATTTCCAAGTTTGCTTGTTTCTCACTCCCACTTTGCCTGCTGCCAGCCCTGTAAGATGTGACTTGCTCCTCCTTGTCTTCCAACATGATTGTGAAGCTTTCTCAGCCATGTGGAACTGTGAGTGCAGTTAAACCTCTTTATTTTGTAAATTGCCCCATCCCTGGTATGTCTTTAACAGCAGCATGAAAATGAACTAATACAGTAAACTGGTACCAGGAGAGTGGGGCGCTGCTGGGAAAATACCTGAAAATGTGGGAGCAACTTTGAAACTGAGTAACAGGCAAAGCTTGGAACAGTTTGGAGGGCTCACAAGACAGGAAAATGTGGGAAAGTTTGGAACTTCCTAGAGACTTGTTGAATGTCTTTGCCCAAAATGCTGATAGCAATATGGACAATAAGGTCCAGCCTGAGGTGGTCTCAGATGGAGATGAGGATCTTGTTGGGAACTGGAGCAAAGGTGCTCTTATTATGTTTTAACAAAGAGAATGTTAACATTTTGCCCCTGCCCTAGATATTTGGGAACTTTGAATTTGAGAGAGATGATTTAGGGTATCCAGTGGAAGAAATTTCTAAGTAGCAAAGCATTCAAGAGGTGACTTGGGTGCTGTTAAAAGCATTCAGGTTTAAAAGGAAAACAGCATAGAAGTTTGAAAAATTTGCAGCCTGACAATGAGATAGAAAAGAAAATCCCATTTTCTGAGGAGAAATTCAAGCTGACTGCAGTAATTTGCAAAAGTAACGGGGAGCCAAATTTTAATCACCAAGGCAATGGGGAAAATGTCTCCAGACCATGTCAGAGACCTTCACAGCAGCCCCTCCAATCACAGACCTGGAGGCCTAGGGGGAAAAGTGGTTTCGTGGGCTCGGCCCAGGATCCCTGAGCTGTGTGCAGTCTAGGGACTTGGTGCCCTGCATCCCAGCTGCTCCATTGTAGAGGGACCAATGTAGAACTTGGGCCATGGCTTCAGATGGTACAGCTTCCACATGGTGTTGGGCCTGCAGGTGCACAGAAGTCAAGACTGAGGTTTGGGAACCTCTGCCTAGATTTCAGAAGATGTATGGAAATGCCTGCATGCCCAGGCAGAAGTTTGCTGCAGGGGTGGGGCTCTCAAGGAGAACCTCTGCTAGGGCAGTGTGGAAGGGAAATGTGGAGTTGAGCCCACACACAGAGTCCCTACTGGGGCAGTGCCTAGTGGAGCTGTGAGAAGAGGGCCATTGTCCTCCAGACCCCAGAATGGTAGATCCACTGACAGCTTGCACCAAGCATCTGGAAAATGCCACTGCAGACACTCAATGCCAGCCTATGAAAGCAGCTAAGAGGAAGGCTGGACCTTGCAAAGCCACAGGGGTGGAGCTGCCCAAGAGCATGGGGACCCACCTCTTGCATCAGTGTGACCTGGATGTGAGACATGGAGTCAAAGGAGATGGTTTTGGAGCTTTAAGATTTGACTGTCCCGCTGGATTTCAGACTTACATGGGCCCTGTAGCCCCTTTGTTTTGGCCAATTTGCCCATTTAGAATGGTTGTATTTACCAAATGTCTGTACCCCACTGTATTTATGAAATAACTAGCTTGCTTTTTATTTTACAGTTTCATAGGTGGAAGGCACTTGCCTTGTCTTGGATGAGACATTGGACTGTGGACTTTTGGGTTAATGCTGAAATGAGTTAAGACTTTGGCAGACTATTGGGAAGGCATGATTGGTTTTGAAATGTGAGGAGATGAAATTTGGCATGGGCCAGGGGTGGAATAATATGGTTTGGCTCTGTGTCCCCAACCAAATCTCATCCTGAATTGTACTCCCATAATTCCCATGTGTTGTGGGAGGGACCTGGCAGGAGATAATTTAATCATGTGGGCACTTTCCCCCATACTCATTTCATGGTAGTGAATAAGTGTCATGAGATCTGATGGTTTCATCAGGGGTTTCTGCTTTTGCATCTTTCTCACTCTGTCTTTGCCTGCTGCCATCCATGTAAGAAGTGACTTGCTCCTCCCTGCCTTTTACCATGATTGTGAGGCTTCCCCAGGCATGTGGAACTGTGAGTCCAATTAAACCTCTTTCTTTTGTAAATTGCCCAGTTTCGGGTATGTCATTATTAGCAGCATGACAGCAGACTAATATAGTAACAGAGCAAGACCCTATATCTGTTAAATAAATACATTAGAAAGAAAAGGGATCCAGTAATTTTTACCTGGGTGATTTAGGGCAAGATAATCAGTTTTACCAAATCTAGGTTTATTCCTCTTGAGGGAGAATAGTAATGCATGCCAGCTGCCATGATTTCATGAGAATAAAATGAAGAAAAAAAAACACATAAAAACACCTTGTTAACCATATTACACAATATGTATTACAAATAAAATTAATGAAAATAACATAACCTGATATTCCCCCAATTATTATTTAGTTCATCACTAGATTTTACACAGTACCTAGTCATGTACAACATAGATTGAACAATGTAGTACAATGTAGTCATGAACTGTAAGCATGTAGTTAATGCACAGAACAATGCTTTGATTCAATGAAAGATGAAATGAAGTTTAAAATACTATATTGTTTTCTACTTAGAAAGGACAAAACTCTGTCCAGATCTATTTTCTAGCCTCACACAGAAAAAGAAAAATGTCCCATTCTCTGAAATGCAAATGTCAAAGCCTATACAAATTTCTATATTTCACCATTTGGGGCACTTGGCAACAAACGAACAACCCCTAATTTGGTTGACAAGGAAGCAAATTCTGAGATGGATATTGGCAAGCAGAAGGCTAAGTTCCTTGGGGTCAATACTATGTGGAAGTAAAAGAAGTAAGAATGAATAGAGGGAGGTGTTGAAAATTGATGCAGATGCAAAGGACAACTTTGCTGACTGTTCAGGGGCTCTAAGCTGAAATGGCCCTTCTTAGTTGCCCTACTAAGGCAAGGGGGCTGGGATACACACCATGTAACCAGCATTCATTGGATGCAGATGGGCTGCTGGGGAGTGAGCACTAACATGGGCCAAGTGGGTCCCCTCAGGGCAATATCCTAAGAAGGGCTTAGTGTAGGACCATCATCTGGACACAACACTCCTAGATGCCTGAGGAATCCTGTTTTGGTCCTGAAGGGAGGAAAGGTTGTCTTATCACAACAGGCAGTAAAGCCCATTCCTCCCACAGTGCAGATTAATTTTTTTCTTAGAACAAATGCTGGAATCAGCTCCTCTAGGACTCTAATGTGGTGTTGATGTTTCAACAAATACTCATCATCTATCTTATTTCTGTATAAAAAATATTCAGAGAGGTATTATTCCACTGTCATATTACTCATCATAATCATGTAAAATTGGTAAAATATGCATATCAGAACCTTTCATAAACTCACTTAAAATGGAATTCATAATTGCTGGAACTATGACTTGATTCCAATAAAAATTATCTGAATATTTTAGATGTTACATTGCCCTGAAAAATTTTTTAGATTTTTAATTTCCTGGTTATTTTTCTAATTCCAATCAGCCAACTTCCTTTCACTAATTGTTTTTGATTCAAAACTATTCCTCAGGCCATATTGAGATTTTGTGAGGCAGATACATGTGACTAGGTTTGTTTAGTGCTACACTGATAAGCAAATAGGACAAGGTCTGTATCATTGTGTACAAATATATTTGTGTACCTATATATGCTTTTATATATTATACATATGCTTATACATTATATATATTATATATGCTTAAATATACTTTTTTATATGTATGCTGAATGTTATATCAGTGTTTTGCGCTCCCAAAGTAACTTTGCCAAGGTCACAAATGAAGTGACATGGATTAAACTTTGCTCTTTTGCCGTCTACCATATACAGTATTTCTTGAAGTCATTGCTATGATAGAATTTGTCATAGTTTTAAAATGAGTTTAAAATGGATTTAAAATATATGTAAAATGAGTGTATTTTTTCAAAAAAATTATTAAACTGACTTTCAGATATTTTGTTTAAATCAAAAATATTGATATTGATAGCCTAGGATGTTCAGTTCAGATGTTTATGGTATGATGATAAATTTAAAAGTAAATAGTACATGTTTTCCCACTGCTATCTCCTGTTCTTCCATATCACATGGACTTGTAAGTTAATAGTGGTGGCAAGCTATAATAAATTGCTAATAATATAAAGCATATTTGCATAAATATTATAACAAATATGCAGACAAAGCACTATGGGAGTGAAAAGAATATAAATTAAAAATGTGTTCTGATAAAAGAGACGTGGGAAAATGTTCAGTGCTACATTGATAAACAAATAGGACAAGGTTTGTAGTTATTAAATGCCCCACAAAGAGAAATTCAATATAAAATGCAAGATACTCAGTTAAATTTGAATCTCAGAAAAAATATAAATACATTTTTAGTATGAGTATGTCCCAATTGTTCATGTAAAACATTCATACTAAAAATGAGGAAGAAAAGAAAGGAAAAGAAAAGCTCTTTATATAAAATCAAATTTAATTTTATATCCTATATTTTTGTTGTCTCAATCTGGCAATGCCCTCCAAAAAACGAATGACCTTTCATCAGTAATGAAAATTTCAAGTTTCACTTCAAACTCTATCTAGGTTTTTACACTGTGTCTCTCTCAACCTCAGTGCTATTGACATTTTGGGCCAGATAATTTTTCATTGTGAGAGGTTGTTCTATAAATTTTAGAGTATTTGGCAACATTTGTGACCCCTACACACTGGATTCCAGGAGCACCCCCCTAGCTGTGACAACCAAAAATGTCACCAGATATTGCTTAGTGTCTCCAGGGACCAAAACATCTCTGGTTAAGAACCATTGATCTAGATTACATGAACTAAAGATACAACCAATTCTATCATCATGATTATTCAGGGCAAATCTTCTCTTTTAGTTAGATAATTGAAGCAAGCAAACACACAAACAAAAAAATGACACACATGTAGGTGTTTAAATCAGTTGAGCTTCATTCAGTGTGCAGCAGAAGTTTCTAGCTTATCTATTTGCTTTTATATTTGATTGCTTAAGAGCAGACCATGAAAAAGCCTTCTGTTGTAGCATCCTGCTTGGAAAACTATTGACTCAATACTTACTACCAGAGCAGACCTGGTCCAAAATATTTAGATACTGAAGCTACAGATACATGAAATGTATATCCTACAACATTTCTACATGGATTGAAAGGCAAATAGGCCCTTTTGTAGCTCATTTGCTTTGGTTTCTGTCCTAAGACAAAGTGTAATTTAACATAATTGAAATAACAAGGATGTCTGCTGAGATTTGTTTAATTCTATGAAAAACAGCTGTAGGATAAAAATAAATAATCAAGGCCAGTGGTAAAATATCATTTGTTTCTAATCAAATTATTATCAAAGAAGGCATATAAGCTCCAGGGTGGAGACTTTGTTTTCCTCCCTACTCTACCTCCCAAACCCAGAATGGTACCTGGTTCATAGTAGGCACTCAAAAATATTTTCCTATGAATGAATCAAAGAATGAGTCAGTGGGATGCAGTAATACATAGAGATGACACAGTCATATATAATATAATTGAGTAGGCACACTGTCCAATCAAAGATAGCACATTTTCTAGAAGACAACATTTGCTTGCTTAACAAGGTGGTATTGATTAAAAGAGATGTAAAACCCTTAACATTAATATGCTTAATAAGTGATTAAGCTCTTATGAAAATTAATGTTGTAATTCATTGACATACTGCAGGATTCTACTTTCAACCAGCCAAGCTAAGTTTCTAGGTTAATTTGTAACTCTTAGAATTTAAGTATATGAATAGATAAGACAAAACATGTCATATGTCTTTATCAAAATAACTGAGAAACTTCCATATGACAATGAAAGAACTTAAGAATGTATTTGAGAAAAAAAATCACATTCTTTATATTAAATATCAAATTTTGCTTTTAAAAATGCCTGTACAGAGTTCTGAGTGTACTGGTCACTATTTTTCTTAAGCTGAGAGGATTTTTGTAGTACTTAGCAATTTTGTATAACATAGCAATTAACTGTGCTCTAGCCTTCGGTATGTTACCGGCAAGTAATTTCTCAAATACCAATGTTAATAAGGTTGATGAAGCCAGTTTATCATTTTGAAAACATCTGTTGAGACATCACTAATCAGAAAGAGAATATTGATCAAAATTTCTGAAACATCTCTTTCATAGTTTATTATGTAGAAACAATTACACTCTAGAAATATAAAATACACATAAAGTGTAATTATGGCTTTTTTTCTTATTTGAAGTTCAATACAAATATTCAGTCATAGACAAAAACATTAAATGTATGCAAATGGATTAAAAATCCTAGCCACTGTTTTACGACTCTTTGCATCTAAATTAGAACAGGCATTGCAGGAGAGAACATCTTCATTCTCTAACCCTAAATTTGTGTTTTTATTTTCAATGAAGCACTGAAAGATATTACTATCCTATAACAAAGGCAGTATCATGTGAAATCAGGCAAATTTCCTAGGGGTGCCATCTTGCAATACCTATTTTTTGGCGGGGGGTTGTGGACAGAGTCTTCCTCTGTCACCCAGGCTGGAGTGCAGCGGTGAAATCCCAGCTCACTGCCGCCTCCGCCTCTGGGGTTCAAGTGATTCTCCTGCCTCAGCCTCCCGAATAGCTGGGACTACAGGCATATGGCACAATTCTCAGCCTGGCTAAATTGTTGTATTTTTAGTAGAGATGGAGTTTCACCATGTTGGCTAGGCTGGTCTCAAACTCCTGACCTCAAGTGAGCCTCCCACCTCAGCCTCCTAAAATGCTGGGATTACAGGTGCGAGCCACCATGTCCGGCCTTGCAATAGTTTCTTAAACTGTGAGTCTAAATGTCATTATTGGTAAAATAAGAGTAATGGTGATTTACCCCCTTATTAATTAACGGCATGAATGATCTTTAATAACTATTTAGAAATGTGTTTGACAAATACTTTCTTAAATGACAGGAAGTTACTGCGAGGCAGGTGGTTCTCTAAGAAATGTCAATTAAGATATAAATATAGCAATTTGGTTTGAAGTAAATACTTTCTATGATTGTTTAAATTCTTGTTTTATATATCGTAATGTTTTGTACATTTTGTAATCATATGGTAATGCAAACATAAACTTTTAGATGTGCAAATGATTGCTGTTGCTGTTTGTTGAGCACTGTAACAGTTCAGATCAATGCATTTAGTTCATCACCTGGGATTTACTGAGTAGGTGAAAAGTGCCAACAATTGTGCTCAGATAAGCACAATTATATTATCTCAGATAAAGATGGCAAAACTCAGATAAAAGATGAGCTCATTTTGGATAGTGAGACAGACAAGCAATCATTTTACATTTATGTGCAGAGCAATTTAGCACTTCTCTTATCAATCTTTTCTCTCTAGACTATAAAACCTAGACTCTGGGTTTTATATTTGCATAGCTAAAAGACACATTTGAGTGTGTGTATGTGTGTATACTTCTTTGGTTTTGATTACTTAATAATGAAGAGGTCTTTTCCAAAGATGAATTTTATCTCTATTCCTAGATGCAGAATAGTTCTCTGCGTGGCCTTTTACCAGTTCTCTTCCTTGCTTGCTCTTAAGAATAACTGTAGAATGTGCTGGGAATGCAACATTCTCAAATATGGGAGAGACTGGCCAAACACTTTGGGCTCTAATCTAGTCCCTTTTAGAAACAGGATGTACTTTAACACTTCAGCTCAGTGCATCATGTGACCCCAAGGTATAAAACCCAAAGTGGGCTACTTTCCAGGGTCCCTCAGCAGCTGTACAAATGGGACATGTGCAGATGAATCTCCATCCACCCCAAGCAGCTTTCCCGAGCCTTGGAGGACTGGATAGCAACACATCCTAGGCTCTCTTGTCCCTTGCTGCCTGTCTGGAAGTAATGAACATGTTTCAGGTAATCGTGTGTATGGGTGTTTTGTTTCACTGCACTCAGACAAGCTGGTCACTGGCGCACCGGAGCACAACTGCTTCACACTATAGCACCTAAGAAAACCAGAGGCAGCTTTTAAAACAGCAATTATTTCCCATCCGACTACATATCAAAAATGCACCTGTTTAATCAACATTTATTGAGCACCCACTTAGAATTCTCATAAAAGTTGGGAGAGGTAAAGATGTTTATTATGTATGGCAGAAAGGATGGCATGTCTCCATCTTTTCAGAATGCAGACTTTACTGGATTCACAAATATATATCATATAAACAAACATGTATATTCAGATAGAGCTAGAAGTATATTTCTATAGTTATACTTGCTCTGAAATATTCATCCAAATTAATACAGAATATCTTCCTTTTCAAAACATAAAATTTTAACAAAAGAAGAAAAAATAAAATGTTTGCACACACTGAAGATCTCTTTGTAACCTTTTGAAAAACCATCTATGCATTTGTGTAACAAGTATTTATTGTACGCATTATGTCTACCAGGTATCTTGCTGAGAAGTGGTTATAAAAAGACTCTGCCCTTGGCTCAAGTTGATCTCTCTCTAGGGCACACATCAACTTGTAAAGAAAATTAAACTCCTCAGTTTCATGTCTGCCCCCCAACTCTATCACCTCTCATTAACATAAGTATTTTTACATACCTCCAACTGTTGGGAGTCATTAGTTTTGAAGAGAGAGCTAGGCAAAAATAAGTAAGTGCAATAAAGTGCTAGAAATCTTTACAAACTTCAACAAAGTCACAAGGGATTGTTTGAATAATTTTGTCTCGTCAAACAAAGGTGTTTAACACTTTTTTTTTTTGAGACAAAGTTTAGCTCTTGTTGCTTAAGCTGAACTGTAATGGCACGATCTCAGCTCACTGCAACCTCCGTCTCCCAGGTTCAAGGGATTCTCCTGCCTCAGCCTCCCTAGTAGTTGGGATTACAGGTGAGCACCACCACGCCCAGATAATTTTTTGTATTTTTAGTAGAAACAAGGTTTCACCATGTTAGCCAGGATGGTCTCAAACTCCTGACCTCTGGTGACCTGACTGCCTCTGCCTCCCAAAGTGCTGGGATTACAGGTATGAGTCATCACACCAAGCTTTAATACTCTTTATTTATTTATTTTTTTTATTTTTTTATTATACTTTAAGTTTTAGGGTACATGTGCACATTGTGCAGGTTAGTTACATATGTATACATGTGCCATGCTGGTGCGCTGCACCCACTAACGTGTCATCTATCATTAGGTATATCTCCCAATGCTCTTTAAATAAATAAGAGACCTTGCCAGAAATTTTGAGAAGTGAATAAAATAATCTAGCCTGTTTTCTAGGATATTGGTGGCGAAGAAGGGACAGGCATTTCAAAAGTGGGAGTTATGCTGTCCCAGGCAAAAAAAAAAAAGGATAAATCAGTGTGGCACTTTCTGAAAACTACAGGTAGTTTTGCATGAGTACAAAGTAGTTTGCAAAGGAAGTGGAAGATATATATGAACCTGACTGCACACACAGAAACACCCACAAAGGCAAACATCTGCGTGCACACACACAAACACATAATCATGTACACATTCATAGGATTGGCTAAAGAGTGTAGGCTTTCTCCCATGGGTGATATTGAATTGTCTGAAACTGGCGATAAAATAAACTTGTGTTTTTGAAAAACTTCCATGGCAGCATTGTGGGAACCAGATTAGAGGAATGTAAAATTCTAAGCCAGAATAGCAAATGGTGATTGAAGTAATCCCAGTGAATTAGATCATAAGAATATCAAAGAGAGAAAACCCAAACTTTCAGAAGTTCAGTGAGCTTTCTTTCTTTATTTTTTGAGATGTGATCTTGTTCTATTGCCCAAGCTGGAGTGCGGCGATGCATTCATAGCATTCTTAGCTCACTACAGTCCTTGAACTACTGGGCTCCAGCAGTTCTCCCACTTCACTCAGCCTCCCAAGTAGCTAAGACCATGTCTATGCTCGAGCCACCATGCCCAGCTGATTTGTAAATTTTAATTTTTTTTTAAATGTAGAAACGGGGTCTTACTACATTGCCAGGGATGGTCTTGAACTCCTGGCCTCAAGTGATTCTCCCACCTCAACCTCCCAAAGTGCTAGGATTATAGATGTGGACCAGCCTCAATGAGCTTTCTTAATAGACAAATGTGGTAATAAGAAATATTTTGTTCTCTGAAGTGAAAAAGAACACTTGGCAGTCTTCGGCACCAGACTTGACGTTCAGTTGCTGGGGGCTTGACATGTAGAATCTGTATAAACCAGTTTTCTGACTTCCACCTTTGCCAGTGTAAAGAGAGAATGTAAAAATCTGTACCAAATGTTCATTTGAACCAAACTTGGTGTGTTAAATATCTCAGCTGAGAAGTCTTGGTGTGCTATGTTCTTATTCACAGCTTTCTAAACAAAAGGTCAAATATTTTATTTTTAAGTTCTCATATAACAGTTGCAAAGGATTTTAAGTAACTGGCAAATTGTGCATAAAAGTTGATACTTAAAGGAATCTGCTTATACAAAGGCTAACAAATATGTAAATTTGCTTGAATGTGAATTTTGCTTGCTTTTCAAGATTCTTACTTGGATTGTTTTAATCCATAAGGTAGTAGAATTCTCTAGGCTATATTTAGAGTGATCCTGAGACAGATACCAGTTCAGCATAAAGATAATGATTCCAAAAAATAAGTCCAGAAGAAAAAGAAGTTTGTATGAAAGAGAAAATAATTGTTAAATTTCTGATAAATCTAGATACTTAAAAATCATAGCAGTATTTGGACAAGTCCAAGACTATTACTTATAGAGTCCGTCTTTAAAGATGATCAAATATTTTAAGATTAATTTCTTTTGTTTCAATGAACATTAGAAAAGATTAGAACCACTTCTAATTTAGGACAAATGTCTTGTAATTTGCCCTATAGGATTTGATCTTTTTCTTAAAGAGTAGCTTTGAATGGATACATGAAATCTCCATCCTTAAAAAAAAGGCAGAAAAAATGTAGATTTATATGAGACAGCAAAATAAAAGTAATAGTAAACTTTTTTTTAATCCTCAGCAATTATCACAGTCAATTGTTAATTGGCAAAGTCATTAAAACAATTTTCCTGCCTCTACCAGCAAATGTAGTTTCTTTTCAGATTCTAGTGTCACTTCTTAACCCTTTCCAGTAATATTTCCTTCACAACATTGGAACTCACTGCTTTTTCTTTGTCTTCATTTCTAGATTTGTCTTTTCTCACATGTTAAAAGTACACAATTACAATGAATAACATTTCCTTATAAACATATTCCTTGGTCGGCATTTCCAATTCAGTCCACATAATCAGGAAATTTCATCCAAGTTTGAAATAGAACTCTATGCTCTATTTAATCCATTTCCTCTTCAAGCCATAAACACACTCTGGATTATTTGGCCTTTTTTAATCTCTTAATGAAAGTAGACTCAGTATGCTATTCAAGTTTGTCAATTTCACCTGAGCACAAGGCTAGAAAGTTTTACTTATATATAAATAAAATTATTATTTCTATATTATACATACCAGATAAGCCTCCTTGGGCTGCCATAAAAAAATGTATCAGGTTAGGTGTGGTGACTCACACCTATAATCCCAGCACTTTGGGAGGCCAAGGTGGGTGGATTGCTTGAGCTCAATGTTGTTCAAGACCAGCCTGGGCAACATGGTGAAATTCATCTCTACAAAAAATACAAAAATTATCATGGCATGGTGGCCCATGCCTAAAGTCCTCACTACTCTGGAGGCTGAGGTGGAAGGACAATTTGAGCCCAGAAAGGTCGAGGCTGCAGTGAGCTGACATTGTGCATTGCACTCCAGCTTGGGCAACAGAGCAAGATCCTGTCTCAAAAAAAAAGAAAAAAGAAAAACGAAATACAACATAAAATAGCCTAGGTGACTTAAAGTAACATAAATATATTTTCTCACAGTTCCAAAGGCTAAAAGTCCCACATCAAGGTGCTGGCAAGGTAGGCTTCATTCTGAGGCCTCTTCTCTCAGCTTGTAGGTGGCCAGCATCTCCATATGTGCTCTCATGACCTCTCCTTTGTGTGCAGGGATAGTGAGAGAGAGTGCTCTTTGGTGTCGCTTCTTATGTAGACACTTACTCTATTAAATCAGGGGCCTATACTTTTGACCTTATTTAACCTTATTGTTTACTCTAAATGCAGCTGCCCTGAAGGTTAGAGGTCAACATGAAATTTGAGAGAACACAAGCATCAGTCCATAATGTATACCAATTTGGCCCTGTGGAACTATATGAAAAAGTCTATTTCAGATGCCCTATAAAACTACACTGATTCGTTGACATATAAGATATCCTTTGGCTCTCACATACCTCACAGCATCTGATATGGTTTGGCTATGTCCCCAGCTAAATCTCATCTTGAATTGTATCTCCCATAATTCCCACTTGATGTGGGTGGGACCTGGTGGAAGGTACTTAAATCATGGGGGTGGTTTCCCCTATACTGTTCTCCTGGTAGTGAATAAATCTCATGAGATCTGATGATTTTATTAGGGGAAACCCCTTTCGCTTGGCTCTCATTTCCTCTCAACTGCTGTCATGTAGGCCGTCTGTACCTTTCGCCTTCCACCATGATTGTGAGACCTCCCCAGGCATGTGAAACTGCTGAGTCCATTAAACTTATTTTTCTTTATAAATTACCCAGCCTCAGGTATGTTCTATCAGCAGCCTGAAAACAGACTAGCACAGTATCAATAATTGTTCTTGCTGGGGCAGTTCATTGGTATGTTTTCTTTGGGATCAGTTATTTATTCATGTTTATTTTCCATTGAGGAGCCATGAAAAATTCTGAATTCTGCTTCTCCAGCCCCCTCTTTCCATACTTAAGAATAAGTAAGTACAGTATATCAGAAAACAGGTTAGTGAATTTCCCCCAGACAACATTTCACCAAAAAATAAAATTGTTCATGGAAAGTAATCTAAAAGAAGGCTCCCCCTGCACCGTATAAAAGATTAAGGTGTCATGTCTTTGGAATATAGATAAGAAAAGGATGAAAACATTCCTTCTAAGAAGCTGTTTTCTTCTGTCCCAAAGTTGGTGGCTGGCAGTCTGGCATCTTAGTTTACATCTTGGACATTAAACCTGGCCTATAAATATACCTAATGGGGTTTTCAATAGTTTTGTTTATCTCCCTGAGGACAAGAGAAACCTGCTGCTTAGAAATGTCAGATCTTAAACCTTGTTTCTGTGAGTTGTTTTTATTTATGTTCCATCTTGTGTTTCTCTGAAGCACACACAAAAGTCAACTTCAAAGAGCTATTTGTCATATTTGAAATTTTTAAGTAGTTAAGTTAGTTTGAAGAACCACCTGGAACTTATAGACAGGCGGTACATCTAGCACAATAAAACCAGAATATGAATATCTAACATTTTTTCCATCACATTTTATATTTCAGAAAACCAAACAAACCTGACATAATACAACATCATAAATGTAACACAGCGTAATATCATATAACATTGTAAAATTATACTTTATTCATGTTCTACTGTGAAGTGATTTTGCTTGTGCTTACCATTGTATTATTTTCAAAAATGGCAGAAAATTTTATAACATAGTTGACAGCTTTTCATATGCAGGGATTCTAGGTAATGAATGAAATTAGTATTAAATCTCAAATAATAACAAATGTGGTTTGTTCATCAATCATCAAAGCCAGATGTTTTTTGTTTGAATCTGATGCCCCCATTTGTTTTCTTAAATTGTAACAAGAATTAATATCACCGATTCATGCACTCTGCAAGAGTTATTTAGCTTAGACAGAATCATAGAATATTATAAGCATCCTGGAGTAAATTTCTGTCAAATATCTAATTTTGCAGAGGTACCTTAAAAAATGAGGCCAAAAAAAAAAGAAAAAAGAAAAGGAGGCCATAAAGCCATTGAATGGCAAAGCAAAGACACCACCTAGCATTTCAATCTCTCAATACTATATAAGAGATGCCCTGGACGTTGTTCTTAAATTTCTAATTCCCTTATAGTAGTTTACTTTGTTATTTTTTCCTCATAATCACTTAGCACTTTTCTAACCTATTATTAAATTATTTATTTACTCTTTATTATTATAGTCCATATCCTCTAATACCACGTAAGTTCAACAGGGCAAGGCCTCTTTTATGTATTATTTACCTATATATTCTGAGTGCCTACAAAGTGCTCAATAAATATTTATTTAATGAATAAATAAAGGATTGAGTAGTGACTAAACTATTAATAATTGTAGGGCCATTCATTTTTTAACTTACATATATTTACTTGGTAACTATTTTTTTTTTAAATACTGTCCTACACATTGAGTTTAAAATAATAAAGAAATCAAACATGGCCTCTCTACTCATGGTACTTACAATGTATTTGGAAGGCTGAATATTAAACAGGTAAATATAACAATTAATATGCAATTGAAATCAATAATTAGTGAAAGAAAGACAAATAGGAATAAAACAGTAGTGCTCAACTTCAGAGTGGATTTTCAGGAAATGATGAGAATTGAAGAATAAAGAGGAGATAGTAAAACCAAAGAGAATGCCTGTCAAGATACATTGGTTCCAGTTATCAGGGTTAATTCTGTGCTTCTGTATTAAATTTTCCACGTATGCCAATAAATTACTATATTTAAAACAAGATTATGTAATGTTAAAGTACACTATTAAACAAGTGATGTAAGTATACTGTTAAGCAAGTGATTATAATCTTCTAATCTCCACTAGTACCATTCCACTTTATATAATAAATGAAATCTACATTTTTTTCTGCTTCTTTTTCTTAAAGATGGAGTTTTCATATATCCATTCAAAGCTACTCTTTAAGAAAGGAATCTTCCATTTATTATATAAAATGGAATGATACCAGTGGAGATTAGATTATAAAGAGTAGTTCTCTTTTCTTTGTTTCCTGTCATCTTGGGGAGATTTTTCTCTCTAGTGCTTTTACACATGACCTACCTGTAAATTGACTAGTAGATTTACATATCACCCTAACTCCCATCAATTACTTAATATTTTAAATGTCATCATGATATGATTTTCTTTTTAATTCCCTGTTGTCTCATTGACTTCATTCTCATTTAAAACCACTTATCCTTAGGTTAACATAAATGGCTTACTGCATTCAGCTAACATCCAAGCAAAAGCCAGACAAATGTTTTAGATAATGTTGCTTTTAATATACTCCTGGGATAACCTTGGATATATTTTATATTTAGCTAAACAGTGAGAGTGATTATTAATTTTATCTCAATAATGTCTAGTAATTGGAAGATTGTTTTCTGAATACAGTTTATATGAACAACCCTACATGTTCAAAGTCCTTTTATTTGTTCCGAACAGTGGAGGAGGATATAATAAACACTCTAATGTTTTTGTATATGTGAAGAAACACAGATTTAGAGGTAATTTGCTTGTTCAAAGTCGTACAGAAGTAATTCAACTCAGATTTCTTAACCCCAAATCTAAGATTCTTTTAATTGAACTTTATGTCTAAAGGCAATTTAATGGAGGATGGGAGAGAAGAAAATGCAGTAATCAGGAGTATACTTAGTTGGGAAGAATTATGAAGTATTTATCATATTATCTATGAAGCAAAATGCAAGAACAAAAAAGGAAAAAATAAGATTTCTTGCATTTACATCTATGTACATCAGTAAGTTAAAATGAATGTTCCATATTACATAAAAAGAAAAATAGCAGAAAGCTAATGAATGCAAACAGAAAAGCAAAGACAGAAAGAATAAGAGTTTAATCTTTTGCACTGTTTTTTTCTTCTTTCTCTATTCAGAAATTTCAGTCTAATGGAATTTCCTAAAGTTATTTGTTTGAGAATTTTATAGATTTTTAAAATTTCCCCGATATTTCTTTTAAATAGAACTTGAAGAAAGTGAAATATTACATTCGGTTAGAAAAAAAGATATTCGAATACATTAATGAATATAAGAATTCCATCAGAGCTGATGAAAACATAGTCATATCAGAAAAGGTCAAATATCTAAATTAAAATCGAATAATAGTTAATGTACTTTCTGATAAAATAAAAGTTATATGGTAGAAATCTTTCTTCTTATGCATTGGCTTCATATCCAACATGTGAGATGCCCCTAGATAGTTCTGGCTAAATCTCTTAATTAACCTCTCTGTGGATCAGTTTATATAAATATACATACTTATCCAAATAATCTGATATTTATTCAAACCCTGAAAGTTGAATAAAGCATGAAAAAACTTCTAGGTATAAGAAAATAAATCCGGGCCTACTCAGATGTCTTCATAGAAAACTAGCCATTTCAACATTACACATTTCATTTCATTTATTACTTTTCACTGAAAAGTCTTTCTGTATAAAATATCTTCTTTAGAACTGTGTAGATGAAACTAGATTATGAAAATATGGACTGGGAAAATTTGGTAAAGTCCCTTCAAAACTCCTGATTCTCTTTCATCAGTTATAAAGTAAACTTGAGGTCTTTGCCAATTTGGATTGGGTTTCTTAAAAGGATAAACCAATACAAGGCAGGACCCAAGAGAAGTGAAATTACAACTAAAATATTTGTATAGGAAATGAATAAATATACACTTATCAAAAAAAGTCTGGTTAGTACTTTGAAATTCAAAAAGAAGGCATGAAAAGGGGAAACGGCAGTCTCTATGACTCTAACTGCTTTTTAAGTATTAGTTACTAAAGAGAAAGAGAGAGAGGCCAAGAGAGAGACAATGCTTAAATACAAAATAACTGCTTTTGTCTCTTACACATGAGATATATAGAATCATAGCAACAAGTATTTCCAAAAAGCAATTACTATGCCCAATTTAAACTGGGATGGTAGACACTGATGTACACAATAAAGAAATAAGAACAAAAACAGTACCAAAAATAACAATTTCCACAACACAAATATTATTACATGACTTTTTTTCCTCTGGAAATGTGTATAATAAATGGAAAGGCTACGAAAAACTACAGTAACTATCCTGGAAGATAAAAACATGTCAATTTAATAATCAATTATTCTTTCACAGAATTCAAACTTCTAGGGACATTTTGACTCTAGAAAAATAATCATTTGCATCTTTTAGATCAAAAGATTTACATTATTTTGGCTCAATATTAAGTCATTTATCAAAGGTATTCATCACTGTTAATTTCCCAGGACTGCTTTAACAAATTTCCACAAACTGAGTGGCTTAAAACAACAGAAATTTATTTTCTTCCAGTTCTGGAGGCCAGAAGTTCAAAGTCAGAGTGCTGGCAGGGCCATGCTTCCTCCAAAACCTGTAAAGGAATCCTTCCTTGCCCCTACCTAGTTTGTGGTGGTTTGCCAACAATCTTTAGTGGTATAAATGCATTTAGGCTTGGAAATATACCACTGCAATCCTGTGCCTTCACATGACGTTCTGTGTCTTCTTATTATCTTGTCTCAGTGTGCATCTCTATGTCTAGTTTTTCCCTTTTATAGGGATACCAATCATATTGGATTAGGGCCCACTCTAATGATCTCATGTTAACTTTTTTAATTTGCAATGAACTTATTTCCAAATAAGGTCAAGGGTCCTAGTCCTAAGGGTTAGGACTAAAATATATAATTTTTGAGAGACAAAATTCAATGCACAACAATCCTATTTCTTTGCTTAAGAGGTAATACTCGTTGTAAAATATTTACAAAAGAACCAAAGGAAGTAAAAATCACATAATTCCACAGCAGCACTATCAGTATTTGCACAGCAGTTTCTTTTCTGCTTTTTTTACATATATATGTGAATGAATATATGTAAATATATATGTATTGGACTTCAGATTCCATAAGCAACCTGGCTTCGCTTCTCTTCAACCACCAAAGGAAACAAAACAAAACAAATATATAGCACTAAGATTATCACCAGAAATATCCCATAACTGAAATATGAAGATGAGACAGTTTATGGAGCCACAGAGAAGAGAAAAATCTCCAAGCAGAAAGTAAGAGAGTCAAACATTCCCATGTGCAGTATCCATCCTCCCATTCTGAATAGCACAAAAATGTGAAAAATTTTCCCCCAGCTCGCTGTTTCTATATGGAAAAACTGAGAGCAAGGTGGACAACTAGCTTCTTCACCATCTTAGTTTCCTTGACAGGGGACCTATCCCTGCTTAAACCCACTGGAAGCATCACAAGTGTTTGAAGTAACAAATATTCCTGAGGACAGGGAGAGACAAAGGGAAAAGGTGGGACTATTATCACCAGACCTGGAAACTGTACTCTCACTCAGCCAAAGAAAGTGCCAAATCAGTGTGGTCGTTCAGCAGCACCATGCTGTCAGAGGTGCATCACACAGGTTCCTATGGCATGAACCCCTTGCTAGCCTTCCCACATTGACGGGGTAACCCCTTTGGAGCCTCCTCTGTTCAGGAATGGTAGTGCTCCAATTATTTACTGGGGAAAAGAAGAACTTGGGCATAAGGCATCACCTAGAGCTGAAAAGAAGGCAGTGAACAAATGGTAAAAAACCTGTAAGCAAATATATTCAATAAAAACCGAAAGGAGTCAGACTGAGAAGACTGAAATAAATAACTCTTTAATGCAAAGACATAGATATACATCCACAATAAATAACAGCAAACAGGAAACCACTATGGAATGGTTTCAAAACCCAAGTGGACAAAGCAAGGAACCAGTAACTGACTCTAATAAGGTGGTGATATGTGAGCTTTCTGATCAATAATTCAAAATGGCAGTTTTAAAGAAACTCAGTAATCTCCAGGATAACATGGAAAAGCAATTTAGAAATTTGTCAGATAAATTTAACAGAGATTTAAATGATTTTAAAAATCAGACAGAAATCTTACAACTGAAATACAATTTTTGAATTGAAAAATTTATTAGAGGCTCTCAACAATGGAAAGAATCAAACAGGAAAAAAATCAGTGACCTTCAAAACAGGCTATTTGAAAACATAGTTCGAGCAGAAAAAACAAGAAAATAATAAAAAATAAAAAGATCACCTATAATATAAAAAAAAACTCAAAATAACAAATGTAAAAATTATTGGTGTTTAAGAGAAAGTTGAGCAAGAGTGAGGGGTAGTAAGGTAATTCAAAGTAATAATAACAGAAAACTTTCCCAAACATGAGAAAGATATAAATATCCAGATAGAGGAAGGTCTGAGAAGACAAAACATAAGTGACCAAAATCAGAATACCCTAAGTCATATATATAATAATCAAACTCTCAAAGGCCAAAGAGAGAATCCTAAAAGCAGCAAGAGAAAAGGAGGAAATAACATATAAAGGTGCCCCAATTTATCTGCCACAACACACTCTCAACAGAAATCATACAGGACAGAAAGGAGTTGAATGGCATTTTCAAAACGCTGAAAGAAAAAAAAAACAAAAAAACTGCCATTCAAGAATACTGTATTCAGCTAAGCTATCCTTCAAATACAAAGACTGGGTAAAGTCTTTCCCAGACAAACAAAAGCTTGAGAAATTTTACCACCAGCAGATCCATCTTATAAGAAATGCTAAAGAGAGTTCTTCAGTCTGAAAGAAAAAAAATAATAATGTGTAAGAAAAAACAACAAACATGCAGAAAAATGTGCAGGAAAAAATACACAAAAAATATTGGAAGGTATAAAATCCATTGGTAAAATTAAGTACATGGATACATTTGGAATACACTAATATTATAATTTTAATTTTATAATGCACTCTTAAAAGACAAATCTATCAAAATCAAGAATAGCAATAGCAACCTATTAAGAGATAGATAATATAAAATATGTAGATGAGACAACTGATAGTCAAAATGTGGGGAAAATGGAGTTGAATTTTGGAAGTTTTTGGTTTTTGTTTGTTTCTGTTCTTTTCTTTGTATTCTAAAATAAGTTGTCATACCTTTAAAACAACTTGTTATACTATAAGATGTTTTTGTGCCTCTCATAGTAGACACAATGCAAAACCCGTAATAAATTTACTAAAAATAAAAAAAAAATGAATTAAAACACATTACTAGAAAAAAGTCGGGCCAGGCGCAGTGGCTCACCCCTGTAATCCCAGCACTTTGGGAGGCCGAGGCGGGTGGATCATGAGGTCAGGAGATCGAGACCATCCTGGCTAACACGGTGAAACCCCATCTCTACTAACAATACAAAAAATTAGCCGGGTGGGTGGTGGGCGCCTGTAGTCTAGTCCCAGCTACTCAGGAGGCTGAGGCAGGAGAATGGCGTGAACCCGGGAGGTGGAGCTTGCAGTGAGCCGAGATCGTGCTACTGCACTCCAGCCTGGGCGACAGAGCGAGACTCCATCTCAAAAAAAAAAAAAAAAAAAAAAGAAGAAAAAGAAAAGAAAAAAGTCAATCACAAAGGAAGACAGTAAGAAAAGAAGAAAGGAGTTACAAAAAATGAAGATAAAAGTGACAAAATGACAGTAGTAAGTCCTTAATTATCAATAACACTAAATGTAAATGAACTCAATTCTCCAATTAAAAGACATAGATTGGGTAATGAATAAAGAAATAAGACCAACTATAAGAAACCCACCTCACCTATAAAGAAACACATGGGCTGAAAGTGAAAGGTTGGAAATGATATTCCATGCAACTGGAAACCAAAAGTGAGCAGGAGTGGCCATACTTATAGCCACAGATAAAATAGAATAAAACCCAAAGACTGTAAAAAAAAAAAAAAAGTCACTGTATAATGATAAAGGTGTGAATTCAGCAACAAGATATAACAATTACAAGTATTTATGTATCCAACACCACAGATCCCAAATATACAAAATGAATGTTGATACATATAAAGGGAGAGAGAGATGGCAACACAATAGTGGTTGGAAACTTTAACATCTCACTCTCAGTAATTGTAATAGTCCATTCTCCCATTGCTGTAAAAAAATACCTGAAACCGGATAATTTATAAAGAAAAAAGCTTTAATTGGCTCGTGGTTCTGTAGTCTGCACAGAAAGCATAGCAGCTTCTGCTTCTGGGGAGGCCTCTGGAAACTAACAATCATGATGAAAAGTGAAGGGAAAGCAGGCACATCTGCCATGGCCAGAGCAGTAGCAAGGGAGAAAGACAGGAGATGCCACATTTAGACAACCAGATCTCATGAGAACTCACTCACTCAAAATCATGAGAAAAGCTCCAGGAGATTGTGCCAAACCATTCATGAGAACTTTGCCCCCCATGATCCAATCACCTCCCATCAGTCCACACCTTCAACATCAGGGATCACATGATATTTGCTCAGGAACACAGATCTAAATGATGTTAGTATGGACAGATCATCCAGACAGGAATTCAGCAAAGAAACACTGAAGTTAAGCTACACATTAAACCTCATAGTTCTAACCGACATTTACAGAAGATTCCATTCAGTTGCTGTAGAATACACCTTCTTTTCATCAGCACATGGAACATTCTCCAAAATAAACCCTATTTGGGGCCACAAAACAAGTCTGAACAAATTCAAAAAAGTCAAACATTCTAATAATTATTGGATACAACAAAAGCAGTAGAAAGACAGACATTTATAGCAATAAATGCTTTTATCAAAAAAGTGGAAAGGTTTCAAATAAATAGCCTAACAACACACTTCAAGGAATTAGCAAAGCAAAAGCAAACTAAACCACAAATTAGTGGGAGAAAAGAAATAATAAAATTTCAGAGGGCTGGGTGCGGTGGCTCACGCCTGTAATCCCAGCATTTTGGGAGGCTGAGGCGGGTGGATCACTTGAGGTTGGGAGTTTGAGACCAGCCTGACCAAAATGGAGAAACCCGTCTCTACTAAAAATACAAAATTAGCCAGGCATGGTGGTGCATGCCTGTAATCTCAGCTACTCGGGAGGCTGACACAGAAGAATCGCTTGAGCCCAGGAGGCGAAGGTCGATGTGAGCCTAGATTGCGCCATTGCACTCCAGCCTGGGCAAAAAGAGCAAAACTCTGTCCAAAAAAAAAAAAAAAAAAAAAAAAAATTCACAGGATAAACAAATAAAAATGAGGCCAAAAAAGTGCCAAAGATCAACAAGATGAAAAGTTTGTTTTTCGAAAAGATAAACAAAATTGGCAAACCTTTAGGTAGACTAAAGGAAAAAAGAGGCCCCAAATAAATAACATCAGAAATAAAAAACGAGATGAAACAATTAAGACCACAGAAATACAAGGAATCCTTGGAGACTATTATGTACAACTATATGCCAATAAATTGGAAAACCTAGAATAAATAGATACGTTCTTGTACACATGCAGCCTACCATGACAAAGCAATCTCAATAAACCAATATCAAGTAACAAGATGGGTGCTGTAATAAAACATTTCTTATCAAAGAAAAACCAAGGACCTGATAGCTTTACTACTTAATTCTACCAAACACTTAACGAAAAACTAATACCAGTTCTACTGAAACTCTTCAGAAAAAATGGAGAAGGGACTACTTCCACACACATCCTATGAGGCCAGCATTACCCTGATATCAAAACTAGAGAACACAACAAAAAAAGTAAACAACAGACCAAAATCATTGATGAACATAGATGCAAAAATCTTCAACAAAACCAAATTCAACAAAAAATTAAAAAGGTCACTTACCATGACCAAGTGAGATTCATCTCAGGCATGCAAGGATGGATTAACATAGAAAAATCAATAAATGTGTTAAATTACATTAACCAAACCAAGAACAAAAAATATATAATCATTTTAATAAATGCTAAAAAAGAATTCAATAATATTCACCTTGTCTTTATAATAAAAACCTTCATCAAACTGTGTATAGAAGGAACATACATCAAAGTAATAAAGGTTACGTAAGACAAACCAATAGCTAACATAATACTGAACAGGAAAAAATTGAAGGTTTTTCTTCTAAGATCTGGAAAAGAAAAAGGATACTCACTTTTATCACTTTTATTAAATATGGTACTGGAAGTCCTGGCCACAGCAGTTAGGCAAGAGAAAAATAATAGCAGTATCCAAATTGAAAAGGAAGAAGTCAAGTTAGCTTTGTTAACAGATGACATAATATTACGCTTACTAAAACCTGAACACTCTACTGAAATACTGCTAGTACTGATAAATTCAATAAGGTTATAGAATGTAAAACCAACATATAAAAGTCATTATCATTTGTGTATACCAACATCAAACAATCTGAAAAATAATCAAGAAATCAATTCCATTTAGAGTAGCTACAGAGAATAATATAAAAATATAGGAATCAATGTGATCAAATAAGTAGAAGATCTATACAAGGAAAATTATAAAACGTTGACAAAAGGAAATGAAGACGACACAAAAAATGGAAAGATATTCCATACTCATCAATTGGGAGAATTAATATTGTTAAAATAACTATTACCCAAAGTATTTTACAAATTTAGTGCAATTCCTATCAAAATAACAATGACCTTTTTTTTTACAGAAATAGAAAAAGAATCTAACATTTATATAGAACCACAAAAGACCCTGAATAGAAAAAGCAATCTTGAGCAAAAAGAACACAGCTAATATTTACTACAAAGCTATAGTAACCAAATCAGTGTGGTATTGGCATGAAAACAGACACATGGAATAAAGGAACAGAAGAGACAACTCAGATATAAATCCCCACATTTACAGCCAACTCATCTTCAATCAAGGCACCAAGAACATACTATGGAGAAAGGACAGTCTCTTCAATAAAAAGTTCTGGGAAAACTGAATAACTATATGCAGAAGACTGAAACTAGACTCCTATCTCTCACCATAAACAAATATCAAATAAAAATGGATTAAAGACTTAAATCTAAGATCTGAAACAATGAAATTAATGGAAAAAATATTCAGGAAACTCTCCAGGATATTGATCTGGGCAAAGATTTCTTGAGTAAGACCTCAAAAGCACAGACAACCAAGCAAAAATAGGCGAATGAGATCATATCTAATTAAAAAGCTACTACACAGCAAAATCAAACAACAACCTGAAGAGACAACTTACAGAATTTGAGAAAATATTTGCAAACTACTCAAACAACTGAATAACCAGAGAAGCAAATAAAATAAAACATTGGCAAAATATCTGAATAGATATTTCTCAAGATAAGACATACAAATGGCCAACAGGGATATGAAAAATGTCTATCATCACTAATGATAAGAGAAATACAAATCAAAACCACAATGTCATCTCACCCTAGTAAAAGTGAATTATGTTAAGAAGACAGACAGTAACAGATGGTGGCAAAGACATGGGAAAAAGAGAACACCTTTCCCTTTTGTACATTGTTGCACACTGTTGGTGGAATGTATAAAATAGTATAGCTACTATGGGGAATCATACACTGGGTCCTCAAAAAACTAAGAATAACATTTTCATGATCCAGCAGTCTCACTACTGGGTATATATCCAAAAAAAAAAAGAAAGAAAATCTAAATTTTGAAAAGACATTTGCACACCTGTGTTTATAGCAGAAATATTCACAATAGCCAAACTATAAAAGCAACCTAAGTGCCCATTAACAGCTGAGTAAAGAAAATGTAGTATATATACACAATAGAATATTATTGTGCCATGAAAAAGAATAAAATCCTGTCATTTGCAGCAAAACAGATGGGACTGGAGATCATGTTGTTAAGTGAAATAAGCCAAGCGCAGAAATACTAATATTGCATGTTCTCACTCATATGTGGGAGCTAAAGAAGTGAATCTCATGAAGCTAAGAGTAAATTAGTGATTATCAGAGACCAGGGAAGGAAGAGGATTGAAGGATGCAGAGAAGTTGATTAATATGTACAAATATACAGTTCAATAGAAGACATAAGATCTGGTGTTAGATAGACCAATAGGGTGACTACAGTTACAATAATCTATTGTGTATTTCAAAATAAACTAGAAAAGAAAAATTCAAATGGTTCTGGCATAAAGAAAAGATGAATATATAAAGTAATGAATATATGAAGTACACTGATTTGACCTTTACAGATTATATGAAGGTATTAAATTTTCACATGTACTCTGAAACTATGTACATTTATTTTTCATCACTAAAATATATGTATATATGCATTACATATTGCACGTTGGTGAACATACTAAATATATACCTTGTAATGTTTTCCACCAGAGTGTATTTAATTCATATAAACATCTAAATATTGCTAAAAACTGTGATCTTAATGATTATGCATTTCTACCATAATCATGTCTGAATATTGAATGTTAGAATAATACAATCACATGAATTCCTCAGATATATTTTTGTATCTCATCTCTTATTATTAACCCATAATAAAACCTTAGTGGTAGAATTTTGGTTTAAAAAACAACAAAAAAAGTCTTAAGGATTCAGCCATATAATCTACAATTAGGATCCTCTAACTGGTATCTTTTTATATTTCTAACATCTGTCAGCAAAATTGCCCGATTTACTGAACTCACAATATTTATGTGCCATACTATCTAATAATTTATCAATTGGATAGGTTAAAGCTGCCATTTTAAAATTAATTCATATGGCTTATTGGTGAGGTTGACTTATTTTAATATATTATTTTCTATATCTTTGCATTAGTGAACTCTTTCAGTTTTTTGTCTATCATCTATTAGTCTACTAAGATACTTGTTTTCTATGATGAAAGACTTTAATACATAAGGGTCATAATAATCTTTTTTAAATATGTGTTTTGTTCTCCTCACATTTTACCTTTCGCTTCGTATTTTATTTTATGAATTTTCTGCAGACACATTTATTTTGTAAGAAATATCTCTTTTAGGGATTTTTTTAGTTAAATATTGTTAAATGGAACTGTCCTGCCTTAATCCCAATATTAATAAATATTCACTTACAGTCTTCTCTAATATATATAATTGTATACTAAATAATACTTTACATATATAATATTTTTAAATCTCTAGCTTATCTACCTTTAATTTATCTTAAGGCTTAATGCATTATATTAAGCTGGTATCAAATTTTTGTTTTCTCCAAAAGGTAACAAGTTTATTAAAGATCAGTTTATTTAAAAATATATACTTTTGCCTTGCTGATTAGAAATTCTGTTATCAAATACTCAACTTTTATAATACTTAGAGAGGTTTTTAGTCTTTACTTTTCTCTTTTAATTCACCAACTTTGCTATTCTAGATCTGGGCAAATGCCACACATCTGTTTATTATAGTTTTAGAGTACATGGTTGTCATAGCTTTTTGTGCGTTTTTTCAAGATATTTTCAAGATATTATCCACAAAACCTCTTCCAGCTACAGATGTTGCCTTTATTACACACCTTAATAAACAAGCTATTTAATTAATTTTATAGTTTTTCTTTTTTTCTTGTGCATGGTCTTTAGAAGTAGACATAGCTAGGTATGGATACAGGTGTTTTCACCTCTAGATTACCTCTTTATGCCAGTTACTTAAACAATATATACTCAATCACCTCATATGTAAATGAAAATAACAAGAGTATCTGCTTCATAGGGTACAATAATAAGTAAAAATGGCATAACGCACATAAAACACTTAGCATGGAACATGGCACATGGCAACTGAACAGCAAATAGCGGAAATTTTGTTTTGATTGATTTAGTTGTTGGTGGTACCACTCTGCAAATGCCTGTATAGTCCAAGCAAACATACTACTGGATCTTTCTTGTAGACTTCAGTCAACTCATCACATATTTGTGGTTTTCAAATGAGTCTCATGTCTATAATAAGAACAATAGAAATATCAAATAGCACGAAAGATAATTTTCTAAAAACTCTTGAATACTCACTTCTGAGATGAAGATGAATCTAAAATTATTTTCATTATTTTAGACAGACCTAAAACTATTGTGCCTCTGTATCACTTTTACTAAATTATCCTGTCATAACACACAATTTCCAAATCTCAGTGATTTATAAAAGTAAATGTTTATAGTTTGCTTTTGCCATGTCAGTTCTACATTGGTTAAAATTTTGCCCTATGTGTTTTCTTCTTCCTGAACTGAAAAAAAATGATTTAGGCCATGCTTTTATTGTGGCCAATTTTTAAAATTATTATTATATTTTTAAGTCCTAGGGTACATGTGCACAACGTGCAGGTTTGTTACATATGTATACATGTGCCGTGTTGGTTTGCTGCACCCATTAACTCTTCATTTACATTAGGTATTTCTCCTAATGCTATCCCTCCCCCACTCCCCCACTCCACGACAGGCCCCGGTGTGTGATATTCCCCACCCTGTGTCCAAGTTTTCTCATTGTTCAATTCCCACCTGTGAGTGAGAACATGCAGTGTTTGGTTTTCTTTCCTTGCGATAGTTTGCTCAGAATGATGGTTCCCAGCTTCATCCATGTCCCTACAAAGGACATGAACTCATCCTTTTTTATGGCTGCATGGTATTCCATGGTGTATATGTGCCACATTTTCTTTATCCAGTCTATCACTGATGGACATTTGGGTTGGTTCCAAGTCTTTGCTATTGTGAATAGTGTATTGTGGCAAATATTTTTTAAAAATAGATTAAATCCATAATGGCTATTAAAAGCTCATGTGAGTAAGAGTCACATGATGCTTTCTCTCACAGTCTATTGACCAAGCAAATTATATGAGCAAACCTCATATTAATGGAGTAGATAAGTATAATTTGATAATAGAAAGATGAAGCAAATAATTGGGAGTATTGGTAACCTACTACTACCATTTTTTTTAAATAAAATGCATCAAAAAGCCAGAGAGAAAAATGATTATTTTTCACCACTTCAGTGTGGTCAAATGTCAAGGAAAATCAGAATGCCCACTCAAAAATTTAAAATAAAGCTATTAGTAAAACAAAAATAGAGCTTCACCCAGCAGATTGTTTTCTGAAGCAAAAAGAAATAAAAACAAAAAACAAACAAAAAACCTCTAAGTGTCAGTTCTTTTAAGTAGCTGTAACAAGTACCATAAATTGAGTGAATTACAAATGACATAAATTTATTGTTTATGGTTCTGGAGGACAGAAGTCCAAGATCAGCATATCTGCATAGTTAGATTCTATTAAGGGCCCTCTTCCAGATTGCAGACTGCTGACTTCCCTTTGCATCCTCACATGGCAGAAAGAGAGCAAGCTAGTTCTCTGGTCTCTTCTGATAAGAGTACTAATCCTTTGACTTGGACTCCACCCTCATGACCTAATTACCTTCAATGCCCTGCCTCCAAATACTATCACACTGGGGATTCAATTTCCACATGTTCACTCTGGGGAGGCACAAACATTTAGTCTGTAACACTGAGCAAATTGCATATTGGTGTTCTCTATCTCACAGAGACATAGTACTATTGATAGGGCTCTTACATGAGCACCCCAAGATTAAAATGTATAAATGAGTTAGATAGAAAAAATCCATGAGTATATATGGAAATTGAAATAATATATTTAGTGCTTAAACTGTATTTTTCTTTCACTAACCCACGTATTAATAAATATTCCTTTGAAGTAATTATGTCAATTGTATTTCTTAGATATTCTTAAATTTTCAGTGCTAAGCTTTCCTATAGTCAAATACCTACATTATATACTTCTTGAGCCACATAAATCAATTTGGAGCAAAACTTAGAATAAGTTCATGCAAGAAATACTGAATTAAGAAAAAAAAGTGTGATAAATGTTTGCAAGTCATCAAGAGTTATGGATTCTTACCTGATCATTTTAAGTCAAAACTCAGTTGTCAGTTATGTCCGTTCACACTCAGTGAATTTGCAGTGACATTGCTCTATTTGATTGTTAAATAATCCTTTTGATTACAGAAAGTCAAATGCAGTATGAAGGAGGTAGATACAGCAGCATATTCAAGGCTATTGTGCAATTATTTCTGTTTGCCTAGGCATGGCCTTGATGTCAAATTTCACCATGACTCTGCATTTTTATGTCAACCCTATTTCTATTTACATACCATAACTCTAATACCCTGAATGCACTCTCATCAATTAAATATCAATCAGAGGTTAAGGAAGGATTCATTCAGTTCTACCAAAGGCAATACTATTCCTGACAGCCTCATCTTATATATCTGGATTTTGAGATATACCAATCCTGCCCAAATTCTCTTTCAAATATCATGTATTAAAACATGAGATAAGTTAGAGAAAATTCTAAAACTCATCAAACCTCTCCCTAAAGCAAACCTTCAGAGTTTTGTTGGGCTTGTTTGGGAAGTGTTTCTTTACTCTCTACTTAAATTATTTTATAAAATTATATAATTTTTTTTCTCTCTCTCTCATTTTCATTATTCAGTTATTCTGGGATTTAAGTTTTAGACATCTTCCTTACAAACATGTTCAACCAAAAATGCCCATGTTTTCAGACAAAGCATTGGCTTGAATTCTCATAACATTTAGAAAAATCAAATTCATTTATTTATAATTGATTTTAAAACTATTGAAAATTTTGATCATTTGATTATAAGCAAAGAGCATATTTAAAGTTACATATAATACAGTTATAATTAGTAAAGTTTTACTCTATTTTTGTAGCAGAAAATATGGAATGATAGCAAATTCAATATTATGAGAAATACATAGTCTTAGCAAGACATTTTATAGATAAGAACATCCATATATCTCTAACAAGAAATAAAAATACCATTATGGAATGGAGACATAATTCGCATCCATGCTCTCTAATTATCAATATTCTTATCAATGCCATATGTGTAAATATGTTTACCAGATATAAGCCCATGTTGCTAACTGATATAAAGAGCTTGGGGAAAATGGCAATTCATTTTGGAATTCATAAGGAACTCAGGTTTGATATGTAATTTTTAGACAAAGGTTTAACCTGCTTAAATCATTTATAAGTCATTTGTATAGTAAAAATGTGATTCTCTTAATGTAGAAGGTCATTAGAAAATCATGCATTTCCTTAGAAAACATTCAGTATAAATAGAAAATATATCTGTGTTGTATGTATATAGAGAGTGCGAGAGAGAGAGAGAAACAATATATGAAAAGCAAATAAACTTTTCTTAAATATGATTAAAATTAATGGAATTTAAAATGAATTATTAACTATTTTTGTTGCATAAACGTGGCCTAGAGTTCATCATGATGGTTTTGGGAGACATTATATGACTCAGAGGGCAGTTAACTTCTCAGTTAATACTCTTAGGCTCTTGCAAACCCACTACTCACAACATTTTAGTTATATATTTAGTTAACTTTATAAATTATTAAGTTAAATACTGCAAAAGATCAAAACTAGTGATCTAAATTTCTTGCTACCATTTAATCTAAATTTTAAAAATTGAATTTGAAAAACAAAGGCTTATGTTGCAATTTTCATGTCAGATGAGTTTTGGCTCCAGAAGATAACTAGAAACAGACTTAATTTTAAGGAATAATATTGACATACTTTTTCTATGAGGTTAATTTTCATTCTCACAGTTTACCAAATATAACATCATACATAATATAAACTACAATTTGAATAAGTCCCATTATTACAATAGCTTAATACCAAGACGATTTTTTAACTTTTATTTGAAAAGATTTTTCAAAATGTGTGAAATGTTGAGTTATTGGGATAGCACAGAAAGCATATAAAATGTGACTTTGTTTGATGGGATTAATGAGAAGACAATGTTCATCAGCCCCAAAGCCCCATTTGAGGAATATACTTCCCCACCCTGTGAACATCATACTTGGTTTTGTGATTTGCTTTGAGCAAGTGGATTGTCAGAAGGCATGACATGTATCAAGTTTGGGCTCTTGCTGGATATGGCTTAGCCTCTTGGCCACTCTCATCTGCAGTAAGAAAAGCACACAACAAGCAGAAGTTGACTTTTCTGCCTGGGTGGATAAATGAGAACATAAGGAGTAGACCAGAACCAAACCTGCAGCCTGGAGCAGAGCTTTGGCATCTGATCCACAGGCCTTGGAATGAAAAATGAATGTAAGTTGTTATAAGTCATTGAAATTCTGAGAGCAGCATTATCTCAGTAAAAATTCACTAAAAGAGGATTCCACAATGAAAGCAACAATAACAGCAGCAAAGAACACTCATTCACTGCCACAGAACACTGATTATATTAGTGTTATACAGATTATATTATATTGCAGTTCTAAAATCGCAATTACTTTTGCACCAATTTATAGTATAAAGTGGTATTGAAAACTAGTGTTACGGCATACACATTTGTAGTGAGGTTATTTGAAAACCAAAAGGCTTCTGGCTTAAAATTGATAATTAAGCTGGGTTTTATCTGAGATTATTTGCCAATCAGCCTATATTTTATTTATTTAAAGCCCATTTGCAAAGATAAGTGAATCCACTTATTCAATGGTCATTTAACAAACATTTGTCAAATGACTACTGTTCTTCAGTTTCTGGTGAATTCAAACAAGCAGAAGAGATAGAGAGCAGGAGAGAAACCTATACAGTGTTTCATTCTAACTACTTACTAAATTTTCATCTATGTTCTTTGATTATTGTAATTTATATATAGTAGACATTTAAATGAGACCATGTGAAAATTTTGTCATAGTCATTTTGGGAAGTTTAGCTAAGTATCTGATAAATAACCAAACATGATATTTAGTAACCTTCACAAGATCTCTTTATCTATATTAACATGTCCTAATCTTTACCTGGCAATTCAAGGCCACCATAGATCAAATTTAATTTCCATAATTCAAAAAGTATTGCAACAAGTTGGGCTTATTTTTCCCCCTACCCAAAAACTGATTTTTTACCTCATGAAATGTTCTTTATGTTCTCCTTGTATGAACTGAACCAATGCTAAAATTGTTATTGTCAAAAGCACGTAATAAACTTCAGCAGTTCTACTATGCTTAGAATCAAATCTTACTTCATTTTATAAAAATTAAGTGCAAGTCTTGTGACTTCATGTAGTGCAGTTTTCTAATATAGCTATCATCAAATCTTGTTTTGTTTTGTTTTCATTTTTCTGTTGCCTTCAAGGAAAACAAAGTGCTTTTCCTCTATGTTCTTTATATACTCCCTAGTTGTAACTTAAGTGGATTTAGCTACTTTAATTCCAGTCTCATTCTTATGAAACATTCTTCAGAAAATAGCACTAACTTGGAGTTAAACACAATACTAGTAAAAACTGGTTCAATCTACAACCCACAGTAGTATAATTGCATCAAACAAGTTGTCACTAAAATTTAGTGTGGATGCTTCTGGAAACTCCCATTTTCAATGAGTTCTAGTATTTAGTTCTTCCTAATAAAAATCAAAATCTTGCTCCCTGGAATATCTGCTTATTTATCATGGCTTTTCTAATTCAAATGAACACAAAATTCATTCTTCTGTGCAAAGGAACTTCAGTGATTTGAAAGTATTTATCATGTTTCTAAGTTAAAGTCCCTTAAGTTTCTCCACTTATCATTATAAGCCATTATATCCTAAGTCCTTTCCTTGTTTATTAACCTCCTAGATGTTTTTACATTTGTCAAAGCTGTTCATAATATAGGGTACTGTTTACCAATGGAGTGCTTCGAATATAGTGAGACTGTTGTCTTCATATATCAAAACATATACATCAATGATGCAGTGTGAAGTCACAATACTTTCATTTGTATTGGAATGCTTAAATTATATAAACAATCAAAATCGCCATGTAGCATTTTTAAGAACTTCACAAGAAAATCCACCAAGTAACCATTTGGCTGTCTGTACTGGAAGTATTAATGTAGTAAATAGACAAAAGTGTAATTATTGTTGATGAACATAATTTTTCATGTTCACTTATGTCTCTCTCTCTTACTATTTGAATAACAAATTTAACAACTGCATACTTAAAAAATAAGTATCGCTAAGACATGCAAGATCATGCATGTGACGTCTACTTCAGAAGGGGCTCCAGTTTAGGTACAGGACAACTCTATTCCAACATGACAAGAGGTCTTCAAATTTTTAATCACAAAAAAAAGAGATTTTTGAATTTTGAGTTAATGAAATAGCCAAGTTGAGCCTGTATAATTAAGCTAGACACTAAGCTAGCCAAAGAGCCAGCTTAGCTACCCATCCATATACAGCCATGTTTTTGGCTACAGTTTGGTACCCACAGGTAGCAGTTGCCTATTCCTTTTTAAGATCTTGTGGCTGGCTGTGATATTGAAGATGGTGGCTGTGATTGCAGATGTGTCCTGATCAATTGAGCTGGTTTTATTGGCCAGATCTGAGGATACTGAGCAGAGTCAATAGTAGGGAGTGGTGTGGAGTGCCTAGATTAACTCCACAACTTCATGAATTTTCAAATCTTGGTTGCAAGAGCTTGATACACTTTAGAGCCACCATAACCCTCTTGCTCCCTAACCATAAACACATGGGAGAAGTTGAGCCTCTTCCCTTCAGAGACTGGATACTAGGAAGTTGATAGAGTTATTCATAGAGTTAGTAGCTACTGGGGATCTGTTAGAGATAATTTTCTCATAATCAGAGTATATGCTAGTTTGGTTTTTCTGTACACCCTTAATATTCTCTTAGTATCTGCTATTCGGGTACCTAATAATTTACTTTGCATTTGCCCCTTATCTGATGTTTGCCAATTCTTTATACATTAAATCTTTCTTTATAAATCTAATCACAACCTAAATTATCTGTCACTAAGGGAAGGGGGTGAATAGACAAAATAAAAAATTATTTTAGTATTTCTTTATGAGTTTTTGTTTCATCTTTTAATGTTTAATGCTTCCCTCATGCTTCTCCTCAGCTTGCTCTTTTCTTAGATATATGTTGTTTTTCATATTTCTTCAGGGACTCTACTTTTCCAATGGTTTAATCATTTTTATGGCTTTTATTATTGACTACAAAGCATAACACAAAAATACAGTATTTCTTGTACTTAACATTTGGCAAAAATGCAGTGTTTGATGATCTTCAGTAATGCTTCCAACTCAGATATTATTTCTCTGGGAAAACCAATATTTCAAGTGCAATGTAACGGATCAGTAAGAATATGAAACATTAGCTAATGTGCCAGTATTCATAATCATAGAATCTCCTGACTGCGGAAGCTATTGCTGATAGTGGCTAAATGTATGTGGCCTATAAGCCCAGTTGCTCTTGATTTTCTCCTCGTTATACTTAGTGGTCCATCAGCTCATTTGAAAGTCTTAGATTAAAGGAGGCTCATGATTCTTAAAGAAGCCTATTTCCTCTGGATAGCTCTGTATGTTAGAAAGTTCAGTGTGATTTATTTTTATTTCTGTGCTACTTCCCCTTATTACTTCTATCATATTCATTGGTGCCACACAGGGGAAAAATCTAATTCTTCTTTCATGTGACTACACATCATTTGACCACTGAGTTTTCTGCTTTCTAGACTTATAAATGTATAACTTAACTTAAAAGATTTCTTTTTTGTCTGTTTTTTACTTCATTACCTAAGGTAACTTTTGTATTTCTATTATTTAACAAATAAAACAACATCACTTGTGTTCACAAGGATATGTCTTGTAAATGTCTGCTTCTATGTCTCTGGACATAGTTATCTGGGAGCCTCAACTTCTTACAAGGTATATGAATTTGGTCAAATTATTTAATCTGCCTGTCTTAATTTTCTTCCTATAAAATGGGGGTAATAGCATAATTATAATAATATCGCCCTCAGCGTATTGGCAGGAGGATAAGATGAGTTAACAAGGTAAAATCTTGAAAAAATGCTGGGCTCAGAAATAGTACCATTGAGATATTTTTGCCTTGCTCCTACTTTTTAATCTCCATTTAAAAAAAAAAAAAGAGGTCTCATTTTTATTAACTGAGAAAACACTTAATTTAAACGAAATTACTAAATATCTTAAATGTTGCAATATGATAATAGTGGTTCAGATTCATAATAAAACAATTTAGAAAAATCACATATATTCTGCATACTCTTCAATTAAGGAAGCTCTAAATATACTATATATTTAGATATTTAGCATGTGCACTGAATTTGTTTTTTTTTAAGTTGTTCCTTGTGTATTCCTCATAATTACGCAAGTAAGAAAGAACTTAAACAAAGTTTTGATTAAGTAAATATTTTAGTAGTATAACAACATATTCAACATATATTTATGGAGTGCTACTCTGTGAGAGGTGCTGTTCTAGCTTCCGTGGATAGATAAGATACTAAAACAGAGAATCAAATCCTGGGTCTCAGAAAGATTGCATTCTGTGAGAGGAAGAAAGAATAAAATAAATCATGAAATATATTAGGTGGATATAAGTTATAAAGAGAAAAATAAAGTAGGGTAGAGGTTAGGTGATGTTTGGTATGAAAAGGTAGGGTCACAGCTTTTCTATATTACTGGTCAAGAAATACCTTTTTGATATTTGATTTAACACAAACATATGTAGGGCAGACAATTTTCAGAATAACTGAGAATAAAGTTTTTTTTTCGTTTTTTTTTTTTTTTTTGCATAGAAGAACAAGTACAAAGTATGCCTAAAATGTGTTAGGAGATGCCTAGCATGTCCTAGGAATGACAGAGGGACAAAAGACTAGAGCAGTCTGAGGAAGGAGAAAGCAGAAAGATATGCTCAGAGGGGTATTGACACCAGCAGGCCTTGTAAGGTCCTGTACACCTCCTGGGGACAGGTGCTTCTATTCTGTAATGGGAAGCCATGGGCCAATTATGAGCAGAATGATATGAATGTCCATGTAATATGATCGTGCAACCTGATATATAAAAAGTAGAATAAAAGGATAATTTTTATTAATGTCAGTAGCAGTGTAGTTCATTACAGGCCAAATCTGCTGGGGCTAGACAAACCAAATATATCTATTTGGAAAAAGTAGAAGAGCTACCAAGACAGTAAAAACTGATGAGTCAAACTCTCAGACCAAGTGAAACACAGAGGAGTGAGTTCAATATTTGAAACTGTGTTTTCTCTTGAAGCATTTGTCTTTTCAAAAATCATATCTGAGAGTCTCAGAATTTGAGTAATTTCACATGGCTGAGAGGAGAAAAACTGGAGTTCAGTAACTTCCAATAGGGGGAAGCCTTGGAAATTACTCCAGATCTAAAAAGAAAAGATACAGAAACGTACACAGTAAATGGATGGAAAAAAGCATTCCATATGAAAGCAACCAAAATAAAAAAGGCCCACTTATTCTAATATCAAAGTATTATTGGATTAAAATTTATATTTTATAATAATGATAGGGTCAATACATCAGAAAAGTTAAAAAACAATTAAATTTTGTGTATTGATAAAATAGTCCTCAAATAAGAGGGACATATGTAAAGGAACAAATAGACAAACCTATTTGCAGAGTGAGTGATATTAACAAGCTTCTGTTACTCATAGCTTGAATGAACAAAAAAAAAAAGCAGAAAATATTTAAAATAAAATTTAAAAAATGGACCTGCCTAATATTCCTAAGATTATTCCCAATAACTGCCAACATATTTTATTTTCAAAACCACATTAAACATTTTAAAAATTTATGCACATGGGTCATAAAGCATATCTCAAACATCTTCAAAAACATTGAAATCATCAGGCTATGATCTCTGACCACCAGAAGATTAACCAGAAAACCAATAACGAATAGATAATTTGAAAATTCTTTGATATATTTTTGGAAGTTATGTAATACATTTCTAAGTAACCCATGAGTCAAATTAGTTATAATTATATTGGAGGCTTAGTTATAATTGAAATTAGGAAGGCTTTTGAACTAAAAGACAATGAAAACATAACAGTGGAAAGATATTAAGGCCATGAACAGAAAACCAATTTACCTTCAAATGCATATATTTAAAGAGAAGAAAGTCTGAAAATTAGTTATGTAAGCATCTACCTCAAGAAGTTATTGGTGTAGACAGATCTTGTAAGGCCTTTAGTTCACCACAGAAGCTTGTTCTAAGAAATTAGTGAAATAGCAGATTAGGAGAAAGCAAAGCAAGATGGCAGAATAGAAGACTCCATTATCATTCCCACCCCAAGGAAACGAATTTAACAACTATCACATAAGAAAACCACCTTTATAAGAACTAAAAATCAGGTGAGCACTCATAGTACCTGGTTTTTAACTTCAGATCACTGAAAGATGCACTGAAGTGGTAGAAAAGAAACAGACTTGAATCACCGACGCCACCCGCCCTTACCCCCCAAAAGTTGCTGCATAGTGCAGACGGCATCTCTGGGTGCTACTGGATGGACAGCACAGCAATTATGAAATTGAACTTAGCGCTGCCTTGTTATAGCAGAAAGGAAAACTGGACCAAAATCAACTGATGCCCACCAACTGAGGGAGCATTTAAACCAGCCCTAGCCAGAGCGGAACTGCCGATGACGTGGTCGCAACATTAGTTCCCACAAGCCCTGCCACTGAAGGCTAAAGTGCTCTGGGGCCCTAATAAACTTGAAAGGCAGTCTAGGCTACAAGGATGGCAAGTTTTACATGACTCCTAGTGCTGAACTTGGCCCAGAGACAGTGGACTTGGGTGGGAGCGGATGCAACCTACTGGACACTAGCTGGGGAGGTAAGGGAGTGCTGTTGTCACCCCTCCCCTAACCCCAGGCTGTACTGCTTGCAGCATGAAAAGACACCCCTTTCTTCCCCCTGAGGAGAGTAGAGGGAAGAGTGGGAAGGACGTTGTATTGCGTGTTGGACACCAGCTCAGCCACAGCAGGACAGGGCACTGATCAGAGTCAAGAGGCCCTCTTTCCAGGTGCTAGCTCCTGATGACATTTCTAGACACACCCTGGGCCAGAAGGGAACCTGCTGCCTTGAAGGGAAGAGCCCAGTACTGGCAGGATGTATTACTTGCTCACTGAAGAGTCCTTGGGCCCTGAATAAGCAGCAGTGATAGCTGAATACTACATCAAGGGTGTTGGGTGAGGTTTTGAGACTTGCTGGCTTCAGGTAAGTAATCAGCCCATTACCAGCTGTGGTGGCTATGGGACAAAACCCACTCTACTTCAGAAAAGCAGAAGAAAAGTAAAAAGGACTTTATCTTGCACCTTAAATACTACCTCAGCCACAGGGGGTTAGAGCACCCAGCAGGCTCTTGGGGTCCCCAATTCCAGAACTTGGCACTTGGATGGTATTCCTGGACCTGCCTTAAGCCAGAGGAAAGCACAGTTCCCTGAAAGGTAAGTCCCAGGCCAGGCAGCATTCACAAGTTGGCAGCACTCCCTGTGGATCTGTGGTGGCAGTGGCCATGAGTGAGGCTCCTATGCCTTTGGAAAGAGGAGGCAAGAATGGGAAGAATTGTGACTTGTGGTTTGAGTGCCAGCTCAGGCACAGTACAACAGGATACCAGGTAGATTTCTAAAATTTTTTTACTTTAGACCCTGGCTCCTGGATAGCACCTCTGAACCTACTTAGAGACTCTAGTAACTTGTTGCCTGGAGGAAATGACACAGGCCTGGCTGACATTCCCACCTGCTGATTGTGGAGCCCCAGGGCCTTAAGCAAACATAAGCAGTAGCCAGGGAGTGGCTAGAATAGGCCTTGGGTGAGTTTCAGTGCTGTGCTGGCATCAGGTTTGACCCAGCATAGTCACAGTGGTGGCCCCACAAGGGTGCTTACATCATTCCAACCCCAGCTCCAGGTGCTCAGAACAGAGAAAGCGAGACTTTTTTTTTTTTTTTCATTTTGGAGAAAGTAAGGGAACAGAACAACAATCTCTGACTGGAAATCCAGAGAATCCTCCCAGATCTTGTCCAGGACCAGCAAGAAGGTACCTGTACAAGTTTGCAAGAACCACAGTGTTATGGGGCTTCGGGTGCCCCCAAAGGAGATAGAGCTTAGAACACAACATTGAAGTCCTTTTGAATATCTGGGAAGCCTTTCCAAGAAGGATAGATACAAAAAGCCCAGACAGTGAAGGCTGCAATAAATATCTAACTGTTGAATGCCCAGACACTAAAGAACATCTACCAGCATCAACAGCATCCAGGAAAATATGACTTCACCAAATTAACTAAATAAGCCACCAGAGACCAACCCTGGAGAAACAGAGATATGTGACCTTTCAGAAAGAGAATTCAAAGTAGCTGGGTTGAGGAAACTCAAAGAAATTTAAGATAACACAGAGAAAGGGTTCATGATTCTATCACAGGAATTTAACAAAGAGATTAAAATTATTTAAAACAATTAAGCAGAAATTCCAGAGCTCAAAAATACAATTGGCATGCTGAAGAATGCATAAGAGTCTTTTAATAGCATAATTGATCAAGCAGAAGAAAGAATTAATAAGCTTAAAGACAGGCTACCTGAAAAAACACACTCAGAAAAGACAAAAGAAAAAAGAATGATAAAACAATGAAACATGCTTACAGGATATAGAAAATAGCCTTAAAAGGGAAAATCTAAGAGTTATAGGACTTAAAAGGGAGGTAGAGAACAAGATAGGGCTAGGAAGTTTATTCAAAAAAAAAAAAAACAGTAAACTTCCCTAACTTGTAGAAAGATACCAAATTCAAGACCAAGAAGGTCATAGAACACAAAGCAGATTTAACCTAGAGAAGACTATAGCCAGGCATTTAATTATCAAACACCCAAAGATCAAGGATAAAGAAAGGATTCTAAAAGCAGCAAGACAAAAAAAAATAAATAACATACAATGAAACTCCGATATGTGTGGCAACAGACTTTTTAGTGGAACCCTTACATGTCAGAAGAGAGTGGCATAACATATTTAAAGTGCTGAAGGAACAAAAATTTTACCCTAGAATAATATATCTGATGAAAATATCCTTCAACCATAAAGGAAAAACAAAGACTTTCCAAGACAAACATCAGCTGAGGTTTTTCATGCAACACTAGACATGTCCTACAAGAAATGCTAAAGGGGGTACTTCAATCAGAAAGAACAGAAAGTTAGTGAGTAAGTAATTGCCTAAAGGTATAAAACTCACTGGTTATAGTAAGTACACAAAAAAAACACAGAATACCATAATACTGTAACTGTGATGTATAAACTATGCTTATCCTCAGTAGAAAGAATAAACAATGAACCAATCAAAAATAATAACAACATAGACAGTACAAGAAGATAGAAATAGAAACAATGAAAAGTTAAAAAGTGAGGGGATAAAGTTAAGCTGTAGAATTTTTATTAGTTTTCTTTTTGCTTCTTTGTTTATGCAAATAGTGTTATCATCTTACAGTAATGGGTTATAAGATAGTATTTGCAAGCCTCAATGCAATCACAAACCAAAAATATACAATAGTTACACAAAGAAATAAAAAGAAAGAAACTAAATCATATGACCAAAGAAAATCACCGTCACTGAAGGAAGACAGGAAGGATAGACAGAAAGAAGAGAACACCACAAAACAACCAGAAAGCGAATAACAAAATGGAAGAAGTTCTTGCTTCTCAACTATAACTTTGAATAAATGGACTAAAACTTTCTATCAAAAGACATAGAGTGGCTGAATGGATAAAAATAAGAAAGATCCATTGATTTGTTCCCTACAAGAAACACAAATCACCTATAAAGACACAGATAGACTAAAAATAAGGGGATGGAAAAAAATATTCCATGCCAATGGAAACCAATAAGGAGCAGAGAACCAGGAGCAGCTATCCTTATGTAAGACAAGTAGATATCCAGACAAAAACTGTAAGAAGAAACAAAGAAGGTTAGTATATAATGATAAAAGGGTCAATTAAATCGAGAGGATATAGCAATTTTAAATATATACGCACCCAAGAGTGGAGCTCCCAGATACATAAAACAAATATTATTAGAGCTAAAGAGAGATTTGGGCCTCAATACAATAAAAGCTGGAAATTTCAACACGCCCCTTTCAGCATTGGAACATCTTGCAGACAAGAAATCAACATAGAAACATTGGACTTAATATGCAATATAGACCAAATGGATCTAACAGATATTTACAAAACATTTCTTCTAAGAACTGGAGAATACACATCCTTATCCTCAGCACAAGGATTATTCTGAAAGATAAATTATATGTTAAGTCACTAAGTCTTAATATAGTCAAAAATGAAATAATATGAAGCATCTTTTTTGAGCACCATGGAATAAAACTAGAGATTAGCAACAAGAGGAATTTTTGAAACTGTGAGAATACAGAAAAAATTAAACAATATGTTCCAGAATAACCAGTGGGTCAATGAAGAAATTACGAAGAAAATGTTAGAAAAGTTGAAACAAATGATAATGGAAACACAACATACCAAAACATATAGGATACACTAAAAGTAGTGTGAAGAGGAAAACATTTTTAATTGCCTACATAAAAAAAGAAAAACTTCAAGTAAACAACCTAAACACCTTTGAAATGAAGAAAACAATACAAAAGAGCAACAAAAGAAAAAGTTGTGCTTTTTTAAAAATTGACAAACCTTTAGCCAGACTAAGAAAAAAGGAGAAAAGACCCAAATAAAATCAGAGATGAAAACAGATATATTACAACTGATACTACAGAAATTCAAATGACCATTAGTGGCTACTCTGAGCAACTATATGCCAATAAATTGGAAAATCCAGAAGAAATGGGCAAATTCCTAGATGTATACAACCTATAAAATTGAACCAGGAAGATATCCAAAATCTGAACAGACCAGTAACAAATAATGAGAGCGAAGCCATAATACAATGTCTCCCTTTAAAGAAAAGCCCACATTCCAGTGGCTTCACTGTTGAATTCTACCAAACAATTAAAAAACAATTAATATTGATCCTACTCAAACTACTTCAAAAAATAGAGGCGGCGGGAATAATTTCAAATTCATTCTATGAGGCCAGTACTATCCTGGTACCAAAACCAGACCAAACATATTAAAAAATAACTAAAGGCCAATATTTCTGATGAATATTGGGGCAAAAATCCTCAACAAAATACTAGCAAACCAAATTCAATAATACATTAAAAAGATAATACATCATGACCAAGTGGGATTCATCCATGGGATGCAAGAATAGTTCAACATATACAACTTTTCAATGTGATACAGGAGATCAACAGAAATAAAAAAGTAATTTTATTTACAATAGTGACAAAATTAAAGAAGTTAAAGATCTCTATTATGAAAACTATTAAATACTGATGAAAAAAATTGAAAAACAAACCAAAAATTGGAAAGATATTCCAGGTCATGCATTGAAAGAATCAATATTGTTAAAATGTCCATACTGCCCAAAGCAATCTGCAGATTTGAGGCAATTCCCACAAAAATACTAAGATATTCTTCAAAGAAATAGAAAAAAAAATTCTAAAATTATTATGGAGCCACAAAAGACCCAGAGAAGCCAAAGCTATCCTAAGCAAAATGTACAGAACTGGAGGAATCACATTACCTGACTTCAAATCATACTACAGAGCTACAGTAATCAAAAGAGCATGGTACTGGCATAAAAGCAGACACATAAACCAAGGGGACAGAAGAGAGAACCCAGAAAGAAGTCCGCACACCTGCAGTGAACTGATTTTCCAAAAAGGTTCCAAAGACATACATTGGGTAAAAGACAGTCTCTTTAATATCTGTTGCTGGGAAAACTGGATATCCATAAGCAGAAGAATGAAACTAGACCTCTATTTGTCACCATATACAAAAATCAAATCAAAATAGATTAAAGGCTTCAATCTAAGACCTCAGACTATAAAACTACTACAAGAAAACACTGGGGAAAATCTCCAGGACACTGGTCTTTACCAAAAAATTCCTGAGTCATACCCCATAAGCACAGGCCACCAAAGCAAAAATGGACAAATGGGATCACATCAAGTTTAAAAGCTTGTGCACAACAAAAATAAAAATCAACAAAGTGAAGGGATAACACACAGAGTGGGAGAAAATATTACTCAAAAAAGTAAAAATCATGCAATCATATGATCCAGTAATCCCATTGCTAGATATACAAAAAAGAAAGAGATATCTACACTTCCATGTTTGTTGTAGCTCTGTCCACAGTAGCCGAGATTTAGAAGCAGCCTTAGTGTCAATCAACAGATGAATGGATAAAGAAAATGTGGTACCTATACAAAATATAGTACTATTCATTCAGAAAAAAGAATGAGATACTTTCATTTGCAAAAAGATAGATGGAACTTGAGATGATTATATTAGGTGAAATAAGGCAGTCACAGAAAGGCAAACGTCACATATTCTCCCCTATGTGTGGGGTCTACAAATCAAAACAATTGAACTTATGTACATAGAGAGTAGAAGGATTGTTACCAGGGGCTGGGAATGATAGTAGGGTGGGAGCGGCAGGGTGCTGGGGACAGTGAATGGGTACAAAAAAATAGAAAGAACAAATAAGACCTAGTATTGGTTAACACAAGAGGATAACTATAGTCAATAATAACTTAATTGTAAACTATAAAATAACTAAGAGTTTAACTGAATTGTTTATAATACAAAGGCTAAATAATTGAAGGGATGGATACCCCATTCTTTATGATAATATTATGCATTGCATGCCTGTATTAAAACATCTTGTGTATTCCATAAATATATATATCTACTATATATGTAACCATGCAAATTAAACATAAACATTTTTAAAAGATGGCAAATTAATTTGAAAGAAAGAAGCAGAAAATAATAAATAGCATAAATTCTAAAATAGAAATAATAGAATCTTCAAACTGAGATGTGATTGCGTGAAAATTAATGAAATAAATCATTCTTGTCAAAACTGAGAGTTGTATTTGTTGTGCAGGCAAAAGTGATTATAATGATTGGCCATGGAATGTAAACTGGGTAAGGAGGCAGATAAGAATATTTGCAGAAGTGAATGATTTAACTCTCCCTGACCTTGTAATTGTCTCCTCTTGTAAGTCACTCCAATATACACAGCTTCATGTCCTGCTTCCAAACCAAAGCTAAGAGGATGGTATCTACTCTTTCTTACTCCCATTACTAAGTCCAAATGCTTATGTAACAGCAATTGTGAGCATCTACTAACATATGGAATTCTTTATCTTTATCTTCAATTACTTCATCAGCGGTCTGCAATACTTTTGTGTGCTCTGACTTTAAGAGCTTTAATAAACACGTTGATACTTCTCATAAAGACATTCTGGACTCGCAATTCCCCTTTTCCTGACTTTCTTCCTCTCTCCCTCCCTCTCCTTCCCTTTCATCTATGGTTCCTTCCCTCCTTCTCATCCTTCTTTCCTTCACTTATTTTTCTATGCATTTCCTACCATGCATCTTTAAATTTTATTCACAAATATTTATTGAGCATATAATATCTGATAGGAGTCCTGGGGATTTAAAACTAACAAAAGGGCATCCCTGCCCTCAAGAACCTTAGAGCCTGTTCAGGACAGTGCAAGTAGAAAGAGCAGGAAGGATGATAGTAAACATTTAACAGTGCCTTGCAGCATTATCTCTACATATATCACCACAATAACTTGATGAGACTGGAAGTAAAATCACCTTCAATTTACAAATTTAAATATCTAAAGTGTAGGAAGGCAAATAATTGGCCTATAGTTACATTGAAAATCAGTACAGAAACAACAATTCAGTCCAAACAATCTGCAGACATTATTCTACACAGACTGCCCCAAATTTTTACAACTAGTAGGTACATTCAGAACAATGCGTTATCAATAATGTGTGAGCTTTCATTTCCACTGAATTCCATGTCATTTCTGTCATGCCTTTCCACATCCCACAGTGTAGGGAGAAACAACAATTTATCATGGAACATGTCCTCCTATCAGAATCTGAAGTTCTGAGAGTGTTGATAGCTCACACTCAGAAAAACAAGGTTTTTACTAGTTTCAAAGATTTAGCCTGTCTCTTTTCTTTCTGGACCTCAGTTTCCTCATTCTAAGAAAGTGAATGTCATTTTCCCAAAGAACTGTAAATCAATTTTTGCTCCTTTTTCATCTTTGATAAGTAAGAATATAAAATATTATGTGTTTATGAAAATTTGGGCCAATATGCTATGATGTTGGAAGTGCATATTGCATAATGTTTGACTGTTTCGCTTTTTCTCCTTCTCTGGGACCTGGAGGTCAAAACATTTGAATGGTGGGAAAAGTTGCAGAAATTAAATATGAGACACAAACAGCAGAATTAAGAAGGTGTCTTGGCCAGGCACGGTGGCTCACACCCGTAATCACAGCACTTTGGGAGGCTGAGGCAGGCAGATCACAAGGTCAGGAATTCGAGACCAGCCTGGCCAATATGGTGAAACCCCTTCTCTACTAAAAATACAAAAATTAGCTGGGCGTGGTGACATGCACCTGTAGTCCCAACTACTCAGGAGGCTGAGCCAGAAGAATCGCTTGAACCTGGGAGGCGGAGGTTACAGTGAGCTGAGATCCTGCCAGTGCACTCCAGCCTGGGTGACACAGCAAGACTCCGTCCCCACCAGAAAAAAAAAAAAAAAAAAGAAGGTGTCTTAAGCAATGCTGAAGTAAGTAATAATAGAAATCTAAGAAAAAAGCATATAACAGGCATGCAGCACTGATTTTAAAATAGCTTTTGGAATATAAAACCAAGAAAATAAGGTCCAGTAAACAGTATGATTGGGTGGTTTCGACTATGTTAATAGTTCATATTTCAAGGGTTTTGGTAAATACCTGTCAGTTAACTCTGTGTGCATGTGTGTAACAAAGCAAACTTAACCTAAACCGAGTAGACTAAAACTGCAAACAGTTGTTAAATTTATTATTCTATGGGTTGACAGTTTGGCTTGGTCTTAGCTGGAATGTTCTGTTGACCTTGGCCAGGCTTGGCTTACTCATGCATCAGAAGTGTAGTCTTCAGAACCCCCCGATCCTCCACCTGTACGCCATTCCTTCAGGCACCTGGGACAGTTGGCACCTTGTCAGATTTAGCTTCTTGCTTATGCTATTGCAAAAAGTGATTAAAGGCTTAACTGTTACTCTTTTTGGCTTCTTGTCTTAATCTGCCATTTCCACACCTGCCATCTTAGCTTAGTCCTTTTCAGCTCAGCTGAGTTCTAGACAGGAATCCCAAGAGCAAGAATGGAAATACATAAGGCTGTTGAGGACCAGGTTTGTAAATCATACATTGTTGCTGTCCCAATGCCATCCTCAATTTAAGGAAGAGGAAAAGAGACCCCCTTAATGAAGGAACTGCAAGGAATTGTGGACATTTTTTTTTAAATTTTATTATTATTATACTTTAAGTTTCAGGGTACATTGTGCACAATGTGCACGTTAGTTACATATGTATACATGTGCCATGCTGGTGTGCTGCACCCATTAACTCGTCATTTAGCATTAGGTATATCTCCTAAAGCTATCCCTCCCTCCTCCCCCCACCCTACAACAGTCCCCAGAGTGTGATGTTCCCCTTCCTGTGTCCATGTGTTCTCATTGTTCAATTCCCACCTATAAGTGAGAATATGCGGTGTTTGGTTTTTTGTTCTTGCGATAGTTTACTGAGAACTGTGGACATTTTTATACATTCTACACTGTTGCTGTGGGGATTGTAGTTTAATAGCACAATTCAGGGATCTGCCCTCTGCCCCACCGTCTTTGATATCTCTTGCCAGTTGGTTTTGCCATATTTGAGGTATTATTCACCTGCTATGGTTTATGAGTAACCAAGAGTGTGACCATAGTGTAGAATTAAAATTCTGGGATCAACAGAGTAAAGTCATAGAATCCCTGGACAGTAAGGAGAAGTAAAGGTGAGGGCTGAAATTAATGACTGAAAAGCTGGGAGTGTTTAATTCAACAGGAATATCTCAGTTTCAAGATGATGGTTAATAGAAGAGGGAATGACCTTAATCTATATTATCCCAGAGGGAAGAATTACATCAAAGCCTGGAAGTTACAGGAATCAAGATTTAAATGCATCATAGGGAAGACATTGGTAAAAATTAAAGCCTTCTGAAAATAGAACAGATTGACTTGTAACAAAATCTAAGGTGTTGTAAGTTGATTAAGGCATTAGAAGTGTTAAAATGAGAAAACTTTTAAGATTTTTTAAGATAAACTCTTTGGTTTTATGTTCTGTCCCATCATTTTATTAATTTTTCACATTCATTAAGCTTTCCTTACTCCATCAAAACCTAAATTAAAAAACAAATATATTTCTTATTCTTCCTATTACAAACACATGAATTGTAATTTTTATAGGAGTGAGTAGAAAACCAAATTGTGTGCTTCATATATGTTTCTGACCTAGACATACACTCCCCAGCCTGTGTGTATGTGTGTCTGTAAGTGTGTGTGTGTGCAAGTCTGTGTGTGTAGAGATATAACAAATGGCAGGAACCGAAGTATGTAATACCCATCCTTGCAATACTGTATGCATTTCATTTTTAAAAAGCAATGATTCTGCTGTTTATATCAAGCAGGGCATTTACCAAGGTAGATTTATTTCATTCAGCACTCGATTTGAAAATAAAATGGAGTATTTTCTATAGTTTTGAGAATATTTTCACTCATATTTTATTAAATAAAAGTGATAACTGGCATGAACTAAACCAGATTTAATTTCTGGTTTTTGAAACTTACCAGATTCTTATAAATGTAAACATACTACACTTTAGTGCCTTCATTAGTAAAGTGGGGATAATAAAGAGTAACACAAACCTAAGAGTTTTGTGTTTTAATTATAATAAAGTATATGAAAAATATTTAGCTATTTGCAGGATACTATACAAAAGGTAAATAATAAATAATAAATATGTTACCATTATAATCATCATTATTACTTCAATTTGAACGCTATCTAATACAATAATGCAAAGTACAGACATTTTGGAATCCATCACTCTGTGTGAAAATCCTAATTTAGTCACTAAATAGTTGACTATTGATAATTTCATTAAACCATCTGTATCTCAGTTTTATTATCTATCACATGGCAATCACGATATTACCAAATTATTATAGTTGTTTGAGCATTAAATTAAGATGATAGACATATCCAGATGTGATTAGGCTGAAAATGTAAGCTATTATTATTAGATTTATAATAATAAAATTTGTTTTTTCTAGCCACCAAGCCAGAGAAAGTCACTTTTTGAAGTAACTATAATAGACCGCATTCATAAGTACTTTTTCTTTCTTTATGAGAAGACAGCTAAATACTCCTATTATTTATAGATTTATTTACTGGTAACAAAGTATGCACAAAATAACATATGAGTGACTCACAAATGAATGAACCAAAAATTGCAATTACCACATAATTATATGCTTTTGTTGACTGGAGCATTTTGATCAATAATGTTTCTGTTAAATATTATACTTAGCCTTCATTCATTTATTTAATCTTTATTTGTCAAAAATGTATATGAGACACTGGGGATATAAAATATAGTATTTCCCATCTGTTTTCTCATTGAATTTACGTTGTGGTAAAATATTCAAATATTAAACAATTTGAAAAATATATTTTGATATTTACAACTAATTTCCCTGGTGATGTAGATTCATTAAGTAAATAAAAACCCAATGCTCATATTTAGACTGAAACATAAAATAATATCTAGGATATATTTATTTTTTAATCTCACATTCCCATTGAACCAGTCCCTTATGGAGCTATCTGACAAAATAGACTACTCTTCTGCCTTCACAGCATTTGGTTTTTGTTGAGTGTCCTTCTCTTTTCCTGCAAGATGAATGTTACTGTAATTGTTTACCTGTCTCCTTTTTGCTAGATCATATTTTCAATAAGGGCAGTGGCCAGTGGAATTAGTTTTCTGGAATTATCAACTGCGGTATGGACTACCAGAAAGTCAATAGCTCACTAAATAAAATTATAGAAGTTCCATGATTCATCTATGACTTAGGGCTCAAATTCCACAGACAGTGTCTCCTGTTGAAAGAGTAATGTCTACATGAAAAATAAAACTTGAATTGTCTTCACGAAATTAAGTCAAATTCTCTTCAGCTAAAAAAAGGTGTCATTGGTTATTCAATGAACCAACTGGCTTACAATCTGCCTGTCATCTGATTATATAAAATACACTCTTGGGACAAATGATAGATATGTTTTAAGTTCTTTGAAAAGTCTCCACACTGCTTTCCACGGTGGCTGAACTAATTTACATTCCCATCAGCAGCGTATAAGTGATGTTTCCTTTTCCCTGCAATCTTGCCAGCATCTGTCGTTTTCTGACTTTCTAATAGTAGACATTCTGACCAGTGTGAGATGGTATCTCATTGTGGTTTTGATTTGCATTTCTCTGATGATTAGTGATTAATATTTTTATATATTTGTTATCTGCATGTATGTCTTCTTTTAAGAAGTGTCTGTTCATATTCTTTGCCCATTTTTAATGGCTTTATTTGTTTTTTCTCTTGCCGATTTGTTTAAGTTCCTTATAGATGCTGGGTGTTAGACCTTTGTCAGGTGACTAGCTCGTGAATATGTTCGCCTATTCTTAAGGTTGTCTGTTTACTCTGTCAATAGCTTCCTTTGTTGTGCAAAAGCTCTTTCCCACTATTGGGTATACATCCAAAGGAGAATAAATTGTTCTACCAAAAAGGCACATGCACTCGTATGTTCATTGCAGTGCTATTTACAAGAGTAAAGCCATGGAATCAACCAATATGCCTATTAACAGTGGAGTGGATAAAGAAAATGTGGTACATATGGCACTGCAGAATACTAGGCAGCCATAAAAATGAATCAAATCATGTCCTTTGCAGCAACATGGATGTGGCTGGAGGCCATTAGCCTGAGTGAACTAACACAGGAAGAGAAAACTAAATATCACATGTTCTCACTTACACATGGGAGCTAATCATTAAATATACATGGATACAAAGATGGGAACAACAGACATTGAGGACTGCTTGAGGGGGGAAGAAGGGAGAGGAGAATGGAATGGAAGGCTACCTGTCAGGTACTCTGCTCATTACTTAGGTGATGAAATCATTCATACATCAAGCCTCAGTGGTATGCAGTTTACCCATTTAACAAACCTACACATGTACCCCTTGAACCTAAAAGAAGAAAAAATAAAATAAGATAAAATAGAACACTCTTCAGCCACGCCTGGTGGTGTGCATCTATAGCCCCAGCTACTCAGGAAGCTGAGGTGAGAGGATTGCTTGAGCCCAGGAGTTTGAGGCTGCAATGAGCCATCATTCCACCACTGTACTCCAGCTTGGGCAAAAAGGGAAGACCCTGACTCAATAATATAATAATAATATAATATAATAAAATACATTATTCATTTCTTTTCATGAATTGTGTTGCTATGTTCATCTGTTTGTTCCCTAGTTCAAGAAGCAGACATTTGGCATGGAGAGTGCTCTCACGGATCTCTGAAGAGCCAATTTATGTTATTTCAAATGCTTTTGAAGCAGTAACAATAAAAAAAAAGTTCCTTAAGTAACAATTTTTGCAAACCCTAGTATGGAAATAGTCTGATCTGCATTAATAAAAGTGTTGATTGATTTTTCTTAGAGAAACAACCTGACGAAAACATTTCATTCATAATATTTTAAAGCAGAGGAGTGTACTTCATTTGCAGCATGTTGCCTATGAGAGTTTTAAAGATTCTTCCCAAAGGCTGTGACATAAAACCTGAAACGAAAACAACCATCTTGAGATTTTCTAAACATTATCCATCAATTCCACTCTTCAACATGAACTCTATGGAGACTCTTTTTTTTTTAACTTCATTTTTTAACCCTGCACCCTGAGGATAAATCCAATATTACCAATAGTACCAATATAACCAAATAAAAATACTGCCTGCTCATTATTCAAGTAAGCTGTGTCTAGTTCTCTGGTTGTGTCAGTTCTGACACTTCTAATGATAATTTTTGTTGTCTTTTTTTGGAGAAGAATATACAGCAAAACCATATAGGCCATGTAAACAGTGTATCACTTGTCATCGACCTAATGATTATAACACTTGAATAAGTAAGAAAATAAAAGAGCATTTTAAATTAATAACTTGCACTAAGGGATTTCACATTTTCACTCAACACATATAAACTGGGTACAATTACTTTACTAATTAGATGATAAAAGATTCACCATATCAAGTGCCCTGAATATAATGAATAAAAATTCTCTCATGGTAAATGTTTCTATTTCCTTTCCCTTTATAACTTTTTTTTACATGATGCTAATCCTAATACCTTCAAATTGGAATAATCATAAAAGACACCTGTTTAATCCTTGTCTGGTTCTTGAATCTTCTGTATGATATTTTTATCCACTGGCTAAGAAACTACTTCCCAAACGCAGCAATTTTCTACTGATCTGAATTAAAATGTACTTTGTAGAGTTGAAATCTCAATTCCTAAAATTTTATGTGGTAGCCATGTTTATTTTCCCATGTTTTAATGTGTTTATGTATTTAAAATATATCTATTGATTATCCAGATATGCAATCATATTGGTGATATGATAGAGTGGGTCCCAGTGTCACTAAAGATTTAAGTCTAGTGAGAGAGCATTGTTCAAATAACTCACAAAAGAATAAGAAATTACAAGTAGCATAAACGCTACGAAGAAAAGGTTTATTTCTTAGGAGAAGCTTAAAAGCTTGAAGAAAAGTTAATAAAATGAATGAAAAAAGATAACTCAGTGCATAGAAGCCACATTTATGGTGTTCCTTTTAGGATGAGGGACAGTAGTATATAGATTTGAAGTACATTTATGAGATTAAAATATGCATATGGAGGTTCCATTAAGAAGAACCATAGATAACTTCAAGTTTCTGGCTAAGAGAACAGAATGGAGGTTGGTGGCAGCATGAAAGGAATAAAAATAATAACTTCATAAAAATAAATAAAAATAAAATTATGAATCAATGAAATATAAAATTTAGAAAGCACATAAGAAATTAATAAAGACAGAAGTTAATTTTTTGGCAAGATGAAAAATAGACCAATCTCTGTAAACGTGAACCAAGAGAAAAGAATCCACGTCAGTAGAGTTATAAATAAAAAGAAAATCATAACCATAGGAGACATTATAAGAATGATAGGAGAATACTATTAACAATTTATGGCAATACATTTGATAAATTAGATTGAAATAAAACTATAAGATAGTCTAATTTCTTAAATCTTACTCCAACAGAAATGAAAGTACCGAATAATGTTGCTATACTTGTTAAATAAACTGAAACCATATTTTAATATATTTTTACAAAGAAAACAACAATTTTAAGTTTTAGAGGATATTGAATTCAAATTTTCAAGACAGATATCAATGTGATCTTATACCAGATTTTTCAAAAAAAATAAAAAGGAATAAACACTCTACATCTCATTCTTTGGGAATAAAATAATCCTTATTACCAATACTCAAAAAGAAAGTGTGATAAATGATAATTACAGGCTTACTTGAAACATGAACATAGAAGCAAACCTCCTAAATACATTTGGTAAAATTTCAATAACACAAATTAGAAAACAAACCAACTGGTGAGTTAGTCATCCTACAGTCAGTTCCTATCTTCATGAATAAATTAAAAGTGTATCTGTTAAGGAGCGGGAGGAAAATGCAGAGAGGGAATGGACTTCTGAAGTAGAGGCATAAAATCCTATTTTAAGGAGCAGGAGCGCAGAGTTTAGATCCTTGTGTATTTAGACATTTCCCAGCCCAATAGCTCTTGATTGGGCCAATAATACAAGCCTTAATGAACTACGATATTTCTGAAATCTCTGCTATTGTCTTGGAAGTCCAGGAGTTTGTCATTTCTAAATGACAAAATTACATATGTATACATCACATATTTAAACCTCATTATAAAACCACTGTCATATAATACCAATAAATTTGGATCTGTACTTAAATTATTCAGGAAAATTCTTCTGAAACTCTTTGCCAGCTAGCTGTATAGAATTGCTTGTATCATTTTCTTAATCTTACTCTATTAGTAAACTGAAGTCTGGAACGTATTTTTTTAAATATCAATATTTACTAAGTTAGGATTATCTTATATATTCAATAAGGTTTGAATATTATATTTTAAAGTGTCAATTCCATTAAGAGATTAAAAAAGGAAAATGTGATTCCTCTTATAGATACAGAAAATGGTTTTGATACAATTTCATATAAAATAATAATTAAGAAAAACAAAACAAAGAAACAAAGACTATTCCTGAACAAGTTACTCTACAATGTCAATTTCATAAAGAAAGGGATTTTAACCTATTCTGTTTATTGATATATCTCAGGCACCAAGAATAGTTCCTCATACATAGAAGACAAATTAACTTTTTATTGAACGAATAAAAGGAAATATTTAATTCGAGAAATAGTAACTATACAACTGAAGATATTAATAAACAAGTGGTTAAATGTTATCAACATTCCCATTAAAAATAGTGAATAATTAATACTAAAATACTCTCTATCTTCTATTCAGTTTTTCACTGGAGGTTTTACAGAGCTACTAGGAAAATAGAGTGCAATGCATGCATAGGAAATGAAAAGAGAAAACTGAAACTTTCATTATTTGTCATGAATGATTTTTCACATGGACTCACAGATATATGGATAATTTACTATAAACGTATTATAACTGAGGATTTTAGAAAGTTCCATGGATATAAAATTTTAAAAGTCAAATTTATTTCTGAACATCACATATTTTGAAAAAACATTTGAATCACAGATTATATGACATAATTTACAATAGCAATACTACTATGCTTTATTTGGGAATAAATTTATCAAATGATATGCCGAGTGTGTTTAGAATCAGTAATGAAACTGTAACAAAGAGCATTCAAGGGCACCTAAGAAAATGGAGACATCCCATGTTTAAAAGGCTTAATATTAAATAATGTCAATTTTTCCCAGTTGTTCATAGAACACTCCAATGGAGCAAGAAAACATCTCTAATGAATAGCAAAAACAATTTTTATGGGATTTAACAAATTGATATAAATTTTGTAAGAAAAAGTACACAGCTAAGTTACATTGGGAAAAGACAAAAAAAAAAAAAAAAGAGATGTAATACCAAGTACAAGTTGCCTCTAGAAGTTAGAGTAAGTAACATAGTGTGGTATTGGTAGAAAGATAGACAAACTGATCAATGGAACAGAAAGAGAGGCCAGAAATAGATGCACACATATATAGACATCTGATATAGGACAAGTAGTATGGCTTTTCAGTAGGAAAGAACAACTATTCAATGAAGAAATTTCTAAACAATAATTATTCAGCGGGAGGCTGAGGGCAGAAATGGAATTGGAAGGCTACTACATGTCTTAAATCCAGTTTTTGTGTCTTTGGATGGTTTCTGGGCTCCCTGTTATGCTCCATTGGTCAATTTGTTTATACTCTTGTTGAGAATATTTTTATGTTTTGATATGCTGTGTTATCCCTTACTAAGATGCTTAACTTCCTTTCAACATTTTCTTTCTCGGTTTAACCAGTCTGTAATAGTGAAAACATACCTTTCATGACAGCATGCCACAACAGAATACCATCAAATTTTTGTTTAAATTATTGTGCAGCCTGCAATAAATAATGTAATGAAAGACTAATAATAAGTTAGGGCACAAGAATTTGGAGGAATAAATAGGGGTCTATGAACCCTGCAAAACTGAGCAAAAATTATCTTTTACATGACTGTGCATTTTTCTGGGAAGACAAAAAGAGGTTTGATAAATATTTGGCCTATTTACTTGGATAGTATTTTGTTTATCTTGCATTAGATTATTTTAAGGCATATACAAGTGCTTCTCAACTTACAATGGGTTTGTGTCCTAGTAAACTCATTACACATCAAAAATATCATAAATCAGGCTGGGTACAGTGGCTCACACCTGTAATCCCAGCACTTTTGGAGGCTGACTTGAGGACAGGAATTCAAGTCCAGCCTGGCCAACATGGTGAAACCCCCTCTCTACTAAAAATAAAAATATTTGCCAGGCGTGATGGCACATGCCTGTGATCCCAGCTTCTCCGGAGGCTGAGGCCAGAGAATTGCTTGAACCTGGGAGATGAAGGTTGCAGTGAGCCGAGATCGCACCACTGCACTCCAGCCTCGGCAACAGTGAGACACTGCCTTAAATAAATAAATAAATAAATAAATAAATAAATAAATAATAAATAAATAAATAAATAGAAAATATCATAAATTAAACTGTAAAGTTAAAAAAAAAGTCAAACTACCATTAAGGCCAGATGTGCCTCAGTTTTACAGTGGGTGTGTAAGTCAGGGACTGTCTGTACTTGTTTCCCGAGTCTTCAAGATGCTGTTGTAGTTCCCTTACAATGAAAACATAACATTTTCACTCGCCACCCCCTCTGTGTGAAATAGCATTTCAGAAGAATTATTGACCCGCTTTCCTAACATAGAGAACTACTGTGGCAGCCTCATTTTTTTTTTTGTTTTTAAAATGAGAGGGTGAGCAAACCTGTTTCTAGGTTTACTTTTGGCTCTAACATTGGGCTTATTTGCAGTATATTCAGTCTTTATTTCTCATGAGATTATTAGCATCTGCCTTAATAAGTGATGCATGTTAAAATCAGTAATGTGTTTCATTAAAAGAAAGGTGAAATAAATATCTCAGTAGTTCTTCTCTTATCTAATGATTATTTAGGAGGAAATAAGACCAATGGAGCTAATAATGAATATTCTCCTGCAATGACTTTATTGCCATAGATAAAGCTATAGACTCAACACCATGTTTAACACAGAAAAATGGATTTGAACATAGTTATCATAAAAATTTCTATTTCCGTGTCATTTTCAGAGGTGGAATGGAATTTTTAAACAGTTTCATAGACCTTTCAGATCCTATAAAATGAGAGTAGATACAAAATTCAAAGAAGCATGCACTTTTTATTAAAAATTTGTAAACTTGAAAAATTGCAAAAGATAGTGGTACCTAGATATCAAAATAATTTCATAAACTTAAATTAAATTAACTTCTTCTGAGATCAATGTGCCTTTCTACAGTTAATCTATTTCCATAATGTGCCTAGGAGGCAAGTGGCTTATTTTTATCTCTGCGAGTTATTAAAAAATAAACAATGATAAACTTTTGCGTACTGTTTTCATAAAATATTAGATGTTTGTGTCCAGATTGCTTTAGATACATGTCTATTTCAGAGTCCATGGAATTATCTGAGAGTTGGCAGATAATATCAAACGCTGTGACATTCCCATTATATCTGAGAATGAAACAGCACAATCAGTTGGCAGCTCTGAAGACAGTAATCTCTATAAAGCCCAATTAGTGAGCTATCTGCCAAATCATACACCTTGATGAAGAGAAGCCTTGGTGGCAGTTTGCAGCTCTCCTATTGCAAAAGAGGCCCTACTCTATGCCAGCTTTCTGGCATGGTGGTTTGACACAGAATACTATTGTATGTGGGAAAATGTTCAAACTTTATCCAAAAGTTTTTGACATACCAGATGTCTAGGAAAATTTAGACACGGACAACAGGGATTGCTTTACAAATGTAGGAAGGAGATCATTCTTCCCTTTGGAATTATTTATATTGCATAAACTATTTCATCCTATATTTTATATTTTTACAAGTCAAATTCATTTTAATTTTGAATAGGTTATAAAGATGCACACACATGAAAAAATAATCTAAAGCTCTACGTTCCAGTGCCACTTTTACTTGATTTAAATATCTCTAAGTTCAGTCTTCACAGAAGTAGGATGTGAAAATATTCTATCTGTGATGTGAGAGAAATTTATCAGTGACTCTTCCATATCCTCACAAATTAATTGGCTGTTAAACAGAAATTATCTTTAGATCATTCACTCGACTTCTTCATTAGATGGATGTTAATGTGTTTAAATGCATGTAGGGCTACCCTTCTTTCCCTCCTTATAGTTCTTTACCCTATAGAAGGTAACAGGCCGGGTATGCCCAGTAAAGAGCTGTGAAGTCCCATCCTCTGCTTCATTCCTTCATATATTTCTCAACATTTAACCCTCTGTTAAGTAATTATCTCAAGTTTCTTCTTTCAGTGAACAACTGATAAACCATCTAATGAATTAAGCCTCAGATAGGTGTTAGGTCCAGAATATATTACAGTTTCATTGGTATTTTTTTTTCACAGAGACATTAACAAGAATATATTTCTAGCATTCTGACATAAGGGGATACAAGTTGAAATTTAGAGTCATACCACATAAACATCTATACGTTTTCAAAATTAAGAATCAGATGCCAGAGAATTAGAGAGCAGAAAAATGAACAGGCAACAAACTTTGTAGTCAGATGCATATGTGAATCAGGGAGAAACCAGAAACTAAAAACTCAAACAGGGTTACTATTCAGTGGTAAGACTAGAGTATCAGAAAAACAAAAAGAGTTGGGGCAAAATGTAGCTTAGGTAAGTTTTGCTTAACTTAATCTCACTGGGATGTCCAGATTATCACAGTCTTACTATAAATATGTAAATATGTGGGTGGTTGTGATGAAAAAAACAGTATGTGCAGATCAATTGCTAATGCTAGGCAAGTCATAGACCATGGTAAAACAATGAAGATGATGGATTAAAAGTATGAAAAGGCTTTTCAAAAATACCTTTTTTAAAGGCAAATCTTTAAAAATACTTTCAAATTTTAATATAAAATAAGTCCAGTTCATTAAGCTTATGTCTCTCTCCTTAATCTGTCAGTTGCTGAATAATCATCATCATTTTATGTTATGAGTAAATTAGTCATTGCTAGGCATCAGTCATGTCTAAATAATTTTCTATGTGACCGTATGTAAAGAAAAGGTCTGAAGGAAGCTATTAGCCAATATCTGGTTGAGGAGAAGGAAGAAATGCAATATGATGTCATCTAGATATTAGAATATTATGGGAAATATTGCCAATGGACTACAATCATAATATTCTACACTTAAGTAATTCAAAATCAGATCTATATTGGAGATTTTTACAATGTTCACTTTTTGTCAAAATCAACTTTGTCAAGAAGAATCAGTAATCTCCTAAGTTTAAAAATGTTTCAAATATGGAGCCTAACTTCCAACAAGTAGTTTGCAAGATGAAAGTAGAAGCTGATACTTAAGACATATTTGGTGAATTAATAATAGAAGTTATATTTTTAACTTTTTAAACTTTATATTTGATATTTTTCCTTCCATGTTCACCCCTAACTGGCACAGATACAATTATAAATGTGTCCCTAATAAGGATCCATAGAAAAACCCTTAATGTCTTGATAAATCATATCAATGTTTCAAACAAGGGTCATTGAACCCAGGCAGCAGAGGCTGCAGTGTGCCGAGATTGGGCCACTGCTCTCCAGCCTGCGTGACAGAGTGAGACTCCATTTCAAAATAATAATAATAATAATAATAATAATATAACCAATAGTAAGTTACAGAGAAATTTAATATAAAATGAAATATATGTTAATTTGATAAAATAAAAATTAACAACATAAAAATGAACAAAAAATGTAACTAAATATATAATATCATGATATAGAAATAATTATAAGTGACAGGAAGATAAAAGTAAAACAAAAAATGTGAAAATTTGAAAAAATGTATATTAAAGTATTACAACTTTAAAATATTAATAATATTAACAGACAAATGGCAATTGAAAATCAATTTGCTATAAATATAACTCAGAAAATTAAAATCTTAACTAAATAAATAAGAAAAATAGACAATGAGTAAATCACCAGCTGGTCCAACTTCACCCATACAGAAAACTCAAAAACTAAAACTATTAATGAATGTGTTAAAATACTCAACACGACTTATAATTAAAGAAATGCAAATGGATAGTCTGATATACTGCTTGTGGGAATACAAATATATGTAAACTTTCTGGAGGGCAACTTGGCAATGTTTATCCAGATCATTAAAATACCCATACACTTTGAGCCAATTATTCCATTTTTAGAACTATATCCTAAGGAAATAATCAGAAATGCTCACAATGAATTATTCATGAAAATGTGAATTGTAGCATTATTAATGGTAGCAAAACCATGGGATCAGAAACAATGTCCATTATTAAAGAAATAGTTGAGTAAATAACACCAAAATAAAAGAACGGCAATAATACAATATAATTTTATGCATTATTTAGAACAAATTATCACATAATAAAATATAAAATTTATTAAAATGAGAACATAATACAAACTGTCAAATGTTATTGTAATTTTTAAAATTATGTATCTCATCACAGAGACAGACATGCATACTTTTTCCTGGAAGAAAATGCACTAAAATTTAATATTTTACATTAGCATGTCCTGTGATTATGCATGATACCTTACTTTCTTTTGCTCACTTCGTAAAGATTGTTCATTAAATTTATATTAAAATATATGTACATATGTCTCAAAGATATGCCTATATGGTATCACTTTCTGAATATGTTAAGAAAAAAGTTATTATCTTGACACGAATGACAAATTATTGGTCATGATATTATAATAGTGCAAAGAGAAATGAAATATTTGATATTACTTTATCAATGACAGTACAAACATAACAAATCATAAACTTGTTACTCATTTATTAATAATTAAATATTATTAGAAATGTGTATTAAATTGCCAATTATAATTGTAATCAGAGCAACAAACTTACAAGTATGAGATGAAATGAATAATGTAAACATAAAGATGGACAGGGCTTTAAAAGTATACCTATGGTGATATTTCAAATATCTCTTACCCCAGACACTATGACTGCAACCACGTGGGAGTTCCTGAGCAAAAACACTCAGCTGAGAGTAGTCATCTGAGTCACAAAACCATGAAATAATCAGTCAATCAGTAAGTGTGCTTACAGCTATTGGCATGGCTTATTATACAGCAATAGAGAACCAGAGCAATGGGAGAAAAAGTGTTAGAGGCAAATCAAAAGTTCTATTTTACAAGTTCAATGTCGGATGGTCATCAATCATCCAAGTGAAAACGTTAACTAGGCTAACTAACAATCCCTGTGGGGGACAGATATTTAGACTAGAGCATTCACCCATGAAGGCATGAATGTTAAGGCTATTGGGTAAAATATTGTATTGTTATGACAGTGGATATCCCTCTCTTATTTCTTATTTTAATGTGAAGGCTTCTACTTTTTAACCATTAAGAATGATGTTTTTGATGACTTTCTGATAAATAGAATTTACCTATGATCGTTCTTTATTGTTTATGGCTAAGGTGTTTTTCCTTTTTATATTAGAATGAATGATGGTATTCATCAAATGCTTTTTCTCTATCTAGTCATATGATCACATAGTTTTACATACATGCTGAATTGCCTGTTGTCAACAAAGCGTAATATTAGTCCCTTCTAAGATACCTTTCTGCCTCACAAAGGAGTAATTAGAATCTGTTATTTCCCAGAATCTCCTTCATCTAGCTTGTGTTGTAGGTTAAAGGCTGCCTATGAACAGACTTCACAGGAGATGTCAAAAGCATAAGAAAAGAGAGGTATTGTTCTGAGTAGATATTTGCAAACATACAATGCACAAATGTGGTATTTGAAGCAGCTGTCAGGAGAGATTATTGAGAATTAGGTGCTTCTTAATGGCATTTGAGTAAAGTAGAAGATATTGCCAGTGATTCTTTAGATTTGCAGCAGCAGGTCACAGGTAAATTATTTTAAAAATTACTTGACTTCATCATGTGGGCTGTGACTTTTGGTGGAAACTCCTCTGTTCTTTACTCCATCAGACCTTTCAAAAATTATATTAGCTTTTAGTCTCCAGCATTCAACAACTTTATATTTGGAATTGATAGAGCTTGGATATTTCTCCCTGCCTAAATATCTTGTTGAATTGCAATCCCCAGTTCTGGAAGTGGGGCCTGGTAGGAGGTATTTGGATCATGGCGGCAGATCCCTAATGGTTTGGTGCTGTCTTTATGATAGTGAGTTATTGTGAGACCCAATTATTTAAAAGTGTGTGGCATCTCCCCCCAGCCCCTATTATCTCTCTGTTTCCTGCTTTGACTATGTGGCAAAGGCAAACTTCCACTTCACCTTCCACCTTGAATAAAAGCTTTCTGAGGCCTCCACAAAACCAGATGCCACCATGCTTCCTGTACACCCTGCATTACTGTAAGCCAATTAAATCTCTTTTCCTCTAAATTACCGAGTCTCCAGTATTTCTGTATTGCAGTGCAAGAATGACCTAATACAGAAAGCAGAGGGTCTTCTATGTTCTATACAGAATCCTGTCTTATATGCTGATAGATTTTTATAGTTAAGCCATCTTAAAATTCCTAAGAAAATCTTACTTTATAATTGTAGTAGATTGTTCACCAATTACTTTGTCGCAATTCTCCACCTTATAAACACGTGGATCCATTGTCTTTCAGGTTCTCTGAGCAGGTGAGGCCATGGAATTTGTTTTAGCCAATACATTGTGAGGAAGTAGAAAGTGTCACTTCTAGGCCAGACATTTAATTGCCGGAACAAGACCCTAGATTTCTTTTCTTCTGCTACCACCATTAGTAATGGTCCAGGTAGTGGCTGCTCTTGCCATTTCAAATGTGAAATAAGGACATAGAGCACAGCCTCTAGTGGATTCACTATGCATATATAACATGATCAAGAAATTAACATTATTGTTTTTTAGTCACTGTCATTGGTTATGGCTTAGTATAGCCATGTGGTATTGGCTTAGGAAACAAGAAATGGACAAAGAGAAAACTGTTATCGGAGCCTGGAAGGATGTTGATGCAAGTCCTGTATTGGCGAAACATTTGGTAAAACTGTCACCTTAATTAACTTGTACCTTGAGGGAACAGGTTGCAGAAAAGAATGCTGGAAGCATTTAATGTTCATTGTGGCTGGGTGTTACAAGAAGCTGAGCTCGGAAAAGGATTGGTTACTTTGAAGCAGGCAAGAAAAGAAGTGTAATTCAGAAACTCAGGGATATTTTGGATTGGAAAGCCAACTGCCTCTTTATCTCAAACACTAAAAAATGGAATAAAACAGATCTTTGACATAAAAAATATTCAAACTAGTCATCCAGCAAAGATTACTAAAAAAAGTTTGGATTGCACAACCATTGATAAGATCCTTTAATAAACTAAGTTGGCATCCAATAGATTCTTCCAATTAGACAAAGCAGCTCAGAGAAAGCAGAGTGAAAGTGTGGCTGTTCTCCTACTTATGTGGCCAAGTTGCCTATGATTTAGTTGAGAGAGAGCAGAAGCCTGGGGGCAGGCAAACAGAGAAATAGATGAAATATAAGAAGAATGTCTGGATATTTGCAGATGTGGATATTTGCAAATGGAGCTGACAGGAATCAAATATCTAGAAGCCAACTAAGCTTGTAAGAGATTTGTACTACCAAAGAAATCATAACTCCAAGCATTGTCAACTCCAAGTTAGTCATGGTTGAAGATTTAACCAAGCCCACTGTATGAGAATAAAAATAACTGTTGGGTGCCCAAATGTTCACTTAATTAGATATTCTCTGAGTAGGTTAAAGGATGCAGAGAAATCTTCCAGAAAATGGAGCAAGAGGTTACAGAGTTCAATGGAATAGTTATTTCTTTCAGGAAGCAGAATCAGGGCTTAATCCAGCATTTCCCTTCCCTGTGGAATGGGATATTTGCAACATCTGCCCATAATATTTGATTTTCTTTTCTTTTTTTTTTTTCTTTTAGATAGAGTCTTGCTCTGTCGCCTGGGCTGGAGTGCAGTAGTGCGGTCTCGGCTCATTGCAAGCTCCACCTCCCGGGTTCATGCCATTCTCCTGCCTCAGCCTCCCGAGTAGCTGGGACTACAGGTGCGTGCCACCATGCCTGGGTAATTTTTTGTGTTTTTAGTAAAGACGGAGTTTCACCTTGTTAGCCAGGATGGTCTTGATCTCCTGACCTCGTGACCTGCCCACCGTGGTCTCCCAAAGTGCTGGGATTACAGGCGTGAGTCACCGCACCCGGCCAATATTTGATTTTCTGTAGACCAGTTTACCTCTCTTCTTTTTCCAAATGGCAGAATGTACTGTAGTTATTCTGCTGTTAGAACTGTAAAATGGTACAGACATTGTCACATCCTCAAAAGGAATCTGGCTCTTATATCAGAAGATACAGGAAATTGTCTTGTGGAATAGGACGTAATAAAGTAAGACAATGCCTCATGGGGAGTATTTTATTATAATTGGTAATATAATACATATTAATTTTTGTCATATTAAAATTTAGAATTCCAGAAATAAAGTATGTCAAGTAGAGTATTGTTTTAATAAAGTATTGATTAAATAATGTTCTTCAAAATGAACATCAAATTTAGTATGTGCCTATCTGTAGTCTAAAAGTCCTGCTTTTGGGAACATATCCTTAATAAATGCTCAAGGATGTTAGTTGCAGTGTTATTGGCCGTGGAGGGGTGATAATCTGCTTGTGTCACCACTAGGGGAGTAAACTGGTAAAATATGGTAGAATAGATCATGGAGTTCTGTACAACAGGTGGAAAAGAATCGATATGTATGGTCTAAATAGATAGATCTTAAAAGCTTTTTGCTGAATGAAAAAAATAAGCAACATATGAGACCTTTAATAGAGAATAATGTATTTATATATGAGTTAACACAAAACAAATTACATATTTATGACAAAATGCATTAAATATATAAATATACAAGATGATTGTTTTTAGGATAGGGGGAATAAAGGGAATGGGTGATGGAGATTAAAGAGAATACATGAATACAGGATGTTGCTGAGTGAATCAATGATGGTAATGCGCCATGAATTTAGGAGCACCTGCACTTCTAAAAGAGAAGTCTATAAAATTTAAAAGCAAACCAGCTAGTTCCCATGAAAGACACATGATATTAAAAATCAATCAATCCTCAATCAATGAAAAGTGAGTGAAGTAAAAAAAATCCGGGAACTGGAATTCTAAGAGTGGACATTTCAGTGTAAATGTAAGGAAGTTCTAATGAGATACTGAGGGACAGATCTGTGCCTATTCAAAAGGCCAGACTCTGTACTGGCAAAGAAAACTTCATTTAGAACCACCAGGTTTGTTTTCAGGGACTTCCCCCTTTACATATGCGTTGAGTGAACTTGGGCCCATGCCTTGCTTCTATGATCAATGGTGAGTAAAACATGCCTCATGTAGTTGTTGTGTAGAGTTCAATTTAATTACAAACTACTGAGCTCCACAGATATGCCAGACAACTTGCTATAGCCTCCGTCATCCAGTTTTTATGATCTTCTGGAGAAAACAAATAATAGGCACATATGTGCTGTGATGGAGTATGAGTATTGTGCTGCCAAACCCATCACTAAGGATCTAATATAGTTTAAGGTAGTAACGGAAGGTTTCTGGAAGGGTTGTTCCAATCATTAAAGATTTAGAAAATGAGTACAAGTTAAAGAATGGTGATATAGGATATGTGATTGTGTGTGTGTGTGTGTGTGTGTGTGTGTGTGTGTGTGAGAGAAAGGTCAATTTGGGGGATCAATTTAAAACAGGAAACAAAATGAGTCTTTTCCAAAAAAAAGGCATTAAAATTTGTTGGCTGTTATTAACAATATTGCTATATCAACAGCAGAAGCAGCAAGAGTTAGGAGCAGGACCAAGATTTGTATGTTTCTGTTCCTGGAAGGCCACATTATTCCTTCCCTTGAATACTGATGGTTAGCAGCCCAACATTACAGGTCTCCCACATATCTGTTCTTTGTTTAATCCACACTCAGTTTTCAGGTATTCTAAATTGTCTTTATTTGCCACCCATTTTTTTTTTTTCTAAATGAGTACTTTGAGTTGTTCAAACTGGATTGGGTTACTCTTTGAAAAACAAAACAAAATATTTAACTTGCAAAAAGTGTCCCAAATTACTAATGCATGCTGTTTGTGTGTGCTGTGTGGGTGTCTGTGTTATGTGTAAATGTATTTCTTCTTTCTTACTCTAAGAGAGAATGTACAGCTTGAAAATAATAGGAATCATCATAGCTTTCCACTCTAATTTTCTGGAGGCTTCTCATAGGGGATGTTAAAATTAACAAAAATATACATTGCACTAAACATCAAACTACCACGTAATTTCTTTTTGTTGCAATCACAGACACAACCGTAAAACTAGGGACATCAATGGCTATGGATGCTACACTTTATACATAGTTTGGAGTAGCATTCACTTTATAATTATAGTGCTTTAAACATCAGAAGATATGAGAAATTATCTCATGAAATAGGACATAATAAAGTAAGAAAATGCCTTATGTGGAGTGTTTTATTATAATTGGTATTATAGTACAGATTAATATATGTCACATTAATATTTAAATTCCAGAGATAAAATATATCCAGTAGAATATTGCTTTAATAAACTATTGATTAAAAATGTTCTTCAAAATGACACATTTTTAAAGCAGAACCACTTTAATAAACTTAAATTATTCATCTGCACCCTATACAAAGTATATCTGAATTTTTAAAGCTTTCTAACCCCAAACATTAATTTGCTCCATTTTACCTTTGTTTATGGGATAACACTGAATGCAAAACCATTTTACATTTCTTTCCATCCACCACTTTTCCACTCTATATAAGCAAATTAAGTATCTTCTATTAAGAATTTTAAGTGCAAAGTATGTAGAAGCATTGGAAACATTTGGCAGGGTATTTAAACTCTAAAAACATTTTCAGTAGGGAAATACTGAAGCATCGTAACCAGACAGTACCTGTTCCATATTCAAAATTTGTTTGAAATACTTCCCAGTCCTTCTCAGAAGCCTTTCCAGGATTTCAGTCACCATCATTAGAACCCTAATGTTTCTAGACATTTCAAAATGTTTCTTAGAGCACCTGCATCAAAATCACTTGACGTGCTTATATATTCAAATTACAGAGTCCCATCTTGCAGCATTATTATTTTAGTTCATAGCTAGTTGTGGCAGTACCAAGCAGTTTCAATAGATCAATATATAGCTAAAAAGAGGGGACATAGCATGTGATTGCTGTCTCGTTTTAATGTCTCTCTGGACCCAAGCAGTTTAAAGTGTTCAGATTCTTCAAATAAAAGTTATTTTTTCCATATATATACACACACACACACAAACATACCTAAAAAGAAGAGGATAAAGCCATATAAAACTATAATTATCTGTATGTAAAGAAGTAGAAAAGATTCTGATATGATAAAATTATTAAATTATTAATCCACTAATAATAATATTAATTGAACACTAATGACATTTCTGAGCAAGGCATTTTGCATGTATACTTTGTCTCATCAATATCTTACAACAACCTTAAAAGAACGTTTTAATTTTTCTATGTCAGTTATGGAAATTGATGTTCAGAGAGACTAAAGTAATTTGCCTTAGGCTGCTCAGATGGTAGATGACAGAGCTGCGTGTCAAACCCAACAGTGTGTGGCTTCAAGGCCAGTGCTCATATTTCTATGCCACGCTATCACCAGAATTTTATGATTTTAAACTCAACCCAGCCAAGTACCCTGAGCCTGCCATGACTTGGGTAGAGCTTCCATCCTCTGTGTGGGGTTGGGTGCAAGAATACCACCAACAGAGCTCTTGGATACTATCTGTGAGCTTCATCTGAGCTTTATAACACAGTACCTCTCTAAGGCAAAGTACTTAGGGAAGTCCAAATTCAAGAGGAGAAACAAAACCAAGCACACTAAAATAATTCAAAGCCTCTAGTGCCCATGGCTGCAACAAACATTAAATATTTCAACTCACAATCAAATTAACAGAAATGCTCACAGTAAAGGTGTATTTACCTCGTTCCAATTACTCAATTCAACATATCTGACTTTTACCAAAAATTGAATGACATGACAAAAAAGGCAAGAAAAAACAATCTGAAGAGAAAAGGCAATTATCAAAACCAGATTAAGATATGAGAAAATTGCTATAATTATCAGACAGGGAATTTAGAACAACTGTGGTTAGTATGTTAAGGGATTTAATGGTAAAAGTAGACAGCATGAAAAAACAGATGGATGCTTTAAAGAGAAAAACAGAAACTGTAAGAAAATTTTTTAAATGCTACAAATCAAAAGCACTAAAATAGAAATGAAGATTGACTTTGATGGGCTCATTATTAGACCATATGGTTGAGTGAAAAATTAGCTTGAGGATAGTTCAATAGAAAGTTTTAAATTCAAAGACAAAAAAATTCAAAAACAATGGGACCATTTCAAATCTTTTGCATACACATTTGAAATACTGAAGAAGAGATAAAGAATGGAGCAAAAGTAGTATTTGAAGTAATAATGGCTCAGAATGTTCCAAATCTAATGATAGATCCAAAACCACAGATCTAGAAAATTCAGAGAACATTCATAAAATAAATTGTAAAAAATCTAAACCAAACTAACAAAAAACACCCTAATTACATCATATTCAAACTTCAGAAAACCAAAGACAAAGATAAAATCATAGAAAAGGCTGGGGTATGGGGAGCATCTTACCTATAGAGGAATAAGGATATGTTGGCCATCTTGTCAGAAACCAGGTGAACAAGAAGAAACTGGAGTAAAATATTTAGAGTGTTGGAAAAAATTCACCAAACTAGAATTCTACCTCCAGCAAAATTCTTCTTCAAATGTAAGGAAGAAATAAAAACCTTCTCAAAGAGCAATTGAAAAAAATTATCACTGGCAAATTTTCCTGCATAGAATGTTAAAAGGCTACACACTGGGTACGGGTACACTGCTCTGGTGATGGATGCACCAAAATCTCAGAAATTACCACTAAAAAACTTACTCATCTAATCAAACACCACCTGTTCCCCAAAAACCCATTGAAATAAAAAAAATTTTAAAAAATTTTAAAAACTTATGTAACCCTTTAAAGAGATAGAAAGTCATGATAACTAGAGACCTAGCACAGTTTCATTACAATGAAAGCTATGTTCAATTAGGTTTATTTTCTTCATTTGGCAGTTATTGGACTGGGGTATGAGAGTGAAATCAGAAATTAAGCTTATTTAGATCACATTCCAAAAAGGTCATACCATATTTCTGTCTGGCCTAAATGAAGAAATGTGGGCTGAGAATGAGAATGAGCTACTTCCATGACCAAATCCAAAGGATGTGGAGGAGGCTGGATATATGCAGATTTTGAAGGAAGATTACGTTTGGCCTTTTTCTGCTTACTATATTTAAAATAAAAATTTGCCTATTAAAGCTACAAAAGATAAAATGGTAAGAGTCACTAATATGCTACACAAAATAACTAAAAAATAAATAATCCATTGGCCCCAACAAAGATCCAAAAATAGTAGATGATTGCCTGAGTGGAGTAAATACAAAAACCTGTACCAAAGCTGAAAAACATCCACTGCATAATAGGAAAAGGAAGAAATGAGATTTAAAAGTCAACCATGCAAAAATATACCTTTTTTGTTTAATTGGCTATACACTCAAGTAAAATGGATTCCAAACTTAAACTTACATTATTATAATAAAAAATGATAGTTTCTATTGTACCCAGCACTTATCAGAACATATATGCCATTGTTCTGTAATTAGTTCTGAAGAAATGTTTTAAAAGGGGACATTGACAACCAGGGTATTCCAGAAGGCAGAACTTAGAATTTCAAACTATTTCAAAATCACTCTTATAGGAGAGAGGAGTTAAGGATGTTAGCCTAAAGACGGGTAGGCTAGAAGGACATTTGGTAGAACTCTCCAAATATTTGAACTGCCATTTAGTGGTTAGAGCAGACCTACTTCATTTGAGTTCAGAAACATAACTAAGATCAATAAGTAGAATGTATAGAAAGTAAGATATAGAATCAACAGCAAGAATAATTTTTTAATAATTAGAGATATTGAAAATGGGAGACATTAATAGCCAAGGACCACATAGAGACTTAATCTTACCAAAAATTTTTAAAATGCAAACAAAAACAAGATGCTACCATAAAAAAATTTTTTTGAGTCCATCAGACTGATAAAAACCATAGAGATGATAACATGGAGTTTAGGAAAAGATGTGGAGAAATGAACATGCATATCCATTGCTTGTGTGAGGGGAAATTGGTGCAACCATTGAGCAAAGGATCTACCAGAGCATAACATGTACATACTCAAATGAGATGCCTAGCATCTCCATTTCTAGGCATCTCATTTGGAAACATTCATGTCACTGTGCACACTATGTGCTCAAATACATTTATTGCAGAATTTTTTGCAATGCCAAAAATATTGAAAGCAACCTAAATCAATCAATCAGGGATTTTTTAAAAAGACATAGTATATCCATGCTCAGGACTATTATGCATGTATTAAAAGGAACAGAAAAGATCTATCTGTATGAATCCAGGACTTATTACTAAGTAAAAAATTAAGTTGCAGACTCGTAGTGTAATCTTGTACAAACAATAAGCCCCACCACGATGTTATTTGTTGGTACATCACAGAAAAATCACTTGAAAGTATACAAATCAAACTTTTCTATCAAGGGTGTGAGGTGAGGGGTTGGAGTCGAGGAAGACTCTATACGCTTTTGTAGTTATGGATTTATATGGGTAGGTTAGGTTTTTGTAATTAAAGAAATAAAGACTTCAAAAATGAAAAAGGAAAACAATTACAAAAATAATATATACTAATTTAAATACAGTAATAATCACTTCAAATGTGAATTGTCTAAATACACCAAAAATGGGAGACATTAATAGCCAAGGACCATGAAGTGGACTTAAATAGAAACCTAACTATACATTTTGTACAAGATACCCACTTTTATAAAGACTCAGATAGGTTAAATACAGTGGAATGGAGAAAAACATTTGGTGCTTGCTAATAAAAACAAAGTTGGAGTAGCTATATTAATTTCAAAGTAGACTCTAGAATAAAGGCTATTATTAGAGACAAGGAGGGAGATTACATAATGTTAAAAGGCCAGTGCTTAAGGAAGGCATAATACTGCTTAATATGTATGCCAATAAAAACAGTATCAAAATATGTGAGGCAATATCTGACAGAACTACCAAGAGAAATAGACATATTCATGATTATAGTTGTAGATAAATACCACTCTTTTAATAACTGATGGATCAAGCAGGCAAAAAAATTAGTAAAGATATAAGTGATTTGAACAGACCTACTGATCCACTTGATCTAACTGACATTTATAAAATATTGTCTTACCACAGCTGAATACATATTTTTCTCAATATCACATGATAAATAATTGAGATAGATCACATTGATGCCATAAAACATATAAAATATATTTTTTTAAAATTACACAATATCCATTTTTAGAGCAGAGTGTTATTAAACAACAACAAAAATTCAATGAGAATAGCTCAAAATTTCCAAATATTTGGAAGTTAAGTAACACACTTCTAAATATTATTCATAAAAGAAATGTCAAGAGAAATTAAAATATTTCAAACTAAATCAGAATAGAACTATAACTTATCAAAATTTGTTGGATGCAATGAAAGATGTGTTTAGTGAGAAATTAACATTAAATGCATATGTTAGAAAAGAAAAAAAATCTAAACATAATAGCCTAAGCTTCCATCATATAAGTTCCAGAGAAAGAAGAGTAATTATAGCTGAAATCAAGCAGAAGAAATAATAAAAATCAGGGAAGAATTGAAGAAAACTGCAAACAGGAAAACTATAGAGTAAATCAATAAATACAATTTATTGATTATTTGAAAAGAACAATAAAATTAAGGAATCTCTAGCCAAGCTAATTGAGAATGAAAAGAGAGAATACATAAATTGAAAATATTTGAAATGAAAGAGTGGTCCATAGATATTAAACATATCCTATAAATATTCATTAAAATAATAATAAAAGAATACTATGAATAAATCTATGTCCACAATTATCATAAATTAAATGAAATGTAAGTAGTTATTTCTTGAAAGACACAAACTACCAAAACTTACACAAAATAGTAATAAGTAATCTATTAAAAACTTAATACCTGTTAAAATTGATTCAACAATTAATAACATTCTAAAAGAGAAGGCACCAGGACAATTTTAAGAGGCAAATAATCTGAACAGAAACCCTTTCTAAGAAAATACATTTTTGCAAATAAGCATATGAAAGATGCTCAATATTATTTGTTTAGAGGAAAATGCAAATTAAGGCAACTATGTGATAACACTATGTATCATTTAGAATGTCTAAAATTTAAACCAATATCAATTGCTGCAGGTGATGCAGACAAATGGAATTCACCTTCATTGCTGTTTGCAATGCAAAATGATTTAGCCACTTTAGAACACAGTATAGCAGCTTTTTAAAAAGCTAAACCATTTAATCCAGCATTTACAGTCTTATGTATTTACCCAATTATTAAAAACTTAGGTTCACACTAAAACCTGCATGCAAATATTCATAGTGTTTTATTCATAATTCCAAAATCTGAAAGCATCTGAGATGTTCTTCAATAGGTGAATGGATAAACAACCTGTCGTATAGCAATACAAATAGAGTATTAGTCAGTGATTATAAATATAGTGTTAAATGAAATCAAGGCACAAAACAATATATATCTGATTTCATTTATATAAATTTCAAAAATATGGAAAAGTATCCACGGTGCTAAGAGATAGTGGTTGTCTTTGGAGAGTAGAGAAGTAGAGATTTTAAACAAGGAATCACAGTAGCAGTTTTTTATCCAATTGTTTTTCTTGTCTTAGGTTGTGCTTCGATGAGTATATTTATTTCACAACAATTAATCTAGCTTTATACTTATGATTCTCCAGTTTTATGTATGTAAATTGTATTCATATAAAAAGTTTTTAAAAAGTTATTAATTTCTTGACTTTGTGTCCTTGGGCAATTTGCTTAACGTCTAAGAGCCTAGATTTGTTTCATACATAAAATTGTTACGATAATGTAAAGTTGTTTGGAAGATTAATTGTAAACATTTTGGCACAAAGATTAACAAATACAAAAATGATAAATAAATAACAGCAATAGTTTAAAGCCCAAAATGTTAGTCCAAGTATAAACATCTTACTAAAACCTTATTTTTCAGTAAATCTAATAATTTAGATTCAAATGGAATAGGTGTTCCTTAAATTAGAATTGTGTAGAAAAGAAACATTTATTCCACAAATACTAAGCGTTTACTGTGTCAACAGAATTATTCAATGCACTCAAGATACATTAATTAACAGTTAAGTAAAAACACTCCTGACTCTTTGTAGCTTAAATTAAATGACAGGGACATACCTTAAACATAAGAAATAAAAATTTCATATTGTTAAGTTATAAGGTAAAAATTGCTAAGTAAAAATGCAGAATAGATGAAGCTACACCCATTTCTTTTGGATGGGGAAAGGAATAACTGAGGAAAAGCAATGCATTCCAAAAAGACAAAAGTTGAAAAAGCCTGAAACTCACAGGATCTACTGATGGATAACATGTGTGGTGGGGAAAGAAAAGAGTCAATGATGGTGCTCGAGGTTTGGGCAGGTGAAACTTCAATAATGCGGTTGTTACTAATTGAGATGGGAAAGGCTGGAGAAAGGTTTTACTCAGCCTTACAGTGCTCCAATGTGAACAAAACCTTGGGATTATGTCAGAGATCTCTATAATCACCAATTCTTAAATTTTGATTCTGGTGAAGAGAGACTAGATTCACCCTTCCACCTATATGCTAGCATTTTGAAAGCAAAATGAGGAAGAAGGCTGGTATGAATGAAATGATAATGGAGTCTCCATCTTCATCAAGTAAATTCTCATTTATTTCCAGTTTACACTATGCTACCTATGATAAGTCAGGTCTGTGTTTCCCGATCTACAGATACTGTTTTACCTAGGCAAGAGAATAATTCTCAAGTATCCTGTCAAGGGTGAGTAGGTAGGAGATGGGAGAGCACCCTCCTTGACTGTGGAGTGGGGAAGGGGATCTGAGATTATACCAGGTTTCTTTTTTTTTCTTTTTTTGGAGGGGGAGCATTAGTCTGGGTTTCTCTAGAGTATCAGAAATAATAGGATACTTGTATATATGAAAGGGAGTTTATTAAGGAATAAAAGGGAGTTTATGAAGGAATATTAACTCACACCATCACAAGATGAAGTCCCACGGTAGGTTGTCTGCAAGGTGAACAGCAAGGAAGCCAGTGGTGGATTAGTTTGCGTCCCAAAACCTCAAAAGTAGGAAGCAGACAGTGAAGCCTTCAGTCTGTGGTCAAAGGCTCAAGAGCCCCTGGCAAACCATTGATGTAAGTCCAAGAGTCCAAAAGCTGAAGAACTTGGAGTCTGATGTTCGAAGGCAGGAAGCATCCAGCACAGGAGAAAAATGAAGGCCAGAAGAATCAGCAAGTCAAGTCCTTTCATGTTCTTCTGCCTGCTTTATTCTAGCTGGGCTGGCAGCTGATTATATGGTGCCTAACTGGATTGAGGGTGGGTCTGCCTCTCCCAGCCCACTAACTCAAATGTTAATCTCCTTTGGTAACACCCTCACAGATACACCCCGGAACAGTACTTTGAATTCTTCAATCAAGTTGATCCTTAATATTAACCATCACAGGGGGCATAGTTTATATTTTGAAATAGCTTCAAATTTACAGGAAAGTTGCTAGAATCGTGTCAGGAAGTCTTATATACCCTTTATCCAAATGCAATGCTTGTTTCATTTTAGACCATTTACATATCTGTGTATTAATTTTACACATACAGGATTTTGTATGTATCTTATAGTGTATTAATTTTATACATACAGATTTTGTATGTATCTTATAGTAAGCTGAAAGTATTCTGATTCTTTAACCTTAAATAATTTAGTTCATATTTCTTAAGAAATTATACAATTTCTTACAAAACCACGGAAAAATTTTAAATACTAGGAAAAATAAGGAAATTATCCGATCTACAGACAATATTATATTCAATGAAGTTTCATAATAATGTATTTTATAGCTATTTTTCTTTTCCAGAAACAAATTCCACAATTGCATATTGTATTTAATTGTCATATTTCAGTCTTTCTTTCTATGTATTGAGTTTAACATTTTTTAAGAGGACAGGCCTGGTTATTTTGTAGACTATCTCCCACCTTAGGTCTGTCCAGTGCCTCCTCATGATTAGATTAACAGAAGTAATGATGTTTTGTCTTTCTCTGAGTTTCTTATTAGACACAATTTTGTTTGTCCCAATTTTGATTATGCTATGTTTGTTATTTTGGTTCAGGTGGTATTACCTACATTATTGAATGATATTATTACACTTTTTCCTTTGAAGTTAATGAGTAGATTTTTGGAGATACTTTGAAACAATGTCTTTCCAATCAACAACTACCCTGTAAGTTTAGCATCCACTGTTAATTTCAAATATATCATTTCTGCTATGCTTATTATTTGGCACTCTAGTGTAGGGAAGGGCTTTATTTATTTATTCATTTATTTACTTCTATGAGTATGGGTTTATGATTTATTACTTTATTGAGTTATTTCAATCCAATCCTTTCAATATTTACTTTGAATATGACAAGAGGGAGCCCTGTCAAACTGACTTGTGCATTTTGACATATTTCCCTAATTCTTTGAGCTCATCTTCCTCAATGCAACAAGATGCTCCAGGCTTATATTGCTCTTTTCTAGCCCTGAAAATGGTAACCATTTCTCCATTAAGCCATGGATCCTTTTAGTGGGAAATGGTATTTAAATATGAATGCTGGGTGTGCTTATTCTTTTTTTTCTCTCCTGCCTTTCCTCTTCTTCTTTCTCCCTTCTCTCTCTCCCTCTCTTTCTGTCTCTCTTTCTCTCTCTCTGTCACACACACACACACACACACACACACACACAAATATATATGATGTAAATAAATATTGATATTTTCAATCCAACATCACATAGTATATATTAGTTTTCCCCTTTCCAATACTGAAACTCTCTCAGCAGTGAGAAACATGGATTTCATTATTTTCAATATATTAACTAGAGTTTACTACCTGTCTACTTCTTTACACACATTGAAATTCACTGAGTTTAATGAGTTTTAACAAGTGAATATACTCGTGCAATGAATAACAATAATAAGATATAGAAAATTTCCTTCAAACCAAAGAACTCTCTCATTTGCCATAGGGGTAAATTATATCTCCCTATACCCCCGCAAACCCTAGGCAACCACAGTTAGATTATCTTTTCACTATAAATTAGTTTTGAATACTTTAGAACTTCGTATAAGGGAAATCTTATCATATGTACTTTCTTGTCTTTGGCTTATTTTGTTCATCAAATTATCTATGAGATTTACAAATAGTAAAGAAATCAGTTTTTCTTCTTTTTATTGATGAGTAGTATTTCATTGTACGAATTTGATGCACAGTGTGTATCTATCCTGCTGTAGATTGAATTTTGTATTTACAGCTGTAGTGCAATGGCACAATCTTGGCTCACTGCAATCTCCGCCTCCTGGGTTCAAGCAATTATTCTGTCTCAGCCTCCCAAGTAGCTGGGACTACAGGCACATGCCACTACACCTCGCTAATTTTTGTATTTTTAGTAGAGATGGAATTTCACCATATTGGCCAGGCTGGTCTCAAACTCCTGACCTCGTGATCCACCCGCCTCAGCCTCCCAAAGTGCTGGGATTACAGGCGTTAGCCACTGAGCCCGGCCTTTTGTAGACATATTTTAATATTTCTTGGATAAATCCTGAGGAATATAATTGCTAGGTCAAAGGGTAGGGAAGGGCTTTATTTATTCATTTATTTACTTTTTTATATGTTCAACTGCACGTTCAACTTTATAGGAAACTGCCAAGCATTTTATAGAATAGTCGCTGTATTAGTCCATTCTCATGCTGGTATAAAGAACTGCCCAATGTTGAACATTGTTTCATATGTTTGTTGGCCATTTGTGTATCTTCTTTTGAGAATTGTCTATCCATGTCCTAAGTCCACTTTTTGATGGGATTGTTTGTATTTTTCTTACTGATTTGAGTTCATTGTAGATTCTGGTTATTTGTCCTTTGTCAGATGTATAGATTGTGAAGATTTTCTCCCACTCTGTGGTTCGTCTGTTTACCCTGTTGACTGTTCCTTTTGCCATGCAAAAGCTCTTTAATTAGGTCGCAGTTATTTATCTTTGATTTTATTGCATTTGCTTTTGGGTTCTTGTCATGAAATCCTTGCCTAAACCAATGTCTAGAAGGGTTTTTCCAATGTTATCTTCTAGAATTTTTATAGTTTCAGTTCTTAGTTTAAATACTTAATCCATCTTGAGCTGATTTTTGTATAAGGTGAGAGATGAGCATCCAGTTTTGTTCTCCTACATGTGGCTTGCCAATTATCCCAGCACCATTTGTTGAAAAGGGGGTCCTTCCCCCACTTTATGTTTTGGCTTGCTTTGTCAAAGATCAGTTGGCTGTAAGTATTTGGGTTTATATCTGTGTTCCCTATATTGTTCCATTGGTCTATGTGCCATTTTTAGACCAGTACCATGCTGTTTTGGTGACACTATGACCTTATAATAGAGTTTGAAATCAAGTAATGTGATGCCTTCAGATTTGTTTTTTTGCTTAGTCTTGCTTTGGCTATGTGGGCTCCTTTTTATGATGGGTACACCAAAAATCTAACAAATCACCACTAAAGAACTTACTCATGTAAACAAATACCACCTGTACGAGAGTAACTTAAGAAATGCTACTTAAGAGGTTGACTCTAATACGTAAAAGTGTTTTGAGGATTAAAAGATGAAATTTAAAAAATAAAGTGATTATTGGAATAAAAAAGGAGCTGCCTGAGACTGAGTAATTGATAAAGAAAAGAAGTTTAACTGACTCACGGTTTCACAGGGCTGGTGAGGACTCAGGAAACTTACAATCGTGGCAAAAGAGAAAGCAAATGCATCCTTCTTCACATGGCAGCAGGAAGGAGAAGAATGAAAGTCAAGTGAAAGGGGAAACCCATTATAAAACCATGAGATCTTGTGAGATCCTGCTCACTATCACAAGAATACCACGGGGGAAGTCACCTCCATGATTCAATTACATCCCACTGGGTCCCTCCCACCACATGTGGGGATTATGGAAACTACAAATCAAGGTGAGATTTGGGTGAGGACACAGCCAAACCTTTTCAGTTGCTCTATTTCATATTAACATAAGCAATATATGAGAATTCCCATTGTTCCACACCCTTGCCCATATTTGATATTGATAGTTTATTTAAAATCTTGGTCATTAAGGTGAACACATAAAGTTATTCTGTGGATATAATTTGTATTTCCCTCTTGGCTAATGCTACATACTTTTTCCTAAGCTTTTATTTGTATATTTTTGTTTTAAGAGTGTTTGTTCAAGCCATTTGCCCAATTATTTATTGGACTTTGTACTTTGAGTTATGAGATTTTTAAAAAATACATTCTGGATATGTCTTTTATCATGCATATGTTCCTGGCTGTGAGTCACTTATTAATTTTCTTAGCAGTGCCTTTTGATGATCAGACTTTTTTAAATATTGATAAAACATAATTTATCATTTTCTTTTATGATAATTGTTTTATTCTGCCTAAGAAAATTTTCCTTACCCTCTGATAAATCTTGAGCCACTTTTCTTTTAACCTTTATGATTTCAGTTTGTAAATTTAGCTCAAGATTTATTTTGAATTAAGCTTGTGTGTGTTGTTATATATAAAACAGAGTTGATTATTTTTTCTACATGGATATCCATTTGTTCCAGCACCATTTGTTAAAAAATCTTTGTATTTCCCATTGAATTGCTCTGGAACATTCATTTAAAAATCAACTGAACTTACAAGCATTAGTTTACATCTCCACTATCATTTCTGTTCCATTGATTTGTTTGTCTTTTCATGACACTGCCACGGTGCCTGTAGCTTCATTGTAAGCTGTTAAATCTGATAATGTGAGTCTTCAAATTAATTTGTACTTATTCAAGATTATTTTGATTAATCTAAGTATTTTGCATTTTTAATTGTAGAATAATCTTGTCATTCACTACAAAAAGCCTGCTGAGATTATGAGGTAGATTTTGTTGTTTCTATAAATCAATTTTGGATATTTATCATTTAAAAAACATTCACAATTTCAGTCTTTTTAGATAGCTACATTTCTTCATTTATGTTTTTCTTTAATTACTCTCAGCAATGTTTTATAATTTCCAAAATAGATATCTTGCTTTGACTGCTGTTAAATTTCTTCCTAAGTATTTCAGGCTTTTTAATGCTATTGGAAATAGATATTTTTATTTAATTTTATACTTTTTTGGTGCTACTATGTAGAAATATAGTTGACTCTAAAATGGATACTCCATGTCCTCAGAGGTTGCAATATTCACTTTTTAGAACTAGAAGAGATTTGTTTTGGTGAATTACTTAATATTTGTATACCTTCAACAGAATCTTGTTTGAGAATACAGACAGTTTGACTTACTCTTTTCTAATCTTTATGCTTTTTATTTGTTTTTCTTGCCCTCTTTCACTGGCTGGGAAATCCATTTTAATGCTGAATGGAAGTTGTGAAAGGTGGCATCTGCATTTTTCTCAAACTAGAGAAAAAATAGTCAATATTTCACAATTAAAAATGACATTATTTGTAGAATTTGTCATAGTTGCTTTTTACTTGATTGAAGAAATACCATCCTAATTGTAATTAACTTATAAATTTTGTCATGAATGGATGATTACTGAGTTGAGTTGATTATATGGTTTACTCCTTCATACAGCTCATGTGTTAAATACTCTAACTGGTCTTGAAATGTTAACTAGCTTTAAATTCCTGAGATATATTACTGAATTAAATTTAAAGTGCCTGTATTTATGAGAAATATCAGTTTATAATTTATCTTTTTTTCAATGTCTTTGTGAGGTTGTTACATCAGAGAAACACTGATCTTATAAAACAAATTAGTGTTTCCACATCATTTTTATTTGTGATTTGTAGGTACATTTCAAAATAACTAACATTCTCTAAATGGTATATTACCCAAAAATGGAAAAAACTTCTCCATTAATTTAGGTGTTATATGTTTTAATAAATCTTAATTGCACTTCTTAGAAAGTCCAGCACTCTTTTTGTTAAATTTAGGTTTATTTACTTATATTGTCTAATGTTGTTTTAAATGAGATTTTATTTTAAATAATTTTTGGTTGGTGGTTGCTGATATAAAGATATGCATTTGAACTTTCTATATTATCCTTATGTTCTGCTTGCTAGATAAACTTTACAATAATATGTAATAATGTGTCTAAATAGTTTTCTAAGTAAATAGTCATATATTTTACAAACATGGCAGTTTTATTTCTTTATTTTAAATCCCCCTGCATCAAATTCTTTTCATCATATTATTGTGCATGCCAGGGCTTCCAAAATATGTATTATTTGAAATTGTGAAAATGTGCTTCCTTGTGTTGTGTTTTTTATTTTAAATGAAAATCTCTCTACATTTACACATTTAGAATAATACATATTGCTTTTTAAAAAATATATTAGATACAGAAACACACTTTCCTATTTTTTAATATACTGAGCATTTTTATCACAAATTTATGATAAAATGTTTCAAATACATACTTTGCATCTGTTTAAATGACTATCTGGAGATTTTATTTTATTCTGTTAATGTGATAATTAAATTTATAGATTGAACTTCTTTGTATGTACGAGATGAAATAAACATAGTCATGGTATTTAATGTTCCTTTTTAGCTTTTATTGTGGTAAAATAAACATAACATAAAATGTACATAAAATGTGCTATCTTATTGCTTTTTTTCTTTCTTTTTTTGAGATGGAGTCTCGCTTTGTTGCCCAGGCTGGACTTCAGTGGCATGATCTCAGCTTACCACAACCTCTGCCTCCTGGGTTCAAGGGATTCTCCTTGAACCCCCAAAGTAGCTGGGATTACAGGTGTGCACCACCATGCCAGGCTAATTTTTGAATTTTTAGTAGAGACGGGGTTTCACCACGTTGGCCAGGCTGGTCTCGAACTCCTGACCTCAAGTGATTTATCAGCCTCGACCTCCCAAAGTGTTGGGATTACAGGCATGAGCCATCACGCCCAGCCCTTATTTCACTTTTAAGTGTATAGTTTAATGGCATTAAGTACATTCATATTATTTTACAACTCTCATAACCATCCATTAACATAATTATTTTCATCTTTCAAAGCCCAAACTCTATGCCCATTAAATGATAACTCCTCCCTTACCTGCCTCCCCCAAAACCCTAGAAACCACCATTCTGTTTTCTGTCTCTTTGATTTTGACTACTTTAAGTAACCACATATAAGTGGAATCATACAGCCTTTATCTTTATATGACTGACTTATTTCACTTGGCATAGTGTCATCAACCTTTATCTATATTTTAGCATATGTCAGAATTTCCTTCCTTTTCTTAAGGCTGAATTGTATCCAATTGTATGTACATATCACATTTTTGTTTATGTTTTCATCTGCCAGTGAACACTTCCACATTTCGGCTATTGTGAAAAATGCTACTATGAACATGAGTATACAAATACAGGCATATCTTATTTTATTTGTGCATTGTTATATTTTGTTTCAAAGATATTGCTTATATTTTTACAAACTGAAGTTTTATGGTAACCCTGAGCCAAGCAAGTCTATTCATTTTTCCAATAGCACACGCTTAATTCCTGTTACTGTGTCACATTTGGTAATTTTTATAATATTTCAAACTTTTTTATTACTGTCAACCAACCATTCCCTGTCTCTCTCCCTCTCCTCAAGCCTCCCTATTTTCTGAGGCACAGTAATATTGAAGTTAGGCCAATAAATAACCTTACAATGCCTTCTAAGTGTTCAGATGAAAGGAAGAGTTTCAAGTCTCTCAATATAAATCAAATGGCCAAGAAGCATATGAAAAAATATTCAACATCACTAATCATCAGAGAAATGCAATTTAAAATCAATGAGATATACCACCTACACCAATCAGAATGGCTATTACTAAAAAGTCAAAAAATAACAGAGGTAGGAGAGGATGTAGAGGAAAGGGACACTTATACACTGTTGCTGTGAATGTAAATTAATACAACCTGTAAGGAAAAGTGTATTGAGATTTCACAAAGAACTAAAAATAGAACTACCATTTTGATCCAGAAAGCTCACTACTAGGTACCTACCAAAAAGAAAAAATACATATTATATTAAAAAATACTTGCACTCATATGTTTATTGCAGCACTATTCACAATAGCAAGTATTCGGAATCAACCTAAGGGGGTCATTGATGAATGAATGGATTTTAAAAACCATGGTATATATAGACAATGGAATATATTCTACCTTAAAAAATGGAATCATGACTTTTGCAGTAACATGGATGGAACTGGAGGCCATTATCTTAAGTAAAATGACTCAGAATCAAAATGTCAAATAGGGCATGTCTAACTTATAAATGCATGCTTAATAATGCATACACATGGAAAGTATGGAATGAGGGACAATTGAGACTCAGAGGTTTGGGGGCGGGAGGAGAGTGGAAGATGGGAGGTTGTTAGCTGAGTAAAATGTGCATCGCTCCAGTGATGGATACACTGAAGACTTGACCATCATGCAATATATCAATATAGTAAAATTGCACTTTTACTCCATGATTGTTTATATATATATATATATGATTGCGTGTGTGTGTGTGTGTGTAGCTAGAAATAAGCTTAGTGAGGAAGGCATGTCAAAAACTGAGTTAGGCTGAAAGGTAGTCCTCTTGAAGCTAAGAGTTAGCCAAGTTATGAATGCTAAGGAAAAGTTATTGAAGAAAATTTAAAATGCTATTCCAGTGAGCACACAAATGATAAGAAAGCAAACAGCCTTATTGCTGATATGGGGAAAGCTTTTGTAGTCTGTATAGAAGATTAAGCAGGCCAGACCATTCCTTTAATTCAGAGCCTAATCCAGAGCAAAGTCTTAACTCTCTTCAATTCTGTGAAGGCTGAGAGAAGTGAGGAAACTGCAGGAGAAAAGTTGGAAACTAGCAGACACTGGTTCATGAGATTTAAGAAAAGAAGCCACTTCCATAACATAAAAGTGCAAACGGAAGCAGAAAGTGCTGAAGTAGAAGTTGCAGGAAGTTATCCAAGAGGTTTAATTAAGATCATTGATGAAAGTCCCACAAAACAACAAATTTTCAATGTTGATGAAAGTGCCTTACATAGAAAAAAGGTGCCATCTAAGACTTTAATAGCTTGAGTGGAGAAGTCATTGTCTGGTTTCAAAGCTTCAGAGAATAGGCTAATTTTCTTGGTAGGGACTAATGCATCCTGTGCTTTTTAAGTTGAAGCCAATGCATATTTACCATTCTCAAAATTCTAGGGCTCTTTAGAATTATACTAAATCTACTTTCTGTGGGCTGTGTAAATGAGAAAACAAAGCTTGGATGAAAATGTATCTGTTTACAGCATGGTTTACTGAATATTTTAAGCCCACTGTTGAGACCTACTGCTCATTGATTCCCATTGACAATGAACCTGGTCACCCAAGGGCTCTAATGGAAATGTACAATGAGATTAATGTTAGTTTTATGCCTGCTAACACAACATCCATTCTGTAGCCCATGGATTAAGAATTTTGACTTTCAAGTTATATCATTTACAAAATATATTTTGTAAGGCTATAGCTATGATAGAGAGTGATTCCTGTAATGGATCTGGGCAAAATAAATTGAAAACTGTCTGGAAAGAATTTACCATTCTAGATTCAATTAAGAACATTCATGACTCATGGATGGTTGTCAAAATAATATTAACAGAAGTTTGAAAGAAGTTGATTCCAAGCCTCATAGATGACATTTAGGGATTGAAGACTTCAGGGGAGGAAGTAACTGCAGATGTAATTTAAAAAAATCAAAAGAACAGGAAATGGAGCCTGGACATGTGACTGATTTGCTACAATGTCATGATAAAATTTTTATGGATGAGGAGCTGCTTCTTCTGATGAGTAACAAAAGCGGTTTCTTGAGATGAAATCTACTCCTGATGAAGATGCTGTGAATTTTTGAAATGACAGTGAAGGACTTAGAATATTACATAAACTTTTTTTGATAAAGTCAGGACTCCAATTTGAAAGAAGCTCTACTCTAGGTTAAGTGCTACCAAATAGAATCACAGCTACAGAGAAATATTTTGTGAAAGAGTGAATAGATGTGGCAAAATTCATTATTGCCTTATTTTAAGAAATTCCCAAAGCCATCCCAATCATCAGCAACCACCACCCTGATCAGCCGGCAGACATCAACATCAAGGCAAAGGTAAAACCCTCTACCAGCAAAAAGATCACAACTTTCTGAAGGCTCAGATGATTGTTAGCATTCTTTAGCCATAATTTATTTTCAATTTTTATTTAAAAAATTTGGATATAATTTATTTTATATTTTTAATGAAGGTATGTACATTTTTAGACACAATTCTATTACACATTTAAACAAGCTATGGTATAGTGTAAGCACAAATTTTATATTCACTGGGAAATCAAAATAAATAATTGTATGACTTACTTTATTACAATATTTACTTTATTGTGATGATCTAGAACTGAGCCCACAGTGTCTCCATTTCATGCCTGCATCTTGTTAAGACCTTGCTTTCAATTCTTTTGATTACATACCTGAAGTGGAACTGCTGACTTATACATACATCATTTAAATTTTTTTATGAATAACCATAGCATAAAGTCTATTTTTACTATTATAAAAATAGATACATAGATCAATGAAACAGAATAGAGAACACAGAAATAATGCCACATATCCATAACCAACTGATCTTTGAAAAAGTTGACAAAAGCAAACACTGGGGGAGGGTCACCCTTTTAAGTAATGGTGCTGGGAAAACTAAAATAGCCATAAGCAGAAGAATAAAACTAGATTCCTATCTCTCACCATATGCAAAATTTAATGCAAGATGGATTAAAGACTTCAGTGTAAGACCTGAAACTATTAAAATACTAGAAGAAACCGTAGGCAAAACTCTTCTAAACATTGGTCTAGGCAAAGAACTCAGGACAAAGACCTTAAAATTGGAAGCAACAAAAACAACAGTAGACAAATGAAACATAATTAAACTAAAAAACTTCTATATCATTTATCAAAGAGACCATCCTTTCTTCATATTGTCTTCATGGTATCTTTGGCAGAATCTAATTGGCCGTAAGTGGATAGATTGATTTCTGCATTCTTTATCCTATTTTTTTGGTCAATGTGTCTATTTTTATGCAAGTATCACGCTGTTTTGATTATACAATGGCTTTATACTATGTTTTACAATTACAGTGGTTTTTTTGGTGACGTTTTTAGGGTTTTTAAATTTAAAATCATGTCATTAACAAATAGAAGCCATTAAACTTCCTCCCATTCTATTAGAATATATTTCATTTCTTTTTCTTGCCTAATTTTACTAGGTAGGACTTCCAGTATTATGTTAAAAGAAATGATGAGAGTGAGCATCCTTGTCTTACTCTTGATTTCAGTTAACAATCTTTCACCTTCTCACCACTGAATGTAATACTATCTGGGGCTTGTTGTCATTAGATTTTTGATAGGGATTGTATTGAATCTGTAGGTAGCTTTGAGTGGAATTTACATTTTAACAATATTAAGTCTTCCAATCTATGGAAACAGACTGTCTTTTCATTATTGGTGGCTTCTTTAATTTTTTACAATTAAAGAAGTCTGTCTCTTTTTTTTTTTTTTTCTTTTTTTGAGATGGAGTTTTGCTCTTGTTGCCCAGGCTGGAGTGCAATGGCGCAATTTCAGCTCACCGCAACCTCTACCTCCCCAGTTCAAGAGATTTTCCTGCCTCAGCCTCGCGAGTAGCTGGGATTACAAGCATGCGCCACCATGCCCAGCTAATTTTGTATTTTTAGTAGAGACAGAATTTCTCCATTTTGGTCAGGCTGGTCTCTAACTCCTGACACGTGTGATCCACCCGCCTCAGCCTCCCAAAGTGTTGGGATCACAGGCAAGAGTCACCGCACCTGGCTGTCTTTCTCCTTCTTGGTTAAGTTTATTCCTAAGTATTTTATTTTTTTGATGGTACTGTAAATAATTTTTTTGATTTTATTCTCTGATTTTTTATTGTTAGTGTATAGAAAAACAACTGATTTTTGCATATTGATTTTGTATCTTGCAAATTGCTAAATTTGTTTACTAGTTCTATTAGTTTTACGGAATCAAGGATTTTCCTTGTTTCTTTAAAAACTTTATTTTAGAGCAGTTTTAAATTTACAGAATTAGTGTGATACCAGTATAGGGAGTTTTCACATACCACACAACCAGTTTTACTTATTAACATTTTTCCATTAGTGCGATATATTTGTTACAACTAATGAATTGATATTTATGCATCACAATTAACTGATGTCTACACTTTATTCACAATTCCTCAGTTTTCTACTAATGTCCTTTGACTTTTTCAAGATCCAAGATAGCAGGGTTCCCCAAGCCCTGGGCCATGGACCAGTACCAGTCTGTGGCCTGTTAGGAGCCGGCCACACAGCAGGAGGTGAGCAGCAGGTTAGCAAGCATTACTGACTGCCTGAGCACCTCCTGTCTGATCAGCAGCAGCATTAGATTCCCATAGGAGTAGGAACCCTACTATAAACTGCACATGTGAGGGACAAAGGTTGTGCACACTCCTTATGAGAATCTTATGCCTGATGATCTGAGGTGGAGCAGTTTCATCCTGAAACCATCCCTTTACCCCTAGTTCATGGAAAAAAAAAAATGCCTTTAACAAAACTGGTCCCTGGTGCCACAAAGGTTGGGGACCATTGCCATATAGGATACCACATTACATCTAGTTATCCTGTCTCTTAGGGACCTCTAACTATGATGGTTTTTAGGCTTTTCTTGTCTTTGATGACTGTGACAATTTTGAGGATTATAGGTCAGATATTTTGTGGACTATTCGTCCACTGGAATTTGCCTCTTTTTTTTTTTTTCATGATTAGACTAGGGTAGTGGGCTTTTGGGAGGAAAATCACAGAGGTAAATTGCCCTTCTCTTCACATTCTAACAAGGGCACCTTGTAACCACACAACTAAACACCATTGATGCTGATAGTGATGACCTTGCTCAATTGATGTCTGTCAAGTTTCTCCAGGGTGAAGTAGTTTGTTGCTAATTTCCAAAATGTACTGTCTGGAAAGAATCACTTTTGGGAGTCCACACTTTTAAGAATGGGGAGTAATGTGCCACCACCTTGAGGGCAGAGTATTTACATGTTATTTAGAATTATTTTGCACTGGTAGAAGAAAAAAATCAACAAAGTTGAAAATAGTACAATAAAAATTATGGAGTCTGAAGAACAGGAAGAAAAAAGGAAAACTATACATCTGATAAAGTTCTAATATCTAAAAAATGTAAAGAACTCAAAACAACTCAAAAGCAAGGAAACAAGTAACCCAATTGTGAATTGGGCAAAGAACCTAAACAGTGCTTTTGGTGAGACTGAGGAGAAGGAAAGGAGAGAGGAAGAGGTGAGAGAAAAAAGAAAGCCATTCTAAAATTCAATTTTAGAATCTTTTTATACCCTTTCAATTCATTGAATTTTTTTTTTTACTTTTTCCAGCCATGTTTCTTCCTGAAAACTCTTGCTCCTCTCACTACCAGCTTTTGTGTGAAAACACACACACACACACACACACACACACACAGTGTTCCCCTTGATATAAATCAAAGCAGGTTGAGAAGTTCTGTCTCAGTGCTTGGTTTTGTAAATGGAAATGTAATATTTAGATATCTAAATATTGTTTACATATTCTCAATAATGATAATGGTGAAGTTTCACCTCGACTCAGGAAAAGCTGAAAGGAAGCTAAAAGTTTATTAGAAACAATCCATAAATAACACCAAAGTGAGAGAATGGCAGCATGTGGCAATATCCTGAATGACGTTGTTTCTGGTAACCCTCCAGCAAAAGTCTTTTTGAAGTTTTAGATTTTTGAAGTTTAAATTGAACTCCACAGACCAGAGCATAATGTTCTGTTCTTATTGTTGCATTTGTTTGTTTTGCTATTTAATGGCTCTAATTATTAAGCTTAACCTAAATTAGAGGATGGTGCAGAAAAAAGTCAAGCAACTTAAGGTTTGACTTGATGAATCTATCCAGGAAAGCGTATGAGATTTGGAAACAGATGCTTAGGCCTCTGGACAAGGAGAACTTATTGCTATGGAGTATGAGACTCCATAGCAATGGAGGAGCCCTGGGGGAGCCAGGGCTTACAGCTTTGAATTAATCAAGCTCTGTTCTCTAGATATTTGACTCATTCTATTTTATAATACTTCTCCAAAATGGCTCCAGTCCCCCTCACTTTTTCACAGCTCAAGTTGGAAGGAAGTCATAAAGAATAGAGAATAGAAATATGGGGGATATTCCCAAGCTGAGCTAGTACAAAACAGTTCCCCTAGGTCAGTAACACTTGCGTTTCCAAGGAGACAGACACTTTGAGGAAAGTCTTACCAAATCATAAATATGTAATTTTTTTCTTCTCAGAAATCCTATCAAGCAAATTTAGTTAACTTGGCCATAGCTCATAAAACCTAAATATTGTGAGGTTGTTGAATGTTTAAACCTAACATCAATGTACAGTTCTACAGACCCTGAAATGTTTTCTGAATTCAAATCCTCAATGCAGAAGAATAGAAGCTAAACATAAGTTGGAAGTCATCAATTTCTCTTTAACCTGGGCACCAGGGAAAAACAAAAACCTGAGATGGAAAAAATAAATTTATTACAGGGATTCCAGGACTCTACAGGGTTCTGGGGAATTAACCGATTATCGTACACAGCGCTAACAAAGCACCTACATGATTCCTTCTAGGTACACAGGCCACTTCACACACATTATTTCCCTCATTCTCCCCACAGCCTGGTAAAGCAGGAGAGGCAGGTGTTTTCATCCCCATGACTCTCATATAGTCTTAGAGACTTTGTCCTCCTGTCAATGCCTCAAGGGTTTCACTACTGAGTGATCAGTACATCTATACATTTCACATAAGCAGAGCTGAAGTGCTACCTCTAATTCAGCTTCTTCACCAAAGCTCAGATCCTCAGAACAATGACCAACTTTGCATTCCTTTTTCAACTTCAGCTGCCTCATTTGAATGACACCATTTTAATGACAATAAATGTATGGGCACCGTGAAGTAAGAAATATTACCCTATATTAATACCCATCTGCCTGCCATCTCCCTAAGATCCTGAGGCGTGTTTCAAAGTGAGCATAGGAGAATTCGCACCTAATTAAAACCACAGGGGGAATGGAATGTCAGAGGCAGAATTTAGTTTATTTCTTAGAATGAGAGCATTTCTGGGACTAGCCTGTCCACCAAACTTGCCTAAGGTCTTGGGGTAAAGCGTATGTACGAGAGAAGAAGTATCAAGGAAAGAGAGATAGGTTTGTTTCGTTTTGTTTGTTTTTAATAAAAATGCCACTTAGGTCTTAAGGAATGAAAGTGCTAGAAAATAAACTTAATTGAACCAATTTTTGCCCTCACAATTTTCTGTTTTCCCCTACATACCTAAGTCATATTGAGAGGTGACGGCGTGCTGGCAGCACTCACAGGCCTCGCTCGCTCTCCGCGCCTCCTTGGCCTAGGCGCCCACTCTTGCCGCGCTTCAGCAGCCCTTCAGCCCGCCGCTGCACTGCGGGAGCCCTTTTCTGGGCTGGCCGAGGCCGGAGCCGGCTCCCTCAGCTTGCACAGAGGTGTGGAGGGAGAGGCGCGGGTGGGAACCGGGGCTGCGCGCGGCGCTTGCTGGCCAGCGCGAGTTCCGGGTGGGCGTGGGCTCGGCGGGCCCAGCACTCAGAGCGGCTGGCCGGAGCCGCCGGCGCCAGGCAGTGAGCGGCTTAGCACCCGGGCCAGCAGCTGCGGAGGGTGCGCCAGGTCCGCCAGCAGTGCCGACCCGCCGGCGCTGCGCTGGAATTCTCGCCAGGCCTCAGCTGCCTCCCGGTGGGGCAGGGCTCGGGACCTGCAGCCCGCCATGCCTCAGCCTCCCCAGCACCGTGGGCTCCTGCGCCGCCCTAACCTCTCCGACGGGCGCCGCCCCCAGCTCCAGGGCGCCCAGTAGCATCAATCGCCCAAGGGCTGAGGAGTGCGGTCGCAGGGCGCGGGACTGGCGGCAGCTCCACCTGTGGTCCGGGTGCGGGATCCACTAGGTGAAGTCAGCTGGGCTCCTGAGTGGACTGGGGACTTGGAGAACTTTTATGTCTAGCTGGAGGATTGTATATGCACTAATCAACACTCTGTGTCTAGCTCAATGTTTGTAAACACACCAATCAGCACCCTGTGTCTAGCTCAGGGAATGTAAATGCACCAATCAGCACCCTGTCAAAACGGCCAATCAGCTCTCTGTAAGACAGACCAATCAGCTCTCTGTAAAATGGAACAATCAGCAGGATGTGGGTAGGGCCAGATAAGGGAATAAAAGCAGGCTGCCAAGCCAGCAGTGGCAAACGCTTTGGCCCCCTTCCAGCTTGTGGAAGCTTTGTTCTTTTGCTCTTTGCAATAAATCTTACTGCTGCTCACTCTTTGGGTCCACACTTCCTTTATGAGCTGTAACACTCACCGCGAAGGTCTGCAGCTTCACTTCTGAAACCAGCGAGACCACGAACGCACCGGGAGGAACAAACAACTCCAGACACACTACCTTAAGAGCTGTAACACTGACGGCGAAGGTCTGCAGCTTCACTCCTGAAGCCAGCGAGACCACGAACCCACCAGAAGGAAGAAACTCCGAACACGTCCAAACATCAGAAGGAACACACTCCGGACACACCATCTTTTAGAACTGTAAGTCACCGCGAGGGTCTGAGGCTTCATTCTTGAAGTCAGTGAGACCAAGAACCCACCAATTCCAGACACAATGTAACTACCCTTTTAGTAGACTCAGAAAATACAGATAAAGAAGTTTTGGTAGAAGTAACAGTAAATAGCTGAAAGATGAAGAAACAAGTCCGTAATCCTAGCACTTTGGGAGGCCGAGGTGGGTAGATTACCTGAGGTCAGGAGTTCGAGACCAACCTGGCCAACATGGTGAAACCTCATCTCTACTAAAAATACAAAAATTAGGGCAGGCACGGTGTTTCACACCTGTAGTCCCAGCACTTTGGGAGGCTGAGGCAGGTGGATCATGAGGTCAGGAGACCGAGACCATCCTGGTTAACAGGGTGAAACCCCATCTCTACTAAAAATACAAAAAATTAGCCAGGCGTGGTGGCAGGCGCCTGTAGTCCCAGCTACTTGGGAGGCTGAGGCAGCAGAATGGCATGAACCCGGGAGGCGGAGCTTGCAGCGAGCCAAGATCGTGCCACTGCACTCCAGCCTGGGCGACAGAGCAAGACCCTGTCTCAAAAAAATAAATAAATAATAAGTAAATAAATAAAATAAAAAATAGAAATACAAAAATTAGCCTGGCGTGGTGGCACACACTTGTAATCCCAGCAACTCGGGAGGCTGAGGCAGGAGATTTGCTTGAGCCTGGGAGACGGAGGTTGCAGTGAGCGGAGATCATGCCACTGTACTCCAGCCTGACCAACAGAGCGGGACTCTGTCTCAAAAAAAAAAAAAAAAAAAAAAAAAAACACATGGAAGCCAACAGTGCAGCCCTCAGTCTGAGGCCTAAGGCCCGAAAGTCCCTGGAAAGCCACTGGTGCAAGCCTCAGAGTCCAAAGGCCAAAATTCTGGAGTCTGATATCCAAGAGCAGGAGGAGAGAAAGCAAGTGTCTGGCATGGGAAGAGAGAGAGGGAGGGAGGAGACTCTGCTGCTTATATGCCCTTCTTCTGCATGCTTTGTTTTAGCTGCACTAGTACCCCGATTTGATGGTGCCCACCCACAGTGAGGGTGGGTCTTCCTCAGTCCACTGACTCAAATGTCAGTATCCTCTGGCAGTACCCTCACAAACATACTCAAAACCAATATTTCATCAGCCATGTAAGCATCTCTCACAACAATCAAGTTGACACATAATATTAACCATCACAATCTTTCATAGTTTTAGATGCTAGGAAGCCTAAGATCAAGATGCTAGAAGATCTGATGAGGGCTTGGTTTTTGGTTCATAGATGGCACTTCTTCACTGTGTTCTGACATCATTGAAGAGATGAATGAGCTGTGTGGGGCCTCTTAAGGCCACTAATCTCATTCATGAGGGCTCCCCCCTTATAATCCAATCACCTCCCACATATTCCACCTCCTAATACCATCACTTTCAAGTGTATAATTGTAACATACAAATTTTGGGGGGACATAAACTTGCAGCCCGTTGCATATGGTAACTCTGGAAATCAGGTTTTCCTTTTTTTCCTAGGGTTTGTTGTATTTTTGTTTTTGTTTTTCATTTTTGATTGTTGTAGGCTGTCTCTGTACTGAGGATCAGTCTGAGATAAAGCATAAGATGTTCTCATGTCTTTTCCGAGCTTCTTCCTTCCCCTAGGCATGCCAGGTGACTTTATAATGTCTCTCATTTTTTTTTCTTTTTTTTTTCTTTGTTTTTTTTGAGACAGAGTCTCACTCTGTCAGCCAGGCTGGAGTGCAGTGGCACGATCTCTGCTCACTGCAGCCTCCATCTCCTGGAGACCAAGATGACTTAAACTGGACAAATATATATATGTGATACTTTTTTTTTTTTTTTAAGATGGAGTCTTGCTCTGTCGCCCAGGCTGGAGTGCAGTGGCGCAATCTCGGCTCACTGCAACCTCCGCCACGCCACCACGTCTGCTTTTTGTATTGTTAGTAGAGTCAGGGTTTCACCATGTTGGCCAGGCTGGTCTCGAACTCCTGACCTCAGGTGATCTGCCCGCCTTGGCCTTCCAAAGTGCCGGGATAACAGGCATGAACCACTGCACATGGCCCTATGTGATACTTTTTAAATGTCATAATCTTCAATGCCTGGCCCTTGAAAGAGGAAAAAGAGAAAAACGAAACAGGACAATAAAGAAGCACCAGCCCTTTAAATTCCCTGGAAGTCACTTCAGCTAGAGGGGGACAGGCTTGTAATAATAGGGGAGGTGCAACAATGGCTTTTGCCTCTTTGTCTGTACCTCTCTCATCAGAAGCAGCAATCAGTAATGACCCCTCGTATTGAGAAGGGAGAGTCTATTTGGTCCACCCATGCTCCCAGGAGTTACGTGCAAGCTGCTCCAGGAATACATTTACAGTTGCCTGCCTCAAGGCTGAGATGGGAGAAGGTATGTAGCTGATACTGTGTCCGGAATTGGTGGGTTCTTGGTCTCACTGACTTCATGAATGAAGCCGCGGACCCTCGCGGTGAGTGTTACACTTCTTAAAGGCAGCGTGTCCGGAGTTTGTTCCTTCTGACGTTCAGATATGTTCAGAGTTTCTTCCTTGTGGTGGGTTCCTGGTCTCGCTGGCTCAGGAGTGAAGCTGCAGACCTTCGCGGTGAGTGTTACAGCTCTTAGGGCAGCGCATCTGGAGTTGTTCGTTTCTCTCGGTGGGTTCGTGGTCTCGATGGCTTCAGGAGTGAAGCTGCAGATGTTCACGGTGAGTGTTACAGCTCATAAAGGCAGTGTGGACCCAAAGAGTGAGCAGCAGCAAGATTTATTGCAAAGAGCAAAAGAACAAAGCTTCCACAGTGTGGAAGGGGACCCCAGGGGGTTGCCACTGCTGGCTTGGGCAGCCTGCTTTTATTCTCTTATCTGGCCCCACCCACATCCTGCTGATTGGTTCATTTTACAGAGAGCAAAGTGGTCTGTTTTGACAGGGTGCTGACTGGTGCCTTTACAATCCCTGAGCTAGACACAAAGGTTCTTCACGTCCCCACCAGATTAGCTAGATACAGAGTGGGGACACAAAGGTTCTCCAAGTCCCCACCAGAGTAGCTAGATACAGAGTGTCCATTGGTGTGTTCACAAACCCTGAGCTAGACACAGGGTGCTGATTGGTGTGTTTACAAACCTTGAGCTAGATACAGAGTGCTGATTGGTGCATTTACAATCCCCTAGCTAGACATAAAGGTGCTCCAAGTCCCCACCAGACTCAGGAGCCCCGCTGGCTTCACCCAGTGGATCCCACACCTGGGCTGCAGGTGGAGCTGCCTGCCAGTTCCGCCTTGTGCCTGTGCTCCTCAGCCTTTGGGTGGTCGATGGGACTGAGCGCCGTGGAGCAGGGGGCGGTGCTCGTCGGGGAGGCTCCGGCCGCACAGGAGCCCATGGAGTGGGGTAAGCTCAGGCATGGCAGGCTGCAGGTCCCAAGCCCTGCACCGCAGGGAGACAGCTAAGGCCCGGTGAGAAATCGAGCGCAGTGCCTGTGGGCCGGCACCACTGGGGGACCCAGCACACCCTCCACAGCCGCTGGCCCAGGTGCTAAGCCCCTCATTGCCTGGGGCCAGCAGGGCCGGCCAGCCACTCCCAGTGCGGCGCCCACCAAGCCCATTCCCACCGGGAACTCCAGCTGGCCGGCAAGCTCCGCGCGCAGCCCCGGTTCCCGCTCGCGCCTCTCCCTCCACACTTCCTTGGAAACTGAGGGAGCTGGCTCTGACCTTGGCCGCCCAGAAAGGGGCTCCCACAGTGCAGCAGTGGGCTGAAGGGCTCCTCAAGTGCCGCCAAAGTGGGAGCCCAGGCAGAGGAGGTGCCCAGAGCAAGAAAGGGCTGCGAGGGCTTGCCAGCACGCTGTCACTTCTCACTGCTCTGCTCAGGGTTGAAATGACCAAACTTAAATCATCATTTGTGATCCAAGTCTTCTTTTGCAAGCATTCAGCACACTCTAGGGCTGCAAAATAGTTACATTGGTTAGATACCACCAGTGAGATTGTTCTCTAGTAGGGAAATAGTTTACTGGTGCTTCCTACTCTGCTATCTTAACAGATTCTTTACCCTTTTAAATATTATTGAGCCAGCCTCCTGGCTCATGCCTGTAATCCCACAACTTTGAGAGGCCAAGGCAGGAGGATCTCCAGAAGTTTGAAAACAGCCTAGGCAACATAGTGAGACCCTGTCTCTACAAAAAAAATTTAATATCAGCTGAGCATGGTGGCTGTACCTGTATTCCTAGTTACTCCAGGGGCTAAGGTAGGAGGATTGCTTGAACCCTGAGGCTGCTGTGAGCCATGATCTCACCACTGCACTTCAGCCTGGTTGACATCACCCCCTCTCCCAAAATACTATTGGATTTGATTTTATGGCTAAACAGAAGATTCTAGGGCCAGGCACGGTGGCTCATGCCTATAATCCCAGTAGTTTGGGATTCCGAGGCTGGTGCATCACCTGAGGTCAGGAGTTCGAGACCAGCCTAGCCAATATGGTGAAACCCAATCTCTACTAAAAACACAAAAAAGTTAGCCAGGCGTGGTGGCACGCGCCTGTAATCCCAGCTACTAGGGAGACTGAGGCAGGAGAATCACTAGAACCCAGTAGGCGGGGTTGCAGTGAGCTGAGATCACGCTATTGCACTCCAGCTTAGGCAATAAGAGTGAAACTCCGTCTCAACAAAGGAAGATTCTAAATTCTAAGTACCATTTCTTTAATACTTAACAAATGCCACCCAATGATCTTCTTATATCTCATAGTGTGGTTAAAAGAAAAACCCTGATGAAGATCTGTTGTTTTTTTTTTTTCTTTTTCAAATGATATTTTGTATGCCTGGGAAATTTTTATTTAAAAATTATTTTACCCTTCTTTCGTATATATTTAAACATCACTTATAGCTAGATCTAAGTCTTTACTGATCTCTTTGGCATATCATGTGCCCTTTCAATGTTAGCTCTTTCACCCTTATTTATGGTAATTTTATCTTCATTATTTCTTCAAATATTTTCTCCATTACATTTAGGGTAAATTTTTTTCAATGCTATTTAATATTATTGTGTTTATATCAAATTATTTGATTTGAAAATTGTAATAGTTTTCTGATGCCTCACTGGAGTCTGGTATTTGATAAAATATATGTGTTCCAGAACTTTAAAAGCATAGGTGTTCTCTAATTATTAAATAATGAGTTCTACAATTGATTAAACGATCTGATATGACAACTGCGCAATTCAAAATATCTATATTCATACTTTGTTAAAAAGTCTTGTTATATCAATTACTAAACTATTTTACAATTCAAGTAATATCTATTTATTTGTCAATATTTTCTTGTGACATATATATGTATATGTGTCTATATAATTATCTATGTAAATATTTTAAAATATTTAATAATGTGTATACCCTATCTGGTAAATTGCATATTTAGAAATATGTAGTATTTTGTTGCAATATTGCATTTTGCTCTTGACTATTATCTGATGTAAATTATTTAAACAACTCATTAATTTAGTACTTCCATTTTGCAAGTATTATGATAGGACTTTTAGTATAAGGATAAAACCCATGGTTTTTGTCCTCTAGGAGTCTAAAGTTTCATAAAAATAAGCAAAAAAAATATGAACTTTGGACTGCATATTTACATTTGAAAGATAGAACAAAAAAAAGTGAAACCATAGATACATGCCATTTGCCACTTAGCAGCTTTATTTAATGGAGTCAAAAAGAGTATATATATATATACACACACACACACACACACACACACACACGCATATATATATACACATACACACACATATATACACATACACATACACATATATAACCAAGATGAAAAAAAAAATAAGTGAAGTCATAGATATATGCTATTTGCCACTTAGCAAATTTATTTAATAGAAGTCAAAAGAGTATATACATATATACTTATATATCCATATGATTACCAATCTCTTTTATGTAGAATAATGATATTATATTTCAGGAATAGAGTTCTATTTCTCCACTGAGTTCCACATCAATATTTAAAAATATAAATTGAAATGGAAACCCATGCCAGATAGCATGATATAGTTAGTTTTCAAGGGTTCAAAATACTCTGCATATATAAAATGTAAAAAGATTAACTTCATCAGATTTAATATTTTAATCTTGGGATTATTATTCCCTTTTTGATTTTTTTGAAGTATCTAAATTTAGGCCATGTTGAAATATAAACATATGATCTTGTACATAAATATTCATAATAATAAAAATATGTCTCATCTCAATGGACATTCAAGGTCATTACAGAATGATTTATTTATGTGGGAGTTATTTGGCAGTTAATCTGAAAAATCAAATTAGTGAACAGAACTATCAGAAAAGAAAAATGTCACTGCTCAGAGCTCTCATTACAAATAATATAACATCTTTCACATGTTTTATCAATTTCTTAGGACTGATAGACCTTACAGAAAGTTACTGTAAAAGGAGAATGTATGTGTTACTTACATACCCAAGATAAGACAGAAATTATATCTACTTTATGTCAACAATTGCATTGTAAGAGTAAGTGACTTTCAACAATGAATAGTTATTAAAACAAGATTCCAGCCTGAATGCACATATTCATGAGGAAATGCCTTTTTTATGGAGTATTTATTGAAATGTTTTATTTATAAAATACTGTGGCTGGCAGCTACATGCTAAGACAGCAAGAGAAAGACTAAATTGTCCAAGACTTTTTATATGTTATTGAAAAAGCAGAGAAATTTTTAATACAAACTCATTAGGATCTTTGAAAATTGATGAAATCATTATAATCCTGACCTTTTTTTATGTTCTTAAAGGAATATAGCTTTACTGCACTGTATTGTCTAACACGTAAGAAATAGGCCCTTGAACAGGAGACAATTTGCAGTACAATGGTAAGCTGCTGTATGCTTTCGTGTGTTAAATTTTTTATGCCACATGAAGATTTCTGCATATTAATACATAAATTTAATCTGATATCTAATGATCTTTCTCATATGGCACAACCCAACAATTATCAATAAAACATGATTTTTTAATACATGGGAAACAAACAGATATAAAGTTGTGCTCAATTAGGCAATACACATTATTATGTATTTTTTGACAGTTATAACTGTACCCATAGAGTATTACTGTCGTAATATATATTTTATAAACTTTTCTTGACCTATTTATTCTTTGATGTATATGATAGTAATTTCCTTTTTTTTTTTTTTGTTCATGCTGTTGCTTGTTGCAGAACTTACCCCTTTTACTTTCTTCCATGATGAACTACTCTATTCACTTCTAAATTCAGTTTGAATTCAGATTCCTCCACAATGTATGACGGTTTTTTTTTCCCCACGCAATTCTTCTTTTCTATAATAAGCTAAAAGTAATTGTGTGTGTGTGTGTGTGTGTGTGTGTGTGTGTGTGTGTATGTGTTTGTATTTTTCAGAATTCTTAAAACCTTTAAGCAAGTTCTGGGCCCTGATATTGATCCTTTTGATATACTAACCAGATTGAAAGCTCCTTGAGCACAAATATACGTCAGATTCATCATTAAATTCATCATAATTCCAGGACCAAAAGCTCAAATTGGACAATTTGCAGTCCCCAAAAGGTCAGTGCTTTCAGTCACTAAGAAATGTGCGAGTTGTGACACTACACAGGTGCTCCTTGACTTACTATGGGGTTGTGCCCCAATAAACTCATTCTCTGTTGAAAATAACAAGTCAAAAGTGTGTTTTTGACACATAGGTTTATTCAGACATAACCGCGTGGTAAATTGAGAAGCATACTGAATGTGTATTGCTTTCTTCCCATTTGTCAAGTAGAAAAGTTCTAATTTGAACCAATATAAGTTGGGAACTAACATTAGGATGTAACATAGATTATTATTCAGAAATGTCTATTTTCCATTCACAGTGGGGTAGCAGTGAAAATTATTCAGCTGCAGGTGCTAGAAAATTCTAAAATTATGATTAATAATCAAGTTCTAGGAAACACAATTCCTTTCAGGAATTAGAGAATATTATTTTCTTCTTCAATAAATGAGAAAGCATTCCTCTTGACAGAACAAAAAGGAATACAACTGTCAAAGCCTGATTTCACATAGAGTAATCATTTCAGCCGAGAAAACACAGTATGTGATCTAGTAACAGTTTGTCGTGACAAAGCTACTTTTGAGAGCTTAAGATTGAATACATACACACAGAAATTCAAATGATTACAACTTCAAGATCAGGATTTATGATAAACTGTAATATCTTTGGGACTCTAGGTATGTAGGGTCCCTTAAAAATGTTACATTCAATTATTACAAACTTTTTTGCCCAATTAGCAGAAAGCAGTATTTTAAGGGATGAACGAATTCTAACATTAGTCAGAAGAGGTAAGTCATATGTCAATGTGTGCTAAAACGGTCCTTTTGCAAAGCTCAATACTAACTCTTATTTTTGTGATAAAATTCAGAATTAAATTCCTCATTTTCATTTTTCAAGGTATCCTAATTCATAACTGTTATGTGTGAATTTATGTTCAGCAGTATATATTCTTTCTTTAGAAAAAGAATAACCTTTATTTGAAAATGATATCTAGTAACAGAGTTTCCAACACAATACTATTTATTTTCAGGAACATATTCAAACCAAGCATCGATGTTTGATGAAAGCAAATCTGACTGTCAGGAGAGTAGGTTGACACATGCCTTTCTAAATATTATCCAAAAAGAAGGCTTTCCTTTCACCAGCTTCAGAGGACAATGGCATTATATGTCTTGAAAAAGTCACATATGCAAAAGAAACATTAAATTTTAAAGAACTAGAGACTGCTGGTTGGGCATAGTGGCACACCCCTGTAATCCCAGCACTTTGGGAGGCTAAGGTGGGCAGATCACCTGAGGTCAGGAGTTCAAGACCAGCCTGGCCAATATGGTGAAACCCCATCTCTACTAAAAATACAAAAATTAGCCGGATATAGTGGCTCGTGCCTGTTGTCCCAGCTACTCGGGAGGCTGAGGCAGAAGAATCGCTTGAACCCAGGAGGCAGAGGTTGAAGGGAGCTGAGATCATGCCACTGCACTCCAGCCTGGGCACCAAAGTGAGACTCCATCTCAAACAAACAAAACAAACAAACAAAAGAAAAAAAAAACTAGAGACTGATACAGAATCTTCACTTAATTCTGAATTCTTATAATCATACTGACTTATCAAATCCTATGCTATTTTTCTTCTTTACATTACAGTTAACTAAATGATAGTCGTGGTCAATCAAAAACATGCCTAAAGATAACCATTCTGTAAATCCACAATTTTAGAAGAATCTCGTTCTCCTTGCTTTTCCTTATGGTTTATTAGAAGATCCAAAAATAAAATACAAGTTTACTTATTGAAAATGTTGATGGCTCAGAAGAAAACATTCTTTTAAAATGTAGCAAAGCTATTCAAAATCAAGTCTGATTAATAAGATCTTGTTCTTGGTAAATTTGGGAAATATAATACATCAAAGTTTTGCAACACTGTAAAAGCAGTTTCCAACTGTTGTTGAGCATGTCAGAAAACAATTGTTTATACCTTTCAACGTTTTTAGAAAGATGCTTGAGAAATTGACCCACAAAAAATAATTATTGCTTACCCATTTCTAAATCTTACATTTAAATTTAAGACATTTTACTGGATCAACTCTGACAATAGTTTTCAGGCTCAGACAGATGCTATATCAACTAGTAAGTATTTCGTGTACTCTACTAGTAAGTAAACTTGGAGTAAGGAAATTTCCTGTAGATAAGGCATACAAAAATAAATACAATCAAATTAAAACACTGAAATTTCTTGTTTCATCTAAATTGACTACAAAATAATTTTTTTAATCCTGTGTGTTTTTGTGTATATTCTAAAGAGATGGAATTGCTGACAAGATCCAAAATAGCTAATCCAACAGTCCTTAACTTTTGCTTTAAGATCACCTAAAATAATTTTTAAAAAAGGTTATCCCATTGTAATTTTAAAAAAAATCACATCTAATGTATAATTTAAAGATGACTAGATAGATTTGTTATGACTTACACATACTTATTTTATTTTATCAATAAAACAATGTGTCACTGCCTTCAATAGATTTAACATCAGTCTTTCTGGATTTTTTGTTTGTTTGTTTTCCAGAAGAGCAATGCCCCATCCTTCCTTCCTTCCTCCCTCCTTCCCTTCCCTCCCTCCCTCCCTTCCTTCTTTCCTTCCTTCCTTCCTCCCTCCCTCCCTTCCCTTCCTCCCTTCCTTCCTTCCTTCTTTACTTTCTTCGTTCCTTCTCTTTCTTCCTTCCTTCTTTCCTTCCTTCTTTTTCTCCTTAGAATGGCCAAATGAAAATGTACATTTGTGTAATGAAAACTGCCATTATTCATGTCACTCATTTTGCAGTTCAGAACATCTCAACACAGATTAAAACACCATTTCTAACATCAAACTTCAAAATTATCAGAAATGTGCTTGAGTCACGAAGCTCAGCTATATGTTTGTGTTGCCTTATTAAAGGATACTTTATTCACACCCCACTTTCTCGGACATATCTGTTGAAAGAAACACTTCATGTAGAGGTGAAACATCTAGAAGTTGATTTTTCTAAACTACTGATTCTAGAAGAGGAACAATTTTGTCTCCCTTCCAGGGGATGGGTGGGATCATAGGGAGGCAATTCTGGGTGTTGGGGCTTGGATGGGGGTGCTACTGCTGTCTGGTGAGAGCAGCGTGTTGCTACATTTCCAACACACAAGACAGTCACCTACAACAAAGAATAATCCGGCCCAAAATGTCAACAGGACTGAGATCAAAAAGCCCTGTCCTAACATAATCTTTGTCCCCAAGATTTCATGTGTGCTTAAGGGTCCACAACCTCATTTTGAAGACTTGGCTATGGTAATTCCACTGTATTTTTCTAAATATAATAGTTCATTGTCTTCTATTTGGGGCAAAGGACAAATACTTGCATAAGCAAACATCATTTCTTCAGATGGAAAAGGAAGAAATGTTACAGGATGGGCAAAGTTTGTCACCCACACATACACAATACCTGCACATACACCAAATGCCTTACATCCTCAGAGTAACTATGCTTACCTGAATAGAAAATATAAAAAAAAAAATTAATCCTTTGCTGTCTAAGAATGTTATTGCAATGTCATATGTGGGTCTATCCCTTCCCACACCCTTACTTCTTACCTACCTTGTCCTGCTTTCACCTTCATAATCCATCTTTTCCCTTTTTCTTATCACAAAGTATTTTTTTATGAGTTTCATTGCCTTGGAGGTGTGTCTAAATTTCTGCTTCTCACTTTTGGTATTTGATATCATGTAACAGATTAAATAATGAATTGAGATTTTGCATTAACCTTACTTTAAAGGAGCCATCTAGAGGCACAATGCTTTGATCAAAAAAGAGATTTTAATGAAGAGAATTTCAGGTAATACAGCAAACTAGGGGAGAAAATAAATTGGCGCAAGCAGGCATTTCCACATCCTGTCACTAAGAATCTGTCTATGACAAGAAAAGCATATCAGATAATTTTAGTAAAAAAAAATTTAATTACATCTTTCTGATAAGTTAAACTGGACTACAGTGTCTGTTAAGTCCCAAACCTGTTCAAAGCTATTTACCTGTGTGGTATATTGGAGATGAATGAGAGAGAAGGATAAATTATTAACGTCATGTCAACCATTTTAAAGAAAATAATTCAATTATAACTTCAGCTTTTTAGAGCCATCACAAAAAAAATCTTTATGTTAATCTTCTAACAAGGGGTTTAAAGGAAAGTGTTGCTCAAAACAAGAAAGAAAAAACTAGATTTTGGCATATAATAATAACTTCAGGAGTCCGTTCCCATTGCTTATCTCTTGTATTATACAAAATATTTTCATCATCAAATGCTGATTTTCATTGCATGTAATTTTTACAGTGGTTGATATATTTAAAGCCCACATAGAAGACATAACTCACATTAGGATTAATGGAGGTTGAAAATAGAGTTCAAGGAGAGAATATACACTAACCTCTTTGTTATGAGACACACCTCATCTGCTATTCATTAGAACATCTTGGAAGCGCTGTATAATACATCAAAAGCAAAAGTGCCCATAATGCAATGTCGTTTATTTTTATATAGCAACTCACACACTGTGTATCTTAAAATGTTTTTCAAAGAGTATTAGTCACAAGCAGCAAAAAAAAATAGGATTTTTTTTTTTTTTTTTTTCAGACAGAGTCTGACTCTGTCACCCAGGCTGGAGTGCAGTACCGCGATCTCAGCTCGCTGCAACCTCTGCCCCCCTGGGTACAAGCGATTCTCCTGCCTCAGCCTCCCGAGTAGCTGGGATTACAGGCGCCTGCCACCGCGCCTGGCTAATTTTTGTATTTTTGGTAAAGATGGGGTTTCACCGTGTTAGCCAGGATGGTCTCGATCTCCTGACCTTGTGATCTTCCCGCCTCGGCCTCCCAAAGTGGTGGGATTACAGGCATGAGCCACCGTGCCTGGCCAAGAATAGGATTTTTATAGTGATGTAAGATGCCACTACTGGGCAATTCTGCACCAAATGTAGTTACAATAAAAGCAAAAACTAAGGAAACCCTTTTCAAGATTTTGGAGTCTCTAAAGAGACTTTCACCTTGTTAAATCCAGTATTATCTTACATTTTTTCTAAGTTCTGAGCTATTCTTCAATTATTACAGAGTCTTATGAAAATTAAGAGAAAAATAGCAAAATAACTCTAGTTCTTTGAATATCCTTTAAAAAACATTTTCAATGATAACATTGAAAGAATTGTCTGAGCTCGGGTTGTGCTGTGGATGACTCTAATTTTGTTAGGAGTTGACCTCAATCTCATACATGGATGATTTAAATGACTGATGTGAAAACAACGTGGTAAACATATGAAGTAGAAAAGCTCCCTAATTCTACCCAAATTAATGCAACTCTTTCAATTTCCATAAGATAACAAAAAAATAAATCAGGTTTTAAATTATTAGTTGTTCTGATAATACTTCTTATTAACATTCTCATTTACGAGAATGCAAAACTATACCTATTATACATTCAAATGTCTAATATACATCTATAGCATCCAAAAATCAAATACAGTATGTAATTATCACGGCTCTCCTCTGATTTGCACTCTTTTTATATTTGATTGCAACTAGAATAAAATAAATTCCTTACCATTGGCTGTGAGAATTTGCAGAGTGGTCCCTAGCTAACCATCTAACTTCCTTGATCATAGATCCTCAGGATTCTCACACTCTCAGGTCACACTCATCCTGTCCTTTTCCCAAAGCCCCTCTGTGCCTTGCCCTTGGTGACCCTTTGCTTAGGACAGTCAGTCCCATGCTTATGGTCACCTACTCTTAACCCTCATAAAAGTAGCTTCCCTTCTCATTACTCTGTATCCTGTTGACCTTGCTAAATTTTCTTCATGGCTCCTGTAACTACTTATTATTCTATTTAACTTTACCTATTTATTTCTTTATTCTCTGTTCTCCAAATAGAATGTAAAGGTAAGAGAGTAGAGATTTGTGTTTCTTGCCCACAACTTTCTTCTTGTCACCTCCAAGAGACACTCTAGGAACTTCATGAATATATATTGAATAATGATCAATCAACCTAGTAATCATTTTAGTATTGGCATATAGATTCATATGTGAAATCGTGTGTGATAGTTTCTTGCTTGTTTGGTTTTTTTGTTTTTGTGCTGTGTGTGCACACAAGTAGATGTCTATGTCTCTGCATGTGTGATGGGTTGTAAATGGATTGGGGGCAATTAAAAACCAACCCAGCATAATATGCATCTGAGAAATATGCAAATAATAATGTATCATTCAAAAGGAGGAATAAAATGACATTAAAAGCAGATTCTTAAAATACCATTGGCTCCTGCTCGTAAATTCAGCTGGCAAACCCCACCCTCAATATTTTTCTTCTTTAAAAAAAAAAACTCAGACATAATCAAACCCAAAACCTTATCTCTGGTGCATAGCCCCCTCTAGCCTTTTCACCGACTTGTTATTTTTTTCTTTAGGAAAAGATTCTGGAAATAATTTTTATAACAGCTTCTCATCCTCAGTGTCATTTATTTTCTTACACTAATTAAGTGATTCTTCAGCTTTCTAAAGCAATACCTTTGAAATTATTTTGCCAAGATCACCCAGGATATCTTTGCTATTTGCCATATCTAATGTGTAATTTTAGTTGTAATCTTAGAATGCTACTCCCAGACAAAATGGTGCTTTTATTACCTTATTATTTGTTTCTGTGTCTTATTTATCAACGTATTTCAGTCTAACTTTATAATGTTCAGCCTAATGGGTTACTATTACTGCAGTTCTCTTTACATGTCTCTGTTTGCTAGGAATGCTGCTTTGGTTTCATTTTTCACATACGCCTAAACATTTTTCTCACTGGAAATTCATCTGTGTCCACAACTTCAACTATATGTTCATATGATGATACTTTTCTCTATCCTCTACATCCTCTGGATGTACTTCTTTCCTGAAAGCACAATAGTCCACCTAACAATTCGATGGATATCTCCTCCTGAATAGCCCAAGAACCATGAATGAAAATGTAATGCATCTTCTATTAATACCAAATCACATGTTCTCATGATTTGTTCCACCATCTTCCCAGAAGCACAGGCTTACAAGTCTAGACTTTTTGTGCTGGCACAGCAAAAACGTTCCATTAATATTTATGAATAATTGAACAATCCTTACTCCTGTACCTATTGTTTGCACATTCTCTTCTCCTGCCTACACATATTGGGAAGCTGTAATTAATAGTCATAAAACTTGGGTCTCTGGGGTGACTTAATTGGATTCAAATCCTAGATCTTCTATTTATTAATTACAGGATCTGGGACACATGACCTAAATGGCTGTGCCTATTTCTGCTCATCTAGGAAATGGTAAAAATAATGATAGTCCTCACAGAATTGGGCAAAATGGGATAATATAGATAAAGCATGTAGAGCAGTGCCTGGCACACAGTTACTCTATTAAATGCTATGAATTTATTATTTTTGAAATTAGAACTCTCCCTATCTGACCTATGCCAATGTTCAGGCCAAGTGAAACTCTTACCTGAAATGATATTTATCTTTTATATCAGTCCACCTTGAACTCACTGTCAGAGAGATTTTTTTTTTTTTTTTTTTTGAGACAGAGTCTCACTCTGTCGCCCAGGCTGGAGTGCAGTGGCGCGATCTTGGCTCACTGTAACCTTCGCCCTCCGAGTTCAAGCAATTCTCCTGCCTCAGCCTCCCGAGTAGCTAGGATTACAGGCGCCTGCCATCGTGCCTGACTAATTTTTTTTTTGTATTTTTGGTAGAGGCGGGGTTTCACCATCTTGGCCAGGCTGGTCTTGAACTCCTGATCTCATGATACACCTGCCTCGGCATCCCAAAGTGCTGGGATTACAGGCGTGAGCCACTGCGCCCGGCCAATCCCACACTACTTACATTGTTACAGAGCACAGAAAAAAAGAGAAGAATAAATCAACTTGTTTTATTAAATTAATATATTCTGAATACAACACATGCTAAATGTTTTGCATGAAAAATGTTAGCATGGAGAAATGCAGTCAACATAAAAATATAAAGTTTTAAAAATCCCTAAATAAAACCTGTTTTAAGTATAATACAATGATATCTTAAAATAATAGTGTAATAATTTGTGCCTCTGAAACTCAGGGTAGAGTTCAGGGGTTCAGAAATAAACTAGAAAGATATCAGTATATGAAACCTCTAGACCAGATAAGATCATTGAAAATGCAAAAGAATAAAAAAAAAAAGAGGCCGGTAATGGTGGCTCAGGCCTGTAATCCCAGCATTGTGGAAGGCCGAGGCTGGAGGATCACCTGAGGTCAGAAGGTCAAGACTAGACTGGCCAACATGGTGGAACCCCATTTCTACTAAAAACACAAAAATTAGCTGGACATGGTGGTGCATACTTGTAATCTCAGCTACTCGGGAAGCTGAGAAAGGAGAATTGCTTGAACCTGGGAGACAGAGGTTGCAGTGAGCCGAGATCATGCCATTGCACTCCAGCCTGGGCAACAAGAATGAAACTCTGTCCCCCGCAAAAAAGAGAAAAAATAATAATATAAAAAAGAAACCTTTAACATTCTAACAATTAGAATTGATGTTGATGAGGGGAGCAAGTAAGAGAAGATTGAATGAAAATATTATTCTGTGAAGTTGGAGTCAAATTAGCTAAATGAAGCTTAGTGGAAAATTAATTTACCCTGGAATGCTGCTAAGAGGCTACAATGAGGACAAAAAAAAAATGACATGTGGGTTTTCTGAAAGGCCTGGCCCTTAGTATCACTCATATGATCATGAAGGCTATTTTCTTGGGGTGGTGGGGATTACAGTTTTTGACTGGGGAGGGCTCTCATTTAGACAACTATTGCACGGCACAAAGCTGAAACCTGTACATTATGAAAGATAAATATATGATAAAGGTGTTTTCTTTATTTAATATGAATGATGCTATTAAGAAATAATTTTGGCCTGGCGTGGTGGCTCACGCCTGTAATTCCAGCACTTTGGGAGGCAGAGGGGGGCAGAACATGAGGTCAGGAGATGGAGAACATCCTGGCCAACATGGTGAAACCCCGTCTCTATTAAAAATTCAAAAATTAGCTGGGCGTAAGGGTGCGTGCCTGCAATCCCAGATACTAGGGAGGCTGAGGCAGGAGAATCACTTGAACCAGGGAATCGGAGGTTGCAGTGAGCTGACATCGTGCCACTGCACTCCAGCCTAGCAACAGAGTGAGATTCTGTCTCAAAAAGAAAAAAAAAAGAAATATTTGTATATAATTTTGTCAAAATATTAAATTGTCTAATTTATATACATTAGACAATATTAGTAATAATCTTCATTATATTAATAGATCGAAGTAAAAGAGCAAAATCTAGGTCATCTTTACAGATGCTACAGAATCATTTGATCGTCTTTATACTTTCTTATTTTTAAAAGTAATCATAGTAGACTGTCTAGAGAAACCTCTATAACATAAGGTATAAAATGTTCACAAGCTAATTTATTAATTCAACACACTAATAAAAATTCTAATATCTTACTATAACTAGGCCAAATTATATTCAGACACATTTGAGAAAAAATTTATATCAGAATTATCAGAAAAATTATAAAAATAAGTAAGTAACAAGGAGGGATTTGTGTTATCGTGATATAAAATTATATTAAACTATGTTATTCTGTAAAGAATACATAGGCAGTTTTTAAACAAAATAGAACCTGAGAAAAACTCTGTGTTTGTGTGTGTGTGCATGTTCGCGTGTGTATAACTCTGTTTATGTGTATTGATTCATTTTAAACAAAATGATGGTATTTCAAGGTTATGTGACAAGGTGCAACATTGATCAAATGATATGTGGACATGGTTTTCTGTTTTAAATAAAATAACAACTACTGTCTCAAAAAAAAGCAACATGAGAATTAGCCAAAAAATATAGGTATACATTTATTATATATTACAGAGGAAGTTTTTTGCACAATGCCTAAAAAAAATTTCACATCATTTGATCACATAGATGTTTAAATGTGCACATTACAAAACAGTATATAAAATTGAAACATAAAAGCTATCACAAATTGAACATTAAGTCCATATATGCATATCTTGCTCAATATACCTTATATTAAAAAGAATAATAAATCAATAAAAAGAGAAAGAAACTCATAAAACTGAGCAAAAGTATTACTAGGCAATGTATAAAGAAGACATACAAATGCCGAGAGATATTTCCCCAATCCAATTTGCAAACATTGAAACATTGGATAAAGTTTCAACAATAGCAGGTGCAAGAAGAAATCAATAATTCTCTTTGCTGCTGCGGCAAGCATAGAATGATGTCATATTAGTGCATTTCTTGAAATAAATTGGTCAGTTTACATCAAACATAGTTTTTTAAAAAGGTAATTCTTCCCAGTTATCCTACATTTTAAAATTTTCTTTCTCATGGTAACCATAAATACATAAACATAATTACTATAGTTATTTAAGATAATAAAAGTATTAGAAAGAATTAAAATCTTGGCCATAGAAAATTGCAAAAATAAAATATGATTATTTATAAGATAAATTGATAGACGCATGTAATAATTGCAGATAATATTTGAACGTAAAAAGAAAGGTACCCACAATATGTTGGTAAATATGGCAATGCCTAATTTACATATATAGCCACATGTTAACACATGTGCACATAGCAAGGAAAAATACATTAACTCTGGAATACAGACTAATTTTAATTTTTCTGTTAGATTTTCTAAATTATTCAGATTTCTGTAATAATACACACTAATTTCATCATCAAAAACATTAAAGATCAATTTAAGTTATGAAAAATAATAAATTTAAGAGACCTGCTCTTCTCTTGGCATGCTAATCTGACCTTTTATTGCTTAATTTTTCTTTTCATTCCTCTATATAATAATTTCAGCATGCATTAACTTGTTCTTATATCTATATATATATGTAATATATAGTATATCTATATCTATCCTAAGTGAACTACAGTTGAAGGAAAAAAGCTGCCCTTCAATAATAATAAGCTTCCAATTTTCATATTTCTTGGTAATAACTCGATAATTGGCAAAATAGCAAGGAGGCCTCTGTAAGTAGCTACTCTCTAAGTTCTTTATCAGTCCTTTTATAGTCATCACATTGGTAAAGGTATAAAACTGCAAATCTGTGTTTTTCTTTCATATTGACATATGGCTGGAATTGAACAACATATGATATTTGCTTTCCTTGCTTCTAGAAGGTGGAAGCAACATGTAATTCTATATTTCAGGACTTGCATCTTTTATTGACTAGTTTATTGACAAAGAACAAATAACTCTGAATCCATTTCATATCTGAACGTGATTATTCTGGAAATGTTGCAAGAATTGATTGCATATAGCACTCTTTCTTGTTCTCTCTCTCAAGCTAGAGCTCTAATATAAAGTAAGACATATTTTCTTTTCAAGGGTCAATTCAGGGTTTTTCCAGGGAAAGCTCTGGAAATTGGTTCTTTGCTTATCTCAAATTAGCTATAAAAAAGATAAGATAGTTATACAACAAATAGATTCAAGAAACAGGACTTCAACAGCTAACACTAACCTTAATAAAAATGAAAAGAAAACAGAAAAGATCTTTCAGAACGAAAAGGAAATACTTCAGATATAAGCTAGAAATAAAGTTTTCCTTGATCCAACAGTTTTCAAATAAAGTCAAATTAACTCATTTAGCAATTGAAAATGTACTGCTTAAAAGGCCAAAATATAAAACAAAGAATAAAAATAATAGGACATCATTAATATTGAAAATAGAAAATCTTCTCCAACTTCATAAAACAATTTTGGGAGACTGTGATGTGCGTAATAGTATCATTATTTAATATATGCTGTGTATTATTTTATTTGAACATTTTCTGTTCTCCCTAATTAGCATGCAAATTCCATGAGGCAGTGAACTTGCCAATCTCTTAGTGATTACCAAATGCCTACTGAATGGCATAATTTACATATCTATATTCTAAATTGCTTTATTTTCAGTGCAAATTATTTGTAAAGTTGTATTATGAGATTTTTTAACGGTTTTGTGAGACTACCTCTCCTTAACCTTCAAATTTGTACAAAAGATCTATTTTATTCTTTATAAACTATTCACAGAAAGAAAAATGTCAGATTAACGTTGAAAATTTTAAAGGCCACTCTTAAGTCACTTGCTGAAAACACTTTGAATACACGAATTAATTATAAGTATTAGGAGATAACTAATATCACAAAAACATATCACTGAACTCCAAATTTATTTATTCTGTGGCAGAGATTCTCAAATATTGTTCTGGGGACTTCCAATGTGCCCACAGAAAACACATGCATGCTAGATGATGGTCAATTCACCTCTGGAGGTATCTAGGCACACCTGTACAAGTCTTATCAGTGTTACACGAATTGGGAAGGTTAGGGAGCACTGGTAAACGTCATTCCACCATGCCTATTAATAATACAATTAGGTACATCTGGCATGAGTGTTCTTACAGATTTTAAGCTGTACCCTTTTGATCAGTTTTCAAGTATTTATTCTCCCAAATCTTTTCTTTAACAAGTAGAGCTCTGGCCTTTAGGTTTTGATACATAAACCAGTGTAAGGTGTTGACCTGACTTCTGAATGTGGAGCAAAATGTAACACAAAACGTGTTTGGGGAACAGCAAAGTTAGGCAAACAAATCAACAAACAAAAAAACCAAACAAGTAGTTTGACAAAGGAGACAGTATTAAAGGGGAAGATGGAAAAATGCATACATTTATTTATGCAGATTAGAGAGGAATTTGATTTCTGGCTATACAACACTCCGGACAAAAGGCTGGGTTCGTTATCTTTGAAAATCCTGATATGGGGTCATCCTATTTGGTAATTACAGATCGGTAACTTAGTTCTGATTCTTCCCGCCTTTCCACTTGGAATGTACGCAGAAGGATAAGGAGAATAAAATCTTTAGAGCTAAGCCAGGAGACAATAGAAACATAAACTCCAAATTGCATGTACTTGTGGCCCAAAGCAACTGAGACCAGCAGAAATGAGACAGAAAGTGTGACAATGCACCCACAGGGAAAGGGGTGACAGAGGGACCTAACACAGTCAAAGACCAGAGACATTTGAATATATTCACAGTCAGAAAGAGCATTCGGTTCAGTGACAGGCTAGGCAGACAAGATTCATTGCTGTCTACTTTTGTCAATGAGCAATTTATATACATATATTTTTTCTAGCTATTACTTTTATTAGAAGGGTAGAACCTTAGCCTGGCTTAATAACACAGCTGAGTTTCAACTCTCTTCCTTGTATACCCAAAAACCTTATCTCCTTCTTCTATTGTGTTTAGGTCATCATCTTCAAGTTCAAATTGTGTTTTGTTTTAGTATGCTGAGGCTATCTTTTACTTTCTTGCAACTCAGTTTTTTATTTTAAAATGTTGTTGTTATATTGAATTGAATGTGTCTAATTGTTTTGCCTCCTGATATGGTTTGGTTCTGTGTCCCCACCCAAATCTCATCTCCAATTGTAATCCCCAGTGTTGGAGTTGGGAGGTGATCTGATCATGGGCAGGGGTTTCTCATAATTGGTTTAGCACCATCTCCTTGGTGCTATTCTCCTGATGGAGTTCTCAAAAGATCTGTTTGTTTAAAAGTGTGGAGCAGCTCCCCACTCTCTCTCTTACTCTAGTTTCTACCATGTGAGATGCCTTGATACCCCTTTGCCTTCCACCATGATTGTAAGTTTCCTGAGGCCAACCCAGAAGCCAAACAGATGCCAGCATCATGCCTCCCGTACACCCTGCAGAGCCATGAGCCAATTAAACCTCTTTCCTTTGTAAATTACCAAGTCTCAGGTATTTCCTCATAGCAATGGGAGAAAGAAATAATACACCTTGGTATATTATCTTAAATTTAAGCACATGACTCAAAAAGCATACATTTCATATAACTCACCATGAGGGAATCAGCTACATTAAGTCTAAAGTAGAACGTTAAAAAATTAATGGCTTAGAAATGAAAAGTTAAAAGGAGAAAAGCAAGCAGTTCTTGGAAACAATACTAGACCTACATGTGGTAAAGAAGGAAGGAACTCAAGTAGAATGTACGACTGTTTCAAAAATCTACTGAACCTTGCTGAAAGTATATGGAAATGCCAGAGAAAAATTAAATACTAAAGGTATATCTTAGAATATACTATTTAATCTCTGTGTCCCTCACTTTCTTCAAGAGAGAATTAGTAATAGCATCTAATTCTAGATTCTTAGGTTGTGAGAATAAATGTGATGAATGTGTGATATATATATGTGTGTGTGTGTGTGTATATATATACACATGTATATATGTGTGTATATATATACATGTATATATGTGTGTGTATATATATACACACATACACTATATATAATACACACATATACACTATATATAGTACACATATACACTATATATAATACACACATTCACACTATACTATAATACACGCATACACACATACACTATAATACACACATACACACATACATACACACATACACACTATACATACACTATACATACATACACACATACATACACACATACACACTATACTATAATTCACACATACACACTATATATAATACATACACACTATATATAATACACACATACACACACTATATATATACACATACACACTATATATATATACACACGTATATATGTGTGTATATATATAAATGTATATATGTGTGTATATATGTATACACACATACACACACTATATATAATATATAGGTGCTATTGTTTTTATTATTGTTGTTTTCCCATCATACTTGCCTTAAAGTAAATAATTTTATTGACATACCACTTGTGAGTAGACATTTTCAGTCCTAGGCCATATTTGTTTCTTCCACTGGCTTCTGCTATAAAATAACTCAGGCTCAGGAAACCCACCTTTTGGGAAAGTTATCTCAGTTTTTTAAAATAAAAAATGGACTTTATCTGTTATTGATGATTCTGAAACCTGTACCTTCTAGTAGCTTAGTGGGAAGCAGTGTATCTGCCATTTTCTCCCCAAACGTAGATTGTTGTTCCTTGGATAGTAAATGTCCCAAGTTTTCAAGAGCATTTGTTTCTTCTCTCTATAGATAGGTAGATAGATAGATAGATAGATAGATAGATAGATAGATAGATAGATACATAGATAGATAGAGTTATATAGATAGATAGATATATTGTTTTCTTCTTCTTTTAGTGAATGATAGAGCTGGAGGATAATCTCATATAGTCTGATGCTAGAATTAAGTACTTAAAAGTACTTATTGCACTATGGAGAATGACATACCATAATTGAGTCAACTATCAAGTGTATATTTATATGAATCCACTTATCTCCTTAAAGTTTGAAATTAATCAGTGTGATCAATTCCCTACACTGATCTTGACCTTCTTGTGTGACTCCACAGATGTATTTTAAATAAAAACAAACGGAAAGGACCACAGCTCCAATAAATACAAAGACATTTACCAGGCAACACATGATTTGTGTCAACTGCTCCTAATGTTTTTGACAAATCGCAAATTACCTGCAGACAAGCAAACAGATGCTTCAAAATGGACCCGTGACAAATGATAAATGACAAAAATGTTAGGCCAAATCACATGCAATCACACACCTGCTATTGAATTAGCTCTGAGTAAATAAGGTAAAGTTTTGTAGAAAGAGAACAGAAGACCAGTCCTCTGTCATTGTGTCACTCTTTGCATTTAATAACAGACACCAGACTGTGAGGTATCTTCACTTTTACAGAAACTTCTTCCTGGTGCTCTGGAATAACATCCCTAAAAAAAGAACAAAAACAAAGAAAACTGATTAATATGATTAGGCTTCATTTAGTGTACTAAATTTCCTGTTCTATAACTAAATACTTCAATGTTTTTCTTCCCACTATGGTTTAAGTCCATGATGACAGACTGTATCTGACTTTTTATTGTTTTCTCTTTTATGTCTAGCACAACACTGGCATATAGTAGGCAATCAATAAATATTTGTTGAATGAAAGAATGTATGAGTCACAAGAGCACAATAAATGTTTGCTGAATGAATGGATATCCAACAGAAAAGTGTTCTGCAGCAAAATAGGAACATTCTCATATTTCCAAATATTGTCTATGAATCATAAGTTTACCTAAAATCTGAATAATCAAGAAAATGAATCATCTTTATCAGTGTCTCTGTCCATTCTTCCAACTTATCACTTTCTTATTAGAGATGGTCTCGTTTCCTTCTCTTCATGCTTTGGGCAAACTGGTATTGTTTCACTTGACCTAATACTTAGAACTTTTAAGGCTTGTTTAAAGTTCAAATACTTAGAGTCTTAAAACTTTAAGACTTGTCCTTGTTTTTAGGCTCAGCACAGTCTCATGAATGCTTTATGTTATTGTAATAATAAGCAACTCAGTACACAAATGCATGAAAGATCTAAAGTAATCCTCTGGATATTGTACATAGCAAAGGAGCAGCACAAAATAATTGGTATAGTTTTTACTAAAGTGAAATCAGATAATACATAGGGATTATGTATAAGAATGAGTGAATAATCAATCACTAATTATCTAATGGTGCAAGATGTTTTTCTGATTACAATGAAATACACTGCCCCACACTCTTTTGCAACTTTACTGAATCCAATTTTTAGAGTTTTGCACTAAAAGAAAGTCATAGAAAGTCAGAGGAAAAGGTGAGGATAGAGAGACATATAAATGAAATAGCAGCAATAAAATTGCAATCTGCATGGAATTTATCTAGAAATATGTTTAAACCACATTAAGCAAGTAGTAGAACCTATAGATGTATTCTCTCAGGAACTTCAATAAATTAATTTGCCGAAGCCTCAGTCTCCTCTTTTGTAAATTGAGAGTGATAATAAATCCTCTAACACATGATTTCTTGGGGAAAGAGGATACTGGAAATGCAATTTATTCACCTTAGATTTTCAGCAGATTTCTGCAGAGTTGTTTGAACTTGCCAGTTTCAATTGTTTTCTATTTAAAACCATTGTAATCAGGTGTACGCCCCCCCACCTTTCCATCAATATTGGAAAAGGTCCCTAATGATGATTTCCACAATGCTAAATTTAGTAGTAAACTGTCTTACATGATGTCTCAGTAGATTTAGACACATTTCATTAGTGCTTCTTAAAATATGTTTTTTACTGTTATAGAAAGAGACTCATCTATCTGCTTTTTTTCCTTATCTCACTGACTGCTTCTCAATCTCAGTTGCACCATTTTTCTTATCCTCCGTAACATTTTCTTTACGTTGAAGATTAGAGCTCAGTTCTTAGACTTCTTTTCTTTGTTACCAGCATTACTTCTCAGTACGAGTTTGCCCACTCATGACTTTGATTTATTCTATAATCTGAAAATTTGAATAGGTGTACACCCAACTTTGGCTACTTCCCAGAAGTCCAGGTTTATATCTTCAACTGCCTATCAGGCACTTCATTTGAATATATAATAGATATCTCCAAATTAACATGTCTAATCATGCCTTCTAAACTTGTTTAACCTACAGATTAAACAAGTCTCCCATTTTAGTAATTGCCAACTCAATTCTATTTACTCACCTCAAAAGTGCAGAATAATGCTTGCATGTTCTCTTTATATTATGTTCCCATTCCAAATTTACCATTTCTAATGATATTTGTCCAAAATGATTCTGCTACAAACTTGATTCCAGCCCCTGTCATCATATTTCCAGCTAGATTTTAAAAGTCTCCTCCCAATTTTTCCCACTAATGCAATTGTTTTTTATTATTCTTTTCTTCACAAAGTAGACATATGATACTTTTAAAACAGTATAAATTACATCCTATCATTTCCTTTTTAGTACTTACCAACATGTTATTATCTTAACCTTAGTAAGAACTAAAATCCTGACAATAATCCATAGCACCTTCTCATGGCACTGTGATTCTTTATCTCTAACACCAACCTCATATCATAAAAATCTAATCCTACAGATTCTAACCCAACCATTCTCTTCCTGGATTTTTATCAACCTCCTACCTCTGAGTATTTGTATCTGCTAATACTTGCACATTTGTCTACCTGGAATACTGTGCTCCGAGACATCTGCATAGTTTTCTTCCTTGTCTCCTTCAGGACTTGACCAGCATGTTTGGTCCTTTGCTGAAATATCATCTTGTATGAAATGCAGTTTACTCTTTCATTCCCCTGAAGATGTCTTGATTTGAGTTTTAATTATTAAAAAATCAGACTTGAAGGAAAAGAATTAGAAATAGTTAGATTATCTGAAAGTTAAACCAAGGAAACAGAAATGACAGAACAGAAAAAAGTGAGGAAGATAGGAAGAAAGAGGGAAAGATAAAAGCTGGTATAGCATATATTAACATTACAGTTGTGGAAATTCCAGTTTTTACATACAGGTCAGAATTATTTCATTAGGTACTGGAAAGAACGGTGCATGTAACCACAAGGCTCCACCTCCTATTGGTTGAGAGTTGTCCTCAGAGATGATAATAACTCCACGACTCATACCTGTCACTGAGGCTTGAAAGACTCAAACAGCTAAAAAATAGAACGGCTGGGACTCTTCAGGTATTTTCTTGTTTCTCTTGGTCTTCCCAGTATGGCAGTTTCAGGGAAGTTAAACTTTTTACAGGGTATCTCAGAGCTCCAAATGTATGTGTAGAGGAAGAGTGAAAGAGAGAGAGAGAGAGAGAGAGAGGAAGAGATCCAGCCTCTGAAGTCAAATAGTAACACCTCTGCTTTATTTTGTTGGTTGTGACAATCACAGCCTTCTCTGTGTTATTTTGGGTTTTTCAAATTTTTCTTTTAGATAATTGTTCAATTCCATGCAGTTGTAAGAAATAACACTGAGAAATAATGTGTATACTATGCCCTCTGTTAATGGTAACATTTTGCAGAACCATATTGTAATATCACAACTAGGATAATGACATTGGTGTAATCCACTGATTTTATTCAGATTTCCTCAGTTTTACTTGCACTCATTTGTATGTGTGTGTGTGTGTGTATTAAGTTCTATGTAATTTTATCACCTGTGTTTGTTCCTGTATCTACCATCACAGTAAAGATTCTGAACCGACTCAACACAACCAGGATACTTCAAATTATGCTTTTCATAACCACACCCATCTCTCTCTTTCTCCATCTCTGACCACTCTCTTCTCTATTTCTAAAATTTTGTCATTTTTGAAATGCTACCTAAAAATGTACATCAATGGAATCATACAGTATATATCTTTATCACTCACCATAATTACTAGGGGATTTATTCTAATTATTGAGTGCCTCATTAGATTAGTTACCTTATTTTGCCAAGTAGCATTCCATGGTATGTATGTTCCACCTAATGAAAGATATGTAGGTTGATTCTAAAGTTTAGTTGCTACAAATAAAGCTGCTATAAACATTCATATACAAGTTTTTGTGTCAACATAAGTTATCATTTTTTGGAGGATAAATGCCCAGGAGTGCAATTGCTAGGTCTGACAGAAATTGAAAGTTTAGTTTCATAGGGAACACCAAACTGGTTGGTTCCTAGAGTGGCTATAGTAGCAATGTATGAGTGATTCAGTTTCTTTAAATCCTCACCAAAATTTTTTGCTATCACTATTTTTTTAAACAGCCATTCTGATAAGTGTATAGTGATCTCATGTGATTTTTATTCATACTTCCCTGATGGGTGAAGACGTTGAACATATTTTCATCTGTTTATGTGACTTTGGCAAAATCTCTATTCATGACTTTTGCCCATTTTCTATTTAGTTTGCCTTTTTTCACTGTTGAATTTTCTTTATATATTCTAGATGCTAGCTCTTTTTGCTTATGAGGATATATTAATGTTGTTTTATTACTCTAATATTTCCTATTTTCAGTTTCACAGATCTTGTTCTTATCTTTTATCCTTCTTTCTTGCTTTGGTTTTTTTCTTTCTTGCATTTTGCTTTTTTTCCTAGTTCTTGAGTTAGAAACAGCTTATTGCTTTGTGATCTTTTCTGATTTTTAACATAATAATTTAATGCAATGCATTCCAATCAGCCCTGCTTTTGTTGCATCCCACACATTGTGATATGGTGCAATTTCATTTTAGTTCAGTTGCTAAAAATCTCCTTTGAGTCTTCCACTTTAATCCATGGATTATTTAGAAGTGCATTTGTTTACTTTTTATTATTATTGTTATTATTGTACTTTAAGTTTTAGCGTACATGCGCACAATGTGCAGGTTTGTTACATATGTTTACGTTTTTTTGTGGCTCAAGATAGAATAATGTTTTTTCTTGGTGTATGTGTCATGGGAACTTGAAAAAAAGTGCATTGTGTTGTTAGGTAGAGTATTCTACATGAGTCAATTAGATCATGTTGGTAGCATATGTTGTTCAGATGGTCTATATTCTTACATAATTTTTATGTAGTAATTCTATTAGTTGCTGAAATGTGGGTGTTGAAGTTTCCAATTCTACTTGAAAAATTTGTCTATTTCTTTTTTTCTTCTAGTTTTAAGGAGGGTAGTGGAAGCAAAGATAGTATTCTCAGTGGAAGACGTGTCAGCAAAATACGTAGGAATAATACATAAGCTGGGGTATATATCTCTCTATTTATACCTATGTAGAATATCTATATCTTTATATTTTACCTGTCTACCTGTAGCCATCATTGGGAAATACAATTTTACGCAACTATTAACAGTAGCCTGGACACTAATTTTATGTAAGATGTACCACTGTAAATCTTAGCCACAAACAATAACGTAGCTACTCAGATACGCTGGTTTCAATCTTAGTAGTGTGTTTTTAATTTCCCCAGTTAAGAGACTGTCATCTGGGAACTTAGACATGTAATGGGTACTTTGGTTTCATGTAAAGCATTCACTCTAAATGACCATCTCTTTGAGCCTTCTGACACACAAAAGAATTATTTAATATTAATGATGCTACAGCTTACCGGGAGTTACCATCTCTCCACATACCATTGGCAATGGTGTCTTTGATGCAATCCAACAAGTAAACGTTTTTACACTTGAATACCACCCTAAAGCTCTTATCTGAAAGACCACTTCCAGTATGATCTCTCTTAATTTTGGTTATCTCAAAAGCCTACCTAAGGTAAGGATTTAAATGCAGGTAATACATTTTGATGGGGAACCCACTGAACAGAAGTGAAAAATAAGAGAAAGTAAAGTAGAGGAAGAAAAAAAGCCACAAAATGTGCATTAATGTAATGTTAATAACGAAGATTATGAAGACATGTGTAGAATATGTCTGAGAATTGACCCTCATTTGCTCTTAGAAATGAAGTATAATTGTATTAAATTTAACTGCATAACTTAGCATTAAAACTCTTAAATATTAGCACATTTATCTATCTAACATACTTTCTCATTATAATTTAATATTAATAAATATTTTTATTGTTTATTAATATTAGTAAACAATAAATTAATTAATTAATAAAACAAATAACAATTTGTTTTAAATTTGTGAATAACATTCTCCTTTCTAAAAATTACTTTGTCCAGGTTTTAGCTTTTGAAAAGTCCTACTTATCATTCAAGGTCCTAAGAAATTTTATCCTTTTCCCTGGATTATTCTTTTTCCTATTTTTTTGTTCCACACTTGATTGATTTAGAGTTCATAATTCCCCTCTTTGAACTACCACTCTGATTTCTATATAACACTATATTAAGTTTGTATTTTAACCATATGTAGCACAATTACTTGTTCATTTGTTTATTTTAATAAATTGTGATATGCAGCATGACAATTTTTTTTTTGTATAGCTATGCATTATTTTGGAGAGAAGGACAAAAAATCAATGACATAGTTAACCTATCACAGTACTCCAGCATCTAGAAGAGTTCTTGTCATTTATAAACTCCATTTGTTTCAGGTAAGTGAACAAATGAGACAATAGCCTAGTTGGGGATGTAATTGGAGCCCTGAGCCAAGCCACGCAGCAACCTTTAGAATCTGGAAAACGCAAAAAAAAAAAAAAAAAAAAAAAAAAAACAGACTCTCTTGTAGAGCCTCCAGCCCTGATGTCACCTTGAATTTAGTTCCAAAAGATGGATTTTAGACTTCTAACCTCCAGAACTGTAAAATTACAAATGTATGTTGTTTAAAGCCCCTAAGTTTATGGTAATTTGTTACAAGAGCAATAGGAAACTAGTACAGTCTCTTTACTTCTCTCTTCTCTTTCTCGTCCTCCTGTTATGTGTATGTTGGCGTGCCTAGTACAGTCTCACGTTTCTCTAAGGCTCTGTTTATTTTCTTTCACTTGTTTTCCCCTCTGTTCTTTACATTGCATAGATATATCTTAAACTATGCCGGTTGGTTCTGCTGGTAGTGAAATGTATTGTTGAGTCTCTCCAGTGAACTTCTTCATTTCAATCATTGTACTTTTAAACTCAATTTCTATTTGATTCTTTATTATAGTTTCTACCTCTTTATTAATATTCTATACTGGTGAGACTTTGTCATCATATTTTCCTTTTCTTCTTTATTCATGGGTTCTTTCATTTCATTGAAATAATAGCTACCTTAAAATTGTTTTCTATTATGTCAAACACTGTAGACATGTCACAGGCAGTATTGTTGCCTGCTTGTTTTTCTATGTGTAGGTCACACTGTCTTGTTTCTTTTCCTGTCTTATAATTTTTTGTGAAAACTGAATATTTTAGATAACATACTGTTGCAACTATGGATACCTCCCCTCTGCCCCAATTCTACCTCAAGGCTTGTTATTGTTGTTGTTGCTTATTTCTTTAGTAACTTGGCTGAAGTATTTTAGTGAAGTCCATTTCCCCTGCAATGTGAACTATCTGGTATTGCTCCTCAGAAGGTGCAGTCTTAGGATTCAGTTAGTTACCCTAGGATGACTGGTTTTTAGAGGGCTCTCTTTGTCTCTTTCCCTAATCTCGCTTTGCAGCTATCTGCCTTTTCAGGTATCATACTCAGATGTCAAGCTCTGATATTTGCCCAGTGATTCCTCTGTTGTTTTTAACAATGTCTTGGAACATATATTGAGCTGCAGTTAAATGTGGGTCCCTTTGCAGGGGGAGTTTTTGAGAACGGTCTTTGAAGTTCATTAGGACCCCAGAGGGCACCTCCTTACATACTTTAATCTTGCCCAAAAGGTTTCTCTGTACATAGTGAGCTATAACCTAAATGGAGGTGTAAACACACCGTATGCTACTCTTATGGCAATCACTGAGTTTTGGCCAATTAAAAGGACCTGGTATGGTTTGGCTCTGTCCCCACCCAAATCTCATCTTGAATTGTAGTTCCCATAATTCCCATGTGTTTTGAGAGGGACCCAGTGGGAGGTAACTGAATCATGGAGGGGGCCTACTCTCATGGTGCTGTTCTTGTGACAGTGAGTGAGTTCTCAGGAGATCTGATGGTTTTATACGGGGCTTTTCTCCCTTTTGCTCTGTACTTCTCCTTCCTGTCCCCATGTGAGGAAGGATATATTAGCTTCCCCTTCTGCTGTGATTGCAAGTTTCCTGAGGCCTCCCCTGTCATGCTGAATTGTGGGTCAATTAAACCTCTTTTCTTTATAAATTACCCAGTCTTGGGTGTCTTTAAAAGCAGTGTAAGAATGGACTAAAATTGGTACCAGTAGAGTGGGGTGCTGCTGTAAAGATACCTGAAAATGTGGAAGCTACTTTGCAACTGGGTTACAGGAAGAGGTTGAACCAGTTTGAAGTGCTCAGAAGAAGACAGGAAAATGGGGGAAAGTTTGGAACCTCCTAGAAACTTGTTGAATAGCTTTGACCAAAGTGCTGATAGTGATAGGAACAATGAAGTCCAGGCTAAGGGGGTTTCAGATGGAGATGGGGACCTGGAGTAAAGGTTGCTCTTATGCAAAGAGACTGGTTGCATTTTGCCCCTGCCCCAGACATCTATGGAACTTTTAAATTGAGAGAGATGATTTAGGGTATCTGGTGGAAGACATTTCTAAGTGGCAAACCATTGAAGTGGGAGCAGGACATAAAAGTTTGGAAAATTTGCAGCCTGATGATGTGATAGAAAAGAAAACTCCATTTTCTGCAGAGAAATTCAAGCTGGCTGCAGAAATTTACATAAGTAATGAGGAGCTGAATGTTAATCACTAAGACAATGGGGAAAATGTCTCCAGGGCATGTCCTAGACCTTGATAGCAGCCTCTCTCATCAGAGGCCCCTAGGCCTAGGAGGGAAAAATGGATTCCTGGACTGGGTCCAGGACCTGCCCTGCTGTGTGCAGCCTTGGGACTTGGTGCCCCTATAACAAATTGCTCCAGCCATGGCTAAAAGGGGCCAACATACAGCTCAGGCTGTGGGTTCAGAGAGTGCAAGCTCAAAGCCTTGGCAGCTTCCACCTGGTATTGGGCCTGTGGATATGAAGAAGTCAAGGATTGAGGTTTGGGGACCTCTGCCTAGATTTCAGAGGTTGTATGTAAAAGCTTGGATGTCCAGGCAGAAGTCTGCTGCAGGGGCAGAGCCCTCATGAAGAACCTCTAATAGGGCAGTGCAGAAGGGAAATGTGGAGTCAGAGCCCCCACACTGAGTCCTCACTGGGAGACTGCCTAGTAGAGCTGTGAGAAGAGGGCCACCATCCTCCAGACACCAGAATGGCAAATCCACTGACAGCCTGCACTGTGTCCCTGGAAAAGCTGCAAACACTCAATGCCATCCCATGAAAGCAGCCAGGAGTGGGGCTGTATCCTGCAGAGCCATAGGAAGAGCTGCCCAAGGCCATGGAAATCCACCTCTTGCATCAGCATGACCTGGATGTGAGACATGGAGTCAAAAGAGATAATTTTGGAACTTTAAGGTTTAACTACTGCCCTATTGGATTATGGACTTTCATGGAGCCTATAGCTACTTATTTTGGTCAATTTCTCCCATTTGGAATGGCTGTATTTACCCAATGCCTGTGTCCCCATTGTATCTAATAAGTAACCAAGTTGCTTTTGTTTTTATAGGCTCATAGGCAGAAAAGACTTGCCTTGTCTAAGATGAGACTTTGGACTTGGTCTGTTGGGTTAGTACTGGAATGAGTTAAGACTTTGGGGGACTGCTGGGAAGGCATGATTGATTTTGAAATGTAAGGGCATGAGATTTTGGAGGGTCCTTGGTGGAATGATATGGTTTGGCTGTATCTCCATTCAAATATCATCTTCAATTTTAGTTCCCATAATCCTCATGTGTTGTGGGAAGGACTTGGTGAGAGGTAATTGAATCATGGTGGTGGTTGCTCCCATGCTGCTCTTCTCATGATACTGAGTAAGTTCTCACAATATCTGATAATTTTATAAGGGTTTTTCTCCCTTTTGCTCTGCACTTCTCCTTGCTGCTCCATGTGAAGAAGGACATCTTAGCTTTCCCTTCTGCCAAGATTGTAAGCTTCCTGAAGTCGCCCAGCAATATTATACTGTGAGTCAATTAAACCTATTTTCTTTATAAATTACCCAATCTTGGCTACGTCTTTATTAGCAGTGTGAGAATGGACTAATACAGTGGCCACCTCTTCAAATACTGTTCAGATAAGACAAATGCTTAGTTATAACCAATCTAGCCATTTCTGTACTTCACTTCCATTCTCTGTAGTCACTTTCCTTTTTCTGTCTATAAATCTTCCAACAAGTTGTTGTGCTAGTGTCTCTGAGCCAACTCTTGTTCAGGAGGCTGCCCAATTTATGAATCATTCTTTGCTCAATTATTCTGTGTTCAGTTGAACTCAGCTAAGGTTTTCTTTTAACACTGGTAAACTGTCAGGCTTTGATGGTGGCTGTCACAGGGCCCCTGGCCTCCTCCTAATTGCTCACAACCCACCAAAGTCTCTACTCTTTTGGGAAGTACTCTTATGCTTGAACTTCATACATTTTTCCCAAATAAAGCTAGTTTCCATAGATATAGTTACAGATATCTGCGTTTTAATGTCCTCTTTCCCTTGGCAACATGTCTGGCCATGTTCTCTGGACTCGTGTCTATAACAGTGGCCTGCTTATCCTCAGAATGACACACTCACTTTATTTCCAGGACACTGGAAAGGGGCAGTAGCCTCTGGATTTCTTGGCTTTTCTCTTCCAGTGTGGATGCTTATCCCTGTGAGTGAGTTGAGGTGAGGATAATCTGAGCCCCAGTGTTCTTGGCCTGCAATCCCTGGGGTAAGGCCTCCATACCATGAATGGGTGCTGGGTGGAGGAGAAAGCCCCTGATAGTCTGATCACACTTTCCTGGACTTTAGCCTTTCTTATACAGAGCTGTAGAGGAGGCATAAAAAATGCAGATGACTTCTCTTTCTTGCACTTTAGGAAGAGGGATTCCTATCATATGGGCTGTACCTGCCCTTCACAGGGGAATTTCCATCATGCTGAGTCGAGGATGGGATAAATAAGTTGAGGATGGGATAAATAAGACTCATGCCAGGGACTCTCCCTGCTCTTACCACTGAGATTTAGTAGATTATCTTTCACAAATATGTCTTCATTTTTGCATATCATTAAGGTGATTTCCATTTTTTTATTTTATTATACTTTAAGTTCTAGGGTACATGTGCACAACGTGCAAGTTTGTTACATATGTATATATGTGTCGTGTTGGTTTGCTGCACCCACTAACTCATTGTTTACATTAGGTATATCTCCTAATGCTATCCCTCCCCCCTCCCCCCACCCCACGACAGGCCCTGGTGTGTGATGTTCCCCACCCTGTGTCCAAGTGTTCTCATTGTTCAATTCCTACCTATAAGTGAGAACATGTGGTGTTTAGTTTTCTGTCCTTGTGATACTTTGCTCAGAATGATGGTTTCCAGCTTCATCCATGTTGCTACAAAGGACATGAACTCATCCTTTTTTATGACTGCATAGTATTCCATGATGTATATGTGCCACATTTTCTTAATCCAGTCTATCATTGATGGACATTTGGGTTGGTTCCAACTCTTTGCTATTGTGAATAGTGCCACACTAAACATATGTGTGCATGTGTCTTTTAGTATCATGATTTATAATACTTTGGTTATATACCCAGTAATGGGATTGCTGGGTCAAATGGTATTTCTAGTTCTAGATCCTTGAGGAATCGCTACACCATCTTCCACAATGGTTGAACTAACTTACACTCCCACCAACAGTGTAAAAGCATTCCTGTTTCTCCACATCTTCTCCAGTACCTGTTGTTTCCTGACTTTTTAATGATCACCATTCTAACTGGTGTGAGATTGTATCTCACTGTGGTTTTGATTTAAATTTCTCTGATGATCAGTGATGAAGAGCATTTTTTCATGTGTCTGTTAGCTGCATAAATTTCTTCTTTTGAGAAGTGTCTGTTCATATATTTTGCCAAATTTTTGATGGGGTTGTTTGATTCTTTCTTGTAAATTTGTTTAAGTTCTTTGTAGATTCTGAATATTAGCCCTTTATCAGATGGGTAGATTGCAAAAATTTTCTCCCATTCCATAGGTTGCCTGTTCACTCTGACTGTAGTTTCTTTTGCCGTGCAGAAGCCCTTGAGTTTAGTTAGATCCCATTTGTGTATTTTGGCTTTTGTTGCCATTGCTTTTGGTGTTTTAGTCATGAAGACTTTGTCCATGCCTATGTCCTGAATGGTATTGCCTAGGTTTTCTTGTAGGATTTGTATGGTTTTAGGTCTAACATTTAAGTGTTTAATCCACCTTGAATTAATTTTTGTATGAGGTGTAAGGAAGGGATCCAGTTTCAGCTTTCTACATATGGCTAGTCAGTTTTCCCAGCACTATTTATTAAATAGGGAATCCTTTCCCCATTTCTTGTTTTTGTCAGCTTTGTCAAGGATCAGATGGTTGTAGATGTGTGGTGTTATTTCTGAGGCCTCTGTTCTGTTCCATTGGTCTATATCTCTGTTTTGGTACCAGTACCATGCTGTTTTGGTTACTGTAGCCTTGTAGTATAGTTTGAAGTCAGGTACTGTGATACCTCCAGCTTTGTTCTTTGGCTTAGGATTGCTTTGGCAATGCGGGCTCTTTTTTGGTTCCATATGAACTTTAAAGTAGTTTTTTCCAATTCTGTGAAGAAAGTCATTGATACCTTGATAGGGATGGCATTGAATTCATAAATTACCTTGGGCAGTATGGCCATTTTCACAATATTAATTCTCCCTATCCGTGAGCACTGAATGCTCTTCCATTTGTTTGTGTCTTCTTTTATTTCGTTGAGCAGTGGTTTGTAGTTTTCCTTGAAGAGGTCCTTCACATCCCTGGTAAGCTGGATTCCTAGGTATTTTATTCTCTTTGTAGCAATTGTGAATGGGAGTTCCCTCATGAATTGGCTCTATGTTTGTTATTGGTGTATAAGAATGCTTATGATTTTTCCACATTGATTTTGTATCCTGAGATTGCTGAAGTTGCATATCAGCTTAAAGAAATTTGGGGCTGATATGATGGAGTTTTCTAAATATACAATCATGTCATCTGCAAACAGGGACAATTTGAATTCCTCTTCTCATAATTGAATACCTTTTATTTCTTTATCTTGCCTGATTGCCCTGGCCAGAATTTCCAACACTATGTTGAATAGGAGTGGTGAGAGAGGGCATCCCTGTCTTGTGCCAGTTTTCAAAAGGAATGTTTCCAGTTTTTGCCCATTCAGTATGATACTGGCTGTGGCTTTGTCATAAATAGCTCTTATTATTTTGAGAAACATTCCATCAATACATAGTTTGTTGAGAGTTTTTAGCATGAAGGCTGTTTAATTTTGTCAAAGGCCTTTTCTGCATCTATTGAGATAATCATGTGGTTTTTGTCTTTGGTTCTGTTTATGTGATGGATTACATTTATGGATTTGCATATGTTGAACCAGCCTTGCATCCCAGGGATGAAGTCAACTTGATCTTGGTGGATATGCTTTTTGATGTGCTGCTGGATTCAGTTTGCCAGTATTTTATTGAGAATTTTTGCATCAATGTTCATCAGGGATATGGGTCTAAAATTCTCTCTTTTTGTTGTGTCTCTGCCAGGCTTTGGTATCAGGATGATGCTGGCCTCATGAAATCAGTTAGGGAGGATTCCCTCTTTTTCTATTGATTGGAATATTTTCAGAAGGAATGGTACCAGCTCCTCTTTGTACCTCTGTAGAATTCAGCTGTGAATCCTCCTTGTCCTGGAGTTTTTTTGGTTGGTAGGCTATTAATTATTGCCTCAATTTCAGAGCCTATTATTGGTCTATTCAGTGATTCAACTTCTTCCTGGTTTAGTCTTGGGAGGGTGTATGTGTCCGGGGATTTATCCATTTTTTTTTCTAGATTTTCTAGTTTGTTTGCATAGAGGTGTTCATAGTATTCTTTGATGGTAGTTTGTATTTCTGTGGGGTTGGTGATGATATCCCCTGTATCATTTTTTATTGCATCTATTTGATTCTTCTTTCTTTTCTTCTTTATTAGTCTTGCTAGTGGTCAATCAATGTTGTTGATCAGAAAAACCAGCTCCTGGATTCGTAGATTTGTTGAAGGGTTTTTTTGGTCTCTATCTCCTTCAGTTCTGCTCTGACCTTAGTTATTTCTTACCTTCTGCTAGCTTTTGAATTTGTTTGCTCCTTTCCATGTTTAGTGCTTCTTTCAGGAGCTCTTGTAGGGCGGGCCTGGTGGTGACAAAATCTCTCAGCATTTACTTGTCTGTAAAGGATTTTATTTCTCCTTCACTTATGAAGCTTAGTTTGGCTGGATATGAAATTCTGGGTTGAAAATTCTTTTCTTTAAGAATGTTGAATATTGGCCCTCACTCTCTTCTGGCTGGTAGGGTTTCTGCCGAGAGATCTGCTGTTAGTCTGATGGGCTTCCCTTTGTGGGTAACCCGACCTTTCTCTCTGGCTGCCCTTAGCATTTCTTCCTTCATTTCAACCTTGGTGAATCTGACAATTATGAGTCTTAGCATTGCTCTTCTTGAGGAGTATCTTTGTGGTGTTCTCTGTATTTCCTGAATTTGAATGTTGGCCTGCCTTGTGAGGTTGGGGAAATTCTCCTGGATAATATCCTGAAGAGTGTTTTCCAGCTTCATTCCATTCTCCCCATGATTCTCAGGTACACCAGTCAAATGTAGATTTGGTCTTTTCACATAGTCCCATATTTGTTGGAGGCTTTGTTCATTTCTTTTTACTTTTTTTTCTCTAAGCTTCTTGCTTCATTTCATTCATTTGATCTTCAATCACTGATACCCTTTCTTCCACTTGATTGAATCGACTACTGAAGCTTGTGTATGCATCACCTAGTTCTCGTGCCATGGTTTTCTGCTCCATCAGGTCATTTAAGGTATTCTCTACACTATTTATTCTAGTTAGCCATTCGTCTAATCTTTTTTCAAGGTTTTAGCTTCCTTGCTATGGATTTGAACCTCCCCCTTTAGCTCAGAGAAGTTTGTTATTACTGACTTTCTGAAGCCTACTCCTGTCAACTCGTCAAAGTCATTATCCGTCCAGCTTTGCTCTGCTGCTGGCAAGGAGTTGCAATCCTTTGGAGGAGAAGAGGCACTCTGGTTTTTAGAATTTTCAGCTTTTCATCCGGGTGCCGTGGCTCATGCCTGTAATTCCAGCACTTTGGGAGGCTGAGGCAGGAGGATCACGAGGTCAGGAGCTCCAGACCACTGTGGCTAACAAGGTGAAACCTTGTCTCTACTATAAATACAAAAACATTAGCGGGCGTGGTGGTGGGTGCCTGTAGTCCCAGCTACTTGGGAGGCTGAGGCAGGAAAATGGTGTGAACCTGGGAGGTGGAGCTTGCAGTGAGCAGAGATCTCACCACTGCACTCCAGCCTGGGCGACAGAACAAGACTCCACCTCAAAAAAAAAAAAAAAAAAACAAAAAAAAAAAACAGAATTTTCAGCTTTTCTGCTCTGGTTTCTCCCCATCTTTGTGGTTTTATCTACCTTTGGTCTTTGATGATGGTCACCTACAGATGGGGTTTTGGTGTGGATGTCTTTTTTGTTGATGTTGATGCTATTCCTTTCTGTTTGTTAGTTTTCCTTTTAACAGTCAGGTCCCTCAGCTGCAGGTCTGTTGGAGTTTGCTGGAGGTCCACTCCAGACCCTGTTTGCCTGGGTATCACCAGCGGAGGCTGCAGAACAGCAAATATTGTAGAACAGCAAATATTGCTGCCTGATCCTTCCTCTGGAAGCTTCATCTCAAGGCGCACCTGGCTGTATGAGGTGTCAGTCAGCCCCTACTGGGAGGTGTCTCCAAGTTAGGCTACAGGGGGTTCAGGGACCCACTTGAGGAGGCAGTCTCTCTGTTCTCAGAGCTCAAACACCGTGCTGGGAGAACCACTGCTCTCTTTAGAGCTGTCTGACAGGGACGTTTAAGTCTGCAGAAGTATCTGCTGCCTTTTGTTAGGCTATTCCCTGCCCCAAGAGGTGGAGTCTACAGAGGCAGTCGGGCCTAGTTGAGCTGTGGTGAGCTCCACCCAGTTGGAGCTTCCTGGCCGCTTTGTTTACCTACTCAAGCCTCAGCAATGGTGGGTGCCCCTCCCCCAGCCAGGCTTGCCTCCTTGCAGTTAGATCTCGGACTAGCAGTGAGCAAGGCTCCATGGGTGTGGTACTCACTGAGCGAGGCGTGGGATATAGTCTCCTGGTGTGCCGTTTGCTAAGACCATTGGAAAAGCACAGTGTTTAGGTGGCAGTGTCCCGATTTTCCTGGTACAGTCTATCACGGCTTCCCTTGGCTAGGAAAGGGAAATCCCCCAACCTCTTGCACTTCCTGGGTGAGGCGATGCCCTGTCCTGCTTCAACTCACCCTCCATGGGCTACACTCACTTTCCAACCAGTCCCATTGAGATGAACCAGGTACCTCAGTTGGAAATGCAGAAATCACCCATCTTCTGCGTCGATCACACTGGGAGCTGCAGACCAGAGCTTTTCCTATTTGGCCATCTTGGAACAGACTCCCAGAAAGTTGTAATGGTTATTTAAAATAATTTTTAACATTTATTGTTGTTTCTCTGGGAATCTCCTCACACCATCATTCCATACATGAATCCTGAAAAAATGACTTTTAGTTCCAGAGGAAGTTTTATTTGCCTAAAAACTTATCTCTCTTAATACAGTATTGTTTATTCAAATACTTTATTATCTGGTCAATAACTGACTTTCTTTTGTTCTAGCTTGCTTAATATCCTTAAAAATTAAAGGCTTCTTTGTGCTTTGTACTACTCTAAGAAATGAATGATTTTCTTAAAAAAGCAATATATATTATATTTATCAACTTTTGATTTTTAAATTACCGTATTTTCACATTTAAAAGAAAGGAGCAATTAAAAATAATCTTTTACCTATGGAGAAATAACTTTTTATGAAAAGAGATATGTAATAATTACTTTAAAAATGTTTCTTAAAGTGCAGAGAGTATGTAGAAAACATAATTATTTGAAAAATTTGAGGATAGTAAGTCAATTATTTTTACAGAACCATAAAATGTGTTGACCTCTAGATGCTATTGATTATCCAAATATACTTTCTGGTGTTTTATTACTTTAACTTTCAGGAATAAAGAATATTTTACTGCTGAATTATAATTACAAAATATAGTTGATAAAATAATTGTTTCCTGTAAGGGGAAAAAGTGTTTTACACTGTGTTGCAGTACAATCAATTAGTATATATCAATTTGGAATAATTTTCATTTATTTTAAAATCTCATTATTTTATTTTCTAATGCCATTAAAGTTCTTTTGAAAGAACTTCCTGTCAAATCACAAAATAGGAATTCATTATACCCATTTTTTTAGAAATGTGAACTGAAATTAATTATTTTGTTTGAAGTTCACTTTATAATGAAAAAGTGCCCAAATAATATTCAGGATGAAATTTTAAAACTTGAAAAAATAAACAAGTACCATTTATACGTTTAATTTGAAAGAGGTAGAAATCTATGAAGGTTTATAACATTCACTCTAAAGAAGGCTGGACTTTCTGTTTCATAGTGTCTACTAGACTGAAAGATAAATAGTATGTTGCTTCAGTCTTCCACTATCTTTTAAAACTTTAAATTACACACTAGAGAGAAACTGGCTTGATCATCTCTCTGACTTTATGACTTTATACTGTAAGATGCCAAAGAAGTATCCCCTGGCTATATTTGGTAAAAAGTTAGATCATAAAAGATAAACATTCAGGATGAACTCAAGGCTAAGAGACTGTTTTAGCCATTTGTTTTATATTTGATGCTTCCTGCAGTAGTTTTGTAAGTAAATTTGCAAAACCAGAAAAGCTTTCATAGACTTAAACATGGGGCATTCCCTTGAAGGTTACAGCCCAGATTATGATTTGCCCCAGGTGAAGGGATACTGCATTAAGGATACATAATAAGAGCACTGACTATTCAAGAAAGCCAGAAATGAAGGCAAGAGAGTGGAAGTGAGCCTTCTGGATAAAAAGATTAACTTTTCCTTTGGTCCCTGTCTTGATGTACATTTCTCATATCTTTGATTACAGGCCCAAACCAGATCAAAAGGTCTTCCTTTATTCCGCTTTCATCCACTTTAAACTTTTAATATTCTTAGTTTTCTAACTAGTTTGGTGTGCTTTCATCAGTATTTTCTAAAAGATTCCTTTTCAGTGTTTGATTCATCTGTGACCTTGGGGCACATTAAGAGGCACATTAAGTTGGTGGGAGTGGGTATGTGAATATATGTATGATTTTGTGCATATGTTAGGAGAGAGAAACATGAGTAGAAATATATATTAACCTCAGCTAGTAATTTAAAACCTGGCAAACTAAATAATATTCACTTCTCCCAACTACATAACACAGACACACACCACGTCATTGCCCTCCTCTCATCACAAAGATAACAATACATTTTCAAAAAAGCCTATTGAAACTAATACTATCGTCAGATACCAACTTACTATAAAGTACTTATTTTGAAATAATAGGCTCTCAATACGTAGACATAAATGTTTAAATGGTTAGATATGGAATTACAACATTGAACAGAAAATTTAAAGAACATGGATTTCTCTATTAAATCCTAGTTGACATTCCAAAACCAGAGTTTTTCTCAACAGTACACTTTTTCCCCTTTCAAGGAAATGATTACTTTATCAACTGTATTTTGTAATTGTAATTCAGCGGTAAAATATTGGTTATTCCTAAAAGCTAAAGTGATAAAGCACTGGAAAGTATATTTGGATAATCAATGACAACTAAAAGTCAACACATTTTTATGGCTCTGTAAAAATAATTGACCTACTATCCTCAAATTTTTCAATATATGTCCATGTATATAAAATCTGTATCTTCTCCTCTCACCAAAAAAAAAAACAATTCAAGGTTTACCAACCCTCACTTGCTAATAGCTATGCTTTTTCATCTGTGAATTCGGAAAATATTCATTGACCCAAATTTACATAAATGAATGTTTTATTAAACATAATATCACATGTAAATATTTGAAAAATAAATATATTACACATATGTAGACCATGTGACTTTTACTTTAGTCTTCAGGCAATCCTTAGTGTGCACATAGTTTAAAAACCCCTAGAGGCAGGGCGTGGTAGCTCATGCCTGTAATCCCAGAACTTTGAGAGGCCGAGGCAGGTGCATCACTTGACGTCAGGTGTTGGAGACCAGCCTGCCCGACATGGTAAACTACAAAAATTAGCCGGGCGTGGTGGTGCAGGCCTGTAGTCCCAGCGACCCAGGAGGCTGAGGCAGAAGAATCCCTTGAACCCAAGAGGCTGAGTTTGCAGTAAGCCGAGATCGCGCCACTACACTCCAGCTTGGGCAGAGCGAGACTCCATCTCAAAAAAAAAAAAAAAAGAAAAAAAAAAAGAAAGTAGAAATAAATTCCTGTCCCTAGGTGTCCCCAGTGCACAGGATGGGGAACATTGGTTTAAAATAGTTGTTTTAAACCATTTTGACACAAAAGCATTTCCTTAAAGGCAATTCTTACTTGAAAGGTCAATTTAAACTGCAAATTGAGATAGATTTTTCTCTCTGGATTCCTGGATTTCTGTCCAGTTCACCTGCCCCACTGTCCTATGCATCCCCCGTCCAACTCCACTGAGTTCCCCTTTGCACACTAAGAGAAGAGTTGCGAACCACCTTCCGTGTTTTATAAGAGAATTCAGCCATGTAGGCATAATCAGATCAAAAGACTCTTTATAAAACATAAATGTCTAAATGACTAGATATGGAGTTACAACATGAAACACAAAATTCAAAGAACTTAGATCTTTCTCTATTAAATCCTACTTGACATCTCCAAACCAGAGTTTTTCTCAACAGTACCCACTAAATCAGAAGTTTATGAAAAAGAATTGTTACATGTTTTCTTGAACTACATTTCGTAGTCGATCACATGGCTCTAGTTTCATGGTAGAGGACGTGACCTAGAGTGGTGAATTTTGAATTACTTTCAATTATTATTATTATCATTATTCCAACATTCATTTTTTACCCAGATGGATAGTTATATTTTCTAATAATAACATTTGCTCTTTTATTTATTCAGTTTAGATTAGGTCTAAAATGTAAGGAGTTATATATTTGTTTTTCTACTGGTTAAAAACTTTGGGCCAGGTGTTGTGGCTTACACCTGTAATCCCAGCACCTTGGGAGACTGAGGCCAGTGGATCACCTGAGGTCACGAGTTCGAGACCAGCCTGGCCAACATGGTGAAACCCTGACTCGACTGAAAATACAAAAATTAGCTGGGCAGAGTGGCGTGTGCCTGTAGTTCCAGCAACTCGGGAGGCTGAGGCAGAAGGATCCCTTGAACCCAGGAGGTGGAGGTTCCAGTGAGTCGAGATCATGCCTCTGCACTCCAACCTGGGCGACAGAGTGAGAATCTGTCTCAAAAAACAAAATCAAAACAAAAAAAAAACTTTCATTCAGGCAATTTAATATGTTTTTCATCATGTTGGAAGCATGATTACCTATTATCATCATTGAGTTATTGACCACTTCACTGGCAAATTTTGTTTTGGTTTTGTTCTTTGGCAACTTAATATTTTGCTCTGTGCTTTATATATATTATGCCGTTTAGTATTTTCAATATTCCTATGAAGGATAGGAGGAATTAAAGTAGGCATTGTTATAACAGGAATTTTCACATAAGGAAACTAAGATTCAAGGGTAAAATAATTTATCTAAAGTCTCAGAGTGCTTGAAGTGAGAAGCCAGCTTCAAACACAGACCTTATATTGGAACCCCAAGTCTTAGGCGTATGTCAAATTGACTAACTATACATACAATTTATATATGTAATACATATTTATATATCATATATAATGTTCTAATTTATATTTAACATATACAAATGTATAAATATATAATATTTAATTTATTTAATATGATAATATATGTATATTTTCCTGCAATTTTCCAAGGGGAATTTAAAGCTGAATAACATTTACTGTGCATTTGTCCATAAAAGTACAATCAATACTCAAAATAAAAATACCGACTAGCAGGACAAGATATAAAATCACTCATTTTAATAATGTCTATATAAAGATACTATTGTCACATGTATTGACACATGTTGCTAATTTTTCTTCTAATCTTTACATGTATTTGCATAGCTATGATCGTAGTACCTGTGCAATTTTATTTTTATGCACTTTTTTATTGCTATAAATTTATGGGGTGCAAGTGTAATTTTGTCACATGGATTGATGGGATAGTGGTAAAGTCAGGGATTTTGGTGTATTCATCAGTTGAATAAAATATTGTACCCATTAAGTAATTTACCATCATCTACTTCCTCCCACTGCCTCACTCCTGTGAGCCTCCTTTTTCTGTCATTCCAACTTCATATTCATGTGTACATCTTTAATTGACATTTATAAATGAGAACATGCTACATATGTCTTTCTGTGTCTGACTGGTTTCACTCAAGATAATGGCTTCCAATTCCATCCATGTTGCTGCAAACACATGATTTTATTTTTTATGTGTGAATACTATTCCATTGTATATTTATATGGAATAAAAATATTCCATATATATCTATATATATACACACACACACACACAACATTTTCTTTGTTGAATCATCTGGTAATGGACATGAGGGGTGGTTCCATGTCTTTCCTATTGTGAGTACTGCTGCAATAAACATACAAGTTTAGAGAGTTTTTTGATATAATAATTTTTTTTCTTTACATAGATACCAGTAGTGGGATTTCCGGACCAAATGGTAGTACTATTTTTAATCTTTGAAAAAAATCTGCATACTGCTTTATGTAGAAGTTGTACCAATTTACATTTCCATCAATAATGTATAAGAGTTCCTTTTTCTTCACATCCTTGCCAACATAACTATTCTTTTTTCTTTTTTTGTTCTTAGGCAATTTAATATTGTGCTCTGTGCTTTGTATATATTTTGTCATTTAGTGCTTTCAATATTCCTATAAAGGATAGAAGAAATTAAAGGAGGCATTATTTATAACATTTCTATTGGTAACTATTCTAACTGGTGTAAGATGATATCTCACTGTGATTTTAATTTGTATTTCTCTGATGATTAGGGATGTTGAACATTTTTTTCACATGCTTGTTAGCCATTTATATGTCTTCTTTTGCAAAACATCTATTTATGTTCTTGGCCTGTCTTTTAATGGGTATTTGTTTTCATTTTGTTTTTGTTGTTATTTGAGTTCCTTGTAAATTCTGGATATTAGTCCCCTGTAAGATACATAGTTTGAAAATATTTTCTCACATTCTGCACTTTGTCTTTTCACTGTTAATTGTTTCTTTTGCTTTGCAGAAGCTTTTTAGTTTAAGACTTGTCTATTTTTTTATTATTGCTTGTGTTTTTGAGGTCTTAGTCCTGAATTCTTTGCCTAGATCAATGTCCAGAGAGTTTAGCCTAGCTTTTCTTCTAATATTTTTATAGTTTTAGGACATATATAAGTTTTTAATCCATCATAAGTTGATTTTCTTATGTAGCTCAGTTTTATTCTTCTGCATTATGCCTATCCAGTTTTCCCAGCATCATTTAATGACAAGGGTGTCTTTTCCCCAATGCATTTCTTCTCAATTTTGTCAAAGATCCATTGGCTGTAGATAAATAGCTTTATTTCTGGATTCTCTATTATGTTCCATTGATCTCTGTGTCTATTTTTATACTGGTATCATACTGTTTTGGTCATTACAGCTTTGTAGTATATTTGAAGTCAGATTCTATGATGCTTCCAGAGTTTGCTTAGGATTGCTTTAGCTATTCAGGCTCTTTTATGGTTCCATGTGAATTTGGGGATTGTTTTTTCTAATTCTGTGAAAAATGGTGTTAGTATTTTGACAGGGATTGCATTGACTCTGTCTAATGCTTTAAGAAGTACGATCATTTTTACTAATATTAATTATTCTAATTACCAGAAGGGAGGTTTGTGTCATCTACAGCTTTAGTAGGGTTTTTGTGTGTGTGTGTGTGGAGATATTTCACCTCCTTGGTTAAATATATTAGCTAAGTTTTTTTTTTTTTAATTTAGTCACTGTTGTAAATGGGATTACCTTCTTGATTTGGTTCTCCTCTAGATTGTTATTGGTATATAGAAATGCCACTAATTTTTGGATGTTGATTTTATATCCAGAAACTTTAGTGAAGTCACTTATAAAAGCTAAGTTTTTTTGGTGGAATCTTTAGTCTTCTTGTATCTTTTGTAGATATGAGATTATATCATCAGTGTACAGGGAAAACTTGACTTCTTCTTTTTCAATGTGGATGCCTTCTACTTCTTTCTCTTGCCTGAATGCTCTGGCTAGAATTTCCAGTACTACGTTGAAAAGGAATGGTAAAAGTGGGCATCCTTGTGTTGTTCCATTTCTTAGAGTGACTGCTTTCAACTTTTCCTAATTTAGTATGATATTGGCTATGGCTTTGTCATATATGGCCTTTATAATTTTGAGGTATGCCTCTTGTCTGCCTAATTTGTTGAGGATTTTTATCATGAATTTTGTCAAATACTTTTTCTGCATCTATTGTGATAATCATACTTTTTGTCCTTAATTCCGTTTATGTGGTGTATAGCATTTGTTAAGTTGCATGTGTTGAACAATCCTGGCATCCCTGGTAAAACCCATTTGATCATGGAGTAGTATCTTTTTCATTTACTTTTTGATTTGGTTTGCTAGTATTTTGCTGAGGATGTTTGTTTCCCTGTTTATCAGGTATTTTGATGTGTAGTTTTATCTTGTGTGTGTCTCCTTGTCTGGCTTTGGTATCAAGGTGATACTGGCCTTTTTATATAAGAAGTTAGAAAGAAGTCTCTCCTCCTTGATTTTCTGGAGCACTTTTGGGAGGATTGACATTAGTTCTTCTTTGTATGGGTCATATAACTTAGCTGTGACTCCATTTGGTCCTGGGCTTTCTTTTGTTGTTGTTTTTTATTACCGTATTTTAAAATCATATTAGACTTCATAAATGTTCTTTAAAGCAGTTAAGTATTTAAATATAACTAGCCATTTAGATTATTTTATGATTGTCTCTATTATGAATCTTTGTTGAACATAATAGAACACAGGTTTAATTTTCAAAATTGTATTTTATTATGGAAAGTTTGTAGAAGTGATGTTACCATGTCAGAAGCTATGAAGATTTTTCTTTGTGCATAATGCTAACATCTTTTCCAAAGAAAAAGTCATGGCAGTTGGCAGTTCTATCAGAAATGCCTAAATCATTTCAAGCAACAAACACTCTGGAAGGTGCTGTAGCTGGAAGCCACATCTTATACCCACTCCTCTAAAGTGCTAGCAAAACAGAGGCCTTTCTATATTCATATTTTTTTAGTTCATATCTTTATGGACAAAAGGAAAAAGCAAATCAAAGCACCAGAGATGATGAAATGGGTCACACAAGCAGTCCTCTACTCATCTCCTATAAGTGAATTCAAATGTTGCAATGATGCCATTTTCAGGCCTGTGCAGAAGATTCATGTAACTCCCTTGAGACTACTCTTACCTTGGTAGAGGCAGACTAGAATATTTAAATAAAATTTTCATGAAAAATGGATCAACATAGAACCATACTTTCCCCAGTCTAAGGAAATAAAGGCCCACCCTTTTGCACTTTGCCATGGGATTCTCTACACCAGCCCCTCACTCCCTGGTCTTTCCCAGTATATCCTCACTTTTCTTTTGGTTTCAAATCACTGTGTTCATTTTTATTCGCTCTTCCTAATGCCTAGATTATATTTTTATTATTTTCCCTCTATTAATACTCAACTATTATTTCAATGGTCATCCAAAAAATTATAATAATATCCTTTACTTATCATAGTTTAATATAAATTAATAATTTCATTATTTCCTATTAAAACACTTTAATTCCATTTACCTTGCTACTTTATTGTTTGCTGATTATTTACTTCTATATATGCAGTACACTCAGAGACCAGTATTAGTGCTATTTTTACTCAGTCTTATAACTGTTACTAATATACATAATTATATTTTTCATTGCTTTTTAAATTCATTGCTGATTCCCTGAGTTGCCTTCTGGGATTACTTTTTTCTCATAAAATAAAATTATTTATGAGAACCATTTGACCCAGCCATCCCATTACTGGGTATATACCCAAAGAATTATAAATCATGCTGCTATAAAGACACATGCACAAGTATGTTTATTACAGCACTATTCACAATAGCAAAGACTTGGAACCAACCCAAATGTCCATCAATGATAGACTGGATTAAGAAAATGTGGCACATATACACCATGGAATACTATGCAGCCATAAAAAAGAATGAGTTCATGTCCTTTGCAGGGACGTGGATGAAGCTGGAAAGCATCATTCTCAGCAAACTATCGCAAAGACAAAAAAACCAAACACCGCATATTCTCACTCATAGGTGGGAATTAAACAATGAGAACACTTGGACACAGGAAGGGGAACATCACACACCGGGGCCTGTTGTAGGGTGGGGGCACGGGGGAGATATACCTAATATAAATGACGAGTTAATGGGTGCAGCACACCAACATGGCACATGTGTACATATGTAACAAACCTGCACGTTGTGCACATGTACCCTAGAACTTAAAAGTACAATAAAAAAAGACAAAAAAAGTTAAAAAAATTATTTAGTGTTTTCTTTAGTGATGGTGACAGATTCTCTCAGTTTTTTTTCTGAAAATGTTTTAATTGTATGATTATTTTTTAAGGCTGCTTTGAGTAGGATTCTGAATTGAAAGATTTTTTTCCAGCCTTTGAAGAAATCATTTCATTTGCTTCTGAGTTTTAGTGTTTAATTTAATGAGTCTTCTATCATTTTATTATTGCTACTTTGAAAGGAAACAGTTGTGTTTTTTCTGGTTGTTTTTAAAATATTTTTTCTCCTTTATTTGGGAGGCTGGTCTCAGTTTTATTTTAGTATGCTATGATGTGATTTTCTTTGTATTTATCTTATTTAGTCTAAGTAATGTTTCTTGAGTGTCTAGCCTAAAACCTTAAACTAGTTTTGAAAAATTTTAGCCAATATCTTTTTAAAAATGTTTCTGCTCCATTATTTTTCTCTACTGGGGCTCTATTCTTAAGCTTTTTTACTGTTTAACAATGTGGTTGTTTCTCTTTTAGTAACCTCAGCTTTATCTAATCTTCTGTTAAGCCCAGCCATTGAATTCTCAATTTTATTTAGCAGCATTCTTAGCTCTATGCTTTGAATTTTGTCATTTTAAAAATGCATATGTATACTTACCTTTAGAAACTATCTGCCTTGTCTTCTGTATTTTAAAACACAAAGTCTTATTATACATGTTAAACAAATGGAAGGAACAAAGCAAATATACATGAATGTGGTATATAAATCAGAGCACTCAATTTAAAAATTGAACAAAGAACTTTATTTTCAAAAATGCTACATTATTACATTAACAATAAAACAATTATATTGTTATATAGGAGATTAGATTTTATGGCCAGATGTTATTTTCATAAAGCACTTTTACAATCGTACAGCTTCACTACTGACCAGCTTCACAGCGGCATCTCACTGCAGTTTAAAAAATATTCACTGGCTTCCTATTGCAGTTTAATAAATACTATGCTTTATTTGGATATGAAACAAATTAAAATACATATTTAATAATTCATAGATTTAATTTTTTTCAGGACGTTTTAATAAAAGGAACAATGTGTCAGATGTTAAAATAATACAATTAGAAATATGAGTCAAATAAAATAAAAATTATGTAAGGTGCTAATTGATATCATCTCCACTATGATATGAACTCAGCTTTTATTTCTGACAGTACCCGCCCTCTTGCTGATCACCCCAACTTGAGGGCTGGACCAGGCATGAAGTCATAAACAGGCATGAGCGGCAGTGGTGCTTGGGGCGAGGGAAGTGATGGGATATATCCTTTTTAGAGAAGATTCAATGAAAAGCTAGACAGATGCTCCAACAGATGTACCAAAATCAGGGGGTTAGAGAGAGAGAAAACTAGAAGTGATCAAAAAAGAAACCAGAGAAATGAAACACATGTTGAAGTGCAATATGGGCAGTGGGTGTGGGATAGAAACAGGCACTAGTTTAGTCCATTTTTACATCTTTTATGGGTTAGGGAATAACAAACAAACAGAAAAACAACTGCTAAATGTGCTGTAACAGATCAGAAAACGTATACAAACAGACCATATTGCCAGTTTTCAAACTCACCGTACTGTTTTACTATCATGCTTTTTCAAGCTGATCTCCATCTGGAATGGTTTTTCTCCTTGAAATCTTCAGCTATATATGATAGCCATCATTTAAGAGCTGGTTCAAATTTTAGACTTAACAGAGTGTTAGTTAGGATTAGTGTTAGGATAAAGGTTAGGATTTCTACTGTTCACCTACAAAAAGGACTTCAACTTGCTCTTAACTCAGTACTGTGATTTTACTTTTATCAATGAAATATTTTCTAGCCATTATCATTTTAGTTGTATATATGGTCACATTACAAATATATCTGGTTTTAAGTAATCTGGCACAGGTTTGGTTACTTTATAGATATTTGCACCTGCCTTGTTCCCTACTAAATAATATGCTCTGAATGGTCAAGACTGTGCTGAACATGTCTCTGTATCTACTGGAAAGTAATGCCAAATAATATTAGGAAAGTAAACTAATGAAAATGAAAGGCATTTTTCTCAAATTATTTCTTTCATAACATGTATAACTTAAAAATGTCACCAAACTTTGTTTTGGGTTAAATTTTCAGTTTGAATACATTCTCTTTTTCTCTCCAAATAAATATTAAATATGCAAACACAGAGATATGCACATATACTTGTTGCATTGTGCAAATAATAATAATTACATTTATGATTTGTTTAAATAGATCAAATAATAAAAATTAGTTTAAATCTATTTGTTTTGACTTGTTTACATTCTTAGTTTGCTCATAATTATGACCTTTTAATACCTCGCCAAACCAGTCATATAAAATCAAGAATAAAATTGTGGGGACATATGATGATAAGATATGAACCAATCAATTATTTTAGATGATATTCTGCGCACAAAACATTATCACAGATTCAGTGGGAATACAAAATTACTATAAAAATGGACCTGCCCTTGGTAAGCATAAAATCTGACTGAGGAGAGAGAGGCTCGCAGGTGAAATATTGTGAAAATAATGCCTGACAGAATTTAATTGTTAAGTTGTATGGTTTGTATCTATAAATAGTGAAGGAACTGAATACCATCTTCATGTGAAAAGCTCTGCAACTAGACTTAACTAATTTGCGTAAGAAAAAAATAATAATGAATTTTTAGTGCAGTAATGTCAATGCTACTCTTCACATTCATGTCTATATTTTCTATTATAAAAAGACTTTCCTAAGTATAAATATCAGAAGAACATGAAGCAAATTTATATTTGATTTGAGGCATAAAAAACTATAAGATCAATTTTTACCCTATATAACCAATGTACCAGACATGTTATGGTAGAATTTTAAAAATCTGTAATTTGCTAATTGTTTAATAGACTTTGTGAGTGTGAGTGAATTACTTAGTAAATTCTTTTAGCCAAAAAATAGAAATGAAAAATTATTGTCAATGACAATGTTCATAATACTCTAAGCTTTGTTTTATATACAGCAAGCTTGAACTTACAGAAAATTTACATAAATCTGTATTTGGCGGGGTTCTCTAGAGGGACAGAACTAATAGGATAGGTGTATTTATAAGAGGGAGTTTATTAAGTAGTATTGACTCACATGATCACAAGGTGAGGTCCCACAATAGGCCATCTGTAAGCTTAGGAGCAAGAAAGCCAGTCCAAGTCCCAAAACTGAAGAACTTGGAGTCAGATGTTCGAGGGCAGGAAGCATTCACCACGGGAGAAAGATGTAGGCCAGAAGACTAAACCAGTCTAGTCTTTCCATGTTCTTCTGCCTGCTTTTATTCTGATCATGCTGGAAGCTGATTAGATGATGATACACAGATTGAGAGTGGGTCTGCCTTTCACAGTCCACCGACTCAAATGTTAAGTCATTTGACAACATCCTCACAGACACACCCAGGAACAATACTTTGCACCCTTCAATCCAATCAAGTTGACACTCAGTATTAACCATCACACATCTTATGCACCCATGACTGTTTATTCCAAGCTCTACTAACTCCTTTTGTTTTGTAGAAAATTTATAAGTTTATACATACAAAGATAACCCGCTCCCCAAATTGTGAATACTGAGTTGGAAGTTAATAAAGTTATGACGTATATACCTCCATCAGGAGAGCACAAAAAGGAGAGAAGAAGAAGAAATGAGGGAAATATAAATAAATGAAATATAAACATATACAAATATATATGAAATACAAATAAATGAAGGGACACATAACGCACCTATGAATTTGATTCCAAATATATGGGTTGAGGTGATTCTGACCAAATTCTATTCCACACTCATGCTTCCAAAATATCAGGATGAAAAAAATCTTCAAATTTTTAAGTGACTCAGACTTTTTTCTATGACCTTTTTGATTTTTATCTGCACCACTGTGATCTATGTGATCTCATCAATCCACACAGATTTTAATACCAACTATGTGGTGGGCACTTTCAATGATCTATTTCTTGTAAAAGTTACACATACCTCTACAAATGTTTTCTTAGCCCCTCTTTAATAAGTGATGAGAGAGGAGAATAGATCTTATAAATCATCTACTGTTCTTTTGATACATTAGTTTGATTTAATAATTCAATTCCATAAATATAGGCAAGTTTGTTAATTACAAATAAAAACATTATATATCTATATCTACAGTTCTAACCAATAGCCAAGTCATCTAGACAATAAAACATATAAAATACTCAAAAGATATCTCACTTTGGAGCCCTATCAAGTCTGGATAAAAGTGATAGTATATCCATGAGATGGATGTTTCTCTCACAATTTCAGGATTCATTCTGCCACCGGCAGGAGTTTTCTGTATTGAGTATCTATAATCAAAAAACATTTTTCATCTTACCAGGGTGACTCTAAGATTACTTCTTCCAGAGACATTGTATAAGCGTATTGAAGCCAAAGGAATCCAATCATCTTTTTAACACATTTTTCTTTCTGGAATATATTTTCCCTTCTTCACTTTGAAGAATTTTAAATCATCCTCAACTACCCTCTTGAAAATGACCAAATAAATGCTTGATCTATTTCTGCCTTGAATTATCTATCAACTCTATCTCCCACCATTTTTTAAACTCTTCGATGGTACTTATGTTATTTTGTGTGCTTCAGTAATGAGTTCAAAATGCCAGATGAGTTTACCTTATCCTCTCATATTTAAACCTAATCCATTTAAATCATCCCCTTGAAACAATCATGCCTTTTCTACTTACAACTACCCAAATTTTGATCCCATACATGTCTCTAATTCTGCAGATGGTCTTTTCTCTGTATTCAGTGCTGTTTCAAGAGTGATATATAGCTTATTTTGCTTGATCTCCCCACACTCAAAAATAAAATAAAAATATGCACGTATTTTTGAAATAAAACCAATGCATACATACAGTAGAATTTAAGAATGCTAGCCTGGGCAACATGGTGAAACCTCATCTCTACAAAAAAATATAAAAGTTAGCCAGGAGTGGCAGTGCATGCCTGCGGTCCCAGCTACTTTGGGGGCTGGGCTTGAGCCCAGAAGGCAGACATTGCAGTAAGTCAAGATTACCACTGCACTCCAGCCTGGCTTACAGAGTGAGAGACTGTCTCGAAAAATAAACAAATGTTTTGCAGAAGTTGGAGGAAGGGCACATTTATATTACAGTAACACACTTTAAAATAAAACATTAAGAAATGTCCTGTTCATAAAAGTCTTTTGACCAAACTGCTAGTGGCAATTTCTTTCCTGATCATGTTCTCCAGGTCTCCAGACTTTAAATTCAAGCCACATCCATAGTTTAATTAATCTAATCCCATTCCCATTCCTCTTTCTCCAGGTTCTCCAACCTCAAATTTATGGTTCTTAGGCTATCTTTCTATTTTTTAATTGATTTCCAAATAATATCTTTTGGATCTCAGTATGCCGATTCAAGGGAGGTTGGCAAGATACTTACTTTTTTTTAAAAAAAGACAGCCTACTACCTAACAAAATTCTGATGCCAGGTAAAAATGTAATATATATTTTTTACCTTATTATAGTTATTTGAACTTCTCTTCACACCTTTATTAGAGATAACAAATGATTTTCTAACTGTAGAACTTTTCATTTATCTATATCCATCTATGTGTATATATATATATATCTTCTGTGAAATATATATATAATAATCATCTGATAAGTTTCTGATATTATCGTCCTTATAAAAACTGTCAAAATCAATCTGGCTTTTACTTCTTAGTAAAAAATAATTATTAAAACAGTGAACTAGGTTTTCTTGACAACGTAAATTATGATTTGTAGATTTTATCTGCCCCAATTCCAGGCAACTGCTTCAGCTGCATTGGAATCAACTGTGTTTAAAGTTATATAATAATAGAATAAATAAGCAAGAGAATTTAAAAATTATCAGTCTAAAATTACCATTATTAATAAAATAATCTGAGAAGCGAAAGAAGGCAAGCTGTAGGTTAAACAGTGGAGTAGAAATTTAAAATGACTTGGGGTGTTTTGAGTTTTAATAACAGTGATGGTTAAATGCACTTGAAGCTGTATTTTGAGACACAAACCTGGAGTTTAATACTAGTCCTAATTTATATAACCTTATGAAAATTTATTTCTATTACTTATTTGTATTTCTGAACCATGACACAGGATTTGTAGCAATTTACAGTGACCTACATGATGAATGAAAAAGATATATTTAAAAAATTAAGACTAGAACCTACAGCAAACAGCAAATATGTTAACAATAAATGGTAATCTTTCATTTGACCCTAAGCTTGCTCAAAGCTAGGACCCAAACAGAAAACTTTCTTGTTATATACTTCCCAATTTTAGACAGCACCTCAAGTTCCTGTTGCTTTCAAAAGACAAATCTAACAAATTCCCTAATACCAGTCTCTAAACTTGTTTTCTCACTTACATAGTGTATTTAGTAAATATTCATGAATAAGTATCAAGATTCTTAGCAGCTGTTGATGATACCAATTAGGACAATTAAGATGTGGCCTGCTCATGATAATTCTTCTGTCCCACTAAACACACAGAGTTGTATCCTCAGTGGCTATGTGTCCTTTGAAATTTTTGTCCTGGAACATGGATCATGAGTAGGTGAACTGGATCCTCATTATTAAGCATGTGAAATTTGGACTTGGAGATATCAAAAACAGGGAACTGCTGGAACTGAGTTGTATTAATGGCAGCTGCTTGGAGAAGTCAACAGATTTTTCCAAAATTGTCCAGCTCTATTTCTTCAGCTCTCTTTTCACTTCCGTGAGTTACATCATCGCCTTCCTATGAATTCAATCTGCTACGGAACCCTAGCTAAATTCAGTACAATTTAAGATTTGGGCATATATAAGCATACATATATGAGCTTTTAGGAGTGGTAGGCCAAGCAAAGTTTTCAACATTGTCAACAGATTAGGTGATTTAATTTCCATATAATATTTTAGAGATATTTGTTTTTCTTTTCCTTGAGCCAAACAGGCTGTAAGTATTCTAAATAAATAGTTTCTTGAGAAACTGTAATTACCAGTGTGTACAGAGACAGAGCAGTTCCATGGACATAAGTTTGGTAGCTATAAGAGGAAACCGGCATTAATGAAGTGGGTTTATGAAAATCTTATCAGTTGGAGCATTTAAAACAAAGCAGTTAAGAGGCTTTTATATCATTAACCAACCACAATCACTCATAATATCACTCTGAGGCTTTAATAAAATAGTTTTCTATTTAACCTCAGTTTAAATGAAGGCAACAACTACTCTGAAAGTATTAACAGTTTTAAATTAGTACTTCACTTATGAGAAGCTCTGCTAAGATATTGATCTTAGCTGAGAAAAAAGATTTATGCTCAATAATATTAATTACAACATTATATATTAATAGAAAAAATGAAATTTCCAAAGTCAAAGTTAGAATTATGTAAAAATGTAATATTTAAGTAAATTGTGGTGAATACATATAAGAAACCAACACAAAAACTTTAAAATTAAAGTGCAATGACATGGGAAAATGCTGACATAATGTTGGGTGAAAAGACAGTTTATAAATATGCATATTCTTAATATTTATATTGTTTTAAAATTTACATAGCATAGAAAAATTAAAGAGTTTTCTACCTTAATCTCAGCTCCTGGAATGGTCAACAAACTTCTACTGTTGAAACAGTGGCCGTTAAACACTTTCTTCTCTTCTGTGAATGACCTACCCTAGTCTCCTTCAAGAAATTCTCCCAAATCAAAATTTTATTAAAAAATCAAATTATAGGAATAAAAAATCACGACTTAATCCAAATTTGGAAAAAAATGTAAATATATACATATGCTGTACATGCAAGCAAATAAACAGAACAAAGAGTAGAAAATTTTACAGCAAATTACAACCTATTACCTTTGAAGAAGGAAGAGTATGGATGGGAGCTGAGATCTTCTATATTTTACTTTGTGATAATCTCTACAGCCTGAGTCTTTTGTGATAAAACTAATATAAACATACATGACAACAAAAAGTAAAGAAAACATAGGAAATTAGCAAAATGGATTATACGTCTATTTAAAAATGTCAAAGTATTACCTTTTTCAAGATAATTTATATTTTTTATTTGTGTGTGTGCGTGTGTGTGTTTTAAAGACATAATATCCCTTGTTTCCTATAGGAACTGTTATTTTCAGTCTCAAAAGGCCAAATAGTGTTTGGAAATGCATTTGAATTGTTGAAATGTGCCCAGCGTTACTGCAGAATATTAAGCTTAACTTAGTTCTTAATAATATTTGTTTGAGATACCTATGAAACATCAAAATGTCATTGAAAAACTCTTCAATACATTACTGCAGCAAGTAGCAAGTGGCCTCCGAATGTTTGTATTGGCTTGCAATTCTCAGGAATTTCATCTGTGGCTTTTGCAAGCTATATATGAGCTGAGATTTGTCATAATCTGCTTTGTTTGTTCCATCCCTGGGAGGTCATCTCAATGGGAATTTTATCAAAAATAACCATATGGCAATAACAATAATCCTTCTGCATCTAGATTAGTTCTCTGTTTTATTTCACTAATGAATGCCCTGGAGAAATATGGGTAATTTTACAGAACAAATTAACCTTAGAGCACAGCTACTTATAATGTTAATTTTACTGGACACCTACAAAGCAGTATAAATTTAAGTATAAAATTAAGTACCCTTCCAGGCCTGGTAGAAATCAAATAGCTAGGACCTAAATATAACGATAATTAACCTAAAATGGTGTTAAGATATTCTTTAGATAAGTACTGATAAATGTCACATTTGGGATCCAAATTCCAAGCAAACAGAGAGAATATAGGAATCGGACTAAGACCCCATCCTATGTATCACTTGTGCAACAGTAGTTCAGAGGTTGCTTTTGCTGGCAAGGAAATCTGATTTTCAATTACTATGTTTCCAGCACATAATGGCCATGACTTGTTTATCACCAGCACCATAATATGAGTTGCATTTTGTTTCCCTCCTTCTTTCATTTCACTGCAGAATTAACAAAATATAAGTCTCTGTCCTACTAATAGGGCAACATGAAAACTAATTGGTATTCTCTGTTTTCAAATATTTGTATCCTCAAGCCTCTCTGCTTAAAAAAAACCTGACAGAGTCTCTTCATTATCTCATTATGCTATAATTATTGCATACTCAATTGCCAGGGCCTGAGAGTAATTCATTTATGTTGTGCATCAATATAAGCTTGTGCCTCTAGAACTAGATTTAACCAACTTTAAAACATTCTAATTTGTTATTTGTCTCCTGGTTATTCCACTCATGAATAATCTTTTTCTTTTTATTAAAAGAGGAAAAATTTAAATTAATATACAAGCTATTCTAGCTTTTAAGGCTTTGTTGATATTTCTTTGCTATTTTCTTACATCTGACTCAGACAAGATCAAAAAGTATTTTCTGATACTTTTGTGCACACCTGTTCACATCTGCCATATTCAGGCTGGCATTCTGTTACTCTCATCCAGTAAACTCTTCTGAAATTCATACATCTTTCTTCCTATTGTTGACACGATGACTATCACATTAGTTACTCCTTATTGTGCAATTTTAGTCAATTTACTTCAATTCAATACAACCAAGTCAAATAAGCAAGCATCTATTTTGTAATTCCAAGCAGACTGATTTCTAAATTGTACATACTAAATATATATTTATTGAATTGACTTTCTCAGTGAGGTAAAAATCTGTTTCCATTTTTATATGTCAGTATTTTTACATTCCATTTTTCTACTTCTTTAACTTATTTTCCAGTCAATGTATACAATCAATGGAACATAAATCATAAATCTCTTAAGTACACAAATATAACAATTTCCTCCAAAGATCTAGAAACCCGAGGGTTCCATTAGAGATTCAAGTTCTTTCCCTTGTACCACATAAACCATCCGCCTTTTCTGTCTTTATTTTGTTCTCCAACCTTTCAAATCTTCAAATGTATTGTGCCCATCGTAGTTCTACCCAGTTTTCTACATATTCTACATCAGATATTTAAGGCAACTACTTCCCAATGCAATAGAGGTACTCAGAAAAATATTACAAACAATAAAAATGACAATAACCAGAAACTCAAACGACAACCACAACATGAAAACACACGTCACAAGGAAATAAGGCCACTCTCAGACTTCTCCTTCATGAAGTTTCTTTCTGTTTCTCTTTGCCACCTTTGTCAAACACTATCATTTCTTAATGGCTTCTCTGCTTCTAATGCACCCCTAATAATTCATTCTCTATAGAAAGATCTTTTAAAAATATACATTATATCATATTACTTTCTTTTTTTGTTAGTTTGTTTTGTTTTTTGGACAGAGTCTCACTCTGTAGCCCAGGCTGGAGTGCAGTGGTGTGATCTCGGCTCACTGCAGCCTCCGTCTCCTGGGTTCAAATGATTCTCCTGCCTCAGCCTCCAGAGTAGCTGGCCAACATGGTGAGAGCCCATCTCTACTAAAAATACAAAAATTAGCCGGGTGTGGTGGCAGACATCTGTAATCCCAGCTACTCTGGAGGCTGAGGCAGGAGAATCGCTTGAACGCGGGAGGCGGAGGTTGCAGTGAGCCGAGATCGCACCATTGCACTCCAGCCTGGCAACAGAGCGAGACTACATCTCAAAATAAATACATAAATAATTAAATAATCAAATACAAAGAAAAAAGAAAAAAGAAAATTATATTCAATGCTTGCTAGTCAAGCATAGAATGTAAGTGGCAAATAACATATATTAATTTAATATTTAAAATAATCTAATGAGTTAAGAACTATTTTTATGCCCAATTTTGCAAAGAAAGTGAGACTTGTAAAGACAACATTTCAGTTATATGTATATGTATGTATGTATATATATATATATATATATATATATATATATTTTTTTTTTTTTTTTTTTTTTTGAGACAGAGTCTTGCTCTGTCGCCCAGGCTGGACTGCAGTGGCGCGATCTCGCGTTTCAGTTATATATTAAGCCGAGTCTCTCAGACCTCAATATGACTTTGGAGAAGACTTGGATGTAACAACTATGCTGAATTTCTTTATTATTCTGAAAGGCTTCAATAAGTGTAAGGCAGATCACCAGCCATCACAATGCCTCTAATGTAATAACCTGTTTTTTCACAAACTTCCAATGCCATCTTTATCACATACAAAAGTCCTATATAAATATTGATATGTTTCAGAACTTTCTGATCTGCTCTACTTATCTGTCTCTCTGTGTTTAAAGTAGTATTTCAACCATAGCAATTTTATTAATATTTTTTCAAAACTGGAAGAACAAATCACATTTTAATTACCTCCTTATTCAAAATATGTATTGTTCATTTTATCTATTTATTTTATAAAGTAAACATTTGTCTTATTAAGCCAATTGCCAAGCCTGAATCTCATTGAAATTTTAACTTTCATTCTATTACTTTTTTGAGCTTTATGCAATTTATATACAGTCGAGTTTTCCCTTCCATGGATTTAGGACACATTATTTTAAGTAAGACTAATTTGGAATTCTTTCTCAACATATTTAGTCTTCTTACAAAATTTCTGTTTAAAAGCTTCGTGTAAAGTCTTATGTAGTTTATTTCCATCTTTTGTCTTCTGTTATTGTGAAAGAAACTTTTTCTATCGTGTTGTTATATTTTCTATTTTATCGAATATATATGCCATTTCTATTTATATTCTTGTATGGAGTGGCCAGCGCAAGGCTTAGTGCATCTCTCAGCCTGACTAAACTTCAGACAGTCTTCTTTCTGACTATATATCCTAAGCTCCTTTTTCTGAAAAGTTATTGTAAATTCTTTTTTCCTGCCCCACTGAGATGTGTGTGTGTGTGCGTGTGTGTGTGTGTGTGTGTGTGTGTGTGTGTGTGTATATATATATTTTTTTTTTTTTTGAGATAGAATCTCACCCTGTCACCCAGGCTGGAGTGCAGTGGGTGATCTCGGCTCACTGCAACCTCTGCCTCCCAGGTTCAAGGGATTCTCCTACCTCAGCCTCCTGAGTAGCTGGGACTACAGGTGCGCACCACCACGCCTGGCTACTTTTTTGTATTTTTAGTAGGGACAAGGTTTCACCATGTTGGCCAGACTGGTCTCGAACTCCTGACCTCAAGTGATCCACAACGCCTCGGCCTCCCACAGTTCCGGGATTACAGGCATGAGCCATGGGAGATGTAAATACTTTTTAAACTTTTTGAGGGTGTTACTTTCCAAAAATATCTTTCTCAAAGACCTAGAAACCATCTCTTTGTAATGCAAGCATCAAAGAAAATAGCATCCCTCTCACCCCTCTCTCCCTGTTCCTGTATCAGGACAGGAGCCTAACTTTATTTTATTTCCCCGCTCTAATTTGTAAAACTACCACTGATGATGAAGATCTGAGAAAGTTTACTTTTCCTTTGGGTAAGGCCGGTTAGCAAACACAGGTAGCTGGCCTGGCTCTTAACTCCTCAGTCCTTTGTGCTCAGCTGAATTGAGCTGAGACTGCTTCTGGCTTCTCTCCTCTATTACAGTCTTCTTGAATAAAGTTTTCCTTGCCTGGTTAATGTGAAATTTTTGCTTTCAGAAGGGCCAATAATCTGTTTCTACATTCTTTTGTGTTTTTCCAGAATAATCAGATCCTCCAAAAAAAAATTGATATCCTGTATTATCTTATACCTAAAAGCTTATTGTTCCTAAATTGTCAAGAATCACATTCCTATATTATCAAAAACATAAAAAATTGTAACTAATAATGTATGTTATATACTATCGCTTTTTTTCTGATTTGTGATTTACTCTACAGGAATATTAAGATATTTTCGTATTAGAATCATGTTGGCTTAATGAACTGGGATTTAGAAGCTTTTCTTCTAACATACTTTATTGTAGGTATTCTCAGTTTTATAGACGTTATCCAAAATTATGACCAGTACTTACTTATTTTTATGTCTAGAATTTTGATTATTGTTAAAATTCACTATATTTGATTGTTTTAATCTAGTTAACCATCTCTTCTTTTGTCAGTTTTTACTGTTTAAATTTTCAAAAATATATTTATTTATAAAAGTATTCAATTTAATTAGTGTGAATTTGTATATATTATTCTCTTACATTTTAAAATTATCTCATAATTGGAATGGTATTTATTTTGCCAATTATATAGTTGCATTTTTCCCTCTTAATTGGCTTTATCATATTTGTGTTCATTTTACTGAATTTATGTTTGGCATCCAATTCATAAATTAAATCGGTATTTTTGATTTCTAGTTATTGAATACAAACCTTGGTCTTTATTAATACTTCACTTCTACATTCCTCGGTTTAATTTCAATAATTTATTATTGGTCTCTTGAATTGGAATTCGTTTTATAATCTTTAAAAATATATCATTAATGACTGTATTTTTTCATAAAATACACTTGTCAATTACCCATTGCAAATTTAGCCACAAAATAAAACTGAATTAATCCCCTGATTAAAAAAAATGTAGACTATAATATCTGTGTTTAAAGTAACAAAAAACAAAGGTGGGATATTAAAAAAACTAAATTATTTGAAAATGAAACAAAATTTATCTCTCCCACCTCTTAATTCCTCTTAAGTCAAAGATAATATAACAATGAAAATAACATATACTGAAATTCTTTGGTGTAAGCAAAGAGTTATTTACAAGTTAATTCTTAGCTCTAACGTATTTCATTACTAAACTTAAAAGAATAAAATTTAATTAAGTATACATTTTACATTATGCATTTGTCTACACAAATAAAGGGAAAATGCAATAAGGGCTTAATCAAGTACTAACTACTTAAATGTTACAAAGTCCTAAAGGGCCTTAGAGGTCTATACCTTTGCAAGAGAGAATGAATAAATAATATACCTTCAACACATGTAAACCTCTAATGATACAGAGAGCTACTGTTGTGATTAATAAAATAAAATGTAGCCCAGTGTTTACAAACAATGAACTTTGGTGGCAGAATGATATGGGTAAAATCCCAGTTCTCCCTTTTGCCAGTGTTGACCATATCAAGTAATGTGACTTCTAAAACATCAGTTTGAGCATCTGCTAGATAGAGGTACTTATTTTTTAGTAGAAATGCCCTGAGGATTAAATGAAATAATGTATATTTTACATTTTGTGCTGGCTACACAGTAAGCATTTACTATATCCTGAGCAATATTATCATAGATATTTTAAGTAGTATTGCATCTTCTAAAAGGCCCAGTAAATCACATATGTAGGAATAAATTAAAGGACAAAGGCTGAATAACATTTATTCTAGGATTGAAAAATTTATTTGATGTGAGATGATGTAAGAAATAATACATAAAACTAGCAGATAAATTGGTGTTAAGAAATTCTATTTAATTAAACACTCATTCCTAATTGAAGTGATTAAACATGATCTTTAATATGATTAAAATTCACTTATTTAAAATTAATAGCAATCATTTTACCTAATGACAAAATATATTGGCATTCTCATACATATGGAAGGAAGATCAAAAGTTCATCTACATAATTATAACATTGTCCTAGAAAAATTAGCCAAAGTAATAATAGCCAAAATAATAATAATAAAAGATAAAAAAGCTATAAAATTTAAAGACAGAGGAGCAAGACATTAAATATGTAGAAAATATAAATATTTTAGAATCGGCAATTCATAAAGAAATATACAAGTCAATTGTCTTCCTATGTTTTCTACCTACAACCAATTAGAAGACATAATGAATATTCCTAATAATAGTGATAAAATGTAAAATACATTCAATAATATTATTCCTATTTTAAAAATCATATATCTAAAAATCTCCTGACTAGCAAAATAATAATATTTTGTTATAATTGCTAACATTTCATGGCTGTCTACAAAATGTTAAATGCATGACCAAGAAATATTTATAATAATTTGTAAAATTAATATTCTTTTTTACTTATTTTTTTTTAAGAGACATGGTTTTGCTCTCACTGTGTTGCCCAGCCCGGTCTCAAATTTTTGAGCTTAAGCAATCCTCCTGCCTCAGCCTCCTAACTGTCTTTAAAATCATAAGATATTGGTACTATTATTTGCCTTATTTGATGGATGAAGAAGCTGAGATTAAACAGATGAAAACAGAGCTGACAAATTTCAGAGCCGAGATGTGAATTCATTTTGTGCAGTCACTATCTAGCAGACACTTCCAGTTGCCTACTCAACACCCAGTCTTCCTTTTTCTTTACAAATAGACACAAAATTCTGTTGAGGATGAGTAGGAAAAAAAAATGCATGCATTGTGGGAAGACTCAGCTAGTAGATATGTTTCCCCTTCCCCTTTGTCTTTTGACTCACCTAAAATGTAAATGAGATTTTAAATAAAGCAACTAACTGCTCCGCAGCCATCAGGCATGAAGATCAAAGCCAGCTTCAATGACACTATTCAATACTAGAGGCAAGGATATAGTGAAAGAAGGATTCTCATAGACTTCATTTTGGAGAAGTTAACTGGAAGGCAATTTAGAATTGAAGATACAATATTCAAAATATTTTGCTTTCTACTAGCATATTTCCAAAATTCTCAGTAATAATATTATTAATTGATAGTGGTACATAGTTAAATATTACAACAATATTTTAAAATCATGTTTTTTAAATCTAATAAATTATGTGTGGAAACATTTTTTATAACATTATTTGGACGGGTAAAAATGACAAAATTAAGATATCCTAAAGTATCTTTAAAATGTGTGTGTGTGTGTGCGTGTGTGTGTGTGTATGTGTGTGTTGCAAGCATCCAAACATAACATTTTCTAATGCTGATGGGAAAAAATACATTTCTGAGTTTTTCAAATAATTTTTAATAATCATATATGACTTTCATAATAAGTAAAATAACTTTAAAAACCTGGCCTCAATATTCATTAGATATTTCAATCAAAATATCTTTTGAAAGTTGTGGGTGAAATTTAGTATTAAAGCAGCCAGTTTGCCACACAAAAGAAAAAAAAAGATGGCATCAAAATTATCAGTTGTGCAGGAGTGTTGGTACTTGGCAAAGTGTTCCGTGTCCTTAACACTTGTTTCCATTTGAGTGTGTGGCCTGAAATTCAGAGGGCGTTATGAGACAGACTTTTTGTATTCTGAAGCTGGGAAAAAGTGTGAACAGAGGTTACTTTTTATCTGGCTGCCTTAGAGAGGGTCATTAATGATATTTTCCTTGAAGTTTCAATTCATGACAATGTGAAGATATTGTTCTATACATTTTCACTCACACAGATAATTTTATATTAAAAAAGAAGATAATGGTTAGCTCAACAAAATCACATTAGCTTCAGTGGTTGCTAGCATAGTGTGTATGAAATTCCAGAAAGAAAAGCTTTCAAAGTATGGATCAAGAAATAAAATTAAGGTGATATCAGCAATATGGTACAATAGGAGCTTTCTACAATCACTTACCTTTAGAAGCATCAATTTTGACAATACCATGAATGAGAGTTACTTTGAGAGAGTCTAGAGGTCCAGCAAAGAAGTTACAGCACATCATTAGAACAACAACCAAAAAAGACTGAGACCAGATGTACTGAGAAGGATATGAATAACAACTTCATTTTACCTGGGTCACCCCTTCTCCAAGGTGGTACATCTCAATTCCAAGGGAGACCCCCTCAACCTGAGATTTCTCCCACAGAGGAGAGTGAAAGTATAGTGAGTGCCCAATTCTTTCAGCCATGTGGGACACTGCCCCCAATACTCATTTCTTTCTATTCTCACCCAGATAAATTAGGTGATCAGCGCAGCTGAGTGGTTGGGAGAGGCTGGGATCAGGGAACAGAAGCCACAGATCTTACCAACTGCTCTGTCAGGAAGCCCACTTATGGAACCCTTGGGAGGTCTCACACAACTAACCCAAACATACCCTAAATGATTTATGTAGCTTATGCATCCCCCTACTCCTTGTCCAGCTCCTCAAACACATCCCCTTGTTTGGGGGAGTGCAAGCTTCTTGCAGTCAGTGTTACCTTGTAGTATTGGGAAAAGGGACATAACTGAGAGTATTTCAGGGCACTAACCTAGGGAAAATGAATGTGAGTCTCTCTGCACTGAGCCTGGCTTTGTGGGGTTGGGAGAAAGAGAACAATATTAAGAATCCTTCCTCCTAAGAAGGAGCAAGAAGTGTATGAGTGAACATCATAGAGAACATCTGAGAGCCACAGATTCTCTAGCTGGGCTGATTGGTAAAGACGTTTCTCTGATGTTTCTTTCTGAAAGCCAGTCAGTAAAGCCTAGGAGATGAGACTCCTTCAAATGAGAAGACAGAAAGACAACTCTTCAAAGAACATGAAGTATCAAGGCAACATGACACCAAAAAAAGACACAATTATATTTCAGTAACCATTGCCAAAGAAATGTAAATCTTCAAATTGCTTCATAAAAGACAAAATAATTGTCTGAAGCTCAGTGAATTACAACAGAACACAGACAAACAACTCAAGAAGAATCCGGAAAACTTTACACAAACAGAATTATAAGTTCAATGAAGTTATAGAAATAAAAATACAAACAAAAATTATAGAGCTGAAGAATACAATAGATGGTATGAAAAAGTAAGAGAGCATCAACAACAGACTTGACTGAGCAGAAGAAAAAATCTGTGAAGTTAAAGACAAGTTATTTGAAAATACCCAGTTAGAAAAAAAAAAAAAAAAAGAGCGAGAGAGAGAGAGAGAGAGAATAAAAAGGAATGAAGAAAGCCTAGGATATTTATGGTGCACCACTGGTAGGGGTAAACTGCACATAATAAGAATCCCAGAAGATAAAGAAAGAAGGAGAATGGGGCAAAAAGATTATTTAAAAAATGGCTAAAAACTTCTGAAACCTGGGAAAGATATGTACATCGTGGTATTTGAAGCTCACAATTCTCCAATCATGTTAAACTCCCCCCGCCCAACACACACACACACACGCACACACATAAACACAAATCACCAATATACAGTATAATCAAACTGTTGTAACAACAATAACAACAACAATGAGAATTTTGAAAGCAACATTAGAAAAGAGTTTCCTCACATACAGGGAAACCTCCATAAAGCTACCAATCAGATTATTCAGAATTCTCAGCAAAAACCTTATAGGCCAGCAGAGAGTAAGATAATATAGGCAAAGTTTGAAAACTAAAAAAAATAAAAATAGAAGTAACAACAAACAATACTTAACCTGACAAACTTTTCTGTCCTTCAGAAAAAGAGAGAAAAATACTTTTCCCAGGTAAAAGCTGAGGAAGTTCATAATCACTAGACCTGATTTACAAGAAATGCTAAAGAGCGTTATTCAAGCTAAAATGAAAGGATGCTAATTAATAACATGGAAACAGGGCAAAGTATAAAACTTACTGGCAAAAATAGGTATACAGTTAAATTCAGATTACCCTAATACTATAATAGTGGCTGGCATGTAAATCACTTATAATGCCAGTAAATGTTAACTGCCAAAACTATTAAAATGATTATTACTAAAATAATTTACAATATGAAGAGATATAAACTGTGACATTGAAAACATAAAATTTCAGAGGGAAGGAATAAAAATGTGGTTTTCATATGTGATTGAAGTTAGGTTTTTATCAATTTCAAATAGGATATTTATATTATTATAATAATAGGATATTTTATGGAGTCTCATGGTAACCATAAGCAAAAGCCTGTACAAGATATACAAAAGATAAACAGAAAAGAATAAAAGTATACCAGCAAAAAAATCATAGATTTACAGAGGAAAGGAGCAAAAAAGGAAGAAAAAATAAAAACCAAAGAATCTAAAAAATAGCCTTAAAACTATAACAAAAGGACAATAGTAAATTTTTACTCATCAATATTTACTTTCAATGTAAATGTATTAAATTCTATAATAAAAAGACACAGCGTGACTGAATAAATTAAAAAATATAACCAAGCTGTATGCTTCCTAGAGCTTTAGCTTTAAGGACACACATATATTAAAAGTGAAGAAATAAAACATATATATATTTAATGCAAGTGAAAATCAAAAGAAACAAAGGGTATCTATATTTCTATTAGACAAAATAGATTTTGAGTCAAATATTGTAATAAGACTAAAAGTCATTATATAATGATAAAGCACTCCATTCATTAAGAAAATATAAAAATTATAAACTTACATGCATTCAACAGTTTAATACCTAATTAGGCAAAGCAGATATTAATAGATATTAAGGGGGAAGTAAATAACAGTAAAATAATTGTAGACTATAATGCCTCACTTTAAACAATGAATACATTTACAAACAGAAAATTAACAATGAAACATTAGACTTGAATTGCACTTTAGATCAAATAGACCTAACTGACTTATATAAAACATACCCAGCAGAGTACACATTCTTCTCAAGTGGACATAAGACATTGTCCAGGATAGATCATATGATGGGCCACAAAACAAGTTTTAAATTTAAGAAGATTGAAATTATATCAAGTATCTTTGCTGACCAAAATTGTATGACAGTAGAAATCAATAACAGAAAGTAAACTTGAAAATTTACAAATACGTGGAAATTAAACAACATACTTCAATACAACTAATGCATCAAAGAAGAACTCAGAAGGAGGTGGAGGTGGAGCAAGATGGCAGAAGAGAAGGCTCCACCAGTTGTCTGTCCCACAAGGACACCAAGTAAACAACTACCTACATAGAAAAAAACACCTTCATAAGAACCAAAAATCAGGTGAGCCCTCATTTGAATAGTATCTGGTTTTCATGATATATTGCTAAAAGAGACCCTGAAGATATAGAAAAAAACATTCTTGAATCCCTGACGCAACTCCTTCCCCCTCTTTCCACAGCAGCAGCATGGTGCAGAGAGCATCTCTGGGTGCTGGGGGAGGGAGAACATAGCAATTGTGAGGCACTGAACTCAGTACTATCCTGTTAGAAATGGAAAGAAAAAGTGGACCAAACTCAGCTGATGCCCGCCCACAGAAAGATCATTTAAACCAGCCCTAGCCAGTAGGGAATTGCTGACTCCAGCAGTCTGAACTTGAGAGCCGCAAACTTAGTCATCGAGGGCTACAGTGCTCTGTATCTCCAAGTAAACTTGAAAAGCAGTCTAGGCCATAAGGGCTGCAAATCTTAGGTCAGTCCTAGTGCTGCTAGGCCCAGAGACGGTGGACAAGGGGGCACATGACCTACTGATAAACTAGCAAGGGTGGCTAAGGGAGTGCTGGCATCACCCCTCCCTTAAGCACAGGTTACACAGATCATGACTCCAGAAAAGACCCCTTCCTTCTGCTTGAAGAGGGGAGATGGAAGAGTGGGAAGGACTTTGTTTTGCATCTTGGGTACTAGCTCAGCCATAGCAGGATAAGGCACTGCTCAGAGTCATAAGGACCAGTCCAGGCCCTAGCTCTCAGAAGACATTTCTAGACAAACCTTGGACCAGAATGGAATCTGTTGCTTGAAGGGAAGTACTCAGTCCTGGCAGCATTCATCACCTACTAACTGAAGAGCCCTGGGGCCCTGAATAACCAACAGCAATACTCAGGTACTACATTGAGAGCCTTGGGTGAGCCTCTGAGACTTGCTGGCTTCAAGTGAAACTCAGCATTACCAGCTGTGGTGGCTATGGGGTAAAACTCATTCTACTTCAGAAAAGCAGAGGGAAAAAATTTCTTGAACCAAATGGTAATGGAAAAACAATATACCAAAACAGCACAGGTAATACTAAAAGGGAAGTTTATAGCTGTAAGTGCCTAGATCAAAAAGAAGGAAAATGCAAATAAACTATGTAATGATGCATATTAAAGAATTAGAAAAGCAAGAGCAAACCAAACACAAAATTAGTAAAAGAAAAATAATAAAGATCACTGCTGAAATAAATTCACTTGAAATGAAGAAAACAAAAGATCAATGAAACAAAAAGTTGTTTTTTAAAAAAGTTAAACAAAATTGACAACCCTTTAGCCAGGCTAAGAAAAAAAGAGAGAAGATTCAAATAAAGTCAGAGATTTTAAAAAAGACATTACCACTGATACTGCAAAAATTCAAAGGTTCATTAGTAGCTACAAAGAGCAAGTATATACAAACAAATTGGAAAATCTGGAACAAATGGACAAATTTTTAGATGCATACAACTTACCAATATTAAACCAGGAAGAAATCCAAAACTTGGACAGACAAGTAGCAAGTAATGAGATTGAAGCCATAATAAAATGTCTCTCAGTAAAGCCTGGATAGCTTAATTATTATTAATTAATTATACCAAACTTTTAAAGAAGAAACAATATGAATCCCACTAAAACTATTCCAAAAAATAGAAGAAGGAATACTTTCAGATTCATTCTACAAGGTAAGTATTACCCTGATACCAAACCAAACAAAAACATATCCAAAAGAAAAAATCTCTGAGGAATATTGATGTCAAAATCCGCACCAAAATACTAGCAAACTGAATTCAACAATACATTAAACAGATCATTCATTATGATCAAGTGTGATTTATCCCTTGGATGCAAGGATGTTTCAACATATGCAAATCAATTAACATAATACATCACATCAATAGAATGAAGGATATAAAACATATAATCCTTTCAATTGATGCTGAAAAATCACTTGATAAAATTCAACATCCATTCATGAATAAAACCTCAAAATATTGGATGTAGAAGGAACATTATTCAACACAATAAAAAGTGTATACAACAGACCCACATCTAGTATCAGACTACATGGGAAAAAAAATGAAAGTCTCGGCTGGGGGCAGTGGCTCATGGGTGTAATCCCAGCACTTTGGGAGGCCCAGGCGGGCTGATCACAAGGTCAAGAGATCAAGACCCTCCTGACCAACATGGTGAAACCCCATCTCTACTAAAAATACAAAAAAAAAATAGTTGGGCATAGTGGCATGCGCCTATAGTCCCAACTACTTGGTAGACTGAGGCAGGAGAATCGCTTGAACCCAGGAGGCGGAGGTTGCAGTGAGCTGAGATCGCGCCACTGCACTCCAGCCTGGGCGACAGAGTGAGACTCCATCTGAAAAAAAAAAGAAAAGAAAGAAAAATGAAAGTCTCCTCTAAGATCTAGAACATGACAAGGATGGGTGCTTTCACTACTGTTATTCAACTATTCAACATAGTACTGAGAGTCCTCGCTAGAGCAATCGGAAAAGAGAAAGAAATAAAGCACATGCAAATTTAAATGGAAGAATCCAAATTATCATTGTTTGCGGATGATCTAATCCCGTACTTGATAAAACCTAAAGACTCTAAAAAAAGTGAGAACCAATAAACAAATTCAATAAAGTCGCAGGATACAAATCAACATCCAAAAATCAGTAGCAAACAGTGAACAATGTAAAAAAGAGATCAAATAAGTAATTTCATTTACGATAGTGAGAAATAACATTAAATACCTAGGAATTAACCAAAAAAGTGAAAGATCTCTATTATGAAAACTATAAAACACTGATGAAATAAATTGAAGAGGACATCAAAAAGTGGAAAGATATTCCATGTTCATGAATTGAGATAATCGATGTTGTTAAAATGTCCATACTACCCAAAGCAATCTATAAATTCAATACAATCCCTATCAAAATACCAATTACATTCTTCACAGAAATAGACATAACAATCCTAAAATGTATATGGAACCACAAAAGACCCAGAATAGTCAAAGATATCCTATGCAACAAGTACAAAACTGGAGAAATAACATTACCTGCCTTCAAATTATACTACAGAGCTATAGTAACCAAAACAGCATAGTACAGGCATAAAAACATACACCTAGACCAACAGAACAGAATAGAGAACCCAGAAACAAGTCCACACACATAGAGTGAACTCATTTTTGACAACGTTGCCAAGAACATACCTTGAGGAAAAGATAGTCTTTTCAATAAACGGTACTGGGAAAACTGAATATCCATAGGCAGAAGAGTGAAACTAGGTCCCTATCTCTTACTTTTTATGAAAACAAAATCAAAATGGATTAAAGCTTTAAATCTAAGACCTCAAACTATGGAAGTACTATAAGAAAACATTGAGGAAAATCTCCAGGACATTGATCTGGACAGAAATTTCTTGAGCAGTATCCTACAAGCACAGGCAACCATCGCAAAAATAGACAAATGGGATTATATATCAAGTTTAAAAGCTTCTGCACAGCAAAGGAAACTATCAACAAAATAAAGAGACAACCCACACAATGGGAGAAAATATTTGCAAATGACCTGTCTGACAAGGAACTAATAACAAGAATATATGCAAACAACTCTATGGGGAAAATTTTAATAATTTAATCAAAAGATTGGCAAATTATTTGAACAGATATTTCTCAAAGGAAGATATACGAATGACAAACAGGCATATGAAAAGATACTCAACGTCACTGATAATCAGAGAAAATCAAATCAAAGCTACAATGAGATATCACCTCACCCCAGTTAAAATGACTTATATCCAAAAGACAGGTACTAACACATGCTGGCAAGGATGTGGAGAAAAGGGAACCCTCATATACTTTTGGTGGAAATGTAAATTAGTAGCAACAGTATGGAGAAGAGTTTGGAGTTTCTTCAAAATATTAAATGTAGAGCTAACATAAGACCAGCTCTCCTAATGCTGGGTATACACCTCACAAAAGAGGAAATCAATATATTGAAGATATATCTGCACTTCCATGTTTGTTGTAGCATCATTCACGATTGCTAAGATCTGGAAGCAACGTGTGGCCACCAACAGATGAATGGATAAAGAAAATGTGGTACTTATATACAATGGAGTACTATTCAGCCATAAAGAAGAATGAGATCCTGTCATTTGCAGCTGCATAAATGGAACTGGAGATCATTAAGTTAAGTGAAATAAGCCATCACAGAAACACAAAGAGCACATGTTCTCACTTATCTGTGGGATCTAAAAATCAAAACAACTAGACTCATGGAGATAGAGAGTAGAATGACGGTTACCAGAGGCTGGGAAGGGTAGTGGAGGGCTACAGGGGATGTGGGGATAGTTAATAGGTACAAAATAAATAGAAAGAATGGATAAGACTACTACTTGATAGCACAACAGGGTGACTATAGTTGATAATAACTTAATTGTACATTTAAAGATAACTAAAAAAGTGTAATTGGATTGTTTGTAACACAAAGGATACATGCTTGCAGTGATAAATGTCCCATTCTCCATAATGTATTTATTTCATATTGAATGCCTGTATTAAAACATTTAGTGTACCCCATAATTATATATACTCATTGACCCCCCAAAATTAAAAAGATAAAAAGTTATAAAATAACTCAAAACAAAAATAGAAAATACCTTGAAACAAAAAAAATTTAAAACAAAGCATACCACATATTATGGGATGCAGCAAAAGCAGTTCTATGAGGGAAGTTTATAGTGATAAGCAGCTACAATAAGAAAAAACAAAGATCTAAAATGAACAGCCTAATTTTACACATCAAGGAACTAGAAGAAGAGGAAAAAACTTAATTCAAAGTTAGCAGAAGGAAGAATATAACAAAGCTTAAAGCAGAAATAAGCAAAATATTGACTTTAAAATATCAATAGCAAAAGCAAAGAAACTAAGAGTGGGATTTTTGTAAAGACAAACAAAATTTAAAAACCTTTAGCTAGACTAAGTATAAAAAGAGTAACGACTCAATAAATAAAATTAAATATGGAAGAGAATACATTAGAACTGACACCATAAAAATGCGAAGGATCAGGAGAGACAACTATGACCCATTATAAATCAACAAACTGGAAAGTCTAGGAGAAACAGATAAATTCCTAGAAGCAAACATCCTACTGAGATTAAATCAAGAAGTAATTAAAACTCTAAACAGACCAATAATGGGTATGGAGGTTGAATCAGTAATGGAAAAAATCTTCCAACAAAGAGAATCTAGATTTGATAATTTTGCTGATGAATTTTACCAAACATTTAAATAATTAATATCCATCCTTTTAGAACTTTTCTGAAAAATAAAGAGTGGGAAATGCTTCCAAACTCATTTTAAGTGGCTGGCATAACCCTGATACAAAAGCCAGACAAGAACACTACAAATGAACGAAAATTACAGACCTATATATACATGAAAAAATCCTCAGCAAAATATTACAAGTCCTCACGTAATACCATTAATAGGTTCCTGAAAATTGTGACTTTAATTGAAGTGTAACAAAACCGATTTTACTATAGGTTAATTGATCTACCCAAGAGTTACTTCCTACAGCATATTTCTATTCACAAATACATTGTCGAAGTACTAAATAAAGACCCTAAACACTTCTGATACTAAACATTGAAATAACTGTAAGGTATACATATATTTAAGATAGATTAATAAAAACAAAATAATTATGTCTCCAATTTTGGTGAATCAGTGAGAGATGGTAGTCATAGTGGTGGTAGGTTGAATTAAGAAATAAATGTTTGCAAAGTGTAAGTTTAAGGAGCACCTCTAACCACCACACAGTTAAAAAACAATAACAAAGATGGTGGGCGAGATGAGCAATTGTACCACTTTATTTATTACTATACATTTGTATGACTATCATATGCTTCACCACTTTTTATTTTACAATAATTTGTATTCATTGATTGATTCATTTTTCAAGACATTCACTGCTGTTCAAGGTTGCAGGTGGCCAGATACTATCCCAGCAGCTCAGGGTGCAAAGTAGAGCCAACCATGGACAGAATACTATTTTATCACAGGACACATTCATACATACACGCACACTCTTATTTGGACAATTTAGGCACATCATTCAACCTAACATGCATATGTTTTGGAGGTGGAAGGAAGCCATAATATCCAAGGACATGGTGAGATCTTGCAAACTCTACACAGACAGTAGCCCTGGCCAGAGATCTCTATCTCAAAGACGCATCTGCACTCCCATGTTCATTGCATCATGATTCATAAGCAACAAGATATGAAAACAATCTGTGTCCATGAATGGATAAATAAAGAAAATGTGTGTATATACATATATATATATATATATATATATATATATATTCTGTCCTAAAAAGAAGAAAACCCTGCCATAAAGAATCTGTCTTTATGGTTGTGAGGTATAGTGGAAATCTCTCTAGATTAGGATGGACCACAGTTGGCTCTGGGTCCCAGCTCTGTCACTATCTAATTTTTGATAAGTGTCATATGTTTCCTGAGCTTTATTTCCTCTCTGCAAAAAGGAGAACAAAGACATCTCCCTCATCTATGTATTTTATCATTTTACTGTGTATACCTAATGAGACAATGAAAGCATTACATGATAAGTAACATTTCAAATATAGTCTTAACGTTGTATAGCACAGTGTGAAAGATAACTCTTTTCAAGCTCCCCAAAGCCCCACAACCCACTCCAATGATTTGCCATTTCACAGAAAAGGCTAAACTTCTAACAATAACCTACGAATCCCTATTCTACGTCTCCCATCACCTTTCTGCTATCTCACTCCTCTCTGCTCATCTCCATCATTAAATAAACCAGGGACATCCTGCCTGAGAATTCTGATTTACCATTTCTTCTAACTGAAACACTCTTACCTCAGAAATCCAAATGGCTTTGTTTTTGAACTTTTCCAAGTTTCTATCCAGATGCTATTTTATGAAGGTCAATCATCCTCACCGTCTTTGAAATGACATCCTACCTCTTGGCTATCTAGATTCCACTTTAAAGCTCAATTTATCCTCCATAGCAATTATTGTTAACCACCATTTTAACTGTTTGACTTGTTTAAAAGCCTGTCTCACAAAGTTTAAATGATTTTTTTCCCCTTTAGAACTTTTAGGTTCAGGGGAACATGTGCAGGTTTGTTACATGAGTAAATTGTGTGTCACGGGGGATTGGTGTAGAAATGATTTCATCACCCAGGTAAGTGAGCATAGTACTCAATAGGTAGGGTTTCTTTGTACCCCCATCCTCCTCCCACATCCCCAAATAGGCCCCCATGTCTAATGTTCCCATCTTTGTGTCCATGCATAATCAATGTTTAGCTCCCTCATAAGTGAGAACATGCAGCACTTGGATTTCTGCTCCTATACTAGTTTGCTTAGGATAGTGGTCTCCAGGTGCATTTATGTTTGCTGCAGAGGACAGGATTTTGTTTCTTTTTATGGCTGCATAATATTCCATGGTGTACAGATACCACATTTTCTTCATTTAGTACACCGTTGATGGGCAGTTAGGTTGACTCCATGTCTTTGCTATCGTGAATAGTGCTGTGATGAACATACAACTGTATGTGTCTTTTTGGTAAAATGATATACATTCCTTAGGCTATGTACCCATTAATGACATTGCTGGGTCAAATAGTCATTCTGTTTTAATTTCCTTGAGAGAGGTCTAAACTGCTTTCCACAGCAACTAAACTAATTTACATTCCCACCAACAGTGTATAAGCATTCCCTTTTTGCCACAGCGTCACCAATAGGTTGTTTTTTTTTTTTTTTTTTTTTTTTTTGAGACTGAGTCTCGCTCTGTCGCCCAGGCTGGAGAGCAGTGGCGTGATCTCGGCTCACTGTGAGCTCCGCCTCCTGGGTTCACGTCACTCTCCCGCCTCAGCCTCCCGAGTAGCCCGGACTACAGGGGCCCACCACCACGCCCGGCTATTTTTTTTGTTTTTTTTTCAGTGGAGACGGGGTTTCACCGTGTTAGCCAGGATGGTCTTGATCTCCTGACCTAGCGATGCCCCCGCCTCGACTTCTCAAAGTTCTGGGATTACAGGCGTGAGCCACCGTACCCGGCCCTATTTTTTGACTTTTTAATAATAGCCATTCTGACTGGTATGATATGGTATCTTATTGAGGGTTTGACTGCATTTTTGTAATGATTAGTAATATTGAATATGTTTTCATTCACTTGTTGGCCATGTGTATGTCTTCTTTTGAAAAATATCTACTTATGCCCTTTTCCCATTTTTTAAAGGAATTGTTTGTTTTTTGTTTGTTGATTTATTTAAGTTACATACAAATTCGTGTCATTAGATCTTTGTTGGATGCATACTTTGCAAATATTTCCTCCCATTCTGTAGGTTGTCTGTTTACTCTGTTGACAGTTTCTTTGGTTTTGCAGAAGCTTTTTAGTTTAATTAGTTCCCACTTGTCCATTTTTATTTTTGTTGAAATTGCTTTTGGAGACTGTCATAAAATCTTTTCCAAGGCTTATATCCAGAAGAGTATTTCCTGGTTTTCTTCTAGAGTTTTTATAGTTTTAGGTCTTACATTTAAGTCTTTAATTATCTTGAGTTGATTTTTATATATGATGATAGGAAGGGATCCAGTTTCAATCTTCTGCATATGGGTAGCCAGTTTTCCCAGCACCATTTATTGAATAGGGAGTCTTTTCCCCATTGCTGGTTTTTGTTAGGTTTATTGAAGATCAGATAGTTGTAAGTGTGTGGCCTTATTTCTGGGTTTTCTATTTTATTCTATTGGTCTGTGTGTTTGTTTTTGTAGCAGAATCATGCTGTTTTGGTTAATGTAGTTGTGTAGTATAGTTTGAAGTCAGGTAGTGTGATGCCTCTGTCTTTGTTCTGTTCTTTTACCTAGGATTGTTTAGCTATTCTGGCTTTTTTTGTTTCAATACAAATTTTAGCATAGTTTTTTTTTTCTAATTCTGTGAAAAATGACATTGACTGTTTGATAGGAATAGCATTTAATCTGTAAATTGCTTTGGCCATTTTAACAATATTGATTCTTCCTATCCATGAGCATGGAATGCTTTTTTTTTTTTTTTTTACACAGTCTTGTTCGGTCACCCAGGCTGGACTGTAGTGGTGCCATCTTGGCTCACTGCAACCTCCGCCTTCCGGGTTCAAGTGATTCTCTTGCCTCAGCCTCCCAAGTAGCTGTGATTATGGGTGCCACCACATCCAGCTGATTTTTGCATTTTTCATAGAGATGGGGTTTCACCATGTTGGCCTGGTTGGTGTTGAATCCCTGACCTCAAGAGGTCCTCCCGCCTCAGCCTCCCAAAGTTCTGGGATTATAGGCATGAGTCATTGTGCCTGGAATGCTTTTTAAATTTTATTTGTGTTGTCTCTGATTTCCTTCAGCAGTGTTGTTTAATTCTGATTGTAGAAATTTTTAACTTCCCTGAGTAGCTATATTCCCAGGTATGTGTTTTATAACTATTGTGAATAGGATTGTGTGCTTGATTTAGTTCTCAGCTTGAATGTTATTTTTGAATTGAAATGCTACTGATTTTTGCACATTTATTTTGTTCCCTGAAATGCTGAAATTGTTTATCAGTTCTAGCAGCCTTTGGTGCAGAGACTTGTGGTGTTCTAGGTATAAAATCATATTGCCAACGGGTGCGGTGACTCATGCCTGTGACTCATGCCTGTAATCACAGCTCTTTGGATAGCCGAGGTGGGTGGATCCCTGAGGTCAGGAGTTCGAGACCAGCCTGGCCAAAATGGTGAAACCCTGTCTCTACTAAAAATACAAAAATTAGTCGGGCACGGTGGTGGGTGCCTATAATCCCAGCTACTCAGGAGTCTGAGGCAGGAGAATCACTTGAACCTTGGGGGTGGAGGCTGCAGTGAGCTGAATCACACCACTACACTCCAGCCAGCGTGACAGAGTGAAACTCCGTTTAAAAAAAAAGAAAATCATATTGCCCGTGAAGAGAGATAGTTTGATTTCTGCCCTTTCTATTTGCATGATTTTTATTTCTTTCTCTTGCCTGATGACTTTGGCTAGGACTTTTATACGATTTGGATCTGTGTCCCTGTCCAAATCTCATGTCAAATTGGAATCTGCAACGTTGGAGGTGGGGCCTGGTGGGAGTGGCTCCTTCCTGAACTGTTTAGCCCCATCCCCTTGGTGCTGTTCTTGTGATAAAGAGTGAGTGAGTTATTGTGAGATCTGGTTGTTTAAAAGTGCATAGCACCTCCCCACTCTCTCTCTCCCTTCCACTCCGGCCATGTGAAGTGTCTTGATCTCCTTTGCTTTCCATCACGACCGTAAGTTCCCTGAGGCCTCCCCCAAAGCTGATGCCACCATGCTTCCTATACATCCTGCAGAACCATGAGCCACTTAAACCTCTCCTCTACAAACTACCCAGTTTCAGGTATTTCTTTATAGCAGTGTGAGAACAACCTAATATAGAAAATTGGTACTGAGGAGTGGGGCATTGCTTTAAAGATACCTGAAACCCTGGAAGCAGCTTTGGAACTGGTTAATGGGCAGAGATTAGAACAATTTGATGAACATTTGGAACTTCCTAGTGACTTGTTGGATGATTGTGACCAAAATGCTGATAGTGATATGGAGGGTGAAATCCAGGCTGAGGAGGTCCCAGATGGAAATGAGAAACTTATTAAAAATTGGAGTGAAGGTCACTTATGTTATGCTCTAGCAAAGAGCTTGGCTGCATTGTGCCCGTGCTCTAGGGATCTGTGGAGCTTTGAACTTGAGAGATGATTTAGGATATCTAGTAGAAGAAAATTCTAAACAGCAGTGTTCAAGACTGACCTTGCAGCTTCTAACAACCTACACTCATTTACATGATCAAAGAAATTACCTAAAACTGGAACTTATATTTAAAAGAAAGAGAAGCAGAGCTTAAGAGTTTGGAAAATTTGCAGGATGGCCATATGGTAGAAAAGAAAATCCCATTTTCATGGGAGGAATTCGAATGGGCTGCAGAAATTTGCATAACTAAATGGAAGGCAAGTACTAATAGCTAAAACAATAGGGAAAAGATCTCAAAGGCATTTCAGAGACCTTCATGGTAGCACCTCCCATCACAGGTCTGGAGGCCTAGGAGAGAAGAACAGTATCCTGGACCAGGCCTAGAGCGCTGATGCCCTGAGCAGCCTCAAGACACTGCTCCCTGCAAACCAGCCACTCTAGCTTCAGCTGTGGCTGAAAGGAGCCCAGGTACAGCTCAGGCTGCTGCTCCTGAGGGTGCAAGCCATAAACCTTGATGGCTTCCTTGTGGTGTTCAGCCTGTGGGTACACAGAGTACAAGAGTAGAGGCTTGGAAGCCTCCACCTAAATTTCAGGGGATGTACTGAAAAACCTGGATGTCCAGAAAGAAGCTTGCTGTAGGGGCAGAGCCCTCATGGAGAACCTCTAGTAGAAGAGTGTGGAGGGAAAATGTGGAGTTGGACCTCCCACACAGAGTCCCCACTGGGACACTGCCTACTGGAATTGTGAGAAGAGGGCCACTGTCCTTCAGCCCCCAGAATGGTAAATCCACCAGCAACTTACACACTTTGCCTGGAAAAGCCACAGGCACTCAACATTCACCCCTAAGAGAAGCTGTGGGAGCCAAACCATGCAAAGCCACAAAGGTGAAGCTGTCCAAGTCCTTGGGAGCCCACACCTTCCATCAGGGTGTCCTGGATGTGGCACAAGCAGTCAAAGGAGACTATTTTGGAACTTTAATATTTAATGACTGCCCTGATGGGTTTTAGACTTGTACAAGGCCTGTAGCCCTTTTGGTTTGGCCAATTTATCCCTTTTGAAATAAGAATGTTTACCCAATGCTTGTACCTTCATTCTGTCTTAAAAGTAACTAATTTGTTTTTTATTTTATAGGCTCATAGTTGGAAGGAAGTATCCTGTCTTAGATGAGACTTTGGACTTTGGACTTTTGAGTTAATGCTGAAATGAGTTAAAATTTTGCTGGGCGCGGTGGCTCATGCCTGTAATCCCAGCACTTTGGGAGGCTGAGTTGGGCAGATCACCTGAGGTCAGGAGTTCAAGACCAGCCTGACCAACATGGAGAAATCCCATCTCTACTAAAAAAAAAATTATATATATATATATATATACAAAATTAGCCAGGCATGGTGGTGCATACCTATAATCCTAGCTACTCAGGAGGCTGAGGAAGGAGAATCACTTGAACCTGGGAGGCGGACATTGTGGTGAGCTGAGATCATGCCATTGCATTCCAGCCTGGGCAACAAGAGTAAAACTCCATCTCGAATTTAAAAAAAAAAGATTTTGGGGGACTGTTGAGAAGGCATGATTGTCTTTTGCAATGTGAGAAGGAGAGGAGATTTGAGAGGGGCCACAGGGTGGAATAATAGTTTGGATCTGTGTCCCTGCTCAAATCTCATGTTAAATTGTAATCCCCACTGTTGGAGATGGGGCCTTGTGTGAGGTGATTGAATCACAGGCATCCTTCATGAGTGGTTTAGCACCGTCCCATTGGTTTTGTTCTTGTTATAGTGACTGAGTGAGTTATTGTGACATCTGTTTGTTTAAAAGTATATTGTACCTCCATCCTCTCTCTTCCTATTGTTCAAGCCATGTGAAGTGCCTCATTTCCATTTTCCTTCCACCATGATTGTAATTTCCCTGAGGCCTCCCTAGAGGCTGATGCTGCCTTGCTTCCTGTATAGCCTACTGAACCATGAGCTAACTAAATCTCTTTTCTTTACAAATTACTCAGTCTCGGATATTTCTTTATAGTAGTTTGAGAATAGACTAATATAGACTTCCAATTCTATGTTGAATAGGGGTAGTGGGAGTAAGCATCCCTGTTTGTTTCAGTTCTCAAGAGAAATGCTTTCAGCTTTTGCCGGTTAAGTATGATGCTGGCTTGTCATAGAAGGCTTTAATTATTTTGAAGTATGTTAATTTCGTTCCTAGTTTGTTGAGGGTTTTTAACATGAAGGGATGTTGAATTTCAGCAGCAGTCTTTTCTGTGTCTATTGAGATAACCATGTGTTTTTTCCTTTTACTTCTGCTTATGTGATTTATTGATTTGCATATTCTGAACCAACCTTGCATCTCAAGAATAAAGTGTATTTCATCATGGTGTATTAGCTTTTTCAAAAAAAATTTGGTGGGTACATATAAGTGCATGTATTTATAGGGTACATGATATTTTTGTACAGGTATGCAAAATGTAATAACCACAGCATGGAAAATTGGGTATCCATTCCCACAAGCATTTATCTTTCCTGTTACAAACAATCCAATTATACTACTTTAGTTATATCAAAATGTACAATTAAATTATTATTGACTATTGCCTCCCTGTTGTGCTATCAAATAATATGTCTTATTCATTCTACTTTTTTGCACCCATTAACCATCCCTACCTACTCCCCACCCACCTACTACCCTTCCCAGGCTCCAGTAATCATCCTTATATTCTCTATTTCCATGAGTTCAATTATTTTGATTATTGGATCTCACAAACAAATGAGAATATGTGATGTTTGCTTTTCTGTGTCTGGCTCATTTCATTTAATATAATGACCTCCCATTTCATCTATGTTGTTGCAAATTACAGAAACTCATTTTATTTTTTTATGGCTGAATAGCTCCATTGTGTTTAAGTGTCACATTTTCTGTATCCATTTGTCTGTTGATGGACACTTAGGTTGCTTACAAGTCTTGGCTATTGTAAACAATGCTTTGATATATTAATTTTCTTTCTTTTGAATATGTACTCAGTAGTGGGATTCCTGGATCATATTACAGCTCTATTTTTAGTTTTTTGAGGAACATACAAATTGTTTTCTATAGTGGTTCTACTAATTTACATTCCCACCAACAGTACACAAGGGTATCCTTTGCTCCACATTCTTGCTAGCATTTGTTATTGCTTCACTTGGATAAAAGCCATGTTAACTGAGTTGAAATGATAACTTATTGTAGTTTTGATTTGCATTTCTCTGATGATCAGTGATGTTGACCACTTTTTCACATGCCTGTTTGCCATTTGTATGCCTTCTTTTGAGGAATGTCTATTCACCCTTTTCCCTGTTTTATGATCAGATTATTAGATTTTTGCCCTACAGAGATATTGGTACTTCTTATATATTCTTTTTACTAATCTCTTGTCAGATGAGTCATTTGCAAATATTTTCTTGCATTCTGTAGTTTGTCTCTTCACTTTGTTGATTGTTTCCTTTGCTGTGTGAAAGCGTTTTAATTTGATGTATTCAAATTTGTCCATTTATGCTTTGGCTGTCTGTGCTTGTGGTGTATTGCCCCCAAAAATTTTTGCTCAGAGCTATATCCTGGAGAGGTTTCCTGTTTTCTTGTAGTAGTTTCATAGTCTGACGTCTTATATTTAAGTCTTTAATATATTTTGATTTGATTTTTGTATAAAATAAGGGATAAAGATCAAATTTTATTCTTCTTTACTAGAATATTGAGTTTTCCCAGCACCATTTACTGTGTTCTTGGCACCTTTGTCAAAAATGAGTTCAGTGTACGTGTTTGGCTTTGTTTCTGGGTTTTCTATTATGTTCCATTGACCTATGTGTCTATTTCTATGCCAGTACATGCCATTTTGATTACTATAGCCATGTAGTATAATTTGAGGTCAGGTAATGTCTCCTCACATGTACTGATTTGTAGATGTTGAACCATCCTTGCATTTCTGGAATAAATACCAGATGGTTATGACCAATGGTCTTTTTAATGTATTGTTGAATTCAGTTTTTTAATGGTTTACTGAGGCTTTTCACATCAATATTCATCAGATAAATTTGACAATAGTTTTCTTATTGTATGTGTTTTTGATTTTGATGTCAGGGTAATACTGGCCTCATAGAATGAGTTTGGAAGTATTCCCTCTTTATTTTTCAAAATAGTTTGAGTAGAAATGCTATTAATTCTTTAAATGTTTGGTAGAATTCAGCAGTGAAGCCATTTGGTGCTGGACTTTTCTTTACAAGGTGACTTTTTATTATTACTTCAATCTTGTTACTTGTTATTGGTGTATTTAGGTTTTGGATTTTTTCCATGGTTCAATCTTGGTAGGTTGTATGTGTCTAACAATTTTTTTCATTTCTTCTAGATTTTCCAATTTATTGGTGTATAGTTGCTCATAGCGGCCAGTAATTTTCCTTTAAATTGCTGAACCATCAGTTGTGATGTTTTATTTTTCATCTCTGATTTTATTTGGGTCTTTTCTCTTTTTTTCTTAGTTAGTCTTGCTAAAGGTTTGTCAATGTTGTTAAACTTTAAAAAAAATCAACGTTCTGTTTCATAGATCTTGTATCGTGTTCTTTATTTCAAATTCCTTTATTTCTGCATGATTATTATTATTATTATTTCCTTTTGCCTACTAATTTTGGGTTTAATTTGCTCTTGCTTATCTAATTATTTAAGATGCATCATTAGGTTATTTATTTGCAGCTTTTTTTAGGTAGGCACTTACAGCTATAAATTTTCCTCTTTCTATGGCTTTCCCTGTATCCCATAGACTTTGGGATTATAGATTAGCTTTCTGGTATGCTATTGGGTTTGGCTTGCTAGTATTTTTGTTGAGGATTTTTGTGTCTATGTACATCAGGAGTATTGGCTGAAAGTTTTCTCTTTTCTGTCTTTGCCAGGTTTTGGTATTTAAAAAAGAAAAGTTCTCAGAGACCTATGAAGAGACTTAAATTACCAACAATAATAGCAGGAGACTTCAACATCCCACGGAGAGTAGTAGATCATTGAGGCACATAACTAACAGTTTTTTGGTACATAAATTCAACTCTTGTCCAAATGGACCTAAGAGGCATCTGCAGAACACTGTACCCAACAACAATAGAATATACATTCTTATTATCTGCAAACAGCACATATTCTAAGATCAGCCACACACTTGGCCATAAGACAATTATCAGAAAAAATACAAAATATGAAATCATACCAACTACTTTCTTGGACAGGAGCACAAAAATCATATAAATCAATGCTAAGAGAATTGCTCAAAACCATACAATTACATGGAAATTAAACAACCTGCTCCTAAATGGCTTCTGGGTAAATAAAGACATTAAGGCAGAAATCAAGAAAATTATTCGAAACTAATGATAATAAAGACACAACATGCCAGAATCTCTGGGACACAGCTTACAGAGTGTTAAGAGAAAGGTTTACAGCAGTATATGCCTATATCAAAAAGTTTGAAAGATCTCAAATTAAAACCTAACATCACAACAAGAGGAACTTGAAAAACAAGAGCAAAACAACCAGAAAGCTAGCAGAAGAAAAGAAGTAACTGAAATCAGAGTTGAATGAAATTGAGATGCAAAAATCCATCCAAAAGATGAATGAAAACATAAGTTGGTTCTTTGAGAGAATAAACAAGATCGATAGACCTTTAGCTAAAGGAATAAAGAGAAAAAGGAGAAGATCAAGATAAACACAATCAGAAATGGCAAAGATGACATTACTACTAACCACAAAGAAATACAAAAAATCCTCAGAGACTATTAAAATTACCTCTATGAACACAAACTAGAAAACATAGAAGAAATGAATAAATTCCTGGAAATACACAAGCTCCCAAGATTGAAACAGGAAGAAATTGAAATCCTGGCCAGAAAAATAATGAATTTCAAAACTGAATCAATAATAAAAAGCCTCCCAACTAAAAAGCCCTGGAAGAGACAGATTCACAGTTGTATTCTAGCAGACATACAAAGAAGAGCTGGTACCAATTCTACTGAAATTATTCCCCCCCCAAAAAAAATGAGGGACTTCTCTCTAACACATTTTACTAGGCCAGCAGCATTCTGATACTAAAATGTAAGTTCTAAAATGAGAATTTTTGTATTTTCTGGTATAATATACTATACTATCTATGCCTAGAAAGCTTCCAGAAACACCATACACACTTAATAAATATGTGAAAATGAATGAATAAAAATGATGGTTCACCACCTTCTCCCTTGCTTTCCTCTTTCAGAAGAACTAAAAAATGAATATTCATTTTTCCTAGCTACATTTCAGTGTGGTATGAGCTTATTGTGTCTCTTGTAAGTGAGATATGTATGGATGTTTTGTAGGAAGGGATTCCTTCCCAAATAAAAGGTAAATTTCTTACAGAAAAGGATATGGAATTTATGACTTTTTTCTTGCCTAGAATGAGAATGTGAAATATGGAGACTAAGCAATTATCTTTTGATTTTAAAGAGATAAAAACACATGAAGGATGAGGGAAAAGCAAGAGAAAAAAGTCAAAATTGGTGATGGTATTTTTCAGCTGCTGTCATAGCCTTTGACTCTCTACCCCTGAACTTCCCACAGGTAAAATATAAAACCCCATGTGGGGTTTAAACTGTACTTAAATTACGGCTGACTGCTTTCATTATGTTTTGAACACATTTCTAATAGAAACAGAATGTAAAGCCATAATAAGAGTCAAGACAAGATAGATCATATTATTAAATAAACCTTTCTTTCTTTCATGGGTTCCCACTGCCCATTCAAAGCTAGTACTTTTGTTGTGCTTCTTTCTAGGCATATGACATTTTATCCAGAGAAACCCAAATGTCTACATCTTATTCTGTACTCCTTAGCAGAAATACATATTGACTGCTATTTTTTCTAACTCCTCATCTACATAGCTATTTTTTTAAAATCTAATAATTGCATTCATGATAGTGAATTATGATCAGTAATAACCCCTTCATAACCTCATGGGCATTTGTATTTTAGTGGGGAAATAGTCATTTGTCAGGAACGCATAGGTAGTTATATCACCAAACATTTATGGGAAAAGTCACAAAGGAAGATATTTTGGGGAAGAGTGTCACTAAAATGAAACTAAGGACTTTGACCCATTCTCTTTATTCTCAAAACTATGATTATTATTTTCATGCCCATGGAAAGAGGAGATACCCACTTTTTTAAGTTAGTTAAGAAAAGTACACACCTATATCAGTGTATTTCAAGCTATACTATTAAGAAAATTCAGGATTTTGCAATAGTTAATCAGGTAGGAGGTCAGGGCTGTGAGTTGAGAGAGATAGTGACGATATTGCCTGTCAATACAGAAGGAGAAAAGCTTATTTTTAATTTCTGTATATGTATAACATATCGAATGAAATGAAGTACATATACAATAGTCCTCCCTTATCAGTGGGTGCCAGAAACCACAAATAGTACCAAACCCTGTATACATTGTTTTTTTTTGATCTAATAACTGAGAGTGCTACTAAGTAATTAATGGGTTGATAGTGCATATAGTATGGATATGTTGGAAAAAGAAATGATTCATGCTCTGAGCCGGACAGAGTGCAATAACAGAAATTTTTATCAGCTACTCAGAATGGCACACAATTTAAAGCTTATGAATTGTTTATTTCTGTAATTTCCATTTAATATTTTTAACCACAGTTGACCTCAGGCAACTGAAACCATGGAAAGCAAAACTGCAGATTAGGGGTACTATTATATGTAAGAATTTCTTTAAAAAAAAAAAACTAAGGATAAAAATAGCTTTGTGCTCACCAAAGACAAACCTGTTATTACTCAGGTAGTGTAGTTTTAAGTATTCTTTTGAAGTAATATTAAAAAATTACAACGAACAATAATGATGATGAAACAAAATGCATATAGGCAATGCAACTCTTGTTATTATATAAGGAAAGTCATATATTAAAGTTAAAACACAACTGACAGGTGACACTGTCCCTTCTCAGGTAGTCCTAACAGAAAAAGCTGATAATATAAAAAAATTCCCTTAAAATGATATAGTGAAAAGAGCTTGGGCTTTGGAATCAAATAGGCATGACTCAAATCCCTGATTATTTTCTTAGTAATTGTGGTTTCAGACATGTTACTCTGTATGCCTCCAGTTCATCACCTATCAATTGGGCATCATTGTACCCACCTTGTAGAGCTGTGTGATTATTAAATGATACAATAATCATAAATGTTTTATAACATTTTTGTTCTTTCTGAACCAGCAGGATGGGAGTAGGGAATCAGCCCATTACCAGTATCATTGTTCTCTATTGACTACTTCTATTGACAGGAATGGCCTAAAGCTCAGAGTGTGGTCCCAGGACACTTTGAAGGTCCTTAAAAGCCTTTATGTAGGTCCAAAAGGTTCTGCATTTTTCCATTGCATTATCTGAGTGAGGCCAGATTTTCTTTATACACTTCAACCAAAACAGTATATTGCAACAGAATGGAGAACTGCATGTCAAAATTCATGTTTGTTACTATCAAATTAGATAATAAAGATATTTGCAAAAATGTAAAACAATACCACTGTTATCCTCAATTTATTGTTTCTGTTTTGTGAAATATTATTTTAACATGAAATATTTTTAAAACACTAATATGCACATTTATTATCATTTTAAAATAAATATTTAACTGTTTTTCCATTTTAACTTCTAACACAAAAATATTAATATATTTAACCTACATAAGCAAAAACATTTTAGAGCATTCAATAATTTTTAAAAATATAAAGGAAACAAAAATGTTTGAGAACTGCACACATAAAGTGCTACGTTTTTACCATTCTCTACAACCATGAAAGTTTAGGCTGTGATCTCTACTTTAAGAAAAAAATCGAGGATGAATATATGTATATATATATATCTGTAAAATATGGATATTTATTATCTGTCAATATTTTATTTTGTCTATCTATAATATATGTGATGTGATAACAAATCTTGAGTTTATTTTGCAAGCCAATATTCAATTTATTTGAATTCTATGTTTTATTATCTGAAATGGCTTTGTTACAAAATCCCAAAGACAAATTATATGAACTTGATTATCTTACAGTACATTAGAATTAGGCAAGATCACCATGAAAATACGTAGGTACTTACTATCTATGTCTTAGAACGTTCTGGAGTTAAACACTGATAGTCCTGAGCACCAATCAATTACGAATAGGTTTGCATATAAAATACAAAATGTATCCTGAAAAATTAAGGGTAATATTCTACACAATCGCAATATAAATGTTTGTAACAAATACTACTGTATTAATACCAAAAGCACAGAGAAGTAAACATGTATCAGCACAAGGGAAAAACAATATTCTAAAATAGTGTTCTCCTTGGGTAATATGGCAAGTATGTCTAAAATCTTAACCTGACCAGAAAAAAATTGAGTTTCATTAGCAAGTAGTTTCAGCTTACCAGGAGATAACATTATTCCTGTGTTATTTTTACTCAAAAACGGTGTGTCATACAAATTAATTAACTTAGATAGATGACAGATGTATACATTTTCTTTCTATTCATTTTGACTGCTTATACAAACCTAATTGTAAGCAAAACAAAATAACCAAACTCATTTAGACTAAGATGATGGTACCTTAAAATTACCGAATTTTCCCTAAGGCCACTGGGCTGACTAATCTCCATTTTCCCTCAGATGCTTCACTTACGCTTTCTTCACTACCTTGCTCTGGGCCACGGGAGATTGATTTATGGGTTTCGTTACCCCGCACGTCCTAACTCCTCCATCCCCAGTTTGAACTTGGAGGCAGCAGTAGAAAATTGATGAGCTGCAAAGAAAGCGAGAATTTTTTCTTTCCTCTCTTTTTTGCCAGGGTGCAGTTTGGACAGGGATTGCTTTCCTCCATGTAGAGGAAACTTCTACCTCTGCTGCTCACTCCAGCTGCCAGATTTCATGTTTCTATGCTGCATTGCTCCTTTAGGTGAACAAGTAGTAAAAGGGGTGAAGTTATCAAGCAATTGCCAACATCACACTGCCTCTATTTAGGTCCTTAAGTCCAACCTTCATATCTAAGAACAGATCTTGTGTTATAAACCTTCATTAGACTCCCCTGAATGAACATTTTGGGTATATCCTGCCGAGTGGTACAGCTGTTGTTTCCAAATGTTCCACACTCCAGTGTGATTTTTGGATACCAACAAGTTTTCCATCTATAGGGTTGCTGTTTGGAAAACTGAACTGTTCATGAAAGCTCATTACGTGCCTAATTTATTCCCACTGTAAAGAAGGAGGTAATATTTATTGAACTAACAATCAACTCAATAAGAGTATTTGATATTTATTATCATTTCAATTTTATCTATAATACAGAGCAAAACTTATGTTGAGTTTTAAGTTTACCTATGGTTCAAAAAATTAGATACAAGCAGTATTGAAACCACCTTGAGCAAATTAGTTATTAAAAAGTGAATGCTAACTCATTTAATACGTGTTTCTACTAAATAGAGAGGTAAAATGACAAGATAGTTGTCCTTTGATGATTCAAGTGGCATCTCTAAAAATTGAAGAAGGCATAGCACCAAATACTGTTCAAGTTTTTTCAAAAAACTAACAATAATAATATTCTAAGTGATTTACATATATTGACTCATTTTAGCTTCTTAAAATCTCTGTGAGCTTAGTTCTAATTTTTCTCTAACTTTTAGGCAAGGATTTCATCACAGAGAGATTAAATAACATGCCCCGAATCACACAGTTTTCTTTCTATTCATTTGGATAGATTATACATATTTCCATAACACAGAGAGATTAAATAACATGTCCTAAATCACACAGCATATGGCTGAACTAAAAAGACAACAAGAGTTAAAAGTAGTTAAATTGGTCTTTGCAGGTGTCATTTTCTTTATATCTTTTAATGAAATTAATAAATTTCCAGAGAGATTAAGAAATTGACCTTGAGAATAAAAACTAAAACTCTACGACTTACATAAGTAAATTTTATTTTTACTCAATTACATTTCAGTTGTAATTTTACTAGGATGTATTTTGAATGGCTTTTTAATTATTTTGTTTTGTTTTATGAGAACAAGAAAATAATTACCAGTGCAACTATATCACAATTAAAGGAAAACAAAGTAACAAAAAGAATTACATAACACCTAAGAAATAGGTACATCACTGGCATTTCTAGCTCATCCTTTCTCCATTGCTGTCTTTGTTTATTCAGAAAATATTCATTAAATGATTGAGGTGTATCTGGTACTGTGCCTATGCTGGCATGATACACTGAACAACATAAATACTCATCCCAGCTCTAATGGACATTTCACCAGAGAGAAAGTCAAGAAAATAATTACCTCCGTGATGATTATCCTGCAGGAGAGACTTCAGATAATATGAAGGTAAATTTTCTAAATCAAAACAAGGAAGAAGCATTTTTTCTGAGATGAACCTAGATCTGAAGGAAGAGAAGGTCTTTTCTGGATAGGGGTGGGGTGGGTACAGAGAAAGAATAGCCTAAAGACAAGGTAGACCAGAGCAAGGGAAGGCCTGGAGAGGACGAGCTCAGATCTTTCTGAGAAGTAAAAATATCACCATTGTTTCTGAAATGCAGAAACTCCTAAATACCAAGGCCTAGATATTATGGTTGTAGAAGGAAAGTAGCTTATATTGTCTCCATTTAGTTTAGAAGGCAGAAACTTTGAAATACCCCCTTCAAGTGTGGTGTCTAATGTCAAGGCCATAGACCCAGTCATTCATTTATCATAGTCTCCCATTCTAGAGGGAGAATGAAAAAGGGAACTGAGTGACGGTGAAAATCACATGACAAATTCATCTTGAAAATGTCTCTGAAGGAATTGTCTTAAAAAATTTTTCCTAAAGAATGTTGTCGATGGAAAAAAATGAGTAACAAATGGAGACTGGGGTACATTTGGCATAAAATTCTAGTAGAGAGTTATGAAAGCTTCAGTTTAATGAATATCTATTAGGCATTTCACATACATGATATTTAATCCTTGTAAGAACCTTACAGTACTGGCACCATTATCTATCTCTGATAGATGAGGAAACTAAGAAGTCAAATAACTTGCCCAAGCCTCACACCTATAAGTAGCAATCAATGCAGGTATTAGAAACAGAGTCATCCTGGATCCAAAGTTCTTACTTTTTCCACTTTATTTCTTTTCAATGAGAATTGTTTCTTTTAACACAAATGTAACATGTGGATGACCCAAAAAGGATGGGCGTTGTGTACTAAAGATCTAAAGATATATAGAAATGTAACAAATATAAATTACCTTAGACTCTTCCTTCACTGGATTTTAAAACATTCACCTAAGATGTATTGTTTAAGGGGATGTTTCTCATACAAATTTGATAAATTTACTTGTCTATAATGGTTTTACAGGGCAGGATTCTGTCAGACGTAGACAAAGGGGAGAACAGGGAGAACAAAAACATATATCCACCAACTTTTAGTCACAGAGAATGATTGCTTCTTAAAAGCTCAATGTACATAGCCTTGACCACCTGCTTTATGAGAATATTCTCCAATTGCTAAAGTTGAATTCAATATTTTAGCTTGCACTATATGTCAAGTTATTTATTAAGTGTTATACAAGCTTTTTAAATTTGATGCCTATACTGTTGCAGACCTAGAAACAGACAGTATAATCCCCATTTTACAAGGGTAAATCTGAGACTTACCAAGATTATACAACTTTCCTACTATTTTGTTTTAAGTAACAACTGGAAGAGCCAAGATCTCAAAAATATATATTTTTACTTTACTAAGTATATTTAGAATTTACTTAGAATATTAGTATATGATTGCTACCTGCCAGGGTATATGCTAAAGCCTTCACATCAAATGTCTCAATAAATCACACAGTATTAGACAGGAACAATAATGAAAATAGTGATGATGATGATGATGACAATGATGATGAGGATGATGATACAGAGGATGATGACTGTGATAATATTCTTTCTATAGGTGAGGAACTGGAGTAAACATCTCCATCTACCGCATCTTGCATGTTGAACTTAACAAGCTAAAGGTTTGAGGGATCACTTTGAGATGCTGGAAGTCCCAGAATATTCCTTCCGGAAACTGTAAATTTAACACTCTTCAGCCTGGTCATATTTTTAAAATGTTATATTCATATTTGTGGTTTAAAAGGTAGCTCCAAGTAACAGGGCTGCAGGACCTTATAATCATTCATCCGTGGCAATTAGATTAATGGCCTCCATTCTAAGAACTATTGCTTTAGCATCTCCTTTATTCCATTACTCAAGCTTATTTTTCCAGCTGTGATCATATGCTGACTGGGATATGCATAAATGAAAATCAAAGAGCTCCAAATACCATAATATATGTATTGGTTTGAAATGTAACACCTTGGAGACCTCATGGGAAATTACTTCTTGTTTAGAAATATTGTAATGACCTTGGCCCTGAAAGGCTCTTAGATAGCCAATTCAGGCAAGAGTTGATGACACTAAATGAAAAAATAATTACCTGGTTTTGAGCAGTGATAACGAGAAAATATAAATTTAAAAATAGAATTTAAAGTTTTTAGGGTATTATCACAACAGGTATTATAGGATGGCTCTGAAAACTCCTGTGTCAGTTCAACTTTTATGTTGTTTCGTTTGATTGAATCAGAGTGTATTTATCTCCTCCTCTTTTCCATTGTCTAGGAAGGATGCTTATAGCATAAGCTCACTCTTCCATACCTCTGTCTATATCAGAAAGCACTATGGATAACACATTTGCTCCTCTTCAGTTAGCTCACTGCTTTCACTTTGCTGCTTATGATTTTTAAAAAGACATACTGCACCTGTAATCCCAGCACTTTGGGAGGCCAGGGCAGGCAGGTCACCAGGTTAAGAGATTGAGGCCATCCTGGTCAACATGGTGAAACCCCGTCTCTATTAAAAATCCAAAAATTAGCTGGGCATGGTGACGTATGCCTGTAGACCCAGCTACTCAGGAGGCTGAGGCAGGAGAATCACTTGAACCCAGGAGGCAGAGGTTGCAGTGAGCGGAGATCGCGTGTCACTGCACTCCAGCCTGAATGACAAAGTGAGACTCCCTCTCAAAAAAAAAAAAAAAAAAAAAAGACATACTGTGAAAAAAAGTGATACAATTAAATTGCTATGTACATATAAAGTGATTAAATTTATATAGAGAGAGAATGATATGGGTATGTATACAGTATATGTTAAATATAAATAGGTGCAGAAGAATTATCACCAGGAAAATATTTAAGCAAAAAAAACCCAGAAGAGTTGAGTTTTTCTTTGTTTGCCACTTCTAAAGATTCAAAAAGATATATTTGAATTTTGCAAATGATCTGAAGGAAACAAATCAGTTACTGTGTATACAGAAAGCTAGCTCTACTCAGATGTGTAAGAATAATAACTTATAATTTATATAAAGCACATTTAATCCTAAATTTGAGGATGAATAAATTGGGACAATGTTAATTTTCCTTACTCAGTTAACATATTATAACATTTATTCTTAATAAGAAATGTGTACCCTCAAGGGTTCATCAAAGAATGATGTCCCATAAAGAATTCAAATATGCTCTGCCCTAGCTTTCTCCCGCTATTGGAAACCCCTGGTCTTGCTGTTGAAATCATACCACATTACTAGTCATGTTCAGAGGGCCATCGTTGGAGGATCAAGGGGATTAAGTTTGAAAACTAAATCACATTTTAAAGAAAGAAACACTATCAGCATCTTCCATAGGTCTTTTGGGATTTTGTTGAAAAAAGCATTTTGAAATTAAAATGTAATGATATTTATAAGGAGTAATAAAGATTCCTGCACTATTTCACTTCCCTAGAGGACCAGATGAACTTATCCAATTACCATTCTCAAGGATAGGTGTCTGTTTTGGAGTGAACAAAGATATCATGAAACTTAGTGGGGACAAGAAAAATTGATTTTTATATAGACTTATGTTTAGTATTTATGGGGATTCTGTTGTTATAGTTGTTACCTGTCAATTTTAAAATTATTTAAATTAGAATGTAACAAATGCTGGTTGCAAAACATTCAAGAATAACAGATTACCCTAAAACTTTCCTTTTTCAGTATTATGTCCTACTTTTCATGATAATGTTTTATACATGTATATTAATAAATACAGGAGTGGACAATGTATATGAGTATAAACATATATACATACACATACATTTTAAAATATGATGTACTATAGAACTTGTTCTTCAATTTGGTTTTGATTTTTTCTTAAATTTAATACATGACAGGGCTGTCCCTTTATGTCTGCACATATAAAGTTATATTTGTTCATCTCAAAATAAATGCTATTCCACAATATTAACATACAATTGGAGGGAGAAAGTATAGTTCTTAAGAATACTAACTTGAATGCTTAGTCAACTGTTGATTCTCAAACTAGCACTAAAATTCTTTTTTTTTTTGAGTCGAAATGGCTTTAATTTATTATTATTATTATTATTATTATTATTATTATTATTATTATTTAAGTTTTAGGGTACATGTGCACAATGTACAGGTTAGTTACATGTGTATACATGTGCCATGCTGGTGTGCTGCACCCATTAACTCGTCATTTAGCATTAGGAATATCTTCTAATGCTATCCCTCCCCACTCCCCCCACCCCACAACAGTCCCCAGAGTGTGATGTTCCCCTTCCTGTGTCCATGTGTTCTCATTGTTCAATTCCCACCTATGAGTGAGAACATGCGGTGTTTGATTTTTTTGTCCTTGCGATAGTTTACTGAGAATGATGATTTCCAATTTCATCCATGTCCCTACAAAGGACATTCACTCATCCTTTTTTATGGCTGCATAGTATTCCATGGTGTATATGTGCCACATTTTCTTAATCCAGTCTATCCTTGTTGGACATTTGGATTGGTTCCAAGTCTTCGCTATTGTGAATAGTGCTGCAATAAACATACGTGTGCATGTGTCTTTATAGCAGCATGATTTATAGTCCTTTGGGTATATACCCAGTAATGGGATGGCTGGTTCAAATGGTATTTCTAGTTCTAGATCCCTGAGGAATTGCCACACTGACTTCCACAATGGTTGAACTAGTTTACAGTCCCACCAACAGTGTAAAAGTGTTCCTATTTCTCCACATCCTCTCCAGCACCTGTTGTTTCCTGACTTTTTAATGATTGCCATTCTAACTGGTGTGAGATGGTGTCTCATTGTGGTTTTGATTTGCATTTCTCTGATGGCCAGTGATGGTGAGCATTTTTTCATGTGTTTTTTGGCTGCATAAATGTCTTCTTTTGAGAAGTGTCTGTTCATGTCCTTCGCCCACTTTTTGATGGGGTTGTTTGTTTATTTCTTGTAAATTTGTTTGAGTTCATTGTAGATTCTGGATACTAACCCTTTGTCAGATGAGTAGGTTGTGAAAATTTTCTCCCATTTTGTAGGTTGCCTGTCCACTCTGATGGTAGTTTCTTTTGCTGTGCAGAAGTGCTTTAGTTTAATTAGATCCCATTTGTCAATTTTGGCCTTTGTTGCCAGTGTTTTTGGTGTTTTAGACATGAAGTCCTTGCCCACGCCTATGTCCTGAATGGTAATGCCTAGGTTTTCTTCTGGGGTTTTTATGGTTTTAGGTCTAACATTTAAGTCTTTAATCCATCTTGAATTAATTTTTGTGTAAGGTGTAAGGAAGGGATCCAGTTTCAGCTTTCTACATATGGCTAGCCAGTTTTCCCAGCACCATTTATTCAATAGGGAATCCTTTCCCCATTTCTTGTTTTTCTCAGGTTTGTCAAAGATCAGATAGTTGTAGATATGTGGCGTTATTTCTGAGGGCTCTGTTCTGTTCCATTGATCTATATCTCTGTTTTGGTACCAATACCAACTAGCACTAAAATTCTTTTTACATTAAAATCCAATCACTTGCTAGCTATATTAATTCAGGCATTTTAAAGCTCTTTATCACTAGATTTTTTTATCTGTACGATGGCAATAGCTGTATACATATATATGTAGCTATATATATATATATGATTGTTTTGAGTTTAAATGGTTAATTTGTTCATCAGTGTATTTAACAAATATTTACTAAGCTCCTACTATGGGCCATACAGATCCAGGTACTTTTGAATCTTCACTTAATAACATTTTCGTCTCATAGAGCTTATATTCTAGCAAGGGGATATAGAAATTATTTTTATACAGAAAATATAAATAAATATGTAAGTTATAGAGAACATTACTATACAAGTGTCATGTACAATAGCAAAAAAAAAAACAGACTAGACTAGGAGGCATTAGGACTCTCTGTGGTGAATTTTATATCTGCACTTATATTTTAAATGGGTGCTTAGGATAGGCATGCTAGGGAAGGTAATATGCATAAGGACTTGAAGGTAGGGAATTTTGAAGATCTTGGGGAGAAATGTTTACCAGATGGATGGTACAGTCAATGAAAAGTCTTAAGACAGTACAATTATGCATAAACCCAAGGAAGAACAAGGAGGGCTGCTGGACAGAACCCAGTGAATGAGAGCGAAAGTAGTAGAAGTTAAGTTATACAAATGAGGATGGGAGGACCAATAATGTAAGTTTTTGTAGGACACTGAAATAACTTAAGAACTATTTTAGGACTCAGATTAGAGGAGGGACATCATTATATACATTCAAAAGACTCCTTTGGCTGCTCTCTGGACTATAGCATGTAGGTAGGGAATAAGTATAGAAAGGCAAAAGGAAGGAAGAAACTACTGCAGTCATCTGTAGTAGTCATCTGTAATTAATGAAAATTAATTGTGGCTTAGGCCAGGACATTAGCAGTGGAAGTGGGTTGGAAGTCAATGGATTTGGATATAATTTGAAGGTCAGGAAAACAGAATTTGTGGATGAATTGGAAATAGGGTGTAAGAGAAAGAAAGGATTTCAAAGTGAATGTAAATATTTTGGTGTTAGTACCTATAAGAATGGAGTTGTCACTAGCAAAAAACGGGGAAACTCCAGGAGAAGCAGGTTTAACAGAGAAAACCGGGAGTTACTTTAGTTTCTGCTAAGTTTGCAAAGGCCATCTGACTTTCTGACTTTCAAGTAGAGGTGTAGAGAAGCCAACAGTAAAATAACATAATTAAAATAACATAATTCACCCTTAAAAATGGCTCTATGAGACTTTGTCATGTAAACTAATTTTGTTAGATTACAGAACAAGTTCCTAAAGGAGATGATGATGATGTCTCATGTATATTGAATACTAGGTCAGTTGATATAAAATTTATTATCACATTTCCAACTTCCAACCTGTGTGTGCCTGGCTTAAACAATGATGGACAGGTTACTGAGTGCCAGCAGATGTAATGAGTACTCACGCAAAACTGCTTTATTAAGTTTAATTCAAAGAAATCCATTATATTCCTATTATGTCAAAGTGCTAGCTAAGCCTAGTTCACCAGAAGAACAGAACAAAAAAAGTAATCATGCTTGCCAGTCACTAAGACTCCGGGAGAGCTTTTTGTACTCTAATGGAATCCACATGGTTCAAGAAAAAGAATCAGTATGAGCCTGTAACAGCAAAGACCTCTCTCAGTGGCCTTGATGTGACAAATTTTTCACACTGAAGTGTCTGTGAAAAGGTACTCAAGAAAAGAAAAGCAATTATTGCATTGTCCCCCACTCTGATGAGACTTTTATCAACACTAATTCATTTAAGGTGACCAGAGACTTTTATGCTAAACCAAACGGTCACAACTCATTCTTCACTTTTCTTGATGTAACAGCATCAGTTGGTACACTTGGTACTTTTCTGCTTGAAATATTTTCCACATTTGGTATTGAGAGTCTCATTCTCTCTTGGTTAGTGTTTCATCTCATTGTCTTTTCTTGATTCCCTATTCTTACCTCCACTGTTGCCAAAATTGTTTGTCCTGCATTTTCCCCAAAGGCAGTTACATCCTTCTAAATTTCACCTCCCAAAGCCCCTGAGACTTATTTCTTCCTTCTATCATGTATTCAATTCGTAACTATTTTTACCTCAGACTTCTAAATACATTTAGAATTAAGCCTCTTCCAATTATACAAGGTGAATAAATCCTAAGAGTCTACCATACAAGATAGTGCCTATAGTTGAAAATATATTGTATACTTAAAATTCTGCTAAGAGAATAGATCTTATGTGATCTTATCACAATAGCATTATATTTAGAGGGTGAAAAAACTTTTGGAGGTGATGGATATGTTTATGGTATAGACTGTGATGATAGTTTCAGCAGTATACACTTATCTCCAAACTCATCAAGTTGTGTAAATTGTACAGCTATTTGTATGCTGATCATACCTCAATACCTCAATAAGGTGTTTTTTAAAAAGAATCTAGCCATTTCCAATACTTCCACTGCTACTGTGGTTTAAGAAAGTACCAGCATTTGGTTAGGCTTATGTGGCGGACTTCTAAAGGCGTTCCCTGCCAGTGTACTTACGTTCTTCCCCATAGTCTATTCCTAACACAGCACCAAAGCACGTCTTTAAAACTGCAAGTTAGATAAATTCATTCCTTTGCACAAAATCCTTCAGCGGTTTCTCATTTAATTCATGAAAGAGCCTACATAAATTTGTCTCTAGCTACCCATCCGCCATTATCTCCTATTGCTCCCAACCTTGTTCATTTATTTTCACCCACACTGGTTCCTCATTTCTGAAACACCCTAAACTATCTCCACATCTGAAGTGCCTCAGAGCATTGGTATTTGCTGTTGTATCTAACTGAAATGATCTTTTCAGACAATGCTATGTGGCTCATTTCCTTCTTCCATCAATGAACTGCTCATATGTTTTCTTCTCAGTGATTCCTTAGGACCCAACATAAGGTAACAACTACCTGCCTCCTAGACCAGCAGCACCTATTTTCTTAACACTGTTTTTCTCAGTATCTCTTATCTCTGTAAGTAATATCATGTATCTATAGATTTAGTAGCTTCTCATTGTCCTCCCACCAGAATGTAAGTTTCATGAATGCAAGAATCTTGTTCCCAGTAGATAATTGTTAAATGGATAAATTCTTCTTTGAAGTAGTACCTGTGTTTATTTTAATTACTCAACAGGGTATATATCTCTCCTAATTTTCTGCTTACAGAAAAGTTTCTAAGCCTAATATTAGATTAAATACCCAGGTGGCCAGGTAAGCTATGTTATTTTTGCCCCCTCTGCCTATCCCCATGAAACCCAATGCAGTATTATATCTAGTTGAGACTCTTTGAAATTTTCATATTATCCTGATTAGTGAAGATTTGAGAATTACATGTTAATGTAAAAAGTCTGGTAGTGTTTTTGAGTATTAAAAACCAGCAGAGACATAAGCATTTCAAGGTTTTGTTACATATGTAATTTTATCATCCACACCTTTTTCATCATCATCATTTTTGTGGTCATAGTTAAACTTTACTCAGAATTTACTGCAAACTACACACTCTTCTCTGTCCCGATAACTACATATGGTATCACCTACCTATTTTATTAATTTTCATAATTTACAGATAATGAAACTGAGATGATTTGGCTCAGCCTTTTTGTAACATAAACATTCATCCTGGACGTGATTGCTGTTTAACAGGAATTCAAATAATAAACACTAGCCTACACCATAAACATACAGTTATTAAAAGGGAGCCTGCTGTGGAGGATAGTGAATGGCCAACTCCTAGCTTGGCACTTTCTCAGCAGCCTGGGCTAATCCAGTCCTAGCCAAAAGTCCCAAGTGTTAATAATATGATTGTAAATGTTGGCTTACCAAATATCCATTTAGCCATACCCATTGTGAAATAATCTCATCATTTCAGTCTTCTAAACACAGAACAGTCCCACCTGATCACCCACTTTATCACTCATTAGATATTGGCCTATAAATCAGAAGATTTGGGAACCAAGTGTCACCATCTAAAATATGCCTCCATTGCATTTGCCTTTCACCTGCTGCTTTTCACTTCCCAAAATACACAGGTGCTAGGTCAATAAGCCCTACCAGAATGCTTAACAGTCAGCAATTTCAAGAAAATAGCAAGAAACATCTGAGCTGTGATTGCAAGAGGTGTTCTCCATGAAAGATGAAATGAATCATTAGCATTCCACAGATCAACTAGGGCTGAGCCTTCTCCTGATGAAAGCAGCCCGTGTAATATACAAGGTTAAGTCTCTCTTGCAAAGGAAATAATAACTCGCCTTGCCCAATTTGTGGAAGAACAGAAGTGAGAGTCATCTATCTGATGATAAGGTCAGTGGCTGGCATCATTCTTATACAGCCTCTTTCAAGAAATTTGTAATTGCCAAAAGGGCAAAATCAAATGGACACAGGTAGAAAACCAACAGAAAAAAAATTGTGTTCAAGATATTAGCAGAAACTATCCATAGAAGGCTGGCATTTTTATAACTGAATACGTCATCTTTCTGATTAAAAAAAAACATGGGGTTTACACAGTGTAATGGTCAAAAGTAACTTTTAATTTTATTTGGCTTGAAGTCTGATACATTTTGGGGTCTGTGGCACTAAGAAATGATTGCGTAAAATATTTTAAATTTTTAAAAACTTTTTCTCCACTTGCAAATTTGAGCTTCTTCAAAAGGACAAACAAATGCCAAACATTTCAATTCCATTGACTCTTTCATGAAATTTACTCACTTTCTTATTTGTAGTTTTGGCTTCATAGAGACATATCTATGTGATGTGATGATTTTTGCATCTTGATGCATTGCATGCTATTAAAACTAGAAATGGCTTTTAAACCCATTACAATGCAAAGCTACATTTTGGTCACAATCAGCAAATAACTGCCTCTAAAGGAACGGTTTTTATAGCTTCTTATTAATGCCACATTGATCACTGTGACATGTGGCCTCATATCACAGGTCAGGGCAAGAAGCCTGATGAGTGATATTGTATTTGCCTAATTCTCACCAAACTGGGCTTGTACACTCAGCCCTGAATTTTAGGAACCTGGTTTTGTTATCTTTCAGCAATATGGCATCTTCACAAAACTAATAAGACTGAGAAACTAGACATTCCAATTTATGAAGTTAAAGAAGGAAATATTAATAAAATGTCGAACCAACTGGACATTTGCATCAGCCTGTTTGACATATTTTCTCTTTGCAAGAAAATTATGTTGGAATTCAAATTATCAAAAAGCTTACTGATAGACTTAATCCTGACCAGAGGAGTTACTCTTATGTTTCAAATGTCAGAGTTCTAGGCTCTAGTAGCCTGGTGCAGCCTTGAAGACAAATAGACCTGGTTCATGGGCAGGTGGAAAGTCATGCAGCCCAACAGTACAGTCAGTCAGCATAGCACCGTTGCCTTCAACATTTGGAGTTGCCCTTTCCTATTTTACCTGGACTGACTGTAAGGAAAATGGATGTGCTTCAGTCAAGAGTAGGCTGAGGTAAACTTCAGTCAAGAGTAGGCTGAGGTAAACTTCAGTCAAGAGTAGGCTGAGCAGTATGACACAGCAGGATTGGAGTGCAAGTGCACAAGCCCATGCATTATATAATCACAGTTATGTAACCACATTATGGGTGGGCTCATCACCTGGCTTTGAGCCACTATTTTCTGTGAGTAATATAACTGCACTGCTGACTCTGAAAGAGAGCTGCCAGCTGCCTTGCAGGCAGACAAGGGTGGGAAGCCAGAAAGTGGCAAGTGCCAGGGAGCCACCTGTCCACCAGCTCCCCTCAGACCCCAGCTTGGGCTGGAACCCGATACTTGGCATAGTCGGTAGGATTCTGAGGTGAGTGAGCCCTCAGCCTGATGATCCCGGGTAAGCTATGTGGCCATGCTGCTTCGATGGCCCCCAATGGAAACATGGGTGGCAGTGGACAGGTCCCCCATAAGTATGGAAAAGGTGCTGAAGTACCTGGAAGCACAGAACACTGGACAGAAGTGGGCCTTTCCCAGTAGAGTAGGATGGGCATTTCTGACTACACTATGGGACAGGCACACTCAGTCCTTGTTGGATGCAGCACAGGTAAGGGACCTCCACTCAGTCTGATACAGAGGAGGAAGAACCTCCTTTTCAGGCTCGTCCAGTGTTCCACCAGAAAGTAGGGCATGAACAGCTCTGGGGTGGGGGGGCCCAGGGATCCTTACCATGGCAGAGCACACTTCATATATGCCTATATCCCAACTGAGTTGTGGGAATTAGGTAAACAATGTCAGCAGCCTCCTGGGGAGCTCCCACCTCCCCTGGATGCTTGGCCTCTGGAACTAAGGAGCTGACAGTATTTCCTGTTCTGCCCCACTGTGGAGGCAATTATCCTCGGAGCAGCAATTCTGAGAAATGTCCATAAGTGGGTAGGGTTAGCCGCTAGACCCAGTCCCACCTGGATGCTCCAGCTCACGGATTACTTGCAAATGAGCAGAGGAATAGAGCCTTTTGTGTTTAATTAGGGAAGTTGCTGAAGTAATTGTAGCCTCGTCTGTGGGAACCTGGATAAGTTTCTGGGCAAAGCTGCATACATAGATGGCTATGGAGGCCGGTCAGTGAAAGTGAAACCTGTATCTCTGCACCTAGGCATCAGCCGTTTGGCTCCATAGTTATACACTGCATATGTCTGTCCCATACCAGAGTGCATTCTGGGGATGGATATTTCACATGGCTTGGCAGCTCTGCCACATCTATCATGGATTTCATGGACTGCTTGACGATGGAATTGGGACAGTACCACTATGCAGTGGACTTGGCTAATGCATTATTTTCCATTGACATCGCTCCAGAGAGTCAGAAACAGTTTGCCTTCACATGGAAGAGGCCACAGTGGACTTTCACAGTGTTGCCACAGGGCTGTGTGCATAGCCCCACTATATGTCATGGTCTTGCTGTCATAGATTGAGCTCCCTGGAAATGTCCAAAGGGAATCCACCTATTCCATTATATTGATGATATTATGTTAACCTCTGATTCTCTTGCAGATTTAAAAGCATCAGTAGCCCTCTTGTGACAACATTTGGCAGCATGTGGTTAGGCTATCAATGAATCCAAAGAATGAGGGCCTGGATTGACTGCCGAATTCTTGAGAGTTATCTTGTCGTGTAAGATGAAAAGCCATACCAGAGGCCATCACAGACAAAATTCAGGCATATCCCCAGACCACCATGGTGAGGCAGTTGCAAACCTTTGTGGGCCTCCTGGGGTATTGGCAGGCATGTGTGCCCCTTTTGGGTCAAATAATAAAACACTTGTATCTGTTGACAAAAAGGGGGGCTATCTGGGATTGGGATGATAAGGCTAAGACAGCCTTTCTGGCAGCCAAGTAGGCTATTCAGCAAGCACAGGCCCTACAAATGATTGATCAAGGGTGCCCATTTGAACTTGATGTGCACGTGACCACAGATAGGTTTGGCTGGGGCCTATGGCAGCACATGGAGAGCTTTAGAACACCAGTAGTCTTTTAGTCCCAACTTTGGAAGGGAGCTGAACTCCAGTATGCATCAATAAAGAAGCACTTAGCAGCTGCATATGCCACCCATCAGACTCGTGAGAGCATGACAGGATGGGCTACAGTCAACATGCAGGTGACTTACCCATTAGTGGGGTGGGTACATTTATGGGTAACAACCCCCTGGACTGGGATGGCACACACATCCACTTTAGCAAAGTGGGGTGCCTACTTTGAACAGTGGAATACCCTGAGTACAAGCCCCTTAGCAGCAGAATTACAAGAAATCTTGGGATCTGTAATCCTAATGCAAGATAAGGCCATGGGTCAGCTGAGGCACCCTTAGACCCTCATCACTGTTTAAAGAGTGGCACCCCCAAGTCAGCCCCAATGGGGCATGGTACACAGATGGGTTCAGCCAGGGTGCTGGACTAACGTGGTCCAGGCTAATACTGACATCATATGGTTTAATATTGGGTGTGGACAACATAGTCAATGGGCTGAGCTCAGAGTGGTATGAATGGTGATCACCAAGGAGGAGACACCTATGGTAAATCTGCACCGACAGTTGGGCAGTGTATCAAGGTTTAACCTTGTGGTTAACTACCTAGAAGTTACAGAATTGGCTAGTTGGTCATCAGCCCATGTGCTGCCAGGCCAAACTCAAGACCTATGGGAGGAAGGATGACCTCCTCCGACCAGTAATGGTGATAAACATTGTGATGGTTAATACTGAGTGTCAATTGGATTGGATTGAAGGATACAAAGTATTGATCCTGTGTGTGTCTGTGAGGGTGTTGCCAAAGGAGATTAACATTTGAATCAGTGGGCTGGGAAAGGCAGACCTACCCTTAACGTGGGTAGGCACAGTCTAATCAGCTGCCAGCATGGCTAGAATATAAGCAGGCAGAAAAATGTGAAAAGAGAGACTAGTCTAGCCTCCCAGCCTACATCTTTCTCCCATGATGGATGCTTCCTGCCCTAGAACATTGGACTCCCAAGTTCTTCAGTTTTGGAACTCAGACTGGCTCTCCAGCATATTGTGGGACCTTGTAATCATGTGAGTTAATACTTAATAAACTCACCTTTATTCCATGATTTCTGTCCCTCTAGAGAACCCTGACTAATATAAATGGTAACCTATTGCTGCCTGCCTCAACACCAACAAAGGCAGGGAAACAAAATACCTGGCTTTGGCCATGGACCCTCCAAGGCCCCACTGCAGGTGGTTGGCCATCATAGCCCCCTGGGGGGAAGGCCTACAGTATAATTTACACGTCACTCCTTGGGTATTTAATATATGGCCTCCGTAATTGACCGTTTGTAAGGGAAGAGCCAGGGAAAGAACCCTCCTCCGGGGGACATATATGTTGTCTAGCCTATTATAAGCTCCCCAGTAACAAACACAGATACAGAACCCAAAGGAAACATTGGGGAGCTGAAAAGGTGTGGTACCATTGTTCAGCACAGAGGCCCCTGGCTGACCCATAGCATCTATAACGAATAGGGCTAGTTAGCAGCGAGTTGTTGCTCCCTGTATTAGTGCTGTAGCTTATGGGTCCAAGGTTCTGCCCTGTGAGCACATCTCCCCACTAGAACGACTCCCTCATCCTACGGAGTGGAGTGTAAGGAAAATGGATGTGCTTCAGTCAAGAGTAGGCCCAGGTAAACATTCCAATGCAGCATGACACAGTGTGATTGGAGCACACGTGCACAGTTCTGTGCATTATATAATCACAGTTCTGTAACCATGTTATGGGTGGGCCCATCACCTGGCTTTGAGCCACTGTTGTCTGTGAGTAATATAACTTCACTGCTGACTCTGTAAGAGAACCACCAGCTGCCTTGCAGACAGACAAGCAAGGGGGAGTCAGAAAGCTGCAAGCATGCAAGGGAGAGTAGCTGCAGGCATGGGAGCAGCAGGAGAGGTGGAGCTGGTGCAGAGCGGGACTGCGGCCAGAGCGGGCAGCTGAGACAAAGGCTGATGAAGAGAGAGAAAATAAAACCATATCACAACTGCCTACGGTCTCTTGAGTGTACTTTCAGCTACCCGCCACCCGTCCACCAGCTCCCTTTGGACCCCAGCTCAGGTTGGAGCCTGACACTGACTGTTGCCTTCTGTTTGCATTCTTTCTCCTACCATGATGAATATAACTGCTGATCAAATTAGCATGCTGTCTACTCTTTCAACAATTAGATTATTCCTGAGTCATCTTTGTTGGAGTTCTGGAATTCTGTATCTCTTTCATTCTGCAGCTATTTGGTTGCACAATTACTGGCCATTTTTTTCAGCATCCTTTTACTCAAGAATTGCTGAGTATTTATTATGTGAAAATAAATGTGTTAGTCCCTATGGATATAATGTTACCTCTAGGCAAGATAGAAGGAGTGCTTACCTTCATAAACTGCAAATTCTGAAAATAAAAATGGAAATTAAGTACATCATTTAAATAAATCGTACTGAATATATGATTAAAAAATACCTGGCACTATTGAAATTTTAGGAAATTTCATATGAAATAATGTGTTGCATTTATACTGATGGATGAGAATAAATTATTGTTTTTCTATTACTGATGGTATTCTTACAATTTATGGACTCTTTTGGTTTAGTTCTCTAAAATACAAAAAATTCTGATTTCTCATATCTGTAAATAAATTTACAGCACCTTATGGTTGCCCAGGGTTGAACAAAATTAATAGTCCATGTTATAAAAATAGAAGATCATATATATAAAGGAGCGATACAGCATCTAGTATAAATAGCCTCTCAAAAAGCCATTATTAATGGTGTTCAATTGTTTAAAAATGGGAATTATTACACAAGAAAATATCTTGTGTTTTTGTACATTAGAATATTTTCTCAGCCCTTTCTCTCCATTCAAGCCCTCATCATTTCATTCCCTGAAGGATATTTACTAGGGCTTCCCAACAAAGAGCGTCACTATCTAAACTACATTTCTACTTTCAAAGAGGGGAGGTTTGGAGAACTCCCAAAAGCTTCAGCATGCAGATGCTATAAATTTAAGCCCGAGTCTTTAATATTTTAAAAATCAGAAGTTTTCCTTGAATTTATTAACATTAAAGGCTTTCAAGTCATGACAATTCAAAATGGTGATAATACTAGTTGTATTTCACCAAGCAGTCTTGAGAGGAAATAGGGTGTATCTAGGATCAGTTTCTGATCTTGCTCAATTTCAGCAGCTGCCTCATGATCCAGGATTGCATTAGGAGTTCTTCTCCTTCCTAGTCATGCACACTGTGATTTTCTGACTACTGTGCAAGGTGAATGCACTTCCAGGAAACCTAAGGTCCACAAACAGAGGTTATTTTCTCATTTGACATTCATCACACTTGTCCGTTAACATTAAAATATGCATATGGTTGTCCAAATGAGAATGAGAGAGCAAGAATATGAGTTAACATTAAAAACCTTCCCAATACAATTCAATACCATTACTCATATAGTTTTTTGTTATATCAATCTAACCTACAAACTTTTAAACTATTACAGAATTCCAAATTCCTCCCACAATCTTCCTGGCTTTTAGTACCCTTCATTGTCTGGCCACACTCTTCTTATTTCTCAGTCTTAGCGTGTCATAGCTTCTTGGTATGTTTATATGACATATATTTATATTTATGAAGACATATTTGGAGGTCTTTTTATATTTACTTGAGCTCCAAATTTTCTTTCAAATCTTATTTCTGTCTAGTGGTATATAAACTGATCATATTACACCTTAAGACTTTCCAAATTTCACTAACATTTTCTAATTTGATGAGAAAATTTTGACCCAGCTGAGGCTTTTCTGAAAACAATTAATCACTGTTTTTTAAATGTCATAGAGTATACATGAAGGTCTTATTTCCTTCTACTATCTTAGCACCCATGAAAATTGACTCTCTTCTGATTTTTTTTTTTAATCTAAAATTTGGCTTAAAAAACATTACTCTTTTAGGCCTCTTCTTTTAATTTTTACTTCTATTAATTTTGTTTTTGTTGTTACTTGTGGGTGTATTTATTTGGTTGGTTTGGAACATCTTTCACAAACATACTAGTTTTTCTTTTTCATTTTTAAAGAATGTTTATTTTGTGAGAATTGTGACCAAAATACTTACACTAGATGGAGCAGGTAAATGTAGGGTAGTAATGATGGGACCGTAAACATCATGCACGAAAGATGGAAATAAGTTTGTGTCTCATGCCATAGAATATTGAAGTCATTCCCTGTATATAAATGTATATTATATACATATTGTTATATGTATATGTATATTGTGTGCATATATAGGAATGACTTTAATATTCATGTCTGTGTATAAATGCATACTGTACACTATATGTATCATATGTTTCTAATTAAGTTATAAGCACTCTTACTGCAGAGTTTTGCTTCATGATATCATTTAATCCCAATTAAAGCAAGAGTTTCTTCATTACTCCAGACAGTATCTTTCTCTCCGTGAGCTCTCACAGTCCCTCCTATGTCATATTCAGATTTGTCCAGGCATGTATCTTACTTCTTTAATTTGCTAATATACTCCTTAAGGTCAGGAGCCTACTAATTTAGTTCTAAATTCCCTCATGGTATGCAGTATATTATAAGCATTTGATAAAAATATTGCTAGTTAGTACATTTTACCCCATAGATACAATAAGTAGATTTAAAAAATGAAAAGAAGAACAAATATGTAACAAAAAATAAAATTAGACACATTTCTTAATTATTTATATTAAGAACAAAAAGGATGTCTTTTTTTCTTAAAGATTGAAACAGCTTTGCCATAATGGATTAGTGTTTTATTTACATTTTAATATTCTGTCTCCTACATTCCTATAGATTCTGACCTGAGCTTAGCAAAATAAATGGAACGTAAACAAATGAATAAAATATTTGTTAAACTGGCTAAAGTGATATTAGCATTTCCTGCTGTCAGCCAGCAAAAGCTATAAGGAAGCTGTGGTAATCCAATAATGAGTTGCCACTAAGGCACAGCAGACAGAGGTCACGTGGGACTGGAAGATCTTCGCCAAAGAAAAAATGTTTGGGCAATCACAGGGCAATGGTGAAAATAGTAGAGGACAGTATCTGCTTTTAGTTTTTCTTGGCTCTACCATCACTTCAAAGAAAGAAAGCCATTGTGTACGAGCTTGTTGGAAACTCAACTGGTGATTGAAACTCTTGTTGTTCACATGGCACAAATCTTTGTTAAAATTAGTAAGTTACAAAAATAGAACATGAGTACATGTTTTGGAAAAATGTTTAAAATACAATATCTAAGGTCTTATTTGTTGACAATTCTAAATACCATCGCCGTCTCCCCGTCTTCTCCAAAGTAACCATTTTCTTATTTGCTTTGTATCTTTTCCAAAACTTTATATTTTATATATGTCCTATATAAGTACATGTAAATATATATGTAGTATATATAAAACAGATATAAAGATGTAATATTTAATGCCATATACATATATATAGCATGTATGTACAGTATTATATTTATATATATTCTTACTCACATATACACATATATATCATGTATATATGTATACCTATATAGGGAGATATATAAATATATATGAAATCTGAAATATTAGCTTACATATTAGTATTCATTGGTTTTTTGATCATTTGACCCTTGTTCATTTTAATAACCTCCTTTTCTTTCTACCTGGTACATTTATTGGTGAGGACTGTGCAAATAATAAGTTCAATGAAAGTTTGGTTTAAAAATGTTGGCTTGTTTGAGGATCCTGCAGGCAGTTAAGCCAACTTCTCTTCTGTTCCTAAAAATCCTTTTAATATCCTCCACTCCTGATTGCACATACTGGATATGATCACAGTCTCTTGCCTCTCCTGAAGTTTCAGAGATGCACAAAGGAAGAGAGGAGGCAGCAGAAGCTATACCTCACCACACTCTCTGTGCTAGGGCTGGGTTCAAACTATTAGTAAGTTCAGAACTTTATTTTCAGAAGTTAAAACTTTTTATAATAAGGAGGAGATCGTTTTTTACTTTTACTGACCAATTTAAATTGAAACGTGATCTTAAAATTTCATTGGTGAGTCCCTGCTCGTAGTATCTGACAAACTGTATTTTTCCATTTAAATTTAAAAAGTCACAATAAGAAACTAATATATTAATGCAATAATTTGCATCTTATTAAATAAGAATATTTAAAAAGTAATTTTACAAAGAATTTAATGATATATATTATTACATGTGGTATCTATAATATAGATAATATAAAATGTAGTAATACAGAAAAATTGTCTAATAATATAGTAATATAAAAAATTCTATATTCCAGCAATAATAGAAAAATTCTCAAACTTCTGTACCCCATTACCATCCTTTTTATCTGCTAATAACATGAGGTTTTAAATAATTAAAATGAAACATCAACGTACAGTTGACCTTTGAACAACCAGGATTTGAACTGTACTGGTCCACTTTTTTTTTTTTTTTTTTTTTGAGACGGAGTCTCACTCTGTCGCCCAGGCTGGAGTGCGGTGGCACTATCTCCACTCACCGAAAGCTCTGCTTCCTGGGTTCACACCATTCTCCTGCCTCAGCCACCCAATTAGCTGGAACTACAGGTGCCTGCCACCACGCCCAGCTAATTTTTTATACTTTTTAATAGAGACGGGGTTTCACCATGTTTTGCCAGGGTGCTCTCGATCTCCTGACCTCGTGATCGGCCCACCTTGGCTTCCCGAAGTGCTGGCATTACAGGCATGAGCCACCGCGCCCGGTCGCTGGTCCACTTTCATGTGAACTTTCTTCTGCCTCTGCCCACCCTGAGCCGGCAAGACCAACCCCTCCTCAGCCTATTCATATGGAGACAATGAGGATGAAGACATTTATAATGATCCACTTCCACTTAATAAATAGTAAATATATTCTTTCTTTCTTATGATTTTCTTAGTAACACTTTCTTCTCTCTAGCTTAATGTACTGTCAGAATACAGCATATAACACATGTAACATACAAAATATGTGTTAATTGATTGTTTATGTTATCGGTAAGGCTTCTGGTCAACAGTAGGCTGTTAGTGGTTACGTTTTTTGGAACTCAAAAGTTATATGCAGATTTTCAACTTCACAGAAGTTCAGCAGGCCTAAACCACACATTGTTCGAGGGTCAGCTCTATTAACTAAACTGTTTTATATTAAAAGATACAGAAAATAAAGCTTACCAAATGAAGCCTCAGTGATTTCATTTTATCTTGTCAATCTTACTCTAACAGTACTGAGCAGACATTTTTGACATTTTTTCTCACTGTTTACTAACAATATTATGCACAGAATGAAGCATAATATTAAGTTTTATCTGGTTTCAAAGGGTTCCCCAATTTGACCCAACCACTTCACAACCCTCACTTATTTTTTTTCATTTATTTAACTTCACTGCAACCACTCCCTCTTAGTCATAGATAAGGCTCTATGCAGGTGGCCCCGATCTCTCCGCTCCATGACAATGTTGTGTACTTAAAACATAATATTATAAATTCTATTTGTCAGGATATTTCTGTCAGCATTTGCAAACTTTGTAAAACAAAATCAAAGTTATTCAATTCAAACATTACATAATTCCATCAATCCCCTCCCCAAAATAAAACAACAATTAGTTTTGTAGCTATTACAATTTGCTATTCTTTTCAAAATATGTTCCAGAACAAAATTTTTAAAAATAATGAAAATCACATATTTTAGTAAAGTGTAATCTATTAAGGACTCATTTTATAATAAAACCTGCATTTTAGATGAATGTGTGTGGGGTCTGCATTTTAACCTTTTCAAGTATGATTAGTTTTCACTATCATCAGTGTAACATTTCAGCACTGGTGAAAAAAGAAGGGACTCATTATTCTAAAGACAGCATGCTATTTATTAATAAGTTCATTAGACATTTGGAAAGAGGTTAAGGTAATAAGTAGGATGTTCATTATTGCTTAATCATCCTAGTTATTTGAATATTTTTTGGTACAGCTCTATCAATACACTTATTAAAACCTTCATTTACGTCTCTCATCATTCCATTTCTGTATGCTCATATAAAAGTTCTTATTAAAACCAATTTGTTTTGTGCACTGACAATCATGTTGAAAAGTCAGCAGGAAATATAAATCATCCAATTATTCCTATTGAGGAAACAGCATGAAAGTGTTGATAGATTTAGACTGATGATTTGTGCAGCTTTGCATCACTGTGCAGTCTAAGGGCCTTTGATGACTTGATTCAGATTTTAATCTGCTGTTCTTCCCTTTGTTCTGTAGGAGATTATTTATTCCTACATGCTCCAGAATGTACAGGATGATGGGTAAAAAATACAGCAGGAAAAATGAAGATAAATTATGGTGTGGGACTTCTAGTGGAAAGCATCTGTTGTTGAAACAGATGAGGTTTATCAATCTAGAGTAATTATCAATGTCTTTTAAAAATCAATGTCAACTCAGCCATTTCTTGTGTCAGAATTTTCCCTAATCAGATTTATTGGTGATGTTAGAGTACACAAAATAATGATTATCTCCTAAATTGAAACAGCCGGAAACGAAAAACCATACCTCTCCACCCTCTGACACAGACATCAGGGGAGAAACTGCTCATTAAAAATCTGGTGAAGTGGATAAAAATTGGTGTTGTTCTCTGAAAGTTAAAAACTCAATGTGGTACACAACTTAGAGACTTTTAATAAAGCACTGTTGAAACCAGCACAGCTGTTGCTTTGAAATGCAACATTATTTTCTGTGTTGTCTTAATGTTAGTCTTTGATAATAAATAAAGAAAACAGCCAATTTAAAACTCAGGGATGTCCTTCGAGAACAGAAAAAGTTGAGTGGCACACTGAGAGCAAATTAGAGGAAAGTAAATGCCATTGTAACACTCCAGATGGTTTAGAGAACTTTCTCAATAGATCTGTGTAATTCCCACTGGGAACAGGGGCTGAGCTGGCCCAAAATTTTGCCAAAGGAACTGGGCACACATTTACTTCTTAAAACCATTATATTCTATGTTCTAATTGTATTCAAAACTTTTGAATGTAGAAGAAGAAAGATTTTATTCACTAACTAAATTCTGTATATAGGATAACAGAGTCAAACTGTGGTATAGATTTTACTTGTATATTGGCACATAGGCTGCCCATAGACTCAGACAAAATAACCCCACTCTGGCCCTATTTTAGCCATGCTCCTACTTACCACACAGTTAGCAGGCCATGGAACAAAGGGTCCTTGCTCACTCAGAGCCTTTATGCACCCCATCCCTAAACCTTTCTTGTTCTAAATGCCCAGGATCTTGCATGTCTGGTTTAAATAGCCTTAAGCCTCCTTCCAGTAATTCAGTGGGCATTATCTCAAGCTCCCTTCCCCCAAAGGCACACCATGAACGTGGTAACCTCATGGATAGCAAGAGTGGCCAGGGGATGGTTGTTTCTCTGAGGCTGTGACAGAAACTTGGAATGTGGGTCAAAGTGTGTAACTGCAGAAATTGGGAGTAGGAAGAGAAGATAGGTGGAATCTTAAGCCAGGAGGTGCAAACCAGCGGTCCTTGCATCACCATTTCTGAGTGGCGATCTGTCTACACTTGTGCTCAGTTTCAAGACTTCTACTGACATATTTGTCAGGGTAAAAAGATAAAACATATTTTTAATAACTAATCTTGGTTTATAATGTTAAAAAATTCTGACTTATGTTATATGGGCCCCAGGTATTCTCTAGACCTCACAGAGGTTAATACACTTCCATTTTAAAGACAATTTTCTTCATCATTAATAGGGTCGTTTAAGTTGAATCTTATTTTTAAACATGGAGAATTTTATTTTTTTCTACTAAGTAACATTAACATTTCTGGAGGTGAATTGTGTCAGGAAACTTTGCCATGGAATCCATCAGTTTGTCCCCTCTCAGTGCTTAATGTTTTTCTCTCTCTGATGTATCACTGTCTCTTGCACAGGTTCTTTATCAACTAAGGAATTAGTACGTCTTGATAACTTGTCTAGTTCTGGTCTTCATTATTTTAGTCCTCTCTCTAAAATAAAAGAAGAAGAAGGAAGAAAAGGGTGGGAAAACAGAAGGAAAAGAAAAGGAGGAAAGGCAAGAGGAGAAAAAGTGAAAGAAGCAGTTATCTCTGTAATGACATGAACAACTACTTCTGTCTACTTCTAGCTCAAACTGCTAATATATTACATTAATAACAACCATATATTAAACCTTAACTAGATGTCTCGGCTTGGATGTATCAATGTTATTGTAACATATATATTTATTTGTTGAGTACTTAATACATTCAGGACTCTGGGCTACATCCTACAGAGATGAGTTAAAAATAATATGTATGGAGTGAGTGAGAAGACGGCAGATAGGAGGCAGGACTAGCTTGCAGCTCCTGCTCAGATGGACAGAGCAGCAAGTGGAGACTCACATCATGAACTTTTGCTCCAAGTACTACCTTAGGATCATACAAGGAAAGCCAAGAAAATCCACAGACCCTTTGAAGGAACTAGGCTCCCTGAGACACCAAAAAACTGTGAGTTGGTTTGCTTTCTCAATGGGGAGGCTTATAGTCTGGGGCAAGTACTCAGGCCTGGTCACTGGCTGACTGGAAATAGATTCAGTGCTGTTGAAACGAGGGGCACGGTGGGAGTCAGACCAGCCTGTAGGATGGTGGGCTGTGTGGGAGCAGGGTAAGCCCTGTGACTGTGGCTTTCTCCCACTTCTCTGGTGACCTGTGTGACTCAGCAGAGACAGCCATACTGCCCCTGGCAATATAACTGCATTGGACTGGGAACCACACCCCCATCTCCCACAGGAGCTGCAGAAAGCCCCACTCAAAAAGAGGCTGAGCTCAGCCATGCCCATCCCAGCACCCATTCGGTGGTCTTTCTCTACCCACCCTGGTAGCTGAAGACAAAGGTCGTAATCTCTTGAGGGTTCTATGGCCCTGTCAACCGCCTGAGAAACCTGAATACTTAACCAGGTTTCCCTAGGGCAAATTTGCATCTTCCCTGTAGGACCATAGCTGATGAGGTCTTAAAAGCGCCACCTCCTGGCTGAGGCCAACCAACACAAAACCAGCACATTAAACAAAAACACAATCAAGGACCCTCACAGAGTCCACTTCATTCCTCTGCTATCTCCATGGGAGCTGGTGCTGGTGGAAGACCTGAAGATGGATCATATCATAGGACTCTTTGCAGACACTCCCCAGTACCAGCTTGGAGCCTGGTAGCTCCACTGGGTGGCTAGACCCAGAAAGATAAAAACAATAACTACAGTTTGGCTTCCAGGGAACCCCATTCCTAGAGGAAGGGGGAGAATATCACATCAAGGGAGCACAACATGGGACAAAAGAATCTGAACAGGAGCCCTTGAATCCCATATCTTCCCTCTGATGTAGTCTACCCAAATAAGAAAGAACCAGAAAAACAATTCTGGTAATGTGACAAAACAAGGTTATTATACAAGCCTACCAGCAATGGATCCAAACAAAGAAGGAATCCCTGAATTGTCAGAAAAAGAGCTCAGAAGGTCAATACTTAAGCTAATCAAGGAGGCACCTGAGAAAGGTGAAGTCCAACTTAAAGAAATCAAAAACTGACTTGAAAGAGAAATTCTTCAGTGAAATAGATAGCATAAACAAAAAACAATCACAACTCTGGAAATCAAGGACACACTAAGAGAATTGAAAAATGCACTGCAAGTCTCAGCAATAGAATAAAACAAACAGAGGAAAAAATTTCAGAGCTCAAAGACAAAGCTTTCACATTAATCCAATCCAGAAAAGACAAAAAATAAAAACAATGTGAACGAAGCCTCCAAGAAGTTTGGGATTCTGTTAAATGAACAAACCAAAGAAAAACTGGAGTTCCTGAGGAATAAGATTAATCTAAAAGTTTGGAAAACATATTTGAGGGAATAATTGAGGAAAACTTCTTTGGTCTTGTTAGAGATCTAGGCATTCAAATATAAGAAGCTCAAAGAACACCTGAGAAATTCATCACAAAAAGATCATTGCCTAGGCACATAATCATCAGGTTACCTAAAGTCAAGATGAAGGAAAGAATCTTAAGAGCTGTGAGACAAAAGCATTAGGTAATCTATAAAGGAAAACCTGTCAGATTAACAGCAGATGTCTCAGCAGAAACCCTCCAAACCAGAAAAGATTAGGGTCCTATTTTTAGCCTCCTTAAACAAAACAATTATCAGCCAATAATTTTGTATCCAGCAGAACTGAGCTTCATAAATGAAGGAAAGATACAGTCTTTTCCAGACAAACAAATGCTAAGAGAATCTGCCACTACCAAGCCAGCACTGTGAGAGCTATTAAAAAGAGTTCTAATTCTTGAAACAAATTCTAAAGATACACCAAAATAGAACTTCCTTAAAGCATAAATCTCAGTGGACCTATATAGCAAGAAAACAATTAATTTTTTTTTTAAAAAACAAGGTATTTAGGCAACAAATAACATGATGAATAGACTAATACCTCACATCTCAATACTAACATTGAATGTAAATGGCCTAAATATTTCACTTAAAAGATACAGAATGGCAAAATGGATAAGAATTCACCAACCAAGTTTCTGCTGTCTTCAGGAGATTCACCTAACACATAAGGACTCACATATACTTAAGGTAAATTGGTGGAAAAAGGTATTCCATGCAAACAGACACCAAAAGTGAGCAGGAGTAGCTATTCGTCTATGAGACATAACAAATTTTAAAGCAGCAGCTGTTAAAAAAGACAAAGAGGAATATTATATAATGATAAAATGACTAACAGTAAAATTCTACAATTCTAAATATATATGCACCTAATACTGGAGCTCCAAAATTTATAAAACAATTATTACTGGACCTAGGAAATGAGATAGATGGCAACACAATAATAGTTGGGGACTTTAATACTGCAGTGACTGCACTAGACAGCCCATCAAGACAGAAAGTCAACAAAGAAACAATGGACTTAAACTATGCCGCTCAACAAGTAGACTTAGCAGATATTTACAGAACATTCTCCCCAACAACTGCAGAATATACATTCTATTCATCAGCGCATAGGACATCCTCCAAGATAGACTTTTTGATAGGCTGCAAAACAAGTCTCAGTAAATTCAAGAAAATCGAAATTATGTCAAGTATTTTCTCAGACCACAGTGGAATAAAATTGGAAATCAGCTCCAAAAGGAACCCTGAAAACCATGCAAATACATGGAAATTAAATAACCTGCTCTTGAATGATCAATGGATCAACAATGAAATCAAGATGAAAATTTAAAAATTCTTTGAACTGAATGACAATAGTGACACAACCTATCAAAACCTCTGGGATTCAGCAACAATGGAGCTAAGAGGAAAGTTCATAGCATAAAATGCCTACATCAAAAAGTCTGAAAGACCACAGACAGACAATCTAAGGTCACACCTCATGGAACTGCAGAAACAAGAACAGTCCAAATCCCAACTCCATAGAAGAAAAGAAATAACAAAGACCTAAACACAACTAAATGGAATTGAAATAAACAAATAAAAAAGATAATTGAAGCAAAAAGTTGGTTCTTTGAAAAGATAAATAAAATCGATAGAACAATAGCAAGATTAACAAAGGGAAAAAGAAGAGAAGATCCAAATAAGCTCATTTACAAATGAAATGGGTGATATTACAGCTAAAACAACAGAAATACAAAAGAGTATTCAAGTCTACTATAAACAATCTTACATGTATAAACCAGAAGGCCTAGAGGAGATGGATAAATTCCTGGAAATATAAAATCCTCCTAGATTAAGCCAGGAAAATATAGAATATCTGAACAGATCAATAACAAACCTTGAGATTGAAATGGTAATAAAAAAATTGCCAATGAAATAATGTCCAGGACTAGAAAGATTCACAGCTGAATTCTATCCAGCATTCAAAGAAAAATTGTCACCAATCCTATTGATACTATGTCAAAAGATAGCAAAAGAGGGAATCCTTCTTAAATCATTCTGTGAAGCCAGTATCACCCTAGTACCAAAACCAGGGAAGGACATAACAAAAAAAGGAAGCTACAAACCAATATCCCTAATGAAGATAGATGTAAAAATCCTCAACAAAATGCTAGTGAAACAAATCCAATAGCATATCAATGATTGTCCACCATGATCAAGTGGGTTTCATACTAGGGATGAATGGATGTTAACATACACAAGTCAATAAATGTGATACACCATATAAACAGAATTAAAAATAAAAATCACATGATCATCTCAATAAATACAGAAAAAGCATTTGACAAAACCCAGCATCCCTTTATGATTAAAATCCTCAGCAAAATCAGCATAGAAGAAACACACCTTAAGGTAATAAAAGCCATCCATGACAAACTCACTGCCAACAATATACTTAATGGGGAAAAATTGAAAGCTTTCCCCCTGAGAACTGGAACAAGTCAAGGATGCCTTCTTTCACCACTTCTATTCATTGTAGTACTAGAAGTCCTAGCCAGAGAAATCAGATAAGAGAAAGAAAGAAAAAGCATTCAAATCATTAAAGAGGAAGTCAAACTGTCGCTGTTTGCTGATTATATAATTATAAACATAGAAAACCCAAAAGACTCATCGAAAAAGGTACTAGAACTGATAAATGAATTCAGCAAAGTTGCAGGATACAAAACTTATGTACATAAATCAGTAGCTCTGCTGTACATCAACAGCGACCAAGCTGAGAATCAAATCAAGAAATCAACCTCTTTCACAATAGCTGCAGAAAAAACAAAACAAACAAACAAAAAATCTTTAGGAACATACCTAACTAAGGATGTAAAAGACCTCTACAAGGAAAACTACAAAACAGTGCTGAAAGAAATCACAGACAACACAAACAAATGGAAATACATCCCATGCTCATGGATGGACAAAATCAATATTGTGAAAATGATCATACTGCCAAAGGAATCCACAAATTCAGTGCAGTTCCAATTGAAATACCACCATCATTCTTCACAGAACTAGGAAAAAGAACTAAAATTCATATGGAACCAAAAAAAGAGCCCAGATAGCCATAGCAAGACTAAGCAAAAGGAACAAATTTGGAGACATCGCATTGCCCAACTTCAAACTATACTATAAATCCATAGTCACCCAAACAGCACAATACTGGCATAAAAATTGGCACATAAACCAATGAAATGGAATAGAGAACCCCAAAATAATGCCACTTACTTACAGCTAGCTGATCTTTGACAAGGCAAACAAAAACACAAAGTGAGGGAAGGACACCCTATTCAAAAAATGGTGATGGGATAATTGGCTAGCCACACGTAGGAGAATGAAACTGGATCTTCGTCTCTCACCTTATACAAAAATTAACTCAAAGTGGATCAAAGACTTAAATCTAAGACCTGAAACCATGAAGATTCTAGAAGATAACATTGGAAAAACCCTTCTAGACACTGGCTTAGGCAAAGACTTCATGATCAAGAACCCAAAGCAAATGCAACAAAAACAAAGATAAATAGATGGGAGCTAATTAAACTAAAAAACTTTTGCACAGTAAAAGAAATAATCAGCAGAGTTAACAGACAACCCACAGAGTGGGAGAAAATCTTCACAATCTATACATTTGACAAAGGACTAATATCCAGAATCTACAAGGAACTCAAATCAGCAAGAAAAAGCAATCAATCCCATCAAAAAGTGGCCTAAATACATGAATAGACAATTCTCAAAAGAAGATATACAAATGGCCAACAAGAACATGGAAATATGTTCAAGATCACTAATTATCAGGGAAATGCAAGTCAAAACCACAATGCAATACCACCTCACCCCTGCAAGAATTGCCGTAATCAAAAAGTTAAAAAAAAATAGATGTGTTGATGTGGCGAAAAGGGAACACTTTTACACTGTTGGTGAAAATGTAAACTAGTATGAACACTATGGAAAACAGGGTGTGGAGATTCCTATAAGAATTAAAAAAAGATCTACCTTTTCATCCAGCAATCTTACTACTAGGTATCTACCCAGAGTGAAATAAGTCATTATACAAAAAAGATACTTGCCATGCATGTTTATAGCAGCACAAATTGCAGTTGCAAAAATATGGAACCAGCCCAAACGCCCATCAATCAACAAATGGATAAAGATATATACACCATGGAATACTGCTCAGCCATAAAAAGGAATGTAATAATGGCATTCACAGAAACCAAGATGGAATTGGAGACTATTGTTCTAAGTGAAGTAACTTAGGAATGGAAAACCAAACATCATGTGTTCTCACTTATAAGTAGGAGCTAAGTTATGAGGATGCAAAGGCATAAAAATGATACATTGGAATTTGGGAACTAAGAGGAAAATGTGGGGGGTGGTGAGGGGTAAAAGACTACACATTGGGTACAGTGTACACTGCTTGGGTGATGGGTGCACCATAATCTCAGAAATCACCACTAAAGTACTTGTTCATGTAAGTAAACACCACCTGCTTCCCAAAAACCTATTGAAATAAAAAATAATAATAATATATATGCTTTAATAACAAGTGATTTCATCCACTTCTCTATTTCATGACAACTCTCATCATTAACTTTCCTATTTTTGTTTTATAACCCCAACATATGATGCTTCTTCTTCCCTTACATCTATTCCAAACAAATGCTAAAGTCTATTTCATTTTGCACTTATTTTAAACATTAGTGGATTTTTCTTCCTCTTTATCCAAAATGCTACCTTAACAACATGGTGATTAAAATTGCATCTTATTTCTTCCCATATATGCAATCAATATGCTGATTAACATTTTATACTTTTGGGTTGTACATTTAAGTCTTTAATCCGTCCTGAGTTAATTTTTATATGTGATGAAAGGAAGGGTCATTTCAATCTTCTGCACATTGCTAGCCAGTTTATCTCAGCATCATTTAGTGAATATGGAGTCCTTTTCCTATTGCTTGTTTTTGTCAAGTTTGTTGAAAATCAGATCGTGATCTACATGGTTACTGCAGCCATGTAGTACAGTTTGAAGTTGATTAGCATGATGCCTCCAGTTTTGTTCTTTTTGCTTAGTATTGCTTTGGCTATTTGAGCTCTTTTTTGGTTCCATATTAATTTTAAAATGGTTTTTTTCTAGTTCTGTGAGGAATGTCAGTGGTAGTTTAAAAATAATAGCGTTGAATCTATAATTTTCTTTGGGCAGTATGGCCATTATAACAATATGGATTCTTCCTATCCATGAGCCATTCAGGATATAGGCATGGAAAAATATTTCATGACAAAAATGCCAAAAGCAATTGCAACAAAAGCATCCCCATTAAAAAGTGTGCAATGAATATGCACAGACATTTCTTAAGAGAAGACCTAAACACAGCCAACAATCATACGAAAAAAAGATCAACATCACTGATCATTAGGGAAATGCAAATCAAAACCATCATGAGCTAATATCTCTCAGAAGTCAGAAAGGCTATTAAAAAGTCAAAAAATACAAATGCTGGAGGGGTTGTGGAGATAAAGGAACAATTATACACTATTGGTAGGAGTGTAAATTAGTTCAGCCATTTGAAAGTGTGATGATTCCTCAAAGACCTAAAGACAGAAGTACCATTCAATCCAGCAATCCCATTACTGGGTACATACCTGAAGGAATATAAATTGTTGTATTATAAAGACACATGCACACGTATGTTCATTGCAGCACTATTCACAATAGCAAAGACATAGAATCAACATAAGTGTCCACCAATGATAGGCTGGATAAAGAAAATGTGGTACATATATATGATGGAATACTATGTAGCCATAAAAAAGAACAAGATTATGTCATTTGCAGGGACATGGATGGAGCTGGAGGCCATTATCCTTTGCAAGCTAATGCAGGGACAGAAAACCAAATACCATATGTTCTCACTTACAAGTGGGAGCTAAATGATGAGAACACGTGGACACATAGAGGGGAACAATACACACTAGGATATTTTGGAGAATGGGACGAGGAGAGGATTAGGAAAAATAACTCATGAATACTAGGTCTAATACCTCAGTGATGAAATAATCTGTACAACAAACCCCCATGACAAAAGTTTACTTATGTAACAAACCTGCACATGTACCCCTGAACTTAAAAGTTAAAAAAAGTATCGATCAGCAGCTATTTTGCTAGTATTGAATAAAATCTGTGTTTGCTAGCATTGAATGTTATAATTCCTAAACCTTTGACTTAGAATGGTATTTTCTTCTACAATGGCTTGCATTGTGTAAATTGGCACTGGTAAATTACGAAGTTAAATAAATAAAGGTATTCATAACACATTATACATTATAACACATTATATATCAATTTAGTGGTCTAATCTGAAATAGCCCTCATCACTAACACTAAGGTTACATTATATTTGTCATTTCTACATTCATTAAAATAATAAGATTATTGATCAGAAAATTCTGATATATTACTAAAACATGAAAAGACATATTTCGTATTACTTCTTGTGTTGCGTGTTGTGTATTCTAGCTAAAGTCTAATGTCCAGTAACCAAGAGGCATGGAAGAAAAGTGATCTCTAAATAGATTGTGTTATGAGTTGAATTGTGTCTCACCTAACTATATGTTGAAGCCCAAACCCTCAATATTCCAGAATGTGACTGTATTTGGAGATAAGATTTTTAAAGGGGTGATTAAATTAAAGTTAAGTTGAAAGGGTGGGCCCCTAATTCAATCTGATTTGTGTACTTAAAAAAGGGAAAATTTAGGCAAACAAAGAGATACTGGGGTATGTATGCACAGAGAGAAGGACGATGTCAGGCCATAAGAAAGCACCCATCTGCAAGTCAAAGAGAGAGGCCTCAGAGGAAACCATATGTTCCAGACCTTGATATTGGACTTTTAGCCTCCAGTACTATGAGAAAATAAATTTGTGCTGTTTAAGAAAAAAAAAAAACCTAACATTTTATAAAATGTCATTTTCAAACAGACTGAAAAAAATATTTATTATTCCTTAGTACCCATTCCTGCCTGACCTTAATTGTCCTCATCCAAAGACAGGCATGCTCACCATAGGCAGACTCATCAGTGGCTTACTTATATTTGTATTTGTAACTTATTTTTTTGCCAGACAGTTCATAGTTAACTATACTTTCTGTCTAAATGCTCTTTTTTAGGTAAATTTGATTTTTTTTTAATTTTTTGTCTATTCTTATCCTACCAACGTTACTATCATCAGAGGATGGGTGAAACATATTGGAATCATACTACCTGGGAGATTGTAGAGATCATGTTTAGGCTTTAGAACCTGGTTTGATTCCTGAGCCCTCATGTACTCATCATGCTTACCTGGCCCTGCTCTTGCCCTTTTCTGAAAAACCGGAATTCTGGATTGCTGAATTTTCTGATGTACTAGTTGTTTCGCACACCTGGTTTCACTGCATAAAATGCAAATCACTTCGCTGCACTTATGACATTCTTTGTCACAGTTTGGGCCCTCTGGAAACAGAAGTTGTTAGGGGTGCAAGATGTTTATTAGAGATCAACATCTATAAAAGGTAGAAAAAGAAAACAAAATTTGTAAGATCAAGAAATCAAAATTCTTTGCAGCATCAACAAATCATTAATCAACCCAGTGGGAAGTTCTAGTATTGCCCATCAGAGCTGTCTCACAGTACAGTGAAATGGTTAAACTTCTGTTACATCTGCTTCACTCTGTTGCCTGATGTGGATTGCTCTGAGAGGTACTACCTATATTAAGACAAATGGTGTGACACTTACATCATCTTGAAAGATGAGAAAGAAATTGTCAGATGGGAAAAGATTTGTAGAATATAAAAACAATTTATATAAACATGACATTGAAAAGTATGACATAATTGTATATTAGAACATGGCTTAATATTGGTGATATAAAATGCATAAAAATGAAATGTGGTAAAGAAGGTCAAATAGTGAACAGAAGCTAAACCTGGAGACATACATTTTACTAATCTCTATGTGTTAGACACCGTTTTATGTGCTTCATATGTATTACTTCAGAGAAGTACTGATAGAATGATAATGAGATAACGTAGGCCAATTATTTATTTCTGGACAGGAATATCCCTAAATCTTAATACTTAATATGTATAAAATGTTTGGAGAATCAGGTGAGAAGAGTAAGGAAAAGAGCAGAATGAATACATAGGTCTATCTTTCTCTTCATGAGTTTTGTAACACATACTTGATGATTAAAAAAAAAAAAAAACACCATCTCATACTCAAGAAAATGGACTTTAAAAGGTGGGAAGGTAAAGTTACCCAAACAAAAGTGATGTTTCCACACTTCACTCAAAGTAGTGAAATGCTGATACCAGTAGAATGTTATAAGTCACAAACATATACTATAATACCCAGAGCAACAAATATAGAAAATTTCAAAGACATGCGCTCAGAAACATTATAAATAAATCAAGATGGAATATTTAAAGTATTCAAGTTAAACCACAGGAAGGCAAGAAACAAGAAACAGTGAAATATGAACCAGAGGACTGAAATAGTAAGCAAAAATGATCAAATGGCATACTCGAGTACTAACACATCACTTACCTTAAATGTAAATGATCTAAATATTCCAGTTAAAAGTCAGAGATTATGAAAATTAATAACAGAAAAGGGGAGGGGACAATTATGTGTTGCTAAAAAGAAATAAGTTTCAAATTTAATAATATAAGCAGGTTGAAAGCAAGGATGGGAAAAACATACCATGAAAACATGAATCCAGAAATAGTAGGAGTGGTGATATTTAATATCTGATGAAGTCGAGTACACAGTAAAGAAATGACTAGCAACAAAGAGAGACATTACATAAAGATAAAATAAGCACACCAGGAAGACCTAATGATCCTACATATTTAAACAACTAACAACAGAGCCTCAAAATACGACAATTAAACGAATCAAAATGATGAAAGAAAAGCAGACAAACCAAGTTATGGCTGGGGACTTCAACACCCCTCTCTTAGCAACCAAAGGGGGAAAAAAAAAAAGAAAATCAGCAAGATATGGAAGAACTGAACTACACAATCAACAAGTTGAATCCAACAGACATATGTAGATTCATCCACCTGAAACAGCATAATACACCTTTTTTTTCAAGTACATGTGGACCATTTCCTAAAATAAGTTGTATCTGAACCATAAAACAAACTTCAACAAATTTAAAAGAATTGAAATTATACATATACAGCATGTTCCCTGGTCACAATAGGATCAAAATAAAAGTCAGTAACTTGAAGAAAACAGGAAAATTTCTAAACACGTGGAAATTAAACACACTAAATATTCTGTAGGTAAGAAAATCTCAAAGGAAATAAAAAATACAGAGAAATAAAATGAAATTGAAAACACAACTTATAAAGGCATATGAAATGCAGCCAAATCTGTCCTGAGGAAAAAAATTATAGAACAATCAACTAGAAATTAGAAAAAGAGTCAAATCAATAATCTAGCTTAACATCCAAAGTAGAAAAAGAAGAGTAAAATGAAACCAAATTAAACAGATTAAAGGAATAAACAAGGATAGGGCAGATCAATGTAATTAAAACTGGAAAAGTAATAGAGAAAAACAATGAAACAAAAAGTTATTTCTTCAAAAAATCAATAAAATTGGTAACATTTGAGCAACACTGACTAAACATTGAGAAATAGATAAGACATAAGCATGCAAATTACCAAAATTTGAAATTATACAGGGGATTCACTACAGATACTGCAGTCACTAAAAGAATGATAAGGGGCTACTGTGAATCATTATATATTCCTATAACTATTACAATCATTGTATTTATAATTTTACAAAATACAAATCTTTAACCAAGTGGGTTTCATTGGCAAACTCAATCTAACAATTAATGAAGAGTGGAATAGGAGGGAAGAAATATTTCTCAATTCAGCATATGAAGCTAGGATTACACTGATACCCAAACCAAAGGAGTACAAAAAAATAAAATAAAGCTATAGAAAAATATTTATCAAGAACTGAGACACAACCATTGTTAGCAAAATATTAGTAAATATAATTCAGCAATATATAAATAGAGTTTTAATTTTTGTCTAACTATAAGAGATACAAGTGCAATTTTGTTACATGGATAACATAACCATGCCAGAAATACAAGAATGCTTCAGTATTTAAAAATCAATCTATTTCACATCAATGTCAAAAAGCTAAAGAACAAACATCAATTAATTCAATAAATACATTTAACAAAATTCAATACCTATTATGATAACTATTCTCAGTAAGTTATGATTATAGAGAAATTTCCTCAAATTGATAAGGGCTACCTACAAATATCTGCCAAGTAACACTTTACCTAGTGGTTAAAAAAACGAACATTTTCCCCTAAGATCAAGAACAAGGCAAGTGTGTCTGCTCTTACCACTCTTGTTCACATAATACTGAAAATTCTAACTTCTGCAATAAGGCAAGTCGAGAAAATAGCATACTGATTAGAAAGGAGAAAACAGTCTCTGTTTGCAGATGACATTATTATCTATGCAAAAATCCAAAAGCATGTAAAACAAAATACACAAAAGAAATTTTTAAAATAATAAATGAGCTCAGAAAATTTGCAGAATATAAGGTCAGCACACTAAAATTGATTACATTTCTACTTACTGACAAGGAGCACTTGGAAAATGAAACTAAAACACAAAACCATAAAAAACTACTCTAAGGAAAATGAAATACACAGGTAATGTATTTGCCAAAACATGTATACGATTTTTGTGCTAAAAATTAGAAAATGCTGGTGAATAAAATCAAAGAAAACCTAAGTAAATGGAGAGGCGTAGTGTATTTATGGATGAAAACAAAAAAGACATCAATATTCTTAAAAATGATCTATAGTTTAATATCCCAGGTAGATTAATTTGTAGACCTCCACAAGCTTATTCTAAAATTTACATGCAAAAGCACAGGCCTTAAAGTATTTAAAACTACCTTTACAAAGAAGAATAAAATGAGAGGAATTATTTTATCTTATCTTACAACTTACTAGAGACCTACAGTAATCAAACCATTATAGTATTACCAGAGAAATAAGCACATAGGTCAGTGAGACAGAAGACAGATCCTAGAAATAGACCCACAGGAATGTGCCCAATTGACTTTTGACACAAGTGCAAAAGAAATTCAAATAAGGAAGAATAGATTTTTCATCATATGATGCCAAGGTAATTGGACATCCATAAACAAAAAACCTTGACGTTAACCTTTACTTACACATCAAACTTTATATGAAAATCAACTCGAAATTGATCATAATATTGAATTTAAAATGCGTAAGTATAAAGTGTTAGAAAAATCATAGGAGACAATCTTTAGAACCTAGCGTTAGGCAAAGGGTTGTGAGAATTGACACCAAAGACACAGTCCATAAAAAATTCATAAATTGAATCTCATCAAAAATAAAATTTGCTATGTAAAAGCCCATACAAAGAGGATGAAAAGACAACTACACACAGGGAGAAAATATTTGGAAAATACTTATTTATCACAGGATATATCTAGAATATACAAAGAACTTTTAAAACTCAAGAGTAAATATATCAATTAACCAAAATAACAAATGAGGGGGCAAAGAACATGAACAGACATTTACTATATACTAAAGACAATATACAGATGTCAAAAATAAGCACATGAAAATATGTTGGAAATCATTAGCCATTAGGAAAGTGCAAATTAAAGACACAATGAGGTATCCCTACCTACCAGCAGAATAACAGCAACAACAAAAGTGTGGCAGTAATACATTATGGCAGGGATCTGCACAAACTAAGTCATTCATGCAATGCTGATGGGAATGGAAAACGTTATAGCCATTCTGAGAGAAAACAAAATCTGTCAGCAGTTTATTAATAAAAAAGAAAGAAACGAGGCAAGGGAGGAAGAAAGGGGAAAAAAGGAAATGGAAGGGAAGGGGAAGGGAGGGGAGGGGAGGGAAGGGGAGGGGAAAGGAGGGGAGGGGTGGGGAGAGGAGGGGAAGGGAAAAGAAAAGAAAGGAAAGAAAAGGAGAGGAGAGGAGAGGGGAGCGGAGGGGAGGAGAAGGTAAGGGGAGGGAAAGGAAGGTGAGGGAAGATAAAGGAAGAGGGGGAAGGAAAAAGAAAAGGAAAAGTGATTATCATTAGCATTTATGCTAGAGAAATCAAAATATTTTTAATACATATATCTGTACACTATTCAAAGAAGTTGCATTTATAATGGCCCAAATCTGGCATCAGTCCAGATATTCTTCAAATGATGAATGATAAAAATTCTGAAGTAGGTGCATATCTTGCACCAACTCACAATAAAAATGGTCAAATATTTCATACACACAATTTGGAAGGGCTGGATAGAGGTGGATGTGATTATGAAAGGACAAAAGGAAGGGTCTCATGGCAATGGAACTATTCGATATCTTGACCATAGTAGCACATGCTTGAACCGACACATTTAATAAAGTTGTATAGAACTAAATGCATACATATGAGTACAAGAAAGTAAGGAAATATGAATACGTTGAAGGATTTTGTGGATGAAAATACCCTCGTTGTGGAATTACATCATAGTTTTACAAAATGTATATAGGTAAAATACATGTAGGATTTCTCTGTGTTATTTCTTATTAGATTATCTCAATACAACTTTCAATTAAAAATGCTCATAAGTTATTGTTATTATTATTATTTGAGATGGAGTCTCACTCTGCTGTCTAGGCTGGAGTACAGTGGCGCAATCTTGGCTCACTGCAACCTCCTCCTCCTGGGTTCAAGCGATTCTCCTACCTCAGCCTCCTGAGTAGCTGGGATTACAGGCACACACTATCATACACGGCTATTTTTTATTAGTAGTAGTAGTAGTAGTAGATAGAGACAGGGTTTCACTATGTTGGCCAGGCTGGTCTCTAACTCCTGACCTCAAGTTGTCCAGCCACCTCAGCCTCCCAAAATGCTAGGATTAAATTCCTGAGCCACCACACCCGGCCTGATTATAAGCTTTTAAGATGACTTCTGTGAACATTTTTGTTACCATGTATCTGACTCTGAAGGGGTAGGAAGTATATGGAGGAATATAAAATTGGGAGAAAAGTACATTATTTCTCAACCTGTGGAAAACTAAACGAAGTAAATTTAAAATGAGGAGAGTGGCTATAAAATCAAGAGATGAACAAACTCCCACAACACAAGTTTACCTATGTAACAAACCTGCACATGTATCCCTCAACTTAAAATAAAAGTTAAAATAAATAAACAAATGAATTCATGAGATGGGCTTCCAGACGATCATGTAAGACCACTACTTGTGAGGTTTTCCAGGAGAGTCTAGAGAACTCCATCTCCTAAATAGTTAAACTGGTTTTTCTTAACAGGTATGACATTTAATACTAAAAATGCAGATATTAATAGATGTTAAGAGAAAAATATTTTCATTGCAAAATTGGAATGCTGAATTAATAAAAAAATTAAACACTTCTTTAGGAATTTACAGGGACTAAATGTTAATTTTCATTTTTAAGTCTCTATGAAGGGGAGATAAAATATAAATCCTAAACAACTTCAGTGTGTATGTGTGCATTTAAAGCACCTTTTAGTCCTAACATTCTTTGGAGTATATTTTTGCAAGGACTGGTTCAAACCAGAGTTGATCCATGCAGTTTCTAAGGTAATGTTTACTATTATACTTCAATTGTCCAAGAAACTCTCTATACCTCTTAGCAGATACATGAAGTATTTGTGGTTGTTTTTTTGTTTGTTTGTTTTATAAAGGTCTAGAGAAAAAATACTTTTTTCTCAATTATAAAAGGCTTATACAGGAAATATATTAAGTATATTTTAATTTATTTTTCCCTCAGTAAATAGATATTGCCGTCAGTTGGCTTTTTAAATATGGTAATATGTAGGTCACCAATTAAATTCAAATATAATCTTATTTTTGTATAATCAAAATAAGGAAATTCATAGTGTTTCATATATGAGATATTATTTTTCTACTTCTACATGCTCTTATATTTTGACTTAAATTTCATAATTTATGATATGAAAATGCCTTTGTGATCTGGAGCAATTCACTAAAACCATGATTCCCTAAAGTCATCTTGTTCCAAACACATTGTTATTTATTCTCATTTCACTGCAGTGATTTGACTTAGCATAATGCTGATCTGACTCTATTTTTGACTCTGAATTTTGTTGTGGGCATGTGTCAGCTTATTCCTGAAGTGGTTATACATAAGCCCCTCTCAAATATTCACTGTCCTATTTTGTGGTTTCTTTTTAGACAAGGCTTCCATTGAGAGCAATGGCCCTGACTTAGCGCTTTAGTGTCTCACCAATCAGGATGCAAGTTACATTTCTGGTGGAATTAACTGTTCAAGCAAACATATTCCCATGAAGAAAGCAAAGCTGAAGGTTCATTAATATTCAGGCCCACTGCAGATGAGAGGCTTCTCTTAAGTAAGCACATTAATCTTATCTTTTCTTATGAGCATGCTTTACCAGTGACCCATGCCAAGTGCCTTCATGTGGCTGTCTCCATTTTAGCACTCAAAAATTGCAATGTGGAGATAAAGTTGTTTTTTTCCCCCTAAAATCAAGTTCTCTGGATTTCTTCTTTATCCTGACCATTTAATTATTATTCCTACAGAAGTTAACACTATTGCTATGACACAGAACTTAGGGACAAGTGTGTAACTTGTGTACAATGTTGAAGTTTATCTTTCTTCCCAAATAACTATTAAATATCATTAGGCTTCATGAAAAATAGTCACAGGATTTCTTATTTTGGAAGTTGCCATCTACAATGGTTTATAAAAAATGCCAAGGAAAGATTCTATTATTAAGCTACACTATTTTATTTCTTCCCTTCTATTAATCCCTTATTCTCCTCCCCTCAATATCTACTAGGTTTTTTTCTCCTCTAAAAATCATAATCAATATTAACAAATCAGATATTATTTGAATGTTTATTTCTCTATCAGGTAAAAATGGCCAGGTGAACTCTCACCTAATTCTCATGGTATGCTTGGAGAAATCTAAGTTAAATAGATTCTTACAGTATGTGCAAAATTCACTTCAAGATTTCCTGGACAACACCTCTAAGTGTAGGTCATTGTCATCTGGACGGAAACTGCGCTAAAATGTGAAGCTATGTGGCTTTGTAAATTGAAGTGGGCCACACATCAAAGTTACCACAAAGAAAGTACGACCTTAAATATGAAAGTCAAACTGAAAGTCACAACAGCAGATATGCTAAATTCCAGGCATTGATTTGACAATCAGTTGGTTTTTTTTTTTTTCCAGGTGAGTAACTCCGTGTTAATTGTTTCAGATTGAGTACCAATTCTACAGAAGCTTTTGTGCACCTGTCACTTCTATTGGGTTCCTAGTGTTTACAACATAGTTCTACACTTTGATTTTACTTCACTTTCATAATTCTCCTTGAGCAGTATGTGTACTATTTCCCTTATGTTAAAATTGAAGATATTTAAATTTTAAATTAAATTTTAATTTAAATGTTTTGTCACATACCTCGTCAAATCAGAGAGGTAACCTAGCAACCATGCCTCACCCATAGTTTGTGTTCAATATTTTTTTTTTTGCTTCTCATTCCTGATTTCTGATAAGTATAAATGTCATGATGTTTTCCTCTGTAAATCTGCTTTCCCTGTCTCATCATTTCAACTGGGGGAGTTCAGTTGTATTTTAGAATTTGAGATAGACTGCAGTTCCAAGATAGAAAATACTGGAATACCTTTATGTTTAGAAACACCTGATGAAATAGAAGGGTGGCCTATGAAACACTGATTCGATGAGAAAGACCAAGGACTTCAATGTAAAGTGGAAAATTAGAAGGATATCACAATTGTAAGCAAACTGGAAACGTCTAGGAAGAATACAGAAGCATTTAATGCAAGAGATAAGTTAACAGACCAGCTAAGAAAATGAAATTATGATTTAAATATGCTGGTCATTTCCCTGTCGTTTTACAGCTTCAAATTCATCCTTTAATTACATTTGCCATCACTCTGTGATGCTATGGCTGACACTATACAAACCATAGGGTTTTTGTTTGTTTGTTTCGTTTTAACTAGCGGTAACCTCATTAGATTTAGGCAATAGAAGGCAGAGAGGAGACTGAAAAGAAGGCAAAGGCAAGAAGGGATGTTCTCTTGTTTTGTGCTCTGATTCCGGCGAGGTTCCCTATGAGAAGCAACATTTCAGCCCAGCAGCAGCCATTTGCTAAAGCATTGTCATTTGATTTCAGCCTCTAGCATCTTCCAGAACCAAGTACGTATCATCCTCTCAGAGGTACTAACAGCAGCCAGGTGACACTGTTTTCTCTGAGTTTTGAGCCCCAGCTATGTGGGGACCCTCATCTGAGCTTCTAATGTTCACTTAATGCTAATTTCATTCCTTTCTTCTCCAGCCCTAGAGATGAGAGCTAGTTCCTGCAATTATTATCTCTGAGTTACTCAAGGTTCCCTTTATGTATTCAGGTCTCTAATACCTATGTAACAAGTTCCCTGTATTAAATGATCTCTGTTGAAATAAGTAAGATAATTTTTATTTGCCAACTTGGTCCTGGCAAAAATAAGGCGATTCCAAGAAAAAGCAATGCAAATATAAAAATTAAATTCTTAAATGTAAATACAATTTTTATTCAGCTGGTATATCACTATTCCTAGCATTGGTGAGTCATGATTTTCCTTATCTCATATTGAGAATTTTTCTTCAGTTTTAAGCAGCTCAGTGAGAGAATTGAAATTTTAAAATTAGGCCAAAACCACGTATTTTGTTATTGATCTTAATATTCTAGTTGAATGTACAGACACAGACAAATATTACCAGGAAATAGACTTTGAACATTTTGAAATGGGGCTTATTTAGGGCTAATAGTGAGTTGACATGTGTGTGCCTGTGTTGGTGTCTCTGTAACTAATTTTTTGTTGTTGTCGTTGTTAAATTATATTTAATCTGAGTAGTATATGTGCATCATAAAAAATACATTTAAAAATATGGAAATTAATGGAAACCATATAGAACATTTAGTCAAAGTTTTTAATCATAATTTGTTGCCATTATTAAAATCATTGCTATATTGATGCTAAAAGTGCACTACACATTTCCAAAAATTGAGTCAAATGCTCTTAGGTAATTAATTTTAGTCATATTCCAAAACATCAAGATTTCAACAATTTAAAAACCATTTGTTGGCATGGAAACATCAGTTTAATTAAAACTGGATTAAACTAATTAACCTAAAACATATTATACTACTGAGTGTTTGATTTAGAGCAATTTGGAAGAAAAAGAACATTTTTCATAATCATTTTAGGTCTTTTATCTAATGGAAGTGTTTAGGTTTCATAATGAACCTACACATGCACTAATGTCTCAAATGACTGCTTTCACTGGAGGAGGATGGTTATGAAGAAGGTTTCCATTAAATGAAATGCCAGTTTTCTTGAGGGAATTCAGAGGGCAGAGCATTTTATGAAAATTGCTTATTGTCTTTGCTTATCCATAGTATCCAGGAGATTTGAGAAGAATAACCTCAGTGTGATCCTTTATTTCATGCCTTATATTTCATCCCAAGAAGCTAAGTTTTGTATTATATGAGGAAAATCACATGATGAACCACAAAAATAAAACATGGATTAGAGTAGGATCACTGAAAAGTTTACAGTAATGATACAGTCATATCTGCATGGCAATGACCAGTATTTCTTACAGCAAAGAAGCCCATAAGTTTGTAGATGATATTCTTTTTCAAATACATTTTAGATTGTCTAAAAGTTTCTAAATCAATGGTTTCATTCTGTTTCTTTTCGTTATTTTTTTACAAATATCGAGTGCTTACCATGTTATAGGCCCAAACTTGAACAATTTAAAAGATCAGTGGAGATGTCCTTGCTTTCTCACATTTGTATTCACATTACCTATTCTCTCTGGGTCTCATTCTCTATCCTCCAAAGATGGAGCTGATTTGCATCCTAGCTCTAAGGCAGTATGGAGGCTTTGCAATGTGTCAGCTTGACTACGGTAAACTACATTTCCCAGAATTATCTTTCCTGAATATTTCCAGTTGTGGTGGCTACATGCATGATTCTTGAGAGATTCGGAAGGCAAAAATGAAGCAGCAGCCATTTGTAACTAGTACACGTTATTGTTGATTTGCTGATTCACTTCGTGAATAGCATTGGACTTACAACTGCTCAACTTTTTGCTGAATTCTCCTTCAGTTTTTCTAACACTGGAACTCGTGTGTGTGTGTGTGTGTGTGTGTGTGTGTGTGTGTGTCAGTGTTTATCACAGTGAGAAAGACCCCTGGCTTCTACAGTATACCCATATCCCAAACACCAGAGGCAAGAAGGACTGACAAGAGTTTCAGTCTCTCCTCCTGGGCTCTTGGTTCGTGTGTGTGTTTCTGCCTTCTCTGTACATTCATCTTACCTTCTTCACTACTTGCCCTGTGGATTTCAAGCCCCAGCATCAGATAGAAAGACAACAGCTTTACAAAGATTGCTTTATTCACTCTAAGAATTCTGCAAAGCCAAATCCCTAACCCCTGATAAATTATATCCTAGCGGTTATGAAGTTATCCTTCTCTGGATAAACCCTGGTGATATAGAAGATATGTAACTCAGGCATAGAAAATAAACAGACCCATTTTGCTAGCCACCGTGGCATGTTGTTTTAGAGATTGGTGCTTAACTCAATTTGGTCATTGCCATTTCAATAACTCATGCGTTAACTAACACTCTTTTAACCTATATACTGAGATTTTCTATCAGTGAAACTAAACAAGTTCTCAAAACTCACTTCATATTTCCCACAATTGGTTGAGGGTGTTATTCTTATGCCCATTTTACTCATAAGGCACATGGTCATTGAGGCCTGGAAAAACCAGTTTATCCAAGGTTATACAACAAGTTCCTATAGGAGACTGATTACAACATAGGTCCATTTTCTTTCAAAGCCAGTTCTATTTTGCATGATTAATTAAATGGAATAGGCAGGCAATTATCATAAAGATTCATTGCTTCTAGAAATCTCCTTTGTAAGTAAAATGACAGCTGTAATTTATGATTTGGGGAAAGTGTTGAGCACCTTTAAAAAAGCAATTGTATTCTACAGCATATTACCTCCTTCTATGACAGGGTGACAGGGTACTGGATTACATTAAGCAATTATTTGCTTGAAGACATGGATTCTGGTCAGATTCTCTAAATCGAGGCTGGTCATTTTTTTTTTCTCTGTATCACAGGATATTTATACTTTCAAGGAAGAAACAGTTTATCTGAATTTTCAACAGATTCAGTGAATTGACCAATTGCCTTTTGGCATAAAACAGAAATACTCTCAGATTCCCATGAGTCTTATTAATAGAATTTGATTAATGCTTTTATTTCTTTAATGTTATGTGAATATTTCATTTCATATTAAAATATCACTTATACATAATTTCTTTACACCAGAGAGTCTGTATACATTTGCATCAAATTGTAAAATCTATGTACCAGTGAAGTAAAGCCCATCCCTCAGAAACTATGGGGAAAAAAAATTAAAATGAAGTGTCATTCACTCGAGTCCGTGTGAAGAGACCACCAGACAGGCTTTGTGTGAGCAACAATGGTGTTTATTTCACCTGGGTGCGGGCAGGCTGAGTCCAAAAAGAGAGTCAGCGAAGGGAGGTAGGGGTGGGGCTGTTTTATGAGATTTGGGTAGGTAAAGGAAAAATTACAGTCAAAGGGGGTCATTCTCTGGCTGGCAGGGGTGGGGGTCACAAGGTGCTCAGTGAGGGAGCTTTTGAGCCAAGATGAGCCAGGAGAAGGAATTTCACAAGGTAATGTCATCAGTTAAGGCAGGAACAGGCCATGTTCACTTCTTTTGTGGTGGAATGTCATCATTAAGGCAGGAACAGGCCATCTGGATGTATACGTGCAGGACACAGGGGATATGATGGCTTAGATTGGGCTCAGAGGCCTGACATTCCTGTCGTCTTATATTAATAAGAAAAATAAAATGAAATAGTGGTAAAGTGTTGGGGCGGTGAAAATTTTTGGGGGTGGTATGGAGAGATAATGGGCGATGTCTCTCAGGGCTGCTTCAGGTGGGATTAGGGGCAGCGTGGGAACCTAGAGTGGGAGAGATTAAGCTGAAGGAAGATTTTGTTGTAACGGGTGATATTGTGGGGTTGTTAGAAGAAACTTTTGTCATATAGAATTATTGGTGATGGCCTGGATATGGTTTTGTATGAATTGAAAAACTAAACGGAATAAGAGAAGGAGAAAAACAGGTATTAAAGGACTAAGAATTGGGAGGACCCAGAACATCCAATTAGAGAGTGCCCAAGGGGGTTCAGCATAATTACTTGCTTGGTTGGTGAGTTTTTAGGCTCTATCCAAGTTTTTGGGGTGCAGTTCAAGTTGGGCTGGTGTCTGGAATGAGACTGGGGCCTAATAAAAAGGAGTGTCCATACAGGAGGTCAAATGGGCTGTAATCTGTAGCATTCCAATGATAGGCCTGAATTCTGAGAAGGGAAAGTGGTAAAAGTATTGTCCAGTCCTTTTTAAGTTGTTGGCTGAGCTTGGTGAGGTGCGTTTTTAAAAAATCATTAGTTCATTGAATACCAAGAGCCTGAGAAACTGCTTGGGTGATTTGACTAATAAAGGCTGGTCCGTTATCAGACTGTATAGAGGTGGGAAGGCCAAACCAAGGAATTATGTCTGACAGAAGGGAAGAAATGACCACGGTGGCCTTCTCAGACCCTGTGGGAAAGGCCTCTACCCATCCAGTGAAAGTGTCTACCTAGACCAAGAGGTATTTTAGTTTTCTGACTCAAGGCATGTGAGTTAAGTCAATTTGCCAGTCCTGGGTGGGGGCAAATCCCCGAGCATGATGTGTAGGGAAGGGAGGGGTCCCGAACAATCCCTAAGGAGTAGTAGAAGAGCAGATGGAACACTGAGAAGTGATTCCCTTGAGGACAAATTTCCAGGATGGAAAGGAAATGAGAGGTTCTAAGAGATAGGCTAGTGGCTTGTAACCTACATGGAAGAGGTTATGAAATGATGACAGAATAGAATGGGCCTGTGAGGCTGGAAGGAGATATTTTTCCTTGTCTAAGAATCATTTGCCTTGTGTGGGAAGAGATTGATAAGTGGAAGTTTTAGTGGGGAAGTAGGTGAGAGTGGCCGGATGAGAAGGAGAAAAACGGCCGTGAGGGACAGAAGTTGGAACGCTAGCTGCTTTTTAGCTACCTTATCAGCATAAGCATTGTCCTGAGTGATAGGATCTGATGCCTTTTGATGGCCCTTGCAGTGAATGACTCCAGCTTCTTTTGGAAGTAAAATGTCTTTGAGAAGAGTTTTTATTAAAAAAGCATTAATGATGGAGGCCCCTTGCATAGTGAGGAAATTTCTTTCTTCCCATATAACAGCATGGTGGTGCAGGATATGGAAGGCACATTTAGAGTCAGTATAGGCAATGAGTTTGGCTTGTTGAGAGGTAGTGGAGCGGGGCAGAGCAGTAGCCTCAATGATAGATGTGGAAGATACTATAGCATAGCCTGCCTTTGCTGGTGAGTGGCAGTTAGGTCTGGTGGAACTGCCATCAATAAACCAAGTGTGTTCAAGGTGAGGAACAGGAAAGAAGGAAATATGGGGAAATGGAGTGAATGTCAAGTGGATCAGAGAGATACAGTCATGGTGGTCAGGTGTGGTATCCGGAATAATGTGGAAGGCCGGATTGAAGTCCAGGACAGGAACAATGGTAACTGTGGGAGACTCAATAAAGAGTGAGTATAGCTGAAGGAGCCAGGGAGCAGAAAGTATATGCATCAGGTGGGAAGAAGAAAATAGATTTTGGAAGTTATGAGAACTGTAGACAGTGAGTTGAGCATAGTTTGTGATTTTGAGGGCCTCTAAAAGTATTAAAGCAGTGGCAGCCACTGCAGGCAGACATGAGGTCTGGGCTAAAACAGTAAGGTCAAGTTGTTTGGACAGAAAGGCTACAGGGCGCTGTCCTGGCTCTCATGTAAGAATTCTGACTGTACTAACAGAGGTGACAGCATGCTGGCAGTCCTAAGAGCCCTCGCCTGCTCTTGGCACCTCCTCTGCCTGGGCTCCCACTTTGGTGGCATTTGAGGAGCACTTCAGTCCCCCACTGCACTGTGGGAGCCCCTTTCTGGGCTGGCCAAGGCCGGAGCCCACTCCTTCAGCTTGCAGGGAGGTGTGCAGGGAGAGGCATGAGTGGGAACCGGGGCTGTGTGCGGCGCTTGCGGGCCAGCTGGAGTTCCGGGTGGGCATGGGCTTGGTGGGCCCCACACTCGGAGCAGCCAGCCAGCCCTGCTGGCGCCGGGCAATGGCGGACTTAGCACCCGGGCCAGTGGCTGCGGAGGGTGTACTGAGTCCCCCAGCAGTGCTGGCCCACCGGCGCTGCGCTCGATTTCTCGCCGGGCCTTAGCTGCCTTCCCACGGGGCAGGGCTCGGGACCTGCAGCCCACCATGCCTGAGCCTCCCACCCACTCCATGGGCTCCTGTGCGGCCCGAGCCTCCCCGACGAGCACCACCCCCTGCTCCACGGCGCCCAGTCCTATCTACCACCCAAGGGCTGAGGAATGAGAGCGCATGGCGCGGGACTGGCAGGCAGCTCCACCTGCAGCCCCAGTGTGGGATCCACTAGGTGAAGCCAGCTGGGCTCCTGAGTCTGGTGGGGACGTGGAGAGTCTTTATATCTAGCTCAGGGATTGTAAATACACCAATCAGCACCCTGTGTTTAGCCCAAGGTTTGTGAATGCACCAATAGACACTCTGTATCTAGCTGCTCTGGTGGGGCCTTGGAGAACCTATGTGTGGAAACTCTGTATCTAACTAATCTGATGGGGACTTGGAGAACCTTTGTATCTAGCTCAGGGATTGTAAACACACCAATCAGCGCCCTGACAAAACAGGCCACTCGGCTCTACCAATCAGCAGGATGTGGGTGGGGCCAGATAAGAGAATAAAAGCAGGCTGCCCGAGCCAGCATTGGCAACCCGCTCGGGTCCCCTTCCACACTGTGGAAGCTTTGTTCTTTCGCTCTTTGCAGTAAATCTTGCTACTGCTCACTCCTTGGGTCCACGCTGCTTTTATGAGCTGTAACACTCACCGCGAAGATCTGCAGCTTCACTCCTGAGCCCAGCAAGACCACGAGCCCACCGGGAGGAACGAACAACTCCAGACGCGCTGCCTTAAGAGCTGTAACACACACCGCGAGGGTCTGCAGCTTCACTCCTGAGCCAGCGAGACCACGAACCCACCAGAAGGAAGAAACTCCGAACACATCTGAACATCAGAAGGGACAGACTCCAGACGCGCCACCTTAAGAGCTGTAACACTCACTGTGAGGGTCCACGGCTTCATTCTTGAAGTCAGTGAGACCAAGAACCCACCAATTCCGGACACATAACCATGCCTAGGAAGGAAAGGAGTTGCTGTTTTGTAGAAGCGATTGGGATTTGGGAGATTAGCTGGATATGATCAGCAGGGAGAGCACGTGTGTTTTCATGAGAATTATGCCAAGGTAGGTAACAGATGAGGAAGAAATTTGGGCTTGACTGAAGTAATGGGGGCTATCTATGAAGCACTGCGGCAGTACAGCCAAGGTAATTTGCTGAGCCTGGTGGGTGTCAGGGTCAGTCCAAGTGAAAGCGAAGAGAGGCTGTGATGAAGGGTACAAAGGAATAGTAAAGAAAGCATGTTTGAGATCCAGAACAGAATAATGGGTTGTGAAGGGTATTGAGGATAAGAGAGTATATGGGTTTGGCACCATGGGGTGGATAGGCAAAACAATTTGGTAGATAAGGCACAGATGCTGAACTAACCTGTAAGACTTATCCAGTTTTTGGACAGGTAAAATGGGAGAATTGTAAGGAGAGTTTATAGGCTTTAAAAGGCCATGCTCTAACAGGCGAGTGATAACAGGTTTTGATCCTTTTAAAGCATGCTGTGGGATGGAATATTGGGATTGAGCAGGGTAAGGGTGATTAGGTTTTAATGAGATGGTAAGGGATGCATGTTCAGTTGCCAAGGAGGGACTAGAGGTATCCCATACTTGTGGGTTAAGGTGGGGAGATACAAGGGGAGGATGTGAGGGAGGCTTTGAACTGGGGGAAAAGGCAGCAATGAGGTGTGGCTGTAGTCCAGGAATAGTCAGGGAAGCAGATAATTTAGTTAAAATGTCTCAACCTAATAAGGTAGCTGGGCATGTGGGGATAACTAAAAAGGAGTGCATAAAAGAATGTTGTCCAAGTTGGAACCAGAGTTGGGGAGTTTTAAGAGGTTTAGAAGCCTGGCTGTCATACCCACAATGGTTATGGAGGCAAGGGAAACAGGCCCTTGAAAAGAAGGTAATGTGGTGTGGGTAGCCTCCGTATTGATTAAGAAGGGGACGGACTTACCCTTCACTGTAAGACTTACCCGAAGCTTGGCATCCATGATGGCCCAGGGGGCTTCCGAGGTGATTGGGCAGCATCAGTCTTCAGTGGCTAAGCCGAGAAAATCTGGGAAGGAGTCAGTCAGAGAGCCTTGGGCCAGAGTTCCAGGGGCTCTGGAAGTGGCTGCCAGGTGAGTTGAACAGTCCGATTTTCAGTGAGGTCCCCCACAGATGCGACACGGCTTAGGAGGAATCCCGGGCTGCGGGCATTCCTTGGCCCAGTGGCCAGATTTCCAGCACTTGAAGCAAGATCCTGGGGTAGGCGGTCCTGGAGGAATGCCTGGCCGCTGCATTTCAGGGGTTCAGAAGCTCTTTTATGCTGGAGATGTGTCTGGGGTTTGTCTCACAGTGGAGGCAAGGAATTGCAACTCAGAAATACATCGCTACTTGGCTGCCTCTACTCTATTATTGTACACCTTGAAGGTGAGGTTAATTAAGTCCTGTTGTGGGGTTTGAGGGCCGGAATTTGATTTTTGGAGCTTTATTTCTAATGTCAGGAGCTGACTGGGTGATAAAATGCATATTTAGAATGAGACGGCCTTCTGACCCTTCAGGGTCTATAGCTGTAAAGAATCTAAGGGTTGCGCCAAATGGGCCATGAACTGGGCTGGGTTTTTATATTTGGTGAAAAAGAGCCTTAACGCTAACTGATTTGAGATAAAGAAAAAAGAGCATTAACCTTGACTATGCCTTTAGCTCCAGCCACCTTTTTAAGAGGCAATTGCTAGGCAGGTGGGGAAACTGTAAGACCGGGTGTGAGGAGGGGAAGTGATAGAAGGATTATAGTGTTGGGGAGTGGAGGCTGAGGAAGAATTGAGACCTAGCTCAGCCTGGCGATGAGCAGCCTGGGGAGGAGGGGAGAGGTCAGATGGGTTGGTAGAAAAGGAAAGAGGAAAGACTCAGCGACAGAAAAGGAAAGGAACTGAAATTAAGAGAAGGGAGAGATTGAAGTGTGGCACCAAGATTGAAAGGAGAAAGAGGTGGAGGGATAGGGAGAGAGGTTGGAGAAGAGAGTAAAAAGAGGCCGCTTACCCGATTTAAAATTGGTGAGATGTTCCTTGGTCTGGTTGATCTGAGGACCAGAGATCGTAGGTGGATCTTTCTCATGGAGCAAAGAGCAGGAGGACAGGAGATTGATCTCCCAAGGGAGGTCCCCCGATCCGAGTCACGGCACCAAATTTCACTGAAGTCCATGTGAAGAGACCACCAAACAGGCTTTGTGTGAGCAACAAGACTGTTTATTTCACCTGAGTGCAGGCAGGCTGAGTCCAAAAAAGGAGTCAGTGAAGGGAGATAGGGGTGGGGCCCTTTTATAGGATTTCGGTAGGTAAAGGAAAATTACAGTCAAAGGGGGTTGTTCTCTGTCTGGCAGGGGTGGGGGGTCACAAGGTGCTCAGTGGGGGAGTTTTTGAGCCAAGATGAGCCAGTCGAAGGAATTTCACAAGGTTAATGTCATCAGTTAAGGCAGGAACAGGCCATTTTCACTTCTTTTGTGGTGGAATGTCATCAGTTAAGGCAAGAACAGGCCATCTGGATGTATACGTGCAGGTCACAGGGGATATGATGGCTTAGCTTGGGCTCAGAGGTCTGACAGTATCTATGCCATTCACAATGGATTTATGATGGATGATACAACATTTTAAAAAAAGATAGGCATTTGTATTTGTTTAATATGTGTTTCATAATTTTAAACACTATCCCTTCTTTCTTCCAGTGAAAGCCTATTCACAATTGGCATTTAGGAAGGTATTGCAGATGCAAAGAAAATTAAGGCTTTCCACTTGCTGTTGGGTAGCTCCCAGATTAGGAGAGGCAGACAAAACAAACATGAATACAAAAGTTGGTGGTCCATTCAAAGTGTTAAATCACAGAGGGAGGAAGGTTGCTTAACTGGGGAGGAGTGTTAGGAAAATGCTGGGCAGGGAGTGGTAGGTAAATGCCACTTGTGTTGAGTCTTGAAGCCTAAGTAGGAACTAACCACGCAAAAGGAATTTCAAGTAGAAGAAATAACATATGCAAAAGTTCAACGTAGTAAGAATGATAGGTAGGGAATGGAGGGAGCAGATAATGGGATTAGGGAAAGGGAGGACCAGATCATAGGTTTGTGTGTCCCCTGTGCCAAGAAATCTATGAAAGAGGGTTATTGAGGCACTTTAAGGATGGGATTGGCACAATCAGAGAGGTTATCTAAGGACAAAGGTAGAGGACGGGTTAGAAAGAACATAAGAGATGGGGAGGCCATTTGGGAGACTGTGGCAAGCAATAGTCCAGAACATAAGAGACAGAACTCAGGCTGTGGAGGATGGATGCTTACATTTGAACATTTTGGCATAGATTCAAAAGTACATATAAAAATAAAGAAAATCTATTGACATGTATTGGAAATGATGTACAAAATCAAAGCCCCAAATCACAATTTTTAGATCAATAATACTGGTAAATGTTTATACAGTGTTTACTTACAAGAGCCAATAACAATTTTAAGTGCATCTCTATCTAACGTGATTATCAGAATAACTCTCTAAAATATGAATCATTGTAATAATTCATATTCAATGTTTATAGATGACTCACAAAGGTTAAGAAAATAGTCCAATGTCACCAGCTAGTGTGATGGGTGGCACTTGAATCTAGATTTTCTGTTCAGATTCTGCAATTTCCAACCCATGCACTCACTCACAACTAAGGTATCCTTGAGTACCTGCTGTGTCTAAACACTGTGATGAACATTTGAATTCTTACAATAATTTTCTACATTATTTGCTTTTGTTTCTCTCATTTTGCATATGAATAAGCTGAAAATTGGTGTCTCAGCAAGATAACTAACACTACTAATAAAAAAACTAATGAAATACCTAATAAAATTAGCATTTGGGAAAAATAGCACAAATATGGAGTGAGGTAACCAGGACTCAATGATACATCTGTCTGATTTCACATCAGTATTTTGTTTTTATTTCTTACCTGAGAACCATGTCAATATTTTTAATGCCATGGATTTCAACCCAAAAAATTGCTATATGCCATGAACTATGCCATATGTTTGATATGCAACAAGGAAAAAAATACAGTGTTTGGCTTCAACCAGCTTATCATCTAGTAAGACAGCCAAAAGCATAAACATTTATTGCACTGTGGTTGAAATGGTTTGGCTGTGAGCCTGCCCAAAATCCTGTCTTGAATTTTAATCCCCATAATCCCCAGGTGTCAAGGGCACGACCAGCTGGAGTTATTTGGATCATGGAGGTCTTTTCCCCATGTTGTTCTCATGATAGTGAGTGAGTCTCAGGAGATCTGATGGTTTTATAAGCATCTGGCATTTCCCCTGCTTGCACTCACTCCATCCTGCCACCTTGTGAAGAAGGTGTCTCTTTCTCCTTTGCCTTCCACCTTGATTGTAAGTTTCCTGAGGCCTCCCCAGCCATGCGGAACCATGAGTCATTTAAACCTCTTTCCTTTATAAATTACCTAGTCTTGGGTATTTCATCAGAGTAGTGTAAGAATGAACTAATACAGTGGTATATGCTATAATATTAGGGAAAAAAAGAACCTCATTAGAAAGGAAAATAATAAGAAAAGGAGATACATTAAAAGCATTAACATAGTCCTGCTTATATTTTGTTTGGTATTAAAGATTAATTTGTAATGCATTTGTAAACATTTATTTTCTTTCTGAATCACCTGATACATAAGTTAAAAATGTCCATCTAAGCTATAAAAAAATTTATTTAAAAATTACTCTGGAAATATTCTTCAAGTGTTGAGATAAATTTATCATCTCCTTAGTTCAACAGATACCTGTGGGCATCCAATTTGATACTGAAGTTTCAAAATATAGATTCTTAAGAACTTGAAGTCCTAAGTGACTGTTTCTTACAGCTGCATTGTAATCAGCCTTAAAAATATTATAATTTTTTTGGATTATTAAAAAAGTAGGGAGGACAGTTTTATTGAGAAGATTAGGAAACATTGAGAATATAGTTTTTGCTATAGTCACATATTATCAGAGATTATTTCAGAAGTAATAGAAAGGGATTTTTTATTCTTCATTTTTGTGTGTGTGTGTGTGGACGGGATAGTATACACAAAGATACTGAGATGACACAAAGAAATTATCCTCAGGAAGCAAGAAGCATTTAATTTTGTTGTTGCACTGGAAATTAAAGGGGAATTATAAGAGATATGGAATGTAATTTAAGACTAGCTGAAAAGAGCATTGGCTATGAATCTGAGTAATTTTTATTTTCTTTGACAGAAAAAAAACTAGAATTTTAAGCAGGGGGTAGGTTTGACTTGTTGGCACAGGATTTGCATTTATTATCAAGCTCATTACAATTTTAATGTAAACTTATTGAGGCCCTACTATGTGCGAAGTCGTTCAAACAGGTCTTTCCCTCTAAATAATACATAATCTAATTGTTGAGTCAAAATAGAAATCATTAATGTGATATAATGGTTTGCAGTTACTCCACACAATAGATTCTTAGTGAATGATGTCAATGCTGCTCTGAAATGATTAATTTAAGTCTGAAATATTGACTATTACATCATTATGTTATTACATAAACAACTCTATTTGCTTTTCCCTCCTTTACTATGACTGTGTGATTCATTAGAATTGCTTATGGCATTTTACTTTACTTCTTTTCAGCGGCATCAGAAACCCAGATTTAGGTAATTAACTACATAGGCCATTTTGTGATGGAGATTAGTGGCAAAAATGACCAAAATTATTGAAGTGACTATATAAACATTTTCCCCTATCAAATATGTATCCTCAGTTTTTTTTAAAATTTCCCACCAGCTGGTTTTGCTAGAATTAGGAGAAAATATGTATAATTGCAGTTTGTTTAAAATTTTATTTTAGTATTTTATAGCCTTGAAGGTGCTAATATTTAGATTATATATATTCATGTACATTCATTTATGTACATTTATACAATGCAATGGGAATACAGCAATGAACAAGGAAAACAAAAATTCATGCATCAGTGGAACTTACATTTTAGTGGAAGGGTGAGATAAAAAATTAATAAATACACTGTACATATATATACATGTACATTCATATATCCATGTCTATCGATCACATATGTCTGTCTATCTAGTTATCTATGTTAGTTTTCCAGAGACACATAAGCAATGGGATGTATATATGTATATGTATGTATGTACATATATAAAGATTTATGTGTACATATGTGTATATATAAAGTAGATTTATATGTATGTACATATATATAAATATATAGATATAAATTTATGATAAGGAATTGGCTCTTGTGATTATGAATGCCAACAAATCCCAAGAACTTCATGGTGAATTGGCAATCTGCAGACCCAGGAAAGCTGATGGTATAGTTCTAGTCCTAAAGCTCACAGGCTCAAAACTGAGAAACAGCTGATATTTCAGTTCAGGTCTAAAGGCAGGAAAAAGTCAATATCCCCATTTGAAGGCTGTTGTGCAAAATAAATTATCTCTTATTTGGGCATGAGTCAGCCATTTTGTTCTCTTCAGACCTTCAATGAATTATATGAGGCCCACCCACATTTGGGAAGCTAGTCTCCTTTACTAGGTCTACCTATGTAAATGTTAATTAAACCTAAAAACATCCTCACAGAAACACCTAAAATAATGTTTAATCAAATATCTGGACATCCCATGAGACAGTCAGTTTGACACATAAAATTAGCCATCACGTATTGATTTATTTATCCATCCATGTTAGAAAACGTGAAGTGATGTGAAAATAATCAAGCAAGAAAAGGGGATTGGAAACACTGGACCTGGGATCTGTTGCAGATGGCTTCACATTTAAAAATGGTTGATATGGAGTGCCTCACAGAGAAGTTGATGTTTGAGTAAAGACCTGAAGAAATTGGGAGGTGAGGGAGAGCAAGACAAACAAATCTTAGAAACTTTAAACACAGAGCAAAGATTCTGAAGCAGGAGTCACTCTGGAGTGTCCCAGGAGCACCATGGAAGCTAGTGTGGGTGCAGTACAGTCTGTGACTGGGACAGTGATATGAGGTGAGCTCAGAGAGATCATGGAATTCAGATCATATAGGATTTTCTAATCCATTGTACAGTTTTTGTCATTTACACTGGCAAATGTGAAGTGAAATGGGTCATCACTGGAGTGTTTTGTGCATGCAACTGACATAATCTGATGTACGATTTTACCAGTTCATTCTAGCTACTCTATTAAGGATAGATTAAAGGGTGGCAAGAGTGCAGGTGAAGAGCCCAGTTAGGAGGTTATTGCAATAATATGGGTGAGAGGTGATGGTGACTTCAACCAGAGGTATCAGGGCAAGCTGAAAAATTAAATGAGGTTAAAATATTTCTTCAGAAGCCACACATATAATATGGCATAAAAATTACTGATGAATTTTAAAACATACATAAATTTAATGCTATTAATCTATTTATCTTAAAACCTTGAATGTAAAATTAAATTTTGTTCATTTTTAATGATATATTTTATTTGCCAAGGTAATACCGTACTTATCTCAGAAGAGTTGACCACATATTTACCAAGACACGTGAGCTAAAAATGTGCAGCAATGTGAGAAAAAGAGATGATCCCTTCTTTTTGATAATTTAATTCAAATTTGCTCTTTTATTCCTAATGTGGCATGTAATAAATGCAGCTGTGCCAAGCAGGGGGCTGAGGCTTCTCTGTCGGCTGTGTTGTTATGCTCTGCAGGAATATTTAAAACCATTCATACAACTCAAAATCTCTAAGCATTTTCATATTACTTTGTGAATTCATTTGGAATGTAAATACCAATGACCTTTTCAGAATCAAATGAAGAAAACTTCTCAGTGAAATTGCCCCTTTCTTGCAACTAAGACACTAGCAGTAGTCCATGGTGTTGGAAGCCTATCCTTATTGATTATCTTTGAGCATTCTTTTATCCAGTACATTGTTTTAATTAGATGTAGTAAACTCTAATGGGGGAAGTCGGGAGTACCTATTTAGCTCACAATGATCTTTCTGTCCAGCGGCCATAAGTTTTCAACCTCTACCACTTTCAGAAATGATTCATCATTACCCTAGAAAAGTGAAGAGGCCTGAAAGCAACCCACTTTCTGACCACCTCACCCCACCATCACAGCCATTGTAAATAGCTGATGGGTAGGAATATGCCCAATGTAAATCTATTTGTGTCCTTTCTTCTCATTTCATTGTGCAGGCACTGAAGTTTGCCTTAATAATTCTATAATCCCTTCTTATTCTGGTTGTGGGGCTCTGATCACTGTCTTGTAAAGAAGTCTTGCTGAAGTAGTCATTTTAACCATGGCTAGAATAAACTCATGATTAAAGAGAAAAAGAGAGGTAGCCAAGGAAGCTGAGAGACACAGAAAGAGAGAGAATGGTGTTTGAACCCCTGACTCCATTTGCTGAGGTTTCTTATCCAGGCTTTGTTTTGGTCTCATCCGTCAACTCTAGAGATTTTCTGATAATATCTTCAGTTAAACTCTTTTTTTCTGACCTAATGATATTTTGTCTTTAGGATGCATATGGCACAAATGCTAGGAAACATTTATTTATTTTTATTGCACTTCTTACATACAACACATGAAATAGCCAGGCTCTATACCCATGTACTTTATAAGTGGGAATAAAAAATCTAGGCCGGGCGCGGTGGCTCACACCTGTAAACCCAGCACTTTGGGAGGCCGAGGCGGGTGAATCATGAGGTCAGGAGATCGAGGCCATTCTGGCTAACACAGTGAAACCCCATCTCTACTAAAAATACAAAAAAATTAGCCGGGCGTGGTGGCAGGCGCCTGTAGTCCCAACTACTCAGGAGACTGAGGCAGGAGAATGGTGTGAACCCAGGAGGCGGAGTTTGCAGTGAGCCGAGATCATGCCACTGCACTCCAGCCTGGGCGACAGAGCAAGATTCTGTATCAAAAAACAAAAAAAAACAAAACAAAAAACAAAAAACAAAAAAAACTAATACTTTCTACCACTGATTAATTCATATTTTACAAATTGATATAGGAAATAAGAGAGAATTCTAGTCTCAGTTCACGGTTAATTTGGTTGAATCACTTTAGTTCTCTTGTCTAAATTATCTTTAATGTCTACTGCAGCCATATTGATAGCTATTTCTTTTTATCCATATAATGCAACATACAAGGGGCTTAATCATCACCATGCTTTTGAAATAATCCTAGAACACTAGGTATTCATAGAGTGCTACAAGTTCAACTGTATTAATATCCCAAAAGGGGTCTTAGAAAGATATCTTAAGACTGCATATGTGCTGTAAAAATTTCAATCACCTCATTTATAATCTTAGTTTTCCATGAACATACAGATAGATGCGATGATAGATGGATGGATGGATGGGTGGATGGATGGATGGATGGATGGATGCATGGATAGACAAGATAGATGATTAGATAGATAGAAAGACAGACAGACAGACAGATAGATAGACAGACAGTGCATAGAGAAAAGCAAGTTGTAACTAGTCATCCTATAGGTGAAGATTGGAGAATGTTTAGAGGCAAGTCTCTTCTTCTTTTTTTCCCCAGCTTCCCTTTGTGGCTAGAGTGAAGTATACTGGTATAAAGTGCTCTAAAAATACAGAAACTGAGAGAAGAAGAAATATGAAAAAGAAATGGAGAAATGTGAGAGAGAAAACCATTTACTGTGCGACATTAGACTTCCTCGTGATGAAGGAGGAGGAGAACATTGGATCTGATAGGTGATTCAAGTCTAAAAATTGACTGAACTAAAATTTAAAAGCCAAAAAAGGTGAAAGGTGATGGAATCTGTCTCAAGTATGAAGAGTTCCTGTAACTTCATAAGGATGAAAGATTTAACAGAGTACACTTAAGAGCAACAAGACAACTGTAATCTTTTCACATTTATACCGCAGTGGACTGAGATTCAACAATCTGGTAATGTTGTTCTCCTCCTACTCTTTTCCTTCTCCACCTGTGTCTGCTTTTTCTTCTCCTTATTATTATTATGTTGTTATTCATTAGTTACCAAAACCTGAAATATTTCTCAGGGTTCTTCAAGTGTAATGCAAATCTGGCTATAAATTGAGATTTTCTACTCACCCTTTCAATTCTTGAAAACACTAACTTATAAACTTCCAAAACATACAGGAGATCCCTAAATAGTAAACATGGAGAAATAACATAGGTGTAATGATTTTATTAAATTATAATAACTAGAAACAAACCTCTGTAGTTTCTGATTTCTTTGTTAGATGCTTGAAATTGCAAAGCCACACCCCATAAACTTGCGAGGATCCATAGCTGTGGTCACCCCTCCTTCCCGCCAGAATGAATAACCAGCTGTGCTACTTGAATTTCTATTCATTAGGAGAATTTACCATCAGCATTGCCTTTCAGGGTCATCCTGGATTGGTGCAATCGTACTCAAACTGTCCATCTTTGCATGGTGCCTACATATTGTGCAGAACCATCTGGAAACCAAGCTTGAGTTTTTCTTCCTCAACCAACTGTTCAACGTAAATGTGTGGATTGAGAAAGAGAAGCCAGTGCAGCAGGAGTATATGAAGTGTGGATTTGTGTTACTTCCTCATTCACTTGTGCCTTCAGGGCATGCTTAAAGCTGATCTCATATATGCTACTTTCAATTTATGGAGCACTGCTGTGAACGCCCAACTTTATGGGTTGAGGAGTCAGACAATACCCAGTTTCTGATGGGCAGTTCAGGTCACATATTGACTTGATAACCCATGATAAAGCATTTGGTCTCTACGGAGTTCTGATAACAAGACAAAGGCTATTTTTCAAAAGAAGAGTGGTTAGGCATAGAGTAGAAGATAATATTGCTTAGCTCCCAAATTCTAAGCCTTTGCCCTGTGATCCATCTATAACTCCCTGTCAAAGCCTCCATAAAGCATCCTATTTGCAACTTACATCTCAAGCAACAACAGGTCTGTTAACTCACATGGCCCAAATTGTGGAGCAGCTTGCATGGCAGCCTGAATCTATTGACAAGCCTTCTTTGGTTCTTGGGCTCGTACACTAGAAAATCAATCAAGGTCTCTGCAGCCTAGGACATGACATAGGCTGGAGAGTTGACATAATGCTAAAGTAGAGCAAGGGAGCCAAATGCTAGTCCTTTTAACAGAAATGAAACTGCTTTCGATGATCTTTATTAATAGGTATGGAGAAAAATGCAGTGTCCAGCTTAATTGTCCCAGCTATTGAGGATCTGACTCCAATATATATATATTTTTGGGGGTTACATAATTCCATTCATAATACCACCAGAGGCATTGAACTTGAATGGACCAGAGAGGACAGGCAAACTTCATGAACAAGTAGTGCAGTTCTCCATAATACTGAGAATGCTGCATAATTCTGAATTCCTGATACTGAATTATAGTTTAAGGAGACCAACCAGGCCTTTGGTGGAAAGTAGATTACATCACATCATTTCTGTCTTAGAAAGGCCAACAGTTCATTCTCATAGCTGTAGGCATATTTAATATATGAACTTACATTTTCTACCCAAACAACCTCAGCTAGCCAATTATCTGGAGGTTTACGCTATACCTGATACATTGGTATAAACTCCCATATGACAAGACATGGCTAGTAACCAGGAAGAATTTTCACGTGAAGGAGGCACAGCAGTGGTCCCATAACCATGGGTATGGGTTCCACTGGCTATGTCACATACTGTATCATGCTAATGCACCTAGTCTCATACACTTTTGGAATTGCCTACAAAAGGTACAGCTGAAGTAGTAGCATTGAGATAACATTTTGTGAAGAAGAAATTCCACCCTTCAGGATGCAGTACATGCATCGAATCAGAGATCTCTCTATGGCATTGTGTCCATAATGAAAAGAATAGATAGGTCCAGGAATGTAAGATTACAAACAGGAGTGGCCCTTCTTTCACTGATATCCAATAACCCCTAGGAATTTTGTGCTTTTGGTCCCTCCATGTTTGGGATCTTCAGAACTGAAGCTATTTATCCCCCAAATAGGTACATTCTTGATGTGGACATCATAATAGTTCCATTTAACTATAAACTGCTGCTTTTGTCAGAGCATTTTATTCTGCAGCCATCAGACAAGAAGTCACCATCCTGACTGGGGTAATTGACCCTACTCAGCCAGAGGACTTTGGGCTGTTTTACACAGTGAGGACATGAAGAAATACTTGTGGATGCTAGTTGATTTACTTGAGCCCTTTTCCATACTTTCTGGACATATAAAGCAACTTGACCTGGGAAGAATGGTTGCCAAAGGGCCTTACTACCTGGAATATAGGTTTCATTCACACTACCACATAAGACACCAAAACCTGTGGAGATGATAGCTGAAGGTGAGGATTTAGATATACAGAGAATGTAGAGTGTCCAATAAGAGATAAAGTACATGAGTAACAGGTGTGTTCCCAAGAGCAACTGCAAGGACGATGGCTACAATTCAACTCACTAACTTTCCTTTGCTAAGTTCCCTCTTAGAGAACCATGAAGTAGCTGCTTCCAAGTATAGATGAAGAAGTGGACCTAAGTATAACAAGAGGTGAACTGTGATGGCCATGTAGGTGTGCTGCTGTAATTTCCATCAAGAGAACGGCTAGAAGAACATAGTGGACTGACAGCTTCTATCAGCTCCTGTCCGTTTGGATCTGCTATCATGTTTATGCTAATACTTGCTCTTCTCACTGTCCATCAATGACTGAGAACAGTAGATGGTTCATGCCTGTAATCCCAGCACTTTGGGAGGCTAAAGCAGGAGGATCACTCAAGCCCAGGTGTTCCAGACCAGCCTGGGCAACATAGTGAGACCGTATCTCTACAAAAAGTATGAAAATTACTCTGGTGTGGTGGTGCACACCTGTAGTACCAGCTACTCAGGAGTCTGAGGCAGGAGAATAAATGGAGCCCAAGAGGTTGAGGCTACAGTGAGCCATGGTCCTGCCATTGCACTCCTGCCTGGGTGACAGAGCCAGATGCTGAAGAAGAAAAGAAAAGAAAAGAAAAGAAAAGAAAAGAAAAGAAAAGAAAAGAAAAGAAAAGAAAAGAAAAGAAAGAAAAGGGAAGGGAAGGGAAGGGAAGGGAAGGGAAGGGAAGGGAAGGGAAGGGAAGGGAAAGGAAGGGGAAGGGGAAGGGGAGGAAAGGGAAAGAAAGGAAAGGAAAGGAAAGGAAAGACAAGACAAGACAAGACAAGACAAGACAGACAGACAGACAAGACAGGGAAGGGAAGGGAAGGCTGGGCAGGGCAAGGCCTTGTTTGCATATTTGTTTTTAATAGAGCAAATATATGAAAATGTTAAAACATAAGACTGGTAAATGTGTTCTCTATTCAGATTTTAGCATTAGGATGGTACAACTGGACACAAGAAAGAGGAAATATCTTTTCAGAATTAAAACTAAAGAATGCATAATGTTTAGCAAAATTAAACTATAAAAATTAAGTTTTAGGTATCTCTCTACTATGTTTAGCACAAATGACCCTTATTTTCAGCAAGTACTTTCTTAGAATAAAATAATGATTTTTTTTGAATGTTCACTGAAGTTGAATAGTCCAGTGTCTTATGACGTACCCCCGCATACATCTCTCATTCCATCCAATGTGCACACACACACACACACACACACACAAACATCTGTGTTAGAAGATAATACTTAAACACAATTTTTAAAAACTCATCTATCAAAATGTTGAGATATTAAACAGATTATCATTTCTGTTATTATAAACTAATTATACATGCCTAAGTCATGATTCTTGGCCATCAAGTTCAAGTTGAATATGCTGATCAATTTGCAAGCACATTGGGAAGTGAAGAGCATTCTATCTTCTTTTTAATGTTGTCCTTGGATTATAACTTTAGTTACCTAGTACGGGTGTTTTAAAAAGTAGAAGTGATTAAGAAACATCACTTCCAACCAAGATATATGGGGACCTAATATCTTCTGCTGAAATTCTGTAGTCTGGGGGTATTGTCAGATATATACAAAATGAAGATTGAAAATTTATCTATGAACCCTGCCAAGTTTTTCAATAAATACATAAAGTAATTTAAAGTTGCAGAAGTAGTTATTTGTGTGCTAGCCTTATTGTGTGGTAGAACTCCAAAAATCTCGAAAATATTTCATTGAGTTAAACTTTAGATTGGATTTAGAAGTGTATCTCTGAATTAGACAATTCCAAAGCCACAAAAATAATCTATTTATCTTAGAGTAGATAATACACTTTCCTGATCTCTGCCTTAGAGAAAAAAAAGAAAAGAAAAGAAATGTGTTTCAGATAGGTAGGCCATAGAATTAGGAGTTAGGAAATGTTAACATATAATATGCCTATATTACGAAATTTTTAAAGACAAAAATGGCAATTTGGTATATATCTAATTTCTTCTAATAATGACACTCTTTATTTATGTTTCTTCATTTGAAATATTTCTTTCAAATGCCTTTTCTCTTTTAGACATTAGGTAAGGCATTGGTAATAAATTGCTTTAGTATGATGAGTATTCCCAAAAGTAAGCAATGGTAATTTATTAAAATGAACAGCACAAAGAAAATGCATATGGGATGTATGGGAGTCCACAGGAAAGGCATGTTGATTGGCCTGGAAGGTGGAGGGAAGCTTTGGATGAAATAACATAAAATAATTCATAACAAATATACTACTCTGTAAAAGAAAAGCAGGTGACCCATGGAAAGAAAAAATAAACATTAAAAGGTCACTGGAATTGAAAAACTGAAGTAACAAATACAGTCATGTGTGACTATACAGATTATGCTTGTATGGAGGGATGCAGTGTTTGAGCAGGTGAAATAAAAAAGAAGACAAAACAGATGTACAGAGGCTCCATTTCTTCATATGCTATGATTTTTAATTTAAAAAAATTACTTTAAATTTATGTTTACTAATATTTATCTTTTTGGGTGTACAGTTCTATGAAATTTGACAAATGCACAGTCTTATAACCCCTACAACAAGCAAGATATAGAACAGTTTGATCACCTTCCAAAATTTTCTCATGCTGTTTTTTTGGAGTCAGTCCTGCCCCCAACCTTCAAACTCTTGCAAACTGGTAATCATTATAATTTTGCTTTTTCCAGAATGTCATTTAATTGGTAATAAAGATAATTCTGCCTTTTGGATCTGGCTTCTGTCATTCAGCATAATGCAATTGAGATTCATTTACATTTGCTTTCGTATGAGCAGTTAATTACATTTTACTGTTGAGTAGTATTTCATTGTATGGTTATAGTACAATGTGTTCATCCATTTACCAATTAAAGTGCATCTAGATTATTTCCATTGTGGAGCAATTATGAAGAAAGTTGCTATAAACATTCCTGTATGGGTTTTTGTATGACTACTTTATTTCTTTTGGGTAAATACATAGGAGTGAGATTGCTGGGTAATAATAGTAAACGTATGTTTATAAGAAACTGCCCAGCTGTTTTTTTTAAGTTGAGCCATTTGCATGCCTGCACACAATGAATGAGAACTCCAGGTACTCTGTACCCTTACTATTACCTGTTATTGTCAGGTTTTTTTTTTTTTTTTTATGTTAGCCATTCTAATGGATGTATATTGATATCTACTTAGGATTTCAATTTGCATTTCCTTAATGACTAAGGACATTGAATGTATTTTCAGGTGCTATTTGCCATCTTTATATCTTCTTTGAAAAAAGGTTCATATTCTTTGTCCTTTTTATAGGATAGGCTGTTTGTTTTTATATTGTTTTCAGACTTCTTTATGTTTTCTGAATACAAATCTTTTATCAGACATATGATTTACAAGTATCTTAATCTGTGGCTTTCTATTTTATTCTTATAACTGTCTTTTAGAGAACAGAAGTTTTTAGTTGTTTTCTTTTTAATTTTGGTAAAATACACGTAATGACATATAATTTTAAACACATTTTAAGTGTACAGTACACTACCATTAACTAAATGTATGTTGTTATACAATGTTCTAGATCTCTAGAAGTTTTTGTCTTGTATGATTGAAACTGTATACCCATTGAATAGCAGCTATTCCATTTCTCCTTCCATTTAGCCCCTGGCACGTCTACTTTCTGGGTCTATGAATTTGACTACTTCAGTCACTTCATACAAGTAGAATCATACAGCATATGTCCTTCTGTGACTGGCTTATTTTACTTAGCATAGTGAAATAAGTATTTGTCCTCAAGATTTGTCCATGTATTATTGACATGATTTACTTATTTTTTAAGGCTGAATATTTTATTGTATGTGTGTGTTGTGTAAAAATATGTACTATGTATATATGCTATGTACATATATGTATACTTGCTCTGTACATATATACACACATATATGGTTAAAATGCCATATATACACACATATACACACACATATTCACATATATACACACATAAAAATACACTACATTTTTAAAAACATCTTTATTTTTTAAATTTATTTTTAATTTGACAAAAATTTTATATTTATTGTGCATTTTAAAATACATCTTCATTTTAAAATACATCTTTATTTTTTAAATTTATTTTTAATTGACAAAGATTGTATATTTATTGTGTAGATGATATTTGATATATATACCCATTGTGAAATGAGCAAATCAAACTAATTAATGTATTCATGCCTCACATGGTTTTTGTTGTGGTGAAAACATTTAAAATCCGCTCTCTTAGTAATTTAAAAACATGCAATCCTTTATTATTAACTATAGCCACCATGCTGTACAATAGGTCTCCAGAACTTACCCTGCCTGTCTAACTGAAACTTTGTACCCTTTAACCAACATCTCCCCTTTCCCGTCAGCTCCCCATCAGGCCCTGGTTACCACCATTCTTTTCTCTGCTCTGGTAAGTTCAACTGTTAAAAATTCTGCATGTAAGTGGGATCATGCAGTATTTGTCTATATATCTGACCTATTTTACTTATCATAATGCTCTACAGGTTAATCCATATTGTCACAGAATGACTGGATTACCTTCATTTTTAAGGCAGAATAGTATTCCATTGTGTATATATACCACATTTTCTGTATGGATTTATTCGTGGATGGGCACTTAGGTTGATTTCATATGTTGGCTATTTTTAATAATGCATCAATAAACATGGGAGTGAAAATATTTTATAACATACTGATTTTCTTTCTTTTGGATATATAACCAGAAGTACAATTGCTGGGTCATGTGGTAGATCTATTTTTAGTTTTCTGAGGAAACTTCACACTGTTTTCCATAGTGGCTATACTAATTTACATTTCTACAAATGATGTACAGGTTTCCTTTTCTCGTATCCTTGCCAACATTTGTTGTATTTTGTCTTTTTTATAATAGCCATTCTAACAGGTGTGAGATAAAATCGCATTGTGTTTTAATTTGCATTTCCCTGACGATTACTTATGTTGAGCATTTTTCTCTGTATTTTCTTCTAGGAGTTTTATAGTTTCCAGTCTCTGTTTAAGTCATTAATCCATTTTAAGTTAATTTCTGTGTGTGGCGTAAGATAATGGTTTGATTTCATTATTTTGCATGTGAATAATCATTTTTCCCAATAACATTTGTTGAAGAGCCGATCCTTTCTCTATTGTGTAGTCCACCTATGCATAGATTTTATTCTGGGATATCTATTCTGTTCCATTGATCTACCATACTGTCTTGATTACTTTAGCTTTATAATATATTTTGAAGTCAGAAAGTGTGAGACATTCAGCATTTTTCTTCTTCTTCAACATTGTTTTGACAACGTGGAGTCTTTTGTGGTTCCATTTTAATTTTAGATTTGGGTTTTTTATTCTGCAAAATTGGGATTTAAATAGGGCTTGCATTGAATATGCAGATTGCTTTGGGTAGGGTAGACATTTTAAAATATGAAATATTCAATCTGTGAACATAAGACGTCTTTGCATATATTTGCGTCTATAATTTCCTTCAGAAATGTTTTACAGCTTTTAGTGTACATCTTTTGCCTCCTTGGATAAGCTTATTCCTAAGCATTTTAAGCTTTTTTTATTTTAATTGGGATTGTTTTCTTAATTTCCTTTTTTGATTATGCATTGTTAGTATATAGAAATGCTACTTATTTTGTATGTTGATTTTATATTCTGCAACTTTTAAAATTCATTTTATCAGTTTCAACCTTTTCTGTGGAATCCTTAAGGTTGTATACATTTGAGACCATGTCATCTGGGAATAGACTATTTTATTTCTTCCTTTTTGATTTGAAGGTCTTCTATTTCTTTTTCTAATCTAACTGTTATAACTAATATTTCTAGTATCATAGAAGTTTTAAGACTGGACATATGTCTGTTTCTTCTCTTAAAGGAAAAGCTTTCCGTCTTTTACTGTCTAGTAGTCTGTTAGCTGTGGGCTTTCCATATATGGGCTTTATTGTGTTGAGATCATTTCCTTTTATCTGTAGTTTACTCAGTGTTTTTATTATAAAAGTACTTGTATGTTGTCGAATGCTTTTGTCTCATATATTGATATGATGATTTGATTTTTTATCCTTTGTTCTGTTATAGTGTGGCATATTTATTGATTTGCATATGTTGAATCATTTTTGCAACCCACAGAGAAATCACACTTGATGATGACATATGATCCTATTCAGTTTGCTAGTATTTCATTGAGAATTTTTGTGTCGGTATTAAACAGGGACATTGGCGAGTAATTTCCTTTTCTAGTAGTATCTTTGCTTGGCTTTTATATCAGGGTAATCAGAGCAATGCTGGGCTCATAAATGTGTTCCGAAGTGTTTCTTCTTTAATATTTTGAAAGAGTTTGAGAAGGATGGGTGTTAATTTGTTTTTTTAAATGTTGGTGGAATTCTTCAGTGAAGCCATCTGGTTCTGGGCTTTTCTTTGTTGGGAGATTTTTGATACAAATTAAATCTCTTTAATCCCTTCACAGGTCTGTGCAAATTTTCTATTTCTTCCTGATTCAGTAAGTTGTATGCTTCTAGGAATTTATCTGTTTCTTCGAGGTCATCCAATTTTTTTGGTGTATAGTTTTTCATAGTAGTCTCTTATAATCATTTTGATTTCTGTGGCATCAGCTATAGATGGTATCATCTTTCATTTCTGAAACTTACTGTTGTCCTCCTTCTTTGTTACATATTATTAAAATAGAGAGCTGTTGAAAGAATTCAGGACAAGGATTCAAATGCTTGATGTTTATATGTGTGCTGGCTGGCAAATGTATATATAATTAAATTATTAGATGGTCATCACACTAGGCCTCAGATGTGTAAATATCTCATAATACATAAAAATATTAATTTCATTATGTTTACAAAGCCTACTATTTAAATTTTTTGAACAGGGAATATAATAACGTGGTTCAAAATTTAAATGTACAAAAAAATTCCGTTGAAAAGTTGCCTCAATCTTCTTTCCACTCCTGGAGACAAACAATATTATCAGGTTTTTTTTTTGTTTGTTTCCTTATTGAATATTGTTAACATATACATACAAATATTTCAAATTCATATTTTATAAAAACTATAGCATATGTAGGAATTGCTTTGCATGTTATACAATTTTATAAAGTTGCTGGAAGATGATGAAGGAAAATCTCCAGGCAGCTCTGATCTGTAGGCCAAAAAAACCAACCAGTCCGAATTACAGCATGGGAACATTTTGTTGTTGTTGTTGTTGTTGTTGGGAGATCTCCTAGAAAATTAACGTGAAAAGGATAAGATACTTGATATGCTTGATATAGTAAGGAGTGATTTGTAGTTCTGAATTTAATAGGGGTTCAATTAGTAAAAGTATGTAAAAAATTGACAAGATAAACACAAGGTAATTATTCACTCAACAGAAAACAAAGCAAGCAAGATTCAAGAAAGAGGATGAAATACAGTATATTTCAAGACTGTAATATGAATGATAAATCATATTAAGTCAATAAATAGGAAAATACAGAGTATTTCACCATTACTGAGAGATGAAAGCAGGAGAAATTTGTGTGTTTCTGTGTGTGTGTGTGTGTGTGTTCACAGCTGTACTAGGATATGCCTACCTGAATGAGGCACTTAAAAGAGAAAAATTCTCACCTTTAATAGTGGGAATTTTGTATATAATAGGTACATATAAAAACTAAAGAAATAGTAACATGATTATATCATTAAGATATATGAGTAAAAAAACAGAAGGAACAGCTTAGGGTTTAATGTAGTTTTTTTTTTTAGAACAGGCTATGAAGTGTTAGTAACAGGAAAAGGAAGCACAATTAGACATTGGAAGTTTTGTAAATTATACTAAAGCCTGGACATTTTACTACTTTAATAAAAAAGTATTAAATAAAGATAAATTCCATTCATTATTATTTAAAAAATAAAGATGTCTGCATCATAGCTTTATATATTTTGAGTAAAAAAAGCACTGTTATGAAAGTAAATGACGAACTTGGTACATAATATTATCAATGAGGAAATGAATCAAAAGATGTGCATAGACCATAAATATCTAAAAAGTTATCTTTCAAATCTAATTTTAGTAGAATGATTATTTAAGAAATAAATCTACAAAAAAATAGGCTACATATAAACTACCGGTCATAAAAGACATAAAAATGTACTTGTATAAATGGAAAGACAGTTGATTATTTTAGTTTCAATAAGGTAACTTTGGCTATTGAATTGAAGTGAAGCTAAAGGGGGAAGGTAGGTGGTAGGATTCAGGGTGAATATTTGGGAAGCTACCATGATGATCCAGTGGAAAAGTTATGGTGTTATCAGATGGATTAAGAAGAAGTAGTGAGACATTGATTCCAGATTTGAGAATCAGAGGACAGGATTTGCCATCATATGTGCAGTGTGAGAGAGAAGAACCAAGCTCCCTAAGCGAACCAACAACAACTTATTTTGTGTCTTCTCTGGGTCCTGTCAATTTGTCTTTTTTTTTTTTTTTTTTTTTTTTTTTTTTTAAAGAGACATGCAGATAGGTGAATGCCAGTTCTCATCTGTTGGAAAAGAAGAATGGAGTGGTCATCTGTCCCACAGTAAAAAGTTTCTGTTTAGTTTCCCATTGCAGCTATAACAAATTATGGAAAACTTGAAGACTTTGAAAACACAAATATATTACCTTAAAATTGTGGAAATCAGAATTCTAAAATGGATATCACTGGGCTAAAATCAAGGCATCAGAACGATTGTACTTCCTTGGAGACTGTAGAGAAGAATCTGCCTCCTCGCCTTCTCTACCTTTCAGAGGCTGTCTACATTTCTTAGCTTGTGATCCTCTTCCATCTTCAAAGACAGCAACAGCCAGGTGACTCTTTCTTACACCAAATTACTCTGAACTCTGCTTCAGTCTTGACATCTTCATTCCCGACTTTCTTGCCTTCTTGTTTCATTTATTGGGACCCTTGTGATTACATTAGATTCACTTGCATGATCCAGGATAATCATTACACCTTAAGATCCTTGATCAAATCTTCAAAGTTCCTATTGAAACGTGGGGTAACAAATTCACAGGTTCTGAGAATTAGGACAAGGACATAATTGGAGGGTCATTATTCTGTCTATAACAAGTAACAGCATACTGGTTACGGGTTTGGCATAAAACTGGATTTGAATCTTTCCAGCACTTATTGTGAAGGTTAGGCAAATCCATTGTAAAGATTTATCCATTCTAAGGATAATGGCTTCCAGCTCCATCTTAGAACACACAGACGCATGGTGGGGAACAATACACACTGGGGCCTGTCGGAGGATGGGGGTTGGGAGGAGCTAGAGCATCAGGAAGAACAGCTAATGGATGCTGGGCTTAATGCCTAGGTGATGGGATGATCTGTGCAGCAAACCATCACGGCGCATGTTTTCCTGTGTAACAAACCTGTACATCCTGCACATGTACTCCTGAACTTAAAATAGAAGTTGGAAATTAAAAAAAATTTATCCATTCTAGGCTTCCATTCCCTCATAGTTCGAATAGAAATGCTAACTGAATTTACTTCAGAGAGTTTGTGGGTGTGTTTTTAAAGAAATAATGCCTATAAAGCACTTGACACAGTGCTTGGCACATAAAATATACTCCATACATATTAGCGGCCATAATTATATCCCTAAGGAACTCCTTAGTAAAAGGTAGGGTTATGTAAGGTTTTCTGACAGTTTCTTTACTATATTGGCTTTTATACAATTTACAGCTCTGAATTTTCTTTTCTTTCTTTTTCTTTTTTTTTTTTTTGAGACAGAGTCTCGCTCTGTAACCGAGGCTGGAGTGCGGTGGCGCGATCTTGGCTCACTGCAACCTCTGCCTCCCAGGTTCCAGCAATTCTTCTATCTCAACCTCCCAGAGTAGCTGGGACTACAGCCGCCCGCCACCATGCCCAGCTAATTTTTTGTATTTTTAGTAGAGACGAGGTTTCACCGTGTTAGCCAGGATGGTCTCAAGCTCCTGACTTCGTGATCCACCAGCCTCAGCCTACCAAAGTGCTGAAATTACAGGCGTGAGCCACTGCGCTCGGCCCAGTCCTGAATTTTCTTTCCAACTTTAGACCAACTTTGGATTTTATATTTGCTCTTTACATCTTTAATTAATAAACCTTTAGGCTATTTTACTTCCGTTGACGATGTCTATAAACCCTTATTGTCAATTACCATGGCAAGAAAAACTGCCATATTTGATTTACATATAGTCATAATATTAATTGTGTTATTATTTAAATCACTTATAGAAATTCTGAAGACGAAAGGACTGAGAACAGAAATTTCAAGAAAGCAATTGTGTAATGTCTTAAGGTTGACATTTCCACATGCTTTTAAGGTTTTGTCCCTCAGTTCCAAATTTAGTCTCATTTTTCAATCCAGTGTGTGTGTGTGTGTGTGTGTGTGTGTGTGTGCGCGCGCGCGCGCGTCTGTGTGCAACTAGGGCCGGGACTCTAAAAGTTACCCTTGTCCTTTGCCAGATAGCATCCTGTTAAGTTTGGCCCATAGAATGAGCTAGAGACTATTGGAATTCAGGAAGATGTGAAATAATTGTTTCTGTTTTCCTGAGTTCTTGGGTCATCCTAACAATGGGCTTTCATGTTGTCAGTAGCAATTGGGTTCCACTGAAACCAAAAGTTTCATTCAACACCTCAGAACTGGCCTCTTTGTGTCTCCCCAGAGATGCCAGCGTCAGCCATTGTCACTTTCTCCTCAGAGGTTCAGTTTTAGCATTACAACGATCCTTTTTCTTGTTTCTAAAATACCAGCACCTGTTTGGCAGCAACACCTTCTCAAAGATTTGCTGCCTAACTCCACAGGGTCCTTTTTCAAACTTCTCGTTTCCAATAACTCTAAACTGTCCACTTGATTCTTCATTCCTAGGGGCGTTAGCTACTTTCTGACAACAACCTTAGGAATGTAACAACTCTAGGTTCACTTTTTGCAGTTTAACTATTCTAATAATCATTCAACCAGTTTCTTACATTAAATTATTTCTCCTGAAATAATTCCTGAGTCCTCACATTTCTCATGGCACCAATTATTTACCTCCCATTCATTTCTCTCCTCTCTTATCTGGATCCCCTTTATCTCATTCTCACTTAATCATCTTAGTGCCTGTTTCTAGTTCCAGTTCCATGAGCTCCCCCTCCACCCTGTAACCCCTTTTCAAGGACCACCTCCAGCATTAATTTCTATTCTCCTGCTTTTCCTTCTAAAATCTTTCCAACATATCAGCTCTCATTTGTGCACCTCTTTCTCCAGAAGAACACATCTCTCAGTCTAACAAGGCCATTTTCTCTACTTGATATTCTTAACCCATCACTGGACATTGGACCAAGTTCTAAAGCCACGAAGACTATAGAATAAAGCCTGTGCCTTGGGTTGATGAAGGAGCAGATTGATTTTAAAAGATGGTATCCTTAAAAGGAGAAGCAAAATGAATTCATCTCAGAGTCCTGACTTCCCACTACCTCCTTTAATATCTTTTTTCAGGCCAGGCATGGTGGCTCAAGCCTGTAATCCCAGCACTTTGGGAGGCCGAGGCGGGCAGATCACGAGGTCAGCAGATCGAGACCATCCTGGCTAACACGGTGAAATCCCGTCTCTACTAAAAATACAAAAAATTAGCCAGGTGTGGTGGCGGGAGCCTGTAGTCCCAGCTACTCGGGAGGCTGAGGCAGGAGAATGGAGTGAACCCGGGAGGGGGAGCTTGCAGTGAGCTGAGACTGCACCACTGCACTCCAGCCTGGGCGACAGAGCTAGACTCTGTCTCAAAAAAAAAAACAAAATCTTTCTTCATAGGTGAACAACTGTCACATCCAAATATTAACTCAAAAACCAACCAAACAAACAAACAACCAAACAAACACAAAAACTTAACTTTAGACAGTATTCTTACAGAAAACAATGGTTTCTCTGTGAAATAGTTTGGATGTTTGTCCCCTCCAAATATCGTGTTGAAATGTAATTCCTGGTGTTGGAGGTGAGGCCTGGTGGGAGGTGTTTGGATCATGATTGCAGATCCCTCGTCAATGACCTAGCACCAGGGATGATTCTGGTCATTCACGCAAGTTCTGATTGCCTCTAGTGTGGCCCCTTCCTCCATCTCTCTCTTGCTCCTGTTCTCACCATATAATACACTGGCTCCCCCTCTGCATTTTGCCATGATTGTAAGCCTTGCTGATGCCCTCACCAGAAGTAGATGCTGGTACCATTCTTTCTCCACAGCCTGCAGAATAGTGACTCAATTAAAACTTTTCTTTTTATAAACAACCCAGTCTCAGGTATTCCTTTATACCAACACACAAATGGACACCGTGCTACTCTCTTAAGTATGTTTTTACCCCATTATCCTTGTAACAGAATATCTGAAATTTCTTCTTTACTTCAATCCTTGTTCCCACTTCTCTGTCTGAGCTGTACTCTCTTCTTTTCAATATGTCTGCCAGATACCTCAGTACTGAGTGCCTGTTACCTGCTGCCTTTATTTACCTGAAGGTTCTTGTACTTGATTCCTTGGGGCCTCTTGGATTCCTTTCTCTGTCTCTGGTATTTTAAAAGTCTACCCTTTGAAATCTGACTGTAGCTTTTTATCTTCAAAGGCATATTTTTTCTTCTCTTTTATCCCCATCTTTTCTACCCCCCTCTTATCAGCAAGTTCCCTTTTGAAATTCTTTATATAATTAAAAAAATGTGAGTTTATTTAAGGAAAAACCTAAGAAAATAAGAATACATGTGATTTGCAAACATAGCAAAAATGATGAGAGCATCATGCACTAATGTTTTCTAAAACATTTCTGAGATCCCAGTTGAACAACTGTATTTTTTTTAAAAAAAGATAAATCTCCTTGTTCTTAGTAAATTTTTGATGGCTCTGAGTAATCATTATTTCCTAATTTACCTGAATCATCACATTAATAGTTCATTTGTTCTCTTTGGAAGAGATGTACATTTTACCAACTGAAATTTTGAAAAAAAGGTTACAGTTATCTGTGTAAAAAATATCTGAAAAATATTTATTAATTGCCAGTCTTTTGGAAGATGGTGCATTATTTACCACTTCTGAAAACTTACTGACAGCCACTTAGTGTTCTCATTTACAAATTATCGGAGTTCCCTGGAAAGAAAATCCTAGAGACCAAGAGAAGTGTTTGTGATATTTTTTTGCATTTAGGTACAATTTTGTTTTATATATTTTTACAACTTTATTTTAGAATCAGGGGATATATGACCAGATATTTTACAAAAGTATATTGCATGATGCTGAAGTTTAAGTTATGACTGAACCCATCACCCAGGTAGTAGGCATAGTACCCAATAGGTAGTTTTTCAGCCCTTTCCCTGCTCTCTCTCTATTGCTCTCATATTTATGACCATGTGTACCCAGTGTTTAGTGCCCAATTATAAGTGAGAACATGCAGTATTTAATTTTCCTTTGCTGTATTAGTTTGCTTAGGATAATGGTCTCCAACTGCATCCATGTTGCTGAAAAGGACATGATTTCATTTTTTATGGCTGCATAGTAGTCCATGTTGTGTGTGTGTGTGTGTGTGTGTGTGTGTGTGTGTGTATTTTTTTTTTCTTTATTCAATCCACCATTGATAGGCACCTGGCTTCATTCCATGTTATTGCTATTGTGAATAGCACTGCAGTGAACATATGGATGCATGTGTACTTTCAATAGAATGATGTGTTTTACTTTGGGTATATACCCAGTAATAGAATTGTTGGATTGAATGGTAGTTCAACACAATTCTTCGAGAACTTTTCAAACTGCTCTCCACAGAGGCTGGGATAATTTACCTTCCCAGCAACAGTGTATCAGTGTCCTCTTTTCCCTGCATCCTCACCAGTATCTGTTATTTTTTGACTTTTTAACAAAAGCCATTCTGACTGGCATGAGATGCTATCTCATGGTAGTTTTGATTTGCATTTCTCTGATGATTAAGGATGATGAACATTTTCCCATATGTTTGTTGGTTGTTTGTATGTCTTCTTTTGAGATGTGTCTATTTGTGTCCTTTGCCCACTTTGTAATGAGGCAGTTTGTTTTTGCTTGTTGGTTGGTTGAAGTTCCTTACACATTCTGGATATTAGACCTTTGTCAGATGCATACTTTGTGAATATTTTCTCCCATTCTGTAGATTGTCTGTTGACTTCCTTGACTGTTTCTCTTGCTGTGCAGAAGCCCTTTCATTTAATTAGGTCCCGCTTATTAATTTTTGTTTTGTTGCAATTGCTTTGGAGGACTTAGCCATAAATTCTTTTCTAACATTGATATTGAGAATAGTATTTTATGGGTTTTCTTCTAGGATTTGTATATTTTGAGGACTTATATTTAAGTCTGTAATATATCTTGAGTTAATTTTTGTGTACAGTGATAGGTAAGAGTCCATTTTCTTTCTTCTGCATATGGATGGCCTGTTATCCCAGCACCATTTATTATGCTTTGCTTGTCTACATCAAATTTGTTAAAAATCAAATGGTTGTAGGCATGCAGCTTTATTCCTGGGCTCTCTATTCTGTTCCATTAATCTATGTGTGAGTCCAAGAGATTTAAACTGATGTTAAGCAACTAGAGTTGTCCTATATTCTAAATAATCGTGGATTTTAATTCTTTATAAAATAATATGTGTTCTATTCTTGCTCATTTAAAGATATTCATTTGACAGAGAAGAAAGAAGTAAAATGAGTTTGGGTAGTTATGTTTTTAAAGAAGGTCTGGCTTTAGCAGACTGATTTGCTTATCAGAGTTTTTTTAAGTATCTGTAATTATAATATGCAATTACACTTAAAATAATTTAGGATATGTAATATCTATGCCATCACTTTAATGACCACACTAAAGTAATACATTTGCCTGCAATAGCCACTATTTAATCCACAAATACTACCACACTTTTAATTATGTATTTGAAGAGTTTGTGTCTGGGAGCATAATTCAAAGTTAGGTTTCCCATGAGATTTTATTGCTGTTCTCAGTGTGTTTCTATTTAACACTAATATTTACTGTCTATTTAAAGCAGTGTTTGTATTTGGGCTGAAATCCAAATTGAAAGTTCCTTTCCCATCCATCCTGGGAAAATTCTGCTCAATTCAGAAAGATCTAATTATATCAAGCAAAACATAAATATAAATAATATCAATATATTGAATTTTTCTTCACACAATTAATGTGTACCTAAACAAAATTTTGAAAACAATTTAACTCATTGGAAAGAATAGGGTTAAGGCAGTAGAGGGGCACAGTCCACCCTCTGCATCTGTGGATACTGCATCCATGACTTCAACCAATCATGAATAGAAAATATACAAAAAAATAAAATAATACACAACAATACAACAATAAAAATAATACAGATTCATCATAGCTACTCTTTACATAGCATGTACATTGTGTTAGTGTGATGGTTAATACTAATTGTCAACTTGATTGGATTGAAGGATGCAAAGTATTAATCCTGGGTGTGTCTGTGAGGGTGTTGCCAAAAAAGATTAACATTTGAATCAGTGGGCTTGGAAAGGCAAACCCACCTTTAGCCTCTTAGCCTACATCTTTCTCCCATGCTGAATATTTCCTGCCCTCGAACACTGGACCCCACATTTTTCAGCTTTAGGACTTGAACTGGCTTCCTTGTTACTCAGCTTGCAGACAACCTATTGTGGGACCTTGTGATTGTGTAAGTTAATACTGCTTACTAAACTCCCCTTTTTATATACATCTATCCTACTAGTTCTGTCCTCTAGATAACCTTGACTAATACAGATTTTGGTATCAGGAGTAGTTCTAGAGGAACAGAATATTAAGGATGAAGTTATTTTCTTGGTTTTTGGGTTTCTGGAGTTGGATGGTTAATATTATTGGCCCCAAAATGCTAAGGACTCTATTTTTAATAGCATGGACAACACTGACAGTCCTTCGCAGGAACTGTTTAGAGAGTTATGCAAAACAAATACATTTGACACTCCTGATTCACTACTCATGAGACGCAAGGATTTTTATGACTCTATATATAATACCTTAACATATGTGGAGACACAAGGAACATAACACTGTGTTAGGTGGTATGGTTTGGGAAATCAAGCAAAAGATTGACTTTGAACATTCATTTTCCTTCTCAATTTGTTGCCTTCTGAGGTAGCCCTGTCTACTAGGAACATTACAAAGCAGTAGAAGCAATGCTGGAAGTAATGGGAACCACCAGGTATAGAATTAAAGATACAGACTTTTTAAAAAAGTATCTATTTAAGGATTTGGTAAAGCACTTCTCAAAGGACTTCTAGCTCCTGCTGGTTTTTTTTTCTGCGTGGGAAACACAACTCACAGATATTACTGTGTAACCTTCTGGGAGCATGTAGCAGTCTCTCAAACTATTGCAGAGAACTTCAAATATGAAAGCAACATTGTATCAAAGCACAATCCCCAAGGGTCATCGCTGGAGAACTTGTCAGTTTTAGTTTTGTTCTGTATCCTGGTTGAACAGGATGGTTAATACAGCTATTTCTCAACCATAGTCATGTGCTAGAGCGATTAAGAATATCTTACTATATAGGTTGCTCATTCTTTTCAATCAATCCTTGTCACTGCAGATTTCTGAGGATGATTAACATATAGCTGGGATCATTAGTTATGACTCTCCAACTCTGCTACAGGCAGACAGATCCTCTGGGGTCCTATGGTCTCCCCACTACCCCAAAGTCCCTAAAGGCTTCTAAATATTTGGGTTTAACAAGATTTGAAAGTTAACTCTCTGACAAGCAGAATATTTGACCAATGACAACTAATACTTCTTTTAGTAGATTACATAGGCTTAACTTTCTTTGAGATTATCATGACTTCTGTATTCAATGTAGATTTTCTAGATAGACTTAGGACATTTTCTTACATAAAAAAAGATGTAGATTACATAGGCTTAACTTTCTTTGAGATTATCATGACTTCTGTATTCAATGTAGATTTTCTAGATAGACTTAGGACATTTTCTTACATAAAAAAAGATGAAAAATGCCTTGGGATAGAAACTAACACACAGGATTGCATCTAACATGTTTATCTGCTTATGAGAAGTTCTCTTGGGCTGGTGATGGAAGGTGGTGGTGATAAGGACTGTGATGCAAAATAATTTAGACATGAGAAATATTTGGATAAACTTTAAGCTCTGCTTAAAAGTAGGATGAACAGAAATCTCGCTGAACTACTCATTTTGAATCAAACTTTTCCTGTTGATATTTTCACTGTTATTTTCAACACTTAGGTAAATTAATTCAAATAACCAACTTCAGCAAATTGCCTACTATTATTTGAGATCACTAACAGCATCACCTAAATATTATAAGTAGAACCAGGCCAGTTTTATTCTTAGCATTCCTATATGAACATGAAGGAGTCACTACGAAAATGTATCAATCACAGGATCTCTTAGTCTCTATGGAAAATGATTCTGTAGTCAGCATGAATTGCCCACATTCTGAGATTTTGTACAATAGCTTTGTGCTATCATATCTTAAGAATAAGAAGAGTTATTGTCAAGTTCATTATCTCAGCAGGGAATGTTTGTGATGATGAAACTGCCAAGCTTCATCAGATTGTTCATGCTCTTTCCATTTTATTAACGTGACCCAATTCAGCCTCCCTCTGATGATAACTCATTTTGATTTTAACTCACTTTAAAAATGAGTCAATTTGATTTTTAAAACCTTGTTGATTTAAACTCATTTTAACATTTCCTGATGTAATATCTTGCATTTTAGCAGGAAAAAAAATAACTCATTTTTCTCTTGACTCAGCTATCTTAGGAAGAAAATGTGAGCAAGTAGAAAATGGACAAATATGACAGTAGCACTAGTTCATTTTTACTTTTTCTTCCAACAATTAACCTTCTTCTGAAATGTATCACCATTCTTAAAAGATACTTACCCATTAATTCTCAAGTCACAATTCTGGCCTAATCCAAACTGATTTTAATCACCTTCTTAATTACATGTTGACATAATGTCATCATGTCCGGTTCCAGTAAAATAGTACAGTATGTAAGCTAAGAGTGAGACAATCCCTGTAGAACAGTCAGCTTTCATGAAACATGAATTACACCATTCTATTTTTATGACATTGCTCACTGCTAACATGTCCACTTGCTACCTTGCTCCATTCTCATTTTGCCTTTTTTAAGATTTATTCCAATATCCTCTGACAAAGACAGAAAGAATGCTAGTGGCAATACCTTAGCAACAATTTTGAATGTAATACTAAAATGTGTAATACTGCTTATAGAGAACCCCCCCAAAAAAAAAAAAAAGCAATGCTTTCAGTTTTAAGTTGCTCGTTAGAAATTCTGAATGACATTTGTCATATAAACAGCACAGTTATTGGTAGTTAAGCTCCCAGGCTAGTCCAAACTATACCTAAGCTACCATACAGTTGTAGTAAAAAACAAGAATAATTAGCAGTTTTGAATACTATTCAAAAGATTGAAAATAAAATTGATTGTTGCTTTCTTGTATATAGCTTTAAGACTCCTGGAAGAAAATTTAGTTCAACTACCCATAGACGATGTGGCCATTTAATGTATACATCTATGTAGACATACATGGATGTATGAACATTTTTGAAAGACAACTTCTAGACATTTAGGATTCTAGAGGCATAGCATATTGGAATTGGACACCAACCTTCAGTCTTCCGCGTTTCTTGCCTTTTGTTTTGTTTTGCCACAGCCAGTTTAACAGATCTCTCTATCAATAGTCTTAGTGTAATTAAGTTCTTAGTTCCCCAACCCAAATCAGTGGGATTTTGCATAAAGCACCATGGAGGGCCAGCCATGGCATTAAAACTTGGCAACCAGAAAACTCCCAATTGGCTAATAAGTTCTAAGGGCCTACTACCTTTAGGATGGTATCAGGAAATCCTATCGTATTTTAAACAACTCATCTCCCCATCCATTGTGTTGTCTTCATCCATGCTACAAAACTCTGCCAAAAATTCTAGCAAGCATTCCTTCCTACTCCAAGGCAAGAGATTTGATTTCAGTATTTGGACATTTGGTGGGAATATGTAGAAACTCTGTTCCTCCTTTAATGGATCCCTTGATGCCAAACACCACAGAGTTGTGAAGATCGCTCAAGGCCTCTCTCATGTTTCATTCTGCCCACTGCTGTATTTCCCAGCCATTTAACCTTGGACATTCAGTTGCTCACCATTTCTCTGAAATCATGATTTATTAATGCAAGAGCCTATTAGCACTGCAAATGGAACCTGTTTTTTTTTTCTGACGTTATCTCCAGCTTAATAATTCTACTGCCTGTCCTGCCCAGCAGATTGATTATGTAGTATGTTCTACCTGCTCACCATTATTTTTTAGCTAAAGTAAACCTATCATGCAAAGCTGATTCACTAACTACAACTAAAAATATTTAGCATAGAATTTAAGTATTCTACTCTACGGCATATATCTCTGAAACTATACTGGCAAAAATGGTATCTCTTTTTGGAGACTATTTCAGAGTAATTTCTGTTTTTAATCGTCCTGCTAGTATGCCCATCTTTAAAGTATCCTATCTATGCATATCAGTTCATGCATCAATGTTTAATTCTTAAAGGATTCCCCTAGGTGTGCAGAGTTATCTATGAGATTATGTATAATTAAGTCCTAATTTTAGCACTTGCTGGCCATGAGAATTTGTGTAAATTATTTAATCTTCACAACTGCTGATAAGATTAGCATTAATGTTTTATTTAAAAGATAAGAGAACTCAAACTCATGATTCTTTCTAAAACGATTTATATGAAAATCTTTAACAGTCTTTTATGTAAGGAGAATATAATAAGCATGTAGTCCTTAATTAATCGTTGATCTATTTATTCAACTGACCAAGGGTTTTGTTTGAGTGCCTGTGTGTGAGTATCTGCTCTGGTTTATAATTTTTGACCATAAATTCCCTTAAAATTCTCTCTTCAGAAAAATGCATGTATTCAAACACATTAATTGGCAAGATGTTAAATTGATTTTAATAGCAAAGTTTCTAGGGATTTGATTGTAGCTGAGATTTTAGTTCTAGCAAAGCAAAACTTTCAAAACTTAGAAACATGACATAATTATTACCTTATAATGATTAACTTTTAAGCTAGTGTTAACCTTATTTAGCTTAATTTACTTTTGTTTTGTTTTTAGCTATAACTTGACCATTAATGCAAAAAACAAGATGTCCCGAAATCAGATCTCTGCAAATATGGTCAGCAATTAACTAAATGCCCCAAATTTCTCAACATCAGGATTGCTTCTGATACATGCAAGCCTAAAGTCTGGAGACACATTTCCTGACAATGATTATTATCTTCTTTTAGAGTCTGTACACTGCTTCTTTGCACAAAGTAAAACAACTTTCAAGCAAGCCAACTCAACGTTCTTGCTTTATTTTCAAACCTGAAGCACTTCCACATCTGTTCTACCTGATATAGGCATGAAATTGCATAACTGTTTGACAATGATTCAGAGAGTTTTGGAGACATCAGGTAGAAAACACGAGATAGTCTGTTGGAACAAGAATCACATTCCCTGATAGATGGTCAGGAAGCCCCAGATGAACAATCCAGTGGTAAGAGGTTAATACTTTCAGAGGCTTTCTACTTCAATTTTAATTTTATTACATATTTTTTAAAATAGAGGTAAATTTCGTCTAGTCCTACTCTTCCCCTGCAAACAGGCAAGGAATAAATTCATATTCTCTTCTACTTTATAACATTGCATACTTAAATTTGGCTCATGTATTTTCCAAAATAAGGAGCCCATTTTCTTCATTATTTTTGTGTAACATTGCTTATCAATTTCTAATTGTGTTTGTTTTATCTTTGGCTCAAAAATTCAGCTTACAAATTTATACCAAAGTGAGTTGAGCATATTATTCTATGTATTATCTGAATATAGTAACCTCTAAATGAGGAATTCAATTTATTGTTTTTTATTTAGTCTTCATCAAAGTTAAGGAGAATTATTTGCTTTCTTCAGTAACAGTGGTTCACTAAGGCAATTAAATGATTATTAACTAAGAAGACCTGAATTCTTAGATGGTATATTATAATTTCTAGAGAAGAGTAGTTCTTCTGACATGGACCCCAATAATGAGTTGTGTTGCAAATCACAGTGAGAAAGCATTATATTAGAAATTTAGTTTTACTAGTACTGTTTCAATTAACCATATGTTTTAATATCCAGCCTTATATTTGATTATAATAATTTGGAGTATTTTTTTGCATGAAAACCTAGATGACTACACTTTTATTTAAGGACTATTACCTCCTTTAAATAAGTATGCAATGTTATATTTAATCCCACTACATTTCAGTGTTATAAATTTTTTCAATTTTCTACCTGACCAAAGAACTTTAAATTCTGGTTTTATATTTCCCTAATTTATATATTTTCCAAATTTAGTTTCTTTTCCTATGTGGTTAACTTGTCATCTCTATAGTTTTAGCCTTTATATTAATTTTATGATGCTCATAGAATAAGATGGAAGTGAATTAACATTAATATTTACAATGTTAATTATTTATAACCAATATAAACTTCACATGTTCAAATATAAAACCAATGTTAATGATCACAATGTAGGATGAACCGATATGTCACTTTAACTCTCTCATCATTAATATAGAGGAAATGAATATAAGGATGGACATTTTGGTGTAACTGACAGTGTACATGTGCGAAACACAGAACTAAGTTTGAATCATGTCTCTGAAACTTTCCTGGCTATATAGTCTTAGGAGACTTTTTATACTATCCTAATTTTGTTCATGAAAATAATTTTTTCATACCTTCGTGCATAACTTGTTAGCAGAACAATAAAATAATTTTAGAATTTTAATCTAGAAATACTTTACCCACTATCCTTCAAGAATCAACTGCTATCATTTTTCTGTTCTCTATATCTTGTCAAAATTCCCATATATTTATCCAATAAAAATCATAGCACATACAATTTTGCAATTGATTTATTTCACTGGACATTAAAAAAAGTCATTTTCAGGCTTCTATATTATTTCTGTAATGATTGTAATTGTGTAACAGAACACAGTTTATATTTCTATGCTTACTTAACCCTTTTCTATTTACATACTGAATATTTTCCATCAAAAAATGGTTTTAATATTTTAGTTTAGTGTTCATCGATCTTGGGCAAGATCATCAAAATTTATATCATTTTATTGTTTACTTTTTAATGCTATGACCAGAAAAAAAAATTGTATCTCTTTAAGTAAAATGATTTTCTGTCTATTCTAGTAATAAAAGTAAGATGATATGTTTTATCCACATACAATTGTGTATAATCTACGACTTAATTTGCTTAAGAACCATATGATTGAAAATAAGAACATAGGATGGCTTAGAAGAGAACACCAACAAAAGATCTTATGTTTAACTTCTAGTTGAATTACTTCCTAAGCTTTCTAAAATATACATTTATTGACATATTTAAGCTGCAATTTGACTCTTTCTACTAACATCTCTCTAAAGATGTTCTACTAACATCTACTAACACTCTCTAGAGTGTGCAAGTTTCTATGACGTGGGCATGCATTTGGTGAGTATCCGTCAATAAGTAGAGGGAGGTAAGAATTATATTATATTCCTCAAAAACATACTTGCCTCTCTTGACCACTCTACAACCTTCAGGAATCTATGCTGAAGTCAGAAGTAGCCTATTCGTTGTTAGCAGTAACTGTGGTGAGGACTCTTAAAGTTTGTAAATGCATTCAAAAGCATGAGAGCAATGCTATTTTCCAAAGTCAAAGGCTCAAACCATCCTAATTCTTGTTCTTATCTGTTGGAATCAGGGAGAGTGACAGTGGAATGCTACCTTGAAGATAATCATACTAAGTCTTCTTATTTGGCTAATAAGCAAATTGAATCTCAAATATTTGAACTGATTTGTTCAACATCACATAGAAAACTTTCATTTTAATGTGTAATAACAACATTATTCCGTGATTGGTAATTTTTTGTTTGTTTTCTGCTGGTATTATAAAATTTTAGTTATGCATAATAAGTACATTCTAGAGATTTGTTATACAACGTTTAGCCTATGGATAATGACACTGTATTGTACATTTAAAAATCTGTTAATAGAACAAATCTCATTTTAAGAGTCCTTATTACAATAACAATTTTTTGAAAAGATCTTAGACGTTCATGCAGGGCAAACCTAACAGACTCTAAAGTGAACATGCAATCTCCAAGGGTGATCTGTTAGCAGCTTCTATGAGTACACTTTGTTTTCACAAATGTAAATAAATACACAAGTACTTTTTTGTAGCATATTCTACCAGTAGTTACATGAATTCATTATTTAAATTTGCTTTTGCAAGGAAGTGAGTTTCATAGTTACTATTATTCTCATGGAAACATTTTACATTATTTTACAAACATAATTCAAAAACCACTCAATTAGCAAAGAGAAACATGGATAATACATAATTAAATAAAATATGCTAATCAGTTTACATGAAATTTAACAATGAGTTATGATCCTGAAAAAAAATTCCAAGCTGACCAGAGAAATGAGCTTTATTTATTCTCTGACATTTACATTTTTACAAATACTATAAAGATGTTTGGCTAGCATTTTTTCACTAAAGTAATGTAATTTCAAATATGCACCCTGGTAAACAGAAAAAAATCACTGGGGCTATTTTTTATTTATATTTTGAATGTTCTTTTTCTATGGGTATGTATAAGTTTTATAATGGTTAATTAGGGCCATATCTATACTCAACAAGAGAATAAAATGCCTTTCAATGTTTAATAACAGATGTATAACTGTTAATTAAGTTGATTTATGCCCAATGGGTTCCATTGTTTATTGATTTTGTTAGCTGATGGCATTAGTACAAGTACAGAAAACTATATGTCAAATTAAATAATACATGATAGTTTTTAAAAACTAAAAATGTAGAATAAGGAAAATATATATTTTCATTAACGATACAAATAGTGGTCTACAAAAAGTTATCTGAAATAATTTTGAGGGATGCATACATTACATGAAATATAAAGTATGCCTGCCACAATCAAAGATAATTTTTTTTTTTTTTTTGAGATGGAGTCTTGCTCTGTCGCCCAGGCTGGAGTGCAGTGGCGGGATCTCGGCTCACTGCAAGCTCCGCCTCTCGGGTTCACGTCATTCTCCTGCCTCAGCCTCCCGAGTAGCTGGGACCACAGGCGCCCGCCACCACGCCTGGCTAATTTTTTTTTGTATTTTTAGTAGAGATGGGGTTTCATGTTAGCCAGGATGGTCTCGATCTCCTGACCTTGTGATCCGCCCGCCTCGGCCTCCCAAAGTGCTGGGATTACAGGCGTGAGCCACCGCACCCGGTCAATCAAAGATAATTTTTAAAGCTAAATTTCGGTAATCAATAATCTTCTAAATATTGACATTAAAAATCACTTTACTAGGGTATTAAATGTTCACTTTATTTACAACCCCAATGCAAATTAAAACATGATACAATACAATTACTTCCGTCTAGCAAATTAGAAAGATTATACATTATACTACTCAAGTCCTTAGCGGAACAGTGCAAGTTAACCCTCTTTTTTCTTTACAGAGAACCATTTAAAATGATAATAAATTATTAATGATAAAATATTACAACTTATTGAACTAGAAGGGAGCCATTAGAAAATGAGACCTGTCTATACTTTTTTTTTTTCTTTTTTTTTCTGAGACAGAGTCTCACCCTGTCTCCCAGGCTGGAGTACAATCTCCGCTGGAGCGATCTTGGCTCGCTGCAACCTCTGTCTCCCGGGTTCAAAGGATTCTCCTGACTCAGGCCTCCCGAGTAGCTGGGATTACAGGTGCCTGCCACCACGCCCAACTAATTTTTGTGTTTTTAGTAGAGATGGGGTTTCACCATGTTGGCCAGTCTGGTCTCTAACTCCTGACCTCGTGATCCATCCACCTCGGCCTCCCAAAGTGCTGGGATTACAGGCGTGAGCCACAGTGCCTGACCCTGTCTATACTTTTTTCACAGCAGAGACCATATGGGTGGGTGGTAAATGAGGAGGTTAGAACAAGGGAATTGCATTCTGGAGCTGCATCTTCAAACCTGAGTGAACATACCACAGGAAAGTGTCAGGAGCTTGGGCTTTGCAACTTAACAATACTTGGACAACTAGATTTACGGATTCAGTTAAGTAATTTTCAGTATAATTACCATCACAAAATAGACATTTATCTTTAAATGTCCAGAAATGAGGCTATATTAATAATGTAAACAAGTTAAATAAGGCAGCATGTATTTTTTCCCTACTCTTATGTTGAAAACTAAACCACATTATAAGGATTTTTAACATGATGATTTTAACAGGCTACAGGGAGTTAGATCATCATAATCAGAAACTGACATCAATAAAAGCTTTTGTTTTATGTGGAATTACACTAATAATATACTACAAAATATTTCTACTATAATTTATAAGTAATATACATATATAAATTATTTAAGCATCCTAATGCTACCTATACTAATATACTAATAATACAATGTAAAATATTTCTACTATAATCTATAAGTAAGAGACATATATAAATTAAGTATCCTAATGCCATCTATGAATAATTTATAAATAATAATATATTATGAACAGAGAAGTATTAACTGATATAAAAATAAATATATTACATATAATATACATGTATTTTATATATACATATGTGTGTGGGTGTGTATATATGTATGTACATATATATAGAGAGAGTGTGTGTGTACCACTAAAATATGTTACCAGCGTAGATGCTTATTAATTGAATTTGGGAGTAATAGTCTGGAAAATTATTCAAATATCTCCAGAAGAAAGCCAACTACTTCCACAATACCCAAAATATTTGAAAACTCAGACATGCTGAGTATGCTGAAAGATGCAATTACCATTTGGTGCTAAAAATAAATATATATTTATAATAATTCTATGTACATTTGTGAAAAGTCTGGAATCCTGTTTTCTGCCTTCCAGGCAAAGAATCTATTAGTGTTTGATTTAAGAAATTGAATCACTTCTCAGCCTTTTAGCTAAGATCAAGTGAAGAAATGGAGACATCTCCAAGGGAAAGATATTTTAATTTCCATTAGGTGATTTTCTTGCTTGGCAGCTGACTTCTTATCAGACCATCCTGGGTTAAAAGTGGCAGCCTTAGAGTTAGAATGAGGTATGTAACAAGTATATATTTTAAGTGTAAATTATTTATAATATATATATATAAATATTTGTTTTTCCTGATTTTGCTTCATTTTTTATTGTCTCCTCTTAGATATGGATAGACAACCAAGGACTAAGTATTACTAGACATGTGCTAAACAGGATAAAAAAATGAAATAGAGTAAGTGGTCCTGTTGGAAGCTGAGATATTTCATATTTTTATACCCAAAGAAAATATGCTTCAAAAATCCAGGCAAAATAAAGACATGTTCAGAAAGATGAAAGCTAAGAGAATTTGATGGCACCATACCTGCCCTTTAAGAATGTGAAAAAAAGGTCTACAGGTTGACAGAAATTTAGGTTTTTACAAAAGAATGAAGAGCGCCATAGGTGGAAAATAAGTTAAGTAAAATATATAAAGCCTTTTATCTAATGTATAATTTTATTTTACATATTATTATTTAGAGCCAAAATACATGACAATAACAGCAAAAAGACAAAGGGGGAATATTGTATGATTCTTACATTATATGTGAAGTGATATAACATTTTGAAAATAGACTGATAAATATGAATACTGTAAATTTGAGAGCAATAAATTAAAAAAAGAAGTATGTCTAATAAAAGTATAGTGCAGATAAGATGAAATGCTAGAAAAATGCAATTAATCCAAAAGAAAAATGAAAATATAAAAGGAGAAATAAACAGATAAAAAACAGAGAGACATCAAATATGAGAATGGTAGATTTAAACACAATTGACATATTTAATATATACATTAAATGTAAATGTTCTAAAACTGCAATTCAAAGGCATAATTTCTGAGAATTCTGAAAAAAAAAACAGAGAATCATAGGAGAAGAATAAACAGTTCAGACGCAAAACCATGCATTGTAGCCACCTGATTTAACTAAAAGGGGCCATTCTGGAAAGAATGTTCTTTGAAATAAATGATGGCAGATCAAGTGCATATCCATATGGAAAAATAAATGAGTCTCATATTCTTCCTCACAAAATACAAAATAATTTATTTGAGATTCATCATAGAACTACTGTAACATATAAAATAATGTTGCAGCAAAAAACATACTAAAATGCATTTTGATGTTACAGTTGTCAAAGATTTTCTGAAGGATACAAAAATCACTACGCAGCAAAGTACATATTCATTATTTTGTTCTGATTACAATAAAAAGTTATGTTTATAGAGGTCAGAGATCAGGAAAGAAGATTTATAAAGCACATAGACTACAAGTAACGTCTACACATAGTATAGAGAATATGGTTGATGAATGAGTAAAACGTTTGAAGGAGCATTTCACAAAATAGATATTCAGATGGTCCATAATGATACGGAAAGAGGCTGAAGAGCAGTAATCACGACTGAAATGAAAGTTAAAATGACTACAAGATACCGTGACACATACACATTAGGATGGCTGCAGTTTAAAAGCTTGACAATGTCAAAGGTTGCGAAGGACATAGAACAACTAGATTGCTGGTGGGAATACAAATGAGTGAAATCTCTTGGAAAACAGTTTGCTTAAAACTGGTCAAATGGGATATTCTTGAAAATATTTTACATCTTGATCTTGGTGTTGGTTATGCGGTATATACATATATAAAATTAATTGAGATCTAGAAGTGTATATTTGGAAAGATATTTTTCTTTGCACAAATACAAATTTAAAACACATCCCTGTAAAATTTAAAGAGAAGAAAGTTTGATTTTATTATTGTTGATATAAATCTTGCTTCCAATTTAAAAAACAAATTTCAAAATCATATTAAAAATTAATTTTCCCTATAAATAATTTATACTTATTACTGTAAAGAATTAAAATATTAAAATCAGTTTCCTAATTCTAGTCTTTTCTTAAAAATAAAATAAAATTTTATCAAATACCATAAATCAATCAGAAAATACTTTGGATAAAATGTAATCATTCTATTTTGTTCAAATTGCTAAGAAATCTATCGCCATTACTCTAACTCATTGTGTTTCAGGCAAACTAAGAAATAAGATGGTTTGTACAACCTGAAAAATTATAAACTATATTGTGGGAGTAAATCATCTTACAATTCAATATAATTTAAGATCAGTAGTTCTCAAACTTTTGCGTTTAAATATCCGTTTATGCTCTAAAAACTTCCTGAGCACCCCAAAATGCTTTGGTTTTAAGTAAGATTTAATTTTTATTTACATTATGTGAAATTAAAAATGAAAATATGAAATGTTTTTTATTCCATTTAACATGAGCAAACAAATCACCTATTAGTTAACATACTGATTCTATTTTTATGAAAATAAGCATATTTTCCAAAATAAAAAATTACAAGAGTGGCATCATTTTCTCTCTTTGTAACTCTCTGTAATGTCTGACAATAAACGACAGCTGGTTTCTCATAAGCTGTTTGTGCATTCAATCTATTGTGATATTACATGCTATTTAGCGTCTGAAAAGTTCTACTTCACCTTTGTGAAAGAATGGGATTGAAGAATGCAAATTTGAAAATATTATTATAAAAATGGTTTTGACCTTGCAGAACCCTTGAAAGTGTCTCAGAGATCTCCAGCATTCTCCAGTCTCCAGCTTGAGGTCATCTGATATGGATTATTTTCTCTTAATATTAAAAGATTTGAGTTAGGCCCTTCCATCTACATAACAACCACATTCTAGAACAAGCTTCTTAATTATTTAAGAATGAGGAGGTGCAAACTCGTATCCATCTTCCCTTGACTCCAATTAATGTTTGTCTTCAGCTGGCAATTAGTTCTCAAGAACTGCGTTTGAGAATCTTATGGGTCTTTTATATATGGAAACAAAATAACTTTTCAAAATGTTCATCTTGGACAAGTGTTCCAAATATGTTGGCATCAGTAATTCTCTTCACCAGTTTAAGCCATCAATAAATTAGCATTATTTTTTTAAAGTGTTTTTAGCAAAACAATTCTTGCTCCTGTTATCTAACAGCACCTCAGTAATAGATTAAGAAGACAGAGGCCAGGTGCATCGCTCACTCCTGTAATCCCAGCACTTTGGGAGGCCCAAGGAGGCAGATCACGAGGTCAGGAGTTCGAGATCAGCCTGGCCGACACGGTGAAACCCGTCTCTAGTAAAAACACAAAAATTAGCCGGGTGTGGTGGCGCATGCCTGTAATTCCAGCTACTCCGGAGGCTGAGGCAGGAGAATCGCTTGAACCCGGGAAGCGGAGCTTGCAGTGAGCAGAGATTGAGCCATTGCACTCCAGCCTGGGTGACAGAGCTAGACTCTGTCTAAAAAACAAAATAAAACAAACAAAAGAAAAAACCAGAAAATGTAGAAAATCATGTTCTAAGCACTTTGTAGAGGGCAAAGAAAACAGTCAGAAAGATAAAAGCACATGAATGTAGTCTCTGACTATAAACTTGAAAACCAGTTCAGGGTCCCCAGGGTTCACCTCAGAGCAATTAAATATTCTCTTTTTCAACACGGATGGTTAAGAAGGTAAATGGGCAGATAGATGTTTTTAAGAAACAAAAGTATTTGAAAAGACATCCTTGACATAATTCAATTTGAAAATACCAATTCTAATGTATTAGATTACAGCAACAGCATTCTGAATATTGTACACATAATCAAAAGATGGCATGTTTAGTGGGTTTTTTTCTTTTAAGGATATAATCTCTAAATTTGATTGCCAAAAATAACATTTTTCCTGATGAAATGAGAAAAACATGATATGGTCATTCACAAAGGGAAGGGCAAGTATAATTCTTCTAAAGGCCATTCTATTATGATTTTAAAAATACAATGGAAAATTCCTTTGGAAAGCTTAAAAGTGCATAAGGAAAATAGATCAGAATGTTATGAGAGAGTGGAAAAAAAATAAGGGGATGAGTTTACTCCAAACAGTGTTTTATGGCAAATGGGCGGTAAAGAATGTGAAAGGAAAACTGCAATGTCAAAACAACAGTGCTCAGCCTTTTAAAATAACTAAATTCCATTAATGTTGATATGTAAATGATTATGCTAATTTTATTAGCTTTAAAAATAGCTATAACATTCACACAAACCTAATTTTTTGAAATATTCTTTTTAAATACACTTTTGAAGTCTTCTATCATAAAACAAATATGTACTGTATAACATATCAATAAGATATTTAAAAAAAAAACAGAGCAAATCCCCTAATATCCACATACAGCTCGAGAAAAATTATGTTATAAATACTTGCAACATCTTGTTTATCTCAGTAGTCTTAAAGTGTTTCCTTCTGCCTAAGTTAATTATCTGTAATTTTATATTTATAATTTACTTTGTTGTCTTTATTTTCACCTAAAAATATGTACTCATATAAATAAAATCTTTAGTGAGGTATATTGGAATCTGACTGTGTATTCTTTGGTGATCACCATTGTTCTTCAAATGTTTTAGAGATTAACATCAATATGTATTGATAGATACATTTCATTCATTTTCAATGATAGGTAGTATTCATTTGTATTAATATATGATAATTTATTTCCCTGTTTTGCTATCAAAATATTTTTGTTTCCTTTTTTATTACTTTTATTAAGACTGCTACCATGTACCATTTTCATACATGAACACAGCTTTCTCTCCAGCATATATCCAGGACCCTAACTTATGACTAATACAGTATTCATGTTTTCAATTTCACTGGATAATGCTTATCTATTTCTCAAAGTGCTTGAATTAATTGTTTTCCTCATCAGTGATAGATGGGAGAGAAGAGAGTTTCCTTATCTTCTATTTGCCAGCACAAAGTATTTACAAATACAGTATTTTATTCTTGCTACTATTTTGGATGTTTAAAGTGGTAAACAATTGTCATGTAAGGTGCATTTCTGCAACTAGCAATGAGTTTGACATCTTTACATGCATGAATTGGCCATTAGCATACATCCCTTTGTGAAGTAAATATTTAGTTTGTCCAATGTTTTTGTTTGGATGTTCTGGATATTTCCTATTGATTGATATTAGAAACATGTTCTCCAAGATGGTTGCCCTTAAAAAAATAAACATATGAAATCTTTTGTAAGCTGATATTCTCAATTTTAATGTAGTTGAGTTTATTAATCCCATCCTTCTTTGGTAGCATATTTGGGTTTTCAGAAAACTTCACTCAGCTTGAGGTCACAAAGATACTCTCATACTCGATCTTCTAAAACTTTATTAGGTGTTTAGTCCCCTTGGAATGAATTTGAGTGGGAATCAAATTTCTTTTGTTTCCCTTTCTGGATGCCTAATCATTGTACCAACAATTATTGAAAAGATTCTGATTTCTGATTTCAGTGATTCATTTTATACGCTAAGCATCTGTATAGATGTGGTTAATTTTCAGGTTCTCTATTGTCTGTTCCTGCACCTATTGGTGCTACTTTGTCAGAATTTATATAGTTTTATAATAAATAATGATATTTCATTGATCAAGTCGTCTATCGATAGTCTTTCCTTAAATGAGTATCTTGGCAATGATTGACCCTTCTCAATTAATTTCACATAAATTTTAGAATTAGCTTTCCCCTAAAATATGTGTGGTATTTATTGGGATTAAATTAAAACTATAAATCAATTTAAAGGGACTTGATGTTTTTATAATATTGAATTTTTCTATCCATATGTTGTATATCAATAGATTAATTCAATTCTGCAATGCATTTCAAGCTGGACAATTATTAACAATTTCCACTTATCATATATTTACATATATATTTTTTGCTTTTTATGATATATACATTATTTCTTTAAAATTTTGACTAAGATTTTTGGTTGGTCCAACTTATTTTTCTGTAATTGTTTTGTATTCAGCACTCTTGTAAAACTCTTATAAAATTAGTAGTATCTATTGATTGTTTTTAAATTTTCCATACACAATAGTATCATCTAAAATTATAGTAACATTTATTGTTTTGTATTAATCTCTACAAATTTATTTACTTCTGTTGCCTTAATGAGATGTTCAGGGTTTCCAGTTCAAAGAAAAACAGAAATAGGCATATGGAACAAATTTTTCTTAGTAGTGAATTTAAAGAAAAACTTTTCAGTATTCCAAAATCAAGTGTGGTTTTGGTTGTAGTTTTTAAAAATACGTACTTTTCCAAATAAAATTTTCTTCCTAATCCCAATTTGCTAATATTTTCATCATGAATTATTATTGAAGTTTATTTAAAAATTTAATGAAAAGGTCATATGATTTTTAAAAATCAAACTGTTAATCAGATGCATTACGTTGATTGATGGTGTAGTAATTTTTGAGAAAATATTTCTAATATCTTAAGTAAAACTTAAATCTTAAGGAAAAACCTCATGCATGAGGCCTAAGCACGTTTCTTTTTCTATCTCTGTTTTCTGTCTCATTTTAAATCTTCCCAAAAATACATTGCTTTTCACTTGTGTTTTATAATGAACGTGCTTTGTATGTTTCATTAAAATGATTTTTTTTCTCTCTCACAGTCTTTTGAGAATTTAAAAGGCAAATTTCTTCTAATAATTATCAGTTCAGTATGTTAGGTAAAAGCAATATAAATTATATTATGATATTGATGATATTGATTTCAGTGTTATACTGTGCTTACTTTTTAAACTATCTTGGTAGTTTACATATGAGCTTATAATATTTAAATGCATATGTTCAAATCTATGTTATGATTAAAAAGTGCTATAATTGCATTTTGAGCCCTAAAGTTTTATTCATATGCTAAAAGTAGGTGATGATTTAATTCATGAAAACGTGGAAATTATATACCCTGTAAAAATCCCACAGCAACAAAATAAACTACAAAATACATAAGGATTCTGTATAAAATGTTTATGTCATTTTTTAAATGCATGGCTAGAATGAAGAGAAAACAAACAAACAAACAAAAAACAAAAACAAAAAACGAGAAAGAGTGAGAAATTCTCAGAGCCCAAAAACTGAAGCAGGAATCCAGGTAGGTAAGCTGAAATGAGACTTGGGAGATATGCTGAAAACTGAAGACAGGAAAAAACATTCTCAATGCCCATTAAATGCTTTTATTCATGTCATATGACATAGTAGATGAGCCCCCAAGCACAGTGTTTACATCTACTGTGTTCATGTACTGTACAGACTGTCCATCAATACAGCACATGCCTAATTGTAGAGTCTGGTAAAAGAATGGTTTGATGATCAGGCAAAAAGCATGAGAGGTAAGACTTATAAAATAAGTTCCTCTACAGGCATTATTATTTTTCATTAAATGATTGTTATTTCCAGGGAAGATTTCCAAATCAATCAAATGTACAATGTGATTGTAGTCTCAACCATTTTCCAGAAACTTGCCATGGAGCAAAAATGGTCTTAGAGCATATCCCTGTCTCCATGCAACAATTTCATTTTGTATGGCTCTGAATAAACTGTATATGCTCAGTATTATGAAAAAAATACATATTGAGAGCGATTTTCAGTTAATTTTGTTAAAACTTTTAACACAATATTGGCATGGTTCCTTGTAGATGATAAACCAGCCATCAATTGTGATCAGATGCCAGATTTGTTACCTGATGAAGAGTGGGCTTGTCTATTCTTCATCTTTTGTTGGTGCACAGCTTCCAAAGAGACTGCATCCAATTCTTCATCACACAGAAGTACATATAAATTCTCCTGCATAGTTACAAGCTTCTGAAAATAATGAGCCTTATTGTCATGCCGGTAATCCCTTTGTAAACATAAAAAAGTATTAATGAATAGAGTTGTAGCACTGTTTGTCAGACAAGGGATGCTTTGTCTCAGAATTATCTACTGAAGAAGTCAGATATATTCAGTAAGCAGTATGTAAGAGCAGATGTATATGTGAAGTCCTTGTAGGTATAGAAGTGAAATTTTTATGATCCAAAAAGGACTCTATCAAATTCAAAATCCCAAGCGACTGAGTCTCTGAGTCTTAACATTGCTTAATTTGAAGGGCTGTTATGAAATATTGATTGATAATTAGTTTCAGTATGGTTATAAGCTTGTAATTTCAAGTTGCCTATATGTTTAATTTTCTCAATAAACTGAAATATAACTGACTTCTTATTAGATTTTGTCACAATAAAAGCTATTTTCTCTTCATTTTAAGTCAACTGGGAAAGTAGTTAAAACTTTTTGAAAAGTACTTTTTTAGTAGGTTTTTAATTAGATGACTTTGATTAAATTGGGGCTCTGAAAGGGATTTCACTAACTCCCAAGATTGTGCTAGTTACAAATGAAATCATAAACATTCCATTTAACTGTCTCTGTGAGAGCTCACTAACCAGTTGCGTGTTTTTCTATCAACCACATCTATATGCCTGACATTGCACCATTAGTTCCCTAAATGATCCTGAAGAAGTAAAACAAGGTGGATTATCCTTGTGTAGTAAATCAAAGAGACAGACTTTCTGATCATAAGGCATGATCTCTGACCTTCTGCTCCTGGAATTACCCAACATCAGCGACCTAGTGCCTTGAGATTATAATCAGGATTTCTAATTTGATAATTTCTGAGGCAGAGAGGAGAAAATGTATCCCTTCTCCACTGGGAATATCCAGAATTTCTTAGTAGATCTTAGTTGCATTTCGGTAAAAAAAAAAAAAAAAAAATCTTTGTATATTTTGGTCTCATACTTACCTAACTCCTTCTTACCATCCTGCCAAATGCTTAAGTATCAATTCTGGTGATACTGAGTTTCTTAATGTTTTCAAATTAATGTTCCTTTCACTTCTATTTCTTAGCAATATTTCTCATTTTCTTGGATGACCTCTCATGTAAGAAACTCTGCCCAGTCTTTAAAACATTGCCTCAGGTCACCTTCTCCATAACTGTTCTCGGAAATCATTCATTTCATCTTACCCCATCCCTGGCAGAGTCAACATCTTGTTTCTATTTGCCAGTTTGTCTGGTGTACTCATATTGTGCTTATCAGTCTAGGTTATAAATGATTGTCTCCCAACATAGAGCACGAATTTTTTGGGCAAAGATTTTATTATTCAGATATTTCTTCCATTGCTTACACTAGATGCTCAATAAAGGTTAATGGAACCGAACCAAATTATTAACACGTTGTACTTCATACTTTCCACTAACAGACTTGCCAATGACTAACTCAATGTTTCAGGTGTATAAAGCATGTAAAACACACATGCGCATGTGCACACATACACATACACTTGATATTAAAGTAGAAAAAGCATAGATTCTTGATATTTATGCCTGGTCAATTCTCAGTTCTGCCATCTACTGCAAACAAGGGTAAGAGTAAGATAAATTTTCATAAGCCTCAGTTTCTTTTTCTATAAACATATAACTCATATTTCCATAAGTAATATGAGTTACATTTACTTCAGAGTATTTTCTTAACAATCAATCAAATGGTAAATATGAAAGAATTTCACAGTTGTTACTCTAGTGATAATCATAAAGCCAAAATTATTTATGTACTGAGTGCCAGTCTCTTCGCAGACATTATCTAGTTTGAGCCTCACTGCAAACCAATGTGATCATGCTTTTATCATTCATATTTTACTAAGGAGTGAACTCATGTTTAGAGAGGTCAGGCTTTGCTTAATAGCCCAAAAGGTGACTAACTCCAGAAACTATGTTTTTAACCACTGTAATACAAAAACAAGGAATACTGACACAGGTAAAATAATTATGAGACTGGAAAACTATAGACCTGTGTGACTAAACTGCTTTACTTATCACTTAGGGCTATGGGGACAAAATGGGTAGCTGTTCCTTTTTTTTATAAGTTTAACATAAGCAATAAACATTTTCTTAGCACACATCCAGGAGAGGAAGGAATTGGTAAAAAGATCTGAGAAACGTAATCAGGATTTGTGTGTAAAGTTAATAAAAATCATCCAATTTCACAATCTTTCCACCAGAGTAACTTGGCGTTAATAGCAGAGAAGAGATATTTCTGGCTTATTAAATACAAAGCACATCTGTTTGGTGACATATTTTCAGAGTCCACAGTACTAATTACTGAGTCAATTCCAAAAATTCTGTCCTTGTAGTCTCAGTGTCTGGGCTCTCTCTATTCTTTCCTTTCCAATGTGCTCCCCTTCCTCGTCAACATTCCCAGAACCCCTTTATCTTTGCCACACACCATCTCTCTCATATCTCAAACCATACACACATCTTTCAACTAGACTAATAACTAAGAATTGTTAATAGAAGAGTAAATTCTAACAGTGAGGGCTTTAATTTATTTTTACTTATATGCCAGGAATATGATTAGGCATTTAAGAAAATCTATTTTTCTATTGATTTCCCCTTCCATTCTAAGAATTGGGTACCATTATGATGCTTTTCAGTGAAGAAAATGAAACTTAATTGTCCACGGCCAAACAGCCAGAAAACACATGGCTGGCATCAGAACTCCGAGCTGTCCCACTCACTCCAGAATGCAATCATTAGAATTTACTTCCTCCCTGAATGAGTCGTAATTGTTTTATTGAGTAAACATTTATTGAGCATCACCTTTCTCAGGCTAAATATGGCATTTGATATTAGAAATGGAAAAAAGAAATAAAATAAAACAAAGTGATTTGCAGAAAGATCTCTGGATGACCAGGTAGTAGAGACAAAGGGGAAGCACTGAAGATATGTTCAACACCACGAATAATAATCCAGAATCTTAGCCACAGAGAATTCGGAATTATTTTCTCAATGATGAGAGTCAAACCTGAAGGCCACTGATAGTTGATTTTCTCCTCACCTTTGGTAGCTTTGTGCATTCTTCAGGGTTTTCCAGAGGGACAGAACAGGTAGGCTAGATGCAGATATCTTTATTAGGCAGAATTGACTCACAGGATCACAAGGTGAAGTCCTGTAATAGGGCGACTGCAAGCTGGGGAAGAGAGAAGCTGGTAGGGGCTCAGTTTGAGTCTGATAGCCTCAAACCAGGGAAGCCAACAGTCCAGCCATCAGTCTGTGGCCAAAGGCCCAAGAGTTCCCAGGAAACCACTGGTGCAAGTCCCAGAGTCCAAAAGCCTAAGAACCTGGAGTCTAATGTAAAAGGGCAAGAGGAGTGGAGGGAAGCATCCAGCATGGGAAGAAGGAGCCAGCCAGAAGACTCAGCAAGCAAGGTTATCCCACCTTCTTATGCTGATTGGATAGTGCCCACACACATTGAGTGTGGGTCTTCCTCTGCTTGTCCACTGACTCAAATATCAGTCTCCTCTGGCAACATCCTCACACTCTCAGAAACAATACTTTACCAGCCATCTAGGCATCCTTCAATCCAACCCAGTTGACACCTAATATTAACCATCACACTTTGCAAAAACTAGCTCAACTGAATTAACTCAAAAGAAAAAGAGATTGATACCAGCCACTGGGCTCTGAAGGTTCCTCATTCTAACAAGGCCACTTCCTTCACCAAAGAGCTCCTGGTGATGCATGGTTGCCTAGATTATCCCTGACCTCCCATGAATATGTAGAATTTTATTCACAACTAAAACTCTCTCCATGTTGTATCCAGTGTGGCCTGAGCACCCCTCTTTGTGTCAATAATAACTTACGGGATCATATGCATGCTATGACATCACTGCTTGTAAATTCACCCCCACCGCAATAAAATCTATTTTAAATTTGTACCATGGGGGAATAGTCATGTTTCTGTTTCCTTTGTTGATCTCACTCATTTCAAAAGAACAACAGCAGCAACAACAAAGAACCACATTATTTTAAAATGCGTTGTATCTTATACAATTGCTTCTTAATAATATTTATTTTTTGATAGCTTAAAGGAAATGTATTGCACACACATTATCCTCAATATAAAAACACATTGTTTTCAAGGTAAGTATTACTAATATTTATCTTTTCCAATGAGGACAATAAGGTTCAAGGGATAATGCAAATTCTTTCAGTACTATACTATTTATCAGGAGTCTATTATTTGTTGGAACCTGGGGATAGACCTGCTGTCTAAACGAGCATGGTGAGTGAGCAGAAGAGAGTGACAAGCAAATATTCATTCAAACAATACAGAATTACATACTGTGATATATTATGAAGCAAAATAAATTGTATTATGAGAAATCAAAACAGTAATTCAATTTAGGAGATTAAAGAACGAATGAGAAAGTGACAATTGAGAAGAGATCTTGTATGTAAATAAAAGTCAAAAAGCTGAACTATATGGAAGAAAAATTACAATTCAAGTGAGGAAACTAGTGTAAAAACCTCAATGTGGAGACATTTCTGGCAAGGAGAAGGAAATCAAAGAAAGGCAGTGGGTGGGGCTGGAATCTAGCAGGTGATAGGAAATGGCATGACATGTAATAAAATATTGAAAGGGGTCACATTATATGGGCTTTACCTATCAATTAGAGAATTATTGATTTCATTCCAAGGGTAATGTAAAGGAAATTAAAAGGTTTTGTAGGCAAAATGGTAAGATTAGATTTGTATGTTAACAATCTCGTTCAAGATGCTCCGTGAAGAAATAATCCCATAACAAGGATTTGGCACCAGCTCTGTCTTGCTATAAAGCTACTCTTTTGATGACACTTGACTCCAGGATCCATTATTGTATTTGCTTTTCAACACAACTCACTGGAGTGGAAAGCGCAGGAATTATTATTCACATTTTACACATATTGGACCTGGGATCGAAAAAAAATGTATGCAAGACCAAGGTCTTCTTACCCCTAATAGCAAAATGATATGGCTAAAGAGCCAGTGAGTAATGCCTAAGAGTTGCCATAGGCCTGCCCAGTTCCAGCTTCTGTTCTCAGCATTTCATGACTATTAACTCCTCTAATAATTACAAAAATATTATTAGGATATATTCCCCATTATCTGACAGGAAAGTTGGGGCATAGAAAACTTAAGTAACTTCCCCAAATTCACCTAACTAGAACAGTTCAAAGCTATTGATTATATAGCTTAAAACAATGATCACTCCCCCTTTCTGGATTAAGCTTCTATATCAAATCATTTTTTTCTCAGTAATTAAAAAATTTGTATCAGTTCTTCTTGTCTATGTAAATGTGACTGGCAAGCTTTATTCTCCTTTGTGTAATAATATGATATGAGATTTATGATTAACGTTTACAGCAACTAACATTAGATGGACTTACTAAATCTTACTAGGAATAGGATGATTAAGTAGTATGAGTGAAATTTTTATTCAAATTGTACTGATTTTTATCACAAATAATAAATGAACATTTGTAGTGATGATAAAGTAGCATAATGTTATGTCTGAGAATAACACAAAATACCCAAAGGGTCCTTGAACACAAATGGTAGGTTAAGTGTAAATATCCCCACTAAAGTCCCTAGAAGTAAAAGCAAAGAAATCAAGCTTAAGTACGTATTACATTATTTTCAGAATAAGTATGTATTAAGCAGCTACATGTCCCAGTGTTTTTTAGCTTGAATTTGCATATGCTGTGGGTTGCTTGCCTGTACATGTGAATATTCTCTTTCTGCTCGATGAATGCTCCCCAATTAAAAATAATGATGTAGATCTATAAATTATTGCTTCAGCTCATACTGTATCATATAATTGAATGCATGAATTGGATTAAAATATAACAGAGCAATAAATGCTATGAAAAGTATGTACTTTTAAGCTTAATTAAAATTAGTTTAAAATGTTATATTTTATTCATGTCAAGAATATTTGATTTGAAACAGGTGTTAGTGCCTCCTACTTTTGAAACTCATGACCACTCCTGGATCTGGTATAGCCATCCTTTGATCGGGGGACAAGTAATCTAAGAAAGGGAAATCAACATAATGAATATGGTACAGCAGTAATGTGAGAACCCCCAGCTTGATGATGTCTTTGAGCTCTTGAACTATCTTTGAAACTACCTTCCTCTGGACTTTTACTATGTAAAATTAAAAGTGCTTTTTTTTTTTTTTTACTGTTAATCATGTCTTCTCTTACTTATTGATCTTTGCATTTTAATTGGCAGAGATATTTTATCAAAAAAAAGAAAAATGTAACTATGGAAAGAGACAACTCTCAGTTTTAAATAAACCAAATAGTAGGAAGAATTTAACCTAGTGATTTCTACTCCCAGTTCCTATCTTGTCCCTTGCCTAGTGTGTGTTCAATATGTGGTATTTTGGAAATGTTATTTTAATTAAGATAATTAGACTTCGATGGTCTAATTAAAGGGGGTGAAGGGGATGAGAAAACTCAGAAACTGGTGGGCATTCTTCTTGGACCAGTTCTATTCCAAGGCTCAGGATTCCCCACATTATGATGTCTCCAGCATGTGTCGGCTCTTTAGTGACTAAATTATAGATCTTGGCACAGGCTATATAAATTGGCATCATTCCTGGCTTAACAAATAATGTACCAACTGGTGCATGATGTATACCTTCATTAACAAAATTGGGGCATGGTATTCAATAAACTTGCCTAACCACTGGTTCATTGTCTGTCAATTTCAATTTAGTCAGAGCTATTTTTAGCTTGGGAATAAATTGTTTTATATTGGCATGGAGCTTGGCAGTGGTCATGCCAAAAGGCTTAATTAAGCATCAAATAGTAGTATTATTTATATGAACTTTTTAAAAATGTAGTTTAGGCTTCAGGCAAGTAACACTCTAAATTTTCTTGAAGATCTTATAATTTGTGACAAAATAAAAACAATCTCCTGACTTAGAGAATAATTTTTCATGGTTTTCTCTTTAAAAAGTTATATTTTATACATTGAGAGATTAGGATATATAGACTAATTCATTAATTCATGACGTTAATGATTGATTTATTCCTTAAAAGAAATATCCAACAGAGATGAACTTATCACAGAAAACATTTACAGCCAACACTAAAATCAATGTTTTTAATGGCTTACTGAGTAGTACCCTAAGAGCTTCATTAATGTTTCTCCTCTTTCTTCGTGAAACTCAAGAGATTCTTAACCTAGGGCCAACAAATATTCTCAGAAGTATGTGACTCTCCTGATATTGAATGCAAAATTTTGGATGTAAGAGTCATAGATTTATTTGATTCTCAAAGCTGTTATTTGCAACAATAATAAAAAATTAATTAACTGTTCTAAACCCTCTTCTGGATCAATGTAAGTACCTCTTTAGTGTTAATAAATATGCTTAATACTTACAAATATGTACTAATGGACAACACTCTAACCTAAATAACAGTTCTATAGACTCAGAAATGGCAGCACTGAGAGCATTGATAATTATCTTAAACTTACTATCTCTACTACACTTTCTACCACATCTTCTACCCAGTTACTAAAATAAAAACAAAAAAAAGTAGATACAACTCCTTTCTCTTCACCTACTCCCTGCATACATGCATTGAGTTCTATGTACAATGAATTTCTACATGCATGTCAAATTAACCCTTTTTTATTTATTGTCACTCTCACTTCTTTAATCCAAATCCTCATATTCTCCTGCTGCAACCAGTGCAGTAGCTTCCAAATTGGTTTCATAATTCTGATATTCTCTGTTAGTCCAATCTCAGTATGGTTATTTGAATAATACAGCCAAAATATTAACCTGATTATGTTATTCCTTTGCTAATTATTTTTCATGGTTGTGTGCACCTACAGGATAATCTGAAGTAATTTATCATGGCACACACAGTCTTCCATGTCCAGGCCCCTGTCTCATGACTGTTTCAGTCATTATTCTTCACAGTTCCTCCCATGCTGTCTATCCAAGGAACTATCTTTACCTAATTGTCTTTAATTCTAGTTCTGCCTTCTACCATCATCCTAAAGATATCAGAGTCTTCTGTCACTTCAAATAAAAGAGTATTTTTCTGAATATGCAACTCTTACTCTATTCCATCTCTTTGCATACTACATTGACTCTTTCTACAATGGTGTTCCATTGCTTCAGTAGCCTAAATCAAGCACCCAACATCAGTTTTTTGATCCTCTTCTCTTGATTACAGCATTTGAGCATCATTAGGTACCTTTTTTCTGTGTTCCAATGTGAACTTGTTCAAATTTTCACTATAACACTTCAAGTGTATAAGGTACTCATTCTCTCCTCCAATAAACTAAGAGGTTGTTTTCGATGAAGCTGATTTTTACTCATATTTGTTTCAACAGTGTCTGGTCCATAGAAATGACTCAATAAGTGTGTTTCGAAGATATAGGAAAACAGAACATACATGTGTAACAGAAACCTGTACTTGAGCCTAGAGGAACCTAAATGTGACATTTTACATACAATAACTCAATCCATCATCTCTTATGCACACATCTTCCATTCCTTTCCAGATAAGTCTCTGAAAACAGAAAGAGACATGAAGTGTCAAATTTATATCTTCCTTGCAAGAATGTAAGATACTCATGTGTTTTCCATCTTCTTTCACAGCAAAGACAATATTAGAAGAATCTGAATTTTGCAAGCTAGCTTCCACGCAAGCCCATCTTCAAAAATATTATCTCTTCTCTCTCTCTCTCTCTCTCACACACACACACACACACACACAAACACACACACACACTGACACCCATCTGTATATATGAAGAGAGAGAGACAGAGATGGGGATAGGAAGAGATCATCATTTTTCTTTTTGCAGTTTTTATTTTAGGGATTTTGCTAATTTTATTCAGTAATAGGGAAGCCCATCAGTTACATTTTGAAGAGTCACCAATTATGGGAAACTAATTTTGAGTAATGCATGTTGGTTATTTTTTAAAAATATCCAGGGAATTTATTTCCCTATGAAATATGTAGAAAATGTAAGCTTATCAGGAGAAACTATTTTCTGACCTCTTTATTTCTTATCAGACATTTGCTGAACTTTTTAAAGGCATTTCATTTTTCTATATACTCAGCAGTAATTCTAAGAGTAAACCTGTCTACATTTAAAGCTTGCCTTTTGTTTTCAGTTCTGCTCTTCGGGAGGAACACGTGCTTTTAAATTAGAATGTATGACAGTAGTTAGAAAATTTATTGATACTGACAAAAATAGTAATAAAAGAAAGTTGCTTTTTTCATTTATCATGTTTGAATACAATCCAGGCTCCAATATATATATACACACACACATACATACATATTCATCTTTTGGTAAGGGCAACTAACCAGCAGGTTTTACACAAATGCCCTCTGGAAACATAAAATGAAGGTAGGCATTTATAGCATAGTGTAAAAAGTATCTAATTCCTCTAAGACCCAGGGCAAAGCCTCATTTGAGATTTGCATAATCCATCACTGGTTAGGGATCACTCAGCAGCAACAATCCACTATGAAGGCATTTCCTAGTGAATTGTGAACTTTGCATTTATTTTGATTTAATAATAAAATGACAGTAAACCCTTATTACTGTTAGTCCGAACTTTACCATTTTGTAAGCCCCCCACCATTTCGCAGACCTTGGTCAAAGTGAAACATTCCATGGGTTTTTGGGCCATCAGAAATATCCTGCCCAACCAGCTGACTTTCTCATCATACTCTGCTGGGCAATGGTCCAACCAAAGGAATGTCCCTATCATATCCTGTTGGGCAAAGATTCAAAGAACATCCTATCACATCCCACCAAAAAAAGGGCCAAACTGCCTGATCATAGGGACATCTTATCAATATCCTGCCGTGCAGCAAGACATACTGCCCAGACCCCTCTTGCTCATACCCATTAAGCACACCAGCCTGTAAGCAGCGGTAGGCATTGGCTTTAAGCTGGCCCCCACCTCTGTAGGTGTATGCTGGACATAAACGCCTGCAATTGCTGTTGAGCAACTCTCTCTCTCTCTCTCTCCTTTTCTTTGTATCTTTCTTTAACCCTTGCCTTCCCTTCAAAACCTAACAATCACCACATCTAGAAATGTCTTTAAATTGAAATTACCATGTCCATGAAATTCTTGTCATACGTACTAATTTCACATATTCGACATGTATTAATTTGGTTTACTTAGTATCTATATCTGAGGATCCTTTTAGTTGCCAAGCACTGAGCTATGTCCCAGAATGTCAGAAGTTGATATGAGACAGATTCTCTTCCAGAATCTCATATGCTAATGAAGGAGAATGTTATGTATACAAACAACTTCAGCATGGTGTGCAAGCACAGCAATTAAAGTACATAATCAGCCTTTTCTGAATTCTTACTAAATAAACAGGAAAAAATTTTTAAAGTGCATATCTGATGAAAGTATTGAAGCCTCAGAGGTAGATAAAGCCTTCACTGAGTCACAGTGCTTGAGGGGAAAATGGATAATTCATCCCACTAGACATTACTGGAAAGAACATTCCAAGCAGAGAGAATTTTCTAGTAGGGAGACATAGACAATGTGATTTTTGTTTTTAGAGAACTGTAAAGATGTTTTTAATTCTGGAGAAAAACATATGAAGTAGAGTGGTGAGAGTAGAGGCTGAGTGTGAGGCAGAGGACAGATGAAAGTGTAATTTCATACCATGATAAAATATTTGGTATTAATTTTAACCATATGTGGTGATGGGCAGTCATTTTATCCCATATCCATGTTAAAAATCATTTAACAACAGGAATGCTACTAAAAATGTTAAGCATGAAAATGACATGTTTTTATTTGTATTGGAGAAAAATTATTTAACCACTATATAGAGAATTGTGTGATAAAGTGAGAGAACATAAGCAGAAATATAAACAAGCCTGTTCCAAAAGTTGAGCCTAGATGTAACAGCTTAAAGTGGCACAATACAAATGAAGGTAAAGGTGAAATGTATTAGACTTATTAACTCACTGGATCTACTACCTCAAAAATATTTGTTACCTAACTAGATTTAGTACCATCAATACATATACTCACATGACTATTTTCTATCATGTTAAGCTCACAGGTATTGACATTTTTGGAAGAGACCCTCCCTTATCCTTCAAGTAATTAAATATTTTTAAAAATAAAAAGAGATAAGGAAATTGTGAATGGTGCTGTAAGAATTATTGAAATAGGCATGTTCATGTCATTGTTTTAACATTAGGTTCTATCTACCGTCAGGAATTTGGCAATGTTTGTGTCATTCACAAGAATATCAATGATCTGTACTCTCAGTTTCAATGGCAATATACAGAAAAAGTTCTTTGAATCATCTGTCCCTTGGGTAGTAAGGAATTGATTAAACATAATATTGGTGAAAACAAAAAAAACCACTCATTATTCTATGCCTATTATTATTTAAAAATCTTCAAAGATGCTACAGATGCATTTCATAATCTGCTTTTATCTGTATTAAGACATTTGGATAAGGTAGTTAAAGCATTATTTGCTCTGCTAAAGTCTTAAGTATTCCCCTATTAATTCCATGGAATGACCCATGATTGATTGAGATAATACCAATAAGTTAAGAGATAGCATATTTCAATGAAACATTTTGCAATAATTAAAGTAGTTTTGAATAACCTAAACTGCAGTCATATAGTGTCTATTTTAAGATGTCTGAAGCCATTAATGATGTTAATATATCTACATTAGCATCCTTTGTCATAAGAATAATGTATCATTCATTCATTCAAGACTTATGCTAGATAATAAGAACACAAAGGTGGAAAAAGAACATAATAGCAACAACAAAACCCACACTGGAAAAAAAAGAGGTAGTCAGAAATATCTTTCCCCTGCCCTATAGCTGATGATGGCCTTTAAATATAATTCCTTCCTCCTGTTTCTGGAGTATTTTATAGTAATACAGTCATTCAAGGCAGAAAGCCTTGAATCCAGCATTTTCCCTGCTTTTATCAAACAATGTGACTGTGGGCAAATCTTATACTTACCTTGGACTTTGCCTTTCTTTTCAGTAGCATCAGGAGTTGATGCAATGATTTCTCAAGTTATTTTAAGTGACATTACTGTGATTCTTAATGAATCATAAGAAGAAAGGGCAAAACTAGATGAATTTCACAGAGAAGTTGTATGTCAAGAGGAATAATGATATATTTTCCAGACTTGTAATAAAAAACTTTACTTAAAGGTTTATATTTTTAAAAAATCAAAATAAGTAAGTTTCAAAAGAACTGAGTCTTTAAGAATTAGAGCTAAAGAAATAATATAATTGAGAGAAAAGGTATATTTCAGGGACTCAGGAAAGCTTTTACCTAAACTGTGTGACTGAGGTATTTTTGTCCTTCTTACTGGTCTTTCAAATCCCTCTGCATTTTAGTTCTCATAGCTTCATCTCACTGCTAAATGGTGATACCAATGCTTGCCAGGTACTGTTCAGGAAAGTGAATACGATCAACAGGATGATATTTATCAAATGCTTTGAGCTCCTTGGACAGTAGGACTATATAATGTCATATACTGCACTCAAGTATATAACAGAGAATTGACCCAGACTTCAAATTCCTTAGAGAGTTTCCAATACAATGGAATCTGTCTCAGTAAAATTGAGATTAATGGAAAAATGAGTACTGTAGGAAAGCTTGTAGAATGTCTTGCCAGGGTTCTACCTGAAATAATAAAATATAGCTTTCATATTCCTACGCTTCTTACAAGTAAAGAAGTAAATGGAAATTCCTGTAGGATGTTTGCCTTATGACAAACATGGCAGCAAGTAGGATTCTTATTTTTAACAATATGAACAAAATTAAAAGTCGATACCTTGTGTACAGTTTGGAGTAAAATATCTGGTTAGTAACCAATTCAAGTGGGTTTTCTCCTTTTAAACATATAAACATGAATTATTTTTATCCCTTCTAAAGTCTGGCAAGACCCTAAGTGTTAAAGACATAAATAAATTAATTAAGCTAACATTAATTGAGCACAAGTACCTGCTATGTACAAAATATATACTGCTGAACAACAACAACAAAATAGATGGCCTTTGCCCACATCGAATTCTTCAACTACATAAAACATTTACTCACATGGGCAAGAGAAGTAGTTCATTTTTGTTAAATCCCAAACACCTCAAAGGGTAGACCGATGGTAGGGCTGAGATGGCCAGGATCTTGGAAGAATTAGTATATCCGACTAAACATGAAGACTTTAGCAGCAAGAGAAATGTACAGCAAGAGACATAACAGGCTTTACAATTCAATCAGAACAGATCCTGACCAGGTTAGGTCAAGCTTGCAAAGGACTCTATTAGAGCTAATGCAGTAGATTTTGCCTCAGATTTATCTGGAGGAGCAGTGGACTGACTATAATCCCAAATTTGTAGCTAACTGGCACAAGTAAGAGTCTGCATAAAATGCAAGTAACAATGGGAGAAGCAAACGATGCAATTTAAGAATAGGTACAGTGTGACCTTCTCATTCCAATTAGATCACAGAACTACATGGTAAATCTCTTGTTTTCTGAATTAATGTAATTCTCTAGCCATTCCTCTGAGAACAGCTACTGTTTTGTTTCCCAGAGTATCAGAAGAAAAAGGGATTAAGGAACTGCAGAATAAAGACAACTTTGTTGTGGGCTAAAAATACCCTCAGAGGGATGATGCACGGTACCCCAGAGGGAGCAAATAATTGAAGGTTTCTTCCTTTTTAAATAATGGCTAGCTCTGTGGAGAAGGAAAATAGACTGGCAAATCCTTTTCCTGATAGAAAAAAAAATAGTGCATGATTATTTTGGAGATTCATTTAAAATTTATTCATAAAATTATTCAATCATGCATTCATCAAACATGCCTTGAAAATTTACAAGCAAGGCACTGTTGTAAACTCTGGAGGTAAAAGTTGTTAAAACAGCAGACGAGATGCATATTCACATGTGTCTTTCTAGTGGGTTAAAAAGACATTAGACAAGAAAACAAATAAGGCAATTCAGCTGGTGATAAGTTCTATGAAGGGAATAAACCATAATAATTTATAAGAGTGTAGTAGTTGGAACTGTTTTATCTGGGGTGGGCAGAAAAGTCTCCCAAGCCTCACTTGGGGAAATGGACTAAATGACAAGAATAAGCCAGGCATGTGAGTGTCTGGTGACAGAACTCTTCACACAAAAGAACAGCAAGGGCAAAGGTCCTCTGCCAGATGACACTTGTTTGGATCAGAATGTCACTAAAGGTTAGTGTGACCAGAGCCCAGTGAGCAAAGGGAGAGGGCTGTCTGCGATGGAGATTGAGAGTTGGGCAGGGGCCAAGCAGTAGGGAAATTTGGAACTTGAAAAGTCTTTTGCATTTTTTATTTTTTGAAAGCCTGTAGTAAGCAGTATAACAGCCCAAAAATGTTTACGTCCTAATCTACAACCTGTGAATGTGTTATTTTACATGATCAAGTGGAATTAAGGTTGCCAACCAGCTAAGCTTAAAATAGGAATAAGCTCAGCATAATCACAGGGTTCCTCAATAATGGAAGCAGAAGGCAGAAGAGTGAGTGTCAGATGATGTAGATGGTGAAAGACTTGTTCTTCCACTGTTGACTTTGAAGATGGAAAGGGTTCAAGCAGCCTCTAAAAGCTGCAAAAGTCAAGAACATATTCTCCCTAGAGTCTCCAGAAGCAATGCAGCTTAGCTGACACCTAAATTCTAGCCCAGTGAGATTTATTTTGGAATTCAGATCTCCAGAACTGTTAGATAATGAATTTGTTTTGTTTTAACTCAATGATTTTGTGGTACCTCATTATAGTAGCAATAAGAATCTAATACAAATCTAGTGGAATGTTGTAAGCCAAGGAGTAGCTTAATTTTACTTAAATGTTAATATATTCTGGTTTGTCCTTGAAGAATAAATTATAAGAATACAAAAGTAGAAAGAATAATTAGGAGGCTACTGCACTAGACCAGATGTAAGATAATAAAATTATAATGGAGTAGATTTCCCGGAGAAAGAGTAAATAAACTTCAGATCGATTTTTGAAATAAAAAGTAGCCCACTACTTTTTGAGGAATTAGAGTTTGGTAGGAAAAATAGAGAAAATCAACCCTAGACTTTTGGATGAAACATTTGGGGAAATGGGGGTATTTTTTGCTGAATCAACACTAAAGATAAAGACTTTAGCTGAATAAAGTAGTACTCTTTTAGATGTATTTGCATTGCCATCTGTATTGCAAATATGCATCTGTTGAATTAAAGAAAGAGATTAGAGCAATAAAAAGAAGTATGCAAGAAATCTTCATAAAGACACCTTTGTGTCATTGTTCTGAACTAAATCACTCATGGGAGATTTATGAGTTGGATTCTGTTGAGAATCCAACAAATTTATTCATAAACTCTTCATAATTCTGTTGAGAATACAACTCATAAATGAGTTGAGATACTTTTGAATTCCTGAGTATACCATACCTTCATTTAGTGGAACCACAGGATAGGATTAATGTATATGACTGGTCTGCGTTTTCTAAGCTTGTGAATACAAAGGCTTGTCCATAGTATTTTTTTTAAGTTCACCAGTATCTATTAATATATCTCTTCTTCTATTGGCATATGCAAAGATTAAAACTGATAGGTCAAATAGGATATATATTTAAGCTTTTGTTTTTCTTTCCTAAGGGTAATGCCACAACTCTAAGCGTAAAATTAGGATAAAAATCTTGGAGAAGGCATGATCTTAATCCTGGTTCTAAATAAAAAGACTTAATATTCTCATTGAAGATCTAGAAGTCTAGGATGAAAGTGAATATAGAGAAATTTGGAAGGGATGCATTACATGAAACCAGAGATCATGTACTAGAAGACTGAGGAATTCATGCAATGCATTGACTCAAAGAACTTAAGCAGATTAAAACTTAAGAAGTAGGCAATGAAATAGACATAGAGAATTAAAGATCTGCGTATAAATATAACGAATAGGTCACAGAGATATTTCCCAAAACATTGTACTATGACTTCCAAGCTCTTTGATGTTAAGAACATCTGCTGCATGGTAAAATAGAAAGGACAAAATGATAAAAAATAGAAGATAAACAATCTTAAGATTTTTCCATTTTTTTATTTTACTTTAAGTTCTGGGATACATGTGCGGAATGTGTAGGCTTGTTACTTAGGTATACATGTCCCATGGTGCTTTGCTGCACCAATCAACCTGTCATCTAGGTTTTAAGCCCCACAGTCATTACCTATTTGTCCTAATGCTCTCCCTCCCCTTGCCCCCAACCCCCCACAGGCCCCAGTGTGTGATGTTCCCCTACCTGTGTCCACGTGTTCTCATTGTTCAACTACCACTTACGAATGAGAACATTTGGTGTTTGGTTTTCTGTTCCCATGTTAGTTTGCTAAGGATGATGGTTTCCAGCTTCATTCATTTCCCTGCAAAGGACATGAATTCATTCTTTCGTATGGCTGCATAGTATTCCATTTTGTGTATATGTGCCACATTTTCTTTATCCAGTCTATCATTGATGGGCGTTTGGGTTGGTCCCAAGTGTTTGCTATTGTAAATAGTGCTGCAATAAACATACATGTGCATGTGTCTTTATAGTAGAAAGATTTATAATTATTTGGGTATATACCTAGTAATGGGATTGCTGGGCCAAATGGTATTTCTGGTTTTACATCCTTGAGGAATCGCCACACTGTCTTCCACAATGGCTGAACAAATTTACACTCCCACCAACAGTGTAAAACTGTTCCTATTTTGGGCATGAGGTCTTATATTCCCAACAACCTATTTTGGCAAAGGTTTTATCCTGTTACTGTGTTCTTGAGTTCTATGACTGCCTCCGAGTTTCTGAACATGACACTCTGCCTTTTGAAACACAGCCTAATTTTACCCCCTCCCTATTTGTTTCAACTTCTTAAAGTGTTTACAAGATTCCTTTGAATTGAAGTGCCAACACAGAGCCAGAGCAATGTGTCCAAATAGGATACAAGCATCAACAATATTTCTATGAATCGAGGTTCTGGGTCACATGGTGTATCAGTCAGATTTCCCCAGAGAAAAATAGCCAATACTATCTATCTATCTATTGAGAGAGAGAGAGAAAAAGAGAAAGGAAGAGAGAGACAAGACAGAGAAAGTTTTATTATAGTCATGTGTCACTTAACCACAGGGATATATTCTGAGAAATGTGTTGTTAGATGATTTTGTCATTGTGCAAACATCCTAGAGTGTACTTCTCCAAACTCAGATGGTATAGCCTTCTACCCACCTAGGCTAATATAGTACAGCCTATTGCTCCTACGCCACAAACCTGTACAGCATGTGACTGTACTGAATACTTTAGGCAACTGTAACACAATGGTAAGCATTTGTATACTAAACATATCTAAACATAGAAAAGATAGAGTCAAAATATGATATAATCTTACAGAACCACTGTTACATATGCAGTTCATTGTTGACTGAAACTTCTTTTGTGACATATGACACTATGAGGAATTGGTTCACCTGATTATTGAGGCAGGGTGAGTTGGCAAGCTGGAGACCCAGGAGAGCAGATGATTAGGTGTCAGTTTGAGTCTGAAGGCCTGAGAGCCAAGAAATTCAATGTTGGAGTTCTAGTTTGAAGGCCAGGGGGCTCAAGACCAGGAGAAGCCAATGTTGCAGTTTGAGTCTTAAGGCAGGGAAAAAACAACAATAAAACTGAAGTCTCAGTTCAAAGGAAACCGGGCAGGAGAACTTCCCTCCTACTGAGGCAGACCTTTTATTTATTCAGACCTTCAAATGGTTATGTGAGGTCCATCCACATTAGCAAGAGAAATCAGCTTTATTCTGTCTACAACTTAAATGTTATTCTCATCCAAAAACATCCTCATGGAAAAACCTAGAATAATGTTTGATGAAATATCTGGGCACCTCATGGCCTAGCCAAGTTGACACATAAAATTAATATGGGGATGCTGGAAAACCAGCTAAGACAAGGAATGGAAATAGGGTAGAAAGGAGTTAGTTCAAATAAATTCAGGGAAAACAAGAACCAGTACTAAGCGTGCAGCTTTTACTTGTTTTCAGTTTAGAGTACAGAAATAGTATTTAAATGTATAATCTTTGGGATCAGATGGATGCGATTTTACATGGTGCCAGACCTATAATAGCATTATGACATTGAGCATTTAGTAAACCACTCTGAACCACGATTTCCTTATGTGTAAAATGAGAAGTATAATATTGGCCTAATTAGGTTGTTAGAATAAATATAATATATGTAAAACATTTAGCACATTGACATTTAAATATGAAAAATAAACTTTCAGATATTGTTAACATTTGTATCAATATCCTTATGTGTATGAACAGATTGAATCTCTTAGAGAAGCCTAGAATGAAATAGAAACTCACTTCATTACACCTTCTCACTACTAGACTTACTTTCATTTTAAAGGATTTGCTCCATATTTTTCTCATTTTAGAAATTGTACATTTTTGTTGAAGTCAATAGTATACAACAAACAAATATCACCAAAACAGTACAGCTCAGATATTGCTGCAAAGCTTCACTGATTATCCAAGCTTTTATTATGTATCTGATTGTGTGGGGTAAGTAATCCCCCTATTACATTGAAAATTAAAATAACCACTTTAGTCTGATAGTGTCACAGAAGGTTTTACAGCACCTTCTGTAAGGGCATGTGCTTGTTTTGATGGAGACTGATATCACAGGATGGAAGCGAATTACAAGTGATATTTCCCATGCCTTTTCTCATGGTCTACTAGGTAGTGATTTTCTCACATCATAGAGTATTCATTTCTCTTTATCCTAAGTGAAAAATTTAGTAGAAACACAAAATGCAGGGTTTCAGAAAATCAATTGTTTGCAACCAATGTTTTATATTTTCAAAGATCTTATCTCTTTCTTCAAAAAGTCCCATTTGCTGCATTCTTACTCGGGTGAGGCAGCAAACTAGATGTGTTACAAGGCTTCCCACCCCTAGTCAGTATATGGATGTTGCAAACCTAAGTCCTCTTAGAAAGAAGAGGTCTAGGGACCATTATGATTATTTATTGTTTTATGAAAAGTGTTTGCCTTAACAAACCAATAATGGGTTGTCGAGGTGGGAGCTAACAAAAATGAGCAATGTAGAAATGTAGTGAAGTTCAGAGTTAGGAGCCAAAACCTGGAGTCATATAGCTTAGGCTTCTAATCCTGGATACACCATGAAACAGTTACACAGCCATTAGCCTGTTAGTGAACCTTATGGGCAGTAAATTTACTCACATGTGTGTAATTCACCTCTGTAAAATCACTTATAATACTGAGAAAATATATGTAAAGTGTCTGACAATTACTGTTAACCATTTTTATTCCGTATGACATCTTTATACAGATGGTTCCTAACTTAAATGTTTTGGCATATGATTTTTGTCTTTATAATGGTGCAAAAGTTATAGACATTCAGTACAGTATTCAATAAATTATATAAGATATTCAACCCTTTGTTATAAAATAGGCATTATGTTAGATATTTTTGCTCAAATATAAGGTAATGGACGTGTTCTGAGCATGTGTAACGTAGGCTTGGCTAAGCTATGATGATCTGTAGGTCAGGTCTATTAAATGCATGTTCAACTTATGATATTTTCAGGTTACAATGGGTTTATCCGGACATAACCCTATCGTAAGTCAAGGAGCATCTGTAAATGTATTTTTACTAGAGATCCAAAACTCACATCATAGATTGTTGAACAAGTAGGTTTGCTTTGGATGCAATCATCCTGTCTGGATTGATGTGGCTGAATTTGGAATGACCCAGATAAAGGGATTCAGTAGCCAATTTTTTCTATGTTATTTTAAGTTGATGGCAGTCCAAGTGGGTACGGAATAAGCAACACAGAGATCATGAGTATCTACCCTAGAAAGTGCCAAGGTATCCACAAAACACCTCTCTTGTACTGGCCATGCAAATTAAGCTTCTTGGACAAAGGACAGAAGTTATCTATATAGAATGTTCTTTTCTTATCATTCGGTGTGGCTGGGGAAGGGTGTTTACCTCAGTTTTTAGTTTAGGACTCAAGTATAGATGGGATGCCAGGTAGGTCTGAACTATTTCTGGAGCACAGTAAGAGGAATTCTGATGATTAACATTTCAAAACGTGTAAAAAATTGTTTTAAAAAGTGTGAAGATATTTAAATGTAAAAGATAAAGAGGAGATACTCAATTCCTAAATTATTTCAAAGGGTTAAGATAGTGAATACAAACAAGAGAGATATTTTAGGAGTATTCAAAATGTGGAACAAAAAATGATACTTTCCAGCATTTAGTATTCATTACTGTTGAATAATTGACAATACCAAAGTGAAAGCAGGCCAGTGAGCAGGCACTGCCCCTGCCTCATTTCTCAGCTTCTTTGCTTTACTCGTTGAAAAACAACCCTGCAGTCCAAGGCTCATTTCATTTCCTTCATCAGTCTGTCCTGATGCAGAAGGGATATATATATGCCTCCCACCTGAGAGGCGGGAGGGAGCACATATATAAAAAGCTGTAACTGCATCCAGTGGTACAGTGTGAAGTTGCTCTTCTCACACATTATGTCAAGCTTATTTTGGATGACACCTGGGCATCCCTGCAGTCTCACAGACTCGGAATCCCTATATTCTCATCTCAACCTATTACACAGAAATGGTGTTGACCCCGTTATATCAGAGTAAAATCTGAACCTGGACCCTAACCTACTAATCTGGTACTCTGGCACCTTGCCAATTTATCACTATCTTCTTAGAATCTGCTTCCCCTACCCTGAGAAAACTATTGCAGCCTTTGAGTGAGTAAAATCACAGCCAGAGCCTATACTAAGCAACACTCACCACCTGAGTTAGAACAGGTGAAGTCATAATTTGTGCAGACTAAATATGAAATGCATTAGACATCACATCAGGGGTTAATTTAATTTTATTTTCCCAATGATCTTCAGAAAGACAGCCGGAAGAAAGATGCTAAATCTTATCTCAGAATTCAAAAGATATCACAACAGGCGTGATACAAAGGTAATGGGAATTGATTATGTACCAGAAGAGTAGCATGAATATTATTAACCTTTATAGATGATAAGAAATGTAGAGATAGTGAACCAGAAGTGCTTCTGCTCCCTGAATCTCCCCCACAAAAACCATGAGTATGCTAGGGTTAGCAGGGCATCCTTCTGACATTGAGGTTGAGATGGGAAAAAGTCCAGACCATCACCGACATCCAATCCATCCAGAAATCCAGGATTTGGCCAATCTGCCTGTGATTGCTGCTTCTAGATGTGGGAGTGTGGAATCAAACAACATTGTAGAAAAATCTTCATGTTTTCCTTGAACTCAGGCATAGTGGTGGCATTTAGGAAAAACAGTGAACAAAAACCTATCTCAGTCAGGACTTTGTTATGGAGTAGAGTCACTATCCGTGCTATAGAATATTGAGTTATTATAGGACTGGTTGAAACGTGTAGGAGAGGTGGGGGTTGGAGGATACAGAAAGAGACTAGTAAATCTGTGAAACCATGTGCTTTCACAACCAGAAAAGGGGCCTTGTGCAGAGGTCTTTTGGCCTCTCTATCTCTCTTTTACTGCATCTAGCTGCAAAAACAGCTTCAGAAGTGATGGTTGCTAATTCACTTCTATCTTCCAAACTGTGCATATGTTTTTCCTGTGGCCAACGTTAATCTGACACCAAAGAGGGAGGGGATCTGGTACATGCAGTTCCAGGCATAACAATGGCCACCCAGCACAGCCTACCTTTCCAAGCCAACACTCACAGGTAGAATAACAACATCACAGTACAGAGATGTGAGTGGCATCTGCCTTTGAGTAAGGGACTGGTTAGCTGCGATTTTATGGGTTTCCTGACACCGTGATACTGATGGAAGCCAATTACCTGAGAGCCATCAAAAAGAATGGGACAAAGTGAAAGAGTCAGTTGTTTCAAAATCAGCTCTGTTCAGTGTTATCACAAGATTGATGATTAGATGAGATCAAGGTCAAGAATACCTTTAAGACACACATGCATGCACACATATACACAAACCCACACATGCACACGCACACAAACACTATCCTACTAGATTGACAGTAGCTGGGAAAGCTTTTGTTGCAATAGAGCCGTTCAGAGATCAGGAAGGTGGAGAAAGTTTGATGTTGGAAATTTAAATTGGGTAGGACTAAACATAAATTACACATTTGAGTGGAAAAAAAATTCCTGGGTTAGAATAAGCTATCTTGAATTAGCAAGATCAATTTTTCCAACACTAAGCAGAAATAGGGCCTCCAAAGATAAATAAAGTGAATTTTTTGAACAAGTAATTTTATGATATTACACTGTTCTGATCACTATGAGTACTTCCCTAAAGCTGTGTCACAAATGCCGAATGGACATGACCTCCTCCCCGTGCGTCTGCAGAGCATGAGCTTGCCAACTTCATCAGTCCCCTGCTCAAGGATTCTAAGTTACTCTCGGGGGACTAGACATTGAAATTATTTGTCTCCCCAGCCCAATCCTTTGCATTCCTGGACTCTTTCTATCCTGAAAGCCTGGTGCCACTGTAGGTCCTGCATTCTTTGCCCCAGAGTCTGCTTCCAATATGACATTCACAGCAGCCAAAAGAACTTTTTCTTACAGTGGTTTACATTCCAATGACTGACACTAAGTATCTTTAAATATCTACTCAGTTTGGAGCCCTTCTATTGGCTTAAAACTTCTCCTATATAAAATGGAATGTGTTCAAGATTTCATCTTAAATATGAGTAAAATGCTGTGCTATGTTCAGAGAGATTAGTGGAAGCTTAGAAAAGTGTTTGTCACAATAATTCTGCAAAGGAAATTATCAGTATGTGCAATTCCAATACCTTGCAGAGAGGATCCTTTGAAACATTTCTGTAAATGTCTATTTAGGTCAAGGGTTATACTGCAAAGGATAATTGAGCCTATATAAAACATGGGCACCTAATGTGCAAGATTAAAGACACTCGAATCTCAAGGGCCTGTGATTGTTTCCATGGGTCCTGAAACAACAACAACAACAACAACGACAACAAAATTCTGCATGCTTCCAGTAGATTATTAAAGCGATCAAAAAAGAGCCATTCACTTACTGTTTTTAACTAGGCATACCATAGTTCTAAACATCATACTAATCAAAATTCTAGAAGTATGCCAGATCTCCAGTCACTATTAATGAATAATAAGATAGGAGACAAAATATTTGAAGCAACAGTGTACTAAATTATGTCACATATTATTTTTTATTTTCACCTACTTGTACATCAATAAATGTCGCAATGTTGCTTTTTTAACAATCAATTCTAAGCGATATTGTAAAATTTTTTCTCTCATAAAAAATACAAGCGAAGTGAAAGAAAACATCAGTTATCATAGCAGTTAGGGAAAATATATTGATATATTCCCTTCAAGTAATGCTACCCAAGTGCTAGCCAAGATATATCTAGTATGTGTGTGTGTGTGTGCGTGTGTGTGTGCGTGTGTGTGTATGTGTGCATGCATGTATGTGTGTATGCATGTTGGATTATTGATCTTTAAGAAAAATTGTAGAAATAATTTGGATGAACATGAATTCAGTGATCCTAATTCAAACCCAAGAAAGTCCAATTATGAGTCATCCTTTATTAGTCCCAGTTGGATTTGTTTGAAAAAAAAGTAATTAGTTTTCTATATTCTGTGATTTGCAGGATGATTAGAAATTAACTCCTTTCCGAAACATCTCTCACCAACAGTGCCATTGTGCTTGAAATATTGTTATATATTAATTATTACTAAAATATTACTGCCTCAGGATAATTCGTAACAACAACATAAACAACTAACCTTTGCTAAGCATTTGTTGTGTGCCAGGAATTCTGTTAAATCTATCAAGTGCATTATTTCACATAATTCTTAAAGCTGAAAACTAAATTCTGAAAACTAAAGCTTAAAGAGGTTAAATAACTTACCAAACATTGCACAGATAGATAATGGTGGAAATGTGTGTTCCAATACTTTGAAACTTACCTTATTCTTTATATTTGTTATATTTTATATTTGTCCTAGAAAATATGCTTATATTTTATATTTGCCTCTTGGCAAGAATACTCTTTCTGCTCTGAGTGTCAAAATTTTATCATTCAATATAAAGCTTTGTATGATGATCACAGACAAGTATCCTCTGCATTTGAGCTGTTCTTACTTCTATAATAGATCGTGTGACAGTGATTTGAAATATTTTTTAAATTTCAATATTCCTTACCATGCTACATTTTGTAAGGGCAGTGAACGTATCTTTTATATAATAACAATTATTATTGTTACTGCTATTCTTAGTGTTCTAAGACTGAACACAATGGCAACTGCATATATGATGTTCCATAAATGATTGCTAGATGAGAGCATATAAAATTAGCATCAGCATCTTATAATGTTTCATGTTGCTTTCCTTTATAAATGGTGAAATCTACAGTAGCATGGAAAACTTTAATGCCCAGGAGATATCAATAGATATTAATCAATATCTAATACCCATGTATAGAAACAAAAATGATAAAAGGATGTGGAAATCCTTTGTGGTTTGGCATTGAAACAGACCTGCTTTTGCTGTTCACTAAAACAAATTGTCCTGATAAAGTGACTGATTTAGGTATTGATGACAAAGAAGAGTGGTTGGAGCCTTCAGTTACAATTGGTGAACTGGACCCTCATGCTTAACTCTCCTCCAATCTGAAATCTGCACAAACAATATTAAAGGGTTAACAAAATGAATCACGAGATCAAAAATAGCAGGTAAGAAGAACCATTAAGAATGAAGTTTTGGAGGCTATGATATGGATGCATAAGTAAATAGCACTCTAGACCAGGGGTTGGCAAATACTTTCTGTAAAGATTCAGATAATTTGGCCTGTGGCCCACACAGTCTCTGTCATAACCACTCAATTTTGTCATTGTAGTGTGAAAGCAGCCACAGGCAACACAACAATGAATGAGCACATCTATGTTCTAATAACTTTATTTACCAAAAGAGATAGGTAACAGTCATGTCATGGTTTGCCATCTGCTGATATAAATCCATAGACTTGCAAAACTGAACTTAAGCTTAGAGTGGAAGAAGCTCAGACTAGCCCACTGTAGACCTGAGAATGGCACAAGGGTTCAGGAATTAGCAATGACAAGTAATCTAAAATGTGGTTTGCACTTGAAGCATTTAGGAGCACTGTTTGTCAATTCAGGCAAGAGGCAATTAGACCTGAAGTTGCACTATGTCACCTGTTACGACTGATTGCTTGTATCTTGCCAAAATTCATATCTTGAAATCCTAACCTTCAATGTGACGGTATTAGGTGGTGGAGTCTCTGAGAGGTTATTAGGTCATAAGTTTAGAGTACTTATGGGTGGAATTAGTGAGCTTATAAATGAGGTCTCAAGGAATTTACTTGCCCTTTCCACCATGTAAAGATATAAGATGTCAGCAGTCTGCTACCCAGAAGACGGCTCTCAGCAGAACAAACCACGTGGCACTCTAATCTCAGATTTCCAGCCTCCAAAACTGTGAAAAATAAATTTCTGTTGTTTATAAACCACCTACTCTACACCACTTTGTTACAGCAGCCTGAACTAATACAACATCAAATGCAGCCATGAAACTGTTTTTTTGCTGCCCTGAAAGGAACCTGGAAATTACAATTCTGAGAAGACAGACCATTAGGAATCTGGACTAGGAAACAACAGGAATAGTTAGAATCAGTGATAATTTTCTGAAAGCAGAAAATGGTAAGAGCCCCTACCTCTTCCATTTCCCTATTGATTTTAGCAGGCTGGCAGCCTCGTTTGTCTTCCGGGGAGGACATTGGAAGAATTTTATCTAGTCGGTAAAACCAGCCCCAAAGAATATCTTGAAGAAAAGTGGGGATCTGCAACTTATGGTACAGTCATTTTAAAGCATAGTCAATCATGCTTTTCAATAGTTTGTATCCGTAAAACAAGGAGTTATCTCTAAAAGAAAAATTCAGAGAACAAAATTATGCCTTGAAATTAATATGTATTAACATCAATTTAAAAATCAGATGAATACTGAGAGTTGAAGTTAAAATTGAAGACTTTTCTCAGAAAGTAGATTAGAAATACCAAAAATATTAATAGAAAACAAAAATTATTTACAAATACAGACTCTGCCCAGATGTTATAGAAACTGAAAAACAGGAATTACAGAATGAGGGTATGAAAGATGGAGGAGGAATAAACAATTCGATGTTTTGTTTTTTTTTTTCAGAACACAGAACTGTGCATTTATAGATTAAAAGGTTCCAACAAATGCTCAGGATGATAGCTAAAGGACATACTATCATAAAATTTTAGAATAGCCAGTTAAAAAAGAACATCCTAAAAGTGTTCATAGAGAGATTTAAAAAAAACACGGGGGAAATAAGAACAAAATCAGATTACAAACTTGCGGTTAAGAATAAGCATGGCAGAATAAATACAAAGGAAACTACACCAAAGCACATCATTGTCAAACTATTGAAAATCAAAGTTAAGGAAAGAGTAATAAAAGCAGACAGAAAGAAAATGACATACTATACTTAGTCTATGTTGGATTAAAGTGTTTGCAAATTAATTCCTATTTTCCCATCAAAAGGTAGAATTTATTTACTTGAAATTTTCCATGTGTTATTTATTTCTGTCATATTTTTCTTTGTGTCCTTGAACAAGTTTATAATATTTGCTTTAAAATCCTTTTTAGATTTTAAAAATCTAAAAAGATTGTTGTATGGTAGAACCACCTGACAGCAAAAACTTAAGCATACCCTGAGAATGATCCTATGTGGAGGATACTCCTCACAGCAACAACCTAAGCATACCCTATATGGCAGATGTGATTGACAGCAATAACTTAAGAAATGAGGATTGCCACGTGGAGGTTGCTAGTAGGTAGTATGTTAAGTGAGGGCGCTATGTAAACTGCAGGCTTTTTGCAAGCAGTGGCAATTCTCCTGTCCAGCCTACTGCTACCAGACTGGCTTGTAAGTAAGTTCCCTTGAATAAAACCTATGTTTCATTTACTGGCTCTGGATCTATTATTTGACCTCTTGAACCTGGTACTATCCCTTTTGAAGTTAATAGGGATCCAGCATGGCACTGGTAATTATAAAATCTCAGATATCGTAATGTCACTTTTATTAAATGTTTTCTCTTTTAGTGATGGGTAATATTTTGACCATGTCTACTAGTTTTCTATTGTATGCTGTTCATCATGGATTAGTTATGACCTCTTCTTTTAAGAGGTATTCAACTTTGTTCTGGCACGCAGTGAAATTAGAGGTGGTATCTTCTGATGTAACCAGGCTTGGTTTTGTTCTCTGTCAGTTCATATCCACTTAGAGTTTGAACTGAGTACTAGAATGTGTCCTTACTCTTGGTTATTTTCTTTATCTCTAGGTTATGGCTCTTTGAAGGTCTCAGCTGAATACCTGGGGTTGTTAGATTTCTCCTTTCTGGTTGTATCATAACCACTTCAGTGTCTCCCAGTTTTGCACATTTTCTGTAACAGGTGATCTCTTTTAAGCCCTTAACACTTTACTCTGCGCATATGCCCCTTGACCCTTATCCAAGAACCCTTGCTGAATGTCCACACAAACTTCTGTGATCTATCTTCCCTGCAGCCCCTTCTTTTCAGTTATCTCCTCCCACAAATTCTGGCCACTTCCGTGGCTCAGAATTCTGAACTCTGCTCTCTCAACTTGTTGAGACCAATGTGTCACTTCCTTGTTCTTTGTCAGAAAAGTTCTCCAAAATAGAAACTTGGGCATCTTGTGGGTTTGATCATGGGGCTCACTTTTTGTATTGTCCTTCTCCCAAAGATCACAATTCTTTACCATCTACTGTTCAACACCTCGATATTATTTCTTAACATTTTTTCCCCAGTTTTAAAACGTTTACAATTGGGAGGGCAGGTTTGTTACCAGTTAATCTTTCATGGCTGGAAGCAGAGGAGACTCAATTTTTATTTTCAAAGGTAAACTTCCTTTTAAACTTTTACAATTGAGAATAATGCTGGAGAATTGGTTCTGAGTAACCAATGTAATTGTTTTCCTTCCAGACCCCACTCATTTTCCTCATTCACCTTATAAAAGGGAATTCTCATTAGTCTTAGAAATCTGAACTTGCACAAACTGCTATCTGGCAAAATATTATGAAGATAACATATGTAAATGATGTACCCATAACCTACCCAATTACGTGATAAAATTTTAAGCTGTTTGCTTTGTCCTTCTCTGCAAACCTGACCAATTACAATGCCTGGACAGTAGATTACTTAACCGAGTTCATTTACTTCTGGCCTAGACTGTGTTTCTTCAGTTTTCAAAACTGTGCATCTGTATCATAGACTATAACCTCCAAGCCATCTTTTGAACTTCTGCTTTTATAAACGTTATTCAGCCAACTATCATCCTAGTAATAGGAGTGGCCACAAGTTGTTATTGCAAAGGTTTTGTCTTCCTAAAATTCTAGTGTCTTATCATCTTCTTTACTGCCATTAGTATGCATACTTACTTTCTCCTAAATATTTTATCTGAGGTAACAGGAAGGAAGAGTTGCTATTTGTTAGATTTATTCAGTATGTTCTATAGTTGCTAGGTGATACCAGCCAGTACCAACCAAAAATACTTAATAATCTTCAGATTAAATTTTCTTGTTACTTTTCCTTTAGGCAGCGCAAGGCACCTGGACCAGACTGATTTAGACTACATTATTAAACTCCTAGGATTAAGAAAACATTTTGATTGGTCCACAGATTAATGTAAAGGGCAGATTAATTTTTGTGAGCGACTAGTTCGGCTGAAGCAGCTGCTCATATTTTAAAGTGCTAACATCATCACATTCTAGCACACTGCAGTATGGTTTTCTAAGAATAAAGATATCCAAAAGAGAAACTAATAAGGCATATCTAAGTAGGGTGTTTGGTAATCATGAGATAACGCTCTGGAGGGATTAGAAGCATGGGGCTGCATTTCTGTCAAATTATTAGCTCATGATAACCCCTTCCTTCTTGTCATACCTGACTGCATAATTCCTATCCAATTAAAAATGACATTTTCGGGTGATTCTAGCAATTTAGGTGCAAACTTTCTTTTATTTCACAACCTGTTTGGAAGACAGATCACTGAAAACCATAGATGGCTTCGTTCCTCAGATACTCTCATACATACTAGGTAAGAAAATTGTCTAGAACATATCAGATGAGCCTGGCTAGAACAAGGGAATCTAGGCTCCTGGGTCAAGCAAGTGAACCTATGTTGTTTTGTCCAAGGCCATAACATGATTTGCTCTTCTCCATTTGTTTCATGTCAGCAATGACTGCTGAAAACTACCCATGTATTTTTAAGGAATCTTTTTTTTTTGTTGCAATTGTAATTAGGTTGGAGGTTTCTTGTAGATATGGTAACAAGGAATCCTAATTCTAAATCATACATTGTTATAATTAGAAAAAGTTATCCATTGTAATTGTGAGTGTAAACTTTATAAGAAAATAGTTTTGATTATCATATGTATAAAGAGATTAAGACTATTTTATGTTTTATACATTATTTTATATGTCAAACTATTTACATGTATATATATACATAAAATACATACTTATATGCACGCACATATATTCTCAAGGTGACATGAAAGACATTTGTAAAGATATGCCAATATTATAACACAGCTTTAAAGTTTTTAGTTCCTTGTAACAACATCCCATGTTAAGTGGCAGAAAATGCCTCAAAAATAACATTTAATGTACTTGTAGTCACTTAATATTATGCTAACCATTCTGTACATGTCTATATGGTTTCCACAATAGTACTTTTGAACTTTCGCTTTTATGAATTTATGTCCTAAATAATATCCCAATTTTTTTGAGGTTCCAAAATCCACCAAAATGTTTCTCTATTTCTCATTTTGTTTCTCTGTAATTAATGGTGCTGACATTAACATAATTTAAGAAGAAAATTTGGTTTCCTTGTCTCAAATTACTTCCCCAGAATAAATCCCTTAAGATAGAATTCCTAGGTCTAAATGTACAACTCTTGCTATGTATAACCATATTGCTTTCTGTAGTTATAAATTTGGCTTTGCCACCACCATAGTTAATAGGTCATTCAAGGATCTATCACTGCCTGGTCTTGAAGAGACTTAAGCCATTGCTTCATCCAGCCTCACATCACTACCATTGCTATTTAATTCATACTGACAATTGATGACCATTTCCGACAGCCGTGTCCTTCCTGCTACAGACCTTCTAGTTGGGTACTCTCACTGGTAAGTTTCTCTGTCTTATTACATTCTTGGCCAATATTTTTTTTGTGATCTAGTTTTGTGCATCACTTGTTATTCTAATTGATCCTGGTAACAGAATACCCCAGGGCTCCCCCTCAGAAGCCCTTTAGTTATGGTACTCTATCATGTTCTTTGCCCTCTCCATGGTTATAACCCTTTATGTGGACAACACTTAAAAAGCAGAAAATGGTTTATCTGGGACAGTAATGAACTGATCCATCCAGGCAATAGAATAATGATGATGATATATTCTTCTGCTCTCAATGACTAGTTGATGATGTGACCCAGAATAGACAGGGGTGAGGCAAATTATAACAATGTATCAACAGGACTCCTCAGAAAGTTATTTCATGGTGTTAAAAATCTCTTGATGTTCCATTCAACTAAGATACTTAATACTAAGAAAGAAATACTACAAGCCAGGAAACAAACTTCAAAATAAGTATAATAAGATATTAAAATATCTTAATGTTTTCATCTCAAAAAAATTAATAAAGGTTTCATGAAAAATAGGCTAATTTTAAAATATATTTTTGGATGGTTGTAAGGAAATGGGTATGCATTTTGAATACCAATTTTTATGCAAGTATGTATAAATAAAAGGTTTACAGTGGATTTTTGTGACTAAATAGAATTTTAAGTAACTTCTTTCTTTTTTTTTTTTGAGAGGGAGTCTCACTCTGTCACTCAGGCCTCCCAGGTTCAAGCGATTCTCCTGCCTCAGCCTCCTGAGTAGCTGGGACTAGAGGCACGTGCCACCATGCCCAGCTAATTTATTTAGTATTTTTAGTGGAGACGGGGTTTCACCATATTGGCCAGGATGGTCTCGAACTCCTGACCTTGTGATCGCCCCACCTCAGCCTCCCAAAGTGCTGGGATTACAGGCATGACCCACCGTGCCCAGCCGTTAAGTAACATTTTGTATAGTAGGTACCCTTCAGATTTTTAAACTGCTGTATAATGACAGTTAATCATTGCATTCTTAATTGTATTTGCATCTTAAAGAAATATTCTTTATAAAAAATGCACTTTTATCATTTTATTGTAATAACATGTACAATTTACCATTTTAAACAGCTTTAAGTGTATAATTCAGCTCCATTATTTACATTCACGATGTTGTACAACCATCGCCAATATTCATCTTTAGAACTTTTCATCAACCCAAATAGAAACCCTGTATCCATTAAATAATAACTCCGTATTCCCTTTCCTCTAGCCCCTGGTAACTGCTATTATATTTTATGTCTCTATGAATTTGTCAATTTCAGGTACCTCATATAAGTAGAATTATACATATTAGCTCTTTTGCAACTAATCTATTTAGCTTTGTCTGATGATTTCAAGGTTCATCTGTGTTGTAGCCTGTATCAGAATGTCATTCTGTCTTAAGGCTGAATAACATATAATTGTATGTATATACCACACTTTGTCTATCCAGTCATCTCTGGGTGGACACTTTGTTATTTTCATCATTTGTCTATTTGAATAAAGTTTATATGAACAGTAGTATACAAAGTATGTTTTACTCCCTGCTTTCAATTCTGTGTACGTGTATATATATATTTATTTGGGGTATGTGCAGAGAATTGCTAAATCATGTGGTAATTTTCTAACATTTTGAAGAACACCAAACTTTCCCCCAGCAGCTGTACCATTTTACATTCCGCCAGTAATACACCAACACTTGATATTTTCCTTCTTTTTTTTTTATCATAACCATCCTAAAAGGCAAGAAGTGGAGGTAAAATGTGTACCTTTAAAACTTTTTTTTTTCCACCATAACTTGTGTCTTACATTACCCACAGGATTCTTGTGGGAAAGCACCCTAAATATGGTCTTCTTTAAAGTTATACAATTTAACCCCAAAAGATTGCTAATCTGAAAGAGATTGTAATCTAACTGGTCCTAGAAAAATGATAAACAATAATTTATGTTACCTAAATGGATAATGCAATCACTGGGGCGCTAATTTTATCAAATCATCTGCCATGTGATTTAGTGTCTGTGTGTGTGTGTGCAATTATTTTTAAGCGTTTGTTGTGTGGAAAATCCAACTTTATAATGTGTTATCTATAGTTTATTAGGCTTCTAAATTTGTTTTGTCTTTATCAGTGCAAGAATGTTGGCCCTAAGAGGAATTTCTTTTCTTGTGCATGTATTTATCAGTAATCAGCATTTTGCTAATCTAGACTTTATACCCATTTCTTATTTTTTCCAGCTTTTGTATACATTTCTAATAAAAATATATTCCAACTCTCTCATTAATTTGCTTATCCAAATAAAACTCTTTCCTAATAATCAGCCTCAAAAGAAAAGAAATGAAGACTATTTAAATGAAATCCAGGGAAGATTTGAAACAGTTAATTGTAATTAAAAATTGGGGTTTTTTTGGCCTGGCACAGTGGCTTAAGCCTGTAATCCCAGCACTTTGGGAGGCTGAGGTGGGCGGATCATGAGGTCAGGAGTTCAACACAAGCCTGGCCAACATGGTGAAACCCCTCTCTACTAAAAATACAAAAAATTAGCCGGGCATGGTGGTGTGTGCCTGTAATTCCAGCTACTCGGGAGGCTGAGGCAGGAGAATCACTTGAACCCAGGAGTCGGAAGTTGCAGTGAGCCGAGATCATGCCACTACACTCCAGTCTGGGTGGTAGAGTGAGACTCTGTCTCAAAAAAAAAAAAAAAAAAAAAGTGTTTTTTTTTTTTTAATTTCAAGCATAAGTGCCTGCTTAAGGATCTGAACTCCCCTTTTACAAGCTGAATGAGGACACTGACACAGACGGAGGAACTAGAATTGTGTTAGAGCCTGAAAGGTATATGTGTACACAGTTATAAGACAATAATAATCTTTATAAGCTAATATAAATATTAGCTTATGCAGTAAAAAAATAGAAAAGACACCAGATGAACTCTTTCCCAGATTAAATGCTAACAAAAAGCTAACAAACCGGAAGTCAATAAATGCATCATTTTACACAAATTCTAAAATGAGTCATAAAAAAGTTTTAAGACATTGTAGGAGTATAAAGGTAGAAATAGTTTGGGGACTATCTACAAAAACATAGAAATTAGCTGGTTTGAAATATAAAAGCTGTCTATTAGGTCTACTTTACCAAAATACCTAGATGGGTAACTTATACACAATAGAAACTTATTTTTCACAGTTCTGGAGGCTAAAAGTCAAAATCAAGGTACCAACAGATTTGGTTCTTAGTGAGGGCCTGTTTTTCATAGGTGGCATTTCTATACATTGTCACATAGTGAATGACAAGCTGGCCTCCCTCAAGCCTCTTTTGTAAGTAATACTAATCCTATTCATGGAGGCCGATTCTCCCATGACCTAATCACCCCTCAAAAGCCCCATCTCTTAATATCATCATAAGCAGAATGCTTAATAGCACAGGATTCTGCCCCTGGGTTCCCCAAATTCATATTCTTCTCACATGCAAAATACATTTATTCCATCCCAATAGCTTCCAAATTCTTAACCCATTCCAGCATCAACTTTTAAGTCTAAAGTCCAAAGACTCATCTAAATATTATCGAATTCAGAGATGAAAAACTCAAGGTGTGATTCATCTTGAGACAGCTTTCTCTCTGGCTGTGAGCCTGTGAAATCAAACAAGTTATGTGTTTCTAAAACACAATGGCAGAATAGGTATAATATAGACATTTCCATTTCAAAAGGGTGAAATAGGAAAGAAGTTAAAAAAAAAAAAGTAAAAGATCTCAAGTAATTCCAAAACCCAACAAGACAAACAACAATAAATCTTAAGGCTTAAGAACAATTCTCTTTGACTCAATGTACCACCTTCTGGAAACACTGTGGTGAGGATTGGGCCCCCATGGCTCTGGACAGACTCACTCTCATTGCTTTGTTGAGTGTAGCCCACACAGCAATTCTCAGGCATGGGAGTCATGCCTGTGACTCTTCAATCTGGAGTTGCACACCGGTAGACCTTCTGGTCTGGACTTGCTGTGATGGTTCTGCTCCCACAGCTCCACTAGGCATTGCCATAATGGGTGGTCTCAGTGGTGGCTGTGCCCCAGTGGGTAAGTCTCTGCCTGGACCTCCCAACTGTCCAATATATCCTTTGAAATCTACAGGAAGTTAGTCATTTCCCCACAATTTGTGCACCCCTAGAGATGGCAATACATAATGCTGCCATGGTTTACCACCTGTGCCTTCCAGAGGGGTGGCCTGAGTAGAACATGGGCTCACCTGAGCCACAATTGCAGGAGCCAAAAAGTCTTATACCAAAATACAGAAGCAGTGCCTTGAAATTATGTTGCCAGCAAACCCTTGGCATTCTGGATGGTGATGGGTGGGGCAGCCCCAGAGAGCTCCGAAATGCCTCCAGTGTCATTCTTTTATTTTCTTGATGAATAACATCTGGCTTCCTTCTCTCCATACTAATCTCACCAAACACTCGGCCATATCCTTGATGTTCTTTTCTGAAAACATTTTCTCATCCTTTACAATATGGCCAGGCTGATAATTTTCCAAATCTTTAAATTCTGCTTTTCTTTTGTTTATGTAATCAGCTTCAAATAGGCAAACAATGATTACTACACTGTAAAGAATAGTGGAACAACAATATGTAAGACACCCAGGTCCCTGAAAGACTTCATAGATCAGAGCCACTCTGCTAACCTGGGCCACACTGAATATAATATGATTGAGAAATAAACAAGACATAACTTTCTTAGCTTTGCCTATTCTAGCCCCCATCTGGTCTGTAATAGGCCTTTTAACCTTCGTTCTAAGTCTCACTATTTCTTGCCTTATCCAATACAAAAATTCTGCTATGGTTAAACTCTGTCTTTATCTCCTTTCTGGAACATGTCAATGGATAACATTTCCAGTTGTAGGTGGTTTTCCAGATATAGAGATATAGTTATTACTATTACTCTCTCTTCAATCCTAAACTTACCCATGTAGTCTGCATTACTTTCAGAATAAATATCAAGCTCCTTTATGAAGCCATGCAAGATCCTTCATAGTGTGTCCTGAATTTATCTTTTCAATATTTTTCCAAGTACCTTATACTTTATCATATTAATTCTTGTCTGAAATGCTAAGTCCCATCAATTTCATACACATCTACATGCACTTGTCCCTCAGCTGTCATTGTTATGCCCAATGGAATTTTACTTAGCCTTTAAGAATCAGATCACGCATTATGACTTTTAAACCTTCAATTGCTTTAAGAGGTGTAAATAATTTTTGGTTCATATGCTTCATCAATTTGATTTATTATAGTGCATTTTAGTTCAACACATACTTATTCCTAGATTGTCTATATTGTCTGTATATAACATGGTAAATTATTTGAGATAAAGAACTATTTCTCATTCATTTGGTAGGCCAAGTAACTAGGATAACACTTGGTTTACTGTAAGTACTTTTATTGATTAAATTTGCAAATAAAAATCCAGTAAGCCTATTCGTAGTGCTATGGTTTGCATAAGTCCCCCAAAATTCACGTGTTAGAAACTTAATTCCCATTGCAGCAGTATTAGGAGGTGGGATATTTAAGAAGTGATTTGATCATAAAAGCTCTGCCCCCATGAATGAATTAGTGCCATTATTGTGGGAATCCATTTGTTATCTCAAGAGTAGGTTCTTATAAATGATGAGTCAGCCCCTGCCTCTCTCTCTCCCACCCATGTGATGCCTTCTGCCATATTATGAGGCTGCAAGAAGGCCTTCAGCAGATATGATCTCTTAATCTCAGACTTGGAATTCTCCAGAATTATGACCGAAATAAATTTCTGTTCATTACAAATTACTTAGTCATGACTACTATGTTATCAGCAGCAAAAAAAAAAAAAAAAAAAAAAAACAAAGAATCAGATGGGAAACTGGTACCAGAGAATGGGATGTTATTATAATACTTGAAAATGTGAAAGTGGCTTTGGAGCTGGGTAAATGGTAAAGGCTGAAGTACTTTTAAAGTGAATTCTGGAAAAAGCCTGTATTGCTATCAATGGGGCATTAAGGGTGATTCTGGTGAGGGTTAGAAGAAGAAAATAGCTGTAAGGAAAGTGTGGAACTTCTTAGAGATTACTTAAGTGGTTGTGACCAGAATGTTGGTAGATATATGGGCAGTGAAAGCCATTCTAATAAGGTTTCAGGCTGAAATGAGGAATATCTTATTGGAAAATGAAGTAAAGGTCATCCTTCTTATAAAATGGCAAAGAACTGTCTGAACTTTGTTTTTCACCTAGGATTTTATGGAAGGCAAAATTTAAGAACAATGAATTAGGATATCTGGCAGAAGAAATGTCTAAGGAAAATATTGAAGGAGATGCATGGCTAATTTTAATTGAATATAGTAAGAGGCAAGAGTAGAAAAATGATTTAAAGACAGAATTTATAACTGAAAGAGAAGCAGAAGGAAAGATTTGGAAAATTCACAGCCTGACCATATAATGAGTTAAAAGATGTCTTTAGAATAACAAACCAAGTATGTGACCAAGACATAGTTTTCTAAAGAGATTAATATTGACAGAAGGGAGCTAGGTACTAGTTATCAAGACAATGGGAGAAATACTCTGAAGATATTTCAGAGATCGTCAAGGCTGTGCCTTCCATCTAGTACCTAGAAGTCAAGGTTTCCAGAAAGATGGCTTTGGGACTTCAGCATTTGCTTTTCAATGCCAACTCAAGTGTCTACTTCCCACGTTCCAACACATCACTCTTCAGCTGCCCCAGCCTTGGCTCAAGCAGGCTCTGTTGCTGTTCTAAAAAGGTACAGGCTGTAAACGTCTGCAGCATCTACATGGTGCTAATTCTGCAGATGTGCAGAGTGTATGAGCTGTGGGGCCATGGAACTTTCCACCTAGATGACAAACGATGTATTGGACAGCGTAGGGATCCAGGAAGAGACTTGTCATAAGGGTGGAGCCCCCACAGAGAGCTCCCACTAGGACAATACCTAGTGGAACTGTGGCAGTGAAGCCACCTCAGAGATTCCAGATCTATAGAGACACTGGTTTACAATTTCAGCCTTGGAGAACTGCAGGAATGACACTCCAACTGGTGAGAACTGTGGCATGGTTTAAGCCCAACAAAGCCATAAGAGTGGAGCTATCTGAGTCATTGAGAGCTCAATCCACTCAGAGTGTTCAGGATGCAGCACATGAAATAAATGATTATTCTGGAGGTTTAAGATTTAATGCTGTCTGCACTGTTGGGTTTGGACTTACCTGGGGCCAGTTATTTCTTTCTTCTTGACTATCACTACCACTTGAAATGATATTATCTATTCTATACCTGTCCCACCATTGTACTTCAGAAACATATAACTTGTTTTAAAAAAATTTGACAGGCTCAGAGTTGGAGGAGAATTTTCCTCAGGAGGAATTGTGCCTTGAGTCTCACTCAATTACCGTCTAATTTAATTTAGATGAAATTCTGGACTTTGGACTTTTTACTTAAAAGTGAAAAAAGTTAGGACTTTTGGGTCAATTGGGATGAAATAAATATATTTTGCATGTGATAATGTCATCAATTTGGGGGGCCAAGGGAGGAATGCTATAATTTGAATGTGTTCATCAGTGTTCATGTATTGGAAACTTGATCCCCAATTCAGCATTACGGAGAAGTGTGAACTTTAAGAGCTGATTGGGTCATAAGGACTCAACTTTCATGAATGAATTAATGCTGTTATTCTGGGAGTGAGTTTGATATCTTGGAAGTGGGTTTATTTTTATGGGAGATAATTCCTTGTAAAGAGTGAGTTTGGCCCCATTTTATCTCTCTCTCATCCACGTGTTCTGCCATATTATGACACAGATGCTGCCCTGCAATCTTGGACTATCTATCCTACAAAACTATAAGCCAAATAAATTTCTGTTCATTACAAATTACCAAATCTCGAGATTTCAGTTTTAGCAACAAAAATGAACTATGACACAGAGCCACTCATAAAATTAATACAAAGTTTGTGATTAAAATTCAGATAAATCAGGCTAATGGGTTGTCAACCACACCAATTAAAGCAGTAGAATATTTAAAAATATTTAGAAGGGGATTAATTTGGACTCAAACTCATAAGAAAGGCTTCTTGAATTGTATTATTATAAATAAGGGGATAATTAGTAATAAAAATTGGGGCCAGAACTTCATGTGCTTCCTCCACTAAGAACAAGAATCATTTCCATCTAATACAGTAAATTTTATGCAATATTCAGTGAGCTATAGAATCTGAAATAAAATCAGAAATTTAGTTTTTTGCTCTGTCTACCTCAGGCCTATTACTCGAAATTAAACTTTATGTTAATAAAGATAATATGAAAGCATATGATTTCCACAGGGTATAGTAAGAGGGTCATTTAGTATGTAAGTAGTAGAAAACATTTCAGTGTATCATATAATATCTAAAAATGTATTGTATTTAAGATGAGAAAATTGTATTTTCCATTTTAATTTACATTTAAGTTTTCTCTTAAAAATAAATGTTAAGATTAAACAGACCATAGATGACAACAATTCTGAAGACATGGAAAATAAACAAGTTCAGAGGCTTTTTTGCTGTTATAATCAAATAACCAATTAAAGCTGACTTAAAAGGAGCTATAATGCATTTGTATAAGTCTATTCTCACACTGCTAATAAAAACATACACAAGATTGGGTAATTTATAAAGAAAAGAGGTGTAATTGACTCACAGTTTAACATGGCTGGGAAGGCCTCAGGAAACCTACAATCATGGGGAAAGGAGAAGCAAACACGTCCTTCTTCACATGACATCAGGGAGGAAAAGAATGAGAGCTGAGCAAAGGGGGGCAGACCCTTATAAAACTATCAGATCTTGTAAGAACTTACTCACCATCAAGAGAATAGCATGGGGGAAACCGCCCCAATAATTCATTTACCTCCCACTGAGTCCCTCTGATGACACATGGGGATTATGGGAACAACAATTCAAGATAAGATTTGGGTGAGGTCACAGTCAAACCATATTATTCTACTATGGGCCCTCCCAAATCTCATGTCCTTACATTTCAAAACACAACCATATCTTTCCAACAGTCTCCCAAATTCTCAACTCATTCTCACATGAACCAAAACGTCCAAGTCCAAGGTTTCATCTGAGAAAAGGCAAATCCCTTCTGCCTATGAGCCCATAAAATCAAAAGCAAGTTAGTTACCTCCTAGATTCAATGGAGGTACAGGCATTGGGTAAATACCCCCTTTCCAAATGTGAGAAATTGGCCAAAACAAAGGGGCTACAAGCCCCATGCAAGTCTGAAATCCCATGAGGCAGTAATTAAATCTTAAAGTTCTGAAGTAATCTCTTTTGACTCCATGTCTCACATTCAGTTCACCCTGATGCAAGAGGTGGGCACCCATGGCCTTGGGCAGCCCTGCTCCTGTGGCTTTGCAGGGTACAGCCCCCGTCCTGGCTTCTTTCATGGGTGGGCATTGAGTGCCTGTGGCTTTTCCAGGCACATGGTGAGAGCTGTTAGTGGAACTACCATTCTGGGATCTGGAGGATGCTGTCCCTCTTCTCGCGGCTCCACTAGACACTGTATGGGGACTCTGATCCCACATTTCCCTTCCACACAGCCCTAGAACAGATTTCCATGAGGGATCTGCCCCTGCAACAAACTTATTCCTGGATATCCAGGCATTTACAGACATCCTCTGAAATCTAGACGGAAGTCCCCAAATCTCAATTCTTGACTTCTGTGCACCCAGAGGCTCAACACCTTGTGGAAGCTGCCAAGGCTTATGGCTTGCACCCTGTGAAGGCATGGACCAAGCTGTACCTTGGCCCCTTTTAACCACAGCTGGGACACAGGGTACCAAGTCCGAAGACTACTAAAAGCAGCACGGCCCAAGAAACCATTTTTTTTCCTCCTAGGTATCCAAGGCCTGTGATTGGAGGGGCTACCACTGAAGGTTTCTGACATACCTTGGAGATGCTTTCCCCATTGTCTTGGTGATTAACATTCAGCTCCTCTTTATTTATGCAAATTTATGCAGCAGACTTGAATTTCTCCCCAGGAAATGGGTTTTTGTTTTCCTATTGCATTATTAGCCTGCAAATTTTCCAAACTTGTATGCTGTGCTTCCTCTTGAATGCTTTGCTGCTTAGAAATTTATTCTGCCGGATACACTAAATTATCTCTCTCAAGTTGTAAGGTCTACAGATCTCTAGGGCAGGGGCAAAACTGCTGCCAGTCTCTTTGCTAAAGCAGAGCAAGAGTCACCTTTGCTCCAGTTCCCAACAAGTTCCTCATCTCCTTCTGAGACAACCTCAGCCTGGAATTCATTGCCCATATCACTATCAACATTTTGATCAAAGCCATTCAACAAATCTCTAGGAAGTTCCAAACTTTCCACATTTTCCTGTCTTCTTCTGTGCCCTCTAAACTGTTCCAACCTCTGCCTGTTACCCAGTTCCAATGTCGTTTCCACATTTTCAGGCATCTTTATAGCAGCACCCCACTCTATCCATACCAATTCACTATATTTGTCCATTCTCACACTGCTAATTAAGACATAACCAAGACTGGGTAATTTATAAAGGAAAGAGTTTTTATTGACTCACCATTCTGCAGGGCTGGGGATTCCTCAGGAAAACTTAAAAACATATCAGAAGGAGAAGCAAACATGTCCTTCTTCACATGGTGGCAGGGAGAAGAATGAGAACTGAGTGAAAGGAGAAGCCCTTTATAAAACCATCAGATCTCATGAGAACTTACTCACTATCATGAGAATAGAATGGGGGAAACTGCCTCCACAATTCAATCACCTCCCACTGGGTCCCTCCCATGATGCATGGGGATTTGGGAACTACAATTCAAGATGAGATTTGGGTGGGGCCACAGCCAAACCATATCAGCATTTCATCACATAAAAAGAACACTGGGGCAGGTATATACCTGGTTTGGTCCAGGTACTCAATAATTGTAATCAATAACCTGACTCTTTCCATTTTATTATCTAACTATCCTCCATATTTTGTCTTGGTCCCTTAGGACCGAGTGTTCTCTTAGGATATATGATGGCTGTCCCAGTTCCTGCCTGGCGTTATATGTAGGTACTGTAATACCTGGGAAAAGAAAAGGAGCATTTCCTCCTATTGTTTTTTTTAAATTTATTTCTTATAGAAAATAATATCTTCAATAGTTTCTTAGGAGTCATTTCCTCTAGTATCATTGGCTAGGTGTGGTTAACATGCCTATATAATAAAACCATACAGAGCTGGAAAAGGGAGTTTCTGGCATTTTTGGTCTCTGTGCTGGACACTGAGCTTTGTCACATCCTGTGAATATTTTTACAATTACACTTATTTCATTCTGCATGTATACTTAACTAGATTGTAGGCTTATCAATAAAAATACTTTATTTGAATATATATACTTAATATTTCAATGAATTATCTTTCTTGAAGTGAAAGGAAGGAAGGAAGGAAAAGAAAGAAAGAATGAAAAAGAAAGAAAAGAAAGAAAAAGAAAGAAGAAAGAAAAGAAAGAAAGACAAAGAAAGAAAGGAAGAAAGAAGAAAGAAAAAGGAAGAAAGATGAAAGGAAGGGAGGGAAGGAAGAAGGGAGGAATAGAAGAGAAGGAGGGAAGGAAATTAATTGTAAATTTTAAATGGGGAGAGGATCTTTCCCCTTGCCCAAGCTATGTCACTCCAAAGAAAAGTCTAGACAAAAATGTCCAACTAAGTGAACACCATTAGAATAATATATCAGGCTACTTATTTATTGATGCTTCTTTGGAATCATATTATGTATACCTACTTTCAGGCATCTCTCCAAATGCCAAGCTACTATTTCTTCTCCATGGCTCAAAATACTTTCCTTAATGCTGCATAGCTTCATAGGAGTTGTATTAACAGTTTCCAATTTCAGATAAATAAATTAACCAGAGCTACTTCTGATATACATTTTTGTTTCTTTCAGATCATACAATCATTTTGAAAGTTATTAATTTTTAATCACAATGAAGTTAACATTATATATTGTAGAATGATTGACTAATTAGAATAAGAAGGCAGAAGTCCAAGTTGAATCTAGTTCCAGTGATTTAATGCATAGCTTTGGACTCAAATGTATACCACTTAGAACACAAAGTTTCAGTTTCTGTGGTAAGCACCTCATTTTCATATGCCAGCCTATGCTTTATGCTAAACAAGGGCAAGGCTGAGCTGCATTATGATGCCCTTCAGGGTGCATATTATAATATAATGGGCCCAATCTCACGAAAGTTGAAGTCAGAGTGCTTTCCAGGGCTCCACAAGGAACAATAATGAAGCATGAAATATGCTGTGGAGTGGGGTAGTTAGTGCTTTTAAAATGACCAACACTGCTGAAATCTGTCTTCTAATATGTGAATGAACATTACTGACAAAATTCATGGCATAATGAAAGCTGTAGCATAAATATTGAAAAAGTGGAAACTTTTGGCAAAGAAATATGTACTGAGGAAAGAAACAAACTTGTTCTTTGTAATTGATAAGTATCAGTTGCATTTAGACATGCTTTCTATATGCCAACTTGATCATTAAACATAAATTATTTCAAAGCAATACAATTATTTAGAAACTTCTTTTAATTTAGATTCTCTTTCTCTTCTTTTGACCATTATAATAACTGTCTATACACTTACTTGACATATAATGGGTTCTTAGTATTACTGAATGTGTAAGTAAGTAGATTGGAAAATTCATTCTCTCCTCCAACTTGAAGAAATCCTTTCATAACTTCAATGCTGCACATCAATCCTTCACACAAAAAGATTATTATAGCCATTGATTGTCCAACATCTGAAATTATTTTTCTTAATATTGTCTGTAACAGGTACGGAACATGTTGCACTTAAAAGTAGGTACTGTTATGATATTATACAATATTTCCATACAGTTATATGATCGGGCTCTTGAAGTATAGTTCATTTTCTCCTTAGCATCTTCTGGTCTGTATTTAGCTCATTGCTAATCCTAGCTATTACAGAGACTCAGATGGGAGGATTGCTTAAGCCCTGGAATTCAGTAAGCAACAATCATGCTGCTGTACTATTCCAACTTGAGCAAAAGAGCAAGATTCTGTCTCAAAAATAAAAATGATCTTTCTAGACATTTTGGAATTAGCTAGATGAGTAATAAGGAAAAAGATTTTGGACAATGAGAAAACAACATATACAAACATATAAGGACTTATAAAAACACAACATTTTGAAGAAATGTGAATATTTCAATAAGAGTATTTATAAAAATCTAATTAATAACAAGTTATAGATAAGGATATAGCCATATCTAAACAGTGAGGAGTCAAAAAATATTTTATCTGAGAGAGTAGCCTCATCATAATCAGGATTTAAAAAGATTAATCTTTGAGTAATAAATAAATTGAAAGATAGATTTTAAGGTTAAGAAAATGGAGATTGGGAGACTAGAATATTGACAAATTTGCAAAGTGATTAATCTTGAACTTGGGCAAAAGCATTGAGGAAAGAGAATGGACATCCAGAAGAGATATTTAATTAAGTTTGGAGGACATAGCAGATTAAGAAGAAAAGCATAAGAAGTTTTGAACATATTAATTTTGAGGTCCTTGAAGGATGTCCAGAATTTAGCAATCAAATATTTAGTTAAGACATAATTTGGGAAGTTATTAGCATTTGGATATCGTTGAAACAGTGGGCATAGATGAAATGTCCAAAAAACAGTATAAAGAGGTAGACCAGAAGATGACTGAGACTAAGACCCCTGTGAAGCACTCAAATGAAACGACTTGAAAAAGGAACAAATTAAAAAGACTTGCAAAATAATTAAAAAACTGTAAAGTTTAAAAGACCTGCAACTTGAAGGAGGAACCAATGAAAAAGACAGTAAAGTCAAATTGTACTGATGTTAGGCATGTTTGCATTCAAATCAATTATTTGTACTGCCCTGTTTGGCTCTGTTTATGCAAGCAGTCTGACCACTTCAAGATGATTCTCTGGGCTCTAATGCCTCAGGTAGCATATCCAACACCAACTACATTCATCCCCACTACCTCCTGGTATGCTAGCTGCCTCACCTGGCTGCTGTAGTTCAAGCTTCTGGACCACAAGAAAATATTTTGTGTCTTCATCCTGGGGTTTCTGGTCACTTTTGGCTTTTGTTAATTTCTGCATTGCTTCTCTATTCCTGTTGGCTTTTGGCTTTTCTGTCACCATTTTAATCCATTTGCTGTAAGAAAATTGCTCTGTTTCAAATACTTAGTGTAGTTTCTGTTTTCATAATTGAACTTTTACCAATACAAAAAGACTTTGGGGTCATGTAAGCCAAGGAGACCCTTTAAAAGAAAGCAATAAGTGTTGCAGAGAGGTTAAGAGTTGAGAATAGAAAATCAATAAGCCACTAAATAAGGCAGGGTTTCTGTTTGTTGAACAATATATCAGCTAGGATGTGGTGGAACTGGACAGAAAACTGTAGATTCCAATCTCTGATTACACAATTTTTCTGTATTACATACTGTGTAAATGTTAAACTTAGCACAGATCTTTCCTAATAATTCGATATTCATGGATATCTGCCTATTTCTGCTGCCATAGCAATGACTCACATAATATAGCTCTTAGCGTCACCTAACTCTGCAATACCAGTGATAGAAATGAGTCTACAAGCCTTCTGAAAACATTTGTACCTGGTGCTCCATTTAACAGCACCTAGCAAGAAACACTATAATACATTCTGAAGAGACAAAGTAAACATCAGAATCATACTCATATGACACAGATTTTGGAAATGTCAGAGAATTTATAATAACTATAATTAATAATTAATATATTAAAAGTTCTAATAAAAAACAGTATAAGGGAACCTCTGTATTTTTTCAGTAAACCTAAAAGTACTCTAAAAAATTTTAAAAAATTGTATTAGAAATCCCCTCCAAAAACACTCCACTAAATAACATGGAAGAGCAAATAGTAATGCAAGAAGAATGATAAAAAAAATTTTTAAAGTACCTTTTAATTAATTCCCTTTATTAAAGAGAAATAAAAAAGAAAAAGTAACAACAACGTAAGAGAAATAAGAAAAAGTTTTGAGGTACTCATCACTAAACTGGACATTGCCAAGTAAAGAATCAGTGAGCTTGAAGATACCTCAATAGAAACTTCTCAAAATAGAATGCAAAGAAAGAAAAAAAGTAATAATTTTAAAGGAACAGAATTTACAAGATTCATAGGAACATTTCAAAAGCTGTAACATATACATAATTAGAATAACAGAAGTAGAAGAAAAATAAAGTGAAACAGATAAAAATATTTGAAGTAACAATGGCTGAGAATTTTCTAAAATTAATGAGATTTGTGAAATCACCCATTCAGGGATCTCAGAGAACATCAAACAAAATATAAAAAAAAGAAATCTGCACATAGGCATATTATATTTGAACTGCAGGAAACCAAGGACAAAAACAAACAAACAAAAAATGTGAAAGAGTAGAGGGAGGGCAAACACACTCTACCTATAAAGTAATAAGAATAGGAATTACAGCAAACTTTTTATCAGAAACCATGTCAGCAAGAAAGTAGAGTGATACGCTTCAAGTATTGAAAGGAAAAAAACAAACCACAAATAAATGATTTTATATTCAGTGACATGAACATGAAGGGGTTATAGTCTCTCAAACAAACAAAAACTAAGGAAACTCTGGGCCAGCAGATGAGCCATTCAAGAGACATTAACAGGAGTTTTCAGAGAGAAAGAAAATGATGTAGATCATAATTCAGATCTACGTAAGTAGGTGAAGAACACTGAAGAACAAATGATGATGAACTACACCTTTTAATTTCTTATTCTTAATGGATTGAAATAACTGTTTAAAGTAATAAAAGTAAAATATATATTGTAATTTGCAGCACATGAATAAAAAGAAATGAGGAAGAGCAATGAACAAGGATGACAGGGTGAAACTGAGAGCACTCTGTTTATAAGGTGCATACATGACATGTGAAATGGTGGAGTGTTACTCTGATGTGGACTTAGATTAATTGTCAATGTATATTTTAAACTCTGGGGAAACCACTGCAAATTTTAAAGGAAGTACAATTCAGATGTGAAGAGGGGAGAAAATGAAATTATATAAAACATTTAATGAAACCAGAAAATATAGAAAAAAAGAGGAAAAGGAAAAAGAACAAGTGCAACAAATAGAAAACAATTATAAATACGGTAGATATTAAGCCAAGAATATTAATAATCCCTTTAAATGAAAATGATCTAAATTCTACAATTAAAGACAGAAATTATGAGAATGGGTTAAAATAAACAAGATGCAACTAGATTATATCTGCAAGAAAACCACTTTAAATGCAAAGAATCAGTAAGGATAAATGTAAGGGACGATGTATGCTAACACTATGCAGAAGAAAGCTGGAGCAGCCATATTAATTTCAGAAAAAGCAGACTTCAGAACAAGAAATTTTACCTAGGAAAAAGATGATCACTATGTTATTATAAAGAGGTCCAAGAATATATAAAAATATTTCAAGAGCATGTAGAAATCCTCAACCTATATGTACTGGACAACAGTGATCAAAATACATGAGGCAAATTCTTATAGAACTACAAGGAAAATAAGTATGCTATTATAGTTGGAAATTTCATATCTGTTGTCAGGAATTCATAGGTAGATAGGCAGGAAATTAATAAGAATGTAGTTGACTTGAACAGAACCATTAATTATTTGATCTAATGTATACGTGTAGAATATTTCATCCAGCACAAACAGAATATATATTCTCAAGCTCACATACAACCTTCACAAGGATAGACCACATTCGAGGGCATAAAAATGACTGCAAATATTTAAAAGAATAGAAATTGTATAAATTACGTTTTCAGACTACAGTAAAATTAGCCTAGAAATTAATAACCGAAAGATAGTTGAAAATACCAAAAGTATTTGGAGGTTAATCAGTACATTTCTCAATATTCAATGAAGGAAAAAATTCAAGAGTAATTTCAAAATATTTTAACTAAATGGAAATGTAAATGAAAGTAAAATTTATCAAGATGTGTGGAATGTAGCAAAAACAGTGCTTAAGGAGACATTTATAACTTTAATGTATAAATACAAAAAAGATGTTTATAATTAATAGTCTAAACTTTGCTTTAGGAAACTAGATAAAGAACAATTTAAGCCCAAAACAAAGAGAACAAAATAAATAATAAAAGTTTAAAGTATAAATCAATAAAATTAAAAATAGAAAAAAAGTGGAGAAAAATTAATAAACTTAAATTGGATACCTGAAAAGATAAATAAAAGATGAACTAAGCTAGGATAAACAAGTAAATTAAAAAAAGAGGCCTGGCCTGGTGGTTGACACCAGGCCCCATTTATAACTCATTTAAAAAGATTTGGTTAGTAGGAAAAAAAATTAATAGCTTCATATTTAAAGGCTTTTGTACTGAATGGGAAGCTTCTATTGAGTTTACCTTGAGCTAATAAAAGACTAAATAATTCCGCAGCCCATTAAAATTATTTGAGTGATGCATCAAGCCAACAAACCATTAATATTTTTAGTAAATGTTCGAAACACTTAATGCCTTATAGAAACAGTTTTATGTCTGCTTAAAATTTTAGATTATTGAAACCCTGTTATTTAAACACTGTTTTCCAAACAAATAACTGCTTACTCTTAATTTCAGAGAGAAAAACATTAAGCATCATCTGTTCTTTGTTGCCCTGTATCATACTGTTTCTCATTTATATTTTTAACCTATAATGAGGCCTTCTGCGTGGAGCAGTTCACCAATTTCTCTGCATGAAAATAATGTAACCTACGCTAGCTAATGCTACCTAAGGAAAGCAGGCCCTTGAAAAAGAAACACATTTTTCTAGTAGTAAATCAGATATATAAGCCCTGTTAGGCAAATTACCAATAATTATAACAAAATTAAGTTGAGGTTTTAATTATTTATAGGTCATTTTCAGGCTTTGGTTTTGTATCAACACCTACCTTCAATTTTTAATAGTAGACATTTGTTTGCAAAATGATTCATGAGCTTCATGAACACATATACATTGTGTGGTTCCAGTATAAAAAGAAATATACTAACTAGAAGAGTGCAAAGTCAATTGTGTGAATTAAAAACTTAAGAAGAAATTCAAGTTACTAAAAATAAAATATATAATTTTCTAACAGCAGTTAGAGAAGGAAGAAAATTTGATAAATTTAGTAAAAGTCAGGAAAAAATATAAAAAAGCAAACAGCATGATAAAGAGCAAAAAGCAAGTGGTGTGATTATATTATATGTAAATATTACACATATTCATATTTATAAATATAGTATTTGTAAATAATATTATTAAAGTTAACAAAATCCAGAAGAATGCAATTTTTAAAAAAGGGTAACTAAAATATAAGCACAGAAGAATATTAAAAGCGGAAAAGAAAAATAACTTTTAACAAACTTTAGTAAAAGTAATGTTTGATTGGCTAGACGATTATTACAAAAGACTCCCAGATGAGAAGTCTAAATAGTGACAAAGAGATTCATTACTAAAAGATAAAATTTAATCAGCAGATAAAGAAAAAAGTCCCAGGAAAAGGAAAAACAGGAGCAATAATTCAGAACAACTAGACTACAAATAGTGAGTTGGGAAAACAGGGAAACTGGCATAGCTTGACTCTCAATTTCATATGAGATGTTACAGAGGAGGTAAAGAATAGTGCTTCACAAGGTGACTGGTGATATAGTTTCAAATTTTTTTTTTTACTTACTGAGGAATTTAAAATGTTCTTGCAACCATTCATGTACAAATTTAATTATAAAGTACAAAGTATTTTACTAAGTATCAGTTTTTTAGAAATGATTAAATGAGGTAGGTACTTTCTGTTCAGTGTCTGACAGTCTAGTGTGGGGTTAAACTAGTGAATCATTTATTATAGTATAAGATGTGAAAGATCTACCCAAAGTATGAGGAAATAAGTCAGGGAATGAAACCCCAGATATCACTCAGGTCTTTCAAAAAAAGATAACTGATTACTCCACTGATTAACAAAACAAAAAGCCAATAGTTTCAGCAAGGTAACCTTTCTATTAAAAGCATCAAGAAGTCAATTTCTTAATGGGGCCAGAAGGACCATGGAGAAAGATGGTGTTACTAGACCCCTGAAATCAGGGTGATATGGTCTGGATCTGTGTCCCTCCCCAAAACTCATGTTGAAATGTAATCCTTAGTGCTGGTAATGGTGCCTGGCAGGAGGTGATTGGATCATGTGGGCTATTTCTAATGGTTTAGCGCCATCCACTTTGGAATTGTCTTGGCAATAGTGAGTGACCTTTCATGAGATCTGGAAAAGTGTGTAGCATCTCCCTCATCTCTCTTCCTTCTGTTCTGGCTTTGTGAAGAGCTGGCTTCCCCCTTTGCCTTCTGCCATGATTGTAAGTTTCCTGAGGTCTTTCCAGCCATGCTTCCTATACCTGCACAACCAGAAGCTGATGAAATTTATTTCCAGTCTCAGACATTTATTTGTAGCAGTGTGAACTAATGCAGAAAATTGGTATCAGTCTCAGGTATTTCTTTATAGCAGTGTGAACTAATGAAGAAAACTGGTACCAAAAGTGAGGTATTACTATAAAGATACCTGAAAATGTGGAAGCACCTTTGAAACTAGACAATGTGCAGAGTTAGAAGAGTGTGGAGGCGGCCAGACACAGTGGCCCATGCCTGTAATCCTAGCATTTTGGGAGGCTGTGGCAGGCAGATTGTGAGGTCAGGAGTTCAAGACCAGCCGGGCCAGCATAGTGAAACCCCATCTCTAATAAAAATACAAAAAAGTTAGCCAGGCATGGTGGTGAGTGCCTGTAATCCCAGCTACTCAGGAGGCTGAGGCAGGAGAATTACTTGAATCTGGGAGATGGAGATTGCAGTGAGCCGAGATCACGCCACTGTACTCCAGCCCAGGTGACAGTGCGAGACTCCATCTCAAAAAAAAAAAAAAAAAAAAAAAGAATGTGGAGGGCTCAGAAGAAAACAAGAATATGAGGGAAAATTTGGAACTTCCTAGAAACTTGTTGAACAGTTGTGAGGAAAATGCTAATAGTGACATGGACAGTGAAGGCCAGGCTGTCAAGGTCTCACATGGAGATGAGGAGCTTATTGGGAACTGGAGTAAAGGTCACTCTTGCTTTGCTTTAGAAAGATCCTGGGTGCATTGTGCCTCTGCCCTAGGGATTTGTGGAATGTTGAACTTGAGACTGTTGATTAAGGGTAACTGAGAGAAGAAATTTCTAAGCAGCAAAGCCTTCAAAATGTGGGCTGTCTGCTTCTAACAATGTACGTTTACATGCATGAGCAAAGAAATGAACTGAAACTGGAACTTATATTTAAAAGGGAAGCAGAGGATAAAAGTTTGGAAAATTTGCAGCATTGCTATGTGTTAGAAAAGAAAAGCTCATTTCCAGGAAAGCAACTCAAGCCTACTGCAGAAATTTGCTTAACTAAAAGGAAGTCATATGCTGATACCCAAGGCAATGGAGAGGCCTCAAATGCATTTCAGAGACCTCTGTGGCAGCCCCTTCTATCACAGGCCCAGAGGCCTAGGAGAGAAGAATATATTCATGGGGTGGGACCAGGGCTTCACTTCCCTGTGCAGCCTCAGGACACTGCTCCCTGCATTTCAGTCACTCCAGCTCCATCTATGGCTCAAAGGGGCCCAGGTACAGCTTGGACCACTGCTTCAGAGGGCGTAAGCTTTAAGCCTTGGTGGCTTCCGTGTGGTGTTTAACCTGTGGGTGTACAGAGTGCAAGAGTTGTGGCTTGGGAGCCTACATTTAGATTTCAGAGGATGCATGGAAAAGCCTGGATATCCAGGCAGAAGCCTGCTGCAGAGATAGAGCCCTCATGGAGAACCTCTACTAGGACAGTGCAAAGGGGAAATAGAAGGTTGGAATCTCCATGCAGAAGCCTCACTGGGGAACTGTTTAGTGGAGCTGTAAGAAGAGGGTCCTCCAGACCTTCAGACTTGGAATAGTATCTCCACTGGCAGATTGCACCCTGTGCCTGGAAAAGTGACAGGCACTCAGCACCAGCCCATGAGAGCAGCTGTGGGGGCTGAACCCTACAAAGCCACAGAGGCGGACTCTCTAAGGCATTGAGAGCTCACCCCTTGCATCATTGTGCCCTGGATGTGAGACATGGAATCAAAAGAGATTATTTTGGAGCTTGAAGGTTCAATGACTGCCCTGCTGGGTTTCAGACTTGCATGGGGCCTACAGCCTCTTTCTTTTGACAGATTTCTCCCTTTTGGAACAGAAGTGTTTACCCAATGCCTGCACCCCCATTGTATCTTGAAAGTAACTAACTTATTTTTGATTTCCCAGGCTCACAGGTGGAAGGGACTAGCCTTATCTTAAAGGAGATTTTGGACCATGGACTTTTGAGTTAATGCTGGAATGAGTTAAGACTTTGGGAGTTTATTGGGAAAGTATGATTGTATTTTGAAATGCAAGAAGGATATGAAGTTTGAGAGGGGCCGGGGCAGAATGATATGGTTTGTATCTGTGTCTCTGCCCAAATCTCATGTTTGAAATATAATCCCGAATGCTGAATATAGGGCCTGGTGGAAGGTGATTGGATCGTAAGGGTGGTTTCTAATGGTTCAGCACCATCACTTTTGGTATTGTCTTGGCAATGGTGACTGAGTTCCCATGAGTTCTGGTTGTTTAAAAGTGTGTAGCACCTGCCCCCTTCTCTCTTTCTCTTGTTCCAGCCATAGGAAGTACTGACTCCCCTTTGCCTTCCACCATGATTGTAAAGTCCCCTGAGATCTCCCCAGGAGCAGAAGCTGTTCTGTTTCCTGTACAGTGAGCCAATTAAACTTCTTTTCTTTATGAATTACCCAGTCTCAAGCATTTATTTATGGCAGTGCCAGAATGGACTAATATACAGGGCCACCTAAAGAGATCTGAAACTGCAATGAAAGTGTGGGGTAAGTGGCCTGATAAGATTTGGACCATGGAAGGAAATAATTGGAGTTACAGAGAGAAGAGGCACAGCCCATGCCAGAATGATTGGGTGTGGCAGAGTAAGAGAGGGAAATATATCCTGTTTCTCTCTGTTGTCATTGGCTGGACCTACTTGAAAGCCAACTGTTAAATTATCCTTTCAAATGTGGTTCTCTAAAATGCAGATCAGAAGCATGGGGGAAATAAGAATAGATAAGAAAAAGACAAATTACCAGCACCTGGAGCCTTAAGTGGAGGGCATGTAAATAAGTAGATGACCAAAAATGCTTTTAGGACATGGGATTAAATTATATTTTGAAGAAAAATTTAAGATTGGTTAGACTAATGATGAATGAGAAAGTGTTTCAGAATATAATTTATGTTAAACAGACATAAATATTCATGAGAAAAAAATCAAAAACACTGAGCATGAAAGAGATACAAATATATATGCTGTTATTGGATGTTAAAAAGCTATTGGAACAGTGACAATTTCTCTACATTAAATGCAATTCCAATCAAAATGATAACAGGATTTCTTTGAGGCACTTGACAAACTAATCCTACAAATTATGTATATGATAAAATGAACCAAAATAAGTGATATACACATAAAAAAGAACAAAAAGGCGATAGTAGGACAGTTATTGGCACAGAAAAAATGAAATAAAGGGCAATAGAATGTAATAGACAGCCCAAAACAGGTCAAAACTTACAGAGATTCGATATATGAAATAGGTAGCACTATATATGTGAAGAAATCATGACTAAATTTTGCTAAGAAAATTATTCTCTGTATTTGAAACAAATTGAATTAAGCCCTATGTCACACCTTACACAAATGTGCCAAACTGGTTTAAACCTTAAATGAGAAGGGCAAATGCCAAAACTTCTAGAAAACATAAAGGAATATTTTATGTTTTATTTAGACGGTATTTTTAAAAAACTAAACAAATTGTACAGGGCACAAAACAAAATAGTGATAACTAATACCATATCAAATTTCAACATATATCAATAATCTATTATTGCTGGGTAAATGCAGCACACTACTTAGTGGGTTAAAATAACAAGTATGTAGTATTACTTACGAGTTTGTGTCAGCTAGGGAGTTTTGCTGATCTGGCCATGATTAGCTGATCTCAGTTGAGCTTATTCATATATCTGAGGTCAATTAATCAACAACAGAGAAATGGCTGACTATTGGCTGGAGCAATGGTTTTTACTGGACCACATGCCTCGTCCAGCAGGTGACCATGGATACCTTCATATTTCAAATGTAGTGTTCCCAGAGGGAGAGAATAGACACAACACTGATGATCAAGACTAGCACAATGTTGCTTCCACCATATTCCTGTGGCCAATGCAAACTATAAGCACATCAAGATTCAGGAAGTGGAAAATAGCCACTGCTTGTTGAAGGGAGGAGCTGCAAGTTCATATTGTATTACTACAGAAAAGTACAAAGATAAGACAGAGAAAAGATATTTATAATACATTAGCAAAGTAATTGTTTTAGAGCTATTGTGTTTACTACTGTGCATTCTGGAAGAAGAGATATATTGAGCAATTCAATAGAAAAGAGGGCGTAGAAGCTGACCGATACATATATAGACATTTGTCATGCAAGAAAAGGACAAAACTTTTAATAAAAATGGAGCTTAACACGCTTGGTTATAAATAAGGGGAAAAATGTGCACTACTTCCCAGCAAACACAAAAATCAATACAAAAGTATCTCCAGCAAGGATCACAGTAGCAGCATAGACTGTTGAAATAGCTAGGCTGCAAATTTTGCGTACAGTAAATTATAGGAGATAACAGAAAGACATAAACTAATAATGATCAATGCTGTACAATTCAAGTAGATTGAATAATATTAAAAATATAGAGAAACTAAACAACATTATCAATTAGGTAAAGGTAATGATATATGCATATACCACATATTTTCAAACCCTGATATATTTATTACATACTCTACACTGATACTAGGGAAAGCACCTTCTTTTCAAGAGAGCATGGGATGTTGGCCAAAATTAACCAAGCAGATACATGGGACCAGAAAGTAAAGACAACTAATTTTTAAAAGTGGAAATAGTAACTTTCAGTATTCCTTAAATACAATGCAACAGAATATTAAATATTTTTAAACCTTCCATTTGAAACATTAGAAAAATAGAAAATAAATATATTTCTTATTAAACAATATTTGGTCCAAAGGAAAATATAAGGAGTTGCAGATATAATGATAAGAAAACTGTGACTCAGAAGGCTCTTTAGGAGTTAATGAAGTGTTAAATGGAAAATTCATGGCACTAAATACTTAACCTAGTAGATAATGAAATATAGCAAAAATTCAAAGTAAAAAGGTAAAAAAAAGAGAAGGATGAAATACTCAATAAAGTATTTTAATAAAGTTAAAAGAATAAGACAGTAGAACAAAGATGCATTTATGAAAAAGTTTATTCTTTAAAAAATGAGGTCGGTGCAGTGGTTCACGCCTGTAATCCCAGCACTTTGAGAGGCCGAGGAGGGCGGATCACGAGGTCGTAGTTCGAGGCCAGCTTGGCCAACATAGTGAAACCCTATCTCTACTAAAAATACAAAAAATTAGCAGGGCATGGTGGCGGGCACCTGTAATCCCAGCTACTTGGGAGGCTGAGGGAGGAGAATTGCTTGAATCTGGGAGGTGGATGTTGCAGTGAGCCAAGATGGCGACATTGCACTCCAGCCCTGGCGACAGTGCCAGACTGTGTCTCAAAAAAACAAAAAAAAAAACAGAAATTTCAGAAACAGCTGCATAAACTCCTATAAAAATAAGAAATGACTGGAGAGAACTAGCTAGTGTAAGGAAAATTTTAAAAAGAAAGTAAATTTTCAAGTTTATAAAAATAAAATGGAAAAAACTACATGAAATAAACATGCTTTTAAGATATTAAAGTTACTGGGCATAGACTTGTACTTACCAATAAGATGGGTAGACTAATGACTAAAATACACCTGTAAACTGTTATATTTAATAAGACGATATAGAGGAATTTTTTTTTTTTTTTTTTTTTTTTTTTTTGACGGAGTCTTGCTCTGTCAGCCAAGCTGAAGTGCAGTGGCGGGATATCGGCTCACCGCAACCTCCATCTCCCGGGTTCAAGGGATTCTCCTGCCTCAGCCTCCCGAGTAGCTGGGACTACAGGCATGCACCACCACGCCCGGATAATTTTTGTATTTTTAGTAGAGACGGGGTTTCACCATGTTGGCAAGACTGGTCTCCATCTCTTGACCTCGTGATCCGCCCACTTTGGCCTCCCAAAGTGCTGGGATTACAGGTCTGAGCCACCGTGCCCGGCTGAGGATTTTTTAAAACAGAAAGTATGAAAATATTTTATTTAACTAGACACGGAAGTACAATCTATAAAGAGCAAAATGGATCATTTTTTAAGTATTATTGGTTATCAAAAGTCATAAACACAAAAGCAGAAAGAAAAGCCCTGATGGACTTCATATGTGACTTATAACCGATAAGAAATTCACTTTCAAAAGATGTAAAGAATTACTACAAATCAACAGACAAATATTTTTAAAGGGAAAGGAAACGAATAGCCATTTCAGACAACAGCAAACAATAATGAAACACAAACTGTAAAATAACGTGCAACCCTGCTAAGTCATGGAAATACAAAGTAAAAATATTTTATACATAATTACAATTGATATATTTATAAAAATTTGTTATATAAGGTATAGCAGATTTATAATGGTAAATGTTTGGGTATACAAGAGGATATTGAGCATTCCTAAGAGTGAAAGTTTTTACCCACTTTCTAAAACGACTGGCATTACATAGTGAAACAATAAATAGAAGGTATAAATCAGCAATTTCAGTCTTTGTACATATGTAACAGAAAATGCATGTAAGAATGTTTGTGAAACTCTGATTCTTGTAGGATATGTACCTTTATTTAGGTATGTAAATTTTTATCTTCACATTATAGTGCTGAATTATTTTCCAACGTAAGAATACAAGCTTACACTCTCACCAGAAAGGTATTTGCGTTCTCATTGGCTCAAGTTTTCACCGACACTTGTTATTTTCAGATTTACCAATCTTTCCTAAACTTGTGACTATACAATTTTATTAATGGCTTAATGGTATTAATTCAAACACGAATTAGGTTGAGCAACTATGTGGGAAAGAAATATTGTCAACGTAATTTATTTATAACAGAAATATCTTTTTAAATATACATATTATACGGCAACAGGAAGAACATAATTAATCTATTATAACACAATTATAAATTGAGGTTATTTATTGATTTAGCATGCAGTGTACCTTTTTATTATTTTAAATTGTGAAAAACATCATGTATTCATGAGTTTATGTAAATATCTCTTTGTGTAAAATATATAAAAGTACATTTTAAAAATGTATAAATCAGACACCATACACAATGCACTCTCCAACAATGTTAGAAATAAACCTTAAGCACCAGGAGACATGTAAAAGAAATTTCAGAGTAGATAAACAGAAAAAACTAAGGTAATATTTACTGACAGTAACTGGACAAATAAGTTGTCATATATGCACTTAATGGAATAGCATATATTAGTGAAAATGGTTGAAACATAAAGACAAGCAGCAACGTGTATCATCTTATTATCATAATGCTAAGTGAAAAAGTCAAATCACAGAAAAGCATACACAGTGTGATGTGATCTTTTCAAATCACAGAAAAGCATACATAATGTGATGTGATCTTTTTGTACCTCAAAAACAAGGGGAACCAAGCAATATTCTGTTTACATATACATATATATGAGGTACCTGTAGTAAATAGTGATGGTGTATATAGTTACTGGCAATAGTAAAATCACAGCATCTTTGACCTCATGGAGTAGTTCCCTACAATTAGTTTAATGTAGAATAAAATGTCCAAGCTTGCTTTGGATATTTTTCTGTATGACATTCCAGTACCACCCAAAAGTGCATGCCTGCTGCATTACCACACAAATTAATGTTGACTTTGAAGGAAAGCAATGATGAAAATTTATTCCAGTGGGCAGACCATAGAGTTATACATTTGTGGTCCACTTTGAGAAAATGGCCAGAATTTTTGATCTACATTGACTCATGAATGCTTGCTGATGGTTTGATTGGGTGATCACAGGCTGAAGTGGAATAAGCTTGAAAGACTGATATAAAAGAATCCCAGAAAAGATGACTCTCTCAAAATATGCATAGATGATGAAAATATTGTGTTTCAAGTTAATATGCACTAAAAGACATCCACTGCTAAATCCACTGTAAATCATGGGTCGACCAAATGACTTACCTTGTGGATATTTGTGTCTTTTTCCCTAACCAGTCCAGTGTCTTTTCAATTGGCTTATGAATAATAGCAGGACAGAACTTATGCGTGGGCTTAAGAAAACAGACTTCCCCTTATTAAAGCCTTACCCTTACCAAGGACTTTACAACCATCATGATATTCTGTATAGCATTACTTCTGAGCAATTGATTCATTTCACAGTAAAGGAATTACAGCAATGTAGTCGTGCCCAATGAGTAAACTGGTCTTACTTATCTCATATCGCACCACCCAAAGTGCCTGTCCTAACAGAAATTTCAAAGTACTTATTGAACACTCGTGTACAATGACAGTACAAGACAACCCTCTGAATGGATGGAATTCTGTCTTATGGATACATTTTGTGCTTTGATCAAAGACCATTATATGGTGTGGTCTTGCAACACATTTATTCTTGTGAACAGAGCAAATTAGTCCTGGAATAAAGGGGTGAAGTGTTGGTGTCTTTTCCCCCTCTGATGTACCTCATAATCCCCAGGCAGAATGTTTATTTTCTGTCTAAGCACCTTTGAGCTCTCATGTTTTAGAAGTCTTAGTTTCAAAGGGGATAATGTTTCCACCAGTGCACAAACATTGGTTTCATTAAATTGAAGGTGAGATTGCTGCGTGGGAATTATGGGTTCAGAATAACACTGAAGCAAAAAGCAAAGAAAGGGGGCTACTCTCCAAGCTAGAATAATAGATGCTAATTACCTAAGGAAAGATGGTTTGCTGCTATGCAGTGAGGACAGAGGTGATTCCATCTGGACCGCAGATTTTTCTCTTGAATATTCCTTATTACTTCCATGTTCAATATAAAGGCTAATAGAAAATTACGGTAACCAAAAAGAAAGAAGGAAAGAACCCAAACAATCTGGGATTCTGGCTGAAAGCAAAGAAAATATGGAATGGGTACTGGAAACAAGTCGTAGATATCACAATGACCTTGTGACCAATTACAAAAGTGATAGTAGTAGTTTTGCATATTTCATTTCAATCATTAGCATATATAGAAGCTTGATTAACTACTTTTTCCTTCTTTCTACTTCTTTCCCTTGTTATTTTATGTAAATTGTTTGATGCTACCTTTACAATATAATGTTTAGGTAATGGAATATTAAATGAGATTTTCAATAAATTTCAATAAAAATTTGCATAACTAACAGTAGGTACAATAATACTGGGACACGTGTATCTTTATTAGGGGAGACAGTGAGTACCTTAAAAGTATGAAGAAGTTTCCTATCTTTAGGTGGACACATACAGTTGTTTTATTGCTGTGTAAATGTTCAAATGTCGTACAGAAGGGTGCAAGTGTGGGTAGAAGGATGCCTAGGCTAAAACAGGAATGACTTTTGTTCCTTCTTCCAGTGTGTGGTTTCTGGCACAGCATCCACTTGATAGGATACGTGTGTGTGTGCGTGTGTGTGTGTGTATGTGTGTGCATCCTGTGGCTTTTGTCCAGCTTGTCTCACGAGTTTCTCCCTATCACAATAGCAACTTTCAGGGTTCATCTTAGCCCTTTCCTTCCACTATTAAGCAGCTAACTGCTCATGCATTCCATCTGCAGCCTACACCCTATGACATTTAATCGAATTCTCTGTTCTCTGGCAAGATTTTTCTTTCTTACTTTCTTTTATACATATGTCTTTATTTTTTTAATTGACAAAAATTGTATACATTTGTGGTGTACAATGTGATGTTTTGGTGTATGTATACATTGCAGAAGGATAACCTCAATCTAATGAATATAGCCAACTTACTACCAACTATTTATCATTATTTTGTGACGAGAACATTTCAAATCAATCCTTTTAGCAATTTTCAAGTATATATTATTATTAACTATAGTAATTGTGGTGCACAACAGATCTCCAGAACTTATTTCTTCTGTCTAACTAAAACTTTGGATGTTTTGGTCCCACACCTCCTTATTCCTCTCCTTCCCCTTGACAAAGATAACTGCCATTCTACTCTGTTTCTACGAACTCAACTTTTTTTAGATTCCACATATAAGTGAGATCATGTGATACTTGTCTTTCTGTGCTTGACTTATTTCACTTAACATAATGACCTCCAGGTTCATTCACGTTGTTGTAAATGACAGGATTTACTTCTGTCTTTAAGGCAGAATAGTATTCCATTATGTATGTCTACCATATTTTCTCTATTCATTTATACTTTGATGGACATAAGTTAATTCCATTTTGGCTATTGTGAATGCCGCAGCGACCATGGGAGTGCAGATATCTCTTCAATATATTGATTTCATTTTCTTTGGATATATACACAGAAGTAGAATTGCTGGATTATATGTTAATTCTATTTTAAAATTTCTGAGGAATGCCCATACTGTTTTCCATAATGGCTGTACTAATTTGCATTCTCACTGACAGTGTACAGGGTCCCCTTTTCTCTATATCTTTGTCAACACTTGTTATTGTTTGTCTCTTTGATGGTAGCCATTCTAGCAGTTGTGATGTGATACACCCTTGTGGTTTTAATTTGTACTTCCCTGGTGACAATGATATTGAGCATTTTTTAGATATCCGTTGGTCATTCATTTGTCTTCTTTTGAGAAATGTCTGGCAAGTTTTTCACCAGAAGGTTACATATTTCTGTAACACCCATGCCATCTTCTCAGAGCTCTGAGTATCAGTTTTAGGGGCAAGGCCTTCTCTACTTTTCTAAGTTCCTTCTTTGTTTATGCTCCTGCGGTCTAGGAATAGTAGCTAATCCTCCATTTACTACTTTGCGCCCTACAGATTTCTCCTTCACCCCAGTTTGGCATTATTCACCTTTCACTACTTAGTGAAATAGTATTCAAGTTCAAGTTATTGGTGCAATGTTTATCTCCTATCTGCTATCTTAGGCCCTTAATAACATCTTGAGTAGTTTAAGTGAAATAGTACAGGGCTTTTCTCTTCTGCCACAATGGACCAACTACAGACCTTTGCTAGGGGTAGTTGTTCCACAAATTTTCATGAATTAAAGACAGATTTACACTTGACGTTCATGGACAAATTGTTCCTGTTACAGGAGGTAGCTAGACAAGCATGAGCAGGACAGAAGAGGGCTCTCCCTACCCTCTACAAGGAATGTCAGGTGACTGACTATCAGGTGATGGTGAAGTGGTTGTTAACTGTCTCTCTAAAATAATAATTGGTGGCAGGCAGCACCAGAGCAAGTCGGTCTCCCAATAAATAGAACAGACCTGAAACTAGTGATCGCAGCTTCCCAATGAGATCTCAGGAGTTGAACGAGTGGGCTCAAGTGTCTGCATTCAGAGGTAAAATGGCGGAGAGTTCAACTGGTATATGACTTTCTAGGTATATTTGAATGGTAAGGGAAGAATACCTCAAGGGAGCATGCATTCAACTCCAGTAAACACTCTGTGTACTCCCCTCCCAGGCGCTAGCAGGCCACTGTGCATGCTGAGAGCCCACCCCAAAGGAAGAATCAGGGTAAAAGGAATGCAAGACTCCGGAAGCATGCCAACAAAAAAACCTAAGTTAAAGGTCAAACACGGCACTTGTCTTTCAGGTTGCCTGCTTAGTCCTATTCCAAGTGTACTCGCCTTCCTTCAGTTCTGCTCTAAAGCTTTTTAATAAACTTTCATTCCTGCTCTAAAACTTGCCTTAGTCTCTCCTCTTGCTTTATGTCTCCTCCTTGGTCAAATTATTTCCTCTGGGGCAGCAAGAATTGAGATTGCTGCAGACCCATATGGATTTGCTGCTGGTAACATTCCCAAATGTATTGCCTCTAGTGAATAGATTTTGGAGGGGATGGTCACATGATAGAACCCTGGAAGGTGAGAATGGTAAAAATAAGTTATTTTGTGTTGTTTTCTAAAATTTTTAAATGTCACATTATTCCATTAATTGCAACAATATTTTGAATGCTTTTCTTTGCCTGGAAAAAAACATTTTTCAGGCTGGGCCTGGTGGCTCACGCCTGTCATCCCAGCACACTTTGGGAGGCCAAGGTGGGTGTATCATGAGTTCAAGAGTTTGAGACCAGCCTGGTCAACATGGTGAAACCCTGTCTCTACTAAGAATAAAAAAATTAGCCGGGCCTGGTGGCATGTGCCTGTAATCCCAGCTACTTGGGAGGCTGAGGCAGGAGAATCACTTGAACCAGGGAGGTGAAGGTTGCAGTGAGCCGAGATTTTGCCACTGCACTCCAGCCTAGGTGACAGAGCAAGACTCCATCTCGGTGCAGGGGGTAACATTTTTCTTAATATATCTAAAAATGCCCTAGTGGGAAACTACAAAATAGAGAGAGAGGGAGAAGTGGAAAAACAAATTTAAAAGTGTATGTGGGAGGAGGGCAGAGAGAGAGAGAGAATGAGAAATACCGGGTAATAATGAAAACAAGGTCATGGGGCTTATTGAATGAAGGTTGCACATTCTTGCAAAGCTTCAAGGTTCTCAGTAAGCAAAATACTTATAACTTGACTATTTGTAAAGAATTTACAAGGATACTTCATAAAAGTATCTTTAAGTGCTCAGTACTCAGTTTACAAATAGGTGCTAATGACAAACACTGACAGTTATATTTTACAACAAAACTACCTTCCTTGAATTACCACTGTCCTTAAACAGAAGAGAAAAGGAAGTTGAAATATTATAGGTAATTCAATTCTGCCTAAAAGCTGTTATAAACCAGTATATTAAGATTAAACAGGTTAACGTTTTATAACATATATAGAAATTAAGAAAAAAGTTCTAATATCTGCTAAAATACAAGCAGCTAAGCTCTCCAAAATTATAAAATGTAAAGAAGCTAGATTAAGCATTATATATGATTGTAACTAAATTTCTCTACCCTGTATAATGTAGTTTCTCAAGTATATTCTATTATTTGTTAAAAATGTCTCTGTGCCATATTTATAAACATAAATTTAACACACAATTGTTCTGGAAGAATAAAAATAAAATAAGGAAATTATTTTTTTATCTTTATCAAATGAATATTTGCTTAATAAAAATAAAAAATATGTTTTCATAGTTTTTATCTTGAGCTGGCAAGCTTTTTGTGGCATTTTATTTGGCTTCTGAAAAGCAGTATTCAGTTACAATAATGAAGCTTTAGAGATAAGCTGAACATTCGATGTTCTCTAATTTAGGACAACTAAATATTAATACTAAAATTAATCCTAAATGATGCAAAAGCTGCTCTCAGAAGGTCATACATTTGTGAGATTTTTCTATTTTTCCAAAGAACCTTTGAGAAATCAATTTCCTCTCTTTTGGCAATAAATAGTGCCCCAGAGTACTAAAAGAGTAATTTGATTCAATCTGATGGAGGTGTTTGCTGTTAGTAGTTTATTTATAAAGTATTATTATAAGAACTGCATTCCGGAGTGTGGTTCAACTCATTTATGGGAAGTCTCTACTGAAAAGGAAGAAGGTAAGGCAAAATTAGTATAAGTAAATAGTTTGGGCCAAACTTTGGAGCATAAATTCAGTTGACCTGAATAAATACTCCATCAGCAACAGTTACAAATCAGCTTTTAAAGAAAAAGAAGAGGCAGTTTCTAAGTTGTTTAAGAATTTACAATAAAATAAGAATTTACAATAAAATAAGAATTTACAAAATAAGAATTTACAAAAATAAGATATTGATTGCGCCTACATTAGGAACCTGAAGATAATCGGTGAGGCAGCTAGTCAGGAATAAAATGCTTTTAAACAATTGCCCCTGGGCATTAGTTTTGAGGGTGTGTGACTGAAGTCCTATACTGTTGACTCTTTGGGCCTGATAATTTTTTTTTTTTTTTTTTTTTGAGAGGAAGTCTTGCTCCATCACCCAGGTTGGAGTGCAATGGCACAATCTCGGCTCACTGCAAACTTCGCCCCCTGGGTTCAAGCGATTCTTCTGCCTCAATCTCCCGAGTAGCTGGGACTACAGGCGCGCGCCACCACACCTGGCTAATTTTTGTATTTTTAGTAGAGATGGAGTTTCACCATATTGGCCAGGCTGGTATCGAACTCCTGACCTCATGATCCACCCGCCTCAGCCTCCCAAAGTGCTGGGATTACAGGTGTGAGCCACTGCACCCGGCCAGGGGTAGGTATTATTAATAGTTACTGAGGTTAGCCTCAGGAGGCCAGAGTCTATTGAAGAACTGAGAAGTAAAACTGATTGAAAAGTGGTAATACTTTGTAAAACATTATAAAACTGATTGAAAATGGTAGAGGATAAAATGATGGTTACCGGGAACAAAGGTGCTCCTATTTTTTTCCAATATCTAATCTTGGGGAAGTGGAGTCATGAATTTGAAGATTTCAAGAGAAGCATTTCATCAGGAGTTAATATCCAGCTAGCACCTGCAAAAGGCTATGGTTTATAATCAGTTGTTAGACCTGGGAGCTTGGTTGGGGCCGGTGCGGGGGTGACATATCTGTGAGATTGAGTGTGGTAGCCATCACTGGAGAATGACTCTCTTTTATCTGGATAGTGGGAAGTATAGGAGAAGGAGGACAGAGAAGAGAAAAAGTTTTCTCAGGATGTTGGATAATAAGTAAAGGATGTGTTAAAGGTCAGTAAAAAAGAAGGGATATGACAAGGAGTAGACAAAGAAGGAAAATGGCAGCGTGATACAAACCCAAAGTGAAATCCTCATAGTTTTCCAGAGATATTGGTTAGGAGAACCAAATTAGATCCCTCCCACTTGTATTCAAGATTGTTTCTTCTTCCGTGTCTTTCCAGAAGACTATGTTTCCAACCAGAAGATCATGCAAAAACTGTAGCGGGATGCATGACAAAAGAAATAATTCACATGTTTGTGTTTAGTATGAAGATGTTTAACAAAACCTTGCCAGTATTTAAAAATATCTAATTGTATTAAAGCCTCCCTAGATCCAAGAGGAGTAAGTGATCTTCACTGGGCTGCTAATAGTTATTTCTTAAGAGATAATCAATGCAGAAAAGAGGGGCAGAATCACAGGCTCATCAGAGATAAAAGCAAGACTTTGGGCTGAGACAAGTTGAATTCTTTAGAGAATTTAGCTAGTTTGATTTAAAGAGTGTCATTTGCTTATTCTTTTTTTCTACAGAATTTATGCGAGTAAGGTACAATACGGTTTTTGTGAAAATGGAAATACTCATTGAATATCCTGAAGAACTTTACCAGTGGAATGCCTCTATTGCACGGGAAGAGAAAAAAAATTACTCAAGTGGAGAATCTTAGTTTTGGTGTTGGCAGTAGCCTGTTTTCAGGGAAAGGCTTATACCCATCTTGAAAATATGCAGGCTGTGGTTAGAACATATTTGTGCTCATGAGATTTTGGGAGTTGAATAAAATTTACTTTCTAGTGAAAAAGGAAATCTGGTTTGAGATACAATATACTATGACTATAGCTAGCATATAGTTGGAATGTACCAAGAACATATCAAGACTATGAAGTAAATCTATTTGTTAAGTTTGGAGTAGGTCCTAAACATCTATATTTTAATAAAACTCCATAGGTAAGTGATGTGAATGCTCAAATTCACATCACGAAAACCATCAGCCTAGAATATGCTAAAAGCAAATTAAAAAAGCAAAGTTGCAATTAAGGTTGCATTTTTAAAAAAATAGCTAAAATTGTATAACACCGTATTACTATTATCTAATTTTCTGCAAAGCAGCACCAGGACTCTGGTAAATTGAAAGATTTAATTGACAGTGAAGGCAATAGCAAATCCCTGGAAACTTTATGCAATTTCTTAAATATTTACATAAGTAACATTTCCCCATACTCTCCAGATTTTACCTCAAGAAGCCTAAGCTGTTCTGATTTGACAGTACCTCCATTCAGCTCATCAACAGAAATATTTTAGCATGTCTCTTTTTACAAGGTGAGATAACAAATCATTTGTGTTTTTCCAGAGGCCCTATTCTCATTTATGATCTGATTTGGGGATGGCAAAATAACAAAATATTCAGGAGATTCTAACAATTTAATAAAATCATAAGTTATTAAGAAAAACAATACTTGACTAGTTAAGTAGCTGTAAAATATTTTTTAAGTAAACATAAGAGGTAACATGCTTATAAAGAATCTTAGATCTTTTAAACGTGAGAAGACAGTATCCTCTCCATCTGAAATTTTTTCAATTACATAGAATCTTTGCCTTCTAGGCAGATTACTCAGAAGGTAAAGAAAAATCTTTGCAAACTTTTACTAAAAGCAAACCAAAAATCCCGAGATAATTTTGTCAGTTTAATGGAGAGAAAACGAAATTTAGTTTTGCATGAATATAATATTTGATATTAAAGCTAAACCCATCAAAACATAGCCAGCTTTGGTGGGGGCAAATGAAATTTCTTTTTTCCAGACTTTCTAAAATTGTCTATATGCATTCAGATTTTATCCTACACTTTCTTCTTTGTCATTCTAGGATAGTCAATTTACTTTAGGGCAGTAATATTTTCTTTTCCCTTAACACATATTTTATACCTTCCATAAAAAATTGTTCCTCTCTGTATTATGGCTCCTATGATCCTCTCATTCATATATAGTAATTAGAGCTTTTAACCACAGTAAGTTCAATTTCACAAAGAAAACTAAGAAGTAGTTAATTTTAAACTGTCATATACCAGCATTTTGAATTAGACCAGCAAAACCTATAAATATACATCTTAGGACTTTTTTTATAGCCATCCACATTCTTTATAGTGCAAATTCTAAGGTACAAAAATGATTGTGTGTGTGTGTATATATATATATGTGTATATGTATATGTGTGTGTGTGTGTATATATATACACATATATATACAGTCTATCTCTGTAAAAATATTAAAAATGAGGCCAAAAGTATATAAATTTAAATTATGCTCTGTATTTAATACTTCAGTATTTTTCTTGCTTAGAAATGATCCAGTTATGCAATGAATATCCATTAAATAACATAATTTGGCATATGTTCAGAGTTTTAAGTTACCTAATGATCTTGAAAACTATCCTCAAGTTTACCCACTGCAAAATATGATTGTTGAAATAGAGTTGTCAGAATAATGCTTTAATTTGGTTGAGCACAAATTTACAATTTTTATGATCTTAATGATCTAGTAGATGCAATGCTATCTTAGTCAAACAGTAAACCAGCATAACCTGAAGAAGAACTATCCAAGTGGGGTAAAATGCATATCTGTTTTTTTATTTGACACGGGTAAATCAGAAGACAGTTGATTTATTAAACGAAGCATATTAAATTAGTCTTGTTTGCAAACAAAAATTCCTAAATAAAGTGGTCAAAGTCTTAAAACATGTTAGTTTCTAAAGGCATACTTTTAGGCACATTGAAAGTTTTGTAAGTCCAATTCCCTGAAGTTTTAGAAAGTTTAATTAATAGAAGTGCTTACATACCTGTAAACCATTAGGATAGAGTTATTTGAAGTGATAATATAACCTAATTTGATAACACCATAAAATGTAGGAAAGTACTGCATACTCACAAATATATAAACGTGATAAACGTGTGTGCAGATGCAAAAGGCTTATTACTCAATGTTTCGCATCTAAAAATTGCTCTCTTCCTAATAGTTATGCTGGAGTATCAGCACTAAGCTCAGCTGGGTAGTAAGAGATCTTAGTAAGACAGAAAAAGGTTGGGATAAAGGAAAGTCAAGAGGTAGGTTATCAAGTTTCACCACCGTACAATTTTTGTATGCTGAGGCAGTGTAAGGTGAAAATAAGTGGTAGAATGTGTTGTCTCTATGTCACCTAGGAATATTATAGGATTTTCAAAGATAAAATGATTCTTTCCTTCGCTCTTTGAGACATTGAGAATTTTGAGGACAAAAGAGAAGGTTCCTGGGAGAAAAGTTACTAGAGAGACTGAATTTTGGACTCATTTCCTTTGATATTTTAAGGGCAGTTAAGGAAAGACAATTCTGAACTACATTTAAAAGGTTCTTTTAAATAATCAAAGTGAAATTTACATAACTTATAAAAAATCAGATTAAAGTATTAAAGTATATAATTCAGCAGCACTTAATGCGTTCACAAGGTTGTGCAACAATAGTTTCATAACTTTTCATCATTAGAGTAGAGCCCTCTGCCTACAAACTAGCCAATCCTAAATCTTCTCTTTACCTATTCTCTGGAAACTGCCGATCTGTTTTTCTGTCTCTATAAATCTGCTTATTTTGAATATTTTATGTAAAAGGAATCGTACAATGTGCAACCTTTGTGTGGTTTTTTTCCCTTAGAATATTGTTTTTAGGGCTGGCCCAAGTTGTATCATTATCAAAATTTGCTGCTTTTTATGGCTGAATAATTATTTCATTGTATATATGTACCACAATTTGTTTATCCATTTGTCTAATAATATAGATCTAGGTTGTTGCCACTTTAGGCTATTATGAATATGAGACAATAAACAATCATGGACAAGTTTCTGCATGTACACATATTTTATTTCTCCTGCACGTATACCTAGGAGTAGAATTCCTGAGTCCTATGATAAGTCTATGTTTAACTCTTTGAGGAACCATATAACTGTTCTCCACAATGGTTGCACCCTTTACATTCCCATCAGCAATGTATAAGACTTCCAACCTCCACATCCTTACCAACGTTTATTTTCCATTGTTTTGGTTATAGCCACCCAAGTGTGTATAAAGTGGTATCTCATTGTGGTTATAATATGCATTTCCTTAATTGTGAATGATGTTGAACATCTTCCCATGAACTTCTTGGATGCTTATATCCTATTTGGTGAAATATCTATTCGAATCATTTGCTTGTTTTTGAATTGGGTTGTTTGAGGTTTTTTGCTAGAGTTATAAGAGATTTTATGGATTCTGGATATTCAATACTTATCACACATATGATTTGCAAAATTTCCCCCAAGCCATAAGTTGAATTTTCACTTTCTTGACAATATCTTTTGATGCATGAATGTTTTAACTTTTAAAAAGTCAGGTTTATCTTTTTATTTTTAACTTTTTGTGTGCATGATTACAGTGTCAAATCTAAGAATCCATGCCAAACCTGAGGTCAGGAAGATTTACCTCTATATTTTCTTACAGTGTCTTACAGTTTTAGCTTATTAATTTAAATATTAATCTATTTTGAGTTAAAATTTTTATATGGCATGAGGTAGGGGTCCAACCTCATTCTTTTGAATATGTTTATCCAGTTTCACAGCTCTGCTTCTTGAGTGAATTGGTCATTCCCCATGGTCTTTGCATTCTTTTCAAAAATCAATTTTAAATTTCTTTCTGTATTATGAAGTCTATTCCACTTGTCTATATATCTATGCTTATGTCAGTTCCACACTGGTTTGACTACTGTGGCTTTGTAGTAAGTTTTGAAATTGACAATCATAAGTCCTTAACTTTGTTTTCTTTCAAAACAGTTATGGCTACCCAGAGCCACATGAAATTCAATAAGGTCCAAAATGGTGGCATAGAAGAAAGCAGGCTTCATTCCCCAGGCCCGCAGAAACCCAAAACAAATATACAGCACTGAGATTATTATTAGCAACGTTTTATACCTCAAGTATGAAAATGAGTCAGTTTCTGTGGCCACAGAGAAGTAGAAAAAAAAAAAAACCCTCCAGCAGATGGTAAGACATTCAGACTTCTACATTCACAATGCACTTCCCTGCAATGTGCCCAGCACAAAGCCTGTGGAAAATTTCCCGAACTCACGGTTTCTACACGGGAAAAAGGGAGATTGAGACAGACAACCAATTTCCCCAATATATTGTGTTCTCTGGCAGGAGAACTGTTTCTGCCTCAACCCATAGGAAGCACTGAGAATGCCTGGAGGGATAAATATTCCTTAGGACTGCCAGAGACCAAATTGGGAGGTGGGATGACCATCCACAGCTATAAAAACTCTGCTCCATAATTCGGATGAAAAAGATGCCAAATCAGAACAGCTGTTCAGTAGCACCACACTGTTGAAAGTTTGTTCCACAGGTTCCCTGGGCACAAACTCCTGGGAAGCTTTCTGGCACTCCAGGGCATTCTTTTGGCACCTCCCACATTTGGCAATGTGATTACTAGAACCAAAGCAAACCTGGGCTTAAGGCACCATCTAGTGCTGAAACAGAGGCAGTGAGCTGGTGGGGAAAAAACAAGATCAACAGGTAAATTACAAAGAGTAAGCAATTGTATCTAATTAAAAAAACAAACAAAAAAGCCAGACAGAGAAGACTGAAAGAAAGAAATAACCCTTTAATGCCAAATGTGGGTGAAAATCCACAAAAAAACTACAGAAATGGTGAATTGTCACCTCCCCAAATGAACAAAGCAAGGAACTAGTTACTGACCCTAACGAGATAATGATATGTGAACTCTCTTACCAAGAATTCATACAGCAGTTTTAAAGAAAATCAATGACCTCCAAAATAACACAGTAATGCAATTCAAAAACTTATGAGACATTTAACACAGAGACTGATATACTAAAAAAATCAAAGAGAAATTTTGGAACTGAGAAATATATTCGCTGAACTGAAAAAAAATCAAAGGCTCTCAACACTAGAGTGCATCAAGAAGAAGAAAGAATGAGTAAGCTCAAAGATAGGTTATTTGAAAACAGAAGAGAAAAAGAAATGAAAAGCCATAAAGATTGCAAACAAGATACAGAAAATTACCTCAAAAGACCAGATCTATATTAGGTGGTTAATGGCTAGGTTAAAAAAAAAGAAAGAAAAAGAAAAAAAGTCAAAATTTAAGAATTATTAGTGTTCAAGAAGGAGTTGAGCAAAAGTAAGGTATAGAAAGCTTATTCAAATAAATAATAACAGAAAACTTTGCAAAAGTTAAGAAAGAGATAAATATTCAACTGAAGGACGTTCAGAAAACACAAAACAGATTTGAGCCAAATAAGACTACTACAAGTGCATAATAATCAAATGCTCAAAGGTTAAGGAAGAAGAAAGGATTCTATAAGAAGTAAGATAAAAGAAGTAAATAACATATAAATGACCTCCAATTTGTCTGGCAACAGACTTGTCAACAGAAACCATACAGGACAGGAGGGAGTAGCATGACATTTTCAAAGTTCTGGAAGAAAGAATAAAACTCCTATTCCGCAAAGCTATCCTTCAAATATGGAGAGATATAGTGTTTTTTAGACAATGTTTGGGAAATTTACCACCATCGGACTCATCTTCCAAGAAAAGGTACAGAGAGTTCTTCAATCTGAAGAATAAAACACTAACATTAAAAAAAACCTCCAAGATATAAAACCCACTGGTAAAATTAAATACAAAAACAAAGCAAGAATACTCTAATAATATAATTGTGGTGTGCTATCTATTCACAAAGTTAATATAAAGCCCAAATGAAAACTCTATCAAAAACAATAATATGTACAGCAACGTGTTAAGAGATAGGCAATATAAAATATGTAAATGGAGACAACATGAAGTCAACATATTGGAGAGGAGGGGGAGAATTTATAGTGTAGAGGTTTTTTTTTTTTCCATTTGCTTTTTGTTTTCTATTCTTTTCTATGTGATCTAACATGAATTGTCATTTCTTTTAAATAACTTGGTATAAAATGTGTTTTGAAAGCCCCATGGTAACCACAATGCAATGTAATAGGTTCACTAAAAATAAAAAGCAATCAATTAAAATATACTACCAGAGAAAATCCCTTAACCGCAATGTGAGACAGAAAAACAAAACAAAACAAAAACAACGAAGACAGGAGTTACAAAACAGCCAGAAAACAAGGCACAAAATGACAGCACTAAGGCCTTCCTTATCAGTACTAACTAAATGTAAATTAAAATTTAAAAATTTAATAGGACTCAATTTTCCAATTAAAAGGCATAGCTGTGTGAATGGATTAAGAAACAAGACTGAACTATTTGCTTCCTACAACAAACCTACTTCATCTATAAAGACAGGCAGACTGGTTGTGCATGGTGGAAAAAGATATTTCATGCAAATGGAAACCAAAACAGAACAGACCAAGTTAAAAGACTGTAAAACAAACAGACAGACAGACAGATTGTTAAAACAGAGAAAGAAGGTTACTATATAATGATAAAAGCGTCAGATTAGCAAGAGGATATAACAATTATAAATACCTTTGCACCCAACATGAGTGCTCTCAAGTATATGAAGCAAACATCAATAGATTTAAAGGGAGGAATATACTGCAATACAATTTATATAAAGGGAATTCAACACCCCACGATTAGCACAAACAGAATATTCAAAAAAAAAGTGACAAAGAGATAGCAGAGTTCAGCTACACACTATACACACTGGACCAAATAGGTCTAACTGACTTTTTTTTTTCTTTAGAGACAGAGTCTCACTTGGTCACCCAGGCTGGAGTGCAGTAGCAAGATCACAGCTCACTGCTGCCCAAATTCCTGAGCTGAAACAATCCTCCTGCCTCAGCCTCCTGAGTAGCTGGGACCACAGGCCTAACTGACTTTTATAAAACATTTCACCCAACTGCTAAAGAATATACATTCTTTTCATAAGCACATGGAACATTTTCCAAGCGAGATGATATCATAGGCCACAAAACAAGTCTCAAGAAATTAAAAAATATATAGAAAGAATATCAAGTATTTCTAACCACAATGGAATAAAACTGGACATCAATAACCAGAGGAACCTTAGAAAATGCAAAGACACATGAAAATTAAACAGCATGCTCCTGAATCAACAACGGTTTAATGGAGAAATTAAGAAGAAAATTTAAAAATGTATTGAAATAAAAATGGAAATACAACATGTGAAAATCTATGGAATACAATAAAAATAGTACTAAGAAGGAAGTTTATAGCAATAAACACCTACATCAAAAAAGTTAAAAGACCACAAATGAACAACTTAATGATGTATCTCAAGGAACAAAAAGAACAAGAACAAACCCAACCCGAAATTGGTAGAAGCAAAGAAATAAGAAAAATCTGAACATAAATAAATAAATTTGAAACTAAAAAATACAGAAGATCAATGAAACAAAAGTTGGTTTTTTGAAAACATAAACCAAATTGACAAAACTTTAGCTAGGCTTCCAAAGTAACAAAAAGCCTGGGCACAGTGGTTCACACCTGTAATCCCAGCACTTTGGGAGGCTGAGGTGGGTGGATCACTTGAAGCCAGGAGTTGGAGACCAGCCTGGCCAACATGGCAAAACCCCATCTCTACCAAAAATGCAAAAATTAGCCAGGTGTGATGGTGCACACCTGTAATCCCAGCTACTTGGGAGACTGAAGCACAAGAATCATTTGAACCTGAGAGGCAGAGGTTGCAGTGAGCAGAGATTATACCACTGTACAATGCACTCCAGCCTGGGTGACAGATTAAGATCCTGTCTCAAATAAATAAATAAATAAAATAAGAAAACATACCAAATAAATAAAATCAGAAACAAAAAAGGATGTATAACAACTGAAATAACAGATTTAAAAAAAAGTCTTTAGAGATTATTATGTACAACTGTATGCTAACAAATTGAAAAACCTAGAAGAAACTAAGAAATTCCTGGACACATATAGCGTACCAACATCGAACCATGAAGAAATAGAAAACTTTAATAAACAAATAACAAGTAACAAGATCAAAGCTGTGATAAAAAGTCTTCCATCAAAGAAAAGCTCTGGACTTGATGACTTCAGTGCTAAATTCTACCATACATTTAAGAAGAATTAATACTATTTCTACCCAAATTATTCAAAAAAATTGGAAAAGATCTGAATACTTCTAAGCTCATTCTATGAGGCCAGTATTGCCCTGATGTCAAAACTTGACAAGAATACAACAAAAGATAAAACAACAGGCCAATATCACTGATAAATATAGAAGCAAAAATCCTCAGCAAAATACTAGTAAACTGAATTCAACCACACATTAAAAATATCATTCATCATGACCAATCATCTACACATGCAAGGATGGTTCGACATACACAAATCAATAAATGTGATACATCACATTAACATAACCAATAACATAAAACACATAATAATTTAAATAGATGGCAAAAAATTAATAATGTTCAACATCCCTTGATGATAAAAACCCTAACAAACTGGATATAGAATAAATATACCTTAAAATAACAAAGATCCTGCATAACCAACCCGTAGCTAACATCATACTGAATGGGGAAAAATTGAAAGACTTTCCTCTAAGATCTGGAACAAGACAAGAATGCCCACTTTCACCACTTTTATTCAACATAATTTTGGAAGTCTCAGCCAGAGTAATTAGAGAAAAGAAAGAAAGAAATGGCAGCAAATGGGAAGGAAATAAGTCAAATTAGCCATGCTTACAGACAATCTGATGTTATACTTAGAAAACCTAATGACACCATCAAAAAACAAAACAGATAAACTAATTCAGGAAGGTTGTAGGATACGAAATCAACATACAAAAATCAGTAGCATTTGAAGATGGCAATATAAATTCAGTAATCTGGAAAAGACATCAAAAAAGTAATTCTACTTACAATAGCTACAAATAATATAAAATACCTAGAAGCTAATTCAACCAATGAAATGAGAGATCTCTATAAGAAAAACTATGAAATGCTAATGAAAAGAATTGAAGAGGACACAAAAAATGGAAGAATATTTCATTTTCATGGACTGGAAGAACTAATATGTTAAAAAGACAATATTACCCAAAGCAATTTATAGATTTGTATAAAAATACCAATAAAATTATTCACAGAAACAGGGGGGAAAATCCTAAGATTTGTATGGAACCACAAAAGACACCCAATAGCCAGATCAGTCCTGGGCATAAAGAACAAAGCTGGAGGCATCACACTACCTCATTTCAAAATATACCACAAATCTATAGTAACCAAATCAGCTTGATACTGGTATTAAAACAGAAAATTGGACCAATGGAACAGAATAGAGAACCCACATATAAATCTATGCATTTACAGCTAACTGAATGTAAATTTTATCAAATACATTTCATGCATCAATTGAGATGCTGATGTATTTTTATTCTATTGATGTGGTATGTTACATATACTAATTTTCTTCTTTTGAATTGGTCTTGCATTCTGGAGATGATGTCCAATTGGTCCGTGTATATAATACTTTTAATATGATGTCAGATTTAGCTTTTTAGCATTTTGTTGAAAATTTCTGTATCTATGCTCAGAGGGGATATTGGTCTGTACTTTTGTATTGGTATCTTTGTCTGCTAATCTTTATACTTTCCAATATTGGTATCTGTCTGCTAATCTTTGTACTTTCTAATATGTTCTAGGAGGCCAAATGTTGGCCTCCAAATATTGATTTATTTCTTCTTTTTAAATGAAGGTATTCACAGTAATACTTTCTTTCTTTACTTTTTTTTTTTTTTTTTTTTGAGACAGGGTCTCGCTCTGTCTCTGTCACCCAGACTGGAAGGAAGTAAGTGGCATGTTCTTGGCTCACTACACCTCCACCTCCTAAGTTTAAGCGGTTCTTGTGGTTCAGCCTCCCAAGTAGCTGTGATCACAGGCAGGCACCACTATGCCTGGCTAATATTTGTATTTTTAGTAGAGACAGGTTTCACCATGTTGGCCAGGTTGTTCTACAACTCCTGGCCTCAAGTGATCTGCTGGTCTCAGTTTCCCAAGTGCTGGAATTACAGGCATGAGCCACCATGCCTAGCCAACAGCTATAATGTTTTCAATGTGCACGAGGTTTACTGCATTTCATTACTTTTGGTATGTTGTGTTTTCTCTTTACTCATCACAATACATAATGTGATGAGTGCATTGTGATGAATAAAAATATTTTGGTATGCTGTGTTTTCTCTTTATTTGTTATAATGTGCATTGTGATGAATAAAAAGAAAACACAATATGACAAATTAACTCCACAATTCCTGCATTACCACTTTTTAAAATAACTTAGCCAATGCATAATTGTGATGAATATTCTCTTAATTTTGGTATGTTTTGTTTTCTCTTGTGTTTTCTTCTTCGACTTACTGGTTGCTTAAGACGTGTTGTTAATGTCCACATACTTGTAAATTTTCCTGTTTTCCTTCTGTTACTGATTTCTAGTGTTATTCCATGTAGCCAGAAAAGATACTTTGTAGGATTTCAATCTTTTTATATTTGTTAAGATCTTTTTTTTGGTCCAACATATGATCCTAGAGAAAGTTTAATAAACACTGAGAAGAATATGCATTCTCTTTTTGCTGAGTTCAGTGTTCTACATGTGTTAGTAAGTCAAAGTGGCTTAAACTTTTGTTCATGTCCTCTGTTTCTTTCTTGCTTTACGTCTGGTTGCTCTGCCTATTGGTGAAAATGGGGTATTGATGTCTCCAAATATTATGGTTGTACCATCTATCTCCCCGTTCAATTCTATCAATTTTTACTGCATATATTTGTTGCTCATTTGGCATGTACAACATATATATTTATAATTGTTATATCTGCTTGCTGTATTGGCAATGTTTTTAATACGTAAGTTTTTGTTTGTCTTATAAACTCTTTACTTAAATATCATTTTGTCTGATGTTAGTATTCGTACCGCAGCTCTCTTTTGATTACAATTTACATGGAATGTCTTTTTCTACATTTTTACTTTTATCTTCATTATATCTTTATATATAAAGTGAGTCTCATGTACACAGTGTACAAATGAATTACCTTGTTTTTTTTTTCTGTCCAGTCTTCCAATCTGTAAGTTTTGATTGGATAATTTAAGCCATGAACATCTAAAATAAGTACTGATAAGGACGGACTTACTTCTGCCATTTAGCTGTTTGTTTCCTATATAGCTTATATGTTTGTCGGTTTTTGTTTTTTAATTCCACGATTTCTGCATTACTGCTTTTTTTTAATACTTAGCCAAATTTCTGCAGCATACCATTTTGATTCTCCTTTCCTTTTCTCTATATATTTTAGATATTTTCTTAATAGTTACCTTAGGGCTGAAATTAATATCTTACTTGTATAACAACCTACTTTAAATAATAATAACGTAGATTCAATGGTATATAAACACTACTACACATCTCTGTCCTTACTTTTTAAATTATTATTGTCACATATTACATCTTTTTACATTGGGTGCCAATTAAGACAAATTTATGCATTTTTCTTTTAAGTTATGTAGAAAAAGAAGAAGTATTAGAAACTCAATGTACACAAATACTGGCTTAGCTATTTAGTTATTGTTACCAGTGTTTCTTATTTCTTCTTATGGCATAAAGTTGTTATCTACCATGTTTTCATTTCACAGAGAAAGTCTCCTTCTATCATTTCTTGTAGGAAAGAAGTATTGGTAATGAACTACCAAAGCTTTTGTTTATCTTTAAATGTCTTAATGTATTCTTTATTTTTCAAAGATTGTTTTCCCAGGTATATAATTTTTGGTTGACAAAATAAATCAATCCAATGCTTCCTAGCCACAATGTTTCTGATGAGAAATTAGCTATTATCTTATTGAGGATTTCCTACACAGGATGGATCACTTCTGACTTGCTGCTTTGTCTTTGGCTTTTGACAGGTTGATTATAATATGTCCATCTGGATCTTTTAAAGCTTATCCTACTTGAAGTCCATTGGGCTTTTTAGACGTGTATGTTAATATCTTACATCAAACTTAGAAATTTACCAAATATTTTCTCTTACCTTTTTCTTCTCTTCCTTAGATTCCCATAATTTCTATGTTGCCACACTAGGTAGTGTCCCATATGTCACTTAGTCTTTGTCCATTTTAAAAAAATCTTTATTTGTTTTCTTCTCCTCAGGTGGGGTAATTTCAATTGCTCTATCATTAACTCTCCTGGTTCTTTTTTTTTTTTTTTTTTTTGGTCTGCTCAAATATGTTATTAAAACCTTATAGGAAACTTTTCATTTCATGTACTGCACTTTTCAGCTCCAGAATTGCTATTGGTTCATTTTTATAATTTCTATATGCTTATGATATTCTCTATGTAATGGTACATCATTCTCCTTGTTTTCTTAAGTTCTTTCTTCATAATTTTCCTTAGCTCTTTGAGCACAGTTAAGGCAGTATTAAGGGCCCTGTTATTATTAATGGGTATACATTTAAAGTTGTGTGCTTTTCTTTAGACAAGTTCAGCTACACACAATAGAAGGCTGGGGATTTGAATTCTTTAAATTGTAGGTTGCCGGTCCAGTTGAATAAATTGATTAAAAGAGAAAATTTAGGCTTATGCAAGATTGCCATTCTAATTATAAGCCATAGAATCCAAATTTTATTAGCAGAGATATGAAGGCATGAGGGTTTTCAGGAGACAATGAGAAACTGATAAGAGTCATTGGTTTGCATGGGATCAAATAATTTTGGGAAATGAGATAATGAAAACATTAAAAGTCATAATTAGAAAACTTAGAAAACTGGATACTTGGAGCTGAGATTATGTTGGGGTTAAAGTTACTGGTAAAAGCATTCATTTAACTAACACAACAGAGTGTCTTTTATGTGTGTTCATAGTAAATATTGTATGGCCCCTATTTAGTAGAAAATAAGAAAACTGAAATTGTAACTATGTTCTTGCCCCAGCACAGTAAGCACATAGGATGTGTGCAATAGCCAGATGAGTAAATGAGAATATATATTTTAGATAAAAGAAACTTAAATTAAATGAAAAAATAAGCTTTTATAGATACATATCTACTTAAAATAGATATAATTAAAGCCTGGGAACATGATATAGAAACAGTGATATGCTGGTAAATAGGCTCCCTAAGGACTTTGGGTGAACGGGGGAGCTCTGACTTCTAGTATTTTGTATTTCCTGAATGTAATTACTCCCACTATGGCCCATTTCAAGCTACCAACATATTATTACTACTTGCAATGTTAGTAAGGGATGTATAAATAGTCTCCTGTGAGCTGGTATGACCCAGCTCCATTACATCAGTTCTGCCTTTCTTAAAAAAGTAAAAATAATTGAGTGAATTTGATAAATTTTCCCTTAATGCCTTTTTACCAGACTCTCAGACAAATGTTTTCATTATGGCTACATGTAATCTAAATCTTAAGATTTAGAAGATTGATTATAATACAAAAATGCTGCAGTTAAAAACAAGCACACACATTAGATATGATGATGTTCAATTCTTCATCATTCAGCTTTTCAATTTTATAGATAAAGAAAATGAAGATGTAAAATACAATTACAGACATCTTACTTTAAATAACTGATCAGGGATCAGCATATGGAAGGTAACATAAGAAGAAAATTATAAATTAATTGAGCAGAAAAAAATAATTAAATAAGAAGGATTATTTAAATTAGGAGAAAACAATGAGAACATATTTAACATCCAGCACAATCTCTCCTAGACTGCTTACATATTAAATGCTATTTTTAATTATGGTTGTTTATATTTGTATTACCATCCTCAATTTGCATAATAATCTCACATACGTTTTCTGTTTTAAGTAGCTATTCACTTTTGTTTCTCTGGAATATTATAAATAGATGTGGAGCTATTAAATTTATTCTACACAGCAAACATGACCCTGATGATACTAAAATCTAATTTGAAAAATAGAGAAAACAAAACCACAGGCCAGTCTCACTTACGAATATACATACGGAAGCATAAAAATATTAGCATAGAATTCAACAATACATTAAAAGAATACTGTAAGCTGTCATTGAAGTATTTAACTACAAAATGTAGGGATAGTTCAATATAAGTAAATCTATTAATATAATACAATAAAAAACAGCAGAGTGCAGGAAAAAAGTGTATTGGCTGTGGAACCTCATTGCCTAGATTTATGTCCTTGCTGTGCTATATTGTTCAAAATTTCTTTTTTCCAGACTTGTCATGGCTTAACTTTAGGAGTATATACTAATTTGCCCCTCTGATGCTGAGCTGTGACCCGTTTTGCCAATGGAATGCAGGTACTGGATATGAGCTGAGGCTTTTAGACGTAGATTAGGTTGGTGCTAGCCCTGTTGAGAGAACCATTCATGGGAACAGCACCCCGTTTAAATCAACACCCTTTTTGCCTAGGTCCCAAAATGAGAAACATGTGGAACAGATCTGAACCAAACCCAAAGTTTAGCACTCAGTTCGGCCAGCGTAGGCCAGCCCAAATCAGATGAACTGCTGCAGCCAACCTACTAAGCAATGGACATAAAATTAATTAGCTTGAAGTAATGTAGCCACTGATAGATTTGAATGGTTCATTATACTGTCCTAGGCATAATAGCTAAATAATACCGTAGCTCTGTGACCCTGGGCAGGTTATTTTACATTATATCTCCATTTCACCTTCAGTAAAAGGTAAAATAAAAATACCTATACTTGATATTATAGTGAGGATTACATGATTTAGTACATATTAGCTACTTAGAGCAGTGTATTATACAGCAAGTATTCAATAAATATTAACATTATTTTTAGAAAGTGCAGTATCATTTCATCTTCTGCTAAAAACATATAACAGTTTAAATATTATTTTAAAAAGTAGAGCAATATTACTTCTTCAAAATGTTGAAGAATATATTTTAAAAGTGAATAGCCATAATAACATTTTGTATGAAATTTTTCAATTTGTAAAATATATAATACACAGGCCATCCATGTATTATATTTCATTTAGTAATTAATTCTCAGAAAATAATTATCTCCCTAGGTAGTATTATAAGCTTTCCTTTAAATGAAACAAAAATATGTAACCTATGTTTTCCTTCTTTTTATCTTGGTTGTTAGGAATCTCTAAACCAAATAGACTGTTCACGTATAAAAATCAAAACATCTCAATATGTATTACATCTATTTATCTTCTACTAGTGTTTTTTTAATGTAAGTGCGCTTCATATATTTTTAAATATGGCCATTGCATAATTCTTATAGGTATTTTTAAGCTTTATTCTGAATAAATGGCAAATATAAACTATTATATTAGAAAATAGTATTAGAAATAACTGAATTCTCTTATTTGCTCCATAAATACATGATTATGCACCCTGGGCCATGTTTAACTTTCCTGGGATTTTTATCCACTTGTAAATTGGTAATAATAATAATTCTTTTCTGAGACACCTAAATTATTGCAAGGATAAATTGCAATAGTAAGTCTTAAAATACTTAAAAAATATGGACTGATCAAATGTAAGAGATTCTTATTTAACTGAAAGCGAGATCAAAGTTTATGTTACTTAAATGTTCAAATTTCCATTTCCCTGCAGACATCTTTATTTCCAATTTAGTTCTAGACTTCTGCTTCCCAAAGAGTCAGTGGTTTGTTTAGTAATACTGTCAACAACCCACTTTTAATTACATATTTTCTCAAGGTGATAGAAAACTTCCCTGAGTCTCCAAACACCACAAAATGAACTGTAGTAATACTCTATAATCGATAGTTCATTTTTAGCAGGGTAAAAAATAGTGAGCATTTAAAATCCCATAGCTTTCAAGTTGAAGACAGATGTAAAGCCTACATCCAGTTAAAAAACAGAGATAATTTTAATTGCATGTCTCATTGATCAGTAAATATAGATTGACACTTAAAAATGTAGAATAATTCTAAAATCGATCTCAGTAAAATACTAATTTGATTAACCTAAGTTTAGCCTCACAAAATATTCCTACTTTCATGGCTCTTTAAAATTCCTACGTAGCAGGATTTATAAATTCAAATGTCAACAGAGGCCAGACAAATAAATAAATGAGTAAAATATGCAGGTTAGCAAACCTGGCAAACTGAAGAATATATGCCGGTAAAAAGTGAGTGGCAGGCACTCAGCTCCACTAATTGTTGCTGAGCACACAAATGCAAGTTCAATATTTTCCATCAGTTTTTCAAGAAAAGAGAAAAGTTGTGATTTTTTTAATGCTAACCTTCTTGACTATAAATGTTAAAATCAAATCTAATTATTTTAAAATTACTAAGCAGCCCAAACAAATCAGTTATACAGTCCAACGATTTTCAACTTCTGTGCTATATCACAGCAAGATACTATCTTCTGCCATCTGTTTTCTCTTCTCAATCATCTCCATTCCTTCAGTAATGTGCACTGGCTACTTTCCTATTCTGTCCTAACAAAACCCGAAATCTAGCTGCACCATCCAGTAATGTAGCCCTAGATAGACAATATGCCCATTCTTAATCATGTATCTTTGCTCAAGGCATACATAAACATGGGGAATAAGCAGTCCGTTTTGCCTTTTGTTAGAAACACTGTTTAAATGTTTAATGGAAAGGAGAGATATACATGTTTTGAGGTGGAGGAATACAGAAGTGTGAGGAAAATATTTCATCCACTGTCTTATTAAATTCCTAAGCCTAACTTTTTACGTAGAATGAGGAAGAACTATTTACCCTCTATTCTTTTGTTTAATCCAGTTTGCTAAAAGCTTACCATTGAATTGGGTATTGGGATAGAGAAATGAGTAACTCTTTGATAGAATTTACCATCTAGCAAAGGGAAAGTTAAGACACCAATAATTGTATACTTATCAATTAACTTGCAAATCTGAAAGACCACATAGGTGAAATACAGTGTGCTATGAGAATATCTAATGGGGTATTCATCCAAATCAGGGGATTATGGAAGCTGACCTTTAATCTCAGAGCTGCAGAATGCACGAGTTAGCATGGCAAAGAGAATAAGACGTCTAGGTAGAGCACATAGCATGGATAAATTGTTTACATTTTGATCCAATTGCTCCATCATGCTCTCTCTCTTCCTCTCTCTGCCCCCACCCAAATACAGAAATATTTTTTGAAACTTGTAGGGATCAGTTGGAGAAATCATGCTTCTTTAACTCTAAAATAATTCCACTTGTCACTTGTTTCAAAGAAACAGTATAAATATAGATCAATTTATTAGTTACGAGTTAATTTCATTAGAAAATTATCATTCATAATGGACTAGAGTTTTTATTTCTTTCAAGACAAAAGAGAATACTATCTTCCAAATAGTTTCAGAACTTTTATAATTGTCTCACCCATACTTCATTTGGCAATACATCTTAAGCAAGCTGACTTTTATTTTTGTTTTGAGACAGAGTCTCACTCTATCACCCAGGCTGGAGTACAGTGGCCTGATCTCAGCTCACTGCAACCTCTGCCTCCTGGGTTCCAGTGATTCTCCTGCCTCAGCCTCCTGAGCAGCTAGGACTACAGCAACCTGACTTTACCAGGTATTTCAAAGTATATTACCTTTGTTTACCCCATATTTCACCAATATTAGGAATCATTAGTTCATTGTTCATTGAGTGCCAAAGAACTATGGTGAGTAAATTATCAGGTCAGTTAAGACAGATTCTACTCTATTTCGATATGCTTTCAGTTAAAATATTTTAGGTATACATGTCTTTTTTTTTTTTAGTTAAGACTTATTTTATATTAACATGTTTCAAGTAAAAACTTTTAAGGTATGTACACATTAATTTTTTTATAATGTATTGCTTTTAGTTACTATTTGACTAGGCTACTAGCTGCTAGTCCAGATAGAGTAGAAAAAGTGTCTTCTACTGTCTGCCACCAGGAAAAATGTTTTATTTTCATTATTACTGATCAAAATGAGGGTGAAAGAACTGCTTTTGCATATCAACTAATTTAGAGATCTATACTTAAGGCTATGGTTAATTTAAAATAAGTTGCACTATCGAATTCAATAATCTGGTATTACATTTTAGCCCACAACCATGTTTTCTAGCTAAAAATCTCTCTGCGCTTTTGAGTTTTGAGATTTGTAAAAGCAGACAACCATGTCTCTTAAATTTCTGTAAGAAGTAGGATGAGGTATAGTATAAACACTTCCTAAGACTGCTGGGCATCAGGACACTGACTCAAGTGGGCCAGGTCAAATTTTTCTGAACTCTCTAAGACAGAGATTCCAGAAGTGAAATCCCTGCCAAGCACTATGCTCTTAAGGTGGAGAATGGCTGGAAAAGGGGTTAAATATATGCCTTTTGTCTGAATTAGAGGACCGATATTCTTAGTTTATTTAAAATTAAATGTACTCAAAATTAAATTTAAATATTATCTTAATAAACTACGGATTTGAGTCCCTCTCAAATGTGAAAGAAAAATTTTAAAGTGAATGTGATTTGGAGAAGAAAAATATAAAACTCAGAGAATTAGCACAAGGTCATATTAGCACAGGTATATCTAAAGGCAGAAATAATGAGTTTCTGTTATATAGTTTTAATGATATTTGTATTGCTCAATAATGGATTTGGCCTTTATAATTAAAAATAAAAAATAAAGTTCATTGGGATTTAGCTCTGCCTCAGAATTAATATAGCTTAATTTCTTCCTACAATATTATTTTTTTTCATAGAGCTAATATTTGATGTTCCGTAGGTTTGATTCCATTTTCTTATCCTGTGGTCTTTTCCTAATATGAAGAAACTTTTTTTAGGTTTATGACACATACTGTAAGTTAAAAAGTGGTTCACCAAAGAAATGACTGTGCTTTATAAAAATTCATTTTTGCCAAGGTTTGAGTCATCTTAAATATGTCCTTGAAAATTATCATTTCTCTCAAGCTTAGGCTACTGGGAATGTATTAAAAAATAGCTTACAACAGAATTCTGTTCCTATGCAATAACCAGTTAATGCTATTTTAGCTAATAATTTAAAAGTGTTATAGAATGTACATGAGGCATATCTATATATTGGCTTCCTTCTCAGCATGACCAAAATGCCCTATCATATGAAATGTTTTCATTTCTTTAAGTATGCTTATCCATTTACTTTCTTCTGTTATCTCCCATTGGTGCCATGATATAGAAAGGATATATATGCCCAGTTCAATTCTTATACTATCCAAAGGACACATCTACCCAAATACCCATTTTCAGGTTCAAAGAATAAAATAGATAATACACTGAAATAAATCTTAAAAGATTCACAAAGTCAAAGACTGTTGTAATATATGGGTGTATTTCCCTGAGGAGTCAGATTTGACAAGTTAGGAAAAAGAAGGAACAACAGGTGCAAAGACAGGGCAATAATTACAATGGCTAAAATTGATTGAGCTCTTATTTACCACAGATACTGTAACAAGCCATTCCCAACCATACTAAGCTATTATTTACTGTATATATTATTTAATACATTTAGGTTAAATTCACAAATGTTGTTTTAGGTTTGAACACACATAAACATTCAATCATAGAAATAGGTGCATTTCAGCAATATAAAAATTACATTCATTATATTTCTTATATATTTATTTCACTAAGTCACAGCTTGTTTGTGGTTATTTCTCTTCAAAGACAAACTATTTTTTATTAGCAAATGTCTTACTGCACTGTTAAAACTTCAAAACTGCTGAGTTATTTTGAATGAACAAGACATGGTATAATCTTTTATTCATGCACTAGACAAAGGACTTGGATCATATTACAGAACTATCTGATGTCAAGTAGATTTCAAACAGTTCAAATAACTATAATAATATTATGCAACCTAATTATATTATAAAAAGCAAATGATGAAGCAATAACTCCTACTCTCGTAAGTATGGGCTTTATGATATAAGCTATTTTTTACAAGAAAAGCAATTATGAAACTTTATCAACCATTTAACTTTTTACTATTGGGACCGGTTTTATAATAAAAATATTATAAAGCTATTTATATTAACAACTGGCAGATCATCAGAAATCTACCAACTGGAAATACCTATTACCTAATTTCTATATGCAGAAGTTTATATCAGTGATTCTTATACCTTTACACTTTTCTTCAATTTAGAATCACCTAGAAAGATTTTATATATTGTCATTTCTAAAACATGCCCCCACCTCCTCCAAGTCCAATTTAGAGAGAATCTCTGGGGATGGTGCCCAAGCAAAGATCTTTGTAACATCTCCCCAGGTGAGTCTAAAGTCTAGGAAGCATTGGTCTACCAAAAACAAACTACTATTTGAAGAAGAAATACACTACTGTGATACAATAATGCTGGTCTCTCTTGTAAAGTAATTTCTCCAAATAGAAATTTAACCATTTCCTCAAAAAGAGCCAATAATTACTCTCTAAAGTGTTATATAGAAACAGGTATTTTTCTAGTCTTTGCTTTAATTCCCCTTTTAACAGCCACTTTATATAAGAAGAGTTATCAGTTAAAAAGAGGAAAAAGGAAAAGAAATTAGAAGGGTTCAAAAATAGGTGATTATTTCATCTAAACATTATGTGAATGAGATCACAAATAAAACTCATTAGGCTAACACAATGAAGATCTTTCATTGAGTTAGATATAAGACTAAGCCTTGTTGATGTGTTTTGAGAGATGAAAAACAGTTTTCCCTTTCCCTACTATTCACTTATCACCCTGAAATAATCAACTTTAGAATCAGTAGTAGATTAGGTAACAAAAGCAAGAATATTCAATCTAAAAGTGTTAGTGTATAAGAATAAAATTATGAAAATAATAAGTAGAAATAATTTTAAAAGGTGATAGGCAAACTTCTCATATCATAGAATGGATGAGAGATTCCTAGGTTAGCAATTAGAAAATGAGAACTGCCAAGAACAGTGGCTCATTCCTGTAATCTCCACAGTTTGGGAGGCTGAGGCCGGAAGATCACTTGAGGCCAGAAGTTCGAGACCAGCCTGGGCAACATAGCAGATCCCATTTCTACCAAAAAATGAAAATGAGACTTGCTAGCTTTTTGCTTTGGCAAGTTACAAATTATTTGACCTAATTTCATTATTTTTGCCTTCTCTGTAGTGATTTATTAAAGCTGAAGAATTTTGAAGATTCTAAAGCACTATAGAAAATGAGGTATAATTATTATCAAATTATATAATCATGCCATTGAAATCTCTACCAAGGCCTTGAGTAATTCCAGGAAAATCTGACAAGATTCAGCGAAGAGAAAGCAAACGGTATAAGAGTAAATCTGATGAATGCTATATTCACTGCTATATTCTCAGTGTGTAACAGAGCCCAGCACATAGCAAGAGCTTAATATGCATGAGGTTCTAGAGAAATTGGCACCCTCATACATTACTGCTAAGATTGTAAAATGATGCATCCACTTTGGAAAGCAATTTGGCATTTCCTCAAAATGTTAAATATAAAGATACCATATGATTCAGAAATTCCACTCCTAGAAATATACCCAAAATAAATGAAAACATATGTCCACATAAAAACTTAAACACTCATGTTCATAGCAGCATTATGTATAAAAGTCAGAAAGTGGAATAACCCAAATGTTCATCAGCTGTTGAATGGATAAATAAAATGTTCATACAATGGAATCTATACAATGAAATATTTGACAATCAAAAGAAATGGAATATTGATACATACTTCAACATGAATGAACCTTGAAAACATTATGCTAAGTAAAAGAAGTCAGTCATAAATGTCCATAATAGACAAAATAATAGATACAAAAATTAGATTAGTAATTTCCTGAGACTGGACATCAGGGACGAATGAATGTCATTAATATTACTCCTTTTTTAAATTATATAAATGGTGTAAAATTTGTGATGATAATTGCTCAACTCTGCAAATACATTAAAAACTATTGAATTCTACACTGTAATTGAGTTGTATGGTACATGAAGTATATTTCAAATCTGTTCTTTAAAAAGCTTTAATATGTGTTGTTAGACTGAATGACTTTTACATGGAAACAGAAAGATGAGGATTTGGCCCAAAAAGGAAAGTAAAAACAAGAGAGTTCCCAGAGGATATCATCTGTGTGTCCAGAATTTGTGAGGAGTGAGGGACAAATTGTTGCTCAAAATGCCTCCAAAAGTAATTAAGAATCAAGAGAGTAATTATTCTGAAATTCATTAAGCAAAAAATATCTATTTTTAAAGTTTTAAAAGTTTTTAAAAGCTATTATATACCCAAATACTTTTAATTTTTATTTAAAATAATAGGTTTTAAAAACTTTTAAAACTTTAAAAAATAGGTAATATAAGCTTTTTTCCTTAATTACACATATGTTTATTGCAGCACTATTTACAACAGCAAAGACTTGGAACCCAAATGTCTATCAATGATAGACTGGATAAAGAAAATTTGGCACATATACACCATGCAATACTATGCAGCCATAAAAAAGGAGGAGTTCATGTCCTTTGCAGGGACATAGATGAAGCTGGACACCATCATTCTCAGCAAACTAACACAAGAACAGAAAACCAAACACCACATGTTCTCAGTCATAAGTAGGAGTTAAACAATGAGAACACGTGGACACAGGGAGGGGAACATCACATACCATGGCCTGTCCGGGGGTGGGGGGACTACAGGAGGGATAGCAATAGGAGAAACACCTAATGTAGGTGACCAGTTGATGGGTGCAGCAAACCTCCATGGCACATGTATGTCTGTGTAACAAAACTGTACGTTCTGCTCATGTACCCCAGAACTTAAAGTATGATAATAATAAAAAAGACAAATTATGCCATTTTAGTGGAAAAAAATTATGAGTATGTGTCTAATATCTGGCCTTATGTATAAAATACAATTTCTTCTCTCAGAATAAATATACTGGAAGAGAACTGCTTCTATTTTCCTTTGAATTCTACTCTAATACGATTTCTCATACCCACAGAGGTGAATGGGTTATTTGTTTTGTTTTTTGTTTTAGGAAAATGTTTTATCTTAAAGAAAATAGAGATAGTTCTAAAATATTTTGCACTTATATACACATTTATAAGAGCCAGAACAGTAGACTCTGATTTGACTAAAAATCCCAAAACAGCACCTGAATTTCCTTTGTGACTTAAATTCCGAAATCAAATGATTTTATCCCTCCACATTATGTTTCTCCATTTGCGAAATGATCTTCATATAGGGAGGGGTGTGGTATGAACAAAATTACCCAATATGTGAAAATGAAATCAGTATTTCAGAAAAAGAAATAAAAGAAATATTTTACTTAGCCATATCTACTTTGACTATTATTGAATATAGATATGAAACTATGTTAAGGAGATTCTTCTGTTTCGTGTACAGTTCTGACAAAATATCAATACCATATGCAGCACATGGAGTACAGGTCTTGATGTTGCCTTCCTTTGGATATGCTATTAGACTCCTCACACTCTTCTTCCTTACCATCCTGTCAATCAGAGCCCTATGGCTTCCTCATTGAATTCAACTTCTTTTTATCCTTATTGATACTTACTTAATACATTGATTATCATCTCTCTTAAACTCAAGCAATATCCTCTAGGTTTTGTCTTGTTCTGATTTGTTCTCAATAAGTTAGGATAAAGTTACTAAAATGAAATAATCATTCTATTAGTTAAGGTAGACTTGCTATATAACTAATGTAACCCTTTTCTAGCTCTCCATAGCACAATCATAACAGAAGTTTATTTCTTGCTCACAATGGCCATGAGCAAGGGCATGAGTTAGCATGGCATCCCTACTTCATGTTGTCATTCACGATCCAGCTCTTAGAGTCTTCTCCATCTTGTGTAAGTGGCCACAATGGTAATCTCATATCACCATTTGATCCGGCTGTTAGGGGAAAGGGCATAGGGAGTATGGCGTTGAATGTCTTTGTATCAGGCCAAGGAGTGTTGCTGATCACTTACACTCACATTCCTCTGGCCAAAAATAAGTCACCTGAGTTCATGTAAATGAAAATGAACATAGAGAATTCAAGAAAAACAAAAATGTGGGTTTTGATGATTGCTGAGAAATTTCTGTCACTTTCCAAATATTATTTCCCTATGTCGAAACTGTTATAAATTGTACTGAGATCAAATAGATGTGCACAGTGAGAGAGGTGAATAAAGAAGGCAGAAGTGGGAGGTCACTTTAAAAAAACTGGTTTTTCTAAAAGTGGTAGCCTTGATGGTAGAGGCTGTGCTAATAGTTCATATTGACTAATATGTCAATCAATATCTGTGCTGGTGGGAGAAGCACTCTTACACCAGATTCTGAGAGGCAAAGGGAGTATAGCTACTAAGAGGTATTATTTTAAGATACAGTCCTTCACTATATCAATAGAAATTGTATGAGAATTGTAAAGAAACACCTTACAAAGTTCTGATATCCCACATCTACAAGGAACTTAAAAAACATTAAAAGAGGAAAACAAATAATCTCATTTAAAAGTGGGCAAAGGACATGAACAGACATTTCACAAAAGACATACACGCAGCCAAAAAGCATACGAAGAAAAGATCATTAGAGAAAGGCAAATCAAAACCACAATGAGATACCACCTCACACCCGTCAGAATGGCTATGAATAAAAAGTCAAAAAATAACACATGTTGGTGAAGTTGTGGAGAAAAGCGAACACTTATACACTGTTGGTGGGAGTGTCAATTAATTCAACCATTGTGGAAAGCAGTACGGTGATTCCTCTAAGAGCTAAAGGCAGAACTACCATTTGACCTGACAATCCCATTACTGAGTATATACCCAGAGGAATATAAACCATTCTACCATAAAGACACATGCACGTGAATGTTCATTACGGCACTATTCACAATTGCAAAGACATGGAATCCACTTAAATGTCCATCAGTGACAGACTGGATAAAGAAAACGTTGTGCACACACACCATGGAATACTATGCAGCCACAAATAGAATGAGATCATGTCTTTTGCAGAAACATGGATGGAGCTGGAGACTATTATCTTTAGCAAACTAATCCAGGAAGAGAAAACCAAATACTGTATGTTCTTACTCATAAGTAGGAGGCAAATGATGAGAACTTCTGAACAGAAAGAAGGAATCAACAAACACTGGGGTCTACTTGAGGGGAGAGGGCGGGTGGAGGGAGAGGAGCAGAAAAAATAACAATTGAGTACTAGGCTTAATACCTGCATGATGAAATAATCTGTACAACAAGCCCCTCTGACACGTGTTTACCTATGTAGCAAACCTTCATATGTACCCCAAACCTATAAAAGTAAAAAAAAAAAAAAAGAAAGAAAGAAACATAAGGAGCCATCGGGCCTCTCTCACTTTTCCAAGGATTCGTCTTGCTAATAGCCAGTCCAAGAAAATTCAACAAAATGTAATATGTTTTTTGAAAAAGAATAAACATGACATCCATAAAAAGATCCTGTGTATAATTAACTGTAAAACTTAACAAAAAAGAAAGAAAAATGTAAACAAAATTTGTTTTCGTTTTTCAAATTTTTGAAAGGTTTTCTTTTTTCAACAAAACCAAAAACAAAAATTTTATTAGAAATTAGATAAGATTATTTCTAACATTTCGGAGAAACAGAAATTTCTCAGCAATCATCAAAACCCACATTTTTTTTCCTGAATTCTCTATGTTCATTTTCATTTACATGAACTCAAGTAACTTATTTTTGGCCAGAGGATTTGAGTGTAAGTGATCAGCAATATTCCCAGGCCTGACACAAAGAAACATGAGAAATTAGATAAAATTGTTTTTACAAAAAGAGAAAATGTTTAAGCGTATTTAAAAGTAAAATGGTAAATATTGATAAAGTTAACCCTAATTACTAAATTTAGGAGAACAAGACACAAAATAATTGGTTGTTTTCTCTCTTACCCATATAAGAGAGATATTATAATTTTTAAAAAAAAACAAAAATTGAATGTAGTATGTAAAAGCATATAAATGAAAGGTAATCACTACAATAAAACCACAAACAATTCTACATATAAAACTATACTTGTTAAACATATAAAAATATTTAGTATCATTTATAATAACAGACACACAAATTTAAACTGGTTTTAGATACTTTTTTTTGGACTGTCAGATAAGCCAAAACTTAAAATTCACTGCATGCTCCATTATAGAGGAGACTGGAAAATAGGCCCTCTTCTGCATTGTTTCTGGGAGTGCAACAATGCCATGACTTGCTTCCAGGAAGGATAATCTATTATTTAATATTTAGGATTTCAAATAAACTTACTTTTGATCCATTGATTCAATTTCTATGACTCTGTCCTAAGGGTCTACTTTCATCTACAAAATGTTGTGTGCACAGTGGTATGGATTGCCATAGTTATCATAATAGAAGACAAGGAAAAAAACTATTCTTTTAGTTTTTTTCTAAACTGTAAAAAAGACTATATTTTTACACATGTAAAAGAGACTAGTTAAATAAGTGGCATACATGCAGATGAAAAACAGAACAGGGAAGCTCTCTTCTACATATATAAAAATATATCCAGGAAATATTGTCAATTTAAAAAAAAGAAGAAAAGAAAAAGAACTAGTGAGATGGATAAAAAAGGTGTGTCCAAGTATGTCCCAGAGTTTTTTGTTGGGCTGTTATTTTTAACAAAATCATAAATAATTGTAAAGAATATAAGACAATGACATTCAGAGAATAGACTTTAAAGCAATATCCAATATCTTGAGAAATTTGTTTTTTTTTTTTAAGGAAAGTTTCCAGTGTATGCTATTATAAGGTTAAATAGAATTCTGTAGAAAATTTGCAAAGGAGATAATTGCTAGTTTTCCATTAAAAGTTATAAAAATATATTTTATACATATATACATTTATATACCCACCTAATAAGAGAAACACAGTTAAGCAGCTGTTGAAGCCTCAAATCCTTGAGAAAATTTTATCTTCAGGTTTGACTTCAAGGCAGAACTATTGAGGTAATTTCTAAAGCAGCAGTTATGGGACACAATTATTGTACAGGACTCCAATTTCAGTTCCTGTTGAGTAGCATACGCTATATGGTAGAGTGATCCATACTAGAAAACTTTAAACTGGTTCCTTCTTTGGAGAAATTTTCAGATTTTTTGATTAAATGTAAAGATAACTTTCTTAACTGCCTGTTAAGAAAAAAAAACCATGTGTATGAATTGATATATATTTATAGTTTAACTAGAAAATATATATTAAAATAAATACAGAAAAAGATCATGAATACCAAAGAGTAGATCTGTAATAAAATGAACAACTGAATAGGAAGCCACACAAATAAGAAGTGGAACGTTCTCAGTACTTTGGATGTTACCTGTGGAATACCTCAGTCCTGATTACATCATCTCCCTAAAATATATATTATTATTTTTGCATGTGTAAGCATTATATACATTGAATGTCTCTGTGTGTTTTCTTCTGTATTTTTTCTCATTATTATATTTTCATATGCTTTAATTCCTACAACTTGATATGTTAGCTATATTTGATTGAATTTTAATACTGAATAGTGTTCCATTACATCAACAACCCTCAGCTTTTTTACTCTATTATAATAGATAAACATGTATATTTTTCCATATTTGTGCTGTTATGAATAATACAGGAAATGTTATATATACTTAGGAATGGAATGGTAGGTTATGTTTTATCTTCACTAGTAATTATTTTAATGTCTATTGTTCCTTATATTAATTCAGCTCCTCCAGCCTTCTTTGTTCAGTTTTTACCTTATAAAGTTTATTTTATAGGCAGTAAATAGATCACTCAATTATAATGGCAACCAGAAACTCAGATTATACATTGCCAGTAGCCATACCCTAAAATAAAACCAAAGGTAGAAGAAAAATAATTCTAGATCTAACGAAATAAATAGAGGAAGGAAAGAAGAGCTTGAAAAAGAACAAATAGAAATGAATGTTTACTATAAAAAGAGTACCATATTGACTTATGAGGTTAAAATATAGGTAGAACTTAAAAATCTGAAAACAAGAATACAAAAAACAGAAAATGTAGATGGAGTTAACATTTTCCAAGCCCCTTTTGTTATCAGAGGAGTGTAAAGATAAATAATTTGTATCTGACCTTAATATGACAATGATACATATCCAAACCTCTAGGGTGGCACTTCACATTACAGGTTGAGCATTTCTAATCAAAAAATCAAAAATCCAAAATGTACCAAAATAAAAAACTTTTTGAGAGCTGACATGATACTGCAAGGGGAAAATTCCAGACCCAGCCTGAACACTGTTCCATGTGATGGGTTGCAATTAAAATGCAGGTGCACAACACACAGTTTATTCAGCATCCCGAAAGAGCTAAAAAACAACCAACCAATCATCCCTGCCCATTCAGCTGCAATCAGTCTTTTTTGCACATACACAGATTACTCCACATAATCACACCCAGAAAAGGGTGATAAAGTGACATACATGCAGGCCAGATGCGCCAACAGTAGGTTCCCCACGACACCGCACGTGGAGCCCATATCTACATACATTACTCGCTGTGGTTTTTTTGCTTACTCTCTACTCTGTGGTGTAAGAATATTGTTGAATATATCATAAAGGCCTATGGATACCGCTATGGGTAACAACGATAAGAAAAAAGGCATTTATGTTTATCTATAGCACAAAATGTCAACCTGTTGAAGGAACTGGACAGTGGTGTAAGTGTGAAACATCTAACAGAAGACAGTGGTATAGGAATCACCACCATGTATAACCTGAAGAAACAGAAGGATAAATGTTGAAGTTCAATGCTGAAAAATATGAACATAAGTTGAAAAATAGAAAAACACTGCATAATGCTAAAAATTAGGATCTCAGTTGTGCATTGAAAGAGTGGATCTGCCAGTGCTGCTGTGCACACATGCCATTGGTGGTATTCTAATCATGAAAGGTCTATTGAAGTGAACTGAAAATTGAGAACTGTGAGTGGTCAACAAGCTAGTTGCAGAAATGTAACAAAAGATGATGCTTTAAATTTTTAAAGATTTGTGGTGATAAAGCATCTGTTCATCATGAAGCAGTGAAGAAATTCATTGACTATTTTGTCAAGATTATTGCTGATGAAAATTTGAGGCCAGAACAAATCTATAATGCTGATGCAATATCACTCTTTTTGCATTATTGAGACAGGAAGACACTGACTACAGCTGATGAGACAGACCCTGGAGGAATTAAGAATGCCAAGGACAGAATAACTGTGTTGGGATGTGCTAATGCAGCAGGCATGCATAAATATAAACTTGCTGCGATAGGCATAAGCTCGCGTCGTTGCTGTTTTCAAGGAGTGAATTTCTTACCAATCCATTGCTATGCTAACAAAAAAGCATGAATCACCAGGATCATGTTTTCTAATTGGTTTCACAAACATTTTGTGCCAGTGGCTCATGCTCACTACAGGGAAACTGGAATGAATAATAACTGCAAGATTTTATCATTCCTTGATAGTTGTTCTGCTAATCTTCCAGCTTAAATTCTCACAAAAAAGAACGTTTATGCCACGTTCTTTCCCCCAAATGTGACTTCATTAATTCAACCATATAATCAGGGTATTTTTAGATAAATGTAGAGTAAATATAAAATCACCTTCTTGAGGAGCATTGAACAGAAGTGAAGAGAAGTGAAGATGTGTTAGGTTTTCAAAAAAAGTTTAGCATGAAGAATGTCGGATATGCTCTTGCCAATATTTGAAACACACACACAACCTCTGGCCTGTGACTATGTTCAGTGATGATAATGGAAAGGTGGTGACTTTGAAGGTTTCTGTATGCCAAGTGAGAAAAGATGATGTCTGACCTTCTTACATATGCAAAAATATACCTTCAGAGTCTTTCAGTAGGCTGAAAGAAGTGGATATCCAAGAAGTTGTTAACATGAATAATGAGGTTCCAAGTTGTTCATTCAGTGACCGATGGTGAAATAACTGAAATGGTTCTCAAACCAGATGACTGTGATAATAGTGATGATGCAGATGATGTGGTTAACACTGCAGAAAAAGCATCTATAGAAACATGGTGAAAATGTGTGATGGACTTATTGAAGAACTAGAGCAGCATGTATTCCTAACAGAACAAGACATCTTGTCAATGTATAAGATCAAAGAGAGACTTTTAAGACAAAAAGCATTGTCAATGAAAGAAATGACTGTAGATGAAACATTTTAAAATGCCATTCAGCAGATTGCTTCTTTATTCCTAAAGGACTCACTTCTTGGTCCTTCAACTACTTCTGATGTCTCTTCTAACCTAGTGTATAGTAACCTTTTAATCGGAAGAAAACATCATAGATAGAGACAAATCCTGCTGTTGTTGTTTGTTGTTGCTGTCATTTAATAGCTGATGCAAGTATTCTGGTGATGCCATGTGTTGTTTAGTTACCCTGAACACACTATATTTCATTGTTTTAATGGTATGCCACTTTTTTTTTTTTTTTACTGTTTAGTACTCATGTGGAAATAAGTGTCAGGAAACAATTGGTAGCATATAAACTCAAAGTCAGGAATGATGGTGATGCCAAAAAATCACAGACTGTACACATAGGTGGCTAAAATAGTGGCGCCTTTGTTTTCTGAGGGTTCAATGTACAAAAACGTTATAATTTTGTATGATATTATTAAATATATTATATTAACATCGTATTTTCCCATCAATTTTTATCATTATCATATGATATTATAAAAACATCATATAAAATTACCTTCAAGTTTGTGTGTATAAGGTTTATATGAAGCATAAATAAATTCTGTATGTAGATTTAAGTACCATCCCCAAGATAGCTTATTACATATATGCAAATATTCCAAAATGCAAAATAATTCAAAATTCAAAACACTTCTGATCCCAAGCATTTTCGATACAATTTACTCACTCTGTGTATAATGGCTATGGTTTGATCGTGTCCCTCAAAATGTCCTGTGTTGGGAACTTGTTGCCATTGTGATGATATTAAGAGGTGGAGCTTTTGAGAGGTAATTGGGTCATGAGGACTCTGCCCTTATGAATGAGTTAATGCTGTTATTGTAAGAGTGGGTTAGTTATTGAGGGACTGGCTTTGTCATTGAAGTGAACTGTCTCTCACATGCACTCTCTTGCCTTTCCCTCTTCTGCCTTTCTGTCATGCGATGACCCTCCCTGTATGTCAGCACCATGCATTTGGACTTCCCAGCATCCAGAACCATGAGCAAAATTAACTCACTTTCTTCATAAATTACCCAATCTGTGATATCCTGTGATAGCAGCAGAAAATGAACAAAGACAATAATAGCCTGTGATCATATAGATTTTCTATATTTGCACTGTTCTGTACAGTAGCCTCACCACAATGAGCACTTGAAATGTCACTTTTGAAATTTTAATATCATTAAATCTTATCACATTTAAATGTAATCAGATATGTGTAGGTACCAGCTACAATATAGGACAGCAAAACTCTAGGGTAATAGTTTAAACAGAGAAAGTTATCTTCTTTGATTTTATTTATTTATTTATTTTGAGATGGAGTCTTGCTCTTTCGCCCAGGCCGGAGTGCAGTGGCATGATCTTGGCTCATTGCTACCTCTGCCTCCTGGGTTCAAGCAATTCTGGCTTAGCCTCCCATGTAGCTAGGACTACAGGTGCCTACCACCATGCCCGGCTAATTTTTGTATTTTTAGTAGAGACGGGGTTTCACCATATTGGTCAGGCTGGTCTCAAACACCTGACCTCAGGGGATCCACCTGCCTCGATCTCCAAAAGCCCTGGGATTACAGACGTGAACCACTGTGCCCAGCTGAAACAGAAAAAGTTAAATAAATAACTGGTTAATAGAGAAAAATATGGTCTAACACAAATATTTCTTTAACTTAGAAACATAAGAAAGTAGGGAAGAGAATATAAAGTAAAAAGTCAAATTGAAAATGAATAACACAAACAAACACAAATAGATCAGTAATTACTTCTAAGATAAATGAAATAATACTGCAGATTAAAAATTATAATTCTCAACATGTGTGAGAAAATAAGACCCAAATATATAACTGTGTTTTGGTTATAAACAGATGCTAGGAAGTTAGGTAGGTAGGTAGATAAATGATAGATAGATAGATAGATAGATAGATAGATAGATAGATAGATAGATGATAGATAGACAACAAACAGAAAAATAATGAAAAAATATGCAGTGAAAGTACTACTCAAAATTAAGTTGATTTATCTAGCCCAATATCAAACAAGCAAACAAAAAAATTAAAGCAAGACATATTTCTAGAGTTGAAATGGAACCTAGGAGAATTTCAGGAACATATGGGATTGCTTTACTTTGTATAATCAATGACATAGTTTACACACATACAAAGCAAATCTATCTCTCTCTATATATGCATATATATGTATTAAAAACCAAAAACAATAGACAAATCCACAATCACAGATAATTTAACGTCCTATTTCTTTTTCTTTTCTTTTCTTTTTTTTGAGACAGAGTCTCCCCTGTCGCCCAGGCTGGAGTGCAGTGGTGCAATCTGGGCTCACTGCAAGCTCCGCCTCCCAGGTTCACGCCATTCTCTCCTGCCTCAGCCTGCCCAGTAGCTGGGACTACAGTCGCCCGCCACCACGCCCGGCTAATTTTTTGTATTTTTAGTAGAGACGGGGTTTCACCGTGTTAGCCAGGACGGTCTCAATCTCCTGACCTAGTGATCCGCCCGCCTCGGCCTCCCAAAGTGCTAGGATTGCAGGCGTGAGCCACCGTGCCCAGCCTTAACATCCTATTTCTTGATGATCGTCTGCCTTATCACCTGACTGAGGTAGTGTTTGTAAGTTCTCCTCACATTAAATTTACTTTTTTTCACTGTCCATGTAGTACTCCCATCATTTCAGGTTTCATATAATTTGTTTTTCTTTTTAGCATTTTCTTATTGTCAAGCACTATAAGACATTCCAGGTTCATTATGTATATTTTAAGCCTCAGCCCGGAATCAGCCATTTTTCCAAGGAGCCTTGAGTCCTTTTACTGGAGGATGCCATTAGAAACCATTATCTGCATGCTGAAAGTGCCTTAAATTTTTCTGTTCTTATATTTACAAGGTATATATATATATATATATACACACACACACACACGTATATATGTGTGTATGTATATATATGTATGTGTATATATATATATATATATATATATATATATATATATATATATACATGTATATATTTTAATTTTGAGATGGAGTTTCACTCTTGTTGTCCAGGCTGGAGTGCAATGGCAGGATCTCGGCTCACTGCAATCTCTACCTCCCAGGTTCAAGTGATTCTCCTGTCTCAGCCTCCCAAGTAGCTGGGATTAGAGGCATGCGCCCCCACACCCATCTAATTTTTGTATTTTTAGTAGAGATGGGGTTTCACCATGTTGGCCAGCCTGGTCTCGAACTCCTGACCTCAGGTGATCCACCCACCTTGGCCTCCCAAAGTGCTGGAATTACACGCGTGAACTACCACACCCGGCCACAAGCTTCTTTTTCATTTTTAAAGACTATTAAATAGAAATATAGTAATCTTAAACTCTGAATCCAATCACTTCAACAACTGATTTATATGTGAGTTTATTTTTGTTCACTCTTGTTCTCTTCTATGCCAGTGTACGCTTTTGATTTCTGAAAGTTGATCATTAACTTGGAAACTTTATTGAAAATGAATTTTCTTTTCTAGGAAAATTGTGTTTCTGCCAGTTACCTGCAGGCTCCACCACCTCAGCATGTTTAAATTAAACTATCCTTTTGAGGTTTCTATGTCAATAGAAGTTTGAATTTTCATTGCAAAGACATGAGATGACTGTGGTTATGAATTCTCAGTGAGAATACGTAACTTTTCCTCCTCTCCAATGCCAATCTGAGATAGGAAAATCTCTTGGCATTGCACTCTTCGCAGCAGGATTCCTTTCTGTATCATCTCTTATAGTGCAGCTGTATCCTTTGAATTTTCTATAAAATTCTCCACATTGATTATATCTAAGGTTTTGTTTCTTATCCACAAACGCTAAATTTGGGGCTTACATTCTTTGACCCAAGATTTGGCAGAAATTTTCAGTAGCAAAGTCATCTTTGGCAGTAGGTGTCTCACAAAATGTCTGTTTTTGCCTTTTCTTTGATTCTGAATTTCATGCTATTTCAAGGATGCATTTTTATTACTTTCTTAATTACACGGAATAGTAGTTGTTTTGGCCTGAAGGGATTTTCAGTTTCCCTACAACACCATGCTGTCAAAAAATATAGGGCAATATGTTCTCTGACATTTTAGCCAGTGTAACAACTGTTTATTCTTGGTGAAAATGAAAATGTTTTTGGTTACATTAAGGTGCACAAATTAATTGTGAAATTCTTTCATTTCATGATTCTACATTATTACTATTAAAAGAAAAATATACTGATTTTGGAAAGAATATAAAATTTAAGTCATACATGTCTCATTTTATATTAAGCATATTGTGTCATTAAGGAGAGTAACTTTAAAATGATGTCAGATAACCTATTTCTCAAGACTCCTATAATGTGCAATAGCTATAGTGTAAGTTTCTCCCACAAAAGGAAGACAGAAATACAAGGTGCATTGGGAAATAATCTCTGAGGTTTCATAATCTAGAGAAGGGACCAGATTACTTAGCAAGAAATTTGAGATTTTAAAAAATCTTTGTAGTTTTTGGTTGTTCGGGAGTTTCCATGGACCTGGAGAAGAAACTTTAATTCCTCAATGATTCCAGTTTTTCACCTGATGGAAAGACAAAACATGCACTCTACTAAGATACTGTGTCTAACTCCTCTTCTCCAATAGAGAAGAGTATTTGTAACACTTTTCTGTTCTCCTCTGGTAGAATAGGTGGGTAATTTTTGCCTGCTAAATTTGGGTGCTTAAAACTTTTGCCTTAAAGCTGACTCTAGTATATGGCCGAACTACTATTTTTAGTAGAAAAACGTTTAATGTAACAAACCTGCACGTTGTGCACATGTATTCTAGAACTTAAGGTATAATAAAAGAAAGAAAAAAAAAAGAAAAACATTTAAAATACATTTTACTCGTTATTTTTGAATAATGAAAATAAAACTGTAAAAGGAGTCTTGAAAAAATGTGCACTACTTTTCTAAAGAGTGATTTACAACCAAGAAAGCCACAAATTATGGAGGGCATAAAACCAAGCAGTTACCGTTTCTTGTGAACCTAATTAATAATCGTAGTACATATGTCTGATTGTATATATCTCAATGCCCAGAAACTTATATTCACAGTATATCTTAATACAAATTCATTATGAAGTTTCTAATATTTTATTTTGCAAACATTTTTTTCTATAAATTTTATTAAATGTTATTCCCATACTTAATTTGAATCACAGAATCAACAAGTTTTGGAAGGTAAAGTGGCTGTTGAAGGAAAGTCATACATAAAATAGGCTTGTACAGCAGGGAGACTTTTTTTTAACTCTCTAGTTTTACTGCCATGGATGTGTTTAGTTACCCTGCCTAGTCTCAGTTTTCTCACAATGCAATGACATGGAACTAACGCCCGCTTAACATCCAGCATGACACCTTGCACTTAGGAAGTATTAAATCAAAGTCTCCATTACAGAAAGTATATAGAATATGCAGTTGAATAGTACAGGACTTATATACTAGCTATTTTGTCTCGTCCTGGTGGCTTTACTTTTCTCAACAATAAATGGGGAAAATGAAATCTCCCAGACAGGGCTGTGGTGAGAGGTAAATGAAGTAACATACGTAACGTATCTAGCCCTGCTATTATACATATTCAATAAATATTACTTCTTTTTCCCCCTTTACCTTTTTTTCTTTGTTATCCAAATATTCTGTCTTCAATAACAAGATAACTAAGACTCAGTGAGGTCTTCGGTTTATGCAGAATTGGCAAATAGCTGCAAATGGTTGACACTTGCATGATGGGCCCATCACTCTTGCCAAGACACAAGTTGTGATATGCCACTTGAAAGTAAGTATACGTCATCTCCAATGTGCTTCTGTGTGGACTTCCTGGTGTATTATGACTGCACTCTTTCAGAGTCTCCATTTATTCCAGTTTATCATACTTTACTAGTGTGTATAGAGACTTTTGTACCAAATATATTCGTATTTATTTTTCTGATAATAGAACAAAGAAGAGAAAGGTTTCAGATTGAAAAACTTTTGATTTTATATTTTTGCAAGGTGGCTTGCATAATTTTTTACTCCCCAACTTTTAAGATGTGGAATGCCAGAAACCACACTCTAAGTAAAATGTTTAAGTGTATATTTTAGATAATACTAAAATTTAAAAAGTGATATTGTTTTAAAAACATCTTAGTCTCAACATTTTTGCATCAGTTGTGATTGTGATTGTATTGCATTTTAAGTCCAGTTTATTTTAAATTCCCTAGAGGAACACATCTCCAGGCATGTCTCAGTTTATAATGAAAGCCAATAACAAAATCAATTTCAATATGTAGGAATTTGATTTACAGGCAACTGTTTAGAAACATATCTGTTCAGCAAAATGAAATACATTTCTATGTTTGAATATGTAAAAACTTATACAAATAAAAAGTAAAAATATATTTTATATCCTGTCATCTAATTTTTCTTCAAGATATTCTGAGAGAGAAAAATAAATCAAATTCTTAGGAATTGAATAAAGTCTTATACATATGATGCAAAGTGAAGAATTAAGTTAGTTTATAAGATACCACAAATTAGAAAAGCATTATTCAGTCTAAGTTGTATGATTAATGAAAATTGGTTTTGGCTTTTTTTTGTCTGAATATCGAGTGTATTCTCTAATGAAAGCATGAAGGTATATAATAGTGTTGTATCCATGTAATATAAAGGGCCTTTCAGGCTCACATTCCTTTCTGGAAAGGAATCCTAAGGCCTTTTCCTAAGATTCCTTTTCTTTCTTCCATGGGACCTGGATAGACCAATAAAACCTTTTGAAGTAGAGATGAGTCATGTACCAAAAGGCAGATGAGGACATCATGCTCCTAAGGAGGGCCATCTCCCTGGAATTTTCTTAAAGTAACACCTGATAGCAATCATCAGTATTAGAATACAAAATTAATGTGCATAAGGAGAATATGGCAAAGATTTACTGGGAGAAATAGATCTAATTCTAAGGGTTGGAAAATTTGATCGAGACCTCAAGAACCTAAAGCGTCTCCTGCAGGATGTCAGATTTGCTGAAAAAATCCTATGTCATTGTGTAAAGATTAAGAAATCTTTATTGCTGATTTTCTGTTTCTCAGGACGGTTGTAGTTCAACATCTAGTTTTGGATGTCTTTGCCAATGCCTATTATGTAATGTTTTCTTCAGATCTCTTAATTTAAATTTAGTTTTAATTGTCTATTATAATTGTAATTTTAAAAATCCTAGTTAGTAGATCATATTTCTTCTATCGAACTTTATGTTTGTAACCATCAACCAACCTCTCTTCATTCTCCACTTGCCCCCACACTCTTCCCAGCCTCTAGAAATTATCATTTTACTCACTATCTCCACAAGATCAACTTTTTAATGTGTCAATTTTTAAAAAGTCCTTAAATTATATTGTCACTACTTCAGGCCTTAAGTAGTAAGCCAAATAAAGAACAGAAAGAACAGCTCATTTTAATCTGGAATGCAAATGGTGTTTTATGTGTTGTATATACTTAGCCTTTCAGTTCAGGGGTCTACTAACATCTGCCTAGGGTTTCTTGGTCTTCTAGTTCAAATAAAATGCAAATCCCATGCTTTATGTTGGTTCATCTTGTCCAGGTGTTTATTACACATATAGTCAACTGTAATCACGGGATATTAAAATGCTTTCAATGTGCGTAATTTAATGAGGGGTTATAGTTAGAAAACAGTTTCAGGGACTAAATATTTGTACTGTGGTCTCAGAGTGGCTATCTTGCTAGCAAGAGATCCTGATGTTTGGTAGCTATCTCGTGTATCCTTATAATAAACTTCTGTAAAACAAAGACCTTTGAATTTGCCATATTTTTTTCTGTCTGGAATACGCTTTAACTGGATCATAAAGTAATACACTCCTTTCCCCCACTTCTGATCAGCCCAAAATAATATACCCGTCTCTAGTCAACCTGCGCAAGTCGCCCTGGCTTCCTTCATGTCCAGTCACTCTAGATCTAATTTTACTATTGCATGTATTTCCTAGTATTCAGCATTCTTCAGAATGATTTTGTTCAACTGTTACATGTTAATTGTTTTTCATCCCCACTGGCTTGTAAATTTTCTATGAGCAGTTAGCTTTTCTTTCTTGCTCATCAATGAAATCACAGCACTGAAAACAGTATAGGTCATATAGACTTTGATACACATTTTCAATGATTCAATGTACCCACATATTCTAAAGTGTTTCATGCAGACACTATTATGGGATATATAAAGTGAAAATTTGCAAAATGTAAATAATAAGCTCATACTTTTTTTACAATTCTATTTATAAACTAAAGATGTTGAATAGCCTTAGAGCCAAAACAAAGCAAACTCTGTTTAATTTTTTGAAACAAGCAGTTCTCACACTTATATTTAATAAGTACTTGATGAAATACCTATTTCTGCACAACTAGCATTCACTGGAACATACTTTGTTCATTGCTAATGCAAGGGAACCTTTGTATGCCCCTTTCTTGAAACCTAGAAGAGATTAATTAATACATAGGGAAGACAGGGTGGCTGTTTGATTCACTTAAGATGTCATGTGCCAAAGTTTTTAATTGAATTTAATCCTCCTCGTGCTTTGACTGAAACAAAATATTCTGAGCTGTATTTCGGTCTTAAGAATGGAATTTAGTAGGATTATTGGTGCAGCAAAATCCAGTCAACTTGATATTTACCAACTCAATCTCTATTAATTATCATGTCACCAAATTTACTATGCACACTCTTGATAGCTCCACAAGAAGTTACTTATGAGTTCTGTTATGAATGGTACAGATTATTAACCATTAATTTATTTTAAATAGATTAATTTCAAAGAAGGTAATGATTGTACAAAAAATTCAAATAAGGGCTGGGTGCAGTGGCTCATGCCTGTAATCCCAGCACTTTGGGAGGCCAAGGTGGGCGGATCACATGAGGTCAGGAGTTTGAGACCAGCCTGGCCAACATGGTGAAACCCAGTGTCTACTAAAAATACACACAAAAAATTAGGCTGGCATTGTGGCATGCACCTGTAATCCCAGCTACTTGGAAAGCTGAGGCATGAGAATCTCCGTAACCCAGGAGGTGGAGGTTGCAGTGAGAGGAGATCACACCACTGCACTCCAGCCTGGGGGATAGAGCGAGACTCTGTCTCAAAAAAAAAAAAAAAAAAAAAAAAAGCAAAGAAAAGAAAGAAAAGCAATTGACTGAGAAATTTACTGAGATTACATATGCTTAGGAATATAGACAAACCTTGAAAGGAGATGAGGGTGGGTGTAAGAGGGTGGAAAAAGACAATAAGAAGGAATCAATCAAAGCAATTGAGTCACTACCTATTGCTTTTTCAATCAGTAAAGTTAAAACTTGATATTTCCCCAAAATCTCATTGAGATAAGCATAACAAGTTTGCCTAGTAACCTTAAAAAATGAAGGTAGTAAGCTGACTATAAATATATCACTTAAACAAGTAACTTCTGCTTAAAGTTCCAATTGCGAAACAGATTGGATAAAGAAAATGTCATATATATATATATATATATGCAATTATAAAACATTATAATAAATTAATGAATTAATAGGTATAGAATGCTAATAAAAATAGAATGAAGAATACCAGCCTTGGAGTTTTAACTTAGGCCTCTAAATTTTCAGCTAACCTCTTCAGCGTTTCACTAAAAAAACTGAAGAATGAGCTTTCAAAAATCCTAAAATTACTCTTTGTTGAATATAATTCATAAAACCCCCATTCCTCCAGAGAGAAATTTGAGAAGAAATTTCATCTTTGGTATTTACTGCTATTAAAAGCAAATATTCCTAAAGATAGTAAAATAAAAACAATGATGAGCTTCATATTATTAAGAAGAAATCAACTTAGATGATCAGACTATTAACATAGATACCAGAAAACAGAAAAATCCTTCTGAAATAACATTTTGGTTGTTTTTGTCTTTTGCCTGCAAACTAAAGAAATACTTCCTTAGTCTCGAGAATCAGGCAATGAGAACAGCAGAAATGTCATTTTAACCATCTTCTGGAGAAAGCAGGAAGAAGAATGCTTGTTCTGCATATTAAGTGATTAATGAACCTTGGATTAGTTTTGACTGATTTGCTGTTGAGCTTTTTTGCCTGGGATAGTTTGTCAGCAGTAAAGTTGCCGACAGTGTTTTATACAGAAATTAAATCATTTCAGGAGTTTGCAGAAGGCTTATATAACATTCCAGACAGTATTGAAAGTTAAAAAATCTAAATAATGTATATGCTGATAGAGTCACAACCATTTGGCAAAAAATTGTACATACTGAATACATTAAACTAATAGCAATCCATTTTGGTTCAATGAAAGTACAGCAATAAAAGATATTCATGATGCACATCATGAACCATTTAGAAATGTGTCTCAGTACAGAAGAAAAGTTATGAATTCTTCATACAAAAACATCACCAGCTGCAAATATGGCTGCTGTTGAAGACAAAAGAGCCTGCTCTTCACACACTTAGGTGTTTCTGAACCATACAGGAGAGCGAATGAGCCTTTGATTTAGATGTTGCTTTGAGGTAAAAAGGGATATAAATTGTCTATATTATCCATATAATATATATTTTTGGATTAAAAATAATACATACTTAAGAAAATTAAAACTATATAATAAATAGCAGACAAAAATTAAAAATGCTACCACTTTCAGAGTAAACTCCTATAAACGCTTTGGTAGATTTGTTTTCAGGATATTTTCTATGTCAAACATATTCAAAATTAGGCCCAGAACATATATTATAAATATATATGTTATATATATAATTTCCATATGAAAAAATATTAATATAAAAGATTGTTTTCCATTTTCCCTATGAACATTTTTATTTTTATAAAGTTTTCTTTAAAAACTGATTTTCATGGTTTCTCACAATGTCATATTTTAACTACAACAAAATATATTCCATATTCTATTATTAACTAAGCTTTTAATTACCATTTTATTATTATAAATGACATTTATATAATGTATAGAATATGTAATTTTTATATATTATATATTAATTATATTTATATATTATATATAAATTACATATACATTTATATAATTTATATAATTATATATACATTTATATAATTATATATAATAATACATTTATATAATATATATACATTTTTGTAACTAAAATTATAATACTGATTTTTATAATGGAACAGACACAAGCTTTCAAGTCAAACTGAGAGTGTACTTATTCGAGGTTACCATTTGTGTCTATGTGCACCAACCCAAGTTGCAGAAATTAACCTTGAACTCAATTTTTTCTATGTTTATTTCATTTCACCTAAAATTGGATTCAACTATCCTTCAATTGGATGGCACACTTGGGTGGCTCTCCTCTAAGTGATGCATTCAGGGATTCTTCATCCTTCCTTCTTCGCACTAAGCTGTTTAGAGCGCTTTGCTTTTGGCTTCCATGGGTGAAGGAAAGACAGCATATAAGACTGCAAAGAACGTTTTATGGCCAAGTCAAGTGGCACATATCATGCCTGCACTACTTTCCATTGGCCAAAACTCAGTCACATGTTTCCACCTAGTTTCTTAGAAATTAGACATGCACACTTCCTGCTCTGCTGGAAGGAAGATGTAACAGTCCCATTCACAAATACCTTACAGGGTCATTAAAAGGAATAAGTAAGATAATATACAAAATTGTCAAATAAATGGTATTAAGAAAGTGAGGAGCACAATTTAGCTTTTAATGTCTAGAGTAGGGAGTTGATTGGTTGTTGATGTCCATAGCCTAAAACAGGGAAGGCCGGAAGCTGGGTCCTCCCATGGTGATTGCTGAAACTAAAAGTTGAGGCACAATCTTGCATGCTGCTGAGGCACATAGCCAGATATTTGTGTTGGAAGTTGGTGATAGACTTGGAAGGCTTTAGGTTTTGTTATTTTTTTACTAAATTTTTAAAAAATATTTTTTCTCTGTAGTACAGACATCAGAATTATCCAGTTTTTCACATTATTTCCTTCATTATGTAAATGACATATTTATACTTACAAACTACTCTATTGAATGGGATATTTCCAAATTTTAAAATTAAATAGTGGTAAAATAAACGTTTTTTTCCCCTACAATATTTTTTCTCAGTATTAGTTCCTTGGAATAAATTACCAAATGAGAAATTCCTGGGTATGCTTGTACAACTGGTCATTCATTTTTCTAGGACATTATATTGTTTTCTTAAATATTCAGATGGGGAAATGGGATATTGAACAAAGTGAAACTTTCTTTTTCATTGAAATAAATACCTGTTTACATTTTTATCATCAATCATGTATTGAGTATTGACTATACGTGAATTACTATGCTAGCTAGTGAGTATTCAAAAAAGCATAAGGCACTCTTCCTACATATGTGGAAGTACAGGAATATTAACCCCCGGGGCCATCAGTTGTGTAATCTTGGGCAGGTTGTTTAGTCTTTCTGACATTCTGTTTTCTCATTTATAAATGGGAAATAATTTAATTCTCCTTGGATTAAATGAAATAATGTACATATTATCTTTAGCAATAGTAGCAGATATATACTATTTGTTGAGTTCTTATCATCTGCTAGAAACTTATTAAATGAGAATTTATTATTAATATCAAGAACCTACATATTGACATGGATCAGGCACAAAATTTAAAAAATGGTACTAGGTAGCATATGGCAAGGTGCCATGAATGTATAAGAAAGTACTACTGAGTAAGGAGAAGGGGTTACTCACAAGAGATTACTTGATGAATGCTTCATGCTGAATGTAGGGATGAAAGGGCTTCATAAGAATGAAAAAAAGAACCTGAAAAAAATGCACAGATATGTTGAGACACCAATATATAGACAACCTAGAATGGGAACACAAATGGGTGAATTCATGTAGGGGATTAAGAGAGATAAATTTGAAGATGTTGAACATTAGGTTTGAGGAAGAGTAGGCAAGAGATAAACAGGAATTGGGTGGCATCCAGCATCTTCTAGCAAGTATGTTTAGGTAGACAGCCATGGGCAGTGTGATTGTTTGCTTCCTCCAAGGATTTGATGTATTATATATTTAACAAATAACAAACAAGTTTTGTTCTGTCTATCTTAATTGAAAATAGGCACCAAGGGATAACATAGAATGAGATAAATGACAATATTAATACATCCCACATCATTTATCATATATTAGAGGCCTTTCAGAGATGATCTGTTTCCAAGGAAAGACTATATGTAACTTAAAGGTTTGCCCAGTTTCACATAAAGCAAGGGAAAGCTAATTTAACTCTGGCCAAATTGTATAATATTTTGTGTCCTCAATATCTCCACAAGTTAAATAGGCAAGGCAAATTATTACAATTAAACTATTGTTTTATTGCTTGGCATTTAAGCTATTTTTAAAAAAGGATTTATTTTCAGTCTCTTTACTCACCTCAAATATGAATTATGATACCAAACTCACAGAGTGATTTTCAAGATAGAATATGAAAATGCCCAGTATGCTATCTGGTGCATACTAGACTCAATAAAACTTAAATGACTAGAAGACAGATTCAGGTCTTGGTTAACTAGTTCCATTTTTCTTTCTCTCTGAGTGAGTCAAAGAATCTCACATGAAATCAGATTGTAATGCTTAGAAGGCTTGGGCAGGGGAAGGGGAGCCATTTAGTCACAGATTCGACTTCACCTTCTCACGCCCCTTACCTCACTCCCTCAACCACCTACCTCACCGGATTTCAGTATGAACCAAAGAAGCTTACAGCAGTGAAAAAGAAAATTGGAGAACTGTAGAATGCTAGTCCAATGCCAACTATTCTTAAAATTATAACAATGCCTAGGCTTTCATAAACTCTGATATTCAAGGCTGCTTAGATAATTTATACATACTTCTATACAGAAAGGGTGGTGAATAATATTCTTTCATTGTTCTAGGGTTGGGGTCATTAATGATCTAATCTCACTAAATCCTCTGGATATATGACAAAGCAAGGTGAGATAGCACTATCTGAATCTTGACAGCCAGATAGAGAAAGGACAGAAGGCAAACTGTCATCTACCTTATTAAATCACTTTCAATATTGTACATCTCTACCTAATAGCATTGCTCTCCAACTGAAAATAGTTTTTTCTAAGTGGTACAATGAGCAATTCTTTCTGAATGTTTCCCTGTATCTTCATCTTTGTCAGATTTATTTTTCTTTTTTAAAACTAGGCTAGGGTTATCTGACTGCATTTGACAGTCTGTAGTCAGGTAAAGAATTTTAAATGAATTTTAAGACAGGAGGTCAGCCCATGAAGTGTCTTGCTGGGAAAACTGGTGACATAAACCTGCAGGGTATGAATGAAAGCAATCTTGTACCACAGAGCCAGCAGAGGCCACCTAATCAATTACAATGGCTTTTGGTAGGACTTTTGTGTAAAGAAGTTTGCATTTGTGTCATCATCTTTTAATCTGGAGAATTCTAGGAGCACATAGCGATGTACAACTGGCTAGGGATCTTAGAAAAAATACAGGTAAAAGCTGGTGGTTGTGGGGTGGGGAGATCCTGAGAATTGAATTTAATACGTGCACACTTTGATGGCAAAACTTAAATCTTTGAGTAGAAATTTTTTAAAACATGTGCTTTGCTTTTTGACTGAGGCGTGATTATAGTTCTAGTAAAGAGTAGTGACTCATTGACTAGGGAGGTATAATAAGAAGAGAGTTTAAGAAATAAGCCAGTTATTAAATTAAGAGTACTAATTCGTTGCATAATATGAAATATAGTAAATTTAGTACTTATTATAAAATCAGTAACAGCTTCCACTTCTGTATCTGTTATTCATTGCCACAATAATGGTATGTAACAAACAACCAGGAAAAAAATCATAAAGACATGCAACAAATAGTTATTTTTGCTCAGAAGTCAATTAGCCAGTTAGACAGTTCTGGTTATCTGGACTGGGCTGGGCTGGGCTGGGCTGGGCCCTTTCATGCAATTACAGTCAGGTGGGGAGCTGGTGGAGCTTGATCGAGCTTGGTCAATCTAAGATCGCACCAGCTGGTTTGGCTTTTTTCTGCACATGGTATTTTCTTCTCCAGCAAGCCACAGGGCAGTGGAAGCATTTTGAGAGAGAGAGAGAATAAAAGCACAAGTCCTTTTAGGGCCTGGGAACTGGCACACTGTCACCTCCATTGAATTTTATTTTTCAAAGTTTTCACGAAATGAGTTCAGATTCAAGGGCTGGGGGAAAATATCATCTACCTCCTCATGGGAACTGCTGCAGGTCACATTGCAAAGGGTATGGATACAGGGCAGGGGTGGAGAATTGTAGCAATTTTTACAAAAATCAAATCCAAAACAAACAGAACCTACACCCTCTGTATTGAATGATTTGTATTAAGAAGAAATATATCTGGTACATTGATTTTGTTATTTTCAGTAAATAATATCTGACCTGTTGCAATATTCAAGGCATAATATATGTTGCTACATTGGGTAGAATACGGACAGTTAAAACTAAGACATTCATAATTTAATAGAGAAAACTAATTTGTACATGAATACAAATAAGGCAAAGAATTTAAAAAAAAAAAAAGCTGTCAGAGAGATACAACTGCCCAAAGAAGGGAGACAGAAAAATCTTTGTGGAAGAATTTACACTTATGTGAAAAGTTGGATATATTGAAAATGGAGTCAAAACATTCCAAATGCCTCAGTATTCATGGGGCATTGGTTCTAGCACCTACCAGGATAGTAAAATCTCAGGATGCTCAAATTCTTATATAAAATGGTGTAATATTTGCATATAACCTATGCAAATCTTCCCATGTACTTTAAACCATCTCTAGGTTACTTACAATGCCTAATACAATGTAAACGCCATATAAATAGTTGTTATACTTTACTTTTTAAGTATTCATATTATTTTTCATTGTTGTATTATTTTTATTTTTATTTTAAATTTCAAATATTTTCAATCTCCAGTTGGTTGAATCCACAGTTGGGGAACTATGGATATAGAGAATCTGTACATGCAAAGTAAAACATATTTTAGTGTGAAACAAAGGAAAACAGAAATAGTAAGCCTTCATAGCAAAAGGACCTAAAATAGGCCCACCTTCTCACCTCTCACTTTCAGAAAATATCCCTGATAAGTGACATTTGTAAAGAAAAAAAAAGTAGCTGTATTTATAAATATTGTTAAGGATATCAGTTGCAGACCCAAGGCAGCTTTTCTCTATTAAATATGGGTCTCAGAGAGCTAGGCAGAAGGCTAGCACAGAAAAGAATTATGTTGACATGATTTGAAAGCCCTTGGAAGATCTCCCATACTTCTTCTCGAATGACTGTGGTGATCAAATATATCAGTTATTTCAGAGAAATTCCAGTGGCATCCGAGTGACTTAGGAAACCTCAGGACTCCTGTTCAGGGAATGTTTTTGGAAGGTTTAAAGGAAATATTTCCCATCCACAGAACACAGAGTGGCTCCATAGTTGGACTAATTCTCAAACCCATTCAAAGTGGTATTTAGAGAGGATTTTATCACTGACTGGTGTGAGCTGAGTCTATGTTCTTACCAAATGACTGTTGAATTTCTCTGTTTAAATCCTGGACATATTTGGAGTTGACTGCTTGTAAGTAATTCTGTCTCATATCTCATCTTAGATCCCTGAAGATCTGGGAATTTTAGAAAAATTACTGAAATAAAATTAAGCTGTGAACAATAAAAAAATTTAAAATTATCAAAGAGATAATGGTAAAAGAGAAAGAAAGCCACAGAATACAAGGTTTTATAGGTAATCTACTTCCACTTGCCCAGTGGCCCCAAAACTAGTTTTTGGCTACACGATTAGCTTTTAAAATAAAAATATAATAAATGGGAAAATAATGCCATGTAATAACTATGCACATCTCAAGTTAAAATGAGCAGAGATGAAACAACATAAAATCTTACTGTTGATTACTACTCAGAATGTTTCAAATGAAAATGGTTTTATCACTATTACTGGATATTTTTAGTTTATCTTTTCTTTGAATATCATGTTCTGGCTGGTATGGAACTTTAAGCTGTCTTATTTTGATTGATTGATTGATTGTTTGCTAAACTATACACTTCAATTGTATTTCACCTGTCTCTTCAAGTACATCCTATTTCTGTTCCAGGAGCCAATCCAAGGTCCCATATTGTATTAACTTATCACTTGTCTTTAGTCTCCTCTGATCTATAACACTTCTTCAATCTTCTTCTCTTTCAGGATCTCAATGCCTTCAAAGTGCACTCATCAGATATTTTGTAGAATATTCTTGAATTTGTATTTCTGTAATGTCTTTTCATTACTAGATTCAAGTTGTGGATTTGGAGAAAGAAGTCCACAGAAGGGAGGCCATGTCTTTCCTAGTGTATCTTATCAGGGGGCACTAGATGTCAATATTTTATTATTGGTGATGTTAACATTGATAACTGGTTTGAGCTCACAGTTCTGGGGACTTGAATTCTGAAAGCAAGATGTTGGCACAGCAATGGTCCCTCCGATGTTTGTAGGGGAAAAATCCTTTGTTGCGTCTTTTATTTTCTGGTGTTTGTCAACAATCTCTGGCATCCGTTGGCTTATAGATCTAGCCCTCCAATTTCTGTCTCTGTTGTCAAATGGCCATCATATCTATGTGTCTCTATCTCGTATCTTTTCTCCTCTTCTCATAGGGATAGCAGTCATATTTGATTAAAGGCCTACCCTACTCCAGTATGACCTAATCTTAACCAATTGCATCTACAATGATCTATTTCTAAATAAGTTCACATTCTGAGATACTGGGATTGAGACTTCAACATATCTTTTGAGGAGATGCAATTCAATTGATAATATCTAGTAAAATCAGGAGGGCCTCAATTGACCTAACCCTCTGCCTCTCCTCCAATGGATGAGGTCTCCTAATCCAATTGTCCCTGACATTTTTAGCACAAGGGCCAAGTTTCATGGAAGACGTTTTTTCCATGGACGAGGGTTGGTGAGCAGGTTTCAGGATGATTTGAGTGGATTACATTTATTGCACAATTTATTTCTATTATTATTACATTGTAATATGTAACAAAATAATTATGCAACTTATCATAATGTAGAATCAGTGGGCGTCCTGAGCTTGTTTTTCTGCAACTAGATGCTTTTATCTGGAGGTGATGGGAGACAGTGACAGATCATCAGGCATTAGATTTTCATAAGGAACAGGCAACCTAGATCCCTCACGTGCACAGTTCACAATAGTATCCAGGATCCTATAAGAGTCTAATACCACCGCTGATCTGACAAGAGGCAAAGCTCAGGCAGTGATGCTCCCCTGCAGCTCGCCTCTTGATATGCAGCCTGGTTCCTAACAGCTACTTGTCCCTGGCCTGAGGTTTGGGGACCCCTGCCCTAGCCAATCAACTTTCTTTATCACAGAGGCAAGGCATAATGCCTGCTTATCCTTGAATAATGGTTAGTTTAAATCAATAAAACACATCCTTCCATAAAAATTAGAGTTCACTATGTTCTCTTATTACTACAAACCCTGCCTCTAATGTCCCTGTTTATTCATTCAGTTGCCAAGTAAATCCCTGTGAAGCAAAGAATGCAGGGTCCTCTGCCCCACAGGCTGTGAATTTGTGTCACTGATAAACTGCAGTCAATCTCATCTGTCCAGTCTCTGTTTCCTGTGTCCCCCCATCCCTGTAACTTTAGGACTGGATTCCCTCCCTTACCAGTGCAAAAAGGAGGTTAGTAAAACACTAGGATTCTCCATATCATGTTCAGGAGCGGAGAGAAGACTTCCTTGAAATGTTACTCATCTTAGGGGAAAAAATTCAGTTATTCATTACTACAACTAATGTCAGTTATGAGCTTTTAATAGATACTCTTCATCAAGTTATGAATAACTCTTCTGCTGAGAATTGTTACCATGAATGAATATTGAATTTTCTCTGATGTTTTTACAACAATTATTGAGATAATTAAATGGGTTTCTTTCTATAGTCTGTTACTACGGTTCAATGATTAATTTTTAATTATTGAACCACCCTTCCATTTGTTAGATAAATGCTAGCATCATAAAATGAGTTGGGCAGTGTTTTCTCCTGTTCCATTATGTAGATTATTTGTGTAGAATGTATATATATTTTTTTTCTTTAAATGTTTGGCAGTGAAAACATTTGGAATCAGAGTGTTCCATGTTGGAAGCTTTCAAATACAAATTCAATTTCCTCAATACGTAAAGAATTTTTTCTTTCTTGATTTAGTGTTGGCAGTTTGTGAATTTCAAAGTAGTGGCCTATTTCTTCCAAGTGGTGGGGATAGAATTGTTTGTAGTATTTCCTTATTACCCGTTAATATTTGTGTGGTCTGTAGTAATGTTTCTTGTTTCTGATATTGGTAATTTGTGTTTATTCCTCTCTCTCTCACATTCACTTTGATTAGATTGAATAATACTTTAAAAACTTTATTGATTTTTTTCCCCAGAGAACCAGCTTTTGATTTCATCTGTTTTCTTAATTGTTTTTCTATTCTCGGTACCACTGATTTTTGCTATTATTTGTATTATTTGCTTTACTTTGTTTGCTTTTGTCATAATTTTCCCTTCTTTTGTTTTTCAGGGTGGACCCCTACATGACTGAATTATCTGTTTTTCTTTAAAATAAATATTTATCGCTGTAGATTTCGTTGTAAACACTGTTTTAGCTACATCTCACTAAAACATCAAAATTTTGATATGTCTTATTTCCATTGGATTCAAAATATTTTTAATTATTTTCAGAGTTGTCCTTTGATTCATTGGTTATTTTACTTTTTAAAAATTTTTCAAATATTTGAAGATTTTCCAGAGCTTTTTGTTATTGATTTCTAGTTAGATTCTGTTAAAAGTGTAAAAATATTCTTTGCATATCTATTACTTTAAATTTGTTAGTGTTTGTTTTATGGTGAAGTATATTGCCTGTCTTTGTTAATGTTCTATGTGCTTTTGAGAAGACTGTGTATTCTACTGTTTGAGGGTAGAAGGGACTATAAATGTCAACAAGATCCAGTTGGCTAGTAGCATGGTTCAGGTCACCTGTACATTCACTGATTTACTACCTACTTGTTTTGTCAATTACTGAAAGAGGAGCGTTAATGATTTTAGCTAAACTTTTATATTTTCTCATTTCTTTTTTGAGTTCTATAATTTTTTATATCTATATTTTGAAAGAAAATATTCTTAGGTACTCAAACACCTTTAGGATGCTGTGTCTTGGAAAAGGAGTTATTTTCTCATCCTGTAATATCTCTTTTTAATCCACAGTAATAATCTTTCTTCTGAAGTCTACTTTAGCTGATATTTTTTGTCTGCTTCTGCTTTATTTTTGTTAGTTTTACATGATATATCTTTCACCCTCCTTTAACTTTTTATCTCTTTGCCTTTATATTTAATGTGGACTGCTTATAGAGAACATGCACTCAACTCTTGCATTTTTATCCAGCTTTACAATTGCAGCCTTTGAACTAGTGTGTTTAGAGAATTTGTGTGTAATGTAATTATTGATAGGGTTGCACTGAAATCTACCAGCTTGTTAGATGTTTTCTATTTTTTACCATCTATATTTGGTTTCCTTTCTTGCTTCCTTCTGGTTACCTTTTTTTTTTTTTTTTTTTTTTTTTTTTTTTTTTTTTGCTTGAGACAGAGTCTCACTCTGTTGCCTAGGCTGGAGTGCAGTGGAGCAATCTCGGCTCACTGCAACCTCCATCTCCTGGGTTCAAGCGATTCTCCTGCCTCAGCATCCTGAGTAGCTGGGATTACAGGCACACACCACCATGCCTGGCTAATTTTTGTATTTTTAGTAGAGACGGGGTTTCACCATGTTGGTCAGGCTGGTCTCAAACTCCTGAACTGGTGATCCGCCCACCTTGGCGGCCCAAAGTGTTAGGATTACAGGCGTGAGCCACCGCTCCTGGCCACTTGAATGTTTTTAATTATTCCCTTTAATTTCCCCTATTGTCCTATTATTTATACCTCTTTAATATTTTTATAATGGTTCCCTAGGTCTTAAAATGTTCATATTTACATTCAACTAATATTATACTATTTAATATATAAGAAACTCATGAAATGCCCAATTCCTCTCTTTCATACTTTGTGCTACTATTATCAATTATTTTATTTTTCATATGCCATAAAATATATATTGCTACCATTTTTGCTTTAGATAATCAGTTACTTTTTACAGCAATTAGAATAGAATAAAAATTATGATGGACAAAGCTCTAGCATTACCTCCAAGAATCCAGCCTCCTAATGTATACACTCTGTACAATCCATATCCTTTGAGTTGGTAGAGATCTATGAATATGAAGAGCTATCACTAATTATACTATGGTATATGGCAGAAAAAATATTGCAAATGTAACTAAGGTCTCTAATCCTTTGGCTTTGAGTTAATCAAAAGGAAGATTATTCTGGGTGGATGTAACTTAGTCAGGCTAGGTCATTGAAAGAGGGTAACATTTTGAAAAATTCCTCCTACTGGCCTGGGAGAAACATCTTTGTTGTGAACTACCTGTGGAGGGACCATGTGATGGGGATCTGAAACTGACTTCTGAGAGCTGAGAGGAGTCCTCTGCCTGTAAGAATTAAAGAGGAGAGAAACAGGAAGGGTGACTCACCAGTTAAGACAGGTTTATTTTAGAGAAAACAAATCTGAAAGGAGCTTCTGGCTGAATTAGGTCCGAGGCACACTCTTTTACGGAAGAATTTTTTGTTTGTTTGTTTGTTTGTTTGTTTGTTTGTTTTGAGACTGAGTGTCGCTCTGTTGCCCAGGCTGGGGTGCAGGGGCGCGATCTCGGCTGACTGCAAGCTTCACCTCCCGGGTTCACGCCATTCTCCTGCTTCAGCCTCCGGAGTAGCTGGGACTACAGGCGCCCGCCACCACCCCCGGCTAATTTTTTTGTTATTTTTAGTAGAGACGGGGTTTCACCGTGTTGGCCAGGATGATCTCGATCTCCTGACCTTGTGATCCTCCCGCCTTGGCCTCCCAAAGTGCTGAGATTACAGGCGTGAGCCACCGTGCTGGCAGGACTAAGAGTTTTTAAGGATTTAGGGTGGGAGAGTTTGTTAGAGACTTGGACTGCTTCTGTATTTTCTTGTGCTTATTTGGGAGGGAGAATTGCGTGTCTGTCTCCATATATCTTTCTGCAGCTGCAGGCATATTCCCGGAGTTTGCTTTTAGCTTCCCTATTTTAGTGCACCTGAAGGGAAAGGAATGTGTTTATTAAGGCCCACTGTTTTACCGGGGCCCATTGTATGAGGGTGAAGTTTGGCAGTTACCCAGGAGACTTTCCCCCCACCTCCCTCTGTGCCGGAGTTGTCTTATCTGTGTTTTACTGTCTGCTTTTTCTGGCTGCTTGTAGTTAGAACAGACGTGATTTCCTTGAAATGCGTGAGGCTAGAAAGGGAGCTGGAACTTAAAGTGGTGGTGTTTGTCCACGGTGACGGTGCTCCTGCTCTGTCATTCCAGACCCTATAGTTATAAAAGGATTTCAGTTAAAGCCTTGGTAAAATGACCAGTTTTTCCAATTGAGTTCTGTTACAGAAGAAAATAGATTCTTATTGAACTGATGCAAACAACTATATTGTTGTAATTTACGAATACTTACAACTAGTTTTTAAATTCTAGAGGAACTAGTCAGAGAGAAACAAACACTTTAAATTCTGTTTACAGGAGTACACTTTACTTAGTTGTTAAACGCTGTAGCTAGCTTAAGACAAGTTTTATTGACTCTGAAAAATAAGATAAAGATTAGCCATGTTTTAAGCAAAAGTAAAATTTGTTTTGGTTTTCTGTTAGTTTAGTCCATTTTATTAACCTCTGCTTTGCTTGATATTTATAAACATTTTAGCTTTTCATGAGTTCTGTATGTTTTGTTGTTGTTCTTGTTGTTGTTGTGAGTAACCTGCATTTGAGAGCACTTGTTAAAGTTCCACAGCTTGAATATAAACCATGTTTTGAAGAGAATTAAAACAAAATAACAATTATCTGTAAATAATAAAATGTCCAGTTTGGATACAGTTAGAAACACAATTGACAAAGAAATTTGATCATTTTTGTGGTTTACGCTGCCAAGAGCCAGCCAGAAAACAGGGACTTAAGTTCTCCAAATTCAATAAACTGAATTATGGCAATAATTGAAATAATTGGTGCATCTACAAGAAGATCTTCAGCCTCAGATGAGATCTTAATGCTGGACTGTAAAATCCTGCGCAGAGCTGCCATTCCCAGACTTCTGAGCCTTATGACTGTGAGATAATACAGGGATGACATTGTAAGCCACTAAATCTATAGCACTTTGTTAAATACCACTCCAAACCAATACAAAAATAATCTTTTTTAAAACCATCATTTGTTTCAACTACCATTGCTCTTCATTTATTTATATAGATGTAAAATCTATTATATCTGTCTGGTATTATCATCTTTTTACTTGAAGAACTTTCTTTAATTTTTTTTTTCAGGGAGATGGGTCCTGAAATTTTTTTTTAATTTTAATTTTAATTTTGTATGAGTGTGTGGGTGTGTGCATGTGTTCTGTTTCTGATCCATCCTGAGCTTTTGATCTTCTCTTTGAGCTAAACTTTAAGGAGATGTTGTATCATACCAGCCTCAATGCTTTACAGCTTGACAGGAGATTGCGTGTGAAGGATAGAGGGAGGGGATGGAGTTTCTGTTATGCCAAGTCTCAGTCTTAGGTGCGCATTAAGGCACTGGGTGTCAGAGTTGTGGTTTCAATGCTCCCACCTTCCCCGTTTAATTTAGTTCTGACCCTGTCCCAAGAGTAAAGGATGTTTTGTTTTGTTTTATTGCTCTCTTCTCCTAGCTGGTAATGAATTTTTACTAGTGCTTTGCGAATGACAGTGTTTGTAGCCCTTTCTACCTCATATTAAGGGAAGGAGTGTCCCGGTAGAAATCTGAATCCCTGCTTGGGTGGCTGTTGGTGCCTCTCCCCAGTTCTGTATCATCAGGGAGGTTTTCTCAGGACTCTCCCTCTTTCAACAGTGCATACTTGCCTGGCCTCCAATAATTATCAGTCACCCTCACTGAACTCTTCTTACTAGTATTTGGCTGCATTTTGCCCAGGTAACCCAGCTCTCCATCTTCTTGCTTCTCCATGCAGGCACCTGACTCTCCTTAGATTTGGGACCAACTGGTTGTCCTACAACTTCAGCTCTCTGAAAGATCAAGAGGATTTGTAAATTTGTTGAACTTTTTTTTTTTTTTTTTTTGAGACGGAGTCTCACTCTGTCACAAGGCTGGAGTGCAGTGGCCTGATCTCTCGGCTCACTGCAACATCTGCCTCCTGGGTTCAAGTGATTTTCCTGCCTCAGCCTCCCATGTTGCTGGGACTACAGGTGTGTGCCACCACGCCCAGCTAATTTTTGTATTTTTAGTAGAGACAGTGTTTCACCATGTTGGCCAGGACGGTCTCAATCTCTTGATCTCATGATCCGCTCGCCTCGGCCTCCCAAAGTGCTGGGATAACAGGCGTGAGCCACCACGTCTGGCCTGCTCAACTTTTTTATTGTGAATTTGGAAGCAATGATCTTTCCAGTTTTCTAGGTCATTCCTTTATTTTTAAAGTAATTGAAATGGGCCAGGGCATCAAAATATAAGAGTCACTTTAAAGAGAAAAGTCAGGAGTAAGGTAGCACACATTCTCACTCTTACTGTTAAATGATTTTTTTTTTCCAAATTTTATTCTATTGGGAGATCCAGAGATTAGAAAAATACTCTGTCACACCTTGATACCGTGACTATTCTGTAATATTGTTCAGAGTTCTGTCTGGGCATATAATCAGTACACTCACTGTCGAGTGTCATTGTGAACACTGAAGGTGACACACCTCCACCAAAAGGAATTTATATTGGTCACATTTTATCTTGATGAGCATGGAACTGTGTTTCAAAGTAGGGCAATTTCCTCAAACTGCCTGTCTTGTAATACAGAGTTTGGGTGATCCAGTTGCTTGTGACATTAGATCCTCTATCTTCCATTCGATATTCAACTCATATGGCACCTCTTCACAAAAAACAGTCAAACAGCACAGCTGGAGTTAATAAACTGAAGGAGGATGCCCATTACCAGTTATAGACGTTTCTGTTGTTTGGGGTTTTCAGTATTTCATTATTTCTGCATCAGTACCAAGTAGTCTCACAGCTGAAAAGCCATCAAAATAACGCAGCTTGAAATGATAAGTGAAAAGGAAGTAACGACTGAGGCACTGATCATTCGATTCTCTGGACTTTTTGTTTTTTGCAAGAACATATTTGTTTATTTGTATACTTCCTTTGTTGGCAGTCACATTCTACCATTCAAACAGTCCATCTAACCATGATGTTAAGAGTGTGTCTGATCAGCTTTTGTCATTTAAAAAAAAGTATGATATTCTTATTGAATAAGACAGTCTGCAATTTCAATTTTTGAAATAAAAATCTTGAGACAGAGTGAAAACAACTAGCTGCTACACACTAAGTGTGTGAGTGTGTGAATGTGTGTGTGTTGCACGCTTGCTTGTTTTTGGAACAACTTAATATCTGAAAGCTGTAGCAAGTTTGTCTTCTGTTTTCCTTTGATTTGGCAACAAAATTTCTAAGCAATCCATCACACCAAAGTCTAAACCTAAATAGGTACTACTGTTAAGTAGCAGTATGTATCAAACTCATTAATGCTCTAATTCCCCTACTTAGGCAGTTAATTTCATTGTCTGTTATAGTTACTCTTTTGCCCAAACTGTCCAAACCCATGCCTCTCTCTTACTTTATTATACCACTTGGGAAAAATCATGTGGCAGCAAAATCCATTTATCTGCTTCCTAACTGACCATTCTCATGCAGCTTAACAGGGCTAAAGTACAATGTATAACCATGATGACTAGTTTTACTAAATTCACAACTATGAGCTCAAGTGGGCCCCCATGCTGCCTTATAATTTGAATCTGTTTCTTGGCTTCATTTTCTTTTTTGGCCCTCTTTCCTTGATCACTGTCAGATATGTCACTGTCCTCAAAATTCCAAACCTCTTCTCTGATTTTCATTTTTAGTTTGCTTTCTACTTCTACTACTTCTACATTAACTAGTATCATTAGTATCTACAGGAATGTACAGTGTCTTCCCTCCTCATAATGCGGCTGAGCAATTTCTGAGCTTATGTAGTGTCAGCCCCTCCTCTTGTACATCAAGCAATCCCCTTACTGTCATAATTCTATCTACTCTCTTTTATGTCATCAATGATGCCCACTCTTCTGGATCACTCCATTAGTATGCACGCTTGCTGTCTTATTTCATCTTGTTTAAAAAAAGCAAAATCAGAATTATTTGGACCCATTTCACCTCCATCTTCCAGTGAAACCTTTTCAAAAGAGTTATCTATTTTTATTGATTCTATTTCCTTTCCTACCACTCTCTCTTAAATTCACTGCAGAAAGTATTTGACCTCTCACTATAATTAAACTACTGTTTTGAAGATTGTCAAATAACTCTGTAAAGTCAATTGATCAATATGCCAACCTCATATCACATGATCTATATGTAGCATTTGACATAATCAATCATTTCCTTCTCCTAGAACTTTGAAACTTTTTCTTTGCTTGTATTCCTGGATGACACATTTGCTTAGTTTCCTCCTAACTGACAGATCATACCTTTGAATGTTTCTTCTCTTTTCCACAAACGCTTAATGTTGAAGCACCCTAGAAATCATTCCTTTATCCTCACCTTTTCTGTACTACATTCAATCCTGTATAGATATCATCCATTCTTATAGTGATCAATATGGACTGTAGGCTCTGTAATTCATATCTTCATCCCAGATCTCTCTTACAAACTCTCAACTACTTATGCAATAGTCTCCTAGATATTTCTACTTAGTATAACATCGTAACAGGGATTGAAAACTTAACATATTCAACACTGAACTCTCCATATTGTCCTCAAATCTTATTTCATCTAGAGTTTTCTGCAGTTCAATGAAGATTGACCTCTTTTCTCCAGCTACTTAGAACATAAACCTTCAAGTCAAGTCATGTATGACTTCTCTTTTTCTCATAATTTTTGTCAACGCATCAGGGCATGCCATTAGCTCTCAATTCAAAATATATTCAGAAACCAAAACTTCTCATCATCTTGTCTGTAATTAGCCTGGTTTGATTCACCTTTATATAGCATCGAATCACTATGACTGCTTCCAAACAAGTCTTCTTGCTTCTGTCTTGTAGGATTGGGATGGAGGGGGAGTTTTTGTTTAACTTGGTTAATTTTATTAAAGACAGAGAACATCTGCAAATATGCTTTTCTCTTTGAGATCAAATCTCTTATATTTTGGTGCCCTGTGAGCTGTAAAATTACTGCCAATAAAGGGACAGCTGGGGCTGGGCACGGTGGCTCACGTCTGTAATCCCAGCACTTTGGGAGGCCGAGGTGGGCAGATCATGAGCTCAGGAGTTCAAGACCAGCCTAGCCAACATGGTGAAACCCCGTCTCTACTAAAAACACAAAAATTAGCTGGGCACGGTGGTGGGCACCTGTAATCCCAGCTACTTGGGAGGCTGAGGCAGGAGAATCGTTGGAACCCGGGAGGCAGAGGTTGCAGTGAACTGAGATTGCACCATTGCACTCCAGCCTGGGCAACAGGACAAGACTCCGTTCCAAAAAAAAAAAAAAAAAGAAAGCTGACAGGTATCTGTCCTAAGCCCCAACCAGAACCAAAGGTACTTTATTTTACAATCAATTTGATTATTGATTATTGTATTATTAATACAATAATCAAAGGTATTTTATTTTCACCCACAATTAATACTAATTTACTAAGTACTTACTATGAGTTAATAATGACTCTGACTTGATGGGACTCTGCCTGCAAACATTTCAGTTGCTGTCATAAAAAATTCTCAGTCTAGTGCACATTAGAAACTGCTCACCAGGTCAACGCAATGGGCATGAATAGTAAGTGCTTTGATGCTGTAAGTACAAACTACAGTGGAAATCCACAGATTCCCTGCTTAGTTCAGTACCGGAGGCACAGAGGCATTTCATAATCAGCTTTTTTTTTTTTCAACTTTTGAAAACAGAAACATTGTGGCAAATGATGTTTAGCCATTAGCTTAAATAGTCTATAATTTTAAAGATCTTTTTAAAAGGTGTATCAAATGAGATTCTAATGTCATCACTTTCCATGCCCATGAATAAGATAGTGCACCCATTTTTGTAATAATATAATTGAAAGTATTCTGCTAAAAACCAAATGAGGGGAGTTCTGCCTATGAATAGGAAGGTAGAGTAAATTATCTTTATGGAAGTAGAACAATTTAGTACTACATGATGGAAGAATCCTGGAGCAGGAACCAAGAGATCTGACTCATCATGCTCCTTAGCCAGATTGTTTTAGTAGCTCTGTCTATGTGCTACCATAATTCTAAGAGAGGCATTCGGTTCAAACCACTGAAATGAATGGTTAGCTATTTGCAAAGCAGGCACTCTGAGTACAAAATACAGACGAAGGACTCCAGGACACTGAGAAATAAGTGCTCTCACGGCTTGGGAAGTCTTCTCTCTATACTTTCTTTTCTCACCTCCCTTGTAGCTAGGATCTTTCAGTCAGCTGAGTGTGGATTTAATCAGAATAGAACAATGTGACAAAGCAGAAGATACAGCATTTGCTGACTTTGGAAAGGCAGTGGCAGTAGAGAAGTGGTGGTGTGACCCTCAGTTTTTTTTGCCCAACTGAGGTTGCAGTGAGTCCTCACTGGAACCCCCAACAGTGTGGTGAGTGTGTTCTTGATGAGTAACCCCTAAGCATAACTCTCCCTCCTGTAGATTATGTGAGCTTCTCAATATTCTTTTCTCAGTTGCTATTCTCCTTAAGTGAACTAGTGAACATTCTATTTCTTGCAGCTAATATTTAATTCACAAAAATAGAGGCAGTATATTCCAGGCATTATTTCCTGAACTTTGCAATTACAGATTGTGTTTGAATCCTTTCTTTTTCATTTATTTATTTCATATTTATGGGTAACTTATCTATATTTCTTCAAACCTCAGTCTCTAATTTAATATTTGGAATAGTAATAACATTGTACATTCATAAGATTCAAGTGTGGAATGAGTTAATACACATGAAGAACTTAGTGCAGTATGTATCACTTAGTAATGGCTCAATAAAAATAGTTACTATTGTATGTAAATTGCAACCCAAAGTAATGTGTTTTTGACTACAGCACTCATCCTTTTTCACTACTACATGATATTTTAACCTTCCCAATCTGTTCTTTGAAATTTGGAACACGTTTCCAAGTTCCCCTTAGTAAAAATGGGTCATTTTGTTCCATACTTCTGCAGCTAGAGATTGCTGACTTCAAAAATCAAAGCTATCAATACATATTGTCATGTTTCAGACTTTGCTTGCTACTTTTTCTTTAATTCTGAGATGATTATTAAAAATTTCTTACTTATGGAAAAATATATGAATTTAAATTAAACTCAAATTGACAAAAAAGGGAGAAAAACATGTAACTGCTATGTCTAAAATCACCTTTTAACCAACTCAGTGTAACAATATCTTGTGGAGAAGGTGAGGTGTTCCTGGCCCCAGGCAAAGGCATTGAGATGAGTTTCTTGTTATAGATACTGATTATCACCAAAAAATAGTGTAACAGGGACATTAAAAGATTCATGGAGCTTCAAAGAGATGCTTCTCATTTTGACATTCATTAAGGTTCGATTCATGAACTTTCAAAGCAAAACCAGAGCAGACACTCTGAAGTGATTCTTTACATTAAAATAAAATTTAAAAACCAAAATCTCTATTTTGAATCAAATACATTTTATATTGATGGGTATAGACACCTTATGAAAAATAAAACACATCATATTTATTGAGGATTAACTTCCTTGGTATTAATTCTATCGATTAAAAAAAAGTTCTTGTTTTTCAACTGTTTAAAATGCACCAGGTCAGTACACAATTTATTATGGGAGTGATTCTTTCCTTTGTCCTTTGTCTTTCCCTGCTGTGTTCCCTTCCCCAGGTTCCCATCTAAGCAGGCTTTTATCTACCCCGACAGAGACAGGGCAGAGAAGAAGGGAGACATTACATATTCAGCTAGAGAAGACATAGGGAGAGATTTGAGTAAAGAAAAATCTGAAAGAAGGCAGAGCTGTTAGAGCTTCGTGGGGTGTTTGAGAGAGATTAGAAGACTTAGTAAAGAAGAGAACTTAGAACAATTTGATGCCATGAGAGAAATAAAGGAAAGAGGATTTGAGGAGTGTTACTATGTGTAATGAATTGGAATGCCTTGACATTCTTCAAGCAACACATAAATATGAGCATTATTTTATTAAAAATTAGTTATTAAACTCTGCTTATTTATGTACAAGTTATATTCAAAAACCAGTCCATTTAAGACTTTCAATTATACTAAGGTTATATATGAGGGGCCTATAGGGGATTTCAGTCATAAATATAGAATCTGAATGTACATTGTATTCTAATAATTATCAAATATCTTTGATCTACTAATTATGAGTTGTTGAAATCCAATTTAAGTGTATTTTTAAAATGTTGGCTATTGTGTAGGTAACCAGAGTTTATACCTGTAGGATTACCTATGATGCAATGAATTCTTGGGACTTTCTTTATAAGACTATTATTGACACTGACAGAACATTTAAAGAAGAGTTTGATTTTTTAAAAATACATTAAGTATGTGAATTGGAAAAGAACTAACTGAAAGTGATAGCTTTTAAACTGCTTTTGGAACCTGACCTGAACAAATCCATAACCTCTAATTCTAAGCTTAACAAAGGAAGCCCAGTTAAGTAATTCCAGTGAATTCCTTGGAATTTTATAAATATGTTTCCTTAGTATAAAACTTCAGAACCTTTGGCAAGATTCTCATGGTTTCTTAACGAGTTATTTACAGTGCTATCACCAGCTGGGTGTAGTGGCTCATGCCTACAGTCCCACATTTTGGGAGGCCAAGGTGGGTGGATCACCTGAGGTCAGGAGTTTGAGACCAGCCTGGCCAACATGGTGAAACCCCAGCTCTACTTAAAAAAAAAAAAAAAAAAAAAAAAAAAAAAAGTTAGATGGGCGTGCTGGCAGGCACCTGTAATCCCAGCTACTCAGGAGGCTGAGGCAGGAGAATTGCTTGAACTGGGGAAGCAGAGGGTGCAGTGAGCTGAGATAGTGCCCCTGCACTCCAGCCTGGGCAACAGAGCAAGACTGTGTCTCAAAAAATAAATAAATAAATAAATAAATAGTTATCGCCCCATTATCCCCATGATAATTATTACTTGGCTAGTAATGACATCCTAATTTTAACAGACTCTAGAAAAACACTCTGAGCAGTATGCAAATTATAAAAATGGCTTAGGAAGTCAGGATTTTCAGGAAGGAATACATTCTGTAGCAGGAGTATCCCAATGTATCACAAAGGTATGAAACAACCTTACTAAAGGGGTTGGGACAAAAAAGTGAAGACCTCAGTAAATTTGGAAATGAATTGTGTCCATAAGAATAAAGGCAAAAGGATTTGAATAGAGTAACTGTATTCTAGTTTATCTAGTTGTTTGCCACCATGGGTAAAAGGTTCACATTTCTGAAATTGTTATACGCAAATACTGCAACAGAGCAAATAACTGGATAGAGTGTGCTGGCAGCTAAGTTTCTCACTGTTCTTGTGGAATTTACAGATAAACTGGTTGGCTGGGGTGGGGGACGGCTACAGTGATCCCGATTAGTGCTGGAACATTGGTAAGAACCCGTGTTTTGCTTAATATAGTTACAGATAGTTAAAATTAGAAGTATTATAGATATTGTATATGCATGACTTGTTATACTCACATAAACAAATGACTCCCCAGTAGCAGTGAGTATGCCTAGCACCCTATCTTGGTTTCCAGTACCATTCTCCAATAAAAGGAACCAAGACTCTTTGAGAAATGGCTCATTCTAGGAATGGAACAGAAAATGCACAAGGTAAACTTGGAACATCTTATAGTGCAGAAAACAAGAGTTCTAAGAAAGAACACACACACACACACACACACACACACACACACACACACACACACACGGAGTATGCCAAAGGGGCACAGAACCAACTGAAAGAGCTTCCAATAGCCAAAGCTAGAACAACCAAAGAGAGAAAATAAATAACAAAGTTTCAGATTATAACCCAAACTAGAAAATAAATACCTATGAGTCCTTACTGACAAAATAAACAACTGAATAAACAAATAAATGATGGTGAGTAGACAAACCTCCTGAGCAGAAGAATCTCAAATAATCTATGTGAATACTGTTTTCTAAAGGGAGGAGATGTTAAATGTGGGCTATACATGGAGAATTCCTCCCAAAGAGTAAGGTATGGGGAGGAGAAAGGGCAAGGGTAACTTCCGTGGGAAACCTGAGAAGCTAGATGCAGCCAGGCAAACCATATGGACCCTGGCAGTGATACGATGAAAATGACACTTTACCTTTGTGATCTTCCTCCCAAAAACCTACAACCCTAGTTTCATCAGGAGAAAAAGCACCAAATTCTAATAGAGGATTGTCCTGCACTATGTCTCAACAGTGCTCCTCAAAATTAGTCAAGGACGTGAAAAAAAAAAAAAACAAAGTGTCAAAGCCAGGAAGGCCCTAAGGAGACATGGCAACTAAATGTCATGTGGGATCGTGGATGGAATCCTGAAAAAGTAAAAAGGACATTAGGTAAAAAATAATAAGAAAATTTTAATAAACCATGGATTTAATTCATAATTATATATTAATATTTGTTCATTAGTTGTTCCAAATGCCCCGTATTAATGTAAGATGTTAAGATTAATAATTGGAGAAACTGGGGGAGGGGGGAAGGCACATCAGAAATTTCCTTACTATCGTCTTAATTTTTTGGTACAGCAAAACTGCTGTAAAATAAAGTCTATTACTTTTAAAGCTAGAGAGTTGTAAGGAATATATTTATTTATTAATTTATTTATTTAGAGAGGGCATCTTGTTCTGTCACCAGGCTGGAGTGCAGTGGCGCGATCTCTGCTCACTGCAACCTCTGCCTCCCCAGTTCAAGTGATTCCCCTGCCTCAGCCTCCGGAGCAGCTGGGACTACAGGCGCCTGCCACCATGCCCGGCTAATTTTTTGTATTTTAGTAGAGACAGGGTTTCACCATATTGGCCAGGATGGTCTTGATCTCCTGACCTCATGATCCACCTGTCTTGGTCTCCCAAAGTGCTGGGATTACAGGCATGAGCCACCGCGCCCAGTCGATTTTTATTTTTTATAACATAATCTAGTTAGCATTTTTAGTGTTATTTTTAAATCTCTTTGGAGAATAATTTGGAGGTGAGTAAATTAGAGATTTTGTATTTGAGTATTTTGGATACTAGTATTCTTTATGAAGATGTACTTGTATAGTCAATTTTGGTGGCTTTCAAATTTGTAAGATTGCATGTTTTAAATATTATTATATTAAAAACATACATATATGTATACACACGGTGTACTTTCAAGCAAAAAAAGCATGATAAATTATTTAAATATGCTTGATTTATACCTAATTTTGCCTTTTAGTGTTGTTCTTCAAGAGCTTATTTTGAATATGCTCTAATTTTTTTTAAAAGGAAGAGGCTTCTAACTTGCTCTATATTAGTACAGAATATAATCAATAAGTACAACTAGTAAACTTTTAAAATAAGGGCAAAGCCTGGCCTGCATTTCTTTTAATTGCATCCCATTCCCATCACTAAGACTTCATATTGCAAAATGTATCATTCTAACATCAACTAAAATCAAAATACTGAATTGTTGAAGAAAACATTGGACTGCAAAGCATTCCAAGGTTGTACTGTAACTGATCCACTCAGAAACAATTACAGCATCCTGCTGAAGTTTCAGAAAACATAGAAATTCTCTCCAAAAGCCCAGTGAGGAAATTATGCTGAGAAAGTTACAAGAAAGAGCAACAGAGAGATGTTAATCAACAACAAAAGTCACGTGTTTTATACTTTCCTTAAGATGTCACTGTAAAACTTAAACTAAAAGATGAGCTAAAATTTCTCTTCTCAGCCTTTCTCAGTTACAATTCAAATGATAATTTTAAGTACAATAAAATCAAAAGGTCTTGGTAGTATGTTTTCAAAATTTTGTATTAAATATAAAAATGAAAGATGGGTTCAACGTTTATTGAACAGCCTCTTATATTTGAGATCATTTACTTATTTATCAACCTTAATCTCACAACAAATTCCAGTAAGAAGAATTATGTTCCCATTTAATGAGAACCAAAAAAATGTAAGTATTTAACTAAAACGGAATATTGTTGAATCCCCATCTTCTTGTGTCATTTATGTCCTCCAGGAGGCAGGCGCAAAATGGCATTCGTAGTATAAGAGGTTTGTGTGTCAGAGATAAATTGAGAACAAGCAGACCCCACCTCACACTGGTGAAAAGAAATGGAGGAAGGAAGAGTGCTAGTCATGTACAGCCTAAAACTAGAATGAAAATCTACCAAAGCCTCCTTCAATCCAGTGTAAAACTCCAGAGCAAAGATAGCCCATTAGAGGAGACACCTGTTGAACAAAAACAGAGGAATCCTAGTATGCCCACCTTGCCCATTCATAACTTGAAACATTCAGCCCTAGGCTGGAGCTGAGACAGATTCTGATGATCCCAGCTGGAGGCTGTCAGCAAGCCGGGTGTCTTGCGAAGATATGTGGGACACATGCTCATGGCTGTTGCAGTCTATCTGTCTCTTGTACTGCAAGAATCTCCTTCATCTATGCTTGGTGGGGCAGTACTTCCAGGATCCCAGGGAGCCTCTTTACTTGAGGGAGTTCAGACAAGGGAAGATTGATGAGATGATCTTCAGACCCTATTACCAGTTGGTTCAGGACTGCAACTGGTACTCATCGTCTTTCTCCTTCATGGTCAAATCTGCCATTTACATTCAGCTATCAAGTCTGCTGATCTCAGTAGTATAACTGTTAGTGTGATCCAAACCTTCATTGTTTTTGGTGGCTTAGCTCATGTTTACCACATACTTCCCAGACTAGGATTGCTGCCCTTGTCTGTTTACCATCACAACTGGGCAAAGACTACCAAGAGGTTCCCAAGAGTTCTGCACTTTTTGACCCCTTTTCCAGGGTGACAGTACTGTCTCTTCCTGCTAATCCTCTTTGATCTGTGTGACTCTGGACAAAAAGTGCCCAGAGTGCCTTGGGGGCAGTTGGAGTTTGTAATGGGGTGCTGGTTGCATGGAAATTTGCAAGAGTCCTCCCGTGCAAAGCCCAAAGTCATGGGGACAGGAAGCACAAAGAACACCAGTATGCCATTGGAGTGATTAGACTCCTGGGTCTAAATCTTGGTTTCTGGACCTATGTCTTCCACTTGGGAACACAGCACTAAGAAGAGGTCTCTGATTAAATGTGTATACTGCATTTTGGAGGATGGCTCTTCCTATTCACAGCATATTGCCTCCAACATTGCTTCAGTGGATTTAGCAGTCCATTTTAACACTGCATTAACCTGGTAACTTTTACATGGAGCACTATTCGATATGACCAGTGGGTCCCAATGTATGGAGCAACTTCTATACCTCCCCATACCTGGCAAGATACTATACATCAAAATCAGTGACCAGAAACATATTTTTTTTTTCAATCATCTTAAGAGAAAGACTATGCAGTGCTGCAATGGATCCTGTTCAACGGTCAAAACACTACAGCTTTCGGGCTCCTGAGTGAAGAAAAGGGGAGGCCTTCTGTGGCCAGGAGGTAACATTAAATAATGTTAGGAACCAGAGTTTGACTGGAAGATGATTGATTGCTTTGGTGATGTCATTTGATAAAAAAGAACAATATTGTGGGTTCACAATTTACTAAATGTCAGTTGTTGATGTCATTTAAAAAAAAAACCTGTCTGCCTTAAAATGGTGATGGATTTCCCATTTTCTGAAAAAAAAATGTAACTATCTCATCTCATGAATCAGGTGCTGTTCCAATTTTTTGTCCAGCCCTTATCATAGAATTGATTCACTTTTTCCTGGAAAAGAAAAGAATCTTTTGTTGCTCTTAGTTCAGCAAACTCTGATACTGACTAGACTGCAAAACATCCTAACTACTTTAAATATGATACTATAAATAACTTTTAAATAGCAAAACTGTATGTTGTAGAGTCCATTTCAGGCATTACAGCAAATTGGTCAGCTCATTTAAACCCCAGTTAATAGCTTCTGTACAATGAGAAAAAAAACCAGGGCACGACCTTTTTTTAAATCTAAATGGTTTTTATAGACCAAAAAAACAATTTGCACAAAGAATCAAAATAATGAAATTACATTTTCTATACTGATTTGATATTCAAGGAACCAGACTGTTAAACTTTAGAAGGTATATATGTAGTTTTATTATAAAAGCTAGAAATCAATTTGAAATAAGAGTTTTTAAAATCCCTTCATTGCACTACAAACCGCTGAGTCACATAGACAACAGACAGATGTTAATCAAATTGGAGATGAGTTGTAGTGTAAAACTCTACTGTGTTTAGCGGGGCTCATGCACAGAATGTAGCTACAATGTTGTCTAGACTTTCCACAGGAATTCACACACAGGATATGTTAACTTTTTTCTTCATTGTATTTAAAATGTCACCTGCATAATTTTCTGTGCTTTTAAAACATGTAAAAAAATCACTTATTACTTATTTCAAAGTTTATTTTAATGGCTTCAAGATAGACATTATTGTAACTTTCAAAAGTAAATATAAACATTTGTGGTTTATGATCATGGTTAATTTTGGTGTTAGTAATTTTAAGTGATTCTTGATTATACATAAACAAACTATATTAAAACTTTAACATGCTCTTGCATCTGGCTTTCTTGGTTCAACATTCTGTTGGGGCAATTCGGCTATATTGTTAATATCGTAGTTAGTTCATTGCTGTGTAATATTCCATTTTGTGACTATTCTGCAATGTATGTATCCATTCTAATATTGTTGAAGACTTGGGTAATTTCCAGTTTTTGGCTGTTTTGAAGAGGGCTTCTATGAACATTCCAGTACATATACTTTGGTGAATATATACACATATTTCTGTTTCGTATACACCTTGAAGTAGGAATTCTGAGTAGTAGACATACATGTATTCAGTGTTAGAAATTACCAGTTTCCCAAGGTGTTAGTACCAAATTTGTTCCTTTCTAGCAGCATATGAGAGTTCTTTTTCCTTTAAGGCTCTGAATCTCCATTTTCAAGAATTTCTCTCTCTGTTTGTAAATTTCCACTTGCACTCTAATCTTTCCTGATCTTACGTGTTACTCTAAATAGACCTTGCCAAATGCAGCCAAAAGACATTACACCATTCTGATTTTCAACCTTTTCGTCAGAAAGCCCATAGTTCATTTCCTTATTTCAAAATGGCAAAGGGTTTTCCAAATTTTTGTCCATAGTTTAACATATATGACAATTTTTCCAGCAGCCAATGAACAGTTACCTCACTGCCCAGGACCTGACCAGTAAGTCAATGCTACATAATTTAGCTTCGTTTTTCTTTTTTTTTTCTTTCTAACTTTATTTTTACGTTCAGGGGATGCATATGCAGGTTTGTCACATGGGTAAGTTACATGTCTCGGGGTTTGATGTACAATTTCATCACCAAGGTAATGAGCATAGTGCCTGGTAGGTAGCTTTTCAGTCCTTACCTTCCACCCTCAAATAGATCCCAGTGTCTATTGTTCCCTTCTTTGTGTCCATGTGTACTCAGTGTTTAGCCCCCACTTATAAGTGAGAACATGCAGTATTTGGTTTTCTGTTCCTACATTAATTCATTTAGGATTATGGCCTCTAGCTGCATCAGTGATGCTGCAAAGGACATGGTATCATTCTTTTTTATGGCTGCATAGTATTCCATGGTGTATATGTACCAGCAGTACCCTATTTCAAGTATCATTTCCCTCACTCAACAACAAACTCTTTGGTACTGCATAAATAAAACTTGAAATCTTAATGAATTAACAACACAAGTTTACTTTTCGTTCACATCATAGTCAATGCTGTGAAACAGCTGGCTCTCCCAGGAACAGCTGACTCTCCCAGAAACAGCTGGCTCTCCATCTTGGAGCCATGATGTTTCTCTGGTCACAACAGCAACAAGAAAGAGAGCTGGATGTTTCTGTGAGATATTTTAGGGTGTGGTGTTCCTGAAATTGACTTACATCATAATCACCTACACTTTATTTTTCGGAGCTCAGTCTCAGGATTTAAACCAAAGTATGTGCTGAGAAGCTAAGAAACACATGGATCTTTGATAACAATAACAATCTCTGTCACAAGGCAGCTTTTCTAAAGTTCATTAACATAACTTGAATGAATGAACATAAAAGCCTAAATGTATCTTCTGTCTATACCTCCATACAGTTGTGAAATATTTAAAAAATTAATTTCTCAAAGTACTTTCTTATTATTTTTCATTTCCTAATACGTATTTGGCACACACAGAGAGAGCACACGTATCAATACCATGGAGCCAGCAACGTGGTAAGAAGTAGTGAATTTTTTTAATGAGGACCTCATATTGACTTTATTGTTTTCCACAATGGTACCCACTAATGTTCACAATTCCCAGAGACAAATAAAATCAAGGAATGTCCTGGCTACTTATTGCTCCTAAATCTCACCAAGAGGAAGCCAATATGAACTGGTCCCAAATTAATAATATGGATTGTCTAAATACTTTTTTCATGTACTACCTATAGGAATTAATTCCCTCTCTCCAATTTTCTACTTAATCAAAGGAACTAACCTCATTGATGGTTCTCCTAAGAGTAACTTTATAATTTATTGACCATGTTTTAATCTCTATTTGTCAATATTTACACAATTTGTTTAAAATAAGACCCTTAAAATAGCTGTTTTCATTCTTTCCAGTGATTTTGCTGGTGAGGTCTTCATTATTATTGCCATTTCTTCAGAACTGCTATGTTTTCATTAATTAATGGTTATTTTTGCCTTCCAAGAATTGTTCCTTTCTAAAAGCTAGTGCTTTTTTTCATTTCCTATATTCTCACCCACAGTGCTGCTCACCCAATAGTTCTTCAATAAATACTTCTTGAATTGAAACGGATGCACACTCAGGGCTATTCTTATATTTTGCAGTTTACACTTGCCCGCTTTGGTTAAGTTCAACTGCATATGACAAAAAAAAAAAAATAGTGGACATACATTTTTGTTCCCTTTTGTAAAAAGATGGTGGGCATAGGCAGTCCAGGTTCACTTTGGTGGTCCTACAGATTTGTCCAAGTTTTGGAACATTTTATTCTCTGTGCATCACTGACCCGGGATTGTGGCTCTTACTCTTGTGGCTTAAGATGGTTGATAAAGCACTATCATGTCTGCCTCCCAGGCACTAAGATGGAGGAAGGTACAAAGGAGAAACATACCAACTTTATTCAGGTAGTCCAGGGAAGGAACTCCAGAAATTCCATGTATATATCTCTGGTAAAAAGCACATATAAAGGGGCATACCTAGTTCCAGTAGAGTCAGAAAAATGTGGCATTGTTCCAGGTGGCCAGTGCTCAGTAAAAATACATGGCTTTATAGCTGAGGAAGAAAGTTTTTTAAAAGACAGAGATCTAGGGAAACTTCAGTTTTTGCCAACCGGAACCAGAAAAGACAGAATCTTTGAGAAAAGCATGAAGTTCAGAATAACAGCTGATGATTGCTGGCTTAGAAGTCAGGATGACCGAGCCTTGAAATAACACTTGACTGTTTTAAAGCAATGTGGAATTAAGTAATTGCTAACCTCCTTAAGCTTCAGTTTCATATATATAAAGGATAAAATTATCCCATTTTGTTTAGGGGGGGTCTATTTGTAAGATTTTAATGAAGTTAGGCAAGGTGTATCCAGTTCTGGTTACTCAAATACATTTTCTGCTTCTTATCATATTTGTTGTTTTATTCTTCTAGCAATTGTTTTATTTAGTAAGAAAAAATATGAGCTTGTAGTTAGAAGATATGGTTGAATGTCAGCATTTGCCAGTTATATAATCTTCCTAAGGACCAGCTTTCTTATCTCTAAAATCGGTCTACCAATACTCCTTCTTATTGTAGTGGTGAGAATTAAATGAAATATTGTATATGGAAGGCCAGGCGCAGTGGCTCATGCCTATAATCCCAGCACTTTGGGAGGCCAAGGCAGGCAGATCACCTGAGTTCAGGAGTTTGAGACAAGCCTGGCCAACACGGTGAAACCCCGTCTCTACTAAAATATATGAAAATTAGTTGGGTGTGGTGGCGTGTGCCTGTAATCCCAGCTACTCAGGAGGCTGAGGCAGGAGAATCACTTGAACCCAGGAGGCAGAGGTTGCAGTAGCCGAGATTGCACCACTGCACTCCAACCGGGGCAACAGAGTGAGATTCCATCTCAAAATTAAAAAAAAAAAGAAATATTGTATATGGGATTTTCCAAAGTAGGACTCGGCACAGAGTTTATGCACAGCAAATGTTGATGTGTTATGTTGCCCTCATTTGAAATAATATGCATCTTACTCTTCTATGCCTTTCTATATATGTTTACTAAATCTCCCAAACCTAGAATATGCTGAGACATTGGTGGTAGCTGTTTATCTGACTGGTGTGCAAATATTTAGATTGTGATTTAGATCTCTGTTTTATTTGAGTTTTCCTCTGAAATTTAATAGCATGCATTTCAGAATAGAGTATCTGAGTTATTTTTTATCTTGCGTTTGAAATAAATACTGATTAGAAATTAAGAAATGACCTATTCTGCACTAAATTACCACAAGTGTGCAAAAATATGAATAAAAAATGCCTGTGTGGCACATAGTAGGGGCTCAATAAATATTTAATGAGTGAATTAATTAATAATAGGATGGATGACTGAACATATTTATGTCCTCTTCAGAGCTTTATCCCATGGGTCTTTTCTACCAAGGAATCCTTAAGAACTGATGAGTTGGCCTCCGCATGGTTGCAGTTATGTTTCTTTTGTTTATGAGATTCTAAGTCATACTGGCAGGCCTCCCCTTTACTGTTAGGTTTGGTGAATGTTACAGATTCAACTAAATGAACCATAGCAAATAAAATAAATCTTTGCCAAAGGGACAGTATAAATTGAGACAATTGCTTCTAAGTCACATCAATTTCTCAGTAAAAACCACATAGCATTGGCAAACCACATTGCAATAAAAGTCTTGCTTTCCTGAAAGACTATCAGAGTAACTTGGTAATCACTGCCTGATGGTTAAATTGACTTGAAAATTCTGTAGCTTCTCTTTCAGTTCAATGATTTATTTATGATTTTGCTAATAAAGATTCTGCTTCATGATATTAAGCAGATAAATTAACTTCTACAGTTCTAGTTTCTCATCTTTAAAAGTGAGGTGTAAAGGTGTATTATCCAAGGTTTCTTTCATTTCTAGCATTCTGTAATTCTAATAATTTGGTTGAGTGACCCCATAGGAGTCCCAAAATCCAATCTTCTGCTTACTGCCGGAATCTTTTTGTTTTCTTATGAAGTCATGCCAGAGGGTCATGCAGTTTTAACTTGAAAAATCTCCTACTATAGAACACCTTTTAGGGAAGACAACTCCACTGTCTGACTCTTCTAACTGTGAAACAGTTCCTTACTTTGAGATATGGCTGCCTTCTCTTCTTCTAGGTAATTGCTACCCAATGTTTAAATTTTGCTTTTTTGAGGAGTAGTGTAATACCTCTTTGCTCTGACAGTCTATTAAATATCCACAGCTGGCATGTCTACCCTCAGCTTCTCTAAAACAAGCTCATTCAATTCCTTTAGTCATAAACATATATGACAAGATTTCCAAGCCTGTAAGATTTAACAGTCTCTTCTAAATCCAGAATTAATGACCTTCAATAAATTTACCATAAGTCTTTGGAAAAAAAAAAAAAAAAAAACACCTAAAAAATGTGACTCAATGGTACGGGCAGTAAAGACAGATTATTCATACATTTAGTCCTTTTATTTTTCCAGGATAATATATTTTGACTTTGAATTTAGAAAACTAGCTCTAGATTTTGCTTTATTAAAAAAAACTTATTAACTTGTTCAAGTTACTTAATCTCTTTGAGAGTATCTTCTCAATTGTAGGGCCATTGTTACTGTCCTCTTCATCATGTATCTGATTATTCTGATATAATGTGTGACACTTTGAAGTTTTTAAGTTCATCTGTAACTGTACAGTTTTACCAATAATTTTTGTATTTGTGTTTGTCCATAACATTGTTAAGACGGTTTTACTTAAAATGTATTTTTGGTAAAGGACATGAATAGACAATTTTAAAGGGAAGACATACACATGGCCAACAAGTATATCAAAAAATGCTAAACATCAATACTATCTAGAGAAATGCAAATTAAAACCACAATGAGATGTGATCTTATACATGTCAGAATGGCTATTACTAAAAAGTCAAAAAATAACAGACGTTAGCGAGGATGTGGACAAGAAGGAACACTTAAACACTGTTGGTGGGAATGTAAATTAGTACAACCTCTTGGAAAAGCAATATTGGGCCTTCTCAAAAAACTAAAACTAGAACTGCCATTCTATCCAGCAATCACACTACTGGGTATCTATCCAAAGAAAAATACATCTTTATGTCAGAAAAGATACCTGCACTCATATGTTTGTCATAGCACTGTTCACAAGAGCAAAGACATAGAATCAACCTAAGCCTAAGCATTCATCAATGGATGGTTGGATGAAGCTAATATACACATGCAATGATATGTATATATATATATATATATATATATATATTATATATATACACACACACACACACACACACACACACACACATACATACACATCACACATACCATGAAATATAGATATACACACACACAATGTGTATATATATTTATGGCTCTATTTGTGTGTATATATGTACACAATGAAATTCTGTCATAAAAATATTGAAATACACACACACACACACACACAATGAAATTCAGCCCTAAAAAAGAACAAAATCATGTATTTTGTAGCAACATGGATGGAGGCTATTACCTTGATCATTCATACTGGGGAAGGAAGAGGACAGTGTGACCACGAGGCATAACCTGTCATAAACTTTTCCCTCTCCTCCAGATTTGGCCACAATGGTTAGCAGCAAAATAACTCACAAATTAAAGTCAAGTACCTCTGAGATAAATGAAAACAAACTTCCTCCAAGAGAACAGGAACAGGACTGACCTTTTGCAAATGGTAGGGTTTAACGTGGTTAGGATGTCCTGCCCCACCAGTAGATAAGTATATATTAGTTTCCTGTATTGCAAGTGAGAAGTGAGAGGACAGAGATATCAATGTTCCTCTTTTTTTTTTTTTTTTTTTTGAGAGGGAGTCTCACCCTGTTGCCCAGGCTGGAGTGCAGCAGTGCAATCTCTGCTCACTGCAAGCTCCGCCTCCCAAGTTCACACCATTCTCCTGCCTCAGCCTCCCGAGTAGCTGGGACTACAGGCTCCCACCACCACGCCTGGCTAATTTTTGTATTTTTAGTAGAGACGGGGTTTCACCATGTTAGCCATGATGGTCTCGATCTCCTGACTTTGTGATCCACCCGCCTCCGCCTCCCAAACTGCTGAGATTACAGGCATGAGCCACTGTGCCCAGCCAATGTTCCTCTTTTAGTGTATGAATCAATGGATTAAGAAGAGGAACATATTTTCACATGATGATTAAGCTGATGAAAAGGATTTTGAACCATCCAGACAGTCTTGATGTTAGACTAGACCCAGTGACCAAAGAGAAAGAAGAAAACAAAATAGTTTGTGTGACAGAAATTGCTAGTTCAAATATTTGCGTGTTCCTTGATATTTCCCAGGCTCTTTTCCACTTAGAGACCGTGTAACTACATTTAAGCCAAAATGATGAGAGGAGAAGTGATGTAACCTATGCACCCATAAAACACTCCACAGAATCCCATACAACCCTATTCCCCTGTTGTGGTTACACAGAGGTCACTGCCTTGGGTTGCTTAACTACAAGTTGGAAGCAGCCCACATCCTGAGTGAGTGAGTGCTTGGACGAGACCCATGCAGAGACGCTCATAACTAGTATAGACACTGGGATCTATTTAAGGGTGGAAGATAAGGACTGAAATGCATTATAAATAAAAAATTAACTTTTGTAATATTAAGTCACAGAGAACGTGAAGTTTGTTGTGGCAACTAATGTCAATTAATATTAATTCACCTGGAGGTGACACAAAGATTAATGAGACAGACCTTGTCCCCAAAGATGTTTTGTCTATTAGAAAAGACAAGGTATGTACTATGTAGCTTAAGGATACATAGTACATATGTAGTCCTACATTGGTAGTCCTGTCATTAAGAGGTAAATCTAATTCCCCTCACTCTGAATCTAGGGTAGCCTTCTTGATTGGCCTCAACAATAGAATGTGGAAGAAATGACTTTTGATGTCTGGTCATGAGACAGTTTCTGGTTCTATTTGGACTGTTTGGAACCCTCGTCTTTGAATCCCTGAGTAGCATTGTGAGAACTTTAGCTTACCTGAGGATACCATATTATAAGGAAGCCCAAATAGCTACAATGAAGAAGCTACGTGGAGAGAGACAGAAAAAAATGTTTGCTTGATCCCTGGACTTTTCAGCTCCTAAGAATTTTAGCCGTCTCAGCAGAGTCAGGAAACATCATAGAAGACAGGTGAGTCATCGGTGCTAATGCCTTGCCTAAATTCCTGCTTCATAAAATTACGAGACATAAAATTATGGCTGTTTTAAGACATGAAGCTTGGGGTATTTTTTAGACCATAACAGATAACTGGAAAGAGGCATTTAAATAGGAATATAAATATAAATTTAGTATCCATGTATGCATATGTGTGTGTGCATGTATGTGTTACACACACATGAGATAGAAAGCAAAATGGACTCTGGTAGAAAATTAGAAAGGTTTGTAAAGATATAAATGCAATGCTAGGGAAATACAAAAATGAAGAAATCCCATTCAGTGGTAGAATTGTTAGGGGAAGAACTATTCCTATTCTGTAAGTAGCCAGTGGGCAAGCACTGAGTCCAGCTGATGTATCATTGTGTCTGTCATACCTGCCACCACGCCTGTCGCATGGTGGTTGCCTATGAATGTTCATTAAATTAATAGAATAAGTAAACTAATGCTGGTGCATTTTTAAAAGAATCTTGAAGGAAAGACTAGATTTGCTCACACGGAAAGTGATGGAAGTGGATGACAGTGAAAAATTCTAGGCCAGTGAAACAGCATGATCATCACACAACACACACAGACGTGTGCATGAAGACCACAGAGGAGAGAAAGGGGCAACCTGATACATTTTAGAGTACAAAAATAGTGAGAGAGAGAGAGAGAGAGAAGGAATGGTCAGCTGTGGTTTGAAAGCAGACCCTCGAAAAATCTGGACTTCATTTTGCAGGCATTGAAAACACACACTGATTCTTTCCTGATAAAATGTAGTGTCATGATAAGAACTCTTTGTTAGGAAGATGGATAGAGCAGAGGAATCTCAGACAGACTGGCCAATCATTTGCAAACATCAGAAGTCTAGAAATAAGTTTTAAGCAGCAATGTGAGAAATTTCAGTTAAAAGCAAGAAGAGTGATTAGCAATTAGCATTAATCACTGAGGGGATATTCACAATCCTCTTCATTTAGTAACGCTAAAATACACGCGATCTGGTAACATCGCATGTCCTTTGCAAATACACAATTCTAGAATATTGTGATAATTCCTAAGGACATACTCAACAAGGCTACATTTTGACTCATTATGCAAACACTTAAAATATCACGTGTGGAAGTTTGTGGGCATTCCCTCAGAGTGCCACATGTTAGTAAAACTGGCAGTATAGTATCTGAGTATCACTTTCTCCTTCCAGAGAAATGTGGGCTTTTTTGTAGCAACATAATAAATTGAGAGCTGTATTTATGAGCCTGAGTATACTGTAGGTTGCAAGAGGAGCAAACCGACTATCTATACTGTCATCTCTGCTATCTGTATGCTATATTAAGCCACATATGTAATGAGGAGTGGAGCAATAATTAAATCACTGAGTGTCACTTTTATCTCTCTGCAGCATTGCTTCTGTGGGCAGACTAGGAAGAAAAGTCTGTTCTGAGGCTGCAGGCAGCTTAATTTTTTTCTCTTTCCAAGATGATAATTTGAAGCATCCAGGACTATTGTATAAGTCTCTTCATATTAATACATGAAATATATTATCAAGTAATTATAAGATCTAAAACTAGTGAATATTCAACCTGAGCTAATATCTTTTTATAATTTTTTTTTAAAAGCAGTATCAGAGACAGGCAGACTAATTTTCGTTAACAGAATTACTATAACTTAAGTATATCAATATGAGTGTGGTCTTTTTAAAAACCAAATTCTTGCAGTCATACACAAAGTCTCTAATGACAATTCCAGAAGATCCTTTGAAAATGGGGAAAATATATAGAAGAGAAACAAACACCACAGTGATTGTTTATATTAAAATGAATGTAACTACTATCAGACCAGTTCATTTTTACATAGTGAATACCTCTAGAAAAATATGTAGAGTTAATCACTCTCGATTTTCAAACTAAGACACACACAGGGAAACAAATAATCATATTTTCAGGGAAAATAATACATGCCAGAGAGGAACACATAAATAATAGATCTTAGTAGAGAGTAGTTACAAAGGATCATGTTTTGTTTCTTTTTTCTAAATCGATTACTTGACTACTGTTCTTTTTATAGTTTTGCTTTGGAATCTGTATTTTAAAAAGCCTACACTTGACAGTCTGTAGCACACAAATGACTTGGAGTACATAAACTCCTGTGTGAATAATCTATTTTTATAGCCAGGGCTGTTTTCTACCCAGATATATAACATTCACATGGCCCAGTCACAAATACCTGCACATATATAATACATGAAAAATAAGAAATTAAATTATCTTATCCTTTCAGTTTTTCCTTTTTTAAAAAAGCAACTCCAGGAGCTTGACCTGTTATTTCATTTATCTCTTCTTCCAGTCCTCTTTTGCTTCTCTGTTTTGCTGTGTTTTTCCTTTTTAGTAGAAGAAAGGAGAACAGAGCGTAACTATCCTAGAGGCACTTTTTACTGTTGTTGTTTTGAAAAATTATTTTTCCTGCAGTGACGGCAGCACTTATTAATCTTTTCCTCCTCTTGGTCTCAATGATTGTCTTTCTCTCCTGCTCTTGCCATTGGAAATATGTAGGTGCTAAAAATTATGTCTTTCTTCCAGGTGTCTGTGCTCCACTGGGAATTAGCAAAAGCGCTGGGGTTTACGCTGATCTCCCTTGTGCAAAGGGGAAAAAAAATACATCAGTGGAACCAAGTTTGCTCTGAAGAGCCAGTATATGTTGAAACATCTTTCAAATTCTAGGTCAGCAGTGAAGAGCAGAGAAAGCCTTCTTTATAAAGAAGTCTTATGTTCTGCCTAATTATTATGAGTTTCAAAGAAGGAGCTGCTGTCAAACCACTTGGTTAAAGTAGTTAGGTTTAATGAGTTTCATTCCCGTGCTTGTGTCTGGGTTTCTGAAGTTTTCCAAGCCTGTACCAATTGTCTAGGCAGTTATCTTTGTTGAATAATGCTCATTTGGTAAAAGCTGGACACAGAGGAAAGCGCCCTCCCACCTCTGGGGGCTTCCTTACCCTCTTATTTTGATTGTAAAACAAGCATCCCAGGGTCAGGTTAAGGGAGTCATGGTGGACTTACGTTTCCTTGCTAAGTTTTGCAAGAGACAGTGATTCGTGTTTTACTGATGCCTATACTAGAGCAAATGTAGTGAGTAGTATTTGTGAAAAAGGGCTGTAGGAGAGAAGGAAAGGAACTCAGAATTTGTGAGAGGAAAAAATGCTTTGAGCCCCTAACTAAAATTTTGTACAACGTTAGGCTTAAGTCAATCAGTTAGTAAATATTCACTATTAGATTGATTTATTGACCATTTTGTCTGGACAAAATGACTACGCCACTAATCATTTCGCTGCAATCTTGAAGTACATTCGTTATTGAGAAAGTTAAGAATGGTCCAAAATCACAGCACAATTCAATCAAGTGGCCAATTCCATCAAGTTCGATTCTGTATATTGTACTGTAGCTTGGGCTCAGCATACGAGTCAGCATGGAATTAAATGGGGATTGAATTTCAAGTGTTTAGCTTAAATATGATCAGTTAAACACAGCAAAACACCTGGGAAGTTGTCAATTAGGAACCAACTGATTTCTAAATAGCCCACTGGCTAAATGACCTCATTAATTTTCTTCTTTCCTTACCAGAGTTCATCCATATAAGATATTTAATAATGTCTTCTAAGAATAACAAAATAACTATACCTGACATACCTGTGGAATGGCATTGCTGGTTGATGACTCATTGTATGTAATCATAGTATATTTTCCCTATGACAATATCCTTCCAATCTCCGTTAAGCTGATGAAACAAATGTTTAAGAATATGTGTCAAATCCTAGTGTATTGTAAGTTGCTCTTTTCCAGTGGCTGAATAAATACATTAATAGATAGAAAGCCAAACAGACAAATTCTGGTTTTCTATTTCGTACTTGAATGTGTACTGAAAGCAAGAAAATTCTCATAAACTTTAAAACTTGCTTCCGGTTATCAATGTAAAAATAATTAATGTGGTACTTCCCTCTGTATAACTCCACAGCTTATATGCTTTTTGTTATACTACACTGTCTCTCATGTTATTGTGGCAAGTTGGGACAAAAAATAGACCCTGGGGTTGGCTGAGCAAGTGGAAATATGGCCCTGGGACTTCATGTTCCCACCAGCATGCAATTCATAAACAGTATGGTAAAAAGGTAACTGAAATACAGACAAGATTCCCAGAGTTAGCCAGTTCATTCACATTTCTCAGAACAAAACTAACTGAATTTCCCTTTCTGGACCTCTAAATATATTTTCTGACAATCCCTGGATAAGGTAAAGTCTATAGCATAATTCAAAAATGTCACAGAAATAAAAAAAAGAACAAAAAGCCTTAATTCAAGCTCTATTTGTCTTAGTTGGGGGCAGAGGATCTCCTAATTTATCATTATCAATCTCTCCCAGTGCTCAACTCCACCCCCCCCACCCCCAAAAGGATATTCACTAACTAGAAATATGTTTCAGAACATTGTTGGTTTAAAAGAGAACATTGTGGCCGGGTGTGGTGGCTCACGCCTGTAATTCCAGCACTTTGGGAGGCTGAGGTGGAAGGATCCTGAAGTCAGGAGTTCAAGACCAGATAGGTCAACACAGTGAAACCCCATCTCTACTAAAAATACAAAAATTAGCCAGTGGTGGCGGCGAGCACCTGGAGTCATGGCTACTTGGGAGACGGAGGCAGGAGAATCGCTTGAACCCAGGAGGTGGAGGCTGCAGTGAGCCGAGATCGCACCACTGCACTCCAGCCTGGGCAACTCAGTGAGACATTGTCTCAGGAAAAAAAAAAAAAAAAAAAAAAGAGAGAGAACAACATTGTATGTGCATGAAGAATGGCAACTTGCACATTCATAGAACTATTCTTCTTTAACCTTCATTGTTTCACTAGAGGTAAAGTACTGTCTGATCTAGTAAATATTACCAAATTTTTTTAATTTAACAGATAACTCTATTTTCTATTGGTTGTGGACTTACTAGCATGGTAGTGAACACCATGAATGTGGAGTGAGCTAAGCTTGTTTTCAGATTCTTGCTCCATCACTCCCTGGCTGGTGAATTTATTCACCCTTCACTCATTTGGTTTCCCCATCTGTGCAATACTGATTACAATGTCCCTTCACAGGTTTTTTTTCATTTTAATCACTTCATTCAACAACTTATTTTTAAATATGAGCCAGGGAAATGCTGGCCAGACAACATGGCAGTCTCTATTCACACAGAACTAGTGCAGCAGTTTAGTCAAGGATTAAATTAATATATATGCGGTGCCTATTGCAATACCTGTCCTATAGCAGGCTCTGATTAGCAGTTGCTCTAGTTGGTACACATTGAGTTTATGTACCAGACATATTGTCTGGTTCCACCTTTTTTATCTTTTCATCCTCAAATTAGGCTCACATAGGTGTTTTTATCCCTGTTACACAGAATGGAAAACTTGAGATCAAAGAAATTACCTCCCTAAAGTTACACAAAAATAAATTTTGGAGTTAGGTTTCAAACATAGATCTGTTTGACACCATACAAGTAAATAATGAGATTCCTCTGATCTAAAAAGAAGGGGCTAGCCATGTGTGAAAACTCGGTAAACTCCATGTTTAGTCAAAGCAAACAGGTTTTCTTCCCTCCAGCAAATATGATCTACTTGAATTTCCTTAGCCTCTGCATACTTAAGTAGACCTGTTTCACCTGTGGTGGTTATGCTGTTATTTTGTTTACCATACACACACACACACACACACACACACACACACACGATAGACAATATATAGGTAGGTAATATATATACACACACAATATTTTGTAGACAAAATATATATGTATATATGTGGATAATATATATGTACACATATCTATAAAATACTGACAATAAGCATTAGCTATTGATTTCATTTATGCCTACAAATATCTCATTATGATATACAAGGTGTGTGTATATTATTCATGAAGACACTAATGTGCTACGTTGACATGCATGATTTAGATGCATTAAAATTAATATGTAATGGAAAACTCTTAAAAATATTTTTGTACAATTTATTTTATTTTTGAGACAGGGTCTAGCTCTGTTGCCTAGGCTGGAGGGTAGTGGCGTGATCTCTGCTCACTGCAACCTCCAACTCCTGGGTTCAAGCCATTCTTCCACTTCAGCCTCCCAAGTAGCTGGGACCACAGGCACATACCACCACACCCAGTTAATTTTTGTATTTTTAGTAGAGACAAGGTTTCTCCACGTCGTTCAAGCTGGGCTTGAACTCTTGGGCTCAAGTGATCCACCCACCTCAGCCTCCCAAAGTGCTGGGATTACAGGTGTTAGCCACGGTGCCCAGTCTTTTTGTACAATTTAAATATAACCATCTAATAAAATAATATAATAGACAGCAAAGTAAAATGAATCCACTAAACATAGGCAATCCTAAACATGAGCAAGACTTTAAAGAGACTGATTTACTAGATGTAGAATCTTTCGATGTCATTGCAATGGCCAGTGTATTTACCTAACTGGCCAAATAAGCATTATATTGTAAAAATATCAATTAAATCACATATACATTTATTTAATATTTTCAATTATGTAAACTAATATAACACACCAGTGACTTAGTGAATGTTATTATTTAGATAAGATTAAGGATGACTTTGGTCATATTTAAGTTTAAAAGAAAGGATTTAAGTAGACATTTTCTGATCTTTCCTTCACTCAAATTTCCTGTCTTTGTGCATCTGGTTACATAATTGGCTTTACTTTCAGTTATTATGTGAGAAATGTCCCATTTTTCTCAAAGCTGACCTCACTTCTTGTGCTCTGGGTCCCATTCAATAGTTACTTGAAACATCTAGGCCGGGCGCGGTGGCTCACACCTGTAATCCCAGCACTTTGGGAGGCCGAGACGGGCAGATTACAAGGTCAGCAGATCGAGACCATCCTGGCTAACACGGTGAAACCCCGTCTCTACTAAAGATACAAAAAAAATAGCCAGGTGTGGTGGTGGGCGCCTGTAATCCCAGCTACTCGGGAGGCTGAGGCAGGAGAATGGCGTGAACCCAGGAGGCGGAGCTTGCAGTGAGCTAAGATGGCACCACTGCACTCCAGCCTGGGCAACAGAGTGAGACTCCGTCCCAAAAAAAAAAAAAAAAAAAAAAAAAAAGAAACATCCAAAATCTGCAATTACATCTACATTTTCATCATTCTGTCTCCCTACAAGATCTTCTAAAAACAATAAAAACAATATACATGTTATTACTTCCAGTCTTAAGAAAACAAATCCTCTTTAACTTAAGGTTGGCAGATTTAGCACGTAAAAATAGAGCAATACACAATACACACGGGACATACTTATACCAAAAAAATAAAAAGTATATATTGACTATTTCTAATTCAAATTTAACTTGGCAATTCTGTATTTGATCTAGTATCCTTACTAACTCACATTCACAGTGAAACCTCTTGAAAATATGTCTTTTATTGTTATCTCCACTCACACACCTAACATTTTCTCTGCACACTTCTCCAAATGAAACTTATTCTCAAACCTTCCAATTAAACAACTTTGCTTAAGACCACCGACGACACAAATGTATTCAAATCTAGTTGTCTGCCACCTTTCTGTTCAAATTTGATTGACCTCATTCTCCTTCTTGAAATATTTTCTGGTCTAACTTTTATGACACCATACTTTCTAGTTTTTTTTATTTGCCTTAATAGAATACTATTGACTCTGGTTTTCCAATTTCTTTGCTGGCACCTTTTCTGAGGTTCAGCCTGTATTTTTGGAGAATACTCACACAGGATCTTGTTCTGAGATCCCTTATATTTTAAATGAACAAAGTCCCATAAAATGACTTTTTCACATTTCAAACTTGTGGCACTACATGTCATCTAGATGCCAGTGACTCCAAAAGCTGAATTTCAAGCCCTAACTTAGCTTGGAACTTCAGACTCTAACATTCATCTGTTTATTCGACATGTCCATGTGGGTGTTTATTAGGCAATTCAACAGTAACAATACCAAAAAGAACTCTGTTCAACCCCTACCCAAAATATTTCTTCCCTAGTCATTTTTCTCTCAGTAAGAGGCACAAAAACCCACCAAGTCATTCAAGTAAAATACAAAAAATCTTGGATTCCCTCTTTTCCTTACCTTAGATCAGACTGATCAGAAAAAAAATCCTAAGGACTTGAGATTGAAATTGGTTCACTTCACTCCATCTTCATGTCTAAAGCCCTAATCTAAGCCATATCATATCTCACTGCAATTCCATTTTAATGGTTCTCTCAAATATAGTGTAATAGTTACAAGCAGAGACTCAAATTAAATGTAATGTAATTCAAGTAGATTTTGTCTTTGACAATGCCAAAAATCAGAAAATGTAGTTACACACATTTTTTATAAGTTCAGTATGGAATTTTATTTTCAAGATTAAGATGTTTGTGTGATTATTTGGAAAGGTACTTACTCATTTACATTTATTAACCACTTTTAAAGTTACGAGTAAATACCAAACTATAAAATGGCATTATTCCTAGATTCATGGTATTTTCAAATTAATTTAACCAAATTAGCTTTTGTTTAAATAAAATAAATATAAGCAATAACCCAACAAATAAAAATGAATGAATATAGAGAAGTAAAAAGAATATTAGTGAAAATGAGAACCTATATAAGCACTCAGAGTTGGCAATACTGCTTGGAATGAGAGCGAGTGAGTAAGTAGTTGGCCCAAACCATAGTATGGATTCAAACAGTGTTCTGAAAGGGAAATCATTAATTTTCTATTTCTATTCCAATTACAAGAAGCACCAATACATGATGGACAAAGGATACAACATTTCAACTAGAGAGTGAAATAAGTTTGATTTACTGTACAACATGGTGAAGATAGTAATAATATGCTGTATTCTTGAAAATGAAAAAGAGTATATTTTAAGTAGTCTCACCAGAAAAAAAGTATATGAAATAATTTGTATATTAATTAGCTTGCTTTAACCATTTCATAATGTATACATATTTCAAAACAACATGAATGCATTTTATTTTCTAAAATATATAATTTTTTAATTTGTCAATTAAAAAATAAATAAATAAGAAATAAAGCTGGGCATGGTGGCATGTGTCTGTAATCTCATCTACTTGTTAGGCTGAGGTGGGAGGACTGCTTGAGCCCAAGAGTTTGAATCCAGCCTGGGTAACAAAGTGAAACCCTGTTTCCAAAAACAAAACAAAAGAAAAAGAACAAAATGGAGACCAACATAATACTCAGGTTTGACCTACAACTTTGGAGTTCACGGGTAAGAACAGTAAATTCAGAGGTACTAAATTTTAATTGTAATAAGGTAGCACTTGTTGAATTCTTACAATGTGCTGGCAAAATGCTACGTGTTTATTTGGATTGCCTAGCTGAATCCTGGCAATGTGTTAAGATAGGAACTAATGTGCTAGTTTTACAGATGAGAAAAGTGAAATTCAGAAGAGCTAAACAACTTTCTAATACTTTACAGAAACTGATTTACAATAGCTTAAGTGTAGGTATATTACAGCAAACTAAAAACAACGTGCAAAAAGCTGCTCCAGTCAGCTCAGGTGCGGCTTTAGTCAATATTCCCAAAATATATTTTCTTGAGCTTTTAATAGAGATCTCATGTAGAAAGGTCTGTGGTCAAATACATATGTAAAGTAGCCTACCATTTTTCCCTTCATGGGTACTTACATTGCATATTTCAAGTTTTGAAGGGTTTTATAAAATTATTTAAAAAAAGATTACATTTTTAAGTCAGCAATATTATTCAGGTGATTTATTTTTCTTTTAAATTGTGGCTACAGAGTTAGAAACAAACTCAAAAGGACAGGGTTGATATTCCAAAAGAAATTCATTGAGTGGAAGTCGTAATATCCTTTATGGTAATAATAAAAATAATGCTAATGAGGAAATAATAATGATAACCCAAATACACTGACTATTTATACCTGATGACATCCAATCTGAGATGGCATCACACGCCCTGAGGCCTTGTTTATCAATGTGTGAAATTTTGACCACTTCAAAAAGCTTATTAGAAATGTAGAGGATCAGGCTTTCCTCAAACACATGCAATCTGATTCCGCATTTTAGCATGACAATCAGGTAACTCGTAGACTCATTAATATTTGAGAAGCACTGGCTAAAGTACATTATTTCTTAGGTTTGGAATAAGCAACCACCAGGAGAGTTGTGTGAAAATGAATTTCTTGCTCCCTATTTTCAGAGGATTTTAAGTTATTATTCCTGGAGCGGAGCAAAGACACTATCATTATCAACAGGTGGCCAGGTGATTCCAAAGTAGGTGATAGCCAGAATACATTTTGACAGTGCACATGGTTTAATGCCCCCTTAGTGTTTGGGTGTGTGAAGGGAAACAGATTTAGTGTGCTGAATTAGCCAGTATTTGTATTAGTCCATATATCATGTTGCTAATAAAGACATACCTGAGAATGGGTAACTTAGAAAGAAAAAGAGGTTCCATGGACTCACAATCCACATGGCTGGGGAGGACTCAAAATCAGGGCAGAAGGCAAGGAGGAGTAAGTCACATCTCACATGGTGGCAGGGAAGAGAGAATTTGTGCAGGGGAACTCCTCTTTATAAAACCATCAGATCTCCTGGGACTTATTCACTATCATGAGAACAGCACAGGAAACACTCACCCCCATGATTCAATTACCTCCCACTGAGTCCGTCCCATGACACATGGGAATTGTGGGAGCTACAATTCAAAATGAGATTTGGGAGGGGACACAGCCAAACATATCGATATTCAAATTACTTTGATGTCATTATTCCTGGAAAGGAGTTTCTCAGTTCCATGATCCCAAGTTGCCCATGAGTTCTCTCACTGATTCTCATGGTTATAATAACTATCCTTATGCCAATGGCTCCCAGATGCCAATGATCCCTGTTTAGATAGCTCTTCCAAGCCTTATATTTCTATATCTCATCACCTATAAAACACCTGCTGCGGTGCTGGCCCCACAAACTCAGCTCTCCACTGTACTTCCTATCCCCTTTGAGGCACTGCCCTTAGTAATGCAAGCATGAAACTGGGAGGCATCACAGCCCTTTCCTCTCCCTGCTGTGCACCCTCCCCCAACAAACACCCAATCCTACTGACTTGACTTCCTATTTCACACATTTATTTTTTTCATTGCTTCTATCTTTTTTCTTTCTTTTTTTAAACCTCAATCATTTATTGACTGGATAACTTCAAAATATTTCTAGTGAGCCTCCTTAACTCCAATCTCCTTGTCCTTGAATTCAACGTCTCTTAAATAGCCAGCGAGCTAGCTAAACATCAAATACAAGTGTCCCTTTTCTCATATCAAATCTCTTTAAGGTCATCATTGCCCTCAAGCTACAGCTGAAGACTCCTAACGGGCACACTCAGCCTTTATGAGTTGGCATTAGCAGTCTTGTATTTATTTATTTATTTTTTTTACCACTCAAGGCTGCCCACTTTATCATCCAGCAGCACTAAACAGCTTGTGGTTTTTGCATATATAAGGTTATTTGTCTGTTATCCAGTGTCTCTCCTCACACAATTTTTAAGCTTAAAATTCCACCCTTACACAGAGTTGTCTTTCTTATTTTTCTCATTTGTCAACTCCTCAAATCTTTCCTGACGTGGTTTTGAAACCCCACCCTTCGAACTTTCAAATTATATATTACTGAAACAGTCATGCAGTCCCGCTGGAGACTGGATCCAGGTTCTGCCACTAACTAGCTGTGTAACCAGTCATAATTTAATTAATCATACCAGCTTGGCAAATCTTTAACAATTTAGTTTATCATCTATGTCCTTTAGTTTCTTTTCATGGAATGTGAATTTACAGACATACCTCAGAAGTATTGCGGGTTCAGATCCCCACCACTGCAATAAAGCAAATATCACAGTAAGGTGAATCACATGAATTTCTTGGTTTCCCAATGCAAATAAAAGTTATTTTTCCACTATACTGCAGTCTATTAAGTGTACAATAAGATTATGTCTGAGAAAATAACAGAAATACTTTAATTAAAAATATCTTAATGCTAGAAAATGCTAATGATCATCTGAGCCTTCAGGGAGTCATAATCTTTTAGCTGGTACAGGCCTTGCCTCAATATTGATGGCTGCTGAATAATCAGGGTGGTGTTTGCTAAAGGTTGTGATGGCTGTGACAATTTCTTAAAATAAGACAACAATGATGTTTGCCTCGTCAATTGACTGTTTCTTTTACAAAAGACTCCTCTGTAGCATGTGATGCTGTTTGATAGCATTTTAGTTACAGTAGAACTTCTTTTAAAAATAGAGTCAATCCTCTCAAACCCTGCTGCAGTTTTATCAAGTTGATGTAATATCCTAAATTATTTGTTGTGATTTCAACCATGTTCACAGCATCTTCACCAAGAATAAATTCCATCTCAAGAAATCACTTTCTTCGCTCATCCATAAGAAGCAACTCCCCATCCATGAAAGTTTGATCATGAGATTGTGGCGTTTCAGTCACATCTTCAAGCTCCACTTCTAATTCTAGCTCTCTTGCTAATTCCACCACATATACAGTTACTTTCTTCACTGAAGTCTCAAAATCCTCAAAGTCATCTATAAGCATTGGAATCAATTTCTTCTAAAAGCCTATTAATATAGATATTTTTATCTCCTCCCATGAATCACAAATGTTCTTAATGGCATCTAAAATTGTGAATTCTTTCCAGAGGGTTTTCAATTTACTTTGGCCAGAATCATCAGAGGGATCACTCTTCATGACAACTATAGCTTTAAAAAATATATTTCTTAAATTATAAGACTTGAAAGTCAAAGATTGGGACCCCTTTCTGGTGACTTTATCACCTTCCAACAAAATAATTCTGACCTAGATTTATTGAGATATAATTAACGTACCATACAGTTCACCTATTTAAAACGTACAATGCAGTGATTTTTAGCACATTCACAGAGTTGCACAACCATCACCACAATTGTTGGATTTTTCAATCTGTGAGCTGCAGAGTGGATGTCATATTAGCAGGCATGAAACCTCCATCAGAGCTCACCTCAGAGTTCACCTCCACCAGAGCTCTTGGGTGACCAGATGTGCTGTCAATTAACAGAAATAGGTGAAAATATTCTGAATATTTTTTTCTGGGTGGTAGGTCTCAACAGTGGGCTTAAAATATTCAGTAAACCATGCTGTAAATAAATGTGCTATCATCCAGGCTGTGTTGTTTCATTTATAGAGCCCGGACAGTGTGGATTTAGCTTAACTCTTAAGGGCCCTAGGATTTTCAGAGTGGTCAATGAGGATTGGTTTCAACTTAAAGTCACCAGCTGTAACATTAGTCCTTAACTAGAGAGTCAGCCTGTCCTTTGAATTCTTGCAACCAGTCATTGACTTTTCTTCTCAAGCAATGAAAATCCTAGGTGACATCTTCCAGAATAAGGTTGCTTTGTCTGCATTGAAGATCTGTTGTTAGAGTAGCCACCTACATCAATGATCTTAGTGAGATCTTTTGGATAACTTGCATCAGCTTCTACATCAGCGCTTGCTACCTCACCTGCTGCTTCGCCTTACACTTTTATGTTATGGAGACGGTTTCCTTCCTTAAACCTCAACAACTAACCTCTGCTAGTTTCCAACTTTTCTCCTGAAGCTTTCCCTCCTCCCTCAGCCTTCAGAGAATGGAAGAGTGTTAGGGCTTTGCTTTGGATTAGGCTTTGGCTTAAAGGAATGTTGTAGCTGGGTTTATCTTATTCAGACCACCAAAACTTTCTCCATATCAGCAATAAAGTTGTTTTTTTTTTAATAATTTGTGTTCATTAGATTAGCATTTTTAATTTCCTTCAAAAATTTTTTCTTTGCATTCACAGCTTGGCCACCTCTTCGGAAAAGAGGGCTAGTTTTCAGTCTGTCTCACCTTTTGACATGTCTTGCTTATTAATTTTAATCATTTATAGTTTTGATTTGATGTGAGAAATGAGCAACTCTTTTTCACCTGAATATTTAGAAGCCATTGTAGAGTTACTAATTGGCCTAATTTCCATGTTATTGTGTCTCATGGGGCAGAGAGGACCAAGGAGAGAGAGAGATATGAAGGAACAGCTGGTCAGTGGAGCAGTCAGAACACACACATTTATTGATTGATTAAGTTTGACATTTCTATGGAGGTGGTTCATGGTGTGACTATTACTCTGATGTAGGAGTAACATACCAAATCATTGATCACAGACCCCATAACAGATATAATAATAATGAAAAGGTTTGAATTACCAAAATGTGACAGAGAGACATAAAGTGAGCACGTGGTATTAGAAAAACGAATCCAATAGATTCGATGTACATGATATTATCACAAACCATCAATTTGTAAATAAAAATAATGTCTATGAAACATGATAAGGCAAAGCACAATAAAGCAAAATGCAATAAAAGAAGACATGCCCATAATCATACCTCTAGCACACATTTACTGCAAAGAGTCAATTATATAATGAATTTAAGGGCGGTTAGGTATTTTCCCAGCCCTAAATACACAATAAATGAAAACTTGTACCATTATACTTTAATTATCTTTTCATGAAAATTATCTGTGTGGGTTTCAGGTTCTCTACCTCCAGATTTCTTCTGAATAAGAAGAGTCCTCTCTGTCTCTCTCTCTCTCTCTTCTTATATTTAGTTCAAGCTCTGTACTTAGAAAGTGCTCAATAAATGTGAGTTTAATCAAATTGAATGAGAACATCTCTAAGCCTCAAAAATCTGAAAGCTGCAGCATGGCAGTCAAATTTCAGGAGATTAACCAAGGATTTTATGTAAATTTTAATTCGATTTATTGAATGGAAAGAGTTAAACAATGTTCATAGCCACTTGATTATGATGTTTTCAAAGTTCATTATTCATGGTTATATAAGTAAAAACCATACAATACTTTTCAGTTAAAATGTATGTCAATTTACTTGATGGTCATATTAGCCCAATCAGATAGAAAGTTCTCTCTTCTGGACAGATGATGAACTGAAGCTCATCTTGGCTAAGGAACTTCTCTAAAACGAAAGCTAATAAATAACAGAGCTAAGCTGATCTCTGTGATGATCTCTGATTGCTTCTATACCAGACTCCAACCACTACCCCAATGTCATCATTGCTAGTCAAATACACCCAAGTTTCTTTTCTCCAATTTGGCATAATTTGGAAATTATACCAAAAATTTGGTATAATTGGGATGTAACTTGATAAATTGATGTTTGAGAAATATATATATATTTTAAATTTTGTCACGGTCAAGTTAATTCAATTATTACATTTTATGTACTAAGAGTGTGCATTCTCACCTCAAGTAAAAACACAATATGAAAAAATTGCTAATTTGTGTCTTACACATCAAAAGGAAATCTGCACTTTAAGTATTTATTTTCAATGTTGTGAACCACCCTAGCCCTAGTGTGTATCTCCCTAATTCCCAATTCCCAGATTGCTAATTATATCCCTAACATGAGAGTTATTTCAGAATTATATTCTTTTCACACCACTCCCCACCCAGACCCATGAACATTCCCTACATGTAAAAATCAGTCACCAGAACAACAATCAAAAAGTGTCTTCGTTTTTCTGCAAGATTTGAAATACATTCCAGTCTTTCCAACATTTCATTGGCTATTCAGTCAAAAAGTATGAAAGACAGGAAATCCCTTGAGATACAAAGCAGGTGCTCTGCAAGATCGGTCACGGTCTGTTATCAGATCCTGAACACCTGCTGCTTGATCTCCAGACAATTTGCTCTCACAATTCTCTTTGCCTCAGGATCACTGACATCTATCAAGTGATCCTATGCAAAGATTCACACTATTAGTACCCCCAGGAAAACTCAGCACAACTTCTTTACCCTATATGAATATGAAAAACTGCAACAAGGAAATTCATAAGAGCCTAATAAAAGTCTTATCTTATAGATCTGTGATGTCCCAGAATGCTTTAGAGCATAATCCCCAAAATATTGCAAGATGTATGAAAAGTAATGACTAGAAGTAGCAACTAAGATACGCTCTCTGACTGATGAGGTGATGGCCTTGCCATCTGACAGACATCATGGAAATGTATATATATATATATATATTTTATATATATATATATGTATGTGTATATATATATATATTACCTGAGCTTACCCAGCGAGACATAGTTACAGCTTTCAGTCAGACATCTTTATGAAATTATCTAATATGTTTACCCATAAAGTCATTTCATTTATAATGGAGGAATAAGACATTACTTGGCATTAGATGTGTAGTAAGCTGAATTTAGGGCCAATGACACATTTTAGGCTTTTGGAGGCTTTTCTTAAAGTTTACTTAGTTCTTTTCCTGAAGGGTTTGACATACATCCAGTCTTTAATACAAAGGGAAATTTTCAGACTTGAATTCTTGAATACTTTTATTTAAGACATTGTAAACCTTAAACTTTAATAATTTTAGAATACTTTTTCTTAAACTGGTTTTGCATATTTAGAAAGGAAAGTGTAATTATAGCTTCCAATAATTATCCATTGAGAAGTGTAGGATCTAGTACACTCAATGCTGTGAGCCTCAGAAGACAAACTCAAAGTTTATGTGTACTTAATCACACATCTGTGGTAATAATGCCCGTAGTTTATGTTTTTGGTTTTTGTTGTTTTGTGAGTACATCTTTAACTTTCAAACTTTGTACCTATATGTTATGTTGTGTATTCTACAATATACACTATACAACAGATGTGTCATTAGATTACCACCAAATTTATTAAAATAAAGCAGGCTCCACAATTCCCAAAACACTCTCTCACAACTCAATCAGTTTTTCCAGTTATTGTTTCATATTTTGTTTCTTTTTCTTTTTTCTTTTTTTTTTTTTTTTGAGATGGAGTCCTTCCTTATTGCTCAGGCTGGAGTGCAGTGGTGCAATCTCAGCTCACTGCAACCTCCACCTCCCAGGTTCAAGCAATTCTCCTCCCTCAGCTTCCTGAGTAGCTGGGATTACAGGCGTGAGCCACCACGCCTGGCCAATTTTTGTATTTTTAGTAGAGACGGGGTTTTACCATGTTGGTCAAGCTGGTCTCGAACTCTTGACCTCGTGATCCGCCCATCTCGGCCTCCCAAAGTTCTGGGATTACAAGCATGAACCACTGCACCCGGCCCATATTGAGTTTCTTAAATAAAATCAAGATATTAGCAGTATTTTATTGTAACAAATGAAATCTATCAATAATTTTATTCGTCTTGCTCATGAAATACAGTATAAATGTTTTAATGTTTTAGTAATCATAAATACATTAGTCTCCTGGCATAATGTCAAATATTAAACAAGGATTATTAATATATGGATTTCATTATATCACTCTGTCTTTTTGTCATTTTAATGACTCTCATTATGCAAAGGGAAAAGTCACTAATTACTTGTTTCTCATTTTAGAATAATTTCGAGGTGACAGCTTTTGGTTTGTTCTTGAAAATTTTTTACACAAAAACTTTTAAAACTTTTGCTGCCTACAAAAATAAATTATCATTCCATTATTTCTATTTTCTTTTCTGAAACATAACATTATAAGATATGGTTAAAAGGAGAAAGATTAGCAACTTTTCCTGCTTGTCATCTATGACTTCCTGCTGCTACCATAGGCATATATATGTAAATTCATTTATTGAAATACGGTATAACGCTATTGCAGAACTCATAAATTAAGTTATTAGTTTTAGAATTCCTGATTTTTAATAATGTATATAAAGTTACCTTCTGTTTTATTATACTAATGCCATTTTAGAAGATGAATTTACTTATGATAATATCATTCTAATAGTCATCATAGGTTGGCTAAATACAAAGAAAACCTTTGACCTAGACTAGAATTATATTATCCTCCATCTGTGTTTTGTTTTGTTTGGTTTTTTTTTGTTTTTTGTTTTTTTTGAGACGGAGTCTTGCTCTGTCGCCCAGGCTGGAGTGCAGTAGCTTGATCTTGACTCACTGCAGCCTCCACCTCCCAGATTCAAGCGATTCTCCTGCCTCAGCCTCACGAGTAGCTGGGATTACAGGCAGGCATCACCATGCCCAGGTAATTTTTGTATTTTTAGTAGAGATGGGGTTTCACCATGTTGGCCAGGCTGATCTTGAACTGCTGACCAAGGTGATCCGCCCATCTTGGCCTCCCAAAGTGCTGGGATTACAGGTGTGAACCACCGCGCCTAGCCTGTGTCTATGTTTTTGTATGTGAATGTTTTGAATTAAGATGGATTTAAATCCGAGAATCTTAAAAGTAACTATTAAGCCACATATATTTATAGTATTGCAATTTTAATTCACAATAACACCGATGAATGTCAGTCTAGACACAGCAAACACCTGATTTAGAAAGAGGGTTTAATTTTATTATTGTTGTACTTTAAGTTTTAGGGTACATGTGCACAACGTGCAGGTTAGTTACATATGTATACATGTGCCATGTTGGTGTGCTGCACCCATTAACTCGTCATTTAACATTAGGTATATCTCCTAATGCCATCCCTCCCCCCTCCCCCCAACCCCACAACAGTCCCCAGTGTGTGATGTTCCCCTTTCTGTGTCCATGTGTTCTCATCGTTCAATTCCCACCTATGAGTAAGAACATCATGAAAAAAAAGAAAAAAGCAAAAAAAAAGATAAGACAAAAACAGCGGTTCCTGCTGCCACCACTTCTAGTAGGGCATTTGTCAGGGCAGCAAGGGAAGATAAAAGATCTATGAAATTTAGGGGGGAAAAATAAAACTCTTTTTTTTCATTAAAAAAAAAAAAAGAAAGAGGGTTTAGCCTAGTACTCAGTCACTCATTGAGCTCGTTGCTGAGACTGTCTACAGGATGAATAAAGCCTCTTATCTAATACATACCCCATCACCACAGAGGTCTACTCTGCTTTGTAATTGGTCACCCAGACACATTTATAATGGACAACCATACAGTGAGTTTAAGAATGAGGCCTGGAAACTAAAATTTCTTACTGGAAACTGATAGAGCAAAATGAAATCCAGAAATTGATATGCTGTCTCTTTAATAATGAAAAAGATTGTGGACATGGGGCTTCAAATAAAACTAAAAATATGGACCTCCTTCAGCTACAAATAATTTTCCAGTTTAACCATAAATTATGGGGTTTGGGTGTATTGAACATATTTTAAAAATCAACTTATAGTTACTTGAATGTATTATTTCAATTTTCATGAAATTTTGCTGATTTTGCCAAACAGTTTACTTTTAATTCATAGGTAAGATAGCCATAAGGAAAAAAAAAAGTGATGATGGCTTTATTTATTTTAGTAAGACTGCTATTATCTTATAGTGGCATATATCAAACAATTATGCTTATAAATCTCATTTACTTTATATGACTTCTAAGGTCTTCCCAATACTTCTGTGAATTACGAAAAGGCAAAAGTTATTAAATCTATTTTTCAGATAAGAAAAATAAGGCATACTGAGGTCCTATTTATTGTCTAATTTATTTCCTTTTTTTTTTTTTTCGAGACAGAGTCTCGCTCTGTCACCCAGGCTGCAGTGCAGTGGCGCCATCTTGGCTCACTGCAAGCTCCACCTCCCGGGTTCACGCCATTCTCCTGCCTCGGCCTCCCAAGTAGCTGGGACTACAGGTGCCCGCCACCACGCCCGGCTAATTTTTTGTATTTTTAGTAGTGATGGGGTTTCACCGTGTTAGCCAGGATGGTCTGGATCTCCTGACCTCGTGATCCGCCCGCCTCGGCCTCCCAAAGTGCTGGGATTACAGGCATGAGCCACCGCGCCCGGCCTTATCGTCTAATTTTTTTAACCCTTTTAGGTCTAGATGAAAAGCCAAATCTCTTCACTGAAAGATCTCTGTACTTCATACTAAACCAATGATACAGACATTTTTTGTTATTATTTTAAGAGTCAGGTTTCCATTCTCAATGTGCCTTACTCTGCACCCTGGATGGCTGTGAGAGTCACGTGACCACAGCTTGCTTACTAAGATGCTTTTGCCCAGAAATTTAAATTGCAAGTGAATGAGGAAAAGGCAAATAAAAAGTTCCGAGATTGCTCTCTTTGGCAGCATCCAGCAGGATCCAGAAGACACACTATTGGCAGCACCAGCCATGTGCCCCAGCCAGGCTGCTCCGGCAGATGATGCTGCCCAAACTCCCTGCAGCCTTTCTTAGACCTTGAGCATTTTCTTAGCCTCGGTCTCCAGACCTCCAGTAATTTTGTAAGCTGGAATATAAACCTCTAATAAATTATGTGTCAGTTTAGATCCACTGGAGTTGATTTCTGAATTATGCAGTGAAATCTTGGCAAGTGCACCCGGAGAGTACAAAGTGTACCACTTCAGGAGATGTGAGAACGGGGAATTGAGGTACGGGGTAATTGGATTCCAGTTCTGTAATTTCAACTATATATCTATGTGAAATCTTAGCAAATCATTTACATTATCTTGGCACTTCTCCCACTGTAAAAATAAAATCATTTGGTTAATGATCTCTGAAGTACCCCCTATGTCTAACATTCTATAATTTTAAGTTTCATTTTTGTCTGGAGACAGTGAGCTCGAGACAATGTGGTATAGAGGAAGGAGGAATGCAATGGACCTTCCGTGCAATTTAGCCCAATTCACAAATTAGTTTCTGCACTGTCTAACTTAAGGTGTGATCTTTCCTCACCCAGAGAATAGGAGAAACTCTCTTTTGAGAGTAATTATACATCTAGAGGCTAGAATTTTTTATACACAATGTTAAACATTCAATTAAAATGTGTTATTCATATCACATACACACACACAGAACAAAACATTAAAAATAGAAGCAGGTGACCTAGGTAGTAGGTATAGAAGACAAAGTATTTTAAAATAATAGTGATACATTTGTTCAAGAGAATAAAAGAACATGGAAATTTCACTAATTAGATGGAGTCTTAAAAAATAAATTAAGTGGATTATCTGAAAAGAAAACAAATGTCTGAGTTTAAAACTTCATATATGGGTTTAATTGCAGATTTGAAAAAGCAGAAGGAAAGGTTAGCAATATTACAAATAGGTCAGTAGAAAATATACAAGCTAAAGAATGGAGAGAAAAAAGTGGCAGAAAGTGTAAAAGACATTTGAGACAAAGTATAAAAGGCCTAAACCACATTTAAAGAAATGAATGTTGACAGAGAACAAAGAAGTAATAAGTGATCATTCTCCAAAACTGGCAGGTAAGGATTTAAGAAGTACTACAGTCTAATACAAAGGGACAAATATAAAGAAAACTTCACTTAACCACATAGTAAAATGACTAACAACCTGACTAAGATAAAATATTAAAGACACACACATACTCAATGCAAATACGTTTTATTTTTTTAAAAGAGGATCTCACTCTTTTGTCTTTACCCATATAAGTTAAAAACTTATTTTGACAGAAAAATCTACAGAGAGATGTTTATATTTTATAGCAGCTTTACTTATAATTGCCAAAACTTAGAAACAACTAAGATGTCCCTCAGTAAGTGAATGGATAAATAAGCTGTGATATATCCAGACATAGGGAAATTATTCATCACTAAAAAAGAGCTATAAAACCACAAAAGACATGGAGAAATATTGAATACATAGTATTAAATGAAAGAAGCAAATTTGAAAAGGCTACATACTGTGAAATTGCCACTAAATGAAACTTTGGAAAAGGCAAAACTCTGAAGAGAGTGGAAAGATCAGTGGTTGCCAGATGCTGGTAAGGAGGGAGGAATGAAGAGTTAGAGTAAGAAGAATTTTAGGGCTGTAAAACTATTCTGTATGATACTATGGTGGTGAATACAGGTCTATATGTATATAGAGAGAGATTTTAGATATATAAAAAACATTATATATAGATTATATATATATAAAACATATTATATATAGATTATATATGAAACAACAACAACAACAAAAAAATGATCTGACTTAACAGGAACAATAAAAGCCAGAAGACAATTACATGTCATATTTAAAGTGCTGAAAAATAGTTGCCAATCAAGAAATCTCTATGTTTCCAGATGAATAAAAACTGATATAATTTATCACCAGTGGATCTACTGAAACATAAATATTTAAAGATTTCTCAGGCAGAAGTAAAATGACTCTAAGTGGAAACATGAAAATGAAAGAACAAAAAAAAGCAAAAATAAAAGGTTACTATGTGGGTGAATACAAATGAACATTGATTATGAACAAAATAATAATGTCTCTACAAATGAAATGATACATGTAGAATTAAAATAATGATTACAATAAACAAAGAGCAGGAGATATGCAAATGGACTTACATGTAATAAGTTCCTAGAGTTATCTAGAATGGGGTAAAATATTAATTTATATTAGAACAGATTATGCCAAGGAAACATGTTGCAATCTTTAAGATAACATCTAAAAAAAACTTATGTAATCCTAACAAGGCATTTGAGAGGAACAATGAAATAACAAGAACAATAAATAATACCTCTGTCAATTCAAAACAAGGTGAGAAAGAAGAGAATAAGGAATGCAATACATGTGAAACAAATAGAAAATAAATAGATAGAAAGTCAATACCCAGTATTTCATAAATACATTGAAAGTGAAGTGATGAGCTACTGTGATTAAGAGAAAAGATTGTCAGGCATGATTGAAAAAACATGATATGTTCCTTACAAGGGTCACATTTATAGGGTAATAGAAAGGTTAAGAGTCAACAAATTAATGAAAAATCGAAAAGAAAATAAGAATGCCAAAGGAATTGGAGTCAGAGTCAGTCAAGTGGCAATGCCTTTACTATATTGTCTTGGGGTCCGGGGGACATCCCAACATGGGCTACTCCTCAATCCTGGGGAGTGGCCTAGGAACTTATCTTAGATTCCTTCTAGATAGGAAGGAGCATCAATTGGGAAGAACGCGTCCGGCCTCCAAGGATCTCTGGCTCACTCTTCTTCTTTGGTGTGATTGGGCAAAAGGAAAGAGTGCATATTGCTCACTCTGCCTTTATTCCAAGGCCTCGGCAGTATGTAGTTCTGCCAAAGACAGTGAGAATTGAGGGTGGGGAAAGCCATGATTAGAAAGCACATCAGCCCACGGATTCAAGTTCAGACTGTAATTAGCTTGATCCCTAATGAAATCTATACATTGATCTCTATCTATCTGATTCTCATGACTTATTTCAAAACTCCTGGAATGATTTAAGAGCAAGATCAGTTATTAATCCCCAGCTCCCAAGAGGTGGAAGGTGTAAAAGTTCTGGCTGGGCGCGGTGGCTCACGCCTGCAATCCCAGCACTTTGGGAGGCCGAGGCAGGCGGATCACGAGGTCAAGATATGGAGACCATGCTAGCCAACATGGTGAAACCCCGTCTCTACTAAAAATACAAAAATTAGCTGGGCGTGGTGGAGCACACCTGTAGTCCTAGCGACTTGGGAAGCTGAGGCATGGGAATCACTTGAATCCGGGAGGCGGAGGTTGCAGTGAGTGAAGATCGGGCCACTGCACTCCAGCCTGGCGACAGAGGGAGACTCCGTCTCAAGGAGAAAAAAAAAAAAAAATTCTTAGTGAATATATCTCTATTTTCCATTTTTTTGTTGTTATTTTTTAAAATTTTTACTTCAATAGCTTTTTGGGTATGAGTGGTTCTGAGTTCTCTAAAGTCCGTTACATCACTCTGTATGCCTTTGTGTACTCGTAGCTTAGCTCCCACTTACAAATGAGAACATATAGTTTTTGTTTTTCCATTCCTGTGTTACTTCACCTAGAATAATGGCCTCCAGCTCCATCCAAGTTGCTGAAAAAGACATTGTTTTTTTCCTTTTAATGGCTGAGTAGCATTCCATGGTGTATACATACCACATTTTCTTTATCCACTGATTAGTTATGGGTACTTAGGTTGGTTCCACATCTTTGCAATTGTGAATTGTGCTGCTATAGACATACATGTGCAAATGTCTTTTTTAATATAATGACTTCTCATTTCAGTTCCTCAAACACACGTACATGAACACACTAAACGTGAATTCTTATTTATACAAATGAAATAAGATTAAGTTACTATCGAGATCACTTAAAAAAAAAAAAGAAAAGAAAGTGCAGAAGGGCAGCCTGAACAGAGTGTGTATCAACTCTGGAAGGGACTGTTGCCCTGTATTCCTTTGACATCCTTTGGAGGATTTTCCTAGCGAGGATTTTAGGTGCTGATTGCATGAATGACACACAGAGTAGGTAGCCTCCAATTGATTAACTGCCTCTAATTTGACTTTGACAATTCATGCTAGTGAAAGATGGAAAAATGTATGATTCTGGTTTCAAAATATAGGAGAGTCAGGGCTTCACTCCCTTACCCATCCACTCATCGATTGGTCTGAGATTAAATGAGAACACAGAAAATAATTTCTGAGAAAGTTCCTAAACTTAGGCAAACATGTAAAGTTTTAGTTTTAAATAAATCACACCTACTGTTATAGAAACCAGTTATAGTTTTATTGGTAGTATTACTTCTGACATTCTTACTCCGAATTTCTTCTTATTTTTTCTGTTACTGAGATTGTTGATGTTCATTGATCCTTTAGACTCTTTCTGCCCTACTTAATTATACTTGGTCTTTCCTTTTAATGTTACAGCTTAAAAAAATCTTATTACTGATCTTTCAGATTTAATGATGTACACAGATCACCTTTATACTTTTACTTTTTGCTACCTTAGACTTAATGATATGCAATTGTTTGATATTCCTTTTTTGCAGAGATGTGTCACTGTTTGATTAAGAGCTATTTTGAACTAGCTTTCATCTTTTAGCATTTAAATGATCTAAGTCTTCATGTATCTTGCTGTATTTTCTTTATTATTTACTCTTCCTCCCACATTAATGTCATCTGTTGAAGTTTCTGCGGTTTTTTAAAATTTCTGCTCTTTGTTTCAAAAATTTCAAGTCAACCTTAGACTTTCTTATGACTCCCACACCCTAAGCATTGTTTTACATTTTACCTGAAAATGTTAAGAATAATTATACAGCCTGCTTTGAAACTCTTAATATTATAGAAGTATATTTTAGACAATATGAGTTTAAAAGGACCTTAGAAAAAAAAATCTGCAATTTTGTTTTTAAATAAATTATACCTAATGGAACCATTTATAGTTTTATTTGTATGAGCACTTTTAGCATTCTTTCTCTTAGGTCCTCCAGCCCTACTGACCCTCTTCCAGTTCTTCAGATGTCCTGCGTTTCCTCTTCCCCCAGGATTTTTCCACACGCTTTGCCCTTTGCCATTGAAGCTTCCTTCATTGCACACTGCCCAACCTCTCAGCTCTTTGCACATTCAATACTGCAATACTGTAGGTCTCAAGTCAAATATCACATAATGAAGGGAGTCTCTCTTGACTGCTTATCTACCTTCCTTCATAGCTCCTCGTGTTTTTCCTTGATAGCATTTGTGACAACTTATTACAAACATAAATGAGGATGTTATTGTCCCCCTCTCTAATTTTATTATAAACAATATAGGAACAGGGATGTGTGTCAGTTTCACGCCATCCTATAATGTTGCCTTTACCACATTGTAGTTTCTCAATTTCCTTGGTTGAACAAAAAAAAATATGAAAAAAAAATTCATCATTGACCCCTCACTGTGCCAGAGACTATGCTAAGCACTTTACATAGTTCAACATATTTTCAAGAAAATATTATGACTTTGATATTATTAACCATATTTTATAAAAGAAAAACGTGTCTCAAACTGATTAACCAAGTTCCCCAAGTTCACTGAAAACAATAAGTAGACAAGAACAGCTTGTTTGACCTGTGAAATTTCTGGGCCAATATATATGTGTTTACCATAAAATGAAAGAATTTTTTAGGTTCTCTTGCTCAGATTTTGGGTACCCAAGAAAGCTGTCCAAACTTTGACTGTATAAAAGAGGGCTCTGGCCAGTGTGTATGGACATGATGAAGGGACACTCACCATATTTATATTATGAGCACCAACTGGATGTCATAACACCACTTTTGCATGGAGTGGAACAGCAGAAACACAGAGAATAACTGGATGTGCAAGGGTTCTGTATTAGTTTTTTTAGTGCTATTGCTATGTAATAAATTACTATACATAAGCAGCTTAAAACACACTCATGTATTAGCTCACAGAATTGTAAGTCAAACGTCTGTCTGGAGGACTTGATTGAGTTCTGTTTTAAGACCTTACAAGGTCAAATCGAAGTATTCACTGGGTAGGTTTCCTATCTAAAGAATCTGAGAACGAATCTACTTCCAATCTCACTCCATTTGTTGGCAAAATCGAGTTCTTAAAGCTGAAGGTCTGTTCTGTCTTTTTTCTTGCTTGTTGTCGGCAGGGAGTTATTCTCAGCTTCTAGAAGTTATTTGCATATTTTCATATTTGGTTTCCTCTCCATCTTCAAACCAGCAAGAACACATTCAGTTCTTCTACTTTGACTCTTTCTGACTTTCCCTTTGGCCATCAGCCAAAGAAAACTCTCTTCTTTTAAAGGGCTCCCGTGATTAGTTGTACCCTGATACTTTCTGTTTTGATTAAACTCAAAGTCAACTAGCTAATAACCTTAAATACATCTGCCGTGTAAACTGACATAATCACATAGGATGGTATCTCACAGTGTGCAGAGTCCAGGGATTAAGGAAAATAATACTGGAGTACTACAGGTCTCTTACGCCAAAGCTTATATTGGGAAATCCTTGCTTTTGTTTTTCGAATCTTTGTCAGATACTAAGTTATAGTGGTAAGCCACTACAATCACAGCTTTTTTTTTTATATGTACACAAGCTCTTATTGCACTGTGGCCTCTTTGCATGAAGAAAATTGTGGATGCCAACTGTTTGAGCTCTTTCATGAAGACCTTTCCTCAAGCAGAAGGTAATACCAATAACGAGGCTTGAGAAATTAACTTGCCTTTTAGTACCACAGTGAGTTCTTATAAGAGTTTTAGGTTCTTTTCAGGGCTAAAAGTTAGTTTAGAGTGGTGAATGATAGAAGTTAGTGTAGAGTGGTGAATGTTGGGAAATGTTACATATTTGTCTTTCTATCTCCTGATACGCTTGCATGACCTTAAATAAGGCTTGTCAACTTATCTGGGTTTAGGTGAACTGTTTTGGAAATATTCTCTGTACTTGCTTATTGATATGTGATTGTGATCATAATTTCCTCAAAGCATGTTTTGGTGTATGCTCTATAAACTGAATATAAACTCTAAGTGAAAACACTATGATCAAATGAAAAAGCAAAAGATAGCCACAATTACTAATATTCCTACTTTACAGTTGCTTAAAAACTGAGTTGTAAAGAGTAAATCATTTGTCTGAAATTTCACAGCAGATAAGTTGTAAGTTTTGGCCTTAATGGGACAGTTTGACGTCTGAACATTTCACACCTAACCATATTTCTAGGTTGCTGCTAAAAGCAATAGAGTCAATTTGATAAAAGATAAAATAAAAATGTTAGTGTAAAACACATTCATTTTTCCAATGGCGATTCAAGATTCAGTAAAGATAAGGAAATAATTGCTTGTAATTCATTAGTAAAAACTGAAAGTAAAATTAAAACCTAAGATAGTTTTCACTCTTAGTATTAAGATCAATTATTAAATCTCTAAATGTCAAGCTCTGTAATGGAAAAATCTATCATCTCTCTCAGCTCCAAAAACGAAGCACAAAGGCCACCCTGATAAAAACAGAAGGAGTCTATGGGTGGTGAACACTTCTATTTCCTGAAGTTTATTTGTTGTGTGTGGAAGGAAAGTTATATACATCTCTCCCATTAAAGAAATTATTTAAAAAGCTGCACCAATTCAAAATTGGAAAGAATTCACATATTTGTCAGAGCTTGAGTGGTTCTAAGAGTAGTAAAAAGGAATTTTCCGTAGTAACACTTACAATTTTGTTATCCACATAGAATTTTAGAATGTGATGGAAACATTAAGATTGTGTGATTAAATGTGCATATTTTAACAATGAAGAAACTGAGAGCAAGGGAGGTTACCTAGGTAATTTTTAGCAAGATTCAGTGGCAGATCTCAGATCAGAAGCTATTAAACCTCTGGGACATTTTTTAATCACACTAAATTATTTTCTATCATTTTATAGAAATCACACTTTTTCTTTTCAAATTAACCACATAAAAATGTTTATCAGAGTCTAGTCTGAAGACTGTATAAATAAGAATTACCCCAGTCAGCTTATCAAAAAGGCAGAAATTGCATTTTCTTAGGCTTTAACCTGTGATGTACCGAATCGGAAATTCAGGATGTGTTATCATAATAAGTATTTTTATAATCTTTTAGGAGATAAAGTTTGAGAAATATTGCTTTTTGAAATCTAGATTATTTACTTATTTACTCATTGCAGTACATTACAGTTTTAGACTCTTGCTTATACCATAACAATAAGCGATTAAAATCTTCATATTCCCTTATGGCTTGTAGCTTTAATTGGCTATTCCTACTTCTGGTAGCCCAACTCTCTGTCCCAGCTCAGTGAGAGTCATATTCTTTGTCCGTTTATGGAATTGTCCTTTTCAGATTTGGTAATTGCTATAGATTGAATATTCATCTCCCCCAAAATTTATACGTTGAAATTTAATCCCCAATGTGACAGCATTTCAAAGTGGGGTCTTTGGGAAGTCCTGGAGGCTCTGCTTTTATGAATGGAATTAGTTCCCTTATAAGGGGCCCCAGAAATCTCCCTTGCTCCTTGTGCCATATGAGGACATGGGGAAAATGGCTGTCTATGAATCAAGAAGCAAGCCCTTATCAGACATCAAATCTGCTGGTGCCTTGATGTTGAACTTCCCAGCCTACACAGCTTTCAAAAATAAATTGCTGTTGTTATAAGCCACTCAATCTAATGTATTCTAGTTATAGCATTCCAAATTGACTGAGACAATAATAATAAGCACTAATTATTTACTTCTGGTTCTGCGAAAGGCACCATTGTGGACATGCAGAATATGCTTAATCCTCACAGCTCACCTGTAGAGAACATAGGGAGCAGATGTCTCTGAGTCTTTAATTTGAGCAAATTTTACCATAGACTGTTTGCTAGTAATTCACTATGGACCCTTTGCTAATAGTATTTAACACACCCAAACACAGCACATAAAATATTGACACTTAACGTTTGCTTACTGGCACTTCCACTTTAAGCTCCATATTGTAAAGAGCTTAGAAATTGTCCTTGCCATCTGCTATGTGCTGAATTGTATCTCTTCAAAATTCGTATGTTGAAGACGTAAGCTCCCAGTGCCTCAAAAAGTGATTGTGTTTGGAGCTAAGGTCTTTAAACAGGTAATAAAATAAAATAAAAATTTTAGGGTGGGCCCTTATTAAAATGACCGACACCCATATAAGGAGAGGAGAATAGGGCACAGACACACACAGAGGGAAGACTATGTAAAGAAACAATGAGAAGACAAAAAGACAGTCAACTACAGGCCAAAGAGAGAGGCTTCAGAAGATATTATCCTGCTGGCATCTTGATCTCAGACTTCCATCTTCCAAAACTGTGCAAAGCAAATTTTTGTTGTTCAATCTACTCAGCCATACTCTGTTATGGCAGTTCTAACAAACACCATCCCATTGTTACAACAAGAAAAAGTTGGACATACAAAAACAAAACAATGTGTTTCCTTGAACTTAATATACTGAGATTGTACAATGAACTACAATCTGAAATCTGGAGAGACAGAGAATTCCAGAGTCATAGCTAAGATCTGCTTATATGGAGCAGAAAGTGTTAGAGCCATAAACTATAGAAACAGTGAAATGACTTCTGACAAATTGCTGGAGGCTTAATGTGACCGAGTGACAAGAGAAACTCTTTTGGGTCAATTTCTGAGTCTCTTCTGCCCCTGCCTACACATACACCCTTTCCTGAGCTTTACCTCCAGCAACGCTGGGTCTTTAAGTGTGGGCTGTGCATATTGACTTCTTTCCAAAGAGTAGACTATGGAAAGCGGCAAAAAGAATAACTTCACAGTGGAGAAACCTACAAAACAATCTCAGCCAAATGGTTAATATCAACAATGATGGCATGTTGATAGTATGCAGCTTTGACATGATGAGGTAAGAATGGTACTTCATCTCTGTGACTTTCTCCCCAAAACTCATAACCTAGGTTTGATCATGAGACTAATTCAAGCAATTTCCAGTTGAGGGACATTCTAAAACAACAACAAAACAAAACAAAAACATCCTGATCAGCAATCCTCAAAACTGTCCAGGTAACCAAGAGAAAAGTCAAGTCTGTGTAAGTATCACAGCCAAGAGGAGCCTGGAGACACAATGACTAAATGCAATGTGATATCCCTGATGCTATTTTGGAACAGAAAATGGAAATTAGGGGAACATTAAGAAACTGTGAATTAAAGTAATAGTTTTCTTTCTCTTCCGTCCTTTCCCTATTCCCACTATTAACAGTTGTATATCTTTTCAGTATTTTCATAGAAGGACTCATATTTATGCCTTTTAAAAAATTTGAACTTATAAGATTGTAGTATACACATTGTTCTGCAACTTTCCTTAATTTATTCTACAAGTAAAAACAATTCTGTTCATTTTTTTCTATTTCACTAGTTATTAAATCGTTACAGGATAAAGAATATGTCTTCATTTTTGTAAAGTTCACTCTTGCAACGGTGTTTGACATTTGTTAAGAAGTCAGTAAATATTTGTTGAATGGGCAAATGGGTAATCTGTATTTCACAAGGCATAACTCATCCACTGATCTTTTAAAGGAGGGTTGTAAGAGACGCTAACTTATTTGGGAGCTGAAAAGATAAATTAGAAATTTTCAAAATAGGACGAGAACGTTCACGTCAATTTGTTACTTTTTGGCGTATTTGGAATATTCTTAGAGTTCAATATATGGAAACATAAAAATGAGATAACTGAGCCACAGAGCAAATGAGAGCACCGAGCCAGTTGGCTCATGTTTTCACTTTTGCATTATGTTCTGGGTAACATATTTTAAGCAACATACAGAAAACTGCATGCAGAGAAGGAAAATATTGGTTTAAAAAACAGTATTTGTGTATAAACCTTTATATTTTTGAAAAATCTAGGTGGAAAATAATTAGAACTTTCCAATTCTGTGAAAAATGAAAATGTAACATTCTCATAACATTTCTTCGACTTCCCAGTATACTCATATGTTTTTCTCCAACTTCCCGGTATGACTGTGTTCTGCCTGTTACGTAGAATATTCCCAGATGTGAAATTCAACACCTCTTCCATAAACATCAGCACCTACACTGCACAGAAACACATAGCAGGATTTGAAGAAGATCTCATGTAGCATAAGGAGGTAGGTTTATGTAAGATCTTTGCAAATACCTTGAAATGTGAACTGGAGTCATCAGGATTCTAAATGTGTATCTTGGCTTTTATGCAGTAGGTTGAGTGGGAAGGAGAGTGATCTTTCATAGGCCCTTATAACAAATTGTTTTAGCTCCTCTTCATTTTGCTGGCTCCCTCTTCCACCCAGTTAAAGCTTCATTATTTGAGTAAAACATGTTTCTCTCCTGTGTTCAGGGCAACCATAAACATTTCCCTTTCAACTGGCCCCCCATCAGCATAGCCCTTGAGGTCCTATCCCCTTAGCTAATAACCTATCGAGGTACTATAAATTTTTTCAAATAAAGAGTTTCCTAATTAAGTGGAACTGTGCTAGTTGCTAAAATAATTATAAAATAATAAAGCTGTCACTGCATTATTAAAGCAAAACATTGCTTTAAAAAAGTGACAGATACTGTTAGTTTTAGGGAAAAGTTCGAGGGGGAAATGGGGGCATGTAAATACAATAAAATAATGTAAAAATGCCCTCTTAGCATCTTGTTCCATTTGGTAGAAATAAAATCAGAAAGGGAAACTTACAAGATAAACCAATAAAAGGAAGAATGCTCTAGCAATAATTTTGAACTCAAAATGGAATGAACTGTCTTGACAGATACTAAACTCTCCAAAATGTTTACCCTTCAAGAAGCTGATGAGCTCTCAGGAGGTTATTACAAATTTCTACTTTGGGGAGAGAAAAGATTAGATGAGTAATAATGTCTTTTCCAACTATGAGAGGATATGATTCAAAGACACAGCATTTTTTCTTTAAAATCTGAAAGTCTTTCTTCTCATTAATCCAAGGTATTAAACACCAGTGCTGAATCCAAGAATGACCTAAAAAATAAAAACTATGGGACGTAAAATATGCAAAAACACTAAAGACAGTTTAACATAGTGCTCATTCATCTGAATCCCCTTACGTACTTTGGGAGTTTAGGGAGTCCATTCTTTTAACTTACATTAATTGACTCCATTGAACATCTAGAAATATGATATTAATAGCATTTGTGTATAGACAATAAAAAGAAAAAATCAGTTCACATATGAGCTGATATCAGAAGAAATTTAAGAGAATATGGAAGACAATAATGAAGAAATAGTAGTCCGTCTGAGAAGGGAAATAAGAGTAAAGTGAGTAGAATTCAGAAATAGGAACACGGAATGGAAGAGAGGTGGGGAAATGAAGGGGGGCTAGTACTGTGCGGGTTAAGACTCTCGTATCTTTCACAGTATTCTTGATTCTGTCCAAAAACCATTTTCCTTTGGGGTGGAGAGGGAAGGAATTACAATACCACTTTCCTGAAGTGTCTTGACACACTTTTAGCTTAATAAATAAATGGCCATAAATAAATTAGAGATCCCTCTAGAATGACAGTCTTAATTGACATTTCCCAACTGACATTGCATGGATTATGGCTCTAACAAGACTTTTTCTGCTCAAGACCCAACTCTAAAACCCTAGCTGTAAGATCCTGAATTTATCCTACCAGGCTTTCTTCACAAGTAGAAATTTGCCTCTCCATCTTAACTGGCTTTCTGATGACAGCTCTCTGCCTTTTCTGAGCATTCCTGGGTAGGCACAACACTGCATTTGATTAAGAAAAAAGGAAATGTCTTTCTGCCTTTCATGTAAATTGAAAGTTAAATTTCAACTACTTAAAAATTTGATGTCAAGAGATGTACATTCTAACATTTTGAGACATTTAATGGCAATCACAGATGTCAATTTTCTGTCCCAAATATTGCATTTAATATTTTTATTATCTCATTTTTAATCCATGATTTTTTTTAATATTTTGTAATTCACTGAAGAATGGTACCTCTAAAAAGTTCAAATATATATAGACAAGCCTAAATACATATTTATATGTATAGAAAGCCCAATGTTCATACTTTAACTTTCAAAACCTGCCAACAACTCATGAATGTGTGTGTTTTATTCAGCCAAGCTCATAGCTTTCTTGTTTTATGCCCAAGGCTTAGCAAGTAGAGTTTCAAAGCATCTAGCTTTAATGTATTTGACTGACATGAAATTTTTGCTTACTTTTAAAGATTTTTTTTTGCTAACTTTGCCTTTTCTCATATTTTTCTCTATTCATAATCACAAAGCTATATAAGTTCTTTGTGGATTAATACATATTGCCATTTTTTTAAACCCCAATACCAGGTGAGGTATTTTTCGAACAATAGAAAGAGAAAGACCTTGCAAAATATATGTAGACTTAACAATCATTTTTTTCTTCTTTTAATACATTTAAATGTAAAAAGATAATACATGCAAATGACGAGCTGACAGTAAAGAACTACTCATTTATCTATAAATAAGTTTAAGAAGAGCTTCTGTTTTCACTGTCTTGTGATTATTATTCAAGTCAACAAAAGCTTCCTATTTTAAAAAGACTAAGATTGTCTTTCACTTCTACTCTTTAAGAAAGTTAAAAGGAAAGGGGAATTAATTTTAAAATCTAGTATGCCCGCAGCATGGATTACGATCATGAAATGTGATTACGTTAATACATACCAGCTTTGTTGGAAATCACGTAATTCTGATGAAGAACACTAGACTTAGAATCAGGAGATCTGTGTTCTAATCCATGTTATAAAATTAATTAGCTGTGTGACCTTAAACAATTAATCTTACTTTCTGTGTCTCAGTGTCTCTGTCAGTAAAGCCACGTTCAATCACATGATTTCATGATTCTGTAATAATTAAAGCCAAATTATTTATCTCCAATACAGAGAGAGAGACACAGAGAGAGAGAGAGAGATCATTTAATTTTCTTATAGTCAACTAACATCCAGGACCTTAGTTCGGCATCAATGGAGATTTGCCTAAGAAAGACACTAATAATTTGAGATGTTGCTTTGGGTAATATAAAAAGGAATGCTTTTCTTTGGATAGCCAATTATCTGTCCTGGATTCTCTGAGACAGGATTATCTGATTCACCTCTAGGATGAAGGGAGAAAAATATATGTATATCTGAACCCTTAGCTATCCATTACATTCAAGAAGGTTAACAGACAGTCCAGGTATGAATATTAACTATTCTAGTAATTGTATATGAAGGTGCCTGGCTGTACCAGAAATGTTTATAGCTAAATATGTTTCTCCTGCCATTCCTCCTCCCATTAAAACGGTATTCTCAAGGATGCCTTTATCTCCTTTTTGGACGTTAGATATTATAAGTAACAGTTGTATATAGGATTTATTATGTTGAAGGGTTTATCTTTGAATAATTTTACAAGATTTAGGAGAGGTGCCAAGGTGTAATAGCTGAGGTCAGTCTCAGGAGCTAGACTACCTGAGTTGTAACCTGGATTTGCTCCTGACTGACTGTGAGGAATGCTGGATACTGTATGCAAATTCTCTTTGCCTCACGTTCCCTATCTGTAAAATGGAAATAACACTAGTACCATAGTAATATGGACATATAGCATCAGGATGTAATATTAAAGACAGTAAGTGATATATATGTGGTGCGTATTATCATTCTCATCACCATTATTAAGCAACCAGCATAACGCCTGGCAAAGTGTGAGTTCCTGATAAATAGTATTACCAGCACATGTGCAGGTCATTTCCATATAATATAGAACACTGGAAACTGGTATGGGAGCTAGGGCAGGGACAGTTTAGCAATGGGATTTGACCTAGGGTTCTGTCTTCTACTATAGGATTCTTTTTGGAGATATGGATTGCTTCTAATACATTTTTATGTTTAGGAATCCTAATGGCAAGAGCATTTATTTATGATTGTCTTTTACTTTTTTCATAGTAAAATGGATATCAGCACATTATCTTGGGGTTACTAAACAGAACACTGTCCCCAAGGAAGATAAGACTGAGCACTGTGGGCTGTGTGGCCTTCATTTTCATGTGCGGGTAGATTACTCTTACAGAAGGACATGAGCTTCCTAGAGGCAGAGAGTAAACTTTTTCAAGAGAATTGGAGAATGACTCTGTTATCTGAGAAGAAGTGTTACAGGAAGGTTGTTTTTATTTTGAAGATCAAAATGGAATTCCAATCCAAGCCTAAAGATGTAAATTCACTCTTTTCTCAGGGATGATGTGATTCTGAGCCTGTGAGGTGGTAGATATCTAACCATCAGTATATACTCTGTATATTTCCTTCTCCATGAAGGTGGGCTGAACCTGTGAAAATGATGAGATCAACTCTCATGATTAGGTCATGTTATGTGACACAGTTAACTTTAAAAAAGGAAAATTATCCATAGTGAAACTGACATAACCAGACCACTCATTAAAAGGGACTCCTCATTTCCCTTTTAATGGGGACAGAGATTTCACCTGAGGGAGATTCTCCATTACGGGCCTAGGAGATGGGGTCAGGGAAGACGTGGCAAGGGCGAGAAAGTGGCCTCTAGGATTTGAGAGTCACCTCTGGACAACATCCAACAAAAAATGGGGACCTCAGTATTACAACCACTAAATTCTGTCACCAACCCTATAAGCTTAGGAGAGGACTTTGAGTTCCAGAGAACGAAGACTAAATGGCATCTTACTTTCAGCCTTGTGAGACCCTGAACTCTCAGCTATGCAATGCCCAGACTTCTGCCATACAGATCTGTGAGAGGATACATGAATATTATTTTAAGCCATTAAGTTTTTAAATAATTTGTTACACAGCAACAGAAAACTAGTACATGTACTGAAAAGCTGTCAAGTTCCCAGTGCTCGATTCAAGTCTTCCAAAGTTGAAGTTTTTACCTAAAAGCTCAAATTGAATCAACAAATAAAGCCAATCAAGAGGCTCACATCAGCCACTTGGAGAAAATGTGTACCAGAAAAAACAAAGCTTCAGTAATCACCATTTTTCAAGCATTTTTTTTCAGTAAGTAAAATATACCCGCTTTTTACCCATCATTGCTTTTGCACCATCAGCACAAATGTCAACATAGTAAAAAAAAAAAAAAAAAAGCAAATACTGTTTTCCTATTATTAGAAAAAATATTTTAGTGTTCAAACTACCTGAAATTATCTCAGGGACCCTAATGGGTTCCTGAACTACACTTAAGAACTGTTGATTGAAGACAAAGATGTGCTTGTGGAAACCAAGAGCAACAGCAGATTGATCAGATTGCAAATACTCTTTTTTATCTTGGAGGTCAAATTATTTCCCTAGGCTTTTGTACTGATACAGAAAACCAAGGCCAAAACCCCCACTGGCGGGGCTGTGAAGTCCAAAGATAATGAAACTTCAGATAGAGTCAGAATCACAGCAGGTCATTTGCCTCATGGTGCTAGCAGCTAGCAGTGCCATAGGATCTGGTCATGTTGCGGTCCAGCATAGCCAGAAAGAGACATTTTCACTAGGATTTTAAGAAACTAGACAGATTCATACCTACTTCCTAATCAGCAGGCACACCGTGCCAATATGATGGCTTGCACTTTTTATGGAAAACGTGATGATTCCACTTTTTCCCTAAAACGTTTTTTATTGCATTTAGTCTTTGTAAACCTTTAACAAGTTTCATGATCCACAGAATCTATTCATAAATATTGATTAGCTGATTTTTTCCAGACATCATTGTGCCACATATAAATCCAAAAAATGGGGCCGGGCGCGGTGGCTCACGCCTGTAATCCCAGCACTTTGGGAGGCCGAGGCGGGCGGATCACGAGGTCAGGAGATCGAGACCATCCCGGCTAAAACGGTGAAACCCTGTCTCTACTAAAAATACAAAAAATTAGCCGGGCGTAGTGGCGGGTGCCTGTAGTCCCAGCTACTTGGGAGGCTGAGGCAGGAGAATGGCGTGAACCCGGGAGGCGGAGCTTGCAGTGAGCCGAGATCCCGCCACTGCACTCCAGCCTGGGCGACAGAGCGAGACTCCGTCTGAAAAAAAAAAAAAAAAAAAAAATCCAAAAAATGATACCATAAGTTATGTAAATATTATAGGTAGATATCAAATAGGGGACATAAGATATTTTATAACTTTACCAGCTCTTATTATTCACACAGAAATCTGTCTGGGTCTACATTCAGGACATATATTCATTTAGAAGAAGTATAATGACTCTAATTTTAAAAGTATATTTATTATGCAAATTAATAGCATTCCAAATTGTCCTGACTTGAAGAGTTTCTTAGCAATGAATGTAAAAGACTTAGAGTATTTTTTTCTTTTTTTCCTCTTATTTCATTTTTATTGCTATTGTAACACTAGTATTAGGTTTCTATATTTAAAACACTGATACAGATTGACAAAATACTTACAAAAAAAAAAGGAGCTCTACAATAGATAAAGTAGGGATTGTTAAATTCCTGGAAAAAGGAAGATGTAGTAATTGAGGACTATTAGAAACTGTAAAAACAAGACATGGAACCACATCATATTTGTCTCTTTGAACCAGAATAAACTTGATCACTTAACTAGTAGGTATATCATAAATACTTATTGAACTTTAATTAAAAGTGATACAGAAAGCAGAACAATTCAGACTTGTCTAGCCAATTACCTCTTCAAAATGATCTGATTTCCTGTAGACCTCTACTCTCCTCTTGTTCTCTTTACCATTTTTTCCTAATCATCTCACATCTAAAAAAAAATCATGTTCATTCTCTATACTCCAGGAACTAAGTGCTTCACCTGATCTTTGACACCCCAGGAATTCTACTGAACAACTTTTCAGGCCCAATTTTACTTTTACTTTATTTTCCTTATCATCGTTTGTCTAATTGAGATGAAATTTACTTAACGTAACATATTGGCTTATTCCATTTTGTGTTGCTATAACGGAATACCTGAGACGGGGTGATTTATAAAGAAAAGAGGTGGATTTGGCTCACAGTTCTGCAAGCTGCACAAGACACATGGTGCTGGCATCTGCTTAACTTCTGGTGAGGCCTCAGGAAGCTTGTATTCATGGCAGAAGGCAAGGGGAGTTGGTGAGAGAGAGAGCAAGAGAGAGCAGGGAAGGAATGTCCTAGGCTCTTTTGTTTAACAACCAGCTCTCGTATGAAGTAATAGGGTGAGAACTCACTCATTACAGTGGGGAGGACACCCAACCATTAATAAGGAATCCATCCCCGTAATCCAAATACCTCCCACTAGTCTCCACCTCCAACATTGGGAACCAAAATTCACAGGAGATTTGGAGGGGATGAATATCCACGTAATATCACATATATAACAAATTGGCCATTTTAAATTGGAAATTTTAGTAATATTTAGTGTATTTACAATGTCATAAGCCACCATCTCTATCTAGGTATAAAATATTTTTACCATTCCATTTTTAACAGTGTTATTGAGATGTTATTGATATACAAAAAACTGCATACTTAAGGTATACAATTTGACAAATTTGGATATATACATACAGCCATGATGCTATTGCTGCAGTCAAGGTAATAAACATATCAATCACCTTGAAAAGTTTCTTTGTGTCCCCCTTTTGCATGGAAAGTGCATTTAACATGAAATCTACACAAATTTTTAGATGCACAATACCATTTTGTTAACCATTGGTACTGTTGTATAGCACGTGTCCAGAACTTACTCATTGTCCATCACTTTTAATGTGTAAATCTCTAACCATTGCATCTTTCCTGCTTCTTGCCTTTCCTTTATTTCAAATTATCACAGCCTCCTTACACATCTGAAATTATTTCCAAACAAACTTATTCGTTTCGTATATCATCTCAGATTAGGCCAAACTGACGTCTATTAAATTCTTTGGGCTAATGCTAACTAAATTTTGTTTGCAATATTTAACCCACTATTTAGAGTTAATATTTGCTTCTAATGAACCCAAAGACACAGATGCTGAAGGGACCATAACCTAGTTGAATAGTGCAAAGTTTACTTGACTTGAAATTCTAACATCAGCACTCAAATGCAATCTCTGCTGCATAAGATATATGAACTTGGGTTCATAAGATGACCCCACAAAATTGTTTCTTATTTATACCAGGGAGATAATATTATTTCCTTCACAATGAAGCATTTTTAAGGATCAGACTAAATCACATGTGAAAATGCTTGGCAATTTGAAAGCATCCAACGCCTGTGAGTTCAATCTGAGTCTTTCCTTCTTTATCTTATCCTTTCTAGGTTTCCTTCTTCTCTTGACTCAAATGCTCTCTTCCTGTGGACCTCTACTCCTCTCTTGAAAATAGTATCCACCGTAATGACTTTGATACTGTATTAGTCTGTTCTCACACTGCTCTGCTATGAAGAAACCCCGAGACTGGGTAATCTATAAAGAAAAGAGGTTTAATTGACTCACAGTTCTGCATGGTTGGGGAGGCCTCAGAAAACTTAGAATCACGGCAGAAAACACCCCTTCACAGGGTGGCAGGAGAGAGAATGAGAGTCGAGCAAAGGGGGAAGCTTCTTGTAAAACCATCAGATCTCACGAGAACTCACTCACTAGCATGAGAACACCATGGGCAAAACCGCCCTGGTGATTCAATTACCTCCCAAGAGAAGAAGCAGAGACCACTTAGCTGGCTAATGAGTCATGGTAATGGTCTACTTCAGTGTGGTTGTGATGGGGGCAGTGAGAAATAGTCATATATATCATATCATACCCAACAAGATAATATATACGATATAATAAAAGTGGCAGATTATCTTGTTCGGTATGATATGATATACCCTGATTATCATAAATAGAATATATAAAATGATATATGTCATATCATATATTATAATAATATATATGTCATATGTGATACAGGTGGCAGATTATCTTGTTAGGTATGATATAATATAAATGACTATATATCGTAGCCCCCATCACAACCACACTGAAGTAGGGCATTACCATGACTCATTAGCCAGCTAAGTGGTCTCTGCTTCTTCTCTTGGTTGTTAACAAACTGCGTTCTGTAAAGCTACCTGAGTGATTCCCCTCGCATAGTAATAACACTACCCCTTTTTGTAGATTATTTCACCCCTTCCTATGCCAGTAAGAATAAATTCCAAAATTCTTATAACAGCTTACATGCTTTTACTCTACCAGATCAGGCATGCTTCTGAACCCAAAGCATTCTTTGTTTTTGCCACTGCCTTTACACTCTTCCTTGCAATATATTAATGTTTTGCTCCCATACCTCCATTAGGAAGTTATTAAATTCTGCCTTCTCAGTTAATCCTTCAATGATGACCATATTTAAAATTGGCCCCTCATAACACACACACACACCCATCCTCGTTTTCTGCTTCATTTTTCACAATTGCATTTATTAGCAATAATATACTATATATTTTGTTTATATTCTGTCTCAAGCAAGTAGAATTCATGAATCCTGAGATTTGGTCAGTTTTATTCACTGCAATATCCCCAGTGCCTAGAGTAGTTTCTGGTGTTCAATAAATATTTTCAAATGAAGGAATGAAAGAATGAATTGAATTTTTAAGGAAGATACAACTCCCACATGCCAAATAAACATCAGATTATTTTACTCCTAGTTATTTTTCTAATAACTTGTTCTATTCTTTATTAAGAGTTGTTAATAAGAGCAACATGATGAAGAGGGGTAAAGATTTGGGGGCAATTTATGGGAAAAATCAGTAATGAATAAAGTTCATCCACAAATCCTTGAGAATTATTTTTTTCTTGGAGCTTGGCTCGACATAGAGCTGAGTCTTTTCTTCTGAAGCTAGAAATCAATGAGACAATTAGATGCACAAAGATTCTATGAGGGTGACTGCTTTTCATCATTTCCTGGTTAAGCCAGGATCCTATTGGCAGTGACTACAGGGGGTGATTTTGGTACCTATAACGCAATCAGAGTACATATATCTGAAAGGTTTGCTGGTCATTAAAAAATACACTGAAGCTCTAAAAAATATAACAGGAGATGGTAAATTTTATTATCTGACTAAATTATTGTTTAGTAATTCTCTGAACTAAATTCACACGCACACAACTAATTATATTGGTCAACCTGAAATAAAATCCTTGCTCTCACCTTCACTAAATTTTGTGTCTCTGAATAAGAGATTTACTTTGTTTTCTACACACAAACGATACTAATCCCTCAAAGACATGTTTAAAGATTACATATTAATTATTCATTTAGTAGTTTTGGACACAGAACTACTACCAATAAACATTTACTCAGAAATATATAGCTTCTATGCAAGATGCACAGCAAACACTTTCTTTTACTCATTTACATTTTGTAGGAGGAATATATTTACAAGGAAATTTTGTACTCCAAAAATACTGCTTGCAAACCTCTACTCAGATTTCTTGAATGAAGAGAAAGGTTTGCTGAGATGCCAGCACAGCCTTTTCCTAAACATAGCACATTTTGCCATTATTGTTCTCAAGATCTACAGGACCCTTTGAAATATTTAATAATCTGTCTCCAATAAAGCTTTTCTCCTATTTCCCTAGTATGAATTTATTATTTTTCTTATGTTGTTCTCTCTACCTTTCCCCTCTTTGTCTTGTTATTATCTTCACAATCCTTTCCCTTTATTAGACTTTATTCGTCTAATAATTAGACTTTATTCGTCAAGGATTTCAAAAATTAGACTTTATTCGTCAAGGATTTCAAAAAATCCTTGCCCTTTATTAGACTTTATTCGTGCCCTTTCTATATCATGAAATGATATTTCCATATATTCCTCCTAAAACAGTATATTTTGACCTTGCAATATGTGCATATTGAAAGCTTTTGCCCTTTTTATGTTTTTTGCTCTTTGCTCCAACAATTAAAACATAAGACAGTAATGGATACATAATAAATATGACTGAATAGATAAAATAAACTATAGTGGCTAAAATGCACACACTAAAATATGCTAGAGATGTAAACATAAATAGATCTGCACCGATTTGTTCCAATTAAAATTTACAAAATTATCCCAGAAAACTTACACTAGAATTAATCAACATAGAATAATATTGATCATACTTAATTTGGAGTGCAATATAATATTATTATTGCTTGGAAATCTAATGAAGAACTTAATATTCTTGTCAAAAATCTACATTTAAAAGTTTTCACCTGGAAAATTTTGTAAAAACTTGTCTACAATAAAACTCACAAGGGTACAAATTTGAAAATGCAAATGAATCAAATATCTTCTAGGATTCAGATAAAAATAATACAGATTATATCAATAAAATGTAAAAGAAACTTTAAAATCTCAAAATAGTTTAATAATTCTACATTAAAAATTGATGAAATTAATCCGGTTTAATTAACTATGCTCTAGAAAACACAGTCTGATTAGGAAACATCATTCAAATATTTGCTTTTACTTTATAATGTAAACTAAAGGTTATACCTAAAAGTGAAGATATAAACCTATAAACACCAAAATGCAAAATGATATTAAAGAACACTTACAAAATACTAAAGTAAAATATTAATTTTTCTTGAAACCATCAGAGAGCTGATGTCACAGTAACCACGTAACCTGAAAACTAAGGTAACATGGATCTCTCCCAGGAGTGATGGAATACAAATACTGGCTCACCTGTGGCATCAGAAGAAAAATAGCACCTCTCTGAAAGCAGGTAAGATAAATTAAACTTTTTAACAAAGTGCTAAATGTTAAGTGTAGGCTAATGAGAGAGAGGAGAGAAACTTCAGGTGTGGCAGATCAAAGGGAAATTTCACTCTCTTACAGGCTCTTTTTCATGAACGTCTACTGGGTGCTCATAAGAAAGAATGGTGGTGCGGAGAAGATTGGACAGTATCTCCTTGGTGAGGCAGGCTAGAGAGAAGAAGAACCACCAGTGTAGAAAGAAATGAAATGCACTAAAGACCCTACAAAACAAAACCCCGAAATCCCTGAGGAAAAGGTAGTACATCTCAGCATCCCTAGAACATGGTGAAGACCCATTGTAGCTGCAATATATGTCGAAGAAAAGAAACCCGGCACTGTAGAAAGGAAGAAATGCATCCTGTGCCCAGACCATGAGAAATCACTGTCTGTTGGGAGAGGAGCTGAGTCACAGAGAAATGACCACTCATGCAGCATAGCAACACAGGTCCCTAAGATTGAAACAGGACTGAAACAGGACAACTAAGAACCCACCGTCATACCTACCACCCACTTTAGCAAACATCAAAACGTAAGAAAGAGAGGACTACTGCTGAGAGAAGGACAGAAGGGTAGAGAAAAGATCTATTCATAGTAAAGGCACACCTGGACAGCCTAAGGTCTCTGTGAAAAATTGAAGGGAAAACCACTCACCCATGTATCCATAATTTCTTGGTATATGATTCTCTTCAAACCAACTAAACTCCTGTCTAAATTACCTCAATTCGCAAGTCAATAACCTAGCAGAAAGAGTTGGTCCATTTCCAGGCATAAGTACTGTGCAGTTTCTGCTTTCTAAATACTATATCTGACAATGAATGGAAACATTCAAGATACAAAAAAGCAAGGAAAAAACCCCACAATACGCTATCAGGAGACAATATCTTCAACAGAATGAGACTAAGAGAGCCATATATGTTGGAATTAGTAGGTAGAAAATTCAAATTAACTATGATTACTATGATAACATCTCTCATGAAAAAGTTATAAACAAATAAGAAACTTCAGCAGAAAGTTAGAAACTCTAAGAGTAAAATGGAAATAACAAATTCAGCTTAAATTTGATTGCTGTATACATGACTATTTTTATATCTTGTTACTCTTTCCCTCTTGTTACTTTAATCTATTGCATTTTTTATATTTAAAATAAATTGTTTATTCTAGGCACAGTTTGTGGACCTGAATTATTTTACCCAGCCTTACAATTTCAGTTCTTTAATTGTTATGCTTATACCAGTTCTACATCATATAATTATTGATATGATTGACTTGAAATCTACAGAATTGATCATTGTTTTTGCTATATTCTGTTATTTATTTTTTCTTTTTTGATCTGCTGTTGAATTAAGTACTTTTTATAATTTTGTTTTATGTCTACTACTGACATTATTTATTTACTTTCCAAAACATTTTAGTAGTTACCCTAGTGTTTACAATATTCAATTTAATTCATCAAGTGGAGTTGCTATGTTGGTATCAAAGAAATACATACCAGAACAAAAAAATTTACCAAAGGTATAAAAGGACTATATGTAATGATAATTGGGAAAATAAACAAGAAGACATGACAATTGTATGCAACTAAAACAGAAATACAAAAACATGAAGCAAAACATATATACATAAAAAGAAGTAGAAAATGCACATTTATATTTGAAAATTTTAACTCTCTTCTCTAATCGATAGAATAAGTAAACATACAATTAGTAAAGATTTTGAAAATCTAAAAAATACTATCAGTAAACAGGACCTAAGTGATTTTAATAGAATATTCCACTCAACAACAGCAGAATATGCATTCTTTTCGAGTATACGTGGAGCATTCATCAAGATCTACCACATTTTGAATCAGAAAACAATATCAACCAACTTCAAGAACTAAACTAATATAAAGTATATTGACTGATAAAAAATTAAAATAGAAATCAACAAGAAAAATATATCTGTAAAAGTACCAAATATTTGAAATCAAAGAACACATTTCTAAATAATTATGGATAAGATAGAAACCTACAAATAAAAATTTAAAAAAATTTAAATAAATATAAAATATAGGCAAATTTTGTTCAATCCAGGAAAATCAGTGTTTAGAGGAAATTTTATCGCAATACCATGCTTTTCTTAGAAAATAAGAAAGTTCTTATATCAATGTTATAAATGTATCCCTTAACGAATTCAAGAAAAGAAAACATACTAAGCTCCTACCAAATTGACAGATGAAAACAATGAAGATAATTGAAGAAAACAATGACATTAAGGAAAAATATTACAGAAAAATCAGTAAAACTAAAATTCGGCCTTCAAAAATATTAAACAAATCCATATACATCTAGTAAGATTGAAAAAGTAAAAACTGAACACATAAATTGTCAGTATAATATATGGTGTAGAGGGAATCACATCAGATCCTACAGACATTAAAGCTATAAAAATGTAATACTATAAACAACCTTATTAGGTCTATAAATTTGGCAACATAAATTTAGTCAATAAATTCCTTGAATAACAACAAATAACAAAGATCATTTAATAGTCTGAATATCCTTATATACATATACATATATATTTATTTATGCAAATACATATTTTTGAATTGGCTTGTAGCTAGAATCTTTTCAAGAAAGAAAGTTTTCAGCCAAGAGAGTTCATTAACCAGTTCTACCAAATATTAAAGAAGGAATTGCATGACTACTACACAATATCTATCAGAAACATTTAAAAGAGGAAACACTTACCAAATAATTTTAGGGTCAGAACAGTTCTGATGCCTAAACCAGAAAAAGAAAGTTACAGGTGAAGGAAACTACAGACCAACATCTTTAATGAATACAGATCCAAAATACTCAACACTATGTTAGCAAGAATAATCCAGTCATATATACAAAAAAATAGTATTCATGACCAAGTAGCTTGTATCCCAGGACTCAGACTGTTATAATATTTTGGAAATCAATCAATGTAAATTACAACATCAACAGACTAATGAAGAAAATATACATGATAATTTCAATAGAAGCAGAGAAAAGCATTTGACGAATCTCCATATCCATTTACAATTCTTTAAAAATTTCAGTAAAAGAAATTGAAGAAAACATCCTCAAGCTTATGCAACAAAAGAAAGACATCCAGATTGGAAAAAAAGAAATAAAAGTATTTGCTGTTGATATCATCGTCTATGTAGAAAATCATATGGAATCTACAAAAAATATACTAGAAATAATAAATGAGTTAAATAAGATTGCATAATTAATTAATATGCAAAGTCAAATGTTTTCAATGTACTAGCAACAATTAGAACTTAAAATTTAAAAAATTATGCTATTCAAAATAAAATACTTTACATCATATAAAAAGTTATCTCAAAGCTGGATTGTGGGATAAAATAAAAACACAAATTCTAAAGCTTCTGGAAGAAAACATTAAAATTATACATAATCTCTTTGAAAGATTTCCTTGATATGACACCAAAACCATGATCCATAAGAGAAAACCTAATACACTGAGCTTTATTTTAACTTAAACATGAAAAAAATGCCCTTTTAAAGACGCATAAGAAAATGAAAAAACGTGTCATACAGTGGGAGAAAATATTTCCAAAACACATATATCATAGATTTTTATATCTTAAATATGTCTTAAAACTTAATAATAAGAATGCATAAAAAGCCCAATAACAAAGCAGACAATACATTTTAATAGACCAAAGATGATATATGTAGCACAAATGAGCATATGAAAACACCCTCTACATCATGAGACATTAAGGAAATGCACATTAAACTCACAATAAGATGCAAATATTCTCTTATTAAAATGTCAAAACAACAAAAAACACCTGTTACAAGTACTGGTGAGGATGCAGAGTGACTAGAATTCTCATACACTGTTGGTGGAAATGCAAAACTTTAGACTCTTGGTAAAATAGCTTGACCATTTCTTTTAAAGTTAATTATACATTTATCATTTAATCAATCTTTTTGTCTACTCACCTGAGAACATGAAAATGTAGATTCCAACAAAAAATATGTACACAAATATTTATAGCAGCAATATTCATAATTAAAAAAATGGAAGCTGCCTTTAGCTGCTGAATAGACAAGCTGGAAGACCCATACAAAGGAATGCTAAATAGCAATAAGAAATGAGATACTGATACATCCCCACACGTAGATAAATTTCTAATGCATGAAGCTACATGAAAGTCAGGTTCAATACATACATATATACAAACATACATACATACAAACAAATATATGCACATAAATCCTGAAAAGAGAGTCCGTTTGGCCTGAACTTGGTCACATACTTACCCTCTGTCATTATTAGTCCTCTGGTGTGAAATAGGATATGCAATGAACAGACCTTCAATGGGACATTGGAATGGCTATGCTAAAACAAGGAAGAAGGAATGACGTGCCTATAAAAATTATGTATGTATGTATATATGTATACATATGTGTGTACATGCACACATGTGTACATATGTGTACATATGCATATACACACATGCGTACAGGTATACATGCATGCAAACATTTTGTATATGTATTTCCTTATGCTTATCAAAAACTCATCTTAAACAGAAAAAAAAAATTACAAAAAGTGTTCAAGACCTTCTAGGGAAACTGGCATGATATCTAAATGACATGTCTGATAAAAATTTCCCTTACAGTCAACCCCATTTGAGCTTGCTTCTTGGATATTGATATTTATTAAGCATTTAATAAATATTAAAGTATTTATATAATGAAAAGGTGATTTAATGAACAATGAAATTTAATTAAATGGTAAGTTTGTTATTACAGACTGCTCATAGGAAAATTAGGACATTAAGTAGATTAACATATTAACTTTTCTTTACTCAAGTACATTCACTCTTTCTGCCTTCTTAAATGTCCATAAGAAACAGATAAAAAGGAGATAGATGACACACATGGTACATCTAAGGGATTTAGAAAATATAACTATATTATCTGTATAAAGTACTTTGTGAAACACATGGAAAATAAAATCTTAATAATTAAATAAACTGATGCTAAGTGTCAAACTGCATTTTTTAAATTCTAGAGTTAGATCTGATTGGATACTCACAGTAAGTACCAACCAGATCATTGCAAGCTGAGTGTCTAGAGAGAGTGGGAACCCAGCCCAGCTGGGCTGGGAAAGAGTTTACAGTTATTTTACACCCAGCATATGGATTCCTGAATGAAACACATGAGAATGCCCAGAGCAATACATCATTCCAGCAGGAAGCAGCCTTAGGAAGTCACTAGAAAAAATACACAAAAATAAAAATCAATTTCCAAGAAAGCCACTGAATCACTAGAATTTATTTGTATGAATTTCCAGAAAAATGCAACTAGTGAATCTTGGCAAAGAGAGCTAATGTTTATTGAACAACTTATTATTAAACAAGAGCTTGACAGGAGCTTAAAATTGTCATTGAAGTTATACTCCAAAGAGCTTTGGGAGTTAGGTGATAGTGTCCCAATTTAATATAAGGTGATACTAAGGCTCGGCATCCTTTAACCTGTCATTAGTCAAGGCTGTACAACCTAAGTGAATGAGCCAAGGTTCAAAGTGAAGTTTTTCTGATTTTAATCCGTCAGGTTTCCATGTTCTATAATCGCCTCTCATATATTCTTTCATTATGTTTCCTGAAATGTCTGTACAGTATGATGATTGTAGCATCCCCAAATTTTTTGATTCTCAGAGTGTGCAGGACATTTTAAAACCCTACAATGTATTATCACAGAGCTTTTTCAGAGTAACTATTTTAATTTGTGAGGTTTTTTTCTGAAGAACTGGGTTTTTAATGTTTAAATCCCTGAAGCCATCTCTAGATAATGCAGATTGAAGTAGAGTCCAATTACCTTCTATTCTAGAAATTTTTTATTGGCCAATTCCAAAAATTCAGATCATCATATTCACTATGGCATTCTGACACTTACAGAATGACCATTAACCTTGCTTAAATTCTATCAAAAGTCACTGTTAGCAAAGTACTGGGAACATAATAAGCGCTCAATAAATTCATAAATGATCTACATACCATTTGTTTAATCCTTCTTGAAATTGAATTGACTGCTCAAAATTCAATTTTGCTTTAGCTGTAAAAAATGCACTTTCAAATACATGTATTAGAAATCATTTTGCTTTACACATCTTATCTCAGATCTCTGAGGCTGCATCAGAGCTCAGCAGAATCACCAAGGAAATTGTATGCCCAAAAACATAAATTTCAATTTTAAAAAATCTTGCCAACTTGCTATTAAAAAATAATAATAATTAAAAGCAAAAAGGAGGACAGACTAAGATTTCTGCTAAAAGGGACTTATAGTGAAGACTCTTGTGGCATATGTTCCAATTTTAGGGAGCCAATATGGGCCAGAACAGACAAGAAAAGACCACAGAACTCAATTTGACACAAGAGATTACAAACCAACTTGAAGAACAGACAAAAAATAAATCCTGTCCTTGTGATATGTCTAATAATATTTATGTATGCAATGCAACAAAAGGAAAATAAATATACACTGTTTTGCCACACTAAAGAGAAGTGAAGGTTATAATAACTAACATTAGTGTTGATGCCCATATATTTCTCTAAGGCTTTTCATACAAATTGAGATGAGCCACATAATAGAATCAAAGTAAATAAAAGCTCTGTGGTTGCTTGTTGCCTGTGAGATGGGGCAGTTCTGGTGGAGAAAAAGCACTGCATTCGGTAAATATTCTATTTAAATAATGGAGGACACCTGGTGTGAGTGAGCATAAGCCAATTTTGCTGATGTTTCTTTATTTTTTTTCATTTTTAGTAAACTGAGAAAACTAAATGTGATTTTATCTGACAGTTGCCTCTCCCAGGAGGATAAAACTGTTTTATATTTTTAAGAACATTATTAAAGTATGTAGTTTTTAATCACTGATGTCATTATGGATAATTTATATCTAGAATAATATTATGAAAATATTTTTACTGTACTTAGAAAATAGGTTTCTCTAGAAGAAAACATAGGGAAAAAGCTTCTTGACATTGGTCTGGCCTATTATTTTTTTGAATATAACTCCCAAAACACAGGCAACTAAAGCAAATACAGACAAATGAGACTGCATGAAACTAAAAAGGTTCTGCACAGAAAAAGAAATCAACTACAGAGTGGTACAAAATACTTGCAAGGTATACATCAGATGGGAGCTTAACATCAAAAATATATAAGAAATTCAAACAACTTAATAACAAGAAGACAAATAGCCTGATTTGCAAATAAGCACAAAAAGAAGGCATATAAAATGGCCAAAAGGTAGATGAAAAAAATGCTCAACATGACGCATTACTAGAGACACACAATCAAAACCACAATGCGATAACACCTCATACCTGTTAGAATGGCTATCATTAGAAACACAAAAAATAAGTGCTGGCAAAGATGTGTAGAAACAGAAACTCTCATACGCTGTTGGTGGGAATGTATGTTGGTAGAGTCATTATGGAAAACAGTATGTAGATTCTTCAATAAAGTAAAAATGGAACTCTCATATTATCCAGCAATATTACTGCTGGATATATGTCCCAAGAAAATAAAATCAGGATCTTGAAGAGATATCTGCACTCTTATATCATTGCAGCATTATTCCCAATAGCCAAGATATGGAATCACCCTATAATCAATACATGGGTAAAGAAAAAGTGGCACATATACACAACAGAATATTATTCAGCCCTAAAAAAGAAGGAAATCCTGTCATTTGCAACAACATGGATGAACCTGGAGGATGTCATACTGAGTGAAATAAGCCAGGCACAGTAAGACGTACTGCGTGATCTGTTATATGTGGAATCCAGAGACTAGGGAGGTAGGAGAGATGTTGGTAAAAGAGTACAGAGTTTCAATTAGGCAAGATGAGTAAGTTCTGGAGATCTAATGTACAGCATGGTAACTATAGCAAATAATACTGTATTGCATACTTGAAATTTGCTAAAAAAAATAGTATGTTAATTGGTTTGATTGTAGTAATCATTTCACAATGTATGCATACATCAGAACATTATATTGTATGCCTTCAATATATACAAGTTTTAGTTGGCAATTATGCCTCAATAGCTGAGTGTGGGGCAGGGGGTAATAGACTTTTCTATATGGATACTTTTCCACTAGAAGAACTTAAGTATTAAACCATGATATTCTTGATTATCAAAAATTTGCGCAGCATACCATATTTTCGGTGACTAATATATTTTAACTTAGAAATTATAAAACAGCTTTGGAATGCATTGTAATTCTCTAAAATGTAGTCCTTTTATGTTTATTGCAATTCTGCTTCTGACTTCAAGTTTTCCTGCAAGAATTAAACTGGCCCTATGTAACTACTTAAATCAAAATATAACTTTAATGATTGTTTCCTTTAAGTGCCAGAACATATGCAAAATAAATCTATATGAACATATGTGTGCATACATATATGAACATATGCATAATATGTACATAAGAATACATGTAATATATAATAGAAATACAGTGGACAGAGTTGATTTTGTCCTAAGGACCCTTACCATCAGAAAGTGAAAAAGCAAGCTATGTATTTAATGGGGATGTAACAGGTTACTCACCAGAAACCACAGGATGCTCAACGGCACACTGCAGGGGGCCTCTAACCTAGTCTTGCAGAGGAAGAAAGGTCCTAGATTCAGGTAACTTTTAAATTGAGGGCATAGGAAATTGGAGAGGGAGGGAATGGGGGAACATGTTCCAAGCTGAGGAATGGGAAATGTAAAGTCATAAATGATCAAGTTAAATGACACACTTTAAGAATCAAAAGTGGTTCAATCTGATAGGAGAAATCAGCTGGAAGGCTGGTAAAAGCTAAGGTGGAAAGATGGGGAGGAAATAGAATGTGGACCACATGTTATACATTTGGACCTTATTGTAAAGGGAGGAAGAAGCTCTGGAGGCAGGAAACCAAGGAAGCACATTGACTCAGAAAAATTTTTTTTGGAAAAATTACACAAGCTTCAATGAGGAAATTTGATATTCAGAGAAGTCATAAAGGAGGACAGTATATATAGGGAGACAAGTTAGAAAGAGGCTGCAATACTGGATAATAGTGATATTATATGATGATATGGTTTGGATTTGGGTCCCCATCCAAATCTCATCTTGAATTGTAATCTGAATTGTAATCCCTATGTGTTGAGGGAGAGACTTGGTGGGAGGTGATTGGATGACTGAGGTGGTTTACCCCATGGTGTTCTAAAGAAATCTGATGGTTTCAGGTTCCTCTGCACTCTCTCTGTCTTCCAACTGCCACCATGCAAGATGTGCATTGCTTCCTGATAAGGTTTGGCTCTGTGTCCTCACCCAAATCTCAGTTTGTAGCTCCCATAATTCCCACACATTGTGGGAGGGACCTGGTGGGAGATATTTGAATCATGGAGGTGGGTCTTTGAAATGCTGTTCTTGTGGTGTAAATAAGTCTCAGGAGATTTGATGGTTTTAAAAATGGGAGTTTCCCTGCACGACCTCTCTCTTTGCCTGCTGCCATCCATGTAAGATGTGACTTGCTCCTCCTTGTCTTCCACCATGATTGTGAGGCCTCCCTAGCCAGGTGGAACTGTAAGTCCATTAAACCTCCTTCTTTTGTAAATTGCCAAGTCTCTGGTATGTCTTTATCAGCAGCGTGAAAACAGACTAATACACTTTCCCTTCACCTTCCACTATGATTGTATGTTTCCTGAGGCCTCCCTATCTAGCCAGGCAGAACTGTGAGTCAATTAAAACACTTTTCTTTATAAATTACACTGTATCAGGTAGTATCTCTATAGCACTGTGAAAACACTAAAACATATGGTAGTAAGCAAGACTCAAAGGAGAATTAGCAATACATTGGGGAAACAGGAAAGGCATGATGAAGCAAGGTGGATACCACGAGTGATTGGCAGGTACTATGCCACCTTAATGCAGGCAAACTGGTAAGCATTTAAATAGCAGAGAATGATTTATAAAGATAATGATTTATCAACTGTCCCTTGATACACACCTTAAAGAAGCAACCATATTAGTTTCTTTTTGGTATTTTTGTTTTGTTTTCCTTATATTCATATAGTTATATAATCTTCATATGACAGCTTGGTGTTATCAATTTTTGATATCATCTGTTAACTTTCTATTATATAGGTGATGGATTAGCTCCTTTATACAACTACTATCAGTGTGTTCTATCCCACCTGCCAATATATTGATATAAACATTATTTTCTAGACCAGGCACAGTGGCTCATGCCTGTAATTCCACCACTTTGGGAGGCCAAGGAGGGAGGATCACTTGAGGCTAGGAGTTCCAGACCAGTCTGGGAAACATGGCGAGACCACGTCTCTACCAAAATTTTTTTAAAAACCTAGCTGGATGTGGTGGTGTGCACCTATAGTCCTAGCTGCTCAGGAGGCTGATGTAGGAGCATCCCTCAAGCCTAAGAGTTCAAGGATGCAGTGAGCTGTCATGATGGCACTGCACTCCTGCCTGGGCAACAGAGTGAGACCCTGTCTCTAAAAAAAAATATATGATTTTATGTATACTTTGAATAATTAATATAGATTACCTGTATATTTGAATAATATCATTGCATCCTCAGTTTCATATTCATCAACTGCAGAGGGTATCTCTGTTGGTATGTTTAGATCTGCACCCACCAAATTGCAGATCCTTGCTTTCTTTCAGCTCCTCTGGAATTTAGGTGGCTGGATTCCACCTCCTAGTATCTGTCTCTCAACTTCTAACATCTTATGTCAGGTAGTGGCAAATACATGCGTCTTATATATGTAAAGGAAATAAAGCTTATTTTTCTGTAACTAATATAGTCTTCTTCATGAGCCTCACCCATGGAACCCTTAGGATAATTTCCAAATCGCTCCTATTTGCACCCACTGTGGCACACATATTCTTGTTGCCTGTGGAAGGGGCCCTATCCTGCAGGGTCCAGAGTTGAGATCCACTTCTTCTACCACACCAGTGGCTGACCAGGTTGTAAGTGAGGCTGTGGTGGAGGTACCATATGCTTTTGGCTTTGTAAAAGGTGTAGGATTCAAACTGGAGTCACTGGTGCCAAACCCTGGCAAATGCAGCCAGGGAAGATGATGAAGACAGGATTCTCATGCACCATTTGTCTGATGACAAAAACTATCAGAAAAAATTTTTCCAAAATGCAGCTTACTACATGAGTAGCACAAGGACAGCTAGCGGCTTATACAAAAACACTTGACTGAATTAAAGGAGTATATTTACCCTGGCAACCTTTACTCCCTTTGAGGTGGCACTATTTTCTGTCTCCCTTACACACCCCCGATTATGAGATATTGTTTTGATTAACTTTTTTGGACAATAAAAAGAGATATTTCAGTGGCTTCCCCTCGGCTCTCTCCATTATGGTATTTCTTACCTCACAGGCCAAGGATACAAAGTAGAGGTTGCACCTACCACTAAGTAGAATAATTCTAATTACATATTCAGGGACTGGGAAATGACCACCAAGTAGTTCCACAGACCCAGTAGCTCCCGTGTGTGCTGCGCCTAGTCTGGGATTCCATTTATTTCCTGGTCCTTATATGTCTCCACACAAAGAATGACATCATAATGACATTTCAGGATGCTAGGTATCAATGGTAACTTGGACATAGGTCCGGTTGTCTTTAAAATGTTTGGACGCTCCTGTTTTCCTAATGCAAGCTCACCTGAGTACATGTCTGAAAGCAGGACTACAAAACTTGTGGTGGAAAATGAAAAAACGAAAATGTGGGGCCACTTATTTTAAAAGCCCAAAAATATGATAGTATTTTTTCTTTCTTCCATGGTCTCTCTCTCAACCTGTCATGTGTGTTTCATTTTCTATTTCATGTGCCATTGTTCAAGCACAAGGATATTTATCAGGTTAGTGCAGACCCTCCCCCTTGATCCTTCCTGTGCCCATCCCAAGCACCTGTTTTCCACCCATGACTGGAGCCCAGGGCAGCAGCAGTTGCTGGGAGGAGTGTAGAGTAAAAAGTCATGAACTTGTCTCAAGGAGATGGGAAGTGGAGAGTTAGAACCATGTGTAAGTTAAAGCTTCAAATCTTTTGAAGATGCTTCACTGTTCTATCAGACTCCCATCTTACCAAAATGCAGATTAATGGACAAAACTATTAAAAATTTCTAGAAGACAACTGCAAGCCCAGGTGCCAATTCCCTTTCTGAGCACAGAACCCTATCCAATTGCACTGGTTATAGGACCATGAAGCCATCTCTGGATGCAGTTTCCTTTGAAGAAGGACTCTAAGATTCATGTTTATGAGTATTTGCCATGGTACCGTGGAGTTCTTTCTCCTGGACATCTAAGTTTCCCTTCAGCCAGTGAGTCTGGGTTACAAACTGGCTAAGTTCTGGTTTTGGTCATCTATTCATGCTGCGACTTGTTGGATGATGATCCATCTACCCCTGTGAGCATGGTGTTCAATGCACCCTTTCCTTAAGTCTGGCTGGGCCTGGGTTGTATGAACTCTGGGGTTCATATAATAATTATATCCATTTTACTCACATTTAAATATCTCCATTACCTCTATTATGTCAGAGACCTATTATACATAAATAAATTAATATCAATATTAATACTACTGATTGTCAATTGTGTTATTACTATCATCAAGCCTAGTTATGTAATAGCCTCTCCTAGCTCAAACCCTAGCTTTTAGCCCTGGTTTATAGAAGAGAACCATTGTTTTTGAGGTTTATTTGGTTTTGTTTTTGTTTCTCCAAGATTATATTTTAGTTTTAGATATCAGTAGATCCATTTGCTTGAATTGACCTTAAATATGGAGTTTTGTGGTAAAATTTTTAAGTAGAATTTTATTTTAATACCTTTTAACACCTCTTTTAGGCTTCCCCTCCCCTTACAAGTTAAATCGAAACTACTGATCCCTTTAGTGATTCTGATGCAACCTTATCTATGTGTTTCTTATTTTCATGGTAAATGGAGAATTCTCCCAGTGTTTCTGTGAACCACAATTTTTGGAACATCTTCTGGCCTTCTGCAACGTTTCCACTCCATCATTTCCACACCCCTGGAGCCTTTGCACTCTTCCCCCGTGACCAAAAAAAAAAAAAAAAAAAAAAAAAAAAGTTCCGTCATTTAACTTTACTTCCTATGGGTTTTCAGATTTCTTTTGTTTCTGTTGGAGCCATCCTAATATTGAGTATACTACATCCCCTAGGACCCTAAGAACATGCAAGATAATACTTCCAAATCAATAAACTCTTCCCATATCATCATTTAATCCAGCCTGTTTGATCAAACCCTAAGAAATATGCTCCTCAGGATTCTGCCAGTACATTATGGCTAGGTTTTTTGTTTTTTTTTTTGCCCCCTTGGAATTTAGTCCCTTCATTCCCTTATTGCACCCAACATGTACCTAGTGGGGTTACTCAGCAACTTCACAAAAAGTGGATGGATGGCAGAGCAGATCCTGAGGGAAACATTGTCTGGAAGGATAGAGGCTTTGGGGTTGTCTTCAAGGCAAGAAAGTAATGTTAACTGGGAAGGATGAGCCACTTCTTCAGCCTCAGAAGTTTCAGAAATATGGGACAATTCAAAATATTTTGGAGCATCCTCCCAAGTGGCTCTATTCTCATTCATTTTCAATTAGGGCCATGACCTTAGTATAACAGACATCTTTGGTTGGGCATTTAACATACTCTAGAATAGTGACTTCTGGGTCGAGTCCCCAGTTTTTTTTTGTTTCTCCCTACAGGAGACGAGAATCTCTTTCGTAAGCTCTGGCTTTCACACTCAGTCTTCAATTGCTCATTAATCCCCGGAACGTTTTATCATCTCTACCTAGGTATCAACCCACCATCTTTATAGTTACTCTTTGCCTGTACTTTTCAAAAGTCCGACAAATTGCACCAGCTAGTGCATTCCCTTTCGCTTCTATGCCATCCCAATTCACTATCAGTGAGAGTTGTTTTTTTTTTTTTTAACTTGAACTGTTCGCTTGTGCCAGAGATGTCCTCTGGGATCTACATATTGCTAATGACTGGGTGGAAAGTGATTCCTCTCCATAATCCCATTTTATTACTCGCTTTCCTGGACCACTCTTAGCACCTGCTTCCACAGGTTGTATTCTTCAGAAGCAGGAGCTGAGATAAAATGTGACATGTAAGACGTTTTTAAGGAACCAACACTTGTAGAAAGCAGTGAGAGAAAGCAAGACTGAACAGAGGAAAAGATCTAATTAAGTTGCTGAACTAAGAAAGCCACAGCTAACTCCACAGGGTGATCCAGGACACGAATAGCCCATCAGAGGTGTTCTTTAAACTTTAACCTCATGCAGATGTGGAAGGCAATAAGAATACTGCCATGTAAGTTAAATCTTTGAGATTAATACTGGTGGAAAAAATTTCCCCGGTTACATATTCTTTTACTTTTACAGCATCAAGTTGTTAATATTTACCTTCTCTCCTGTGCTATATATGGGAAAATCTGTAAATAATGATTATAGTCATAGGACTCTATTAAAACATTTACTACAGAATCCTGGGTGTATTCCTTTGTTCTGTAGATCTCTTGCCTTTTGGTTTCTTGATTTCCTCCTACCTTTTTCTGAAGAATGATCTCAAATAATTCCCTAAAATAAGAATATGACAGACAAAACCTGATAGAGTAGTATCACATTGGATGAGTATAGAATTCTAAGTTAAAACAATTTTCTCTGAGAACATTAAAGGTATTATTCCTATATTTTTAGTTCCATTAAAGAAATATTAATTAAAGTCTGATTTTACTTTTTAGGTGAGTTTACATTTCTCCTGTTTGAGTGCTTTCTAGTTCTTTTTTTATCTAGATTGTTATGAAATGCAAATTCTATAACTAGGTGTGGTTCTTTTTATCATCTTATCCCTGCTTGATTAATGGGTCTCTAGTCTGAAAATAATGTCCCTTTAGCTCTGAGAAATTACCTTTTAATATTTTTTGATAATATCTTTTGATTAATTTTTTCTCCTCTCTCTCTCTCTCTCTCTCTGATCTTCCTAATAATAGAATGATTAAAATTTGGGTTTGATTCATTTTGTCTTTTAAGTTTTCTTTTCTATTATTTCCTTATTTTTCTGCTCCAATTTCTGTGATTAGCTCAACTGAATGCTACAATCATAAAATAATGTGTTTATTTTATTTCAGTAATTGCATTGTTAATTTCCAATCTGCTCTAGTTTTTACATTTTCAGGGCATTCTCATTTTATAGATGACATTCATTATTAAAAATTTTGGAACGTTTTTAATAGAATTTAGTGTAAAATTCTTTTATCTTGATTACATTTAATTCCCTCTTTCATGTTTGTCCTAGGGTCTTTTTTTTTTTTTTCTCTTTACTTTTTCTCTCTCAGGTTGCAGCATTTTCTCACATATCTGGAGAACCTTTGCAGTTTGAATGTGGTTATGAATAAATTAAGAGGCATGCTGAGTGGGGAGCTCTGTGCATGTGGGGAGGCTTATTGACTGGCAGAGCCAAATTTATGGGGAGTAGCCATGGAGGGAGCATGTTTTTTATTGCCTTTGACGATTTGATAATAAATTTTTAATTACTATAGTACATCCTATATTCAAAATAATATTTGTAGTACAAAAATACTTTGTAAAGAATAATAAAGAAGAATATCTATGTCAACACCAACCTGATTTAAAAATACATTTAAATATCTTTGAAGTCCCCAGTGTACTTTTATAATAGCATCGTGACCCATGTTGCTCTCCAGAGGTTTCTTAGAGTTTCACAATATGTGTACATGTGCTTGAATAATGTGTTGTTTTGTTTCATATGTTTGTTTGTGAAAATATATTGTGGGTATTATTCTGTGACAATGATTTTTCATATAACATACTTTTTATGTGACTCATTGGTATTGATATATGTAACCATAGGTCATTTATTTTCATTGCTTCTTCCAGGTATCAGAAGACACATGAACCAATGATCACTTCCAACTACATTCCTGTCTTAAGAGCTTCAGGGTACATAGACAGTGGCAAACCCTTGACAGGACTGGATTACTGTATTTTCATACAGGTACTATTTTACCTCCATCCAAGGTAAGTGAGGGCAAGCACAATTCCTCAGAGCCTTCCTTAGTGAAGGGAATCCATTTTTCTACTAATTCACTCATAGACAGCATATCCCCTTAATGTTTCTTGCAGTATGTAGACTGAAGTATGGCTTGCTACAGGGCTTGGCACCCCAAGCATGGGCCACTGGAGTAAAACAGATCTGCAGATACCCTCAGGATAGAGAAGGATTCAGGAACCTCCTTCCTCCATTTGGGATTATAAATTGGCCTTAATTTTTTGCTTTGCCAGCTCTTCACATATGAAGATTTGCTAAACATTTTTTGTCAACATTTTGAAGCTTTTCATTCTGGGAAGTTGTGTATATTCATACAAACATGTTGCCAGAACAGGAGGTCCTCACTATTTTATATCATTATTATTATTATTATCTTTTAACAGAATTTAATTTAATTTAAATGCTACACATTGTACATTGGTGCTGTGGGAGAGATGTGCTTAACTTTGTGTGTTGAAGTGGTAAACATTTTGTATGTATATTTTCAATTAATTCCTCATTTTCAAATCCATGTTTTACTACTTGTTCTTTTTTATATAGAGACTTTGTCTCTGGGCCTTTCAGGGATGCATGCATGAACATTTGCTTCCTAGAATATGAACGCATCTTGGTCTGTCTTTATGGGGCATATATATATATATATGACATATATATGTTATATGAAAAAAACAGGTTGAGAAAAACATTATGCATGTATGTGTGTGTGTGTGTGTGTGTGTGTATATATATATATATATATATATATATATATATATATATACAATGTTTTTCTCAACCTGTTTTATCATTCCACCACTTACTTCAGATTTTCAGTAATATCTTAAAATGTCTTTTATTTTAAAGATCAACCTCCTGTTCTTTATATTAGTATAAGTCTGTTACTTGTAAAGAGGTCTCTTGTCTATAATGTTGCAGTATCTCAGGAAGTAGATTATATAAAATATAGCAGCTGGCCTCTTGTACTTAAAACACCTCCAGTTCTTTTATTTTTTTAGATAGTTTACCATCATTAACTTAAATTTTATTGTGTAATCATCACAACCACCATTTGAGGAACATGATGAACACTGCTATTTCTAAAGAACCTCCAAACTGGAATTACATAATTAAATAGGAATAGATTTTATAATGTTATTTACTTCTTATCTTGTGTATATGTGGGGAAAAGCCCTCTGTTTACCTCTCAGATAAAAATCGTATTTAAGACAAAAACCTAATTGTCACACAATGTATAAACAGAAGCACCTAGGCTCTTAGATATTGGTAGATAAAGTAGAAGTCAGTAAACCACGATTTAGGGGACAGGGTTACATATTGATAGTTCATAGTACACTATCCTCACCATACAAATCTTGAGCCTATTGCTTGCTAATAGCTGGGCAAAGCTGAGGCAAGCTACTTAATTTATCAAATGATCAATATCATTGTCTCAACTATTATTAAACCCTACTGAAATGGTTTGACTGTGTCCCCAATAATTTGACCAACGGAACAAGTTACCCTAGGGATAACAGCACAACCCTATTCTAGAGTCCATATTGACAATAGGGTTTACGACCTCGATGTTGGATCAGGACATGCTGATGGTGCAGCCGCTATCAAAGGTTCGTTTGTTCAATGATTGTACATCTTGAATTGTAGCTCCCATAATCCCCACATGTCATGAGGGGGAGTAGCAGGTAATTGAATCATAGGGGCGGGTTTTTCCCCACACTGTACTCCTGATAATGAATAAGTCTCGCGAGATCTGATGGTTTTATAAAAGGGTAGTTACCCTGCACACGTTCTTTTGCCTGCCACCATGTAAGAGATGCCTTTCCTCCTCCTTCGCTTTCTGCCATGATTGTGAGGCCTCCCCAGCCATGTGAAACTGTGAGTCCATTAAACCTCTTTTTCTTTATAAATTACCCAATCTCAGGTATGTAGTTATTAGCAGCATGAGAATGGACAAATACACCTACTTAATAGGAGTATTTAAGAAAATCCTGGAAAGATAAGTTTCTGTTCTGACAGTCTCAGTCAGCCATAGGACAGTTTTACAAATACAAGATGACTGGGAGAACTTAGGGTAAATTTTTCGCTTAGGGACAAGGGTGTTTTTATTTAATAAATGCTTACTAATGACCTGCTTCTGTTAACAATGGGCAGCCTTACACTTAGCTTGACTTTTAGTGACTGGTAAAGAACAGATATTTACAATATTTTACTTACAATAAAAGGCCCCCAAACACACACATATATATATATATATATACACACACACTTATATAAGTGTGTATATATACTTATATAAGTATATATATACCTATATACATATATACGTATATACTTATATATACCTATATACTTATATATGTATTTATATATACATTATATATATTATATACATATATAAGTATACAAATACATACATATATACACTTATATACATATATATACACTTATATACATATATATGTATGTATGTATGTATTTGGGGGCCTTTTACCATCATTAACTTAAATTTTATTCTGTAATCATCATAACCACTATTTGAGGAACATGACGAACACTGCTACTTCTAAAGAACCTCCAAATTAGAATTACATAATTAAATAGGAATAGATTGTATAATGTTATTTACTTCTTATCTTGTGTATATGTGTATATATATATATATATAAAATGAAACATCAGTAAAGCAATGATCACATTGTCTGGTACCTCATATATGGTCAGAGAGATGATTTGTCTTTCACTTTTTTGCCATGTGTTTTCTGTCCTTCCACTTTCGTAGAATTATGCCTGCTACAAACACAAATATAGGCTAATTGAACTCTCGGTAGAGTCCATAGCAGGAAATAATTTTCTACCCTTCCAGCCCATGCTCTCTTCCCTCTTATCAAGACTTATCTTCTTGGAGCAGACCCTGGTTCCTTACTCAGCAAGTGCTATTGCAGAGGCAGAGGTGAGAAGCCAAGTCTCTATTTTAGGTACTCTGTAAATAATTTGATTTTTTCAGATGAGTTTCACTTTTGGTTGATGCATTGCTTAAACTGTCAAAATCGATTCAGATGTTAAATACCATTGATGGTAAGTTCAGGTGACCTTTACTTTCTGGAAGGCATATTTAACAATTATTCATCTATCAACTTTCTAATGTATGTTGGATTTTACTCTTTTGAATTAGGCATACATTTTAAAGATGTTATATAAAAGCATTTCATTCATCGTACATTGGAAGGGGTCTTTCAAACACAGCTGGGGACTCTACACACCTAGTGGACTCCCTCCCTCACCATAATAACTAGGATCTTGCAACAATGTGCCTTTGATATTTCTCATATTTATACTAACAATCTGGATGTGATTTCTCACCATTTCTAGGGAGTTCCAAATAGACAATCAAAGCTTTATCATCTTTGAGGCTGAAGCATTCACTGAGATAACAACAGGAAAACAAGTGTACTCTCCAGGAATGATCATTATGGCTTCTATGAAGTTTATTTTGAGCTAGTTTTCCTATCAAGAGGTTTATGTCTGTAGAGGAAATAAGTAACTTTATGGAATCTTATTTCTTCTGCAATGTAAAAATATTATTATTAATGCCTCCCTGGTTTGAAACATGATGTTAGGTACAAGCTTTAGGTTATACAAGATAACTTTGACATAATCTTGTCTTCAAATATATATAATGTAATAATATGTCTTATCAAACTACCTAAAATACCATGAGCATAGAGAGAGTGTTTGTGAATGGCAAGTTAGAATGGGCTTTAAGCAAGAGGTAGGTTTTAAACTATGTTAGGATTTTGATGAGAAGTACAGAGAGAGAACCATTCCCAGCACAGGTAAAGTATTGTGGGATGTGTGTATGTGTGTACGTGCATCACTATACACCTTGTGGTAGCTCTTGATCTTTTGGTTGCAAAGGTACTGAGACTGACATGAGCTTGCTTAAAGAATAAAGATTACGTTTTGAGGCTATAGTTACCGCATGCAAGGCATCAGGAATACTGGAATTGAATGCCTGAATACTGGGAAGATTCTTGTTCTGTTTCATATTTGTTTCTTTCTGCAGGTCTTCTTCATTTTACTGTTGTGCTGCAGACTAATTCCTCTTGTTTTCCTGTCTACATGGCTTCCAAAGCTTGAGGGTTTCCTCTCTTTCATTAAAAGATTGACCAAATTAGGCCTGAAATCTTTTAACATCAATTCCAAATTCCATAAGGAAAATGGACGTTGGTCCATTTTGTTTAGGGTCTCACCCCAAGTCCAGTCAATTTTTCTAAAACATTAAAGTCATGTTGAAGAGAGGTGACTTACTTGAGTAACATGGATGCAACCAGGGGAACAGGGTACTATAAAAGGCTACAGTTCCTATTTAAAAAGAGAGATCTGGAATAACCAAACTATAAGTGCCCACTTAGGTGATGAATACTGTTGGTCATCTGACTCACTAGCGATGTAATAAAATATGAATGTAGAAGTGTAGAGTAATAAAACTAAAAAAGTTAGTTGGGATGATGTCAAAAGTACTGTAAATAAAATTCTAAGGAATTATAATTTTACTCTTTATGTAAAAGGGAGACATTAAAAATATTTAAATGAGACTTTGGCACTAACAATAGTATCTATAGATAGATTCATATAGAAGCAAAGTATAGACCAGAGGGAACACCCCAAAAGAAACCACAATGCTTTGGATGAGAAGTGATGGATTTAGAGTTGTGGCATTGAGATTGGAAAGGAATATTCTAAAGTAACGTTGATTCAGTTGGATTTGGTGTTTGATTTTGTGTAGAAGAAATAGAGATATTTTTAACAACTAATTCTTCAAAGACAGCTTTCTCGTATTTATACTATATTAATATGGCTTAAAGTGATTTTAAAAACCGAAGTGTCTATCTTCTTCTTTTATAGTTATAGCCATATGCTCATTTTGTGGGGGGGGGGGGACAGGGGATGTATGCTGAGGGAAGGTTGGGAGAATGAGCTTGTGACTTCATACTCCAAAGGAATTAAGAACTGACCTGAGTTCTTCTGAGGAGAAAGCTGTACTACATAACAGATTGTCATATGCAATCAATAGATATTAAATAAAAGAAAGACTACATAGACAAATTTATATGGGAATTGCTGAGTTAAACAATTTTAAAGAAGTTTCTTATTCCCAGGGCAACTTCAGACCTTTAATATGTTAATGTTTTATAATTTTTTAAAGCAGCAGTATGGCTTGTACAGTGTCTGTCATATGGCCATGAAACTACTTTTTAGAGGGAAACCTCCATGGACTAATTTTGCTTGAAATTCAATATGAAATTCTGCTAAACCTAGGGCTTTCTGAGGATCAGAAGGGCTATTTCCATGGTAAGTATCATTTAGGATATTTCAACATAGATTAAAATAATTTAACTAGAATCAGAGGATACATATTGCATTGTAATGAAATGACTTGGATGATTTAAAAACTGAAAATGGCTCTCATGCTTCAGATTTGTAGCCCAAATACACATCCTTCTGAGTTTGTCTTGAGAGAAGGATGAGAGAATGGCTTATGACCTTTGCATTCCTCATGGAACTAAACATGAGCCATGGCTTACCCGGAGGAGAAAAATTATACTACCTATTGCATTGTCAAAGAATACTTGGCCTGTTCTTTAACAGAGAAGAGCACTACCTATGCTGACTCTCAGACCATGGTGAACTAAAATGATTCAGAACTAAGAAAACCTAATATGTTTTTTTTTTTTTTTTTTTGAGTCTCATTCTGTAGCTCAGGCTGGAGTCCAGTGGCACAATCTTAGCTCACTGCAACTTCCTCCTGCCCCGGTCAAGCTATTCTCCTGCCTCAGCCTCCAGAGTAGCTGGGATTACAGGCATGTGCCACCATGCCTGGCGAATTTTTGTATTTTTAATAGAGATAGGGGTTTCACCATGTTGGCCAGGCTGGTCTTGAACTCCTGAGTTCAGGGGATCCACCCGCCTTGGCCTCCCAAAGTGCTGGAATTACAGGCGTGAGCCACTGCACCCAAGTTCTAATATATTTCCATATTAAACAGCAGATCAGTTTTAGGAAAATTACTTTGAAAAGTGAAGTGAATATTGTTGATCTCTGGACACTCAACTTTAACCAACCTTTTCCTATAGAAACAATCGTAATAATAAGAAACTTATTTTAATGAAGAAGGTTTTCATTAAACAAATATATATTCTGTTATTTTTTTGTTCTCTTAACCAATTCCATGTTTAATTTCAAATACACTCAGGCTACACCTAAGATTTTTGAATTGTTTAGTGAGAAATCTAAATGTTTTGCATATCACTCTTCATCTGCACATATTTCTCAAACTGCCTACATTATAATTACTTAAAGAGAACCCCATCAGAAAATTTCTGAACCAGGATCTCTAAGGATGTGGTTTGAGAACCTGCAATTTAACAGATGTCCATTGGATCTTGTGCACACGATATTTTGAGAAACACTACATTAGATTGTGCTTGTCCTAAGAATGCATAATTGCCACTATCGTTTTTAAATGTCCAAAAGTATACACCTATCAAAGACTCAATTATTCATTAGTTTACTTGACGACATATTATGCTCTGTCATATGATGGCTTCAAAGATACATAAGACTTTGCCTCTGCTCTAAACATTTTTGCATTATCCTTCTGTTTTTTATATTAAGCCAATAAATAAAAAGAAATCCCTTGCTAGATGGTGAAATGCAAAGAAATATTGTTTGGCATTTTTTAGAGTTTTGTTCCTACAGGTAAAATTTTTTTTGGAAATCTAGTTCTCCAAAGTGGTTTACAATTAGTTTATACACTGTGGAGGTGGATATAAGTGAGAAGAGTTTCATATACAAAGTATTTTTAATATGTGATTCCTCCAAAGCCTTCTGAAGAAACGTCTATCAAATCGAATAATTGACGCACTTTGAACACTTAGCTCCAAAAAGAAGATGACATTTTTTCATTAGTTTAAGATTTATATGCTAAAGTATCTGTCACAATAATAATAAAATCTGACAGTGCAGATCATATGGATTTTTCACCGCGGCAGAGGTAACGTGTTTTTTGGAAGATACAAATGACAATTTGTTCAAATCAGAGATTTTAAAAATTTAGACAAGCTCGGAAGCTCCAGAACTTTATATTTCACCATTTCAAAATCACTCATTAAATGATGTTTGTGTCATGTCAGCCATACTGATTAATATTGTGTATGTAAGAATAAATATAAGTTATTTTTTCATATGCTTTTTGGGTTATCAACATTTTCAGGAAAGGTCAGGTGCCAGCCATCTTAAATCCATATACAAAGACAGTTTTAAGTATAGGTATATTTAGGTATAAATTCTAACGTAATTACTCTGTGTCATAGCTGAATTCTCTGTGCTTTTGGTTGTTGTTGTTGTTTTGCTTGGGTAGCTGCAGCCCTGTGAAATTCCAATCCACTCTGAAAGGGAGTACTAAAATTACATGCATAACTCAACTTCTAAACAAAGAGGAAGAAATGCTTTCCTAGGAAAAATACACAAAGTATCAGTATTACCACAGTCATTGCCTTTCTGCATTGCACCAAAATCTCCTGTTCATGGAATTGTGTCACAGATTAGACTGCATTCCTCAAGTGAAGAGCCACATGTTATTAAACTTTGCTATCCCATTGTCTCATATAGGATCTGAGAAGGTGCTTAATAATTGGGAGCCAAACAGAAATGAAAGGTAAAATGAGATAGGTTTGCTACCCATCCTCAAATGGCATGAGTCCTATAAGTGAGTTATGCAGACATTTAGTAAAATTACAACCACGAATAATTTTTAAAAGAAAATAAATAGTAGAAAAACTACCTTCTAGGTTTCCTTTAGGTCTATGCTCCTGGCTATTTCAACTAACCATATATTTAGTTTGAAACGACTAGGAAAAAAAAATGTAGTCTCTTAGGGAACTATTTAATACTAAGAGATAATAATTTATCTTGAAAGAATTAACACAGCTCCTAAGTGCTTTATATATTCTCAAGAAGTAGCTTATGTTGCAGGAGTCTACCTTCTTAAAACTTAATTTTTCTACACATGAAATTGTTATTTTAGTTTCTTTACTTAAAGAGACCTTTAGAACAGTCAGAGTTTTTCACTCTCTAAGCTACATTTTGTTGTCAAATTGTATTTTACATGAATACTGCAGAAGCTTCACATTGCACCCGTAGGGAAAGAATCTCATCCCATCTCCAGCCCAAGAAGGATTAATCACAGATAAGTATAATACAAAACTATAGCCTTTTATAACAGCACTAAAACTTCATTACATAAACAGAGTGCCAAGAACTTTCAGAAATAAAAAGAAGCTCTCATACTGAAGTTTACATTACAAATAAAACCTCCCTCCATAATGAAATTCTGTAAGCAAATTATATTTGGGAGTACGTAGTCAAACACCTACCACAAAACCATGTATCACATCTGGAGGAGGCTGTCACACCCAACTTCAGCTTTTTTGGATCAATGTTTCTTTTATCTTCTGGTTTCCCTTTTATTTAATTTTCCTTATAAAATCTATAACTATCTACTTTCCTTAGTATATGAGCCTTAAGTAAGACACAATTCATTTTCCACAGTGCTGAAATAAACTTTGTTGCATGTCTATTTTAAAAACATTTATGACACCAAGTACCTTCCAACCACCGAATACTGCATAAGTACCTTCGTAATTCATCATGTGAACAATTACATATTAACTAATAATTTAGTAATATTGGAAGCATACATGTAAGTATGTACAATCTGTAGCTTTCGGGGCCTATTTAGAAGGACTTCGTAATGCATGGATTGGCATTTAGATAAGTGAAAAAATAGGGACAGCTATGGGGAGTGACTAACTAGTCACTCTGTAACTCCGCCTTTTCTTTTGCTTGCTATGTCAGTTCACATAAGTAGACGGTTACAAAAGTAAGCGAAATGTTTGTTTCACTCAGTATGCCCTGGTTAAAGTTCTAGTAATGAACAATGCCAAAATCTCAGTGACTTACATCAAGAACGGTAGACCCCTTTCTCCCTCTGCATGTGCACTGCAGGTCAATGGGGGAACACTGTACATCAGAGCAGTCATCATCTTGAATATTGCCAGAGAACAGGAAAAAAATGTAGAGATTTGTTCCATAAGTTAAAAGCTCCACACCATAGTGGCATAAGTTATTTCCATTTGTAATTCATGTCCTGGAATTAGTCACTTTTTCCCACCTACACAGAAGGTCAGCAAATACAATCCTACCAAGTAACTAGAAGGAGGGAAGAACCAGACATGGGTATTTAGCAGTGATGCTGCCCTTTCATATGTACTTCAATCCTACAAGCAGGTGTCTACACCAGTGGAGAAATAAGGACAACATGAATGAAGTCCCACACTAAACAAGGTGTTAAGTCTGGAAAACAAGACTGTTTTTTTCTGTTTTTTGTTTTTTGTTTTTTTTTTTTTGAGGAGAACGGCCAATTCACTCTGCCCATTGACTACTTTTCATTATTCCAAGTTGCTTTATAACAGACTCTGAAAAATTGCCTGTCTCATCCCTGAGATTATAAACTCCCTGAGAAAATTTAAAATTGTTCATTCCTTTCAGCACAGGGCCTGGCATATTGTACTTACTTAATACATTTAATAAGTAAATGAACGGCTTTTAGAATGCCTGAAATCTTTTAATCAGAAAACTGAATGAGATTTATACTACACTCAACTTTGATTATTTTTCTTACAAGTAAAACTAAGCTTTATCATTTATCTTTATCACTTTACTCAGTTTAGTTATTGAATCAACCATTTCTATATAAGGTTGGATCATCATTTTTAATACCTAGATTATGGTCAGGGGCAGTGGCTCACACCTGTAATCCCAGCACTTTGGGAGGCCTAGTGGGCAGATCATGAGGTCAGGAGTTCGAGACCATCCTGGCCAAGATGGTGAAACCCCATCTCTACTAAAAATACAAAAATTATCAGGGCGTGGTGGTGGGTGCCTGTAATCCCAGCTACTCGAGAGGCTGAGGCAGAAGAAGCTCTTGAAATGGAAGGCGGAGGTTGCAGTAAGCCAAGATCATGCCACCACACTCCAGCCTGGGCAACAACAGTGAAACTCCATCAAAAAAAAAACCAAAAAACTGGATTATGTTATATTCCTATTTGATGGCACTGTTAAGGAGATATTTTTCAAACTGAGTGTTTTAGAAGCCAAGGTATAGAAACCAGTGAGAGGTGAAGCTAGCTGGACTTCCTGGGTTGAGTGGGGACTTGGAGAACTTTTCTGTCTAGCTAGAGGATTGTAAATGTACCAATCAGCACTCTGTGTCTAGCTAAAGGATTGTAAACACACCAATCAGCACTCTGTGAAAATGCACCAATCAGCACTCTGTAAAATGGACCAATGAGCAGGACGTGGGCAGGGCCAAATAAGGGAATAAAAACTGGCCACCTGAGCCAGCAGCGCAACCCGGTCAGGTCCCCTTCCATGCTGTAGAAGCTTTGTTGTTTTGCTCTTCACAATAAATCTTGCTGCTGCTCACTCTTCGTGTCTGCACTACTTTTAAGAGCTGTAACACTCACTGCGAAGGTCTGTGGCTTCACTCCTAAAGTGAGCGTGAGACCACGAACCCACCGGAAGGAAGAAACTCTGTACACATCTGAACATCTGAAGGAACAAACTCCAGACACACCATCTTTAAGAGCCATAACACTCACCTTGAAGGTCTGTGGCTTCATTCTTGAAGTCAGCGAGAGCAAGTACCCACAGGAAGGAACCAATTCTGGACACACTAGGACTGAATAAAAGCCAGACTTCAGTGTTAAAGACTTAATCTAAATAATGAATGCTAGAGGCTTAAAGGTTTGCAAAGGTTATTCTAATTGTGTTTCAAAAACAAATACATTTGTATTTTAATATAATTGGTTAAACAGAAAAACAAACCAGAAAAAAAACTCACCAGTTTTTCTAGTTTCTGTCACTCTTTTTACTTGACATTTGTATCAAATGTTGGACTTGCCCCATTATGTGGGTGAAGTACTAGCCTCTGATTTCAGATTGAAAATTATGTCCTTTTTTTCTCCACAAAGAAGGAACTAGAAGGGATCATTTATTTTAAAAATACTAGCTTCGGGGGGAGGGGGTAGGGATAGCATTAGGAGATATACCTAATGCTAAATGACGAGTTAATGGGTGCAGCACACCAGCATGGCACACGTATACATATGTAACTAACCTGCACATTGTGCACATGTACCCTAAAACTTAAAGTATAATAATTAAAAAGAAAAAAAAGAAAAAAAAAACTAGCTTCACACTCAGGAAATCATGAACATCAGATTATTTAAAAAAATTACTTAATGTCTCAACTGCAGTGCTAACTTAGGTAGGTTATGTGTTATTTAAAGCCTTACTCATTTCAGAAATGAACAAAGGAAAGATACTATGAAAGCTACTAGAGTTTTTTTCTTACTCTAATTTTGGGTGATACTCACTTTAGAACTTTGTTTTGCATAATGATCTTTCTATCAGTCTCTTAGATGATGAATAGACCCAGAGATGATAAAACCGCTTTTGTATCAAGAATTAGCCAACAACACAAGTGGTGACCAGAGTAATTTATTACTGTATATTACAACTTAATAAAATAAAATTGGTTTAAGTCATCTCTCCCACCTCCTGCAAAAAGCAATGAGAGGGAGGAATGGAGATGCTCTCATACATTCTAAATCTGGCTATAGGGCAGACTTCATGTAAAGCTTGATTTAGCAACTCATGTGACAACACCAAGCAACCATTGGTTTTCTGTTATCTTGCTCTGTAATCATTCTCCCCGCCTCACCCAGTTCTCTAGCAATAGTGACTGCATCAGTTAACCATTGCCATTTAATAAACCACCACAAAACTATGTGGCTTAAAAGACAACAATTTGTAATAACTGCCATTCTGACTGGCGTGAAATGGTATCTTCTTGTGGTTTCGATTCACATTTCTCTAAAGATCAGTGATGTTGAGTTTTTTTTCATATGTTTGTTCACCACATGAATGTCTTATTGTGAGAAATGTCTCTTTATGTCCTTTGCCCACAGTTTAATGGGGTTGTTTTTTTCTCATAACTTTGTTTAAATTCCTCATAGACTCTGGATATTAGACCTTTGTCAGATGGATAGATTGCAAAAATGTTCTCTCATTCTGAAAAGAATGCTTTTACACTCTTGGTGGGAGTGTAAATTAGTTCAACCATTGTGGATGACAGTGTGGTGATTCCTCAAAGATCTAAAGGCAGAAATACCATTTGAGCCAGCAATCCCATTACTGGGTATATACCTAAAGGAATATAAATCATTCTATTATAAGGACACATGCATGCGTATGTTCATTGCAGCGCTATTCAAAATAGCAAAGACATGGAACCAACCTAAATGCCCATCAATGACAGATTGGATAAAGAAAATACGGTACATATACACCATGAAATACTATGCAGCCATAAAAAAGAATGAGATTGTGTACTTTTCAGGGACATGGATGAAGCTGGAAGCCGCTATCCTCAGCAAACTAACACAGGAACAGAAAACCAAACACCACATGCTCTTGCTTATGAGTGGGAACTGAACAATGAGAACACATGGACACATGTGAGAGAACAATACACACTGGGGCCTGTCGGGGGAAGGGATGGGAGGAAAGACAACACAAGGAAGAATAGCTATTGGATGCTGCACTTAATACCAAGGTGATGGGTTGATCTGTACAGCAAACCACCATGGTACACCTTCACCTATGTAACAAACCAGCACATCTTGCACATGTACCCCAGAACTTAAAATAAAAGCTGAAGGAAAAAAAAAAGACTTGTTATTTCTCACAAGAATGTTGGCTGGCTGTGCTTTCTCCATAGCACTCACTCATGTAGCTTCATTAAGCTCAGGATCAGCTGGGTCGGAAGATGCAAGATGGCCAGACTCGTAGGTCTGACAGTTGAAGCTGGCCGTCTTCTTGATCACTGTGGATCTTTTTTCCTCATGGTGTATCAGTCTCCAGCTGACTAGACTGGCTTCCTTTTGTGGTAGTCTTTGGCTAGAGTTCCCAAAGAGTAAAAATCGAAGGCTTACAATTGCATAATGTCATTCTTTCATCTTCTATTGGTCAAAGCAAGTGAAAACACAGCCTAGACGCAAGAGGTGGGGAAAGAGCTTCCATGTCTTGATGAAAGCTGTGAAAAAGTCACACTGTAAAGGCACATGGTCACAGAGAACTTTGATTTTTCCTTCCACAATGTCCAAATAGTTACTTTATTTGCAAACCTCATATTTCTATAGAACACCATACTATCCAATAAATGCCAATGCATATTTTGGTAGTACCTGCAGAAAAAGAGAGAGGGAGATCAATTTTATTCCAGGAGCTCTAGCAAATATTCATCCCAAACTTGGTGACTGGAAAATGGTCCATAAGCCAATTTGGCCCAAACCATTCAGTTAGGAGTTGAGTCAATAGCACTAAATGGAAATGGTTGACCACTAGAAGTGGTGTTTTATCAAAGCCAGATTAGGATAAATATTCCAGAATAAGGAAGACCATATGCTGGATCTCAAAACCAAAAGAAGTTCACTGCACAGTGGTATGAAATGTAAGTGAAAACTTTATCCCAAATCTCTCAACAAATACATTAGAGCATTTTCTATCATATCATTCCCTCTCTTTTGTTAATATTTTTCATTTGAAATTAGGGCAATATACATTTAGAACCATCATCCTCCATTTACTATTGATATGACCTTAAGCAAGCCGATTATCCTCTCTGAACCTCAGCTTCCTCAAACAGTAAGAGCAATAATCATGATAAGGATGTTGAAGGAATTAAGTGAGATAACCTGTGTTAAGTAATTAGCAGATTGTCTTGCACCTTGGAAACACCTCCCAAATGATAGGTGCTGCCATCGGTATCAACAACATTGTTATCAGCAAGCCTGTTAAAAAGCACAGAATACCAGGTAGCAAGATTTTCATGCCTGTGTTATGCTAAACCAATTCTTATAAATGCAAATCTATAAACACATATGACACTCCAGGGCTTCTAAAGAACTTTTTATAACTATAGATATGAGCATAATGTAAGTACATAGCATCACTTACTGTAAATCTGTACATTTGATATGTACTCACAAAATTATTTATAAAGAACCAGGGAGTAGTGCAGCTTAGAAAGCTTAAAGATGACCTAGATTGTATACCTCAAAAATTCTAAATTGGCCAAAATGGCCTTAAGGAGCACTGAATGAGAACTTTTCTATGAATTTAAACTTCAAATATACGCATGCTTTTTGATTACACATTTCTATGTCATATCTCACGTGGCCTTATACCGGATTTAAAACAAAACAAAACCAAAAAACAGAAATGGGATAGGGCTGACAGCCAAGTTTAACTCTAGCTGAAGATCTTGTTTATTCTTTCACTTCCCAATTTTCCAAATTTTACTTGATCTTAGTTTCTGGCTTTCACCCCTCTCGATTTAATTATTGAGTTTTGAGAATCTGTTTTTCAAGTAACTTAACAGCTGAAAGCCTTTCACTTTTGATTACACTTACTTGTGGGATAAAGATATGTCTTGGTAGCTTTATCCTCAGGCTCTTATTCCTTTCCAGTGGCCAGCGCTACTCAAAAGTATGAGAGCAGCTTGCATTAGTACTAAGATGCAAGTTCTCTCATTGCCTTGGAGACACACAGGCAATTTATGATCATTTGTTACGAAGAGGCTCTGCCATTTCTCTCAGCCAGAAGGAAAATAGCATTGCCTCCTCAATTGCATCTCAAGGACTCAGCTAATGCAGCCCTGGTGCTCTTCTCTGGATAGAAATGTCTACAAAGGCTTTGAGAGCTCAGATCAAGTATTTTCTCTGTCAGCCACCAAAGGCATTCTGCCCCCTGCCTGCCACAATTACAGGGCTTTCTAGCCAGCAGAAGTAGGCAATCTGAAATTTCTTCTCATGCTCCTGTCAATATTGAACTATGGATTGTCTGAAAAAGAGTCATTCTTTTCCCTTAGTGGCTGGAGTACATTTTGAAGGGCCTGTAACCCTCTGTGTCAATCTGGGACATGAGGCTTACAGCTCCTCTATTCCTAGTCATTAATGACCCCCCACAACTTCCTACACAAAATTGCTGCCTCACTGCTGCGGAGAGAGAGAAGGAACTTCTTCCAGTATGTGGATGTCTTCCAGAGGAAAAGACAACAGCAAAAGAGCTAATAAGAAAAAAAAAAGTGGCAAAGTGGATTCTACAGCATAAGTGGTTATTATAGCAATGAAGTCTAGAGAAAGAAGATTCTGCACTCATATCTATTAGTGAGGAGGGCACTAATAATAGAGCTGACCACCCTTGAGTGCTTTGATTTTTTTCATTCTCCAATATAAAGCTATCCAAGGTTGAATTAAAGTTTCCCAGAACTGTGGATTGAGAAAGGAGTAGAGGAACACCTCAATGTATACAGTAATTTTCCTCTAGTTAGTTCAACTTCTTCAAGGCATTATTTATTAAACAGTAACCCAGTCATTCTGTATAATCTAGAAAGACAATGCTGACAGGTGTGAGATTCAGGAGCCAACATCATGAAAGGTAGTGTGGCTTACTCCTGCAGAGTAGAGTCAACTCGAAGAGGTTAACTAAGAGTGAGCAGAGCAATATGAAAAAAGCCTGTGTCTCTGTTATCCATCATTAGTTATACAGGATTTCCAACTTATGTAACAATGAGACCAGTTAAGTGGTGGTGTACACTTTAAACATTTGATTGCTGTAATTGCTAGCCTGTTCTATAACTGCCACGTATTAAGCTAATCACTTGAGGAAAAAGTTATCTTTATGAATTCTCACAAATATAAAAATTGAAATAATATATTCTCCATATTTTTTTCAAATTGATAAAACAAGATCAACCCCTAGTCCTTTAAGTTGTACTAATATAAATAATAATAGAGTCTAGGAGCTACCGAAAGGAAAAAGTAGAGGACAATAAAAATCTTTCACATAAATGAGAATGCAAAACCTTAAAAACTATGTTCAAACAAAGAAAATGACCTCTCATTATTGTTGAGTTTTATCTGCTTCTTATAACACAAGAGGAAGCAGGAACTCATCTTGAGGGTTATTGGTGAGATGTCCCAATTTCAGGTCAAATATTTATGGGATAACTAGGCAAAGGAAAAGAAGGAGAAGCCAGACACCTTGCATTCCAGGAGCTTATAATCTAATAGAGGCCACCAAATGCCAACAATCATCAACAGCAAGTGTATAAATAAATACATTATAATCAAGGTATAAGTAAGCAAGGTACAGGGTAAAAATAAAGGAGTCATTAATTGGGCCTGGCACGGTGGCTCACACCTGTAATCCCAGCACTTTGGGAGGCCAAGGCAGATGGATCATGAGGTCAAGAGATCGAGACCATCCTGGTCAACACGGTGAAACCCCATCTCTACTAAAAATACAAAAATTAGCTGGGTGTGGTGGCAGGCGCCTGTAGTCCCAGCTATTTGGGAGGCTGCGGCAGGAAAATTGCTTGAACCCGGGCGGCGGAGGTTGCAGTGAGCCGAGATCGTGCCTCTGCACTCTAGCCTGGCAACAGAGTGAGACTCTATCTAAAAAGAAAAAAAAAAAAAAGTAATTGATTCTAAATGGGGATATATGGAAATGCTTCACTGAGGATATAGACTCTTCAATGTAGAACAAGATTTCTACATGAGCAAAGACATTGCAAATACAGCAGAATGAGAAAGCAGACATAAGGAAATGTACATGGTTATGCACATACAGGCCCCAGGGAAATAATGGTGTGTAGAGGAGAGTGAGAGAAGCCTAGGTCATGCAAAAGGTACCTTCAGACAGCAGCTAAATCATGAGGGCCTTAATTCAGAGACATCAGATGTATTACATATAGCCTATTTTTTTAAACTGTGGTAAGATATACATAACGTAACCTTTACCAATTTAATCATTTTTAAGTGGATAGTTGAATATCATTAAGTACATTCAAGTTTTTGTGAAATCATTACCATCATGTTTGTCCAGGACTTTTTTTTATCTTTTTTTGTGCAATCATTTTATCTTTTTTTGTGCAATCATTACCATCATGTTTGTCCAGGACTTTTTTTTTATCTTTCCAAACTGTAACTCTCTACCAACTTGTATTAGTCTGTTTTCATGCTGCTGATGAAGACATATCTGAGACTGAGCAATTTACAAAACAAATAAGTTTATTGGACTTACAGTTCCACATGGCTGGAGAGGCCTCACAATCATGGTGGAAGGAGAAAGGCATGTCTCACATGGTGGCAAACAAAAGAGCTTGTGCAGGGAAATTCCCGTTTTTTAAAACCATCAGATTTCATGAGACTTATTCAGTATCACAAGAACAGCATGGGAAAGACCCATCCCATGATTCAGTTATCTCCCACCAGGTCTCTCCCACAACACATGGAAATTATGGAAGCTATAAGATGAGATTTGGGTGGGGACACAGAGCCAAACCATATCACCATTAAGTAGTAACTCTCAGTTTTCTCCTTCTTCTGGCCCCAGCAACCACCATTCTACTTTCTGTTGCTATGGATTTGAATATGCTAGGTAACAAATATAAGTGAATCATACAGTATTTGTCTTTTGTGTCTGACTCATTTCACTTTGTATAATGTCTTCAATTCAAGGCTCATCTGCATTGTAGCATGTGTCATAATTTCATTTATTTTTAAGGCTGAATAATGTCTCATTGTATGTACAGACTACATTGTGTTTATCTATTCCTCTGCCCATGGACACTTGGCTTGCTTCCAGCTTTTGGCTATTGTAAATAATGCTGCTATAAACTTGAGTGTACACACGTGTGTTTGAATCCCTGGTTTCACTTTTGAGGATATGCCCAGGGTTGGAATTGCTGAAATACATGATAATTCTATTTTCAATTTTTTGAAGAAACACCATATTATTTCCTATAGTGGCTGCACCATTTTACATTTCCACCAATAGTGCACATTCATCACATTTGCAACAACATCTTTTCAGTCAAGCCTTATTCTGGGTGTGTCTGTAAAGGTATTTTTTGACAAGGTTAACATTAGATTTGGTGGACTAGATAAACAGATTATCCTGCCTAATATGAATGGGGTTCACCCAATCAGTAGAAGGCTTGAACAGAACAAAAAGATTGGCCTTCCCACAAGTAAGCAGGAACTCCTCCTGTTTAATTTCTTGAGGTGGGACATCAGTCTTTTCCCTTCTTCAGACTTGAACTGAAACATCAGCTCTTTTTGTGTCTCAAGCCAGCCAACTTTCAGGCTGAAACTTATACCATCAACCCTCTTCACTCTCTAGTTGCTGACTGTAGATTTTCAGAATTCTCAGCCAATTCTTCATAATAAATTGCTCACTCTCTGTCCTCTCTAGATAGATAGATAGATAGATAGATAGATAGATAGATAGATAGATAGATAGATCTACTGCTTCTATATCTCTATAGAACTCTGACTAATTCTCCTTCCATTAAGGAGTAAGGGATAAGCAGAGGATAAAAAAGGAAGTTAAGAATAAAGACACATTCTGTTAAATATAGTGTCATAAAAGGCAAGAAAGGTTATGGTTTCAAGGAATAATATAGTCTATAATATTAAAACTACTGAATGGTCAAGAAGAACAAAAGCAAGAAGATTGGACCATTGAATATATATGAATGATTATTTAAGAGTACTCTCAGTGGAATAGTGCGGCCAGAATTGGACTGAAGTGGACCAAGGAATGAGTAGTAAAGAAGAAATTGAAGAATAGCTTAATCAAGGAAGAGAATCAACCTTCATTTTGGCACTTGAGAGGCTTTAGTATATAAAGAAGTAGAGATATAAAATGATAGCAAGAGGAAAATATGTCATCCTAGAGGATACCTAACAGCAGGGAAACCAAAAAATGCATAATTACGAGTCTTGAGGAAGTCATAAGATGAAACATAGAAAAGAATAGGAATTTATTTGGGGGAAGGCTTTTTTAGGGAAAATTTAAAATCACATATAACAGGCATGGGAGTCAAACATACAACTTTAATTTTTAAAAAAACTTTCCCCAAATCAGAGAAATCATATAAAGTTACAAAGCTGCAATAAAACCAAATTTTTTAAAAAACTAATATATCAAATAATTTTCAGTAATTATTTTATGGAAATGACAGAGCTTTACACATCATGCCAATGATGCCTCAGAATTAATTCAGGAAGGTAGACTTGTGTTTCTATCTTAAATACTAGAAATGAAATTGGAGGGTAAAGAATCTGCCTGGAGTTGGAGAATTGGGAATATAGCCTTGTTTAAGTCATACAGAAGGGAATCCTCTTTTTAATAAAACTACGATGTTCCAAAAGTTGGTATTTTCTGGGGGATGGAGAATACAGTAGAATATATTGGTGATTTACTGCAGATTGATAACCAATAAATTAACAAATATTTATAGTATACCTGTTATTGCACATAGGGGTTGGAAAAAGGGGGATTGGCACATGAAAGATAAGATTAAGAAATAGCTGTTGTTGATGGAATTCGTGATATATTCTTCCACTTTGCATTATTCAGGGAGTTAATATATTCATCATCCCTTCCCACTTTTCATAACCACTCTTTTCCACATGATGGGTATTATAGCTCTTCTCTTACTTTTTTCCTTACTTTTTTTTCTCTTACAATTTTTGTTTAATTTAATTAAATTATTTATTTGTTTGCTTGTTTATTATTTATTTGTTTGTTTGAGATGGAGTTTCACTCTTGTTGTCCAGGCTGGAGTGCAATGGTACAATCTTGGCTAACTGCAACCTCTGCCTCATGGGTTCAAGTGATTCTCCTGCCTCAGCCTCCCGAGTAGCTGAGATTACACGAGCCTGCCACCATGCCTGGATAATTTTTGTATTTTTAGTAGAGACTACGTTTCACCATGTTGGTCAGGCTGGTCTCGAACTCCTGACCTCTGGTGATCCACCTGTCTCGGCCTCCCAAAGTGCTGGGATTACAGGCTTGAGCCACCCTGCCCAGCCCATTTTTGTTTAATTTTATAGCACTTTATTTCTCATATACACAAACTTTCTTTTATGACATAGCACATTCTATCAAGTATTACAGTTATTTAAGCTTAGATTTATTGTTAATCTGATTGAAAGGAATTTTAAGTACCCCAAAGTGCTCAGCAAGTGCATACATGAAGGCTAAAATGAATGTTGAATTAATGAAAGAATGAGGACATTCATCGAGGACAATTTAGATGTTTGTTTGAATTCTATTAGATTGTCTCAACCTGCTCACAAATGCAACCAACAAGCAAAACATGTATAAAAATGCCATTAACAGTAAGACACCAATAGAATAAATAACAAAGAAAAATTAGAAGGAAACTGAGAACTATAACAATGTCATCAGTCATTTAAGAAAGTTTCAGTTAAAATTGACAAAAATATCAGCATTGCTGGATTAGCAATGTAACAGTAGAAGAATCAACATGTTCCTGAAAACAATGAGGATCAAAAGTTAAAGAAGTCAACAAAGAATAATTAGAAGTTAACTGTATGTGAGTAAAATAGTTTCTGGTATTTTCCTAAGTTTCAACTTAGGTAGCAGGCACCGCCACTCTCTGGAATCAAAGCCATTTATCATCCATGAACAACTACCAGCAAGAGCATCACCAGGGACAAGCTGAGATGGTGTTTTTACTGCGCCTGGGTTTTCGTATAAAAGTATTGAATATGTCTGGACTGTGGAGAGTTGCTAAGCTCAGTGTCAAGGGAAAAGCTCCATCATATTAGTAGTGATGCTATCTCTGTTATTGAAGTCTGTTATAGTCCAGAAGAGTCAGGAAGGAGAGATGCAAGTAGCTGCAGTTGCAGACAAATTAGAATTTGGTTTTAAGGGGCCCCATGTTACTGACCTTGTAATTTCCACATGACAGCCTAATTTAGGCCAGAGTTTTTTAAGAGTCCCAAGATCATAACTTAAATCCTCACAGGAAAATGTACATGTGTTTTCAAAAAAATACACACACATACAGATAGACATGGATGGATGGATGGATGGATGGATGGATGGATGGATGGACGGACGGACAGACGGACGGACAGATAGATAGACAGATAGATTAAAACTACAACTCTGTTCTTTTCTTTTTAAAATCAGATTGGAATGTAGTCCCACTGACAACATATACGGAGAAACAGCCATAAATGTATAATGAGAAGCTGACTGTGCACATAGAAAAACCTGCATACATCCACCAGAGAAAGGGGATGTTCCGAGTTTGGTGAAGTAACTTGCAATTCTCTGAGGTTGAGGGCACATTTCAGAATTTTTCAAAGGGCATATCCAAATGTACCACTGGCTGTGATAGGGTAAAGGATCGGCATCCTTCATGAGAGTGTAATGAGCTGTTCACACGCTCCACTAGAGCCTAATACGGCAAATGAATGGGCTTGCTTGCAAGCACTAAACAGGCTGGATGGAATAAAGTGACAGTGAATTTTCTCATTGATAGACAGTGGGTCTCTGTTTTCTTCACTCAGACACAGTCTCTCTTGCAAGGTAACAGGAATCTGCTTTGGTATAGCTTCCTTTAATCAGAGCGCAGCTGCAGAATCTGTTTTGAGATTCTGCTATGGCAGGGATGTGTGTTGTGTTTTCTAGAATAAATTTCTGACTATTCATATGCACCTGATACCCACACACAGGCCTCTACCACCCATCTCCACCACTGCCACACACACACACAGGCTTGCCAAGGCTGAGGGTCAAAAGGATTAGTTTTGCTTAGCCAGGTGTGCTTGTGTGGGGTAGGGATGAAAGTTGGAATTAATTCTTTTTCATAGTCTCTGAATATTTAAGTTTGAACATCAGCAAGAGAGAGCTTTGAGCTAACAGTGAATTCTTAAACTCAGTAAGGAGAAATTCATTCCTTAATTTGAGAGATGCAATGCCAACCTCAGTGCCAAGAAAAGAAGTAGAGATGGCAAACAGGAATGTAATACAGAGTTGTTACAAAGGCTTACTACTGTGATCCAATACGCTTTCCCTTCCATATTTTTATGGTAATTTTAAGCATACAAATTGAAACAGTTTTGCAATAAACATTCACACATAAAACTAACCAACCACTGCCTAAAACTAACATTTTTCTATACTTGACTTACCACATATCTGTCTCTCCATCCCTCTATTTACCCATTACTCCATTTGGGAAAGTACTTTTTAGCAAGTTTCAGACATTAGTAAATTTTTTCCTAAATACTCATGCATGGATATTATTTGCAACACTTTACTATTTGTTTTTTTTTATTTTTCAGGTAAAACTTACATATGCTGAAATATATATATATTTCAAGTATATATATGACTGTATATATATGTATATATACAGTCTTGTAAAAAATGCAACCTAAATAAAAAATATATAAACATCATTTCACATTGCCTTTTCCCAATCTCCTCCCCTAAGTCCAAAGAGTAACCACTGTTGTTTTTTATTTTATCCACCAAATATTAAATTGCCTGTTTTACAACTTTACTGAAAGAAAGTAATAAATGTTGTGCTCCTTTGTATAAGACTTCTTGTGGTAGGCAAATAATGGCCCTCCAAAATGTCCACATCGTAATTCCCAGAACCTATGAACACAATGGTACACTGCAAAGAGGAACTAAAGGAGCAGAAGGAATTATGGGTGCTAATCAACTGAACTTAAAATAAAATTATTCTGGATTATCTGGGTTGGCACAATGCAATCAAAAGTGTCTTTAAATGTAGAAAACAGAATCAGAACTGGAGAGCTGGCATCATAAGAAAGACTTGACCAAATATTGCTGGGCTTTCGAAGTTGAAGACGGCTGTAAACCCAGGAACGATGGTAGCCTCAGGAAGCTAACCTTTAGAAGGGAACATAGTTGCCAACACAATTGATTTCAGTCCTGTCAGACCCATTTTGGACTTCTGACCTCTACTACTGTAAGATAATACATTTCTGCAATTTATGATACCAAGTTTGTGGCAATTTATTACATGCGCAATAAGAAACTAATGTGCTTTTTTTACTCAGCAAAATGTTTTTGGAGTTCATCCACATTATTGTATGTATTAACATGAGCTGTTTGTCTCTTTCTGTTGCTGAATAGTATTCCATTTTGTTCATGTCCCTGTTGATGGGCACTCAGACTGTTTCCAGTTGTAGACTGTAATGACTAGGTCATAATTTGTGCATTCTTAAAACACTAGCACTTGGTAGAGCTGTGCGGGATGTGTTCAAGGATTCACTACCTGTGACCTCCTCTCACAGTGACCAGCATCTGATCTGTTCAGTGGCCAAGGGAGGCCACCAGTTAAGAAGCTGGAAATATACAACTATAACCTAGTGACAGAAACTTTTACCAAGCTCTGATCGAATATTTCAGGAATATCCTTCGAGGGCAGAAGCTGCCCTCACATGGAGCAGGCTGTGGAGACTTTGGGATTCTGAAGTGTCTGCCTCTCTCCATACGCCCAGGGAAGTCATACTGGAAGGGGAAGGCAGCCAGTCCTACTGTGTATTTTCCCAAGAAATGCCTTCAGCGAATAACCACTAATCGTATTGGTTGTTATTAGTAAACATTGATGTATCATCTGAGCCAGCACAACCTGGTTCCAGATGATTAACTTTTAAGGCTTACTTTTCTCATCTGTGAAATAAGGATAAAACTAGTCAAACTCACACAGTTATTCTAAGGAGTAGGAATAATAATGTAAATAAAAGAGCCTCATAAAATATGTATAATAAGCTGCTACTGTCCTAAATTTTTCTAAGCCCAACACAGGACAATATTTGTTTTCTATTTCTAGGAAAGTATTTTATAGAAACATTAAAGCCAGGGAATATGTTTATTAATTCATCAGGTATTGATTGAGCATAGGCTAGGCCCTAGAGGTTTCTAAGGTTATAAAGATTTATTGGACTCAACTCTTTTTACTCAGGAGTCTAGTGAGGAAGACAAAGAAGCAAACATCATCATGCAACTATCATTTGGCATGATCACTATGAGAAAGGCGACAGGGGATCCTGGGGGCACATAAGAGGGCACCTAGCCAAGTCAGGGAAGAACCTCCAGCAAGATTCTAGAGATGTTCCTGAACTCAATAGAAGCAGCGAATCAAGGATAGGATAAGTGGGAAGGAGAATGAGGGGGCAGTAGAAGAGTCAGGAAAAGCCCACTTTGTGGCCAGACGAGAGACTATAGCGGTTTAGATAAGCTAACACATCATATAGATGTGCACACTAGCTTGAAATTCCAGAGTCAAGTGCAGTCACAGGCAGGAATGAATAATATGGATTTCCAAGTTTATAGGTTTTCAAGTCATAAAAACTGGAAATCATATGACAATTTGGCTGCCCATCAGTTGTCTGGCCTGGAGGAAAATAAACTATTATTTTAAGCCTAAATATCTTCTTTTTTAAAAGAAGTATGAGATGATCTAAGAGTATCCAACAGCATTGTTGAAGATTTGTAACACATTTAGCAGAGGGATTGATACATGCTAAACTCTAAAACAATGTAATCTTTCCACATTTCTTCCCTTTTCATTTTCTGTAATATCACAAATATTCTAAAGAAATGCATATTGATACCATTTTGTTCCCAGCAGTGGAATCAATTGAGAACAAATACGTATCTACAGATTAGAATATACAACTGGCTGTTATTGAAAGGGAAGACAATATCCCTCTCTAACATTTTCACAGAGATAGTACAAACAGAATCTCAATCACTGAATCGAAGGGCTTTATTTAGTGGCCAATGTAAGGAAAACAGCAGCCCAAAGTTAATTAAAAATTACAAAAGGACAAAGTGTTGTAAAATAGTGAATAATCTTGTCTTCTATGAATGGTTGGGTTTGGGGAAGAAAGGGTTCCTACTAACATTAAAAGAGGTCCAGTGTTCCCAGAAGAAAGACCAATGACTTCATAAAATATATTTGTGTACCTGAGACAGACAAATATATGTTGTGGAAAAAATATGTGCATACTAATAAAACTAATGTTCATGTGTAGTATTGATAGGGATGGAGCCAGGTACCTATACTATTTGGGCATCTTCTTTAAGAAAACAAATAACCAAATTACAAACTCAAAATTAGGTATGTGTATTAGTTTCCTACCACTACAGTAATAAACAGCAATAAACTAATTTTTTATGTAACACAAATTTATTATATTACAGTCCTGGAGATCAGAAGTCCAAAATGGATATCACTGGGTAAAATCAAGGCATTGGCACCTCTCTGGAGACTCTATGGGGAAATTCATATTCTTGCTTTTTTCACCTTCTAGAGGCAACCTGAATTCCATGGTTTATGGTGCCCTTCTGTCTCAAAACCAGTAAGAGCTGGTTGAGTCTCAAAACATCACTCTCGCATTGATTCCTCTGCCTCCCTTACTCACATTTAAGGAAATTCTGATTACATTGTGCCCCCCACCACAAATAATCCAGGATAATTTCTCTATGTTAAGGTAAGTTGATTGACAACCATAACTCCGTCTGCAACTTTAATTCCTTTCTGCCCTGTACCCTAGCATATTCATAAATTCTGAGTACTGGGACATGGATATCTTTGGGAGGCCATTATTTTGCAAGCCACAGTACAAAATGAATATTTGGAATGAGAAAATGAATTCTATTATATCACCAACTATTTGATATTCAAGTCCTTTTTCTGTGACAATTTACAAGAAATGTTAATCTAGAAATACTTCCGACTAAACGTGGCTTTTTCTCCTCACCTGCAATACTCTACAAGTCCCAATAACGTCTAATACTCATAGGATGCATTAAATGAGAGACCCTAAAGCTAATCTCCTTTGGCCACATCATTAACCTGCTTCTGAGAATTAAAAAATGTCACTTCAGATATAATGCTCAGTCTCAAAATGCATCCTTTATAAAAGGTATGACTGTAGTACATTAATGATATTGACAGATAAAATTATTTTGTTTTATAAGATCAGTTTTATGAATAAATACAGGTTTCCAGTATTAGAAAAGCATTCAAATTCTTCTCAATATAAAATTAGCTTTCTTCCAGTAAATCTTTTATTTACTCATATTATATCACATCAAATTTAGACAATAGAATAACTTTTTAAGGAAAAATATGCTGTTTTTTACATTGTTTGCATCATAGGCTATACATGGGAAACTATATGAAGTATGTTTAAAGTTTAGGATGTAATCTCATCTTTTAGGCTTGACAAGAAATAGAAAAATGCTTCTCATTTCTAACCCAAATGTGCAATAAAGAAGACATCTCTTTATTCTACCTTTAAAAGACAAGCCATCCTTTAGTACAGTTACCCATAATGATTTTTCTGGAATTCTGACTTCAGAATGACTCCATCTGCTTCCTAGAAAGAAGCTTGGTGACATGGCATTGATCTCTGGGAAAATGTCAATTTGTGGTTCCTTCTACTGTTCTGTTCCAGACTAGGGGAAATAGCTTGAAAGAAACTGAAGGAATATTATTCAGCCTTTAAAAAGAAAGAAATCCTGTCTTTTGTAACAATATGGATGAACCTAAAAGACATTATGCTAAGTGGCGTACCCCAAAGACAGAAAGACAAATACCACATGACCTCACTTATATGTGGAATCTAAAAAAGTCAAGCTCATAGAACACAGAGTAGATGGTAATTGCCAGGGTCGGAGGAGCAGGGAAATAGGGAGATACTAATCAAAGGGTACAAAAGTTCAGTTAGGCAGGAAGAATAAGACCTGGAGATCTAACGTATAGCATGGTGAATACAGTTAAAAATATCGTGTCATTTACTTGAAATTTGCCAACAGAGTAATCTTAAGTGTTCTCATGACACACCCACACACACAAAAATGATAGCTATGTGAGGTGATAGTCTATTAATTAGCTTGATTGTGGTAATCATTTCACAATGTAAACATGTATCAGAACATCACATTGTACCTCATAAATATATACCATTTGTATTTGTCAAATGTACTTGAAGAAAGCTAGAAAAAAGTATAATAAATAAATTATATGGAAAAACAGTGTAATGGTTACTATTGTCAACTTGACTGAATTGAAGGATGCAAAGTATTGTTTCTGGGTATGTCTGTGAGGGGGTTGCCAGAGGAGATCAACATTTGAGTCAGTGGACAGGGAAAGGCAGACCACCATCTAATTGGCTGCCAGTGCAGCTAGAAAAAGCAGGCAGGGCTGGGCGCGGTGGCTCGCGCCTGTAATCCCAGCACTTTGGGAGGCCGAGGCGGGCAGATCACAAGGTCAGGAGATCGAGACCATCTTGGCTAACACGGTGAAACCCCGTCTCTACTAAAAATTACAAAAAATTACCTGGGCACAGTGGCGGGCGCCTGTAGTCCCAGCTACTCGGGAGGCTGAGGCAGGAGAATGGCGTGAACCTGGGAGGCGGAGCTTGCAGTGAGCCGAGATTGTGCCACTGCAATCCGGCCTGGGCTAAAGAGCGGGACTCCGTCTCAAAAAAAAAAAAAAGAAAAGAAAAAAAAAGAAAAAGCAGGCAGAAGGTGGAATGAGCAGACTTGCTGAGTCTTCCAGCCCTCATCTTTCTCCCATGCTGGATGCTTTCTGCCCTCAAACTTCAAGACTCCCAAGTTCATTGGCTTCTCGACTCTTGGACTTACGCCAGTGGTTTGCCAGGGGCTCTCAGGCCTTCAGCCACAGACTGAAGGCTGCACTCTCGGCTTCCCTACTTTTGAGGTTTTAGGACTTGAGCTGAGCCACTACTGGCTTTCTTGCTCCTCAGCTTGCAGATGGCCTACTGTGGGACTTCACTTTGTGACTGTGTGAGTCAATTCTTCTTAATAAACTCCCTTTCATATATACATATATCCTATTAGTTCTGTTCCTCTAGAGAACCCTGACTAATACAAACAGTCAAACAGATCTTTGCTTGGGAACAACTATAACCGTAGTCATTCACTTTTACAGGAGACAAAGAACTGCTGCCATTCCAGGAGTGCTTGCCACGTACTAGGCTACGAATTTATGTTCCTTATCTTGTTTGGTCTCCATAACAATACTGGAAGAAAAGTACTATCTCTATTTTCTTACGCAAATTTACTTGTAATGGTAATACTCATTCTTCATGTTTCTCATATCTGAAAAGATAACCTGTGTTGGAATGGCAGAAAGATGTTCCTGTTCTCCAAGAGGTTTCCTAAGCAGTTTCCTTGTCCTCAGCCACAAAGTGTCAAGACTATTGGATTGGGTTTGAAAGGCAGAAGCACTAGTTATTAAGTGTGAGGCATTTGAAGGGGATGTGAAAATATACTACCATTTAAAATGATTATTGTGACTTCTGTTATATTACGTTTCCTCTCATCTGGTTACAGACCTAAAGGAAAGTGGATATTCAGAGAGAGTTCACGACTATTAAACATCTTGACTTTAAAGATTGTGTTGTTACCTACATGGAGACTACAAACATTTTTTTATTGCTCTTCAACTCAATATAAATCAGTCTTTTGCTGATTCTCTTCATTTCCATCCAGTCCTAGAGCAACCTGTAGAATACGCCATTATTGTCTTCTCCCTGCCAAGGAAGAACAGTTTGCAGTGGGATATAAGATTTTGGAGACACACTTGGGAAGACCACAGCCTCCTTCCTGTAGCCATCATGGCACTGATGGTTTTGAATGCTGAATACGGTTCTAAAACTCAAAGCTCAAAAATAGACCCAGGAAAGGAGAATGTATGAAGTTCCCCTGGGGATTAGATAAAGCCATTCTGCCACCTGGTGGTCCAGCACCTGCTATCCAACAAAGCAAATGGGAAATCAGAAAAGGGGCAGAACTGGGTTTGTAAGAAAACTTGTCATTCCTTTACTCCCAGGAGCACTTGGGAGACTATTCTGCAGCCAGAATTTTCGTGACCATTATATGTGTAAAGACGATTTTCTTATGCACATAACAAAGCCAGAAGCTAACTTCTTCCAGAGTGCAACAGACAATATAATGTCAGCCAGAGAGTGTTCACAGAAATCTGGTTGCATAGGTGTTGAAAGGAACTAGAGGTCCTTATATTACAGATGCAGTGATTGAAGTCTAGACAGTCAGAGTGACTCATTTAACTCAGAAGGGGTGGAAACCACATTTCTGGAAGCCCAGTTAGAAATCACACTGCAGGGCATCCTATAGAGCTTTACCTTTTAGGGCACGCAGCTTGCACCCGTGTTTGTTTAGTATAAAGTGCTTTGTCTCTGTGCAGCTGCAGAATTAATATTATGCAATAAATACTGCCTACTGCTGTACTGCACATCCACTGGTAATTAAAAGAGGAACAATAGATAAACTGCAAGAAATCACTTAGAATTTGTAGAAATAGAATCAATAGATCCAGCTGAATATAATGAGCTCAGATTCATTCAAAAAAATAGCATTGGGGGAAATCCAAATGTAATATATTTTTATGTAATGATTCTTATAATTGTATATTTAATAATACACAATGAAGCCTTTTGTTTCCATTTAACATAAAGTCATAAAATATTTGGCTCATAAAAGCATTAAGATGAGGAAATTAGAGACAGGGAAAAATAAGCCCTTTGTTTTTTAAAAGCATTCTTTTGTTTTTCTTTCTGGTTGTGAATCTGTCCCCCGAACTCACTGCTGCTTCATTTAAATTTTTTTCTGCGCTCTCAAATGCCTCACTTGAAACTTCCCATCATGTTTAAAAACAAATGGAGTTGCTGCTTAATTCATTTTGCTTTCCAGGGAGTAAAGGAAATGAAAATTAAAAGTGGTTTTGCCACCGGTAAAGAATGCTAGAATGCAGAGGTTTTGATGGCAATATTACAAAAAAAAATTGTATTTCCATGTTTGCTATTCATCTTTCTAAAACACCTCTTCTCATCTGCTTCAGATGTCAATATTGTAAAAATCTGAGATAACTGATTTATACACTCTGCATTTTTGGTCACCCAGTACTGGCACTGTATTTAGAGGTCCCACTGTGATTATGAGCTTCTCAAGGGTTGGAGCCATGTTTATCTTATTCAACTGCATGGTTTACTATCTACCATGCTTGTCATAGATTGGATGCTTATTAAATATCTGCTCAATTAATTGTTGCAGTTTATAACATCATCTGAAGCAATTATGTTCTGTGGCCAGACTCTAGCCAAAGCCTTTGGCTGGGAATCTCAGACATAAACATGAATAGTCTCGGAATGAGCAGAGGCGGGAGGTTGTAAAAAGGATTGACACTAGACTTCATGGGTTGAATTCTAGGTCACATTGTACTAGCAATGTGTCTATGTGTTACTTAACTCTGTATGAGTTACCTAATGTCTGTAAACTACAGTTTGTGCTATGTCAAAACAGAGAAAATACTAATATCTGCCTCACACGATTTTCAAGATGAAATATCATCTTTTCCCAAACAGTTTAGTACAGTGTCTGGCACTGGAAGTTAGCACTCCTCATATGTTAATTCATTGATATTGCTACACTGTTTTAGTTTACTATTGCTGTTATAACAAATCACCATAACTTCATGGCTTAAACACAATACAAATTTGTGATCTTACCGTTCTGGTAGCCAGAAGTCAAAAATGAGTCTCAAAGGGTAAAATTCAAGGTGTCAGCATGGTTTGTTCCATCTGGACGCTCCAGGGGAGAATTGATTCTTTGCCTTTTTCAGCTTCTAGAAGCTACTACTTTCCTTGGTTCCTGGTAGCACTACTCCAATCTCTACTTCCATCATCACATCCTCTTTTCCATCTTCTTGTCTCCGTTTTAGAAGAACCCTTGTGAGTATTACATTTGGGCCTAACCAGCTAATCCAGGGGAACATCCCATCTCAAGATCCTTAATTAATCACACCTACAAAGTCTCTTACTAGGTCAGGTAACAAATTCACAGGTTCTGGGAATTCAAACATTGACATTTGTAAGGACCTTATTAAGCCTACCACATATACCAACATTATCAGGAATTTCTTAAATTCAGAGACTTTTCACAAATCTTTTAATTCCCAGTAGTAGTTTTTCTCTTCAAAATTACCTAACCAGGGAATTATTGCCTTTTTGTGGGCTTTATTTGTTGCTTAATTTGTTTAACTGAATTTGGCCAAACCTCAGGAAATTGAAGATTTTAGTATGCTAAATCTGAGACTGGGGGAGGCCTCCCAGGATTTGTATATTTTTCAAAAGTCCCATGAGTTATTTTGAATTTAGTCAATTTTCATTAAATAAATATATAATAATGTTTTAGGAGCTGCATACTTTTTGATATCTCACCACACTATATACTGGAAAACAAAATAAAAATGTAGTAAACATGACAAAGGAATTGCTTTCTTAAACTGCAAAAATCTTCACAAATAAAGTACTAAGGAAACAAATTTGAGTGTAAGATAAGGAAACAATAACATGAAGGTGAATTGTTACCACTGGGAAGAATATTTGCCAGTGTTTAGAAATGTTTGCTTTGTTTGTCTAAACCAATTATTAATTTGGCACATTTAAAAATGCATTTCTCCCCGGACCACCTGTGATGGTTAATTTTACGTGTCAACTTGACTGGGCCATTCTCCTCCTGTCTCTTTTTAAATTGGCAGGCAAACTTTTTCTGCCTAGTGAGTCAGTGGAGATGAGAACATTAATTTATTTGAGTGTATGTATGTCAACGCTGCTTGAAGAAAACGTGCCAGTGTGGTCTCAACATGTGAAACATTTTAGGTCATTCTATTCTCACATTTGCCCCCTAAAGCGCTGTTCAAGTTATGTATTCAACATACTGATGAGAAACACATTCTGCTATTTAATAATGAAGAAGAAGAGTGAAACAGAGAAGCACTGAGCTGAAGAGGAGGACACAGGTGTCCCAATCCAATTTGACCATTAGCTAGCTCTTAGATCTCTGAAAAATACATGCAACCTCTCAGTCTTTCAATATCTTTAGATGCTAAAGGCAGACTATGTCTTCAGTTGTACCTGAGGTCATTTCTATTTGCAAAGTGTTATGATTACAACCTGATTTTAAATGTAAGTCCAGACCTCCTTACAATAACAGCAATAAACATATGGTGCTTACAATGTGCTTGATAAAGTTTGGAGTGTTTTATAATGTTAAATTGTTAAATTTCACAAAATCCTGTGGGATAGTTATTACTATTTTTCTCACTTTACAGATGAAAAAACTGGGTCATAGAAATTTATATAACTTTTCCAAGGTCATAGAACTGAGATTTGAGTCTTTGAAGTCTAGCTCCAAAGGCTTTTCTTCCTTGTTCTACCATATTTGAGTATTTTTTAAATTTCCGTGTAAACCCAAATATTAAGTAATGAGAATTTAGGGTCACAAAAAATGAGTTTAATACACTTTTGATATCATTCTATCTTTACCATTGTACATAGCTCCATACTCGTATGACTTTAGTTCAATTTGGCATTTTGTTCTAATTTCTATAAATATCTTCCCTGTCTGCTCTGTTGCCCAGTGTCTCATAAGCAAAATTATTAATGATTCAATTGCCTTTATGGGAAAATGATTGAAAAGTCACCTTGAGAACATGAAATATGATCAGATGCTAAATGATAACAGTCAAGGCAGGAGTCTCTTGATCGAACTTGAGTAAGTGCTGTGCTTATGGTTGAACACCAGTTATCTTTCTCATCATTTGCTCAGCTAAAATCTTCTGGAGACCAGAGACAACTGGTGAGGACCAAACGAATAAGTGAAGTTGAAGTGGACATTACTATAGTCACATTATAATAAGAAAACAGGAGTTCAGAAGGTTTGAATACTCTTAGCATTGAAATATGTGTAGGCCAGAATTTGTAGAAGACAAATTTTTTTTTTTTTTGGAATGAGTGTTATTTCCCCAATGCCACAACTGTCTATCCAGCAAAACTTGGGAGAAACTTTGCACTTATCACTCAATAAAGAACCAAGTTACAGTGGCCAGGTTTCTAAACATGAAGAAACATAATGTATTATTTGTGGATGTGAGATACACAGATCATTTACATTAACTTTATTAGCTGTCATTCCCCTAGGCTCAAATGGTTACATCATTCTTTTGTCTGTGTACAATGGATGCACGAATTCTTATTAGCAATGATGTCCTTACTGAACCAGCCTTAAGAAGGTTGTTTGATAATCACCAAATTAACTTCAGAAATTCACTTATTTTCATGCAGAGCTTGTGAGTTTGTTTGCTTTTTTCATTTTAATGATGTTTACTGCTTATTTTATTGTTTTCACCTATGATCTGACACTATCGACTCTTCTGCTCTAATCTCTACATTAAGAAAATGTGGCACATATACACTATGGAATACTATGCAGCCATAAAAAATGATGAGTTCATGTCCTTTGTAGGGACATGAATGAAGCTGGAAACCATCATTCTCAGCAAACTATCTCAAGGACAAAAAACCAAACACCGCATGTTCTCACTCATAGGTGGGAACTGAACAATGAGAACACATGGAGACAGGAAGGGGGACATCACACACCGGGCCTGCTGTTGGGTGGGGGGAGGGTGGAGGGATAGCATTAGGAGATATATCTAATGCTAAATGATGAGTTAATGGGTGTAGCACACCAACATGGCACATGTATACATATGTAACACACCTGCACGTTGTGCACATGTACCCTAAAACTTAAAGTATAATAATAATAAAATTTTTTAAAAAAAGAACATCTCTTCCTATTCATCCTTAAAATATCTTAAATAATATTTTCTCAAAAACTTCTCTTACCTACTTATGCTTTATTATTACCGTAATTTAAAAAAATTAGTATCTATTTCTCCCCACTAGACTTTAAACTTCATGGCGATATGAATTGTCTCAGTTTTGCTCACAAAAATAGCCCCATGGCTAAGCCTAAAGAGAGGAGAGTATGGGAACACCTCGACCCTTTGGACATGCTCTCTTACCAGACTGTTGGTTAGGATTAGAGTATGTGTGTGTGTTGGACTTCCTCATTTTTTAGAATGAGGCTCTCTAAGGTACAAACTTTCTGTCTCTTATTACAGTGCATTTACTGAGACGATCTCTGTTCTCAGCAAGGCAGTCTATCACTTGGGGTAGGTAAATTTAATTAACAAAGGACAGAATTTAAAAGTGCCACAATGAGCACACAATTAGATTCTTTCCTCCAATTTAGCTGTTCCAATAATAAAGCTGCCGTTTTAATATTCACCTGGCAATTTATGTGTTTACTGTCTTCAATTTGTACATAACACTGGAGGAAGGAAAAACATATTAATTATGTCCTGGGACCTTAAAATTTAAATATACTGGTATGTTGGCTTGGAACATTGAAAGAGCCAGCAATGGGTTGATGTTGTATGAAACAAAGTGTCATGTGGATAAATTGATGCTTCAAGTGTGGCTCCAGTTCTTGACTTTTAGGATCATAGCAGCTTACTGCAGTGGATGTCTATGGTGTTTAGCAGCTATTTTAAAAGTAGCACAGGGCTCAGTAAATACATCTCACACAGACTTTTGTAGCTGACTTTGACTGATGGAGGTGCAGGCTTGACCTACGCAGGAATAAGTGAGATAGGGATTCGACTGTATGAAGGGAAAGGGAGTCTTTTCGTTTCAGTTAAGGCTCACCTGATACAGGCTTTCCAGGACTCAAGGGGTGAATTTTTTTTTCCTTGTAGTGTTTCTTGACATCAACTGGCTGAGGCTTCCATCTGCAAAGGCAGTTAAGATCCATGTAGGCTGTAAAATGAGTGGGTGAGATTTTAGCCTTTATATTGTCAGCGTTTAACAACAATAGAGGCTAATACTTTAGCTATTTGAAATTCCTTCCTCTTGCCACACTTCAAAGGGCATACAATTCCAAAAAGAGTGAAGATGAGACATACCAAGAGCTAATCTCTTGGACTCATGTGCCATGTTTATACTGTTAAGAGCCACTTTCTACAATATAGTTTCAAATTGACTCTGATTTGGTAACTGAATAGGCTGTAACTGTGGCATAAGATTTCCAAGGTACAGACTAAGACTGAATTGATCCATAAAAGGATGGTTGATTTAATTAATCAACAGATAATCAAGCGGTGAGGAGAGAGGCATACTGCACTGGAAATGGCTCTTATTTGAACCTAGGCTTAAGGAATATTGAAGGAGACTATCACAAAGTTAAAACCATAAATTCAACAATGGAATGTTTTAAGCTTCATTCATCTTAGAAATAAAGTTTGCAGATAATATGAAAAAAATTCAAGAGTTAAATATAGGGGGATTGAAATGTCATAAATGATTATGTCTCAGGAAATGGTTTTACCTTTACAAAGAGAAAAGAGCATATTTTCAAGAAATCAAGAAATAAAGGCCGGGCACGGTGGCTCACGCCCGTAATCCCAGCACTTTGAGAGGCCGAGGTGGGTGGATCACCTGAGGTTAGCAGCTCGAGACCTGCCTGGCCAACATGGTGAAAACCCATCTCTACTAAAAATACAAAAAAAATTAACCAGGCTTGGTGACTCATGCCTGTAGTCCCACCTACTTGGGAGGCTGAAGCAGGAGAATGACCTGAACCCAGGAGGCAAAGGTTGCAGTGAGCCGAGATTGCATCATTGCTCTCCGGCCTGGGTGACAGAGCGAGACTCTGTCTCAAAAAAAAAAAAAACAGAAAAAAAAAAAAAGAAAAAAGGAAGAAAAAAGAAATACAGGGATCTACCTGAGAGCTATCTTGAGGTCTTTACCACCAAATCAGAATTAGATGAAAGGAAAAATGAGCTACATGTATACCAAATGCTCTTCACTTGTATTAATAACAGTAAAACTTCTTAGCAGTGAACTTGAGTGACCTCCCTAGAAGGAACTCATCTTCAAGAAAGCATTGAGAAGCATCATAATATAAGAGCAGATGGGAGGCCTGTAGCAACAGCAATTAGGAAACCATTTCATGAACACTGGAAAAGTCATATGAAGCCATTATGGATTATTCAAACCTTTGAGGGGAGAAACTAGACAGATCATAAAGCACTTTAAGCGCTATCAGGTTTGTTTCAAAGGAAGATCATTGCAGTAGTTGAAAATAGAGATACTGCTCCACCACTACCACAAGTTGATTCCAAAGAGTTTTTAAGGACTTACTATTTGTCAGGTGCTGCTCTTGTTCCCAGGTATGTATGTATGTGTGTGTGTGTGTATATATATATATATATATATATATCTCCAATTCCAATTCATATATATATATATATATATATATATATGAGGAAAGATGACAAATCTCTATACCCATGGGACTTACATCTTAAAGGAACAGACGATAGAAAATAAATATCATGTAAATGACAAGTTCATGGGTGCAGCACACCAACACGACACATGTACACCTATGTAACAAAACTGCACGTTGTGCACATGTAACCCAGAACTTAAAGTATAATTAAAAATATATATTCCAACAACAAAAGAGGTGGACAAAATGAAACAACAAACGTCGACAACTGTTTAGGTTGGTCAATGGGTAAATAAAGGGCCATAAGCTAATAAATAAATACATAAATAAATAGGTGAATATGTAGAGAGAGTGACAAATAGTAAGGAAAACAAGAGACCAGGGAAGAATAAGAAGTGTCCACCTAGGGAAGAATTAGTGACCAAGGAAGTCCTTAATGATGGGAATGGAACTCAAAGGGATGACAAAAGAATGTGAAAAAGCAGACACATAAGGCCAACACAAAAATGAAGACAAAAGAGAAAACTAGAGAGACCAAAAATGAATTAGAGACTGGGCCTGGTATTATGTCTCCTACTAGGGAGTCTGAGCATACAAAATCTAGAGGATTAGGTGAAGAAAGGACAAGTCTGGAACTGAGAGAGGAGTAAGAAAGAGAATGAATAAAACACCACAAGCAATGCTCACCCCCCATGTGATGGGAAAGGAAAGCAGTCAGTGTAGGGAGTGGATAAGAATGTCCAAATCTCCACAAGGCCTCCAGAAAGGAGAAACAGGAGGGAATCAGAGCATCTATGGAATAGCTCACTACGATGGAAAAAGATGCTGCAGTGGTAAAAGATGGATTTTGCCATCAAAATAGAACACATTATTCCAATTCTGAAAAAACCCAATAGCAAAGCAGAAGAATGGTCACCTTTGGAATGAGCTCAAATGGCAAGGTTGCATTACTGAATGAACCTTTGAGGGGAGCTCTTTCAGAGGTCTCAGCTGAGGTCAGACATCTGCTGTTGTTGATCCTGTGGATAAAAGGGACATGTGGATAAGATCATGGCTGGGGTCCCAAGGGGAGGATTTAATAAGTTTTTTTTCACTAAGGGAGGCTCAACTTCTCTAAATGGGGGGAAGGAACCACTGCCGTTATTACTAGTGCAAATTTGTAAACTTTTCAAGAAGGTTCAAATGTCTCAAATGTCACTCAGAGAGATGGGAGTCAGGTTGTATAGGTAGGTGAATATTCCCAACTCCATCTGATAAGCACAATATCAGAATTGACAAAAACATCTAGGCGAATGGACTATAAGCTCCTAGGTCTTAAACTCTGGACAATTGGACTTGGCTGATTGAGATTCTGGTAAGGTGTCAGCCAACGAGAATTACTCTTCTGTTTTTTGCCTTTAATGATAACTTGGGTGTAATTGAACCAGGTACTGCATTATAAGAATAAACTTTACTTGTGGTAACTCTTGTAGAAGCTGTGGTTTCCTCTATTGAGAGTGTGGGGTCATATTGTGAAAACCTTATATGGCTTATTAATTCTTTTGAGTTTTCACAGCTTAGGGCACATGAGAGACCTAAGTAAAAGTATTTGAAATTGGGAGGTCCTGAATATACCATACGCCTTCCAGTAAAATGGTTAAAGTTATAATCTCTCAGGGAGGCCCAACTTCTCTAGATGTTTCACCAAGATCCATCTAATTGAGATTCAGCAGAGAAAAAAATTGAAGTGGAAAAAATTGAGAGACTCTAATTACTTTTGGGCTTAACATAAAGCTTTTTATTTAAGTTAAAACAGAATTGGGGTTTAAATTTCGGGCTTTGACTTCTTATGAATTTAATAATGGTAAACAGAATTCATAGTTTAAATTTATAACACTTTTAGATGTATTACTTGGAATTTTATGCTGTCATTAACATGTCTTGCCATGCTTCCTGTGTGGTATATTGGGTAACGTGAATGGCCATACCATACTTTGGAAAAAATGTGGAATCAAAAAATATTCACAAAAATGTGAATATCTTAGGAAGTTGCAGTTTACATTAGAAATTAGTTTTATTTATAAGCTCCTTGTTTCTTATCCTTCTGAAACCTAAGCTAAACTACATGCCAGAGGTTCTAGGAAGATAAAGTTGGTGCTGTGGGAGTGTTCTCATAAGGTAGGAATAGAGATATTTTCATAGACTCTTGGTTTCTCTAGAGAGCACGGCCACAACTTTAGTTGACAACACCATCATTTTGAAGCCCAGGTGTTTAAGGGAACAAAATCTGAGGGAGGGAGGAGGATTTTCTTTCCCCTGTCATCATGTGAGGCATGCTTCCTCTGGCTAGCTCACCAACCACATTAATTTGTTATTCTGAGCAGGGTGAAAAAGAGAGAAGGAAACTAAAAGTCTATAGCAATGCATGGGTAAATTTCTTCTCAGCCGACTCTATGGCGATAGGGCTGATTGCTTATCCAACCCACCTTCTCCAACCTCATGCTAGCTGCCAAAAGCTGAGATGGTAATGTCCATTTTTTTTCAGATAACTGATAAAGACACATTTGTCATTTCAAACTTCACAAGTAGCCTCCCTCACTTTAAAGCTAAGTAAACCATTACTCAGAATTAAGCAACTTTCTCAGAGACACACATTAAGTGTCAAGAAAGAATTCAAAACTAGATCTACTCCAGGCAGTCAGAGCAGCCCCTTGCTAGTTCAGCAGCATGAGCTGCCCCACCCTTTCTGCACGGAGACTGTGATACAACCAGGCCCTCTCTGCTCAATGCCCAGGGATAACTCCAGGCATTTGAAGCACCCACATGCCTGAACCAGCAGCCTGAGCTATCCCGTCCTTCTTGTGCAGAGATCATGGTTTAGCGAGGCCTTTTCCACTCCATTTTCATGTTCCAAGTAGGTCTTCAGTCAGTCAGAGCACCTGCTCACCTGAATCAGTAGCCTGAGCCTCCCTGACCCTTCTAGTGGAGATTGTGCTAACACAGGGTCCTCTCCACTCTCCACCCAGGCCAATCTCTAGGCATTTGAAGCACTTTTTTGCCTGGATGAGCAACCTAAGACGCCTCAGCCGCATGTGCAGAGATTGTGGTGCAGAAGGGCCCTCTACACTGCATGCCCAGGCAGATCTCAGGCAACTGGAGCACCTGCTCACCTGAATTAGGAGTTTAGGCTGCTCACTCCCTTCCCCATACAGAGATCTTGGGGATGAGGAGGTTTCTCAGCTCCACACCTAGGCGGCACACCTCTGGGTGCTTGGCGACCACCCACTGGATTGTTCCTCTTCTTCCTCAGTGCTGGTGCTTGTGTCTGTCATCAGGGAATCTGTAGGTGGACCTGCCCAATCCAGCCCTACCCATCTTTCCCCAATTCCCGAGGTCAGAGCAGTGAACTCAGAGCCTGTGCACTCCATGCATCAGCCCATTGCCTGAGGCAACAGAGAGCTTCTTCCAGTAAACAAGGACCAAGTATACACCCACCCAGTCATGCTGGCAGCAGACAGCGTTTACCTATAAGCGCCATCTACTGGCTTGTAGTTTAAACTGCACAACTCAATATGAAACCAGCTGACATGCGTGCTTATGGCTGTACAAGCAAAGCCAAAAGATCCTATCCAACATTCTATATACACATACACCCTAAGGCGATGGGAAAGGGAAAGGGAAGGAGCAAATGATGATACTATAGGACAAGAAAGAAAAAGAAAAAAAATCCTACCTGCATAAAAATAATTACAAAAATTAGAAGTGCCAACATTTCCAGTTGAGAAGCAACCAGAGCAAAAATTCTGCACCATGAAAAATCTGAATGTAGTGCCACCACCAAAGAATCACACTAGCTTTCCAGCAATGGTCCCTAACCAAAATATAAACTCAGAAATGAAAGATAAGGAATTCAATACGTGGATTGCAAGGAAACTCAATGAAATTCAAGGTTGAAAATTAACACAAACAAACTTCTAAAGCAATCCAGGACAATGAAGGAAGAGATAAACATCTTAAAAAGAAATCAATCAGATATTCTGAAATAGAAAAACTTACTTAAGGAATTTCAAAATACAAGTAAAAGCTTTATTAATAAAATGAACAAAACAGATAAAATAATTCGAGAGCTTGAATACCAGTCTTTCAAACTAACTCAATCAGACAAAACTTAAATAATTTTTTAAATGAACAAAGACTTTTGAGAAATATGGATTTTGTAAAGTGACCAAATGTACAAATTATTTGCATTCCTGAGACAGAAGGTGAACAAGTAAGAAAACTGGAAAACATGTTTGAGGGAATAGTTGAAGAAATTTCTTCTAATCTTGCTAATAGGTAGACATCCAGTTACACAAAATCCAGAGAACACCTGTAAGATGCTATACAGAGGAAACATCACCAATACATAGTCACCAGACTGTCCAGGTCAATGCTAAAGAAAAAAAACCTTAGAAGCAAGAGTAAAAGGTCAGATCACATACAACAGGAACCCTATCAGGCTAACAGCAGACTTTGCCGCAGAAACCTTGCTAGCCAGGAGAGATTGAGGACCTATTTTTAGCATTTCCAAAGAAAACAAATTCAAACCAAGAATTTCATATTCTGGCAAACTAAGCTATATAAGTGAAGGAGAAATATTTATTTTTTCAGAGAAGCAAGTGCTGAGGAAATTCGTTTTGCCACTAGCCCAGTGTTACAAGAAATATTTAAGGGAGTTCTAAACATGGAAATAAAAGAATGACACCTGGCACCACAAAAATGCACTTAAATACACAGCCCACAGACCCTATCAAGCAACCACACAATAGAAACTACGAAGCAGACTACTAACAACTTCATAATAGATCCAAAACGTCACATACCAATATTAACCTTGAATGTAAATGGTCTAAACACCTCACTCAAAAGGCACAGAATGGCAAGTTGGATATAAAAGCAGGATCCATCTGTCTGCTGTCTTCAAGAGATGCATCTCACACATAATGACACCCATAGGCTCAAAGTAAAGGGTGGAAGAAAGATCTATCATGCAAATGGAAAACAAAAAAAAAGATCAAGAGTGACTATTCTTATGTCAGATGAAACAGATTTTTAACCAGCAATAGTAAAAAAGGAAAAAGATGACATTATATAATGATAAAGGGTGCAATTCAGCAAGAAGACTTAACTATCCTAAATACATATGCATTCAACATTGGAGTACTCAGATACATAAAACAAGTTCTTCTCGACTTATGAAAAGACTTAGCCACATAATAAAAGTGGGGGATTTCAACAACCCACTGACAACGTTAGATGGATCACTGAGGCAGAAAAGTAACAAATAAATTCTGAACTTAAATTTGACACTCAACCAATTGGATCTAATGGGCATCTACAGAATACTCCACCCATCATCCAAAGAATATACATTATTCTCATCTGTACACAGAACATACTCCAAGATCAACCAAATGCTTAGCCATAAGGCAAGTATCAAGAAATTAAAAAAAAAAAAGTGAAATCACACCAAGCACACTCTCAGAACACAGTAAAATAAAAATAGCAATGAATATCAAGAAGATTTCTCAAAACCACACAATTACATGGAAGTTAAACATTTATTTCTCAAATGACTTTTGGATAAGCAATGAAATTAAAGCAAAAATCAAAAAAAGTTATTTAAAATAAATGAAAGCAAAGATACAACATACCAATACCTCCCAGAAGCAGCAAAAATAGAGTTAATAGGAAAGTTTATAGCACTCAAGAGCTAACTCAACAAGTTATATCTCAAATTAAGGATCTAACATCACACCTAGATAAATTTTCAAAACCAGAACAAGACAACCTTAAATGTAGCACAAGAAAAGAAATAATTGAAATCAGAGCAGAAGTGAACAAAATTAAAACCAAAAAATCCATATAAATTATCAATAAAATCAAAGGTTGATTTGTTGAAAGGACAAACAAGATCCATAGACCACTACTTTGATTAACAAATTAAAAAAAGACAGAAAATCCAAATAAGCACAATGAGAATTAACCAAAAAAATGACATTACAGCCAATCCCACAGAAATATAAAAGATCCCCAGAGACTATTGTGAACACCTCTATGCACACAAACTAGAAAATCCAGAGGAAATGAATGAGTTAGTGAAAACACACCATCTCCCAAGATTGAATCAGAAATTAAAATCCTGGACAGACCAATATTGAGTTCTGAAACTGAATCGGTAATAAAATCCTAACAACAAAAAAAGCCCTGGATCAGATGAATTACAGCATAATCCTGCAGACATACAAAGAAGAACCTGTAATAATTCTACAAAAACAATTCCAAAATATCGTGGAGGAGGGATTTCTCTCTAACTCATTGTATAAAGCCAGAATCACCCTGATACCAAACCCTAGCAAAGACAATGAAAACAAGAAAACTACAGGCCAATATCCCTGGTTAATATAGATGCAAAAATCCCCAACCAAATTCTAGCAAACCAAATCCCGAAGCACTACCGAAAGTTAATTCATCATGATCCAGCAGACTTTATTCCTAGGATGCAAGGTTGATTCAATATACTCAAATCAATAAATGTGATTCACTACATAAACAGATTAAACAAAAACCATACGATCATCTCAATAGATGCAGAAAAAGCTTTCAAAAAAATTCAACATCCCTTCATGATAAAAACCCTCAGCAAACTAGGCATCAAAGGAACATACCTCAAAATAATAAGAGCTATCTATGACAAACCCACAGCCAACTTTAGAGTGAACAGGTAAAAGCTGGAACCATTACCTTTGAGAACTGGAACAAGAGAAGGATGCCCACTCCCTCCACCCCTGTTCAACATAGTACTGGGAGTCCTAGCAAGAGCAATCAGGCGAGAGAAAGAAATAAAAATGTATCCAAATAGAAAAAGAAGAAATCAAACTGTATGTCTCTACTGAAGATATGATTCTATACCTAGGAAACCCTAAAGACGCTGCCAAAAGGCTCCTGGTACCAATAAACAACCTCAGTAAAGTTTCAGGATACAAAATCAATATACAAAAATCAGTAGCAATTCTATACACAAATAACATTCAAGGTGAGAAACAAATCAAGAACATAATCCCACTTATGATAGCCACAAAGAACTCCAAAACACTGCTGAAAAAAAATCATTGATGATGCAAACAAATGAAAAAACATTCCATCCCATGGATTGGAAGAATCAGTATTGTTAATAGGTCCACAGTACCCAAAGCAATCAACAGATTCAATGTTATTCTTATCAAACTACCAATGTCATTTTTCACAGAGTTAGAAAAAAACTATTCTAAAATTCATGTGGAGCAACAACAACATAAAAAACCCTGAATAGCCAAAGCAATTTTAAGAAAAAAGAACAAAGCAAGAGGCATCATATTACCTGACTTTAAACTATAAGGCTGTAGTAACCAAAACAGCATGGTACTGGTACAAAAACGAACATAGAGACCAATGGGACAGAATAGAGAACCCACAAATAAAGCCATATCCCTGCAGCCATCTGATCTTCAACAAAGTTGACAAAAATCAGCAATGAGAAAAGAATTCTCTGTTCAATAAATGGTACTGGGATAACTGGGTAGCCATATTCAGAAGAATTAAACTTTGCTCCTACCTTTCACCATATACAGCAACTAACTCAAGATCAATTAAAGGTTTAAATGTAAGAACACAAACTACAGGAATCCTGGAATAAAACCTGGGAAGCACCATTCTGAGCATCAGCTTTGGGAAATAATTTATGTGTAAGTCCTCAAAAGCAATTGCAACAGAAACAAAAATGGACAATTGTGACCTAATAAAATGAAAGAGCTTCTGCACAGCAAAAGGAATTATCAACAGAGTAAAAAGACAGCCTACAGAATGGGGGAAAATGTTCACAAATTATGCATCTGACAATGATTTGATATACAGAATCTGTAAGAAACTTAAATGGTTCACCAAGCAAAAAACAAATAACCCCATTAAAAAGTGAACAATGGACATGAACAGACACTTTTCAAAAAAGATATACAAGCGACCAACAAACATATGAAAAAAGTGTGCAGCATCACTAATCATCAAAGAAATGCCAATCAAAACCACAATGAGATACCATCTCACACCCATCAAAATAGCTATCATTAAAAGTTAAAAAACAACAGATGCTGGTGAGGATGCAGAGAAATGGGAATGCTCATACACTGTTGGTGGGAATGCAAATTAGCTCAGCCCCTGTGGGAAGCAGTTTGGAGATTTCTCAAGGAATTTAAAACAGACTACCCTTAGACCATCAATCCTGTTACTGGGTCTATATCCAAAAGAAAATAAATTGTTCTACCAAAAAGACATGCACTCATACGTTCATCCCAGCATTATTCACAATTGCAAAGGCGTGATATTAACCTAGGTGTCTATCAATGGTAGATTGGATGAAGAAAATGTGGTATATATGTGTATATACCATGGAATACTGTGCAGACATAGAAAATATGAAGTCATATTCTTTGCAGCAACATGGATGCAGCTTGAGGCCATTATCCTAACCAAAATAATGCAGAAACAGGAAACCAAATACCCCATGATATTACCTATAAGTGGAAGCTAAATGCTGGGTACTTATGGACATGAAGATGGCAATGATAGACACAGAGGACTACTAGAGGATGGGAGGAGGAAGGGTTAATTAATTATTGGTTAGTATGCTCATTACCTGGGCGATGGCATCACTCGTACCCCAAACCTCAGCATTACACAATATAGTCATGTAACAAATCTGCACATATACCTTCTGAATGCAAAATACAAGTTGAAATTATTTTTAAAAATTGGATCTAGATAGATCTCACATAAAAGCATCTACCGTTCTCACATTCAATCCCTCCGAACTGGTCCTTGTCTCCCTCTTTAACCACATGTCCTACAACTCACTCTCAGGTATTATTTTTCTTTTCTCTGTTACACTATGGTAATGAATGTTCAATAGATACTATGTACTTTTAGCTTCTCAAGCCTTTCCATACACTGCTTCTCCTGCGATTTAATTTAGATTACTTCTACCCATCCTTCAGCCACTTACCTCTCCAGCCTTGTTTTATTCTAGAAGTCCTCAGCAATCCTTCTAGATGCCCTCCCTCTCTCCTTGCTCCCAACATCTCTTAGGATAGCACTTTTCATAGTGGCAATAGTGAGTTTTTGATGGTATGTCAATCTTCTCTTAGCTGGGGTTTTTTGTTTGTTTGTTTTGTTGTGTTTGGGTTTGGTTTTTTTTTTTTTTAGCATTTTGGTATTTCTTACACTAGCAGAGTTCTGGGCATGTAGTGGCTGCTTAGAGTATGTCAAATAAAGTTCCTTCTTATTTTTCAATCCTTTTAATCTAATGAAATTCTCATTCGACTTTTCCAATCATCCAGTATTGAATAGCATTGAAGAGCTTAACATCACCTGCAGACATGCGAGAACACAGACACTTCCTCCATCTGATCTTGGATAATCAGATTAAACAATGAGTATCAACACTGATGCCTGAGGGATTGTTCTTTTCATGCCTCATCCATCCATTCACTTCCAAAGAGATGGAAGTATGAGATCTATGACAAAACATCCTTCCCTTTTCTGACAGTTGCTCTTTTATAAAAATCTCTTCTTTGAAGCCCTGTCCAAGGTTTTGAAATTCAAAGTATACATCCCTATCATGTTTATTGGCCATCTCTTTTTAAAAACAGCCAAATATGGTTTTCCCTGGTTACCTTTAATCACATAATCTATTTAACTGCTCAATATTAGTGTACTTTATTTGCAAACTGGCCAATTGGTTCACTATCTCCTGTGTCAATCAGGGAACACATGAGAGTATATAAACCATTTCAGAGAACTAAATTTTCATATTTCAGAGGAGGGAAGAGCCTGCTGTCTTTGAAGAGTTAATATGTGTCTCTGAGCATCTGCTTTATTGCTAGAGCTACTTGAGTACTGCGGAAAATCTAGTTTAGAGTTTGGGGATGTTGCGAGATAGATAATCTCTTCACACATTTGTAAAGTGCATGCCACAGCACGACATAAAATTTGTCAAATTGTGTTCATTTGTGAGAAGAGTCCTGGAGTTAGACCTCCTTCTCAAAATTTCTATTCTGTCATCTCTGAAATTTAAGAAAGGTTTCAAGACCAAGTACTGTCAGTTACATGTGATACCGTACCAGCCACCAGCGATAAATCACACTTGTAACTGCTTGAGGTGCATTTACTCACAGATGATATATGCTTTACAATTCATAGCAAGCTTTACAACTCATCTGATTTGAAGTAGGTCACAAAGAAATGTTAGCGTTTCAAAACTCAATCTTTTATGTGTTTTTTTTCTGTCAAAAAATCTTGTTATTTATAGCACTAAAGGAGACTTTTGGGATGATATCATGTAGTCCCTTCATTTTATGGATTAAGAGGCTGAGACCTGGGAAGGTTAATTGATTTTCCCAAAGTCTCAGAGCTAGTTAGTGGCAGAGCCAACACCAGAATCCATCGTTTTCCTGTCTCAAAGGCTTTCTTTCCACTATACCAGGCTGCCTCTGGTCTCTGACTATGCAAACCAGACTTTTGAAGTGCATTATTAAAGGATTATCTGTTCTACCCTAAGTGGCAGGGTCAACAATAAGATTATTAAATTTTTATCTTGCTCAGAGCTCTCTAAACTGGGAGATTCTCATCTGCCAGACTTAATCTGCCAAAAAAATATGCAGGGGGAAGTAGTGAGCACACGCAGTAGTCACAGAACTAGGCACTGAAAGCCTTTAGTTGGGCAATCCCTGGCCCAATTTCCAGTCTAATATTGTTGTGGTTAAAAAAGCATTTCTTCTTTCCGCTCATGCTTCCATGAAAGCCTGCACACAGCCTGGTCTGAACCTGCACAGATCGCTCCTGGAAGTGCCTACACTCTGACATCTGCATAAATGTCAAATGAATCTGCCGTATGATAATGAATACAAAATGAATTAATAATGATATGTGAATCATGAATACAATTTACAGTTCCTCAGACAAAATAGTGTCTTTTTCAGCATGTACCTGCATAAACTAGCTCCTGCAGGCCTCAGGCGAAACCTCCCGACTCTCTTCTGGTGCACCACCGCCATCTATTGACATCAGAGAAGGATGGCAGCCTTCCTCAGCGCTTGTATCCTGTGCTTGCACCGCTCCCTGTCAGCACCTGCCTCTTACTAACAAACAAAAATTTGTTTGAACTTATTTTAAAGTGTTTTGCTCTTCAAGGGTGAGCTCTCCTCCTTCTTTGAGCTACTTTTGTTACAAATAACTTAAAACTACCCCAGGTCAAAAATACTTGGCAGCTTGTTCTGTCACACCCCCTGATCTAAACACTGTATAATCTGATTTTTAACTCAAAGCAAGTCTTTGTTTAAAAACAATAATGAAACAACAACAACAACAAAACGATGCATTTTTTTCTCTCTTGCTATTTTTAAATAAACTTTCTTTATGGAAGTCCTCCAGGTTATCAAACACTCTCAGGCTTTCTACACTATCCCCCAAAATAAATTAAGCACAACTAAACTCTTCAGAAAGACATTAAACTCATAAGGGGTATTAGCTTTATTCCCTCCACTCTGTAGTAATATTTACTATTTCTTGTCCACTGCCTCCAATTTTCCCCCAGCATCCATTTTTTTCTTAAGTATGCCTAAATTCCTCCTCTTAGAGCTAGGGATCATGAGGAAGGATTTCCTGTTTTTTTGTTTTGTTTTGTTTTGCTTGTTTTCTTTTGGTTTTGTTTTTTTTTTTCAGATGTGGGTCTCACTACGTTGTCCAGGCTGGCCTTGAACTACTGGGCTCAAGTGATCCTCTTGCCTCAAACTCCCAGATAACTGGAACTACGGGCACACACCAATGTGCCTGGCTAGGATTTACTTTTTGAAAAGATTATCTTGACCTCTAAGAGAAGAAAAGAGCATAAAGGAAGTGTGGAATGAGGAAAGCCAGTTAGGAAGCTTTTGTGGAGATTCATATAAGAGATAACTGTGCCTTCCCCAAGTCCACTAATAACAGAGGTAGTAAGAAGTGGCAGGATTTGGGATAAATTTGGAAGGTAGAGTTAATATGCATTGCCCATGAATTGGGTATGAGGTAACAGAGAAAGAGAAGACTTAAAGACAACTTCTTGACTTTTGTCCTAAACAATTGATTTGGAGAGGAGATCAGGAGTTCTATGTTAGACATTTCGAATTTGAGATTTCTACTTGACATTCAGATAGAGGTGTCTGGTGGTAGGGGGTCTATTCAACATGTTAATTTCCTTTAGGAAAATTAACCTTTCCCAAAATGTGTAGTCCAGGGAGAACAATAAGTTAAGATACTTTATTATATCTTTATTGTTCATACGACTAGAGTTGTAGACAAATGTGTTATGCGTGAGGCAAAAGAAATTAAGTAAAAGAATAAAACATTCAGTTTCTTTTATGGGAAGTTTACATAAATTGTGTAAACTCTTTACCCAGTGCTAGAATTCACCTGAAAGAATGAGAAGCTCTTTTAGAAAGAAACCCCTCTGCTATCTCTGGATTGTTCTTTATGCTTTGTATGCTCTGATGTTGGCATAAAAAAATGGAAATAACAATGAAAGCAAACATGATGTTCTCTCTCGTTATCTGTGCATTGTGGGAGAATTTGATCACCAAACCTTTAAGGACTTCTGGCTCTGACCCTCTGATTCTGTGATGGTGCATAACTAGAACAGACCAAGTATTTATTTGTAACTAGTCCGCCCTGTCAAACTTAGTCCATTTATTTTCCAGATAACAGTTTTCATAATCATGTCATCTTTAAAAAGTATTTACTAAGATTTAGGAAGAAAGGATGCTGTTGCCAAGTAGCCAGACTCACAGAAAAAAAAATGAGTTAGGCAGAAAATGAAAATAAAAGTTCCAAAAGAAAATTTTCAAAATTGTCATTAAGAATATGATGTATGAGTCCAAGTTTAATTTTTTCTGATAAGATATATCCATATTTTAATTTTTAAACTTAATGCAGAGATTTAAAAAAGACAGGGGCGAACAAATATTGTTATCTCACTTCTGGCATCACACATTAACCGAATATGTCCATGGCAGTGCATTGAAAAAGCCCAATGCTGGCATATCAATTATGAATTTACTAAATGTATAGACAGAAGAAATAAATTGCCAAAGGTTTTGTGATGTAGATTATTTAAATAAAATCATTTAGAAACAAGAGTCAGTGCATACAGAAATAAACTTTCATAACAAGCAGGTTTAAGAGGCAACTCATTATGAGTAGAAAACATTCCTAATTTCATCATATTAGCCATTTACTGTTGGTTAAATCACAACTCTAGAAATTCCACTTAACCCTTCACTCTCTTTGCTACCATTCCCAGCTGTTTCATAAATTCACTTTTCCTTCTTGCTTTTAAACTCTCTTGTACTTTCCCATCAAACTTCCATTCCACAGATCACAGTGCAATTTTCACTTTTTCTTCTTTTCTCCTAGACAAAAGGAGGCTGCTCATCTGATCCTTTTCACTGAAACAGAGGAAAGAGAGTCTAGTAGCTTTAACAAAATCTTTTATTTTATAGGTCAAAGTCATTCTATTCATACACAGCTGACAAAATTTCAACCTGTGAACAAAATACTCCATGTGCTTCTGCATGATTTTTGCATTTTTAATTTCTATTAATATGGTGAAGGTTTATGCATAGGTATTTTAATGTCCATTCAAGGAAGGAGTGTTGGAGATAGGACCACTGGCAAAAAAAATTTCTTAGATAACATACCTTCATTTCTTTGTGATCTAACATCAGACATCAATTACAAATCCAACTTACAGATGTCTAAGATGCACTTAGGAATAAATAATATGTATTTCCAATTGACTTCATGTTCTATGTTGCATTTCATCTTAAGTTTGTCACTATCTCTATATATTAATGGCAAAATAAGTGGCAGAATATTTTAGCAAGTTTCTTCCGCAACTAAAAGCAAACATAATATGTTTATCAGGTCTATGAGAGAAACTACTGTTTATCTCCCAATTTGTATATGCCCTCTCTTCTTTTTTATACTATTAGAAAGTTTAGCTGATCATATGGCCACCTAACATAAAGACTACATTTCTTAGCATCACCGTACCAAAGTGTGGCTATATGACTAAATTCAGAGCAATAGGGTTTAAGGAAAGAGGCATGTGAACATTCCACAATGTGCCCTAAAGGGAAAGTAGCTCTGCTCCCTCACCTTATAAATCACAGTAAGCTATGTTGAGTTCTGCAGATAGATGCAGCTCCTTAGAAATGGCACAGCAAAATTATAGAAGGAATCTGTGCCTCTGATGATTCCCTGGAGCAGAACTGTCACGCTAGCTCAACTTTTATATATGAATATAAAACAAACTTCTACCTTGGTTAAGTGAAGTTTATTTTGGATCTCCGTTTCTGGTGGCAATTCTATATCCTAATGAATACAATGTCTGTTTCTTCAGGCAAAGGTATACCTCCCCCAAACTCTGCTTATAGGAGTGCTCTCCAAAGCAGGCTGTATTTTAAAGCACAATAGGTGGATCTTAACACTTGAATATGTGAAATAAAAGCCAGAAAGGCCATCCTAGGGTATCAAATAATGACTCTTTTTGTGATCCTATTATACACCATGGGTCACTCACTGTAAGAACAAATATGACAAAGCTAGGTAAAATCTAGCTTGTGTGGTGCTCCAGAAAAATAAATTTAATAGAGTTGATTTTAAAATATCTATAAGGAGTCATTAATTCACTAATAGTTTCATGTAAATGATTTTTGTTAACCATCCACCATGTGTAAGACCTATATTTGTCTGTATACTTACAGAGGGGCAAATACTCAATTGAATTAAGGTAGATCTGAGTGCTAAAATACCTTTAGAGTGTAGTAGTTCTAGAACTCTTGGCAACTTATATAATCTCTCTAGGTCCCAGTTTTCTCATATGCAAATGAAGATTACATTAGTGCCTAACACATAGCGTTATGACGATCCCACAAGATATCATGTATCAAGCCCTTAGCATATGTCTACACAGGGAAATCATTCAATATTTGTTTGCTAGTATACTTGTTCTTTGCATTGTTAATATTACTACTATTCTATAGTATACAAATAATAGATACATACATATATAAAGAATAATGAGATAGGTGTTAAAATACAATCAAATAAGGAATGAGATATGTTTTGATATTTAAAGGACTTCTCATGTGGGATATATCAGATAACTTTCTAATTAGTTAAAATATAAAATTATAAGATCTACCAAAAATTCCCATGGCAGTTGTCAATAAGTGGTTATATCCAGTTGTGGGTACTAGAAGATGTTTTATGAAGCCAGTAACGTTTTTACTAAATATTGAAAGATAAGAAAGCTTTTATAGGTGAGGATTGGAGCCAGGATAAATTGGTGTCCCATTGGATTGGACAGTATGAGCAAACGCACAATGCTCAGAGAATTATACTGGCTTTGCAATTGTGACGAGACATGAAAGCTCTTTCAAAAGCCATAGTTTCAAAAGGAAAGGGAGATTTTGAAGAAGACAAGATAAATGGACAAATAGTAGACATATTTTGTCTCTTCCATCAGAGTCAGAGCATCACATATAAACTGCAGGGCCAGAGCTAAATATAGCCTTCCTTGTGCCCATAGCCAGCTTAAAAATAAAACCAGCCATCAGTTTCCTAGGACATCATATGAAAAGTGACATACAAACATCACTGGAATAAATCTGAACTAAGGCATAGATAATGTATATTTCTACATCTGACTCACTACAGAATGTAATTTTTAGCTACATAAAATGGAAATTGGTTTCTTTCCCGGTAAAGTAGATTGTGTTTTTGATGTTAAATTAAAAACAAACAAGCAAACATTTTGTTAGCCAACACCAATCCCTGTGGAATAAAAATAAAAACTTTACTCTTCAACCACAGGTTGGCTCCTAATCTTGACTGAGATCAGCTATTTGAGCCTCCTGAAAATGGTTCAAGTCATCTGAAATTCAGAGAACAAATAATGTTGGCATAGTGCTATTTCCAAGGATATAGAATTAATTTCACTATCCACATTTCCTACCTTTAATATGTCTTCCAAGAACTTCTGTGGTTGGGAAAATTATAACAGAAAACTGAAACATGAAAAAGAACATAGGGATTTGGAAACAATTTAGTCAATATAGAAAATAGAAAAAATAACCCTCAAATAATTTCACTTGTACTCTGTGCATACAAATTAACTTCATCTTTATTATATATAATGACGCTAGATATCTAGGTATCAGCAGCAGAAAATGTTTGAGAAAAGTTCCTAAAAGTTCTAGTTATAACAGAGTATGTAACAAATTCCTTATTTTATGTTCAATCTATTTTATTTTATTTTTCCATAATCCCTCAACACTTTCCAAAATTTAAACAAATGTTTAAACAGTATTGGGAAGGGGTAGAGATTCTAGAATTATATGCAAGATGGAGCAAAATAAACATTTGCCTTGTCTCACTTCCAGGATCCATTAAAATGATAATAAACTAATACCACAAATAATAAAAAGCATAAAATGACCACAGCAAAGGGAACAAAAATTGTGAGATGATGCATGCCCAGAAGATTTTAAGAAATTGAAATTTATTAAAGACAGAAGGAGAGGGTGGAACAATGATCGCTAATACAGCCAGTTAATAAAAGTTAAAGGTCAGAAAGACCTAAAACAAAGAATGAAGCTCTTGAGCTTTGCAGAACCCTGGGCACTGGGAAGTTGTGAGGTTCTGAAAGGCCATGTACAATACAAATTGGTAGTAAATCCTGAGCTCAGAAACAGTGGGATTAATTGGAAGACAATGGATAAAGGCTGGCTTTCCCAACCCAATCTTGATATTCAGAATAACTCAGGAGCCATGCACCCAGGAAACACATACACGCCAAAAACAACAATTACCACACGAAAAGCAGTTGGGCAGTGGGGATGGACAGGAAAAATGGCACCGGAAAATTCAATGAATATGGAAACACAAAGCAAAGACCCAATAGCCAACTCCTGACACCCTTAAAAGTCAGTTGACAAACTGCTTCCACTTACACATACATGATGCTTTTGTATATTTAGGTTTTTATGTCTGTTATTGTTTGTTTTGGAGTTCTGAAATGACTTCTAGCAAACTCCATTTTATGTATGGAGGTGCAAAATTTATTCACTAGTTCTTTCGGCCAACCATTTATTCATCCAATACACATAATGAGATATTAGAAAAAAATGTGGAAAAAAAGAATTTAGAAGCAAGATTTACTGAAAATAGTTTAATGCATGTATTCTAAAACCATGGAATGTGAGTTATTTCCCACTGTGGCAGACCCAGTGAATGCAGCCATGAATAAGACATGGCTGTAACTTGCAAGAAGTTGATCCTCTAGAAAAATAGCCATACCTAGAAATTCTACATTAGGGGAATACCATGAGTTATGGGAAAGAAAGAGGGAGAAACTTGCACCTTAAATGGCAGAGCTGGGGTCAGGGAGGTCTAGGGACTAGGCTGATTGGGAAATCAAGCATTCCAGAGTGACTAGCATAGCGAATGAAATTTTAAAATTAAACAAACACAAATCTTAGAACAAATACACTTAGCCACTTGAGGCAGAAAGGAGAGATTGTATTATCACACTAGAACTTTTAATAACATGATACAGTAGCTCCAAATTAACATTTGTACTGTACCAGAAGAACACTTTCAACAAGAGAAGTGAATGCCTCTTCTCTATACATTTCTATGGCAACTCTGTGATTTCCTTTACATTTTTGTTTATATTCTATCAACTTTCTCATTTATCTGGATCACAATACTTTGAACAAAGAAGTCATCCAGTATATTTTTGTGGAATTACCAAATTAGTTAATAAATTAGCCAATACATTTAAAAATCACTGTATCAATTCATTTAATAATTTTAAGAGGTTCTTTACAAACAATATATATCAAAAGGTTTCTGATTCTTGCTGTTACATTTGCCTCCTTTGTTAAATCAATCACTATCTTCAAAATCATGACTTTAAAGTATTCTGGACATATACCATGCAAATGGGAATAAAAAGAGAGCAGAAGTAACTACACTTATATCAAATAAAATAGACTTAAAGTCAAGAATGGGTTAAAAAGAAGACAAAGAAGACCATTCTATAATAATAAAGGGGTCAACACAGTAAGAGGATATAATTGTATATATATATGCACCCATCACCAGAGCCTCTAAATATATAAAACAAATATTATTAGACCTAAAAGGAAAGAATTGACTACAATACAAGAATAGTAAGGGACTTTAACACTCCAGTTTCAGCAATGGGCAGATCCTCCAGACAGAAAATCAAAAAAGAAATATTGGAGTTCAGCCTAGACCAAATGGACCTAATAGACATTTGTGGACCATTCCATCCAACAACTGCAGAATACACATTTTTCTCAACAGTACATGAAACATCCTCCAGGATGGATCATAGGTTAGGTCACAAAACAAGTCTTATTACATTTTTAAAAATCAAAATAATGTCAAGTATCTTTTCTAACCACAGTGAAATAAAGCTAGAAATCAATCAAAACAAGAAAGTGTATACATTCATGGAAATTAAATAACATGCTTCTGACCAATGAATGAGTCAATGAAGAAATCGAGAAGAAAATGTAAAAATTTCTCAAGACAAATGAAAATAGAAACGCTATATTCCAAAACATATGGGATACAGCAAAAGTAGTTCTAAGAGGGAAGTTTATAGCAATAAAAGCCTACATAAAATGCTCTAAATCCATACATATAGAAGAAAGGTAAGATTAGAGTACTTATCTTTATATACAAAACTATGAAACAATAGTCATGTAAGTCATAATTCATTTTATTATTATCATAATACTTAATAAGACATTCTTTGCACCTGCCCTAGATTCTCCAGATATCAATTAGGGTGGGTTATTTAATGGAAAGTTTGGAACCATGGGATCCTGTCCTCAATGCCTGAATAATAGTCATACATAGTATTGTATAATATCAATTACAAATATACAAACTCTTACTTGTCACTGCAGAGGTGTCATCTTACCAAAACTTACTATTAGTGCACAGTATTTACAGGTTAGAAATTTTACAGTACTGCATTTTAAACTTTTTTGAGTTTTATTAATAAATAACTACCATTTATAGACTATTTACTATGCTATAGACACAAGACTATACAACTTGTGAATACTAGCTGAAAAATTCTTAAACTACCCTATAAGGTAAAAAAAAATTTAGTTCCATAATTTAGATAATAAACTTACGTTTATTTGTGTTAAATTACCTAGCCAAGGTCATAAGCATGAAAGTAATAGAAATGGGATTTGTGATGACAGTCAATGCCTGACACTTGAAACTTATTTCCTTAAGTTCATTATTTATTTTATGTACCTCAGGCATTATATATAGAATTGGCCAATTTTATTAGTACCATCTAATTATGAATATATGCTTAAAAGCAACATGCTTTGCATTGCACACAGAAAATCTATTTACTCAGCCAAATAGTTCATTAGTGTCATAGCTGACAGCTCACCTTTCTCCTCACAGCACCAAGATTGTCAATTAGATGGAATGCTTCCATTTACACCTGCATCCTGTTATTTGAATAATACTCATGCAAGTTTTACTTCTACCATTTCAATTTATAGGAACTAGTACCATGTCACTGATATGTGTAGGTGGTTCAGGTTTTTTTAAAGAGAAATATAATTAGGAAAATAGAATATAGTATTTATTTCTGAAGTCTAGAGTTGCCTAGGCTTCTATTTGGTTATTATGCATGATCTTTTATGTAGAATGAATATTCAGTGTCCCACCCACCCAGGTGTAGGTTGGAAAGCAAATGAAGAATTTTTACAACATGAATTTTGATATGCCACAAAATTTGGTTTCTTCCCCCTGGAATCAAGTGATAGAAAACGTTTGGATGACACTCTGTTTACACGTCAGGCTTACTCCTGTTGATCAACGGCATGATAATAAATGCTCGTTTGTTTTTTCACTTACATTACTACTTCCAAATATATTCATGCTAGTATCAACCTTAAATGTGAGACATGTCCATATTTATAATTTTATACTTTACAAATAATTCTGTTTTTTTCTAAATTATTCAATGCATTTATATTTTCTTCGATCTTTCTTTAGCATGACATGTTACAGTGTCTACATGATCTGAAGACTTCCAATGCACCAGGCACTAAAGCAAACTCTTCCGAGAGCAAGACACTTCACACTGCTGCCTGCTGGATAAAGATTACAAATGTGGCCAGGCGCGGTGGCTCTCGCCTGCAATCCCAGCACTCTGGGAGTCCGCGGCGGGCGGATCACAAGGTCAGGAGATCGAGACCATCCTGGCTAACACGGTGAAATCCCGTCTCTACTAACAATAAAAAAAAAAAAAAAAAAAAAAAAAAAGAAAAAAAGCCGGGCGTGGTGGCGGGCGCCTGTAGTCCCAGCTACTCAGGAGGCTGAGGCAGGAGAATGGCGTGAATCTGGGAGGCGGAGCTTGCAGTGAGCGGAGATCACGCCACTGCACTCCAGCCTGGGCTACAGAGTGACAATCCATCTCAAAAAAAAAAAAAAAAAAAAAAAGATTACAAATGTTTCCTTCCACGAATGTCTCTATGAAACTCTTCTTTCCCTTATTTCTCTATTAGAATTTCAGATACTCCCCAGAATGAATGGGACTATAGGTCTGAGTGAAGTCATATTTTCCATTCAGTAACAGTATCTTTCAGAAAGGTACATGAGAGCTTCATAACACATGCTCCCTAGAGAGGTGGTAAAAGTAGATCCATTTACATCCCTGTCTGTGACACTCTCAACACTCAGCCTGTTGGAATGAGCACTCGAATATTCCCTCTGTTGCGCTCTCCATCTCTTTCCCACACACAAACACACACTTATATTTCTTTCTCTCTCCTCCTCCTCCTCCTTTAGATAAAGGAGACAGAGATCCCTTTCCCCCTCTATTTTTTATTTTATATAAACACATTCACTCATCCACAGGATTTTCAGATTTAATCTTAAATTTTCAAACAGCTGAGGAAAATCAGGTTAAGCATAAATATCTCAGATTTGGAACTATTTTCAGAACCTGCCTAGAACACTTGCTTTTGAAAACACAACATGCACAAGTAAGAAAATTAACCAATAAGCTGGCTTACCAGTCACATGATTTGAGTCATCCAAGTCCCAGAAAACATCTATATTAGACAGACTGAACTTTTTGAGCATGGCAATGGCTTCTAAGCTACTGAACTTGGTAATGCGGCAAAATTTAATCTTTAATGCAAACTTAATTTTCCAAATTAATAAATACAACTGCCCATGACCGTTCCTACTCAAAGATTCAGTAGATATTTATGCAACAAAATTCAGGTGACTTTAAGGAAACTAGCTCCCCCCAAATATTTCTTCCTACTGACCCATGACATTTGTCTTGACATTTCTGCTTTTAGTTTTTGAGATAAACCACTATGCTCTCAAAAACTCCCTTCTATAATGAAATTGTATTTTATGATCAAGGACATGTGAGATATCTCCAATGTATTTATCTAATAGTATTGTGAAGACTTACCAGGACCCAAATGAGAAGAGACACAAGTTGGAAATACTTTAATTGGTAGGAGTTTGAAAGTTTCACAGCTCTATTTAGAGAGGGCTTTTTCAACATATACCAGGTAATATGATAATGCTTCCGTATTATAATGGGCAGCTAGATGCAACCAATAGATTCTGTGATTTTCTCACCAAAATGAGAAATGAGACACCAAAATGAGAAATTCTAATGATGGAGTTTATCTCATTTGCTGTTATTGGTCTCAAGTATGTTTAAACCCATAACTCACTGCATAATATCAGAATTGTGTAGGAAGTACCTGGACTATTTGCTGTTTTTTTTTTTTTTGCAATTTTTAAAAATGTCTAATTTCTAAGCAAATCATCAAGCCTGGTATGAGAGGTTTATGGAAAAACATTGCAGACCCTTGCTTGTGTAACTCAGAAATTCTCCATCTTGTTTCCTCAGTTGTGGGCACTGGGAGAGGAGCTAAATCTGCTTTTTCTCAATCCGTCCATCTGTAAAATTACTATTCTGATTATTAAACATTTCTAAAGTATTCACAATGTCCTGAGCACTGAAAATAACATGTATGAAGATGCTGTTTGTGCCCTTTAGGAGTATAATGAAGCTTACCACCTACTTCTATGGATGTCTTGGGGATTGAAATACTATTTTAAAGTGCCAAGAGCTACTCAGAAGAAATGTGCTGTAGAATTACAAATATTAATGTAGATGAATGGACATGTTCCATTAAACACTAGAACTGGTTGCCAAGGGAGTTTATGGAATCTTCCTCCCTGGAGAGAAAAAAAAATCCTGAGGAGCTAGATATACATCTGCCTAAGAGGTTTAGGTGAAGCTATGCCTAGCACAAATTGGGGCATTTATACTGGGAAAAAAAACAAATGAACTCTTAAGTTATCAGCATTAGTATCATTTAAAGAACAAGGCTGAAAAAAGAGATTAATGGACAAATTGAAAAACAGAGAGCACAGGCTCCAACTGAGCTCTAAATTAGGAGATGAAGAACTATTCAGCTTAAACAGGTAAGTTTTGATTTAACTAATAGCCAGATATCCTTCACCTTTTTTGTTTCTGAATCATGCTGAATATGTTTAAAATAAAAACTCACCAGGTTAAAAAGAAGATATGGAGCTAAGTTTTTCATTAATAAAGACTAAAGGGTGGTTAAACCAGACAAAGTTACTAATAATAGTAACCTGAGTATTCTAAAAATGAGCTATTCTAAATTAACATTTTAAAATAGTCAATTCCCGAAACTGTTTAATCACTTTCTTAATTTAATCTATTCTGATCAAAAAATTTCTATAAGCTATTGCAGCCTTCCCAACCTGAGCAAACCCAGTATAATAAATATAATGTATCCTATGCTAATAGTAAATCTCAGAAAATTGAGGTGTTTTAAATGAACTAAAAAACCTCCAATATTGCATCTTTATGCAAATTCAGAAACATATCCACTGAAAGATAGGATTGTTTGGAAACAACCCAATGCAAATATTCGACTATATTAAGAAAGTCCTTGATGTGAGCTTATTTGGAGTCATTTCTTTCTCACAAAATCTTAATAAAACATGAGCAACTGCACGACCTTCAGAGAAGGATAACAGGACTACCTGTTGGCAGAATTAATTATTGACTCAAAGGCTGTGAAATAGCCTTCAACTGAGTTATTTTCACAGTCTCTATAAACTATTCTTCTTCCCTGGCATTATCACTGTGGTGAATTGACAGGAGTGTTTAAAACATTATCTATTATTTCTGCATCACAAGTCCAGTGGACTAGGTCAATCGCCTTTTCAGTTTCAGCCCATTTCAATCCTCTCCTCCGCCTGACTTGTATGAACATGCATGCTGAGTTAGGAAGCATCCTTGGACTAGGAAGCAAGAAACCAAGATTCTAGAATGTTGTTCTGTAGCCTTGAAAGTAACTTTATTTCTCTAGGCCTCAATTTCTTCATATATAAAATAACAGACTGAATAAAATGATTATTTAGGACCATTTTATTGTAAAAATTTATTATTCTATGGTATCCAGTATTTTCATACAACACTAAAGAAAAACAAATTCCTTCATTATGAGCATGTTAGTTCATGAAGCTCCCATAGCACTATGCAGGCACTCCTGTTGAAGCCTTCGTCATATTTCAAGATACCTAAATATACAAGTCAGAGGTGAATTGTATTGAATCTAGACCATAGACATATTTTGTTTGGCTTCCACATTAAAAATATAATAACCTAGTTTATAATTCTTAAGAAAAATTGAATAGTTTACATAAAACCAAACTTTAAACTTTCATTGACAAAGCAAAACATCTAAGCATATTGAGTCCAGAGATCTCACAGCAGCAATTTTTTAGAACTTCTTAATTTTTAAGCCATCTTTAATTTAGAACTTCTTCATTTCTTAACCACTTTAGTCATGACACATGCTCTGTAATTTTTTATCCAACCCAATGCACTCAATTTTATCTTCTGCCTGGCCCTATACATGTTTGAATTTGTGAATAAAAGTTAATACGTTTCTGTCCTCAACTAAATAGGCTTCCCCAAGGAAAATAACGTTCCTTGCTACTCTGTGGTAGGGGTAGTTAGCTGCCCAACAAATATGCATTCTATGCTACTTTAAAAAGAAAACCCCAATTTAATTCATCACACAATCTGTCCTGATAAAATAGCTCTCTAGGCTACCTGGTGTCTTGGGAGTTCAAGCCAATGAGAAACAAGAGAAAGTCAACAGATCGGTTCTTTCAGGAAAGCTATTGCTTTACCTTACACACACACACACACACACACACACACACAAAGACACACACTCTCAATGGCCCACGCATTAGTCATTCATACTTATAGTCCCCTCATCTTCTTACCTGGAACTCTGATGCAAAGCCTATTGGGATGGTAGCCATTTTTCAATCACAGGGACAAAGGCCATACACTAAGATGGCAGCAGACAATAAAGAAGGATCACTGGTTTCTGAATACATTCTTGAGCACAGATCCAGCCCTTAACTGTGATTATGTTGATGAGAAAAATAAAGCCCCGTACAGTTGAGGTATCATAAGCAAGTTTTCTGCTTATTAATACCAGTGACATCTCTAACAACTATACCTTCATTGAATCCCAAGTACCTGGTTCACAAAAGGTCGCTGGTTATTGACACTTTTCTAAAGGATATAATATCAATAAGAATAACTTACAATGGATGGGTGCTTATTGCTGGGTACTGTGCTACAAGTTCTACATCATTTAATTCTCACATGAGCCTATCAGACAGGTAATAGTTTCCCCAATACACAGATGAGGCATGGAGAGGCTGCATTTTGCATCAAGTCAAACCATTCTTTAAAAGGAATAAAGAATATTTTAATCTAAGTTTGAAACAAAGCCAAAGTTATCATGTAAAAGCATGAATGTCCCATTCAATTGCATGGACCCATGAAAATAAGTCGTGATTCCAACAAAACTCAACACACATGTATAAGTCCAAGTATCAGCTGGGCCTTCAGAATGCCCCAGCATCCAATACTTACTTATCCTTCAGTAGTTTGCTCTTTCATTCTTAGAGAGGAAAAATAGACATTTTGTACTCTTTTCTCAAACAAGCAACATCACCCTCCACTGTTCCTGACTTTCCATTAAGCAAACACAAGGCTGCTTCCATGTATTCTAACATACTCTGCCTTCTAACTTTTGAATTGATGAATTGTCCCTATTATTAGCTAAGGTCAAAGCCTCAAATAGTGCTCAACATTTTTTTCTTAACTTGCAATCTAAAGACTTCCCTCTTATCGTTGTATGATTTCTCTCCTCTATTACCAATTTTCTCCTCCTGTCAGAATACAGACAAGCTTCATTCTTTTTTTATTAAAAAGTAAGGTCCTTGATCCCTCCCATCTCTTTCCAGTCACTGACCCAAAGTTGCTGACTACACTTGCATTCCCTACCTCCCACCCTTGCATTCTGTCTTCAACCCTTTTTATTTACACTATTTTATCTATAAGTCTCTAGTTTCCCCTTTAATGATTTCATCTTACTTACATTCTTCTTCAGATTCATATTTAAATACATGCCTTCCGCTCCTGCTACTTTGGATTCTATTTCTGTATGGATCAATGTTCACATTACAGGAATTCACACTATAACAGACTAACTTGCCACGTACTAAAATTACAGTACAATTCTCCTCAAGTGGATACAAGCTATTGTTTCATTTTCCTTTCACAGTAACACTACTTACAGTGATATGATATCTTTAGAGGGCCTAGAAGGCGGAACTCAGCTTGCCCTTACACTAATTGCCCTCTTCAGCTGTAGTATTTTTATGTACATGCAGACTTACCTGAAATGTTAATGTGGAACTTTAGATATCCCTCAGGGGCTATCTCTGCTTTCTACTCTTATTGTATTTTAGCATTTTTACTTTGTTCTGCCCAATTTCTATTTTTTCTTTGCAACCTTAGTTCAACCCTTCTGAATACTTCTGTTGTCTCCTGAGGTTTACTACCTTGTCTGTCTTGAATGTTGACTTCTGTTGCTGTCATTCAGGATTGATTTTACAGTAATTAAAAATAAAATGCTGTGTTCTTTTTTTCTGATTAATGAACAAACTGATCAGATTCTCTTTGGTTTTGGTTGTTTTAAGAGGTTTCTCTCCTTAAATCTGGATTATTTAAGAAAAGGCAAATATTCAAATATAGAAAAATTAGAAGATTTCTATAGAAACTATCTCAGGTTCCTCGTGTGAACAACCAACAATAACACAGAAAATGATGGAGTTACTATTTTTTTTCAAGTTACTACATAACTTGTACATACTTGTACTATTCTAGATACATAGGAAATAAGTTAATCCATTATATATGATGAATATTCACACATTAGCATCAATTTGATTTTCTTATGGTAAATGTCAATTTAAAACATTTATTTATTTTTATATTAGTACAGTCCCCCCTTCTTATCCATTAGTTCTACGTTCACAGATTCAATCAACCACAGATCGAAAATATTAAAAAATAAAATATAACAATATAACAATAAAAAGTAATATATTAAAAAATACAGTACAACTACTATGTAAATAACAGTATGCTATTATCATAGCATTTAATTGTATTAGGTATTATAAGTAATCTAGAGTTTATTTAAAGTATACAGGAGGATGTGCTTTGGTTATACATAAATACTATACTACGTTACATAAGATACTTGAGCTTTCATGGATTATAGTACGCATGGGAGTCCTGAAGCCAGTCCCTCAATGGATACCAAGAAAGGACTATACATCTTTGTCATCATAGGGTAAGAATAAAGTTCAGAAAAGCAACAAAACCACTCATATCTTTGTCCACATATATCTTTTATAATTATTTTGATCAGTTTACTCAATTCACAAAAGAATATCTTTATTTTTTAAAGATTGTATATTTACTTACACTATTGAGTTGAAAAATTTTTTCTAATAAATTTTTAATAAAATTATTACCATTAATACAAATTGATTAAATAAATTAATCAAAACTTCAGAAGATATAATCAATATTTTAATTCCATATTTTTTCTGAAGACAACAGAAAACACTCAATAAAAATGTACTGAGTACCTCCATATGAACGCTGTGGGGCTAAAAAGATGAGATTAAGGGGCATAAAAATTAATGGAGAACGGTGTACTCAAAGAGCCTGTATTCAGGTCATCAATTCTCATCTTATTTAGAAATGTAAAATATTAACAGCTGGCTTATAAATGTGAACTACGAGAAGAATTTGAACTCAAAATGTTTTTCTCCTTTTTCCTTCCCTGGTTTAAGTACTGAGAAACTAAACTTCTAAACACATAACAGCAACAATAGTAACAATAATGATAATAGAAATGAATATTTACTAATATTTTATTATTTGTAGGTATCATGAACATATTGATTTAAATAAATCTCACCCTGAGAGAAAGTATTGCGACATATGCCTTTAACATAACTTATTACATGTTATTGTAAAGAATTCAAAAGAAAAAAGAGAAAAAAATTACAGCAAAATAGATTATATGAAAGGTCAACATTTTAATCAGAGTATAAATTGTACAGTAGTGCTGTCCAATACAAATATAATGTTAGATACCGACACAGAACACATATGTAATCTTACATTTTCAGATAGTCACATTAACAGAGGCAAAAGAGAATAGGTAAAATTAATTATATATCTTATTTACTCCAAGTAACCCAGATGTTATTTCACTTTGTAACTGATATAAAACTGACTCAGTTTACTTTTTTTACTAAGTCTTCAAAATCCACTGTCTATTTTATATATACAACACATTTCAATTCAAACTAGAGACATTTTAAGTACCAGACATGTGGTTAGTGGCTACTGCGTTGAATACTACAACTCTACAGTAAAAATGTGATTAGAAAAGTGAATCTATTGTTTCCTCAGCAAATCATATATTATGTAACATATGTGTTTTATATGTGATTATATTTTAAGTGATAGAGATATGTGATTATAATATACTACTCTATGTTATACAATAATATATCGGTAGGTGTTTTTAGGTATATGAATTGGTATTTGTGTACAAATGTATGTGGGTATATGTATACATATATACATACATGAATGTGTATTTATGCATATGTATATATATAACATGCCAATAAATGTAAGCCAACATTTCATATCGTACATATATTAAAAACACAGCAATTAAAATGTTTTTAAAATTATAAAGGAAAGAGAACATGTAATCCATCAAATTAATGCTACAAGAAAAAATGACTGTTGGAATTATTAAGATACAGTATGTTGGCTTTGTTAACAATGTCAACATTTCTTAAAATTTTATGAAAGTTTACTTAACCATATGTGAGGTTTTTCCTTATGTGGTGAGATTAGAACAGTGGTTTTCAACGAGGAACAATTTATCCCCACCCCCTTCAGGACATTTGGCAATGTCTGGAGCCATCTCAATTGTCAAGATTCAAGGGATGCTTACTGACATCTAGTGGATCAAAACTAGGCACACTGCTGAATATCCCACCATGCCCCGCACAAGCTCTTGTTAACACGGGTGTTAAAGAAATATCTGTCCAAAAATATCAACAGTGCTGAGACAGAAATGCCCTGGTTTAGATCCAATGTGCTGTATGAGACAAAATGCCAATATTTTGTTATGATCATCATTTGAAAGCTGAGCAATTGTAAGTAATTTGCCCAAAGCTCAGAAATTGTAAGTAATTTCCCCAAAGTCCCAATAGCTTTTAAGTGACAGAGGCAGGCTCCAACCAAGGTCAGCCAGAATCACATCTAGAGCTCTTGCCCCTACTCCATAGATCAGTGCTGCTCACATGCTCAGTGTTGAAGGTCATATTTTTTGTTTTGTTTTGCTTCATTTTAAATTTGTATTGCTTTGTAAATCTGTATTGCTTTGTAAATCTGCAATTTTGTGAAATCCAAAGAATATTGCCTGCAAAATAACATTAAAACAAAGAATTCAAAATACAGTTCGGCAAATTTTTACCCTTAGAAATGACAGACAATATTAACCTATTCAAGTGTTATAATGGCACTCAATGTTTCCTCTTCACTCTCAATTCCTGTACTTCTCTTGTTGCTAAGCTGACCTGCACAAATTTCAGGGGCAGGATAAACTTCAGACCACAATTTTTAGTAGCATTGTAATCAAGCACAGTGGAAATTATGCTCCTTCTTTAATTAAAAACAAATTTTAAAAATTATTAAATCAACTCCAGTTTTTATTACTAGAACCTCAGTGTTATTGTTAGGCAGTTCTTTCTCAATTCCCTCAAAAAAACTAGTTTTCTCCAAGAAAACAAAAACATGGGGTTAAAAAAAAAGAACATTTGTATGTATATCAACCTGAAACATTACTGTAATAACTAAAATATACAATTTTCAAAATAATTTCTCCTTTTCTAGAACTATAACTTGTTAAAGAAGAGAAAGAGCAAAGGGGCTTATGAAATAGAATTTTCTTTAAAAATGGAACAGATCTAAATGGTATCACTAAAAGAGAAATAATTACCTATTAACACGTAAAGCAATGCTAATTTTAAATTAAATTGTAAATGCTTTATTTTTTCATGTTATTCTACTTAGCAACTTAAATCTCATTTAGCCGTAGTCTCAACACTCTGTTCCCTTAAAGATTGGATATGTGCCCTTTAATTCTACTGTCATGGAAGAAATACAGCCATTAATACCAGATAAGATTCAATGAGTAGCCTTATACAATATGCTCAGGTTGTTTTTGCAAAATTGGAAAAGCCTTTTCAGAATCATCTGCTGGCACTATCAAAACCATTAAATCAATACCACTTGGGCATATAAAGGTTGTTTGATTTTGTAAATCTTTTAGAAGTAGAAGACTAGACTCTCTTATGAATGATTGTGATGGACTGACTTGCTCCTCGCCTCTCACATGCAAATCCATATGTTGAAGATCTAAACCCAAGACCTAAGAATGTGATTGTATTTAGAGACAGGGCCTATAAAGAGGTATTAAGGTAAATAAGGCCAGATGGGTGTGCCCTAACGCAATATGACTGTTGTCCTTACAAGAAGAGATTAGGACACAGACAGGTTCATACTCAGGGGAAAGCCCATATGAGAACATGGCCATCTGCAAGCCAGGGAGTGAGGTCTCAAAAGAAAACAAACTTGCCAATACCTTGATCTTGGAAGTCTATCCTCCAGAAAAACTGTGAGAAAATACATTTCTGCTGTTTAAACCACCCAATCTGTGGTATTTTGTTATGGCCCTAGTAAACTAATGCAATGATTGAAAATCTTTCACTAAACAATAATGAAAACATTACCACTCATTACTAGTCTCCTTATATTAAGAAAACATTGACAGTGGGTTAAAACCTGGTCTTGTGTATTATCAATCGAAGTTGCTGAGCGTGCAGAGGATATAATGAAAAAAAAACTAAATATTAATTAAATGATTGCTATCATATAATACATTAAATATATTTTAAGGTGGATTGTCAACATGGATCACCTCACTAATAATTCAAGTAATTCTCCTTGGAAAAACTGAACCCAAAATAGCACTCAACAAATTCAAATAAAATATTTAAATAACGTGAACAGGAAGTTTGGCAACGAAATATTTGCCTAAAAAATGTAAATGACAGCAATTGTATGATTTTTATGAAACATTCGGTGATAACAAGACTAAAGTTGAATAATTTATTGCTTCAATTAAAATGACCTATCATTGACTCTACTGATTCTTTTTTTTTTCTCATTCCTTTGTTATTTTTATTTTTTGTCTTATTGGGATTTCTTTTTCTATTTTTTTCTTTACTCTCAGCAGAATCAGAATTTACTGATTCTTGTAAACGTATTTTTATACTTGTAGTAATTGAATTTTTTTTTAAATTAGCTACTTTCTGAACTGAATTCCATGGAGTTAAATTTGAACAGTCACTCTGAAATAAAATGACACATCAGAAACAGGTTCTAATACAAAATTATATTCTTTCTGATGCAATATGAAAGCTCTTAATGAAATATCAGAAATAGCAGTATTCACAATTTAAAAATATTCTCGTTAAGTAATACATAGTAAAAATTGATGAATTTTTGATATAAAGAATAGAAAACAGAAAAAGAAAATTTTCAACAGTGATAACTCCATTGGCAAGGCCAGTGTTTTTAGTTAAATATATTTTCTTAATCTAATGTTTTATGTTGGTAATGAAAAAAGAATCTTAAATTTTAGTACTAATTTAGTTCTTTCACCGAAGCAAAAAAGAAAAACACAACTAATCCGATATAACATCTGTGTTTTAAGAAATTACGCTTCCTTTTGTGGGAAAAGCTAAAAAGATAAAACATTAATCAATTAATTCAAACATTGTAACTTTTAATTTTACAGCCTACACTATTTCTCAATTCCTCTTCTTTAAAACATTTTAATTGAGCCAGTATCTAAATATTATCCTGAATTTTTTATTTTTTGAGATGAAGTCTCCCTCTGTCACCCAGGCTGGAGTGCAGTGGCACGATCTGGCCTCACTGCAACCTCTGTCTTAGGCCTCAAGCGATTCTCCTGCCTCAGCCTTTTGAGTAGCTGGGATTACAGGCATGCACAGCTGGGATTACAGGCGTGTGCCACCATACCCAGCTAATTTTTGTATTTTCACTAGAGAGGGGGTTTTGCCATGTTAGCCAGCCAGGCTGGTCTCAAACTCTCTGACCTGAAGTCTTCCACCCGCCTCGGCCTCCCAAAGTGCTGGGTAAATTACAGGCAGGTGTAAGCCACCACGCCTGGCCATGGCATTTTCTTCAAAAGAGAAATTTGTTAGTTCAACTAAATCAACAGGAAATATATGATTTTTCACAATCTATTTTCTTCCAAGATTATTTTAAGCACTACTAGAAATACCATGAAATACCTTCAGAACTAGGAATGTATCAATGTAGGACTATCACTGTCACCCTCGGTTAAGGAAACAGACATTGATTAGGTCACTGTCTCTAAATTTAGGAGGATTTAAGTTCAAATATTAGGGTAGTTTTATGCAATTGAGATATCATTCTAACAAGACAAATCATTTGTTTGAATACAGTATCCTTTCCACTATCAAATGGGCTTTCACTGTTCAAAATACCTTACGAGGTGCATAAATTATACTTTTTTGTGAGCAATGAACAAAGATCAGCCTTCATATGTAAAGAAAATGCAAACAAAAGCCATCAGTTTTAGAATCAACTTTTTAAAAAGTATTTCTGGTTCCAGTAACCCCCCCTAAGTAATTCTTAAATTTTTCCTGGATTAATATTATGAGGTTTGAAAACTTAGTTTATAGAACCACATCAATAGCGTATTAGCAATAGTACTAGTTAAATTCTAAACACTGTTTCTAAGACAGTGAGGCAAAATATAAAATAATTAAAATATTCATTTATAATAGCTTTGAGTTTCTGCTCTGCTAAGTATCGGCTGTGTGATGATTGTATAATTATTTAAATAGTGATTCCAGGGGCCTTCAACTAAAGCCATCAGTGGACTCCATAAATTTGGAGTGTTCAAGAATTTGTACTTTAAAAACAAAATCTCAACACTGCTTATTGACTAGGCTGAGATTAGCATCCTCAAGTTACTCCACAAAACTCAAGATGTTTCAGCATGTTTGCATTGCTGGTGAGGCTAGGTGGTAAGCATCTGTAAAGTTTAATTTTTGTGCTGTTACAGAACATTCAATGGGACTTCTATTTTCTTCTTTCTGTTTCAACATAGTTACCTTATATATTTTTCCCCTTTTTCTACAAAAAGATTATTTTCATTGGTATTTTTTTCCTTTTTGTGGCTGTTGGGGTGATCAGACCCAATACCAGGCCGTGGGGCTACAAAGTCAGTTGGAGTCAAAGGAATGAGAAAAGACAAGTTAAGAGAGAAAATGGGACCGGGGGCCAATGCTAGTATGGAGGCTGTGAAGGCCCTGAGCTCTGGGCACACATGCTATTTATTGGTGCTCAAACAAAGAAACAGTGGTGAGGATGTGGGGGTTGAAAGGAAGCAGTGTATCAAGTGAATGAGCTACAGCTGTGACCGTTTAGCATTTTCTTTGAAACATATAGCTACTTGAGATAATGGGAGTGCTAGAAGCAAGGAGCCAGCAAGTCTAGACACATTTCAGAGGCCATGAGGGGTTTGAGACCCTGGACCCTGCACATGTTCCAAGCCTTGCCTCCGTTTCTCTCCCAACACTCAGCTTTTCTCCCAACAGTGGCCAAACATAATCTACACTATCTATATTCTCAATCATCTTCTACTTCTTCATCCCCAGGACAGACATTCCACTGATCATTTCCCCTTTCACTTGTATCTAACTACCCAAAGGAGAAGAAATTGACACAATGGTATAAAAAAGATACCTGCACTTGTATGTGTATCGCAGCACCGTTCACAGTAGCAAAGATATGGAATCAACCTGTGTCCATTAACAGATGATCCGATAAGAAAAATGTGGCATATATACACAATGGAATACTTTTCACCGTAAAGAAGAATGAAATCATGCATTTGCAGCAACATGGATGGAACCGGAGGCCATTATCTCAAGTGAAACAACTCAGAAACAGAAAATCAAGTCCTGCATATTCTCAGTTATAAGTGGGAGCTAAATAATCTGTACACATGGGCATAGAGTGTGGAATGAAAGACATTGGAGACTTGGAATGGTGGGTGGGTGGGAGGGGGATGGACAATGAAAAATTACTTAATATGTACATTGTACTTTATTTGGGTGATGGTTAGACTAAAAGCTCTGACTTCAACACTATCCAACAGATCCATGTAACAAAACTACACTTGTACCCTTTAAGATTATACAAATAAAATTTTTAAAAAAATTTTATACCTTTATGTTTTGTATTAATTGTCCCAGTCATTTATTAAGTCATTCACTAAACATTTATTGAACACTTACTGTGTGCTGAGCACTGTGTTGGGCACTAAAGATACAATAATGAACAAGACATAGAGTCTGTGCTCACAGCGATTTCAGTGGGGACTTATAGACAAATAAGTAAGCAGGTTCAAAGGGTGGCATTTCGAACAGCAACATAGACATCATCTGGGAAGATGTCAGAAATGTAGAATTTCTGGCCTCACCAAGGATTTCCTGAGTCAGAATCTGACCAGATCCCTTAGTGATGGGTGTGCACACTTAAGCTTGAGAAGCACTGTAATAGAGGAAATGAAGGGCCTCAATCAAAGAATATAAACATTCACAGTTCTCTGATAACCTAAAATAAACATAATTTTTAAAACCTGCATTGTTGCTGGGTGCGGTGGCTCACGCCTGTAATCCCAGCACTTTGGGAGGCTGAGGTGGGTGGATCACCTGAGGTCGAGAGTTCGAGACCAGCCTCACCAAGATGGTGAAACCCCGTCTCCACTAAAAATACAAAAAATTAGTTGGGCATGGCTGTGTATGCCTGTAATCCCAGCTACTCGGGAGGCTGAGGGAGGAGAATCACTTGAACCTGAGAGGCAGAGTTTGCAGTGAGCCAGGATCAGACCACTGCACTCCAGCCTGGGCAACAAGAACAAATATCTCTGTTTCAGAGAAAAACAAACAAACAAACAAACAAACAAAAACCTGCATTGTTTTCAAACAAGACTTTTTCTTACATTCCCTCAGTTTATGTTCTACTCAAACTATGCTCTTTGCAGTTTCTAAAAATACACTTGGTTTTCTGAATCTTTTATTTTTCCATGCTTGTCTCTAAACCTAGAATATTCTACTGTACCTGTCAAGTTCCTTCTCAAATAATACTATTAGTAGCAGTCATGATGACGTTAGTTAACTTTGGTTGAGCGCATACTATGTGCCAAAGGGCTCCTCTAAAACCTTTATGTTTATCAGTTAATTTAACACTTATGACCCTGTTTGAGGAAGGTACCATTATTATATTCATTTTACAAATGGGGAACTGAGGCACAGAGAATTTTAGTAATAACCACTCCATTACAAAGCCTTTCTCCATTCTCTTGGTGGGATACAATCTATTCCATCTCTAAATAGCCTTAAAGCTTTCTCTATGACTCACCTAAGAAACTTGTTACCCCTAACTCATGGTTATTTCTATGTTTCCCTCATCATGCTCTGCTACACATTAACCTTTTCCCACTACACCTTAATCTCCTGTGGGGCTTAAATATTTCACATCCATGGCACATATTTCCATGGGATTTTTAACACTGTAAGGGTTCAAATATATTTGCAGCATTGACTAATTTAATATTTTATAGTATATGTTTCCAGACATCAAGTATTATGCTTTGGAGATTGAAAAAATTATATGAGACAAGGTTTACTTTGCAAGATTGTTGTGATAGTGACTTACATGTTGCTTTAGAAATTGTTTTAGCTTATTTTCTCTTTTTCAGAATACAATTTAATTACAGTATCAACCTGTTCTTCTCACTTATTTATTCCTCACCTATTACTGCATTTGTATGGCTTTTACCTCAGCTTTTTATAAAATTCAACCAAAATAAATTATACCACATCTAGTGTGGTCAAGCCACTGTGACTAGAGGAAGGTGACTAGAAGAATGCAACCCAATGATGTCCAAAGAACCTGGAAAAATTGAACAGAGGAAGTATTCAAACACATTACAATACAAGAAAGACTGAAGTTGTAAATTAAGGATTCAGAGTCCACCAAGAAAAGTTATTGAAAAGAAATCACCACCCTACTATACTAGTGAATGTTTTCTCGATCATTTTGAGTCAAACAAAACCTCCAAGAAAAACTGCTAAAAAAATATACAAAATAGGTTACCAAAACACGAAGAAAACCTAACTAGTCTTTTTCTTTGGGACATTAAATGTAGAAGACATCTAAAGACTGACATTTAAGGAGTTTAAGGTTGGAAAATGTTTGCAACGTATTAATTTTAGTTCCCAATCAACTTCATTTGTGAAGAGATTAGCTAATAAAGCCACCTATGTTTTTTTCTTGAAAAAAAATTCAAGGCAGAGAAAAGTGGCTCACACCTATAATCCCAGCACTTTGGGAGGCCTAGGCAGGAGGATTGCTTGAGGCCAGGAGTTTGAGACAAGCCTGAGCAACATATGAAGACCTCCGTCTCTACAAAAAATAAAAAAGCAGCTAGATGTGGTGTCACTAGCCTGTAGTCTCAGCTACTTGGGAGGCTGAGGCAGGAGGATGACTTGAGCCCAGGAGTCCAAAGCTGCAGTGAGCTCTGATCACACCACTGACCTCTAGCTGAATGACAGAGTGAGATCCTGTCTGTAAAAGGAAAAAAAAAAAAAAAAAAAAGACATAGCCCAGCTAAGAGATGAATAAAAAATGAAGAATACATTAATAGGTACAGTTGGCCCTCTGTATTTGTGGGTTTCACATCCACAGATTCAACCAACCATAGATCAAAAATGTTTAAAAAAAGCTGGTGTGGTGTCTCACGCCTGTAATCCCAGCACTTTGGGAGGCTGAGGCCGGTGGATCACATGAGGCCAGGAGTTCGAGACCAGCCTGGCAACATGTAGAAACCCCATCTCTACTAAAAATACAAAATTAGCCAGGGGTGGTGGTGCACGTCTGTAATCCCAGCTACTCTGGAGGCTGATGCAGGAGAATCACTTGATCCCTGGAGGTGGGGGTTGCAATGAGCCGAGATCGCACCACTGCCCCCCAGCCCGGATGACAGAGTCCATCGCAAAACAAACAAACAAACAAACAAAAACAACTTTGAAAAAAAATTAAATATTACATTTTTTTAATGTAAAGGAATTAGTGAAATGTTGAATCAAGTACAGTGCAAACTGTGGCTCAGGAGAGGAAGTGATGGCTTCTAGACATGTCATTATAAATCTCTAGAGGCAATCAACTTTAAAACAAAGAAAAATATTTATTTTGCTTTCACTATGGATCAGCAGACAAAATTCCTTCTAAGAAGCCATCTTACTTTAACACTAAAGATAATGAGTTATCATTAACAAATGCATGGCTCATGGAATATTCTGCCACTGAAGTAAAGTTAGATAACGTTTTAATAGTTTTAGCGTTTTCAGTTTGTACAGTAATCAATAGGGTTGCAAGATTGCATATGTAGAATATGCAATAAACTCATGGAGAATTTAGAGCAGACCATGTTTCTGTACATTCTATAATTTAATAAAAATATACATAGACAAAAGTATTGTATGAACCCTTTTATTATTTGGCTTTCTTTCAAGTTTATAAACTGCTTCCTTCTATTTTCCTCCCTGGTCAAATGTTATAAAATATATGAGTGTATTAGGTGAAATATATTTATATAAGGGTGGCATAATAATTAATAACTGGATCAATAACAGATAAATTGCTTAATTACATTATCAGTTCCAAGGAAGATAAAAATATAATGCCCTTGAAAAAGCATAACACACCTTACAATCTAATGAATAAGAATTTTTACAAATTCCCTTTATGGGTAGATGAGTAATTTCTATAGAATAATATATCAATGTACGTTTGGTTCATAGCAAAATAATTTGTAAAATATCTGATATAAAGGTTTGTATACCATTGGTGGAAGGCTAAGTATACATATTTGTTGTTGTCATCATTAATATCTGAGCATTAACATTTGGGTCAAATATGCCTTTTAGAGATTTATTATTCTTTCTGCCTTTTCCTGAATTATCTGCTATGTAGCCACAGAAGTAGAAGAAAAGCAAATGGGCCCAAATGTTATGATAAAGATACCATGAGATGTTAATTTTAAAAATAAACCTAGTCCCAGGAAAATAGAATGATGCGGCTTACCTACGAAGAAAATGGTAATAATATAGAACGTGTAGTAATATGTTTAAAAAGTTGGATTATATATACAATTGATGATGTTTAAGTGATACATCATGAGAAAAAATAAAAATCAACAGAAAGCCACAGCTCTCTGATTAAACCATTTTATAAGTATTTTATGTGTTCTGAAAAGTAGACTTTTCACTCTGTATATACCTAAAGAAGACCCATGATTTGAAAATTTCTATTTTTACCCTCTTATTTTATTTATAATTTATATAAAAACAATCCACAATGATATAAATAAATATATGGTTTTGACATTAAATTTGGACCGATCTCAATGTATATTGTGAAGGTTCATAGATAAGCTCATGAAATAATGACGTTATTTCATTGTCCAGAGTTTCTTTTCCCACTGACAATACCTTTTTATAGCAATAATTGCCTCTAAACCCCAATTACTAAACTTCGTCACTTACAGTTATGTTCAGGGAAAATGTTTAAGTAAAGATCAGTCTTCAAGTCTCCTGAAAGTCTTAGTTAATCTATGTCAAGGCTCAAAATTCTTTTGATATTCAGTCAATACTAGTTTATTCAGGATTATTGAAATCTTTGAAGTAACCATTTGATAGGATGATTTGCCTTTTAGTAGGATTCACTGACATTTAATGGGAAAATAGATATTCCTTTTTCTCTTCATCTTCTGAGTTCACTCCCACACAATAGAAATATATATTTTAGCTTTGTACGTTTTTCTAATATTTCTACTCATCTCTTTAAAACATAAGCATAAAACCTGAAACTCTTTTTTACCCAAAAAAGCTAATCCTGGGGTCTTTTACTTTATGTTTCCTAGGTGTTCCAGTTCTTCTCAATGGTCCCAACACATGTAGCTCTGCACCCTCCCCCTGCCCCAAGGTAATAGGTCTATTTATTGAGCTAATTGTGCCTCTGGATAAAACATACATGTGAGAAATGGGAGGAAAACAGTATAAAGACAAAAATCTACATGTAGTCTAGAACAAAGAGACAGAGAACACATGGTAGGTGACAATTTGAGAAACTTCAGCTAATAAAAGATTTAACTTACTTTTTAGCATAAGGGGCAGCAGACTTTCTTTAAAAGACTCGCTGGTGAATATTTTAGGTTTTGTGGGCCTGGATTTGATAATTGTGTCCATGAGTTCATGCTTCTTTTTTTTGTTTGTTTGTTTGTTTGTTTTGTTTTTGTTTTTGTTATTTGTTTTGAGACGAAGTCTCACTCTGTCTCCAGGCTGGAGTGCAGTGGCACGATCTCAGCTTACTGCAACCTCCGCCTTCTGGGTTCAAACGATTCTCCTGCCTCAGCCTCCCGAGTTCATGCTTCTGCAATCATTCAGTAAGTATGAGGCATTAACTATGCTATTGGCACTTTAATGAAAGCCGTGGTGAGTAATAAGATATGTCATTCTTTTCTTCAAAGAGTTTGCAATTAAGTAGAAGGAAGATAAGGTCAATTCTCACCAAGCAACAATAAAATTATAATACTGTTTGAGAAACTGTTGAGCGCAGTCTCCGCTAGTGTAAAGTTTAGTTTTAGCGGGGTTGACACAGAAGTATAACAAATCAGACTGAAGAGGTCAAGGAGGTCTTGTACAGTGGCTCACGCCTGCAATTCAGTACTTTGGGAAGCCAAGGTGGGAAGATCACTTGAGACCAAGAGTTTGAGACCAGCCTGGGCAACATAGCGAGATCCTTTCTCTACGGGGAAAAAAAGAAGAAGAAGTCAAGGAGACCTGGAGTTTAATGTAGCTACTGCTCAGACACCAGAGCACTATGAAAAAAGCTTTCTACACAAGAGGGTTAATTTGTGTCCAGAGTAAACTTAGCATGTTCATGGAAAAAGAAGTATATTGTAGCTCTGAAAATCATGGACTCTAGAGCTGAAAATTTGTGGCTCTAAATCACAGTGCTGCCCCTTCTCAGCTGTAAGACCTTTAGCAAATCGCTCAAACTCTTCCTTTAATTGTCCTCATCTATAGAATGAGGATAATTATGGCTCATTGTGTGATAAGATTATCATAAAGATAAAATATGCTGATAGTATGGCATTTGGTAAGTTCTAAATAAATGTTTACTATATTATTATTATTAGACACCCAATACAAAATAAGCAAATAGCTTAAAACCAATATATTTTCAGAGAAAAAAAATTCAGATGAAGCAATTGCTCAACCCATAAACAATTCATAGTATGACTAAGAACTCTTAGGATGTTTGTAGCTTCCTTATTGTTTTCAAGTGTGTGCAAACAATGGTTTTGTTTGTTTGTTTTACATATGTGTGTGGGGGGATCTTCATGTGGCAATCATTAATGTATAACGCACACATGATATAATGTTTATCCCTATATTTCTCTGTTAAAGAGAAAGTGAAAGTAAAAGAGGGATAAAAAGAGACAGGGAGAGAAAGAGTGAAAAAACACAGAGGTTTGGGGCATGTTAAAATATTCAAACATACTAATTTTTTATTTCCCTCTAGCTTCCCTGCCAAGAAGAATGATTTTCCAACCACTACTAACCAGCAAATGCAGCATGTAAGTGTCTGACAATTCCTTCCAGGATAGTTCTTTACAAAAGGGACTGCAAAATTTGCAATGCCAATATTTTAAAAAGTAAATATGACTAAGACTTATGTACAAGAAGCAAAATATTATTTTTTGCACCAATATACTTAATTTTACTATGCATAGAATTGGTATACCCACAACTATATACTATACAGAAATAGTTCTACTATAATTATGATAATATAACAATGAATATTTGGTTAGAATTTTAAAGTTTATGTATAACAATAAATAATAAATATTCCTCATGATATAATACAAAGATTTTCTTCTTTTCTAAAAGAATGAACACCTCAATAGGCAGTAAAAATATTTATATTTTTCAAATAATGGAATATTTGATGTAGGGGTTCTCCATATACACAAATTTTCTGTTCACTAACTGACTGCCATTTAACTTCAAGGGATGGCAACCAACTTCTAGAACTAGCTAGCCTATTTTGTAAAAAGATGCATTGCATTTGTCTAGTTTTTTTATTTGTGATTATTCTCTCCTTTTTTGAAATGATTTACATCATGGCATTTATATTAACAAATTAAGGATATTGTGAGCAGCCTTTCAGCTAAGTAGCTAAAGCAACAATGTCACCAGTTATCAATATTTGGAATTCATTTTTCAACCAGAAAATATTTAATAAGCAGATAAGTGATCAGTATTGTATAACCCATGAGAAAACTAAAAGGCAAATCACTTATGAATGCTGTCCTAAAAAATGCACAGTCCTACAGGAGCTACATACGTATCATATGTACATAAATCAGTAAGACTCTAACAGTGTTTTAAATGTGTGTTTTTTTAAAATATGACTAGTGAGCATGACAGATATAAGGAGTGATTGTGACTTATGATTTGAAGGGACCAAACTTAATAATCACTACATAGTACATTACAGACATCAATAGAAGAGATTGATAATAAAATAATAACAACCAGCCATAGCTCCAAAGCAGAAGCTTGGATGTCCCCACATCGTGCCCCGTGTCAAGCATTCATTCTTTAGTCTATCACGACAATGACTGAGAAACCTGAGGGAGGGGCTGCAAAAATCCAGAAAGGAAGGGATGTTCAAGCAGTTCAGCTAGTGACGATTTACCAACTAGCATAAAAACATTTCAATATTTAAAAACTATTTTAATACTTTAAAAACCACCAGTAGGGAAATAGGCTAAATATACGCTCTGCTATTCTGAGATAGACCTCAAAATATGAACCGCATTTTAGCTGTTGAGTATGTTATATGAGGCTGAGAGTCGAGGTTTATTGAAGAACTCAATGTGTCATTTTCAAACAGGTGACTTAGAAAATCACATCAGTGAATCCATACAAACACTGTAAAATTGTAAAATTACTATTGCAACCTATTGTTTCCAAATTGTGACTTTTACCATCTTTGAACCCCGAATTCCTACTAGATCTCTTGCTTTCTGTGACTACCTTCTTTGGTGATCTATTTTGCTTTTCCTCTATTTCTCAATGACTGTGGCACAACTCCCCAGAGTGGTGACTCTAATCACTTTCCTAATTCAGACAGCTCTAGATACAGACTAGAAAAATAGTGCACCTTTATTTTTGGCCTTTGACCAGCACCTTACCATCTAACGTAGTCTGCCACAATTCCACTACCCCAATGGTGAAGCTTAACCCAATTTTGATATTGGGATTTGTGTGAGAGTAGCTTGAAATTGACATCATAGAGAGGTTATTTTTCTCTTATTTTCTTTAAACCTAAGTGAAGTATAATCTTACATTCTCTTAATTTTTTTTCTGTTGAAATAACTGGCATGGATCTAAATGCAATTGCATCTTTTGTCTGTTTTTATTTGAAAAAATTTGGAAGTACCACTTTATAAAACAAGCTGTGTAGAACCTATTTCCCTTCCATGTTCAAATGTCATGAATATTTATGAACCCAGAGATGAAAGCAGTAAAATAAAATGAATTGGCTTGAGCCAAATACTATTCTGCGATCTTTTCCAGTTCATTCAACTGACTGCCACTTGACCAAGACCTCACTCAAATGAACTTACACATTAAACTACTCACTGAAAAATTGATTTCCCAAATGTTTTCCAATTACAAAATCACATGGAGTTTTGCAGAAGCAATCTGCAAAGCAATCAATATTGGTAAGACAAATTTGGTACAAAGTTTTAAAAATCAAATACAGGTTATCATCTGTTGGTTCTCAGGCCCTCATGCCCCTTCCAACAGTGTGCTCTTATAATTGGTTGCATTTTAGTTCTGAAAGTCTCTGAAGAGGAGCCTCCTACTCCGTAAGAGAAATTTGCATCGTTCTCTTGACCATGTGACTTGTGGGGCCATCCTATGGCAGGAATTTATTTCATGACTCCATTGTCAGCTGTGTGACCATTTGACTTTCTCTGGTCAATAAAATGTGCGCAGAAGTGATGCAAGTAAATTCCAAGCAGTAGTTTAACTAGCTGTTATATATTATTGCTTACTCTTGTTTTCATCATCTGCCATGAGAATAGTGTGTCTCAAATACAGCCTGTTCTTTCATATCAAGTTCCAGAATAGAAGCTCTATGGAAAGAAGACACATGCAACATTTAGCTTCAATATGCAATATGAGTGAGAAATAAAACAGTGTATAAGCCATGGAGATGTTCAGGTGGTAACTGAAGTAAAACCTTATAAAATTGACACTGAAATGAGATTTTTTCATAATATCCCTCTAAAATATGTGACACTGGCTTTTGGGGCTAGGGGAGGAGGTAAGTTCAGAACTGTTATTGAATCTTTAAAAAGCAGCCACATCATGAGTTAAAGATGCAAAATATTTTGTAAAATTTTTACCTATGATGATTGTAAGGCAAATAATGTGCTGAATGTGTTGTAGATTTCATCACATGAAGGTTGGAATAAGTAATGTTACTGAGGAGACAATTGTTTTTAGTGACCAAGACAGCCTTAACATTCCCCTAATCTTGACTAAACTTTAGATAGGTTTCTTTCTGACTATAAGTTCCTGACCTTCCTTCTCTTAAAGCATTTACTTTAGAAGACTTGCAATTGTACATTCTTTCTCTGCCCCTTTGTGATGCACATCTTCTATGGCCCAGGAACCTCTTTTTCAAGGACCTGGAAGCCATTCTTTTGACATGTGCAATCATCAACAAACATACAGCTCCTGTTTCCCAGTCTCTATAGGAATATAGGTGCCAATGAGCAAACACAGTAGTCTTAATTACATTGACCAACCTCCCAACAATGTCTTCCAAAACTCTTCCACTTACCCTAGTGTTTAAAAATTCTCCTGCCTGTTTTCCAGCTGAGTTGTGTTCAGTATCTCTCCCTATTGCAATAGCCTCAACTGATATATTCTTGCCTGTTTAACTCCATCTGGTGATATTTTTCTTTGACATTAGCTACATTTGACCAACTGCTACAGGAACTAATTTGGCTTAGAAAAGTGTTGGCTGAAGATGGAGAAGGGAGACTCCAGAAATTTTAGGACTTAAAAGGTGAGGGATGGAATAGCTAAAAAATAAATTAAGGTTCAGCCACAGAGCAAAGACCAAATCCAGTAGGTAACTATCAGTAACCTTTGTTTAATAAAACAAGCGTAGCACCCTTAATTTACCCTAGAAATTCTTTTCAATGGACAAAATGTCTCAGGATAAAGAGACTGATGGTATGGTGTTCTCCCCTAACAACTGGCCAACTCAAATGGCCTGTATCTCAGTTTAGAGGGAGAAGCATAGCTCAGAAAGAATTGTGAGTCAAGCTATTAGCACAATTACCCTGACTAGAATCAAATAAATACTTTGTTGGCAGAGTTTTTGAGTGAGTTGCACTGCCAAAAAAGCTACTAGCTTAAATTAAAAGATATTGTGGCTGTTCAAGGTGTACAATAAACTTTGGGCTGTCAAATTTCCATGGCAGAATGAAGGTGGGAAAAAATCTCTCAGGTTCTAAAGAAGTCATGTAATTTAATGTCCTCTTTGTATATGACCAGGAAGGATAATGGAAAAGGAAGAATTTTTCAGAGAGTGGAGTCAAGAGTCAAGAATCAAGGAAGAAGCAACTCTCATGAACTAGAACTAAGGCTCAATTGGGAACATTCCCTACTTCAAAGTTAGGGGCTATATTAAGAGCAATATTTTATAATTTCTACTAACAAGTATCTGATATCTGTTTTCAGTTCTTGCTGCTTCTGAATTGGAGTAATTATTATTGCCATTTTATCTCTGTTTAATCACTAAGCCTTGGGCATTTGGAAGACAGAATCTCATTTTTTTTTCCTTTAAAATTTTAGTTTCTTAACCAAAATGTATTCCATGTAGAGGCTATATGAAGACCTTGGGTCATTCATTGCTGAGCTTGAATGGAGGTTTTACACTGTCCTTTACATGAAAAAAACTGTGTTGAATTTTGCATAAAGAGGGAGAAAGAAGGCAAGTGAGTATTTGTGACCAGGAAAATGCATTGTGGTGCATAACATTTTTGTTCTCAAATACATTTTCCTCTATTTATGAGAGGAGCTTACATCTTTTCCCATAAAAGGGTAAATTCTATACCCTTCCTTTATGAAACTCAACCAGCCACACTGTGAGTTGAAATGACAAAGGCCAGTTCAAAGCAGAAACTTTAAAAGCCATTGTGTGTGTTTCTATCAGCAGTCTTGCTCTTTTACTCTGTACTGAAAATGGTATATCCAAAATATGTTACTCCTGCAGCCTGAAAAAGAAGACACATGGAGAAGACCTTCAACTACATTGAAGCTGCCAACATGTAACAGAGATAGAAATATAGCATAGCTATAAACCGCAAATATCCTGTGGCTGTTTGCTGCTATAGAATAACCTAAAAATGCTGACAAGCATAGTGCTATGCCTACAAGACTGAAAGCCTGAAAATTAAACTTCACCTGATCCGTTTCCATCTCGACTGTGATTAATTACTGTCAGTAGGAGATTTCTTCAGCATTAGAAGAAATGTGGGTTATTTTCCCAGAAATACCACATTCTCTCATCCTTACCTCAGCCCCATGAGCAATGACAGCTTCTTATAATTAGTGATCCACAGATAATATTGCTTTTTTCTAATTTACTTCTGCCTAGGGGATAGTAATAACTATTTGCTCTTATTATACTCTGAGTAACATTGCCCTTCTTTTTATTCATTTTTGTTCCTGAAGTCCTTCTACTTTCTAACACTTCCATAATAAATTTCCTATATTAAATCCCTTTCTGAATGAAATACCTAGAGTAGATTGACATCAAAAAAAAAAAAAAAAAAAAAGAAGTTTGGAGTGTCTGCTCCATGTTGGATAAAAAAACTAAATAAAATCCTGGGAAATGTGAAGAATGCCAAAGAAATGGAAAAATGAGGACAGAAAAGAATACTACTGCCTGGTAGGTATTATGTGATGACATATATTTAATCAATCATATGAAACAGACATTATTCACTAAATTGTCGCTATGAGGACACTTCAGTTTAGAGAGATTAAGTGAATGTCCCAAAATTATTCACAATTGACAGGGATAATATCACAACTCCTGGCTGTGTGTCTTTGAAGTCTACTTTTTTCAAATTTTGAACTATTTTAATAATTCAGAGATGAACTAAGATAAACTCTTAAGTAATATAAAATAGTAAAAAATAAGTGTTAATATGCGCAGCAAAGTAAAATATCATAAAATGAGATCTATAAGTAGGATATGCCCACAGATAAATGCAATCTAAGAAAATGTGTTGAAAAAGATGTGGTTTGCACTGTATCTTAAAATATAGATAGAATTAGTGTAGGCAATAAAGAATACATTAAAATGTGGAGGTTCCAGAAAAGAAACACAAAAAGACAAACTAAATATTATTTGCTTCAGCAGCACTGAAGTTGTTGAATTGACAGAAGTTGGAATTAGACTTCTAAGTTAATGAGAGATAAAGTAGAGATATGTAACAGAGACAGCTAAGTGCTTTGTTGAGTTCAGCCCCAGCCATGGAAACTGAGTCTTTGAAATTTCCTGAACAGGTTAGTTATTTCACTGGCAATATAAAGAATAGATAAGATCAGAAGAAACTCAAATGGCATATTGGTTGGTATGCTTTTGCGTTAATCAAACATTGACTTGATAATGTCCAAATGCAGAGGGTTGCTGGTAGACATTACTATTCATGCAATCGAATGTTCAAGGTGTCTAAAAGAGTGGTAGAAAAGATAATCTGTAAGTCTCATAAACTTGTAAAGCCTCCTGGTTATAGGTTTTGTTATAATCTTTTTTCAAAAAGTAAGCTAAAAGTTGCAAAACTTCTCCAGTAATCCTGCCAGTATTTTTTCACTTGTTACTCTTCTTCATACATAACTAAAACCTGTTCTGCTTTAATAAAGATTTTTTTTCTTTTCTTTAGGTTTCTGTGGCCATAGGTCAAGCTGGAAAACATTTTTCCATAAAACCATGTGCAATTTCATGCCACAGGTGAAAGAATAGCCCAAATCCACAAGGTACTGTTATGTCCTACAAATTCTTTCACTCAGTCATTATTGATGTGATTTACAATTAATACGTGATTGTTTTACGTTACATTATATCGTAACACTGTATTACATTATACCATGCAAAGCCCAATTAATGTATTCTTTTTTATATGCATTGTCAGCAGAATCTACTAAAGCCTTGAGTGTATATGATGTGTGTTGTGGGCTGAATTTTGTCCCTCCAAAATTTCTATGTTGAAGCCCTAATTTCTGGAACCTCCGAATATGACTGTATTTAGAGATAAGACCTTTAAAGAGGCAATTCAATTAAAAATAAGACCATTAGGTTGAACCCTAATCTATTCTGACTGGTGTCCTTATATTAAGAGGGAATTTGGATGTACAAACAGAACCAAGGATGTGCAGAACCAGAAGAAAGATCATGTGAGAACACCGCCCTAAGTATCTGCAAGCCATGGAGAGAGACCTCAAAAGAAACTGAACTCTGACAACACCTCTATCTCGCTCTTCTAGCCTTTAGAACTATGAGAACATAAATCTCGGTTTTTTAAGCCATCCAGTTTGTAATACTTTGTTATGGCTGACACAGAAAACTAATAAAAGATACAAAAATACAGTAAATAATGCACGTTACTTGATAAAAATCAAGTAAGAAACTTTTAGTACATAAATTAGGTAAATAAAATGTAAAATGTTTATCTTCAGCTTCTATACAAACATGAAATTTACTTTGAACTTCTCTGAATTCTCATATTTCTTCTTTAATTTATTCCAGGTTCAGATAATGAGTGTATTATAAACAGAGTCTCAAACTTAATTTGATAACTGAAAGTGACTATGTTGGTAATTTAATTTCAAAGTTATATCTTCAGCATTTATGTACCACAGAAACATTTCACAATAACATTCTAAAATTAATGAATTTTCCCAGAAAAGTGATTCCAATCATTTGAAACTTTTTACTTATGTACACGATAAATTTAATGCAAACATAAGCCATTCCACAAATACATCTAAATATTATATCACAGGATATAGCATGTAATATATTTCTATAGATCAGTAGGAAATTCATGAAAATTCAAACCAAGTATAAGTTTTGTAAATCACACTGTACTTTTCCATTGCTTGTGTTAGTATTTAACTTTTCAAGTATTTTAATGCTGTTTTCCCCAGCCAGTCTATAAATTCTTCAAGAATTACTTATTGTACCACCTACAGCAAAATCAGAAACATGAACAATATAAGTAATCTATAGTCTGTATGGATAGAATGAATCAATAATTCTAACAACCTATGAAAGTGAGTTCCTAGAAATATTTACATATGTATATATTTAATTATATATATATTTAATTATATATATATATATTTTTTTAATAAAGATAGGTTCTCACTCTGTTGTCCCAGCTAGTCTCAAACTCCTGGATCCAGGCAATCCTCCTGCTTCAGCCAAAGTGCTAAGATTACAGGTGTGAGTCACCATGCATGCCTGGCCACTATGAATTATTTTTTTTTAAATCACATTCCGACCTCTGTTTCTACCTCAGTTTGGCTTTTTATCCCAGTATGTCGGATGATTTCCACAAAAATCTTTCAAAAAGATGATTGATGTTGATGTCTTTAATGCAACAACATTGAGACATCAAGTGGAGTTACAGCTAACTTGTGAAGTAGCTTGAAATTTCTATAACCAATGGTGGTGAGTAGACATTATTTTGGATTTTTAACAAGTTTCAACAAAATTCAATGTGTACTTAAGTATTATAAAAGAACGTAGTGTAGTGGTTAAGAGGTAAGATCCTGGAATCAAATTGCCTGTGTCACCATTTATTATCCTTGGAATTTGGGCAAGTTATTTATCATTTTGTGGCTTTGCTTTCTTGTCTATGAAGTGGGACTGAACATATCTACCATATAGTGACATTAGGAGTATTACGTGCATTATCTTTGTCAGGACATACTGAAATATGTTTGCTTCTAAATATAATCTATGGAAGTGCTTGTTAAATAAGTGAATAAATAAATAAATATTATATTGTTTGCAAAGATTCTACCATTCAAAAAGTATTCTTTTTCTCTTTCATTAAGTTTTACCCTATGCAAACAATTCCCTGCCAGATTTGTTGATGGAAGCTATCACTATGAAAACATAAAGTCAACTTTTACATTTTTAAAAAATCGCTGAAAAGTTGTTGAAAAACTTGTTGCAAAGAAATGATTGCAAGTAATGGAAATATGGAGAAGCCACAAACAGACATAATTTCTCCAGTTCTTAAGTTTTATTTCCTGTTGACTAGACCAGTATCACTGTCTTTTATCTCACTTAGATTCACCAAAAATATCTAATCATTTCAAATCTTTCATTTTTCTATCCCTACCTATTTCAACACATAAAAATGAATAACTTGATCAGGGCAAAGTATCCACAACAGTGTGAGAATTCTGCTGTTTCAGTCAGAATTTTTCCTCTCGAGGCAAGTCTGTCTATACTTAATCTTTCCTATTTCTTTGGTCTTCTGATCAAAGTTTTTTCTGACTCTTTTAGTAAATGCATCGGTCATTCTCCTTTGATGAAAACCAGTTCATGGACAAATCAAATGTATGCTTCTCTCATCTTATGCAATTCTATGAAGAGTCACACAAAAATGGAATCCAGTTCTAGGATATCAAAGAATCACCAAGTTAAAGGAGAAATTGAGCTCTAAGGGAAATAACTTCCTATTGAAACAACAACAAAAAATCTGAAGTCCAAGGAGAAAAAAATAACCTTTAGTAATTGCCTTGTTATTGTTCAGTTTATTCTTTTTAGCTTTCTTCAACCCCTCTTGTTAAAGGGCTCCATGATGAACTATATTCACTAATATAAAAGCACTACATTATATATATGTGTGTGAGTGCATCAGAAGACAATTGAAAACACATACAATACCATAACAAATTAACATATGAAAACAATTTCTTTAACATAGTGGTCTCCATCCTCTCTTAATCATATTGAAATTAATGCATGGAAATGACATTATTCAAATTGTATTCCCTGTTTAGTATAAATGCAAGAAAATTGCATTAAAATTGATCTATTTAATATTACTAAGGTAGTATTTGATGCTTGTGAAGTTAGAATGTTCTTAGCATCCATTAAAAGTATACACGTTTAGCTCAATCCTATCAAATATAAAGTAAAATAGTTAAGATCATTGAAATTTTGACATAATTTTACATGTCCTCACATAATTAAAAAATAGAAAAATTTTACACATACTAAGCATCTCTTTGACAGGGAGCTTCTGACCTTGAAAGGCACATTATTCCAGTTAATGAGCAATTCCAAGGGTATATCTTCTATGTAAGCTGAACATGATTGCCCACTGAGTGCAGTTCATTGGTCCTAGATCTGTTCTCTAGAGTCTTGCAGAAAATATTAAGTCATTATTTTACATGGAAGACCTTTAAGCACTAAATATGCTACTTTGCCCTCCAAATTGCACTTTTCCAGAAGGAATATCTGGCCACAGTTAAAGCATATATACAGGCTTTCATTAATGAAAACAGAATCAGAGTGTCAATTTGATGAGTTATCTGTGTCCAATTTGGATCCTTAGGGAAGAGTTCAACCCTGAACCACACTGATTTAATTAAAATGTTCTAAAATATTAGCTAAATAAGCCCCCATTTAAAGTCCTTCAAATTCACTTTTAAGTCAATTCAGCCCTTTAGACATGCTCTTAATGTTTAGCTTCCTGCATCTCTGCTGTAGTTGCTGTTTTATTTTATTTTTTCTTTTTCCTCCAGTTGTCCTCAATATAAATTGATGGGAACAGCACACATACAATATTGTAAAATGCTCATTCCTGTTTTTGGACTGCTGGCCAAGCAACTCTTTCCCATTGAACATTGGCAGCACAGTGTGATTTCTTTTATGATTTTCCATTTCTATGAGTTTTCTTTGCAATTTGGCCTAGAAAATGGGATCCTGGGAAGTTCTAAGGGTCTAATAACCAGGGGCCTTTGGAATTTATCAGAGGCAGAAACGATGCCAGCTCAAATGCAAGCATTTGTATTATTGTCCTCTTCAAAAATAATGGCAAATTCTGGGGTTTATTGTTTTTTACCAGGCAGAGTAAGTAAATATTTCAAATAGAGGATGTTTGAGTGTCATAAATACAGTGAAGTTTTGAGACCAAAGGATCTAAGGTGGCTTAGAATACTTACTGGGCAACATACCATTACATTTTTCCTCAAGCCTTCAAATAATTATGTAACTATAGTACATTAAAGATGCACTATAGCACCAGTGGTGACAACTTAGAGAGACCTTTCTGAACACCTGAGTTATATCTACGCTATACTCTTCAGTCCACTGACATAGTTAGTAGAATATTTCACAGCTACATTTTAGGATATGTAACTCAAAAATCCTTAAAATCATATTTATTTGGTTGTAATGTCTTCATATATAAATGTTTTATTTATTATCATCCAAATGATTTGAAAATTGTTTTCTAGTTTTAAGAACCTCCAATGTCTTTATTTAACAGGGAAATTTTGTATTTCCCCACTTGAGCACTACAAACCTACCGTTTTGAGTACCCAGTAAAGTGATGGATATGTATTTTTTTTAATGTCTTAGTTTTAACTGACTATATAACGAATATGTGTTATGAACTAAATATATGAATCCCTCAAAGTTTATATGTTGAAATATTAACCCCCAATATGTTAGTATTAGGAGGTGAAGTCTTCAGGAGATAATTAGGTTATGAGGGGAAGCCCTCATGAATGATATCAGTATCATAAAAAGACACAGGAGGCCGGGCGCAGTGGCTCACGCTTGTAATCCTAGCACTTTGGGAGGCCGAGGTGGGCAGATCACAAGGTCAGGAGATCCAGACCATCCTGGCTAACACAGTGAAACCCTGTCTCTACTAAAAATACAAAAAAAAAAAAAAAAAAAAAGTGGCCAGGTGTGGTGGCGGCGCCTATAGTACCAGCTACTGCAGAAGCTGAGGCAGGAGAATGGCATGAACCCAGGAGACAGAGCTTGCAGTGAGCCAAGATAGCACCACTGCACTCCAGCCTGGGCAACAGAGCGAGACCCCGTCTCGGAAAAAAAAAAAAAAAAGAAGAAGACACAGGAGACCTTGCTCTCTGCTTTCTTGGCTATGTGAAAAATAACATGAGAAAATACTTATTTGCAAAACAGAAATATTGCCCTCAGCAGACAAAAAAATTATTGGCACCTCGATCTTGGACTTCCTAGCCTCCAGACTGTGAGAAATAAAAGTATTGCTTAAGCCACCCAGTTTGTGGTAATTTTATATAGCAGCCCAAACTGCCTAAGATAATACAGGACTTAAGTGTGAGGTTAAAGTTGTAATGTTGATTTTCTGTTTAACAGACAAAGACATACTTTTCAGAAAAAATACAGAGGTAGGCTTTATATTTAGATTACATAATAGCTCTGCACTCAGGGTTAAAGGTAATATTTGAGAAATTGTTTGCTTTGGCATAAGATTAGATAATTTCAAAGTATTCTTTAATCCTGAAAGTCTATGAATTTAAGGAATCCAACATCTACTTCTGTATGGAAGGCTAAGGTAAAATAAGCAAGATAATGGATATAGCAATCAAAATCACACACACCCATAATATAAGACCAAGACAAAAGTTGTCATTGGGTTTTGATATTTAGGGAAGGTTTTCTGAAAGTCTACATTTAACAATGGGTAAAAGCTGTGAAAAAACAGAGCTTAAGAGCTCTCTGGAAAGATGGAAGTTAAAGAAGTGCACAAAATGAAAAGAATTTTGCAGTCCCTTTGAAAAATCACAGGGGGTAGAGGCAAATGTAAGTTTAAGGCATGTATAGTGAAGCAGTAAGAGAAGCACCTGGACATTTATAATGAGGCTATACTTTGGAGATCATTGAAATACAAATTAAAAATGGACTACTCTATGTGAGACAATGGGGAAACACTGAGCAGGATAAATATGATTACAATTACACTTACAGCTAATCATTTTTCTTCAACAGTAGAAATGATCATTTGAATAGTGAAGAGAAACCAAAAAGGGGAAAAAAAATATTTACAGTCAATTGCAATAGTCCAGTATAGAGCTAACGAAGTTTTGGAGAAGGCTGTTGGAAATAGGACCAAGGACATAAAGATCACAAAGAGCTAGAAAAGAGGTGTCTATCAAATTATTTCCGGGTTTCAGAGATTAGATGGCCTGGTATATTTATGAATTTTATTATTCTCATGACAACCATACAAGGTTGATATTATTGCTATCTTTGGATTAATGAGTATATTGATAAAGACTTTAAAGAACTTGTCCAAGCACACTTAATAAGAAACAGAATTGATATTGACAATAAATTCTAGTCTTTGAATCCAAAGCTCAAAACTATTATACTGTTATATTACTTAACCTAAGAAGTTTTTGTTGTTGATGTTGTGTTTTGTTTTTAGAACATGTTACTCTCATACTTACCTACCCCAGTAATAATTTACAAATATAGAGAGGATTTTTAGATACCATCGTGTATGAAAAATCTGGAACACTTTCCTAAGTTATCCTGACATGGTCTTCTCATTTGTAGGAAAATCATGTGGGAGCTTCGAGTTGTATCAACTAGTATGCAGGAATAGAGAAAGAGATGAAGTTAATATTGAATTTTAAAATTAAAACCCTGTTTCTCTAAACTTTTGGTGGTCTTCAGACTGGTAATAGACTGGTAAATTCATGAGGATGAGTTAGTTTTCAGAAGAATATAGTACAAACATATTAGGGGCAAATTGAATTTGAGTGTTGAAAAATGATATCCATACCACCGGCTGCCTTAATCTAAAACAACATAATCCACAATAATAGAAAAGCAATTTGTTGGAAGATTATAACTTGTTCATAGAACTAAATAAGATGAGGTGACAGATTCTGAAGCCCTATGCTTATACAGGCAAGATCTACAGCCAATGTCACTATTGGGTTTCTCTATAGAAATCCATTTACCATTCTCACATGGTAACCATAATGTTTGGGACACAAGCATGGTCCCTGTCTTCTACATAGAATCAAGTATATCTATCAGCACATTTTCCAAAGATAAATCACTTTTTGTTTTATTTTACTCCAAATTTTATTTAAATACATATGACTAGTAGAACAAGCATCGCCACTCTGAATCTGAGCTTGAAGGGAGTCTAGGGAAATCAATTTCCTGACTTATAACCTAGTAAGGCAAGGTTCAAAATAAAGATTTTCTCTAAATAGAGACAGGGTCTATAAAGATGTTAGGCCACTAAAAATTATGAATTTCCATTAGAGCCCAAGTCTCAATATTAGCTCCCCATTATTAATATATAATTAATATCCCCATTTAAACTCAAAACAGCATGGACCCAAACTAACTTATTATAACTAACTATAACTGTTCTTCACACAAATAATAAGTGAGCACACTTTTCAATAAAAAGTTCAAGTTAATTATTCAATCTACAAGTCCAAGATTTCTAAGTAATAAGTATTCTTCCTATAGACGAGTTGTTATAGACTGCATGTGTCTGTCCTCCCAAAATTTGTATGTTGAAAACCTAACCTCCAATGGGATGGTATCAGGAGGTAGAGCCTTTGGGGTATAATTAGGTTTAGGTTATATCATGAGGGTAGAAACCTTGTGATAAAATTAATAGAAGGACATAAAATTAATGTAAGAAAAAATAGACTACAGCTCGCTCTGCCACATGAGGAGAAGAAGTGAAACACTTAAATAAACTAATGGATACACATATATATGCATACATACATAGTCTATAGGTAATAAACAGATTATAAGACAGATATCACATTCCTTATTTCTGCAATTGACTAAAAGGGTATACATTATATTGAGACTACTTTTTTCAATGTGTAATTCATGTTCACTTTGCTCTCAGCAAGTGACTGAGTTACTCAATGTTATTTACTTGTGAAGGTGATTCAAAACTGATTTTCCTAAAGAAATCCTTTGTTATTTTACAGTTATTGTGATGCTCTTACTATCTGCTAACTTTTCCAAAACACATAGAAGTACAAGTACTAGAAGATACTTCAGAGGATCCTCTGGGTTTATCTATAATTCTTTCTTCTCAGATTAGGTTAACAAAAAGCTCATCTCCTTGATAATCAAACCAATGAACACCTAACACAAATATCTTTCTGATTCCTTTTTATTCTAGTGTCAGGAAGTCTTCAATAACCAGGCAGAAGTCTCAGCTGCCATTTAATTGAAATTGTGTTGTATTCTTGGCTACTACAAACTAGCAGATCCCAGAGTTATAGAGGTTTGAATAGGAGCAGAATCACAAAAACTGTGCCTTTCAGGTTTTTGATGATGGTACCAATATTTACATTTTATTAGGAATGCAGTCTTAATTTTGCTTTACCATTTTGACCCATGGAGATGCTCCAGAAGTTTCCCCTTGGATAGTTTATATCATTGCATAAGTCAAAGAGCCAATGTATAAACTCTCTCAGTTGCTGTTTTTATTTCTTCAACCCATACATTAGAGATTGGGATGTAACCACAGAAAGTATTTATAGATCAATGGGACCACTCTAAGGGAGACTAGTGCCAAATTCCATTTATCATCTGATCTCCAGAAACGTGTCAACCACAGTGAAATTCAGTACCAGGAATTAGTGTTATTTCAGAACCAGTGGCAATCACTGAATATTCTATACCCTTGGCTCTTCTCAGGGTATATTTATCCTAGGAAATAGTGACAGATTCTTTTGGAGGAAGCTGATTGGAAAGTTTTTTTTTTTTTTGGTGTTTGAATTCTTTTTTATTCTTGTATTATTTTTTAAATAGTTTTGATTAGCGGCTGGTTGAATCCGTGGATGCAAAATCTGTGGATACAGAGGGACAGAGGCCTACTGTACATGGCACACAGTAGGTACTCAAAGATATTTGGCAAATAAATGAATCAATAAATTGATCAGAGTAACAACAATAAGGTCTTTGAATTCAACATTTGCCCAATGCTTTTTCCTTTCTTTCTCCTGGTCACAAGCTTATATCTCAAAATTCAATGTCAGTCCATTAAGAGAGGACTGGGCTCTAAAACCTTTCACTATTAGGAGGGCAAGTGGAAAGCACACAGTTATTATGATGATTATTGTGATCCAGCCTTAATGAAATCAATGTGTGGTTAAATAACAGTTTGCTAAGTGTAAATTGTTATTGATAAACCATTTCCTTTACCTGATAAATGCAGTGCAGTACTCCAGGCAAGGGAGCAATCCCTGCTGCACGGACCCATAATCATTCCAAAGATGCAGAGGATGCTATTGACCCCATGGGCCAGGCTTGGGATGACACAGCCCTCAGTTACAAACTGCACTTGGACCTTTGGCTACACTGTCTTGGCTTTTAGGCCTGCTCAGGACAACTGCTCAAAGCAAACTGCCGTAAGGCACAGCTCTACCTAAGCATTTACTGCTGCTTTTGTCAACAACAACATGGATGAACAGCAACATGAACAGCAACATGGATGAAGCAACATGAACAGCAACATGAACAGCAACATGGATGAAGCTGGAAACCATCATTCTCAGCAAACTATCGCAAGGACAAAAAACCAAACACTTCATGTTCTCACTCACAGGTGGGAACTGAACAATGAGAACACTTGGACACAGAAAGGGGAACATCACACACCAGGGACTGTTGTGGGGTGGAGGGAGGTGGGAGGGGGGAGGGATAGCATTAGGAGATACACCTAATGCTAAATGAGGAGTTAATGGGTGCAGCACACCAACATGGCGCATGTATACATATGTAACAAACCTGCATGTTGTGCACATGTACCCTAAAACTTAAAGTATAGTTAAAAAAAAAAAGTCCTCTCACCCTTTCCCCAGGGACCTCCAGTGTGCTTTCAGCAGGCTCCATGAGGTAGCCAGCTAGTTCTCAAGACCTGATTACATTCAATTTACTTGAATTTTTATCAGAGTGCCAGTCAGCAGTGTTCTAGATAAGCTGCCCCAAATCAAACAGAGGCCAGTGAGGTCCTGCCTTTGTCTTACGTTCTATCAGTGACTCCCAGGGGACCTTGGAAAATCCAATAATCTCAAAAAGCTGTTCCTGAGCCTATAGAGTCCTGGCCCTGTCAAAGCACAGTGGAAAGTTTATAGAAAGCCTGGGCAACATAACCTTGAGGACTCTTTCTTCAAGGTTACTTAAACTGTTCTTTTTCCAAACTAAGCCACATCTTAGAAATTATTGAAAATCTCTGACTCTTTGATGATGAAGATACATCTCCTTCATAAAGACAATTCTTGGAGGTTTCTTTTTCTTATGGCTCATTTCCTTTTTGTGCTAGGCACCAATGATAGATTAGCCACAGCCAAAGATTACTGTGGTTCGAGTCATTCTGGTTGCCACCCTGGCTCTGAAACCTGTTTGTACAGTACCCACTTTGTAGCTCTTAACATAGTGGCTTCTGTACTAACTCAAGGAGTCTTTGTCATCACAACTTTATTTGGTAATTAATAAAATTAACTCTAGCTAGTTTAAACCAAATGTAATTTCATAAGGTTATTTCTGGTGGCTCATAGGTCTCAAGAAGGGATACAAACAAGCCTACTCCAAGGCTAAGCGGTCAAATATACTCAAGCAATAGAGTTGCCAGATTTAGCAAATAAGAATATAAAACACATAAACAACTCTTTTTTTTTAATGACAGTATATCCATGCAATATTTGGGGTATGCTTAAGAGTAAGAGATGGTTAATTATTTATCTGAAATTCAAATTTAACTGAGCATTCTGTAATTTATCTGGCAGCTCAATCAAGTATATGGGAGTTTTGCTAACGATACCACACGTGTCACTGTTTCTAGGTTACTGTTATATTAAAAATGAAAACTAAAAGCCAAAACCTCTACTACTGTCTTCCTCAAAGAATCAGATGGATTTCACAACACTTTTGTTAGAAGATTTATTCTCTCATGTTGCTCATTGTTGAATCTGTTTTATTAATTCTCTTTATGGCAAAACCTAGTTATATGTGTGAATCCCAGCTTCACAGGAGCCTAGCAATTCAAGCTTCCTGTTTTCTGCCTTAAGAAAACAAGATTCACAAATTTATTCAATTGAATATATTCAAAGGTAATAAGTAGCCAAACAAATGAATGTCCACTACATTAGGTACCTGAGAGTTGAAAATATGAATCTAGATCCGCTAGTGCATTAGATTCAAGTGAATTCAATTAAGGTGAAATATTTGTAACACAAACATTTTAAAGTGAAACAATAAGTAAGTTTTATTCAAATGATAATTAAAATGTCTCTTTGCTAATTCTCTCACACTGGCAAATTATTCAGAGTTGGTAGATTGTCAGTTTTCTCCATTTTGAATTATTCAATGAAGAAATATTATACCAACTCGCTGAAAGTAATTTGCTAATAAAGAACCAATTAAGTCTTTAAAGTTGCTATTTTCTTTCAAATGTTCAAAATCCTTTTATAACGAGGTTTATTTTTAGATAAAGAAATTAAATTATATAATTTTAGGAAACTCTTGGGCTCTTCTATTTTTTTCATCTATAATGCATAATTGATGGCATATATGGGCTTTTTCAAAGCAAGCCTAGAGGGTTATGGAGTCAGAGATTTGAGTCATTGGCTAACAGCACACTGTAGCAGTACTATTTTCTTAATATGTTGTATATATTGTTCAGGCAATTTATTTCTATGGTATCTTATACCTAAAGTGCTCAGGAAATAGAGTAAAATTCCTTTAATTATTCCCCAATCAATATGAACTGGGATACAACTTATATAATATTGAATGTGTAAATCAAATATCTGCTGCTTAGTGGTTTGAGAGATACACAATTTTAGTTTAAAAAATAATTAGATGGTAAAATTTGACAAGTATTTCAGGATTTAATGACAACCGTAAGTAAATAGAAATACAATTATTTTTTAATTGCAGACAGAAAATGGGCCACTCAAAGTGAAAATGTAACCACAAGATAAACTGATAGAAAATGAAAGTATTAGTGGGACCAAGTCTTTCCTTTATGTCTAAACTACCCATTTCTCGTTTCAAACCGAAAGTGGAGAATAACATTGAGACTACAAAGTGCCACTCAGTATAACACGAGTTTGGTTATTATAATTAAATATATATGGTAGATGGATCATTAAAAACATTGTTCCCAATCTTTCTTTGTTGTACCAACAAAGAAATCACTACAATGTGATTCCATCAAAAATTGGAGTCCATTCCCCCACCTCTTTCAATCTGGACCAACCTTGGACTTGCTTTGGCAAACATGGTACTCTGCTCCACTAATTTTTGACAACTTGGCTTCCTCAGACTCTGACACCAACTCTCATGTAAGAAGATAGCTAGGCTCTATTTAGGTATGCCCTTCTAGCACTTCAACTCAGGGTACATGTAAAGCCCACCTTGTTTGTTTGCTGCCTTTTTACTGTATTACACTCTTCCATTGTCTGTTTTCCAATATACAAAACTATCATTTCATATTTTTTCCATTTTGTTCTGTTTGGTTTTGTTTTTAAGACATGAGAATAAATCTGGTTTTTGAAACACGATTGTGACCAGAAGTGAAAGTACCCTTTTACTCATTTTTCTTTCAATATATTCAATTACTTGGCAGACTGTCATCAATTTTACTTTGTGAAGCAGGTTGTCTAATTTCCCAACCAATGTAAGTAGAAATCTCCTTGAGGGCAATGACTTTTCATGTTCGCTATAGTATAAATCAAGGTTATTATTGTGGTCAACATTAACACTTATCATGATACAATAAAAAAGACACAATTTACTGGAGGAATTTGTGTTGCACCTAGAATCAATCAAAGGGCTGGAAAGCTGGCAGAAATCAAGGAACTCTAGAGGCTATTTTGCAGGTCCATAACCAAGGTTTGTCTATATGGCATCACTGTGACTGCAGTAGGGATGGAAAAGCAAGAAATGCTGGGCGCGGTGACTCACACCTGTAATCCCAGCACTCTGGGTGGCCGGGGCGGGTGGATCACCTGAGGTCAGGAGCTTGAGACCAGCCTGGCCAACATGGTGAAACCCCATCTCTACTAAAAATACAAAAATTAGCCAGGGGTGGTGGCGAGCACCTGTAATCCAAAGCTACTCGGGAGACTGAGGCAGGAGATGAGTCCAGAAGGCGGAGGTTGCAGTGAGCCGAGATCACGCCATTGCACTCCAGCCTGGGCAACAAGAGCGAAAATACGTCTAAAAAAAAAAAAAGAGGAGGAAGAAGAAGAAAAATAAAAGCAAGAACCTAGCTAGACTGGCTTCTGAAGCGGGAACATTCAGTGGCAAGGAAGGGCTAAGAGCGTCCTTCTGCTCAGACTTTACATACATCAGGTTACTCACATAATAGAATTAGGTTGGTTGCTGGGCAGGCAGCTTGCAGTTACTGAATAAAAAATATAATGAAAGAAAATAAGGCTTTTTATTAGTCCAGTTATGCTCTTTAAATGAAGTGGCCATATTCCATTTTATAATTTTAATCCAGCTAATGTAAACAAGCAAAAGAGGAGAGTGTTTTCTTTTATATGAGTGTTCATTACAAATGTAAAAGCTGTTATTTCCATGAAGAGTTTTTAAAATCCTTGTTGAAGACGGGATAAGAAGATGATAGAGGCACTTAATGGCATATGTAAGTTTGATGGATAGTTGCTGCATTGCTACTTTGACCTGGATATTTTAAAATAGTATTTATTGAACTTCTTAGGAGAGCTAGATTATATAGACACAAGTTTCATTCTACAAATGACATTGCTCTGGGAAGTTAAATGACTAACCTAAGATGACAAAATTGAAAAGCAGAGCTGAGATTAATATTCATTTTTTTACTTTAAATCCAGTATATTTTCAAAACACTTATTTCTACATGTCCTCTCTCAAGATTGAATATATATTTTTAAGTAAAATTAACTGAAGTACATTATTGAGATATAATTGCACCACATTATTTACCAATCACACATATTGATCATTCACAAAGTCAAATTCATTATTTTTTAAGTATACAGTGTAGATTGCACAGTTCACAGACTTTGGGCTAAATATATGCAACCATGTAACCACCACCTCAAAATATAGAATATCTTTATTATTTCAACAAGATTATTTTTAACTCTTCATAGTCAATCCCATTACCCACCCCTTGGTCCTTGGCAACCAATGACATAATTTATTTCCTTACAGTTTTGCCTTTTCCAAAATGTCATATAAATGGAATTACAAATTCAGACACTGAATTCAGATCCCCTGACAGGGAATTGCTCCAAACTTTTAAAAAGGAAATAATACCAATCTTGCATAAAATTGCCTAGAATTATATGAAAATATATTATAAGGCATAACAAGAAATATTAGGTTGGTACAAAAATGATTGTGGTTTTTGCCATTAAAGGTAGAAAAAAAGTATAATAACTTTTGCATCACCCTAATATACTAAAACAGAATAATGCATCATCACTAAGTAGGTTCATTCATAGACTAAAAGTTTAGTCTATCATTCAAAATATCGACCAATGTATTTACCAAAGACAAGAAAAGAACCATTGTGTGATGATTTTGATGACAGCAGGAAAAAAATGAGACAATATGCAGAATTTACAAATGCTTAAAAATACCACCAGGAGGAGCAACTATTAGAAAATCAGGAATACAAGAGAATGACTTTAATCTGAATTAGAATATCTACAAAAAGCCTATAGCAAAAAAAAAAAATATATATATATATACTCTGATGTGGTGAAATATTCCAAGCCTTCCCACATTTTACTAGAAGACTTAGAAAGTACCATAAGGCAATAAAGAAAATACATTTATAAAGTTTTAAAAAGTGAAATAAAACTGTCATTATTTACAGATGACAAGACTATATACATAGAACATCAAAAAAACTACTAATAATATTAATTATTAAATTTCAAAATACTAATGTTATGAAGTCAACTCTAAAAATTTTACGTCTACATAGAAACAACAAATAATTGAATTTTTAAATCATAATACTTACAATAGTACCTAAACTTATTAGATACCTAGGAAAAAATATGAAAGCTAGAACATATAATTGAAAGACATTAAATTAACCCTAAATAAATCAAGGGCTATAACACTTCAATAGATTGAAAGACTAATTTTTGCAAAGATATCAACACTGCAAATAATATTTATAAACAGATATTGTGAGTTCTAATTTGATCTTACTTTTCAGAATTGTTATAGACTACAAAAGTAGTCTAGGCTTGGAATTCAAATGGATGAACTCTGACTGCTTTGAAATATAGAACATTACTTATAACTAAATTTATACAGTCTTTTTTTATAGATATAAATGATGATGTATCTTTTTCATATTAACAAATCTGTGGGTAGGAAAAAAAATTTGTCATGCAATTGTATGAACTACCTCTACGTAACATCCAAAAACTGCATGATGTCCTATGATCAAAATTTAATATTAATGACCTCTCCAGGGACAAATCCATTTGCTCTTCCATCAATATTGCTTTTGCAAAAGGATTTGTTACATAGTCATTTGAATCATTTACTTTTTCAACACCCACATCAATATTGTGAATGGTTCCTTTGGAGCCTCTGAGATCTTTACATCCCAACACAATCTACTATAATAAATTATAAGTAGATTAGACATTTTCCATTGTTTTTTGAAGTATGAGAAGGGTGAGTTTTAAAAGGAAGATGGAAAATGCAAATCTGCATAGTGATGTGGGCACTCATAGATAGATAAATTGTAGGCAAAGGTATATATGGAAAATGAGAATTTGGGCATTGAATCCCTCACAACTATTTCTTTCCCTGAAACTCTTGGGATGTTTTTATAGACTTCCAGGTGTAAATAGATCCTAGTTTTATGTCCACTGCGCTAAGACAAACTGCATTTTTTTTCTGCTTCCCTTAGCCACTCCACTTTAACTCACTAAAATAAACAGGAGCTTATGGTAGGCATGGGATTTGTTCCCCCCAATGCTTAATCCACCTGAGATGGGAACATAGTTTTGTCTTGAAGCAACAGAATGGGCAGGTTGAGACTTTGGAATCTTTTCTAGTCATAAGACACTATTTTTAAAAGGCCCTAAACATCAATATTCAAAGCCTGTTGTAGTTATAAATAAAAACAGGAAGAGTTTTCCTAAAGTTCAGAGTTGAAGAATATAATATATTCATAATTACTTTCAGATACATTTCTCATTGTATATATCGGTAGTCAGAGTGTGTGATAAATTATCAACATAATTTAATGCATTTATAAATTTACATATTGAACACGAAACTGTTGGTTTCCAGATATAGCCACTGAGCTGCATATATGCATTTGAGAATTTTTCCTTAATGCCACATTCCCTTGTGAAATGTAAGTAATCATCAATAAAAATTGTGTAGTAATTTTCAATGCTGCTTACACATAGCATAGATAAACAGTAACACATTTCATTATTGAATTTAAGATTACATATTCATCAGGCATTTCTACTTGGTTCTCTGGTGAATGGACTATTTATTTTGTGAATGCTCACATAAATCAACGGACAAATAGGATATCAAAATATGTTTTGTTTCAGAGTACCTAAAAGTATATTAGTCTTCTGTCAATAAGATAATTTTTGTCTGTTAGAGAAATAATACAAGTAGAATATAGGTTTAATTGTGCTATTAGGTATTAAAGAAATTCAGTGAGAATTGGCTTTGGAAGAGGATGTTAATACCTGTCATTCTCTTTAGTTGGCAATTGAATCATCACAGCCTCAGAAGTATTTATTTAGGTAACAAGTATTCTCAGTCCCATGTTGTCACCTTGATAAGCATGTAGGTCTTCACATATGGTTGATTTTAAGTGTTATGGAGACTATTTTACAAAAGAAATGATCACTACCTTCTATTTAAATTGGGGTCCGGAAGTCTATATGTAATAGCATACCTGATAATTGGTTCTATTATGAAGGACTGTCAAGGCAGATTTTCCGAGTACCAAACAAAATGCTTAACACTCATTTCCCAGCAAAAACTGCAACATAGTGCTTCAGCAGCAAAAAAAAAAAAAAAAAAAAAAAAAAAAAAAATCCCAATTCTAGTTGCATAGAATAAATCCAATTATGCCTACAGAATCCAGATGCCAAACTGACACTTTAGGGAACTACCTACAAACAAAATGGTGCTAATCCATGTTTGGGAAAGGAGATGTGCAGAGGACTTTTTGTTTTTAGGATGAATCTTAGAGCGTAAGTAAAATAGTCTATGTAAATTAACTTAATAAAAATAAAGTGTCTTCTTAATAACTCGAATAATGCATCCAGCTCCTTTGTTAGTTTTTTAGTGTTATACATTTGACTCTAGGCATTTTTAAGTCTTTTTAAAGATCAATTACATTTTAACCAATAAAGTTCTAATGATCAGATTTCTACCAGCACCAAAAAAAACCTGAAATAGAAATGTACAGATCATTCTTTCTGGGTGGTCTCAGTCAAAAGAACTAAACGCTCTAATCCCTAGTTTCTTCATTAGTAAAATATAGATAATATTTAATCTACCTCATGGGGTCTTTCAGGGCTTGAATGATATTATTCAAGTAACAAGTTTAACAAGATGCCTAGAGCACAGGAAATGTTCAATAAACATTAACAAAGGTCTGATTTTAAATTATCATGTATACTTGCATCCTACCAAATGTATGTATTTTTCAGATCCATCCATGTAACCATTCATTTTTACGGTACTTGCAGCATGCCTCCACTCTTTGGTACTTTGACGTAAAGATGAATGAAATACTGATCCCAATTATCCTGGCTATGTTCCATAGAAGCAGAGCCTGAGATGGGAATTTATGAAAGTGATTTATTAAAGAATGCCTTAAGGAGAAAATGGTATGAGTGTAAGGGGCATAAGCCAGGGAAAGGAAAGAACTATGCAACAACAAATTTAGGGAAAATCTAGCTTCCGGCTGACCTCAATGGGATCTCTGAGGTATGAATTGCAACACTGTCTGCCTTGCCTTGAGGTAAAAATGCTGGGACTTACCCTAAGTGGTTCATGAAAGAGGTATTTAAACACACACACACACACACACACACACACACACACACGCACGCACAAGCATAAGCTCTTATCCTTATAAGAATAAGGGATAAGGAAAGGGCTGGTGCGGGGGATGGGATATTGAGTACATCATTCAAAGTAGTAAAAATGTCTCAGGGGAATGAAATGAGGCATTCCCCACAACATCCACTATACTGTCCTTAGAATCAGATCGGTAATAGGTGAAACAGGTGACCATATGGGATAGTGACGTGGAAAACGCCCTAGCAGAGTGCCAGTCCTTCACACTGCTGGCAAGTTTTTCTCCACCAGGTTGTTTTACACCATTGAGCTTTTGCCTCCCAAAAGCCTCACTGTCCACACCCCACCTCCAGCCCTGGATAACTAATGCTTTCTTTTTCAAGGCTCAATCTAAGGCATTGTTCCTTTGATATATGGGACACGGGAATTCACAGGAGTTGGCGAGATTGACTGGGCAAGGAGAATGCAACAAATAGGTGCAGGTCTTCTGGCTTTAAGTCTTAAACCTAGAAGTCGGAGCAACAGAGGATAAAGAAGCAGCAGTTCAATGGGTGAAGTGTTAGAGAGAATCTAAGCCCTGTTTTAGCCTCCTTCCATATCTGCTAACGTCACCTATGTACAAAGCTCTCTCATTTAGCACACTTGACTGTAATCACTGGGTTATAGTTTTTGTTTATTTTTCCTCACTAGACTGAATATCCTAAGTTACAAACAATGTTATTTTATTCATTTTTTGTATGCTTAGCATAATACATATTATAAGTGGCTTAATAAAAGTTTGGTAACTGATTGTATGGATCGATGAATGAATGAGTGAGCTAACATTCTATATCACTATGCATGTATGTAATCTGTAAACGTATAATCCCCCTCAACTGCAGGTGAAGAGTAACTATTTATATAGCTAGACTGCTACACACCCTTGGATTTCACCTTGTGATACTCAGATAGGCTCTCAATGTCCAGCAGGTGAATTCAATTCTCTGAAACTTCTCTGGCATCACATCTATAGATCTTTAATGCACCTATTAAAAAGTGGGTTAAAAAGGAAAAAAAAAAGGGAGAGCTATTTTCACCAGAATTTTCGGAAACACTGAACACAGCAAAGGTGAGTTTAATTATAGAAAAACAGGAAGGAGTACCAGAATAAGTGGGGTTTTCTAGGACGTCATTTGCTAGAAAGAGCCTCTGGCTACACAGTGGGAAAAGAGGACAAACTTGTATATTTCTATGAAGAATTAGTGCTCTAGATTCCTTTGAAATCTAGATTCCCTTTTCCCATTCTGAAGAGTTTATTGAACATTTATTTTTGGTAGGCTTGTCACAATAAAAGGAGTTAAGATTTTATACACAGTTGGAAACTTATACTGTAAGAAATTCCAGTAAGTTTACATATGGACTTTGTATAATTTTATGAAAGCATATAAACTATTTTCATAGCATAGTATGCTAAGACTATACATCTGCTTAGGCAACTTTCATATACGGACTTGTGTAATAGTTAGTTTTTTAGAACATTTTATACTTCTCATGAAGAATTCTGACCTATCACAGAACCAAGAACATTCATCAATATACAAGAGTCTTTAAAACATGTTTGTTAGGCTGAATTGACAAAGATAGTAATCAAATTGGACAATAATATTATATTAGTCCATTCTCACTCTGCTATGAAGAAATATCTGAGACTCAGTAATTTATAAAGAAAAGAGATTTAATTGACTCACAGTTCCACATGGCTGGGGAGGCCTCGGGAAACTTGCAGAAGGCACCCCTTCACAGGGCAGCAGGAGAGAGTACGAGAGTCGAGCAAAAAGGGAAGCCCTTAATAAAACCATCAGATCTCGTGCAAACTCACTCACTATCACAAGAACAGTATGGGGAAAACCAACCTCATGATTTAATTATCTCCACCTGGTCTGGCCCTTGACATGTGGGGGTTATTACAATTGAAGGTGAGATGTGGGTGGGGACACAGAGCCAAACCAAATAAAATATTTTTAGCTATACAAGAGTTTTGAATGAGAATGAAAATGACTTATTTGTGTTTCCTTGGCTTTAACCAAGTGCTGAATGTACTTCAGGAAATGTCTCTAAAATTGTAAAAAAGAAACTTCAAAAAGAGGCTCAAATGGTTTCTACTTGGCCAAAATTTCTGGGCTTTAGATGATCCAAAACGAAACTTGCATTTTTGGCCATGGATGATTTGACTGAGGATTCTTGCCTTAATTGCCTAAGGTAATTAAGGATGGATTTGGTACTAGAGAAGACGTCCACTTCCACCTGGTCTGGTTGAAACTCCATACAACAGAGTGCCTCTTGTGAACAAATCAAATCCTCTTTCAAGGCAATATAAATTATCGATGAAAATGGAGATATGTCTCCTTTGGTAGGCCATTATGCGAAATAAAACTCAGTAAACTTATCACTTGTTCAAGGTAGCAAGTATTTGCTCCCTTGTAGCTATCAGATAGCTGCACAAAATTAAAAAAATATATATTTTACTGAGGTTTTCTAGTTTTTCCCCATGAGAAGGGATGGTTTGTAACAACCTAGTCTTAACACTACCAGCAATGGGCATTCTGTCATAAGCGTTTGGTTTTTAAGTAAAAAAAAAAAAAAAAAGAAAGTAAAATGATACAGAATTGAAATCCAGCTTTATCATCTATTAAGTTTGAAAATTTTTGTGAATTTCATAGTAAGTCCTCCGGTTTAATTGTTTAATCAGGATAAAGTTACACTATTTTACATACCATATTTGATTATGTCTTGATTTTTTATTATAACTCATATTCACATTTTATAGTTATTTACTGTATTCATCTTTTTTCTTTGTAATTTTTTACTTTTTTGAGACGAGGGTTTGCTATGTTGCCCAATGCTGATCTCAAATTCCTGGGTTCAAACAATCCTTCTGCCTCAGCCTCTTGAGTAGGTGAGACTACAGGAGTGTACCACCATGCCTGGCTCCATACAAATATTATAGCTGCCAATTTTTTTGAAAGTATTTTTTGCAACTTTACTTGGAATCACTTGAATTTACATATTGATTAAAATAGAGGTGATTTTCTACCTTTACCATATTGAGTCTTCTGATCCATAGATATATTCTCTTCCTCTTTATTTTTAGGTCTTTTATGGTTTTCAACAATTTTTAAATAATTTTGCCATAAAATGCAATTCTTCTCTTAGTCTTGTTCTAGCTACTTTTAAATTTTAGTTGCAAAATTGCAAAAAATACACTAAAATGTGCTCTTAATAACACTTTTCTACACTCGTTTTGCTGTTTTGTGTGAATTTAATAGACTACTAAAAATTGATTTTTATGTCAGCAATCTTCCAATCTTGTTAATTCTAAAATACTTTATTTTTTCTATGTAGATAAGTCTCTGAAAATTAAGATGAGTTTTATTCTTTCATTCATATTTTTATTTTTTTTGTTAAGTTCTGTTGTATTTGCATAACTTCCATTGATACTTTTCTCCAAAAATTCCTGAGTTTTTTACAATTTTGTTATATTTGTATATGTTTCAGGGCGTTTGTTATCTTTCTTTTTGAATTTATAATTTACTAGATCTACTACGGAAGAGCTAAAAGATTCTTTGAAATTTCTTGAGACACGTTTAATACCTAGTACTTGGTCAATTTTAATAAATGTTCCAGTGGACACAAAAAGTATGTTTTCTAAAGATAATGATTCCGCAGTTTTACATGCATTCATTAGATCAGTTAGGACTGATACATTTTCTGGATGATTTTGTTTATTCATATGTATTGATTATATTTACTTTAGCAGCATTTGCTTTCAAATACACACAGGGCTTCTTCCTGTTTGCGTTTGCTGGTGTGTTGCCTTTCCTCTACCCTTTTCATCTTCAGCTCTTCTAATTGGCAAGTCTAATCAACTGACATTTAACATATTTGGTGAAATATTTGATCTAATTGCTATTAACATAATTAGTACTATTTGAAACTAAAGTTTTCTGTCTTTTTTTTTACATTGATTTGTTTTCCACCATTATTTTCATTATCATATATCATATTTCTATTCTTCCAGAGGTTATCTTTAAATTTTAGCCTAGATCACTACATCCATATTTCTCATGTAAGTCACTACACTTTTAATCCTGATAAAAAATACAAAACTCTTAGAAAACCATTTCCCTTTGCATATTTATGTCATTACTTTCTGAGGCTTACTTCTATTCTTTAAACCTCCAATTTAGATAGTATTATTGCTTTATATTATCAATAATAGATGTACTAAGTTGTTTACTAATTAATTTTTTAAATTAAATTGCTATTCTTTCTTTTGCATTTAATTTTTCTTCTATTTAAAGTAGATTGCTCAAAAGTTGTTCTAGGGAACTTGGCAAAATTTTGCTTGGTGGTTTGTCAGCATATATTTTGAATTCAATGTTGTTCTCAAATTATTGTTTGACTAAGTGTATAATTTTAGATTATTATTTTCTATCAGTGCTGTTAAAATAGTCTAATATTTTATGACTTTCATTAATTTTAAATGAAATTAAAATTAAGGGCCAGGCATGGTGACTCATGCCTGTAATCCCAGTGCTTCGGGAAGCCAAGGCTGTAGGATTGCTTGAGTCCAGGAGTGTGAGACCACTCTGATTAACATAGTGAGACTGGGTCTCTAAAATATATATATATATATATATATATATATATATATATATATATATATATATATATATATATACATACATACAGGCCTGGCGCGGTGGCTCATGCCTGTAATTCCAGCACTTTGGGAGGCTGAGGGGGGCGAGTCACCTGAGGTCGGGAGTCCAAGACTAGCTTGACCAACATGAGGAAACCCCGTCTCTACTAAAAATACAAAATCAGCTGGGTGTGGTGGTGTATGCCTGTAATCCCAGCTACTCGGGAGGCTGAGGCAGGAGAATTGCTTAAACCTGGGAGGCAGAGGTTACAGTGAGCCGAGATGGCACCATTGCACTCCAGCCTGGGCAACAAGAGCAAAACTCCATCTCAAAATAAAAATTATATATATATATATAGATAGATAGATAGATAGATAGATAGATAGATAGATAAAATTTATCTATATATAGGTATAAAATAAAATTACTTGAAGGATAATATGATTTTTCTCTTTTCCTGCTTTTTTTTTTCTTTTCCTGCTTTTAACATCATTTGTTTGCCTTTATTGTATTCAGTAAACCTGGATGTGAGTAGGTATAGATTTCTTTGTTTCAAATTTTTCCTGCTTTAGATTCTTGTGATTTGGGTATCAAAGGATGCATCAATCCTGTTAACAAACTATCATAACCTCTTCAGTACTTTTCTTCTTTAATCTTTCTTTTTAAAAGTATAATTAGGAAAATGTTAAACCTTTAGGACTTTTATTCCATTCCCCACATCCCCTAAACTCTGCCATAGTCATTTCTTCAGAATAGTGTCTCTTCACCACTTCTCTCTTCTTGTGAGTATAATCCGTTCATTAATGCAGCCATATGTGTTTTTTAAAGTTTTCAAATTACTTTTATTTCTTAACAGATGGAGTTAAATAATACCAAACTGAAGAATTCTAGCAATGCTTTCAAGAGAGTTTGTATGTTTGTTTAAAATTGCTTCAGATTACTTTAGGGTTCTGAGTATGGCCTAGCTTGAAAAATAAAGTTCTTGTGCACATGAAAGGAATCTATATTCTGTCTGAAATATTGCACAATGCCCAAATATGTCACTTTGGGCAATTCATTTCATTGTGTGGTTCACATCTTCAGTGTCTATTTTTTTTCTGTTTGTGGCATTATTGAGAAATTCATGCTAAAATCTTCAGCTGTATTTCACACTTTTAAGTCCTGCTTTTATTTTATATTTTGAATATTTGTGATTATGTATGTAAAAATTTAGCACTATTATGACTTTCTCTTGTGTTGTCCTATTTTCTTTATCACTCTTTATCTTGCCTTAAAGTAGATCCTTTCTTAATCTAAGTTTCACAGGGTATAATTGTTTAATTCTTTTTAACTTACAATATATCTCTTTCCTTACATTGAAAGTTTCTTGGATATTTAACTTATAATTGTGTGCTTTTATAAAAAATTATAATGATCATTATCTTCATTGTTAATAGACTATTTTGGAACAGTTTTAGCTTCACAGGAAAACTGAGGAGCTATCATAGAAAGATAAACTATGATTAACTGAAATCATTGTTTATTCAATTTTTCTTAGTTTTTATCTAATGTCCTTTTTATGGCTCAGGACTCTATCTAGGATACCTAATTGCACTACATAGCCACGTATCCTTAGGTTCTTCTTGGCTACTGCTTCTGACTTCCTTTGTTTTTGATGACCTTGACCATTTTGGAAGTAGTACATTAGCTTCCTAGCACTGCTGTAACCAAGTACCACAAATGGAATCGCTCAAATAACAGAAATTTATTGTCTTACAATTCTGGAGCCTAGAAGTCCGAAATCAAGGTGTCCACAGGACCAGGGTCCCTCTGAAACCTGCAGAAGAGGATCCTTCCGTGCCTTTTCCTAGCTATTGGTGGTGTGCTGCAAATCCCTGGCTTTTCTCAGATTGCAACAGAGTAACTCCAGTCCCTGCCTTCATCATCACAGAGCATTCTCCTCGGTGTGCTTATCTTCACATGGCCACCTTCTTATAAGGATACCAGTCATATTGGATTAGAGGCCCATCCTACTTCAGTATAACTTCAACTTTTTCTCTTTTTCAAACAAGTAGTTATTGACATACAAAAAGCCATACATAATTAATATATACAACTTCATTAGTTTGGAGCTAAATAGCATCCATGAAACCATCACCACAATCTATGGCATAAACCTATTTACCACCACCAGAAGTTTTCTCCCATCCTCTTATTTACTATAATTGTTTATCTATGATGTAATCACTTAATGTAATATCTGTCCTCAGAAAAAAATTAAGTATACAATACCATATTATTAAAAATAAACACTTGCTGTACAGTAGATCTAGGACTTACTTATATAACCAAAACTTTGTACTTTTTGACTAATACTCCTCTTCTTTTTTTTCCCTCTGACCAGCCTCTGCCATTACCATTCCATTCTCTTCCTCTGTGGGTTTGACTTTTTGAGATTTATCATGGAGGTGGTATCATGCAGCATTTGCCCTTTTGTCTCTTCTTATTTTCCATCTGTAGACCTTTGGGGAAGTGTTTAGAACTTTTATCTATTTTAAAGTGGGCTGTTTGTTTTCTTATTGTTTAATCTGATGAGTCCTGGTTATATTTCTTGAGATAAGTCCTTTATGAGACAGGTATGTGTTTTGCAAATATTTTCTCCAGTCTTTACCTTGTGTTTTCATTTTCTTACCGGTGTCTTTAGTAGAGAAGACTATTTCAATTTTAACTAGGTCCAAAATATCAATTTTTTATTTCACAGATAGTGCTTTTGGTGTGTATCAAAAACATCACCATCAAACTCAAGGTCACCTACATTTTCTTCTTTGTTATCTCTTTGAAGTCTTAGAGTTTCGCATTTGACATTTAGGTCTATAATTCATTTTGAGTACTTTTTGTGAAAGTTATAACATCTTCGGTTAGATTCATTTCCCTTTGCATGTGGAATTTAGTTGTTCCAATACCATTTTTTTTTCTTTTATACAATTTCAGTATTTGTTTTAGATACAGGTGATACTTAGGGAGGTTTATTAAATGAGTATATAGCATGATGCTGAGGTTTGTGGTAAGGATCTTATTATCCAGCTAGTAAGCATAGTACCCAATAGGTAGTTTTTCAAACCATGTCTCCCTTCCTCTCTCCTTCAACTAGTAGTCCACAATATTTATTTTTCCCATCTTTATGCCCATGAATACCCAAAGTTTATCTTCCACTTATAAGTGAAAATATGTGGTATTTGATTTTCTCTACTTGCATTAATTTGCTTAGAATCATGGCTTCCAGATGCACCCATACTGCTGCAAAGAACATGATTTCATTTTTTATGGCTACATAGTATTCCATGGTATATATGTACCACACTTTCTTTATCCAATACACCATCGAAGGGTACCTAGATGGATTCCATGTCTTTATTATTGTGAATACCACGGTAATGAACGTATAAGTGCATGTGTCTTTTGGGTAGAATGATTTATTTTCTTTTGCGCATTTACCCAGTAATAGGATTGCTAGGTTGAAAGGTAGTTCTGTTTTATGTTCTTTGAGAGATCTCCAAACTGCTTTCCACTGTGGCTGAACTAATTTGCACTCCTACCAACAATATGTAAATGGTCCCCTTTCTATGCAACCTCACCAGTATGGGTTATTATTTGACTTTTTAATGACAGCCATTCCGACTGGTGTGAGATGGTATCTTATTGTGGTTTTGAGTTGCATTTCTCTGATGATTAGTGATGTTGAGCATTTTTCATATGTTTGCTGAACACTTCCATGTCTTTTTAGAAGTGTCTGTTCATGTCCTTTGTCTAGTTTTAGATGAGGTTGTTTTTGCTTAATTTGTTTAAGTTCCTTATAAGTTCTGGATATTAAACCTTTGTTGGGTGCATGCTTTATGAATATTTTCTACCATTCTGTAGGCTGTCTGTTTCCTCCATTGATAGTTTCTTTTCTGGGAAGAAGCTCTTTAGTTTAATTGGGTCCCACTTGTCTATTTTTCTTTTGTTGCAATTGCTTCTGGGGACTTAGCCAAAAATTGTTTGCCTAGGCTGATGTCAAGAAGGGTATTTTCTAGGATTTTTATAATTTGGGTCTTGTAAGGTGGATTTAAATCTTTAATCCACCTTGAGTTAACTTTTGTATATGGTGAAAGGTGGGGGCCCAGTTTCATTCTTCTACATATCAATAGCCACTTATCCCAGCACCATTTATTGAACAGGGACCCCTTTTCCCATTACTTGTTTTTGCCAGCTTTGTGGAAGACAGATGATTGTAGGTTTGCAGCTTTATTATCTTGGTTGTTTATTCTCTTCCTTTGGTCTGTGTGTCTGTTTCTGTACCAGTACCATGCTGTTTTGGTTAGGTAGACTTACAATACAGTTTGAAGTAGGGTAGTGTGTTGCCTCTGGCTTTGTTCTTTTTGCTTACCATTGCCTTAGGTATTCAGCCTCTTTTATGGTTCTATATAAGTTTTACAATAGTTTTTTGTAATTCTGTGAAGAATAACATTGGTAGTTTGCAAGGAATAGCATTGCCTCTGTAAATTGCTTTGGGAAGTATGGCCATTTAAATGATATTGATTCTTCTAATCCATGAACATTGAATGTTTTTCCATTACTTGTGTTGTCTCTGATTTTGTTCAGCAGTGTTTTGTAGTTATGCTTGTGGAGATTGTTTACCTTCTTGGTTAGCTGTATTCTTAGGTATTTCTAGGGGTTGGAGGAATGCCCCACTTCCATGCTGGTTCACAAATCTGTGTGTTTCACCCTTCTCAGTGCTCTGAGAGTGGGGGCTCCTTCCTTACTCCAGTGACAGCCACAGCCCTCCACTTGGCATTCTCAAGCTGTTCACTGCAGCCCTGTGGCTACAGGTCAACCTGTGCCTTGAGGTTGGGCTTCAGCTGCCCTGGGGGATCCAAAGTGCTCTCAGGTCACTGAGAAAACATTCAGGTGGAGCAAAGCATGCAGGCTGGGCAGCAGAGGCTGTGCTGTGCACACATTCCTGCAGAGAGACTAGACAAGGGCCCTGGGAGGGGCTGGCAGGCAGGAGTGCCTGCAGAATAGATGCTCCCCAGTCCTGCAGGGAAGCCAGTCCTGCTCTCTGCTAGCCCAGGTGTCAGCTGGAATTGGAGTCTCTCAGAGGGAGATGCAGAGCCCTGGGGAATGGGCATCCATGGCTGTGCTCTGCCCAAGCCACCCCATACACAAAATCTCCTGCGCTCTGTGCCTGCTGAAGCCCTGTCTATGTCTATTGCCCAGGCAGATCCCTCTGCCAGCTCACACATCCATAGGGGGAATAGGGTCCCCTGAAGCTCACATCCCAAAAGTCTCTGGTCAGAGTAGGCTGTCCCTCAGTTCCCTCACTCACCCCTTCCTCAGTGACCATTCAGGGCTGGGAGCTACCCCTAGCAGTTGGATACCTGACACAGGGTCCCAGCTTCCTCCCTCTTCAGCCTTGGTGTCACCATCACCTCTCCATCCTTTCTTGGTGTTTTCTCTCTGAAGATCTGCCCAAATTACATTGATTTACTTGATAATTAGCTCTTTCAGAGGGAGCAGCACTTCCTGGCTGAGTCTAGTCATCTGTCTTGTCCCTCTCCACCATTTTTCGTAAAGACAATCTTTTCTCCATTAAATTGCCTTTGTTCCTTTTTCAAAGATCAGTTGACTATATTGGTGTATATCTATTTTTGGACTCTCTAATCTGTTCCATTGCTCTAGGTGTCTATTATTTTGCCAATATCATGTTATCTCACTTACTGTAGCTTTATACTATGTCTTGAAGTGTGGTAGTGTCATTCTTCTAATTTGGCTCTTCTTCAATATTGTGTTGGCTGCTCTTTAACTTTTCTCTTTCCACATAAACTTTATAGTCAGTTTGTTGATATCCACAAGTTAGCTTGCTGCTATTTTAATTGGGATTGCATTGAATCTATAGATCAATTTGGGAAGAATTAATATATTAGGAATATTGAGTCTTCCAATCCATAGATACAAACTATCTATTTATTTATTTAGTTCTTCTTTGATTTCTTTCATCAAAGTTTTGTAATTTTTTACATAAAGATTTTCTATTTTTTAGATTTATGCCTAAACATTTAATTTTTTGTTTATAATATAAATGTTGTTGTATGTTTAAATCCAACTTCCAGTTGTTCATTGCTGGAATGTACAAAAGCAATTATCATTTGTACATTGATCTTGTGTCCTATTCCTTTGCTACAGTCACTTACTTTTTTCTATTATCTGAATCATCTGTAGTTTGGTTGATATCTTGAAGTAGTTCATGCTCTTTCACCACAATCATCTTTTTCATCTGGGATAGTGCCCCTAAAGGCCAATCATGGGACTTAATTAATTATGAAAGTCAGTCTGCTCTACTTAGTCCAATTAAACTTAATTGCATGTTCACTATATTCCTAATCATTCTCACCTAAGGGACATGTTACTTTCATGTTTTTAAACTGATTATCTGAGCTTAATTATTTTCACAAATATGACTCTCAGAAAAGATGTTTAGATATTGGAAGATGGAGGGAAATCAGATTTATCCCATTAACTTAAAAGTGTGTGTCAAATGTCATAATGATTTTTTGGGCTACCCATAAATCTTCATCTATAATGGAAACAATTGTACCAGAAGGAGTAACATATGAAAAAACTGCAGAAATTACTAATCAAAAAAGCAAAATAACATAGAGCTAAATTTTTGTATTAAACTGTAGTAAGCTTTAAAATCAAGTTCTAAATTTAAATTATGATTGTTAAATCAGCATGTGAAGACATGTCACGCAAATGCACTGACATAAATTACAGGCATGAGACAGATTGCATAATTGTCCTATAATATGCAAGTATAAGTAATTCTTGATTTAAAAATAAAGGACAATAGCACTGCTAGAGAATCCAGGACAATGTAATATGTGGAAGCAGGAGAAGGTAGATGGTTTCATTTGCCGAAAATTACACGGTCAGTAAGTGGCAGAGCCAAATTCGAGATCTTAAAATTATATTCCATGCTCTTTAACTACAGCACTACTTTTTCTTATGGAAAAATAATGATTTTGCAACGTAGTTACTCCTGAGTGGATCTGTTCTTACTTATAAAATTAACACCAGCATTGTGCCCATCATGAATCTGGAAAGTGTCAGCATAAACTCTTATAATCAATTGTGTGCTACCAATAACAGACCATTCCCAATAGTTGAGTATCTTTATAAATGTCAACGAATGTGGGTTTTATATCGCCTATTTGAAAGTAATTTTCCCATGGTGTTAAAATGGCGAGTTCTAGAGTTGGAGGTTGAACTATAATTTTTCAGAATCTTGATCTTTCCTCAAGCGCAAAGAAGAAAGATGAAGCTAAGTAGTCAGGCACCAATGCTGGATCGTTCTAACTCTACCAAGGGGGAGAATGCCAAATACTTCCTTCCCTTTCTCTGTTATGCCTAGCCTATGTATTAGAACTGCTGTGTGTAGGGTGCCTCCTCCAGAGCAGGAGAAAGACTCTGAGTCATTCTTCTTCCCGACGTGTGCTGAAGGGAAAGGGAGATGAGGAGAACAACTTGGAACAAACCAAAATACTCCCCAAAAGTCAGCAGCAAAACTGCATACAGAAACAATTAATTTTCACCTCTTTACTTCTTCCTTTGAAACTCTCAGGTCTGGCATCATTTCCCATTTGTGTACCTGAGAATTTTGTCAGAAGCCCTCAGACAGAAATAAAATAAATTTTTATGACTTTGAAGGCCAGGGTTTGAACTGTGGCAACGAAAACTTGGAGGGGTAGGGAGGAGAAAAAGGTCAACTGTATTCCAATTGGAGAAAAGGTACTCAAAATTGCTTTCACACAAATGTATTTCAGAAGGATGGTAAGCACCTTATAAACAGAGCAAAAATAGATGCAAATAATTTATTTCAGAAGATGTAGGTATGGGGTGCTGATGTGGTATACTCTATTTGAAGTAATACATCTACAGGAATCTGGAGGACTTCAAAATATAATGCTATGATTCAGACACTTTTTCCATTACATGAAGTTAGAAATGTGTTTTCTCAGTTCCTAAACTGCATTGTGTATACTCTCTATTGATCTGGTACAAGTAGTGGGTTCCTCCATTCATTTTACCTCCCAGTTATTGGGAGCTTTTTAATCGAATTTTTAGATCAAATGAATCTGTAAACCAACTGACCAGACAAGGTTTTGGTTTGAGATGTTTCGATTTGAAGCAATATTTCTTCTTTCTGATAAATACATTATAATTACCTATCACAGGAGATAAAGTAGCAAGGTGGCTAAAAGTAAAGGCTTTGGAGTCAGATGGCCTGGATTAAAATCCTGTTTTAAGTTTGCCAGTACTTTGGACATGGGAATATTACCTAGCCTTCCTGAGCCTCGGTGACCTTATATATACAATGGGGATGATAATTATATCTGGCTCATTGGATTATTGTGAGGATTAACTGTGTTCATTTATGAAATACATCTTTACTCATACTGTTGCTCAGTGGACACCAGCTGTCTTGTTTTTGTTTTTTGTTTTCATTATGTGCAAAATCATTCTAGGTACAAAATTGAAAGGGTGTTTAAAATAAGAGATCAGGGAGCTCTCACTGCTTTCAAGTCTACTCATGAATAAGACACAGTTCCGCTCTTCAAAGGACAAAAAACACTAGAGAATCAGACAGGCACTCAAATCAAAGCCGTAGAATGGAGTTTTGAGAGATATTAAATGGAATATGAGTTTGCAAATAAAAAGCACATTCAGAGGGTTATTAGGAAAAGAGAGTGTAGGATTATTCTGAATTATTAAGCTATTTCAATTTTGTATTTGAGTTGTGAAAATGCCAATGAATTAGCTCTTTTGGAAATTGCTGGAAGTACTTTGAGGTTATTAGCGTCATATAATTGTGTACTTAAAGAGTAATCAGTTTTTCCTGGAGGAATAAAGAAAGCCACTGTAGTTGGGTTAAGTGGCTTTTTATTTCTAGTGATATTATGTTCTACACTATGAAGCAATGAAGCTCTGAATAGAAACACATAAAAGAGCAGTCAGTATGGAGTTAGAAAACCTGGGACTTGCCTAGTTTTCTTGTCAACTATGTATTTAATTTTTGTATGCCTCAACCCTTCTTCATTTAGGAAACAAGAGACTAATACAAAAGCTTCTGAATATTAAATGAAATAAACCATGAATAAGTTGTTTGCAACATCCAACATATTATATAAGCTAAGCCGTTATCCTCTGTGATTGAAATTTGAAACCCAAAACTATCTGAGATCACCTGAAAATACCACGTTACTTTTCTCTTAGGGTTTCATAAATTACTTATTTTATTCTCATTAAATCTTTGCATGTCATCAGTATGAGGATTACTGTCTTTATTTTGAAGATGATGAAACTGAGACTCAAATAATTTGAATGATTTTCCATTAGTACTTGGCCTGAAATAGCAAGAGGCAAAACTAGAAGCAAAAGCTTAAGATACTCTCATTGGTATTTCAGCATGTCTTGAAGACTGCCAAAACTAATAAAGAAACAGTTGATGCAGGACCAGATGCCTAGACTTTGTATCTTGAGATATTGCTTAAGACTTACAGAATGATTGACAAACATTAGGCATGCCAAGGATTCTTATGGAGTGATGGTAAATTGTAAGACACTATGGTCAGCCAGTGAAGCATTGAACTTTCAGACATCTTGTGCCTCTTATTATACATTCTTTTCAACTTCAGCTCCCATGGTTATTCAGATGCATCAAAGAGTAGTGCTGCTAAGGGTGAGCCTGGTGGTCATATTTCTGTAGAGAGATGTAAGTTACATACATAAATTCCAGTTTAGGTTTTCCAGTAGTCAAACTGTGATCTCACTACCAATTGGAATGAGCTATCACAGTGAACTAGGAACTGAAATTTGAATCAGAGACTTGGATTCTAGGCAAACTGTGTCCCTAATGTAATCATCTAGGCATCACTTATGGCATAATTGTTATAGAAACTGTTAATGCCCTTTCTATGCCCTTTATAATTCTAAATTCATTTTCTGAATAATAATCTTCATGTAACATGTACAATGTCTTTTAACATGTGCTATAAAATATACTGTACTATACTAAGCTATGTAATATATGATACACTATATAAACAGAATTTGTGTTTTTGCTTTTTCAATTTATGTAATTTTACATGAAAGTTTAAACTAGCTGAATCCAAACAATCTTTAACTAATATATGTTAAAATACTTAACATAATTCAAAACAAAATTCTGGTTAGAGATGTGTTTGGATAATTAGGTGAGATAAAAGGTTACCAGTCTAAAACTACTACCACTAAAATTAACAAATTAATTATTAACTGGCTGGAATTGTGATAAGTATTTGATATCAATTGTTTTTTCTTTACAACTGGAATCAAATGATATTGGAGTTTTAAAGTAGTTTTAAGTACTCAAATAGCTCCACAATGTATGAACAATAATGAAGGGAACTTAATTTACTCTGTATCAAACATATTATCAGGCTACATTAATCAAATCAATGTGGAATTTGTTCAAAAATGGGTACCAAAATATTAACGTATTTAATGTAAGATAAGGTGATTTTTTTCAATTTATTAAAAGGAAGGCTAATTATTTCATGATACTTGTGGCAGCCAGTTTACCTATCTGGAAAACAAATGAAAACATTCACCAGTTACCTAACTTTCACCATATATAATAGATATATCACAAATGTGTTCAATACTTAAATGTTGACAAAAACACTTAGAAACAAACAAACAAAAATCCTGTGCAACTTAAGGTCAAAGAGAGCTTTTAATCTAAGCTTTAAAATCCTGAGTCTAAAAAAGAAAAGATATAATTTTAAAATATTTTAAAAATACTATTTGTGGCAAATTATTACATTCACCAAATCAATTAATATAAAATAGATTTAGAATGTAGATTTGCAATTCAGGTAAGACAAAAAGGATGACTCTCTATGACACATAAAGAGATCTTAAGAAATTGAGCAAAGATGATGTTAACCCAATTATCCAATAGTCAAAGAACATGAATAAACAATTCACTGAAGAATAATTCTAGATGGCTGAAAATGTTTTTAAATGCTTAAATTCACAATTAGGAAACACAAATCAGAGTAACAAAGAGCTATTACTTTATGCTTATCAGTATAGCTAACAATGAAATCATGTCTATTGCTCTTATGAATGTGAGTTACTGTCATATACCCCTCTTTCAAATGTGAATTGATAAAGCCCTTTTTGAAAGATGTTTAGCATATTAAAGAATAATGTATTAAGAATAAAGAAATAAAATTTGTATGTATATTAGAATCATATTTTATTTAAAAGTAATCCAAAGGGTTTTTCTGGGTTTTTGTTTGTTTGTTTGTTTAGAGATAAGGTCTTGTTTTGTCACCCAGGCTGGAGTGCTGCAGCATGATCAGAGCTCACTGTAACCTAGCCATAAGCAATCCCCCCACCTCAGTCTTCCAAAGCACAGGGATTAGAGGCATGAGCCACCGGGCCCAGCCACAAGATTTCTTATATCTGGGTGAGTGTGTATATGAAGAGTCCACAACATGCTTGCACATGACTATGTTTGTGAAGAAGCATGGTTTTTCAGGTGTTGACCTTGATTCATAGAGAACAAGGTAGCAAATTGGCTACCTTGGTTGAGAGACTGAATAAGCAAATAAGTAAATATATTGAGACTATTGTTAGCCCAAATAAGGGTGTTGCTTTGTAGCCCAAATGTGTTGAGAATCACTGAAATAGTCTCATGAATAAACGGTATTTTTATGTTGACAGCAAAGCCTTTGCCTACATGTTCATGTCCTCTATCTTGAGTTTTCTCTTTTTGTTCCTTTGTTGTTTTTTCAGTCTCACCTTACCTTCTCTCTTCTGTTCCTTCCTTTCCTTCAGTCTTTTCCTATTTTTACAATTTCTCTTCCAGCTCTTCTCTTTCTGCTCTTTTGCCCTTCCTGTTTCCCTTCCTCTTTCCTCTCCTTTTCTTCGTTCTTCTTTTTATCTTTCATATCTTCCTCCCTTCTCTCTTTCTTCCCTTCATTTCTTCCTTCCCTTCCCTCAGTGGCAGGGTCTATGTGTCAGAGACCAAGAAGGCAGAATGGTGAGGATGGAGAGTAGGGTGCCAGGCAGGATGTGGGAAAGGTCATCTAGAGGAACCAGTGTTCCTGATGGTCAAGGAAGCTGAGCAGTAGGTAACCGGATGGTGAGGAGGCAATAGGGTATCTAGCAAGAAAGAAATGGGGCTCTGGGAGGCGAGCAATAGGGATTTGTCAGTGCTGCTGGCCTAGGAGAGAGTAGAGGGTGAATGGAGGGAGAGGTGTCCATGAAGGAGGCATCTGATAGCCTATGAGGCAGCATGACAGGAGTGGAGAGGCCATGGATAGAAGTGGTTGGCTTGATTGGGAGAGGAGTAACATGAAACAAATAAGTAAAATCATGAAAGAATAAGTAAAAATATTGACGATAATGTGAACCAGGTTTTCCAATGTTAGAAAAGTGACATACAAGCATGAAAAGCAGTGAAGGCTAGAAAGAAATCTGAGATTTTGGGCTTTGAATTGTAGGTAGTAATATGAACTCTTATTTTTAATAAGTATGTACATATAAATATAGAAATTTGAATTGTAAGTAGCAATATGAACTCTTATTTTTAATAAGTATGTACATTTAAATATAGAAATAGCTTTAGCTCTGCGTGTGGTTCTTTTGGTTTAGAAAGACAGGTGAATTCGAGTGGAGAATGGAAGAGAGTCAGTTGGCATTTTCCCAGAATTCTCTTCTTCCTCATAATCATAGACACATGTTCTCTGTTTTAGTTGTTGAAATTAAATTCGAGAGGGAGGAAATTAAACTTGAATCCTTATTTTGTCATTTCCCAGCTAGTACTTGGGTTTATTTGAAGACTTAAATGAGATGAAATATACAACTTAGCTGCTCTTCTGACGAAGTGAAATGAAAACTGTATATGTCACCTGATGTTTTAAAAAAATCAATATCACCGGTTGGATTTATACAAGTCTGAAGTTACCTGAATTGGAGGCACTAGCACTATTTTGTATGGAGGAGACAGAACTTAGAAAATAAGTAATTTGATGAAAGTCGCTAATGAGGAACGGAACTCTGCCCCAGAGCCCAAGCTTCCTCATCACGAATCCAGCAGCAAAATGTCATGTTAATTTTATTTTAATCCCAGTATTTTCTGAAAACTAAATGCCTTTTTCTGTAGGGTTTGATAATTTTAATATTTAGTATTTAGTTAATTTGACACTTCTATGGCAAGTGTAGGATAGCTCTGATGATTCCTAATTGACGTTAATATTCCCTTGCAAAACTTTATTCTATGGTTTGATATATAATACTTAATACATGATAACAGAGAAAAATGCTGTCTTCAGTGCACCAGAATGGAAAAGTCCAAGCCGGCATTTTGGGATTTTCCCCTTATCATAGCAGTACACAGGCAGCACATTCTGACCTATCAAATTTGAGAAGTGTGGTCTATTGAGGTTTTATGAGAAAGTGTGAAATAAATTTCCCATTGAAAACATGTTGATAAAATGTTGGCAGTTAGAATCTCCATAGCAAAGAAAGAAAATGTGTTTGAAAATATCCAAGTGAATGGTCATGTTTTAAGTTAACAAGGAGTTGCCAGAAGCCTCCCTTGAAATCAGTAAACTGCTCATCTTGCAGATTGTGTTAGGAATTAGATTTATGGAGCAAAAATATCCTACATTACAGAATAAGAGCAAAGAGGTGCCAAATTTCTAAATGTCTTATATAATTTTGTTTTGATGTAAACAATAGCGTCTGATATTATAATAAGATCCAGTTAATACAATAGTGAGAATCACTATGTCAGGCAGGCAGAAGAAAATAGCATGCACTTTTCACCTTTGACCAGAAGCTCATTATATTTTTATGTATTTATTTGCTTTTATCATCAGAGCATATGAGCACAACAAAAGGAATACATAAGGTGGTACAACGCAGTAAATAAAAGCATGGTGCAAGAGGTTAACAATATGCTATTGTAAAATACTATCACCTTTCAACGATTAGCATTTTTTGGAAGGGAAAAATTGCAATACATAATAGAAGGAAAACTTAGCAAGTGTTTGGAATTAATAGTGACACATACTTGGAGAAATTTCTAACACTTAGAGCAAAAATACGGCTAAATTTTTTAAACTATTATTCTTTTTCTCTCACACAAACATTCAGAAATACACACAGTGTCTGAACAATATAATCACTACACTCTACATATTCAGCTATCATTTCAACTATAATTTTCCATTTTTACATTAATCTATCTGTACATTCATTCACCCATCCATCATCTATCTGCCTATCTATCTATCTATCTATGTATCCAAAGTCTCTCATCTTTTTAACTAATTTTCCCTCTCATCTATTGTGGATGATGGAAATGATTTTGCCCTTCTTTCCATGGTTTATACTTGGCCCCAGAGTAGAGCACAAAATTCCACTTACACTTCTTGCTGGCCTTCCTACCTGGGGGGAGAAATTGAGGCTTTTATTCATTGGACCTGAAAATGACTAGGCTACATTTTGTTATAGGCTTCTTACCTCCCCTTAAAGGTATCATTCTAGTTCTTCCTTCTTTCTTTCGCCTCCTGTCTTCATATTGTAAGCATACCTAAAATCTGTCTTTTGAGAGAAAAGCTAAAGACAACTCATTCTCCATCTACTAGATTATCTGCAGGTGACCACATGGAAGAAAACGTTAAATAAGGCAATTAACAAGTGTATAATCCACATAGCTGGACACTCTGTATTTGAAGAAGTCTCTCCTAAACCTTCTGGAAATATTTTTCAAACCAACTTTTACCAAAGCATCTTTTGTACTTGGAGTGGAGTGAGGAGGTCAGAGCTGTTAACAGTCCCATCCAGGCCCAACCTCTATTTAATGCAGTATCTAAAAATGTTTGAGGTGATGGATATCCCAGTTACCCCAATTTGATCATTATATGTACAACTATTCTATTTCAATTAATAATAGGTTTCTTGAATAAAATTAAGATTAAACTGGGGGAAAATCCTACTTTGTTATAGATTTGTCTGCACATAACTTCCCTTGCTGGGAACATAAGGAAAGAAAGGTAAATGGGAACACTGAAGCACAAACACACCAGATTTCACACACACACACACACACACACACACACACACACACACACAGAGAGAGAGAGAGAGAGTGAGAGAGAGAGCGAGCCTGATTTGACAACAGTGTTGTTTACTTTACCCTTTGATACTTTATTCTCATTCCTTTGCCATTCTCTTCCCTGATTCCTTCTCTGACCTAACATGTGACTGCCTCTTATTTTTCTGTACATGTCTGTCTCTCTTTTTCTTTTCTTTTTCTTCCGAAGTGGAAGCTACAAGTATCAGCTATGCTATAGTGGCAGTCTTTCTTCCTTAAAATCTGGATGCAAAAGGTGCTGCTATTCTGTTCTTGAGTGCTCTACAGAATGAAGTGATGGAGAGAAGTTGCAGTGAGATCAATACTTGTCCATTTGTCAAGCTAGTTTGGGTGTTTACATCATTATTTTTAAGTGATAGATCTAAAATAAAGATATTATTCATGTGCAATGTATTCACATACATATACATGTGCACATATACAGGCTAACACACAAGTACATAACCCTAAAAGGAATAAGTTTATTGGACATTTGCATTCTTTGACAATTTAAAGTAGAACTACCTGCTGTAGTAGATAAGGATCAGCCTGTTTGCTTAGCCATGGATAAAGGAGTTTTCCAAAGCACTGCAATACAGAGTGCTATGAATTCTGTCTCAAGAAATATTATCATGGGGTTTCCCACCTGCTTTGTAGAAGCCATTTGTCCCTGGAGAATTTTCAGCCTAATTGTAACTGACACATTAATAATGGCATCCAGAGTGTCAAACCTACCACATGAGACTGGAAGAGATAATGTGTGAGAAAACCATACTCCACTAGGTAAGGAATCTGAAAAAAAAAAATGTTATAATGAATCAAACTGAAACAAGGTTCATAGCAAAATGCTGCATTCATAATTATAATTTTGTTTTCATTTTGAATAACCTATTTTATAAATAAGACTGATGTAACATGTTTAAAAAATTTGTCGTAATCAGTAAATAACAATAAATTGGAATACCAATGTCTATTTTCTAAAATAAATGTTCAATGGAAATGAGGAAAGTCTAGAGATTTTATGAAAAGCAACTTCTGTCTTTTCTGTTCCAGTTCATTCAACAAATAGGTTGAAATGGAAATGACTTGAGAGTCCTGACAACTACAGAGAATTTAAAATACTTATGTTGTGAATATCTTCTTATTATTCATATGTATTACTAGTCTTTGAATGGCCAATAAAAGGTAATATTAATAAGTGCAACTAAAATCATGGTCCCCTTAAATTATTTGTTCTCTATTTGTAACTATACAACAGAGCCATTTAGTATTAATACCTGTATCATCATCACCATGTGTAAAAGCTTTCCTCTGTAACAGAGATTTATCTGGAAAACTCTTTCAAATTGATCTATTAGGAAGAAAGAGCAGAGAAGACTAGTATGGGTCACTCATCCAACCCTGGTGTCAAAATTCTGAATTTGCATTTAAACAGGTAAACTTCCCCAGTAGAATTTAACACCAAAATATTGTTTAATTATTTTTATACAACAATATTAAATGATTTAAATCAACAATATAAAATGTTCACAATTTTTTCACATGTTACTCTGTCAGGATATTCATTTATTGTATGTGTGATATGGAAATTACTTCAAAAGTCTGCAAACTTCCAAAGACTTTACAAAAAACAAGGCACATGAAAGAGTAATCTGATTTACTCATCTGACATTTTCTTCATGAACTTAATGGAAAAATCATGCTGGCCATAGAATCATACAGCCAGAGAATATAAAGTGTTTCTCTTCTATTTCTACTTTGCTTCCTTTTTGGATAAACCACTGAAAACTCATTGAATACCATTTTCACATGTTAGCATAAAAGAAATAAACTCGATTTTTAAAGTACATCACACAGCCATCGAAAGAACATTGTATTAGTCTGTTTTCATGCCACTGATAAAGACATACCTGAGACTGGGCAATTTACAAAAGACAGAGGTTTAACTGACTTACACTTCCACCTGGCTGGTGAAGCCTAGCAATCATAGCAAAGGCAAAGAAGAGCAAGTCCCGTCTTACATGGGTGGCAGCAGGCAGAGAGAGAGTGATGAAGAAGCAAAAGTGGAAACCCCTTATACAACCATCAGACCTTGTGAGACATATTCACTACCATGAGAATAGTATGTTGGAAAACACCCCCATGATTCAATTTTCTCCCACTAGATCCCTCCCACAACATGTGGGAATTATGGGAGTACAATTCAAGATGAGATTTGGGTGGAGACACAGCCAAATCATATCAAACATGTAAAAAAATAAGATTTTATAATAGATTATTATTAACTTTGGTGGTTTTAAAACACTTAATGAAGGGTAGGTGTGAAGCAGTTTCACTGTGGATTGGTCGCCAACTTGTCTACATCTGGTGAGAGAGAACATGCTCAACAAGTTACATGACGTGGATTTTTTACTTTCAGATAGGCAGCAAAGAACAATAGAAGCCTGGGATTTACTTTGAGCCAGGCCCTAAACACTCAGAAAGCTGCATAGGGTAGATAGTCTTAACTGTGCATAGCCCACATGCACGGCAGATGAGGGACTTCCAAAGGCAGCCCATCTGGGTTGTATACCTCAGGGTCACAGGACTCACTGAGCTAAAAGCATTGAAGGACACTGTCTACTGGGAGTGGAGAGTTGAACAGAGCTCTGGCTGTTCCAGCCAGCTCTCACACACCCCTATCTGAAAATGTTGCATTCACAGCACATTCTACAGTTGTTCTTGAGAACTACAAGCAAGAAAGGGAGAACTGGGTCACTCTAAAGCAGTAGAAACTGAGAAGCAGTTTGTCCTGCAGTAGAAACTGAGAAAACAATATAAGTCCACCAGAAATGGTTACATCAACATTAATTCTTCTATAAAAGTCAATATTCTCACCATACATTCAACAGGAAGTCCAGTGCTTCCAGAATATGGCCCTCTAGGCGTTGCTGCTGACAGACAGAAAGCAAAGTACTTCTTGCATTTTCAAGATATTTGGGATCATTACAGGGAAATAATTGACATTCAATATGTTTTACTCAAAACATAGAACCCTTTTACTAGGAACTAAAATGAGTAAGACTCTAGGTAACATATTTGAGGGTAAGTGGTAGAGATGTTTATATTTCCCTTACGAGAAAGTCAATACTCTCAAAGCCTACAATAACATGTTTTTCTGATGTTAGGGAAAAAAGAAAACATGAGATTTATTTCTTTATAAATATTTCTACAGAAATATTGAAGCAAAATCTTCAATTCTAGCACTACTGGCGAAACATCTATCAATGTTTTATGAAAGATCCCTGAAGCCAGGCTCAACATAGTCATTCTTCATCCTTTCTTCAAAATAAACATTTATTGTTATGTCTATTTTCCAAATATTTATATGGCTTTTGTATACTCACCAGGACAACAATGGCTGCAAAAGACAATTGATGAGTGTAACATAGATTTACAGGCATATTACAGAGATATTACAGGTTCAGTTCCAGCCCACTGCAATAAAGTGAATATTGGAATAAAGTGAGCCACATGAATTTTTTGGCTTCCCAGTGCAAGTAAGAGTTATTTTTACACTATACTGTAGTGTAAGTATCCGTTATGCCTAAAAAATACATACCATAATTAAAAACGCTTTATTGCTAAAAATGCCAATAACCTTCAGTGTGTCATAATCTTTTTGCTGGTAGAGTTCATGCCTCAATGTTGACAGTGCTGACTGATCAGAGTTGCATTTGCTGAAGGTTGGGGGCTGCTGATTGATTAGGGTGGCATTTGCTGAAGGTTGGGGCTGCTGACAAATTAAGGAGGTGTTTGCTGAAGGTTGGGGTCAATTTCTTAAAATAAGGCAACGATAAAGTTTTCCACATCAATCGACTATTTCTTTCATGAAAGATTTCTTGGCATCATGTGATGCTATTTGAAGGCATTCTACCAATGGTAGAACTTCTTTCAAATTTGGAGTCCATCCACTCAAAATTTGGTGCTGCTTTATCAACTAAGTTTATGTAATATTCTAAATCTTTTGCTGTCATTTCAACAATATTCACAGCACCTTCACCAAGAATAGATTCCATCTTAAGAAGCCACTTTCCTTGCTCATCCATAAGGAGCAATGCCTCATCCATGAAAGTTTTATCATAAGATTGCAGCATTTCAATCACATTTTCAGGTTCTACTTCTAATTCTAGTTATCTTGCTATTTCCACCAGTATCTGCAGTTGCTACCTCCTCTTAAGTCTTAAACATCTCAGTCATCCATGAGGGTTGGAATAAACTTACCCTCAAATTCCTTTAATGTAGATATTTTGACTTTATCCCATGAAACAAATGTTCTTAATGACAACTAGAATGGCAAATCTTTTCCAGAAGATCTTCAACTTACTTTGTCCAGATCTATCAGAGGAATCACTATTTATGGCAGCTATACCCTTATAAAACATATTTCTTAAATAATAAGACTTAAAAGTCAAAAGTACTTCTTGATTCAGGGACTGCAGAATAGATGTTTTGTTAGTAGTCGTGAAACAACATTCATCTCTTTGCCAATCTCCATCAGAGCTCTTAAGTGATCAGGGACATTGTCAATGAGCACTAATACATTGAAAGAAATATTTTTCTCTAATCAGTTCTCAACAGTGGGCTTAAATATTCAGTAAACTATGCTGTAAACACATGCACTGTCATTCCGAGTTTATTATTCAATTTACTGAGCACAGACAGAGTATATTTAGCATAATTCTTAAGGGCTCTATGATTTTCAGAATGGTGAATGTCAGCCTGTTCTCTCACTGCTATAAAGAACTAGCTGAGAATGGGTAATTTATCCAGAAAAGAAGTATAATTAGCTCATAGTTCTTGAGGCTGTACAGGAAGCATGGCTGGGGAGGCCTCAGGAAACTTACAGTCATAAAAGGCAAAGGGGAACAAGAGGAAGAGGATGAAGGGGGAGGTGCCACACACTGTTAAACAGCCAGATCTCCTAAGAATTCTCTTACTAGCCCAAGAACAGCAAGGGGGCAGTCAGCCCCCAGGACCTAGTCACCTTCCACCAGACCCCTCCTCTAACATTGGGGATCACAATTCAACATGATATTTGAGTTGGAAAACAAACTGAAGCCACATCAGTAAATAAACATTGACTTCAACTTAAAAATCACAAGACGCTTTAGTCTCTAGCGAGAGAGTCAAGCTGTCTTTGCAGCTTTGAAGCCAAGCACTGGCTTTGCCTCCTTAGCTGTGAAAGGCCTGGATGGCACTTCTTATAGTAGAAGGCTGTTTTGTCTGCATGGAAATTCTCTTGTTTAGTGGAGCCACCTTCATCAATGATCTTAGCTAGATCTTCTGGATAACCTGATGCCGTTACTACTTCAGCACTTTCTGCTTCACTTTGCACTTTTGTGTTGTGGAGTCTTTCTTTCCTGAAACCCCATGAACCAATCTCTGCTAGCTTCCAACTTTTCTTTTGCAGCTTCCTCAACTCTCTCAGATCTCATAGAATTGAAGACAGTTAGGGCCTTGCTCTGGGTTAGGCTTTGGCATAAGGGATGTTGAGTCTGGTCTGATCTTCAATTCAGATGACATGAACTTTCTTCATATCAACAACAAAGCTGTCTTGCTTTCTTATCATTTTTGTTTTTATTGGAGTAACACTTTAAATTTCCTTCAAGAACTTTTCCTTTGCGGTCACAACCTAGTTAACTGGCAAAAAATGCCAAGCTTTTGGCCTATTTTAGCTTTTGACATATCTTCCTCACCAAGCTTAATCATTCCTAGCTTTTGTTTTAAAGTGAGAGGCATGTAACTCTTCTCTCACTTGAACACTTACGGGCCATTGTAGGGTTCTCACAAACCTTCTATCTGTAAAAAAATGTGTTATCTGCGAAGTGCAGTTAAGCAAAACACAATGAAACAAGGTATGCACATAGAAGATAAACTACCAGGGTAACAAAGACATGGCATGTGAAGGTATTTTAATTTAAAATGGCATAGGAAGATCAAGGAAAATAAAATAAAATGGCATTCCAAATAGCATGTGACAGGACACTCTTAAAAGTTTATTAGTTAGGTTTGCTACAGTAATGCAGCATAACAAAATACCACAATGTCTTAGTGGCTTAAAGGAATACCATTTTTTTTTTTTTTTTTTTTTTTTTTGAGACAGATTCTCACTCTGTCAGCCTGTTGCCCAGGCTGGAATGTGGTGGTGTGATCTCAGCTCACTGAAAGCTCCGCCTCCCAGGTTTACATCATTCTCCTGCCTCAGCCTCTCGAGTAGCTGGGACTACAGGCGCCCGCCACCACACCAGGCTAATTTTTGTATTTTTAGTAGAGACAGGGTTTCACTGTGTTAGCCAGGATGGTCTCGATCTCCTGACCTTGTGATCTGCCTGCCTCGGCCTCCCAAAGTGCTGGGATTACAGGTGTGAACCACCATGCCCGGCCAGAATACATTTTTTTTTTCAGCACTCACAAATCTATAAATTTAAATGTTGCTCTTCTGACTGTGGCTGGCCTCAAATGGGCTTTGCTTTGGGGTTGCAGATTTAGTTTAGGTCTGCTCAAGTGTTTCTCCATTATGGAACCATTAGGAATTTGAAGTGTGCTTTTTTTTTAATCATGGATGCCAGAAGGACAAGAGGTCAACTGAAAAACACTCAATTTCTGCTGGAATTAGTGTTGCTAACATACAGTGCCCAAAGCAAATAACTGCCTAAACCCAATATCACTCAGGCAGGAAAACATACTCAACTTACAATAGAAGGAAGTATAATAAAATCACATGAAAAATTCAATAGATGCATTTTTGATAATGATTTGAGGGAGGAGTAGTAAGCGATGATTTAGTTTAGATACTTGTTCACTCCAAATCTCATGTTGAAATGTGATCCCCAGTGTTGGAGGTGGGGCCTGGTAGGAGGTGTTTGGGTCATGGGGGCAGATCCCTCATGAATGGTTTGGTGCCTTCCCTGCAGTAATGAGTTAACATGAAATCTAGATGTTTAAAAGAGTCTGGGGCCTCCCTTTTTTCTCTTTTGCTCCTGCTCTCGCCATGTGACACACTGGCTCCCTCATCTCTTCCACCATGACTGAATGTTTCCTGAGGCCTCACCCAGATGTTGGACCCATGCTTGTACTTCCTGCAGAACCAGGAGCCAAATAAATCCCTTTCCTTTATAAATTCCCTGGTCTTAGGTATTCCGTTATAGAAATGCAAAACAGACTAACATAATGATCCATTAAGTATTGCAGTAGAATCTCTAGAGCTAAAAGGTACAGATTTCCTCAGGGGTAAGGAAATCTTCGAAGAGTACCATGACTATATGGCATTTGTAATAGACTTGATTCATGGCTTTTGTGAAAATTAAATGAGACGGTAATTGATAAATGTAACTTACCCTTTCCTATGTATTCTGAAGATCTTAAAAATATCAATTTATGTAAAATATCAAAAATTATTGAGGAGATTTCTACACTTCTTTAGGTTTTTTGGAGCAAAGCATTGCTTAGAGAGCAAACTCCCTTACTTTAGAGGTAACATTGTTCTATTTGCAAACATCTTTCTATTTTCAGGGGCATCTTTTCTGTAAAAGTGAACCCAGAATTTCCTTGCTAAATTTGGTGCAACTAGATAGTGGCATGGGACTCCAGATTCACTGTGACTATTCTGTCATTTTTTTTTGTCACCATACTTTATCCATCATGTGATGCTATTCTGATCATCATAGTTCAACTGAAACCCCGTGTTATGCCAAATACATACATTCTTATAGGAGGCAAGTATGTAAGAATGGGCGATTAGGTAATTATTGCTATCACTCATTGCTAGGCAGATTGAAGACATAGTCACATTTCAGGAAAAACAATGTCTTTAATAGTCTATTAAACGAAAGCAAAGGAAATAATTTATTAGCTGATATGGTAGAATAATCTCAAGTATATAACTGAAAGTCAAAAACAATGACTGCTACTCATAGTACCTGGGTTAATATTGTTGATATCTATGTAAATACGTAATGAAAAGCATGAAAGGAAGCTATCAAAATATTTTGGGGGATTAATTTAGGATTTTGAGGTTTTGGGTGACTTTTAAACAATCTTCCATGTATAAATATATTATCCACTTTTTAATGTAATGATCACAACTGCTAAACAATAGATATTTTATTGTTGGCAACACAGTATATTCTTTAGAATGAATTATACATGGGTTCTATACTTACTCTGTGGACATAGCCAATCATAAAACCTCTCTCAGCCTGTGCTACCTGTGTGTAGAATGGATGTACTGGACTACAGAATTGGAACTCATAGGATTGTTATGTGTTTGGGCTAAAGAATGACTTAGCCCAGAATCTGGCATATGATGACCAGCAATTAAAAATGTTCTGCCATCATCATCATCATCATCATCATCATCATCACCATCATCATCTTAATTAAATGACCAGAATTTAATTCTACCCCTAATGCCAACATATCTCAGCAACTGTAGTGTAACAGAGCAGCCAGGATTTTTTGTTTGAATCTATTCACCTGAAGTTAAGCTTGATTTGGGACCCAGAACAGCAGAGCTATTTGTCTATCATGAACTAGCTTATGATCCTGGGCATGACATCAACTCTTTAGTTTTCCATCCCCATACACATAAAATTTAAGAATTAGAAAATATTAACCCTAAGAAATTATCAATTATGATGTCAATTTAAGTTATTCTATATGTGTTCTAGACGTGATCTATACATCTAGGTCAACACCATTTCTTTTTCACAGGAGGCTTCGGCCTGGTTTTCCTTCTTCCACCTTGGCCCTTCAGTAACCCACATTCTGTACAGTAGCACAAATGACAAATTGAAAATAGAAATTTCATCTTGCTGTTCTATGGCTTATACCCATCCATGTAGTTGGAATAAAATCAATGTCTTATTATGGCCTTCAATGTTCTATTCAACCTAACCCCAGACTCTCACTGCCATCTTGACTAGAATCATTGCCCCTTGTTTCCATATTCCAATTACAGCAATATTCTCCCACTTACTCAAATAGTCCAGGTTCTTTTCCAACTCAAAGTCTTTGAATAACCAACTTTTTCCAAATAAAAACCTGTTTATCTGACCCATTGTTTAGCCAGCTCTTTTTGACTCCTCAGGTTGCATCTTAAATACTGTCTATCTAAGGGGCATTCCCAGCCACCTATGTAAATAACTGGCCTCTGTTGCTACTGGCTGCCCCAATTTGTTGATTTTCAACCCCCTGTTAAAGTTCTACATAATGCTTTAACTGATTTTTAGTATTTTAAAGTTTCTTAAAATTTATTTTAATTTCTTCTCTTTTAGACTTTTTAGATCCAAGAACAGAAGATTTGTTTTAATCCAGATATCTCTTTTGTCCACCAGATCTAGGATGGTGACTGTTGACAAAAGATGTTGAATAAATATTTATTGTTGGATGAGTGCAAATAAAAGGATGAATGGATGAATAAAGGGGTTAAAAAGGGAATAATGAAGAATGAGAGCATGCATATGCATACGTTTGCAACCTGTCAATATCCAGCACTATCATTTCACTTGGTTCTGACAGGCTTTTTCTTGCAACATAAGCAAGAATGTCTAAGCTACAAGGGGACTGGGGGCACGAAGGGAGCTACTAGTGCACTGCATTTTCTAGAGAGTGGATGTCAACAGTATCACAATTGTTTATTACGTAAATGGGAATTTTCCAATAAATACATCATGGGATTAGAAGGGACTTGTGACCCTACCAGTGTTTTGGGTTTTTTGAACATATTAAATGATTTCAAAATTTAGAGGCTTGATGTAACACTAAATGTATTTTACCAGCTATTGTCAAATTTCATTTAAAAATACATTTTAGGTCAGAGACTTTATTGTATTCTTTCCTCTTGGGTCAACTAGACACAGAGGTCAGACTTCACATAATTGCAGCTGGCCTTCCCTGACCACCCTGTTGGCCCATTGCTTCCCTCTGTTGTTCACAATTTTACAGGTAGAGTTAAACATTTACCTGTTTTTGTCCATGAGGGACAAGCTCCAAAATATGATTGACCTTATGTGACTTTTGCTACTGTAGAGAACATTATTTGTGTCTTTCAAACAAATGTCAGATGGCAAGAACCATTGGCTGTATTGCGACTTTGTAATGTCCTATTTTCTAACAATGTCCTCCATGTACCTAGAATAGTGAAATAGGTACTTATTTGTTCCTCTTAAATTTTAATTCAAAGCACTATAACATGTGAGGCCCCTTATATATTGGCAACATGAGTAATGTAAAGTTTAATTGCATAGAAGTCTTAGAAAAAAAACAAGTGTACCTCCAGTCATGGCTCATGTGGCAGTAACAGGAGAATTGTGAAGTTCTGAACTTCTACTGCATGCAAGGTAGTTTGCTCGATTCTTTACCTAGTTTATAACATTAAGTCTTATTAGAATTTAAGTTCCATATGGATAAGATGTTTTTCTAGTACCCAGTAAGATGTCTGGCACAGTTAATGGGTGTAGGTACGTTAATCTCATTTACAGATGGGAAATCTGAGGTTCACAAGTTTAGTAATGTGCTCAAGGTCAAGATTCTGAAAGGTGTGAAGCTCCACCGTGGGTCCAGCTGAATCAGAAACTCAGTCTCTTTTCATTGTGTCACCTAATGACAAGACCTTGGTATCTGAAAATATTGGTAGAATGTGCAGTTAGAAATCACCCCAACTAGGCATTTAATAGCCAGCAAACCTATCTTAAGTAGCATCGTAGCTAACACTTTTATGCAACAATATCACAATGCCTTTTTTATATGTCTAGAATTATTTTACTAATTAGTTATTAGCCCCTGAGATGGGTCAGACATATGGGTCATTGCAAATACAGGGCTAAATAAAACCATGTTGTATTTATTTGGAGTTCCCAACTTTACTTTGCTAGTTCCCTTTTGTATGTCTAACATGTATATGGAGAATATTCTCATTATAATTAATCCACAAATTTAAATCATTTTCAGTTTTCATTATCTGTATAAATAATTTCACTTAAATTTACATAGTGACAAATTACCCAAAAGGTAAAAATGACTTGTGTAACATGGATCCAGCTGGGATTAAAAGCACTGGCAAAGATAAATATATATGTAATGTTTTTAGGTAAATTGGATTAAGTCTACCTAGATGCACTATTAGTCATCACTTTCTCTAAATTCAGGTGAACTCTCTTTCTTTTGATTAAAATTGATTCACAATTTTGTATTTAACAAATGACTCAGTAATTAATGCATGGTTTCACTTGCCTTTGACTGATATATTATAATCATCAAAGCATAAGGGTAATGTGTACTAACTGTATAATTCTCATCATGGATATTATTACTTTTTAAGGATATATTTCATATGTTAACACCTTTCTCTTCTTCTGGCAGGTCTGCTCTTGAAAATAGAAGCAATTGCTGCCCCCTCATTAATATTGAGTTAGAATACTAGAATATCATGACTTACATTTCATGATAGAAAAAAGCAAAAAGAAACTAATTTATTTCAAATTGCAGCAGATGTGATTGTCAAAGATCTTTCTGAGTAACATTTCTAAAATATCCAAGATCTGGCACATAGTAGATACATGGTCCATGTGCAACTTCTTACCCTTATCCTACCTCAAAGCAGGTGGAGTTTTACTTATTTTACACCCCTGTTGCAGCACTTACTGTGTGATCTTGGCTAGTTCAGTCAGCCCCCTGTACATACATCTCTCATCTGTTTCTATGGATTACTGTTTGCCTTAGTGATATCAGAGACTTGTTTTAATAATTGAAGGAAATTATACTTAAAAAAAATTTTTTTAATTCTATCATCCCATATAACTAGATGCTATAATTATGCCTCTAACTCTGGGAAGAATATATGATGTAATATAAAGAGCACAAGTTTAAAGAGGTGCCTTATTAACTGTGAAAACTTCAGCGAGCTGTTAAGCTCCTTAAGTTTCTGTGCTCTGGACACTACCTGCCTCTCTAGCCCTACCCTAGTGCCACTCTTTCTACCCTACTTCATCTATTTCACTGAGCCACAGTTACTCTGGTCTTGGTTTAGTTCCTCTAAGACAGTAAGCTATTATCTGCCTTGGGGCCTTTGCATGCATTTTTAATTGGCTGGAAGACTGGTTCCCTGTTATTACTATTCTTTGTATATTAGCTTTCATGTCATTTCAACAGAGAGTTATTCACTCACCATTCAGTCCAATGTACCTCCCCAGTACTATTTATTTTGTCTACCTTGCGCCAGGGTTTATCATTCCAATGTTTTTAGTTGAGAAATACCTCAATCTTTCAAACAATGGAGAAAAATGTTTGATATAAGCATGATAACAACTGCCTATTTTTAGTGATTATTATATGACTGGCACTAGGACAAGCTCTTCCAGGTAATATCTTGTCTAACCCTCCAGGCATTCAAAATAAGCAACAATGATTGTCTTCATTTCATAGTTGAACACCTAAGGCTTGGAGGTGATTGGTAACTGCCCAAGAACTTGCAGTTAAAACATGGGAGAGCTGTAAGTCAAACCCAAATTGTTTCATTCCTGTGGCAAAGATAATTAGTGCTCATGAAACAAACCAGACTTTTTCTATATTTCCCGATCTTCTTTAAAATTACAATTGATCATGAGACTAAGTTCTGGCAAATTAGAATATAAGAGAAAGTGAACATTCTCACTTTCAACCAGGCACATTCATAAATAGAGGAGCACTCCCACTGAACTGTGTGGGGTTTGCATGAGGGAGAAGTAAAATTTGATGTACCAATCCACTGAGAGCTCAGTGCCTGTCTCTTGTCCACCCTAAGTAGGACAACTACTGAAGTCATGCTTTTAACCATGTAGTCACCACACTGGAAGTAGCTTCTACCGTAGAAACATTTGTGATATCATCTTATTTCTGAAGATTTTACTGGAGCTTAGAAAATATTCACTTTTGTGAACAATCAAATTTTGTAAGTGTAACATGATAAACTTTATTTAACTCCAGATTTTTCAACAGCTCTTAGAAGCCTTATAATCTTGTTTCTTTTTCAAAAATATTGAGGGGAAAACATCTGAATTACATCTTAATAACCTAGAAAAATGCAATGAAAGAAAGAAGGCATGTTTACATATTATATATTTTTCTTCTGCTCTTGCCTTAATCAATGGTAGGCAAGCTTTAGGGGGTCCATATTTTATTTTTATTCTCTGCTTTTTTTCAGCTGCCTAAAGAAGGAGGAAGATTCTAGCTTACACATTCGCTATGTTTCACAGGACAGTTTTGTTCCTTAAGACGTTAAATCAAATTCTTTCTGGAAGTGTATATATAGAGAGACAGGAAGATGGGAAATCCAAATTTATGTTTAGGTTTTGGTTAACAGAGAAGTAAAATCAGAAGGAGATCTGACTTATTAAAAATTAACTCTGCACTGCATACAAGTATATACTACTTGAAAAAAATTCTTCAATTCTTGTAGAATATTCAGTAAATATCATTTTTCTTATTTTTACCCAAAAGAAAGCCCAGAGTGGTTGACTCAACTTCCAAGGAGAGGAGAGCTAATTAGTGACATAAGTGTGATTCAAGCTCCAGGAAATGAGAAATAGTGCTGGAAAATTCTGAAATCTCTGCTATCCTACAGACAGACTGCCAATCAAGCCATGTACCCATAAAGTAAAATTGGCCGTTCAGAATTTTGTGAGTGCTACACCTCAGTAAATGTTCCTTTCCTTTTGTTTTTCCACCATGAAAAATGTGTGGATTAAATGAGATAACAAACACTGTCTAGTAGAGTGTCTTGCTCTTTTAAGATAGCTGATGTTCATCCTTCTTCCTCTCACTCTCTTTTTATTTATTTTTTTTAAAAAAAGAACTGTAATTCTTTTCTATCTTGATTCTCTGGTAACCACAAGCCCAATTTCTTCTCTACTTCAGGTATTTAGGGTTATTCATTTCTTTATACACTGCAGTTAGGATGGAGTCTTTTCCTTCAACTTGTTTCCATCTACATTATTTTATTTTATTTCCACAACCACTTTAGAACTAAAAATTAACTAATTCCATTTTAGAGAGGAGGAGAAAAATCTAAAGCGGTAAAGTGACTTCCTATAGGTCATAGAACAAGTGACTAAGCTGGGAATAGAATCTGGATATTAAGATTTCAATTATTTTGAATTCAAATGAGGTAATTGTATTAAGAAGTTTATTTGTACATATCATCCACTGAAAACATACTGAGGTACCTTCTGCACTCAAATACACAAATACACCAGCAGGCTCTTGAAATGTGCTTATGGGATTACTGTTGCTCTTTTGTACCTCATCGTCACCTCAAGACTTTATCATGAGAAACTATTGTTTCTTTAGCCTGAGCTCTAAAGAGAGCATGCATGGAACAAACCTGAACCCAACTCTTAGCAAGAAGCCAAGCCCTGGTTAAGTGCCCCTATCTTGAAGCAAATTTGCTTCCTGTGCACAGCCAAGAAGCATCTATGAGTAAACAGGAATAGATGGCTGTTGCTTTAAAGCACTGTGTTTTTAGTGATTTATAACCCGACATTAGCTGACCTTCGAACACGAACACACACATGCGCGTGCGCGCGCACACACACACACACTCTCACCAGGCACTGTCCTGGCAAGTCTTAACAGTATATAAGCTTTGAATAATCAGGGAGAAAAGCTGCAAGGAATTGCAGCCAGGAATTCGTATTGGGCCAGGAATGCTGGATTCAGGACCTTCAATATGATCTAAAATACAATAGATTTAGGAGACTCTATATCTCAGGATTATTTCAATTTTAAGCTACAGAAAGCCTAAAACAATCTGGTTTAGCAAATAATGGTGCACAAGACATAACAGCTCAGAGGCACTTCTAGTTCCCAAGAGAACTTAATCAATGGCTTAAAGATGCCAATCAAATTCATCTTACAGCTCTGTTTCCTCTGATTACACCTAATCCTCAGATCTAATAATAATCCCTTGGAGTTTTCAAGCTCTTGCTCGTAGAATGCAGCAGTTTTAAGTCTCAGAAACTTGCATCACTAATTCCAGTGGAGAAGTGAGACTTATCCCAGCATTTCCAGCAAAATATCCTAAGAGTCAATCTGATTAGATAAACCTGAGTCACATGCCCAGGACTCTGTACCTCAAACTGTGGCCAAGGAGTAATATTGCTAACTGAGTCAATCCTGAAGCTAGATCCTGAAGCCTCACATGTAATTAACTGTATTCAAATCATTTGGGCAGAAAACAGGAGGCATCTATTACAATGTACCTGTCACTTAGACTCTCCATAATACGAAGAGAAAAATAGTCCATCAAAATTTATGATGGCCTTCTGCCAAGTACGGGCTGTAAGAGGAAAAAGGAATCGACTAAGATCACTACTGGTTTGCACAGGGTTGAGCATTTCCTAGTTTGAACAAGATTTACAGCAGTTTGCAAACATTTTTATGTAATTGAAGACCACTCGGTAGACTTTTCCGGGAGTCCAGACTGTTGCATTGAACATTATTCCCATTTCAAAAGATAAAATATCCATGCCACTCCAGAGACTGCCAAGCTAAAGCTGAATTGCTTTCTGGGGTGATTTACACATGGGTAGTAATCAGTCAGCTTAACAGCATGACACAGCTACTCATTGAAGCTGTGCCAAAAGCTGAGTGTGCTCTTTTTGTGGGTGCTGTTGGGGGTTACAGAAACACGAAAAGCAAAAATGTTAATGCATGTGGAGCTTAATACCTAAGTGATGGGTTGACAGGTTCAGCAAACCACCACGGCCCATGTTTACCTATGTAACAAACCTGCACGTTCCACACATGTATCCCAGAACTTGAAATTAAGTTAAATTAAAAAAAAAAAAAGACTGAAGCACGTAAAATAAATTGGCTTGAAAATAATTATTTTTAAAAATAGAAAAACAAGATCAGATTTATTTGTTATAATTCTTTGTTACTTATCAAATACTATACACAGGAAAATTTTTTAAAGACCAATATCAATAATAAATCAATACTTACTGACCCACTATAATGTGCTATATTCAGTACCAAGTGCTCTACATCATGAAATACTCATAAAAATTGTACTATTTTTTTCATTTTCTGAAAGCAACTAGTCAAGCCATATGGCCAGTAAGTGGTAGAACCAAGATTGAACCCCTATTGTCTCGCACCAATCTGAATGTCCCATGAGTTGTTATATCATCAGGGTAACACAGACTATTACCACAGAACAAAGTAGCAAACTATGTAGAGTGAATTTATTTCCAAAATCTTACAAATGATTCATTTTGATCTGAGTTATGGAAACTGAGATGGATATGGGTTTAGGTGGTGGGGAAAAGGGCTAACATAGACCATTCTAATTACCTGAAAGAGTAATTTCTCCAAATTCCATAATGTCTTCATTAAAAAATCATTCACTTGGATGTGTTTTTGACATGATGAAGGCTTGTGCATTAGCACCTGATATTTATTTGTTGAATAAAAGTAATATTCAAAATGGGCTACATCATTTACTAGATCCCCATTTTTTTATTGTAGTCCACCTGGTGTGGGAAGGAATAGCTAGATTCTTAGAATTGATTTAAAGGAATTTTAATTTTTTTAAAATTTAAATTTAGATGAGTTTATTAGCTTCTTGAAATAATAAGAAACTAAAAAGTACTTCACAAACTTTTGTTAAACATAGCTATTTTGTTCAAATCCAAAAATTATATACTTATTTACATTTTCTAGTACAAAAAGGATCTTTATTCACTATAGGATTACAATATAAATAATTTTAGTGGGAAAATGTTTTCAAAATAATCATTTTGTATACTTGTACATTTCAACCAGATAAGTTCAATATTGGATTGCAATGTATTTATTTATCTTTCTACTGACCAAAATGTCCAAAATGCATGGACGTAACTCTTTGGGAATCTATGAGTATGTATAGTGTTATTGATCATTTTGTCACTAGAGATTTTTGGTTAGTTTGTATTTTATACAATACTGCTTAGCAGTCATATCTCTTGTGTGTTTGCAGCACCCAATTTTACAGTGAAAGTAATTTCTTAATATCTTGCCACCTCTTATTTCTCTTACTGCTATGAGAATAATCTGTGGTTCTGACTTTTCTCCTGGCTTCAAGTTCAATCATTTTATTGTTGATAATCCCAGCCCTTCATACATTGCTTCCAGAGGAAGATCTTTGATACCAATGCACAACAGGCTTCTTAAAGTAATTCTGATGGACAGACTTCATGCTTTCGTTTTCCCCACAAGCCCAGTTCTTGTCTTACCCATGAAATTGCTATGCTATGCATTTTATCAGGCTCGAAGTCTTAATACTATTTTTCCTGCTGAGAAATGAAGAGGATATAGGTCCCTGGATAAACTTATCTGCTGGGAAGGGAACATAGAAATGTAATCTTCTAACTGGCCTCATATCATTTGGCTGTACTCTGCACAAATGCATCTGAAGACATTTATCTGACTCTAAAGCTGAGATCTTCACGAAAGCAGGTTAGCTCTCCTAGATTCAAATAACTGGGTTTATATCCTCTAACCTAAGGGTGACTTTTGAGTATTAAACCAGACCTGTGGGTTCAAAGAGAAGTGGCCTTAAAATAGTTTAGATTTACTGTGAATGGCAAAAGGTTGAGCAGTACGGAGAGAGAAATGACTAGACAACACTTCCTGCTGTAAAAAAGACTACCTTAAACTTGCTGATTGAGAAGAAATAATACAGTACCGTGCAAATAAACCATGTTGATGGATGCCTTCTGCTAGAATGGAGCTCACTGTATTTACTCTCTTTCTGTTTGATGTCAGCATCTTAGCACTCAGCATGAACTCTACTACAGCTAACTGTCGAAATAAGTTATTTCTAGTCGATAATGAATGCTTCTCTAACATGTTATTATTGAAAATAACAGGTTCCAAATGTGTGACCGAACGGCATACAATTCATTTTCTTTCTCTGTAAGAATTGGATTTTCTTGTCATTAGAGCTGAACTGTGTGTTGACACTATGCTAAGTTAGAACATCCAGAATCCCGACCAAAGGCAAGAAGTTGTGTTGAAAGATTAGAATAACGAGTGCAATTGAACAGTGGTTTACAATCTGCGAACAGCTTTCAGAGTACTCTCTTCGGAATGTCTCCTCACTTTCTAAAGAATATAACAAATGTATTTTTATTCCCATTTTAGCAAAGAGTGGATTTAGGTATGGGGCATTTAAGAGACTTGCCCAAATCTCAAAACCAGTAATTGAGAGCACTAAGGCTCGAACCTTTAACATCTGCTTCCAAATTTAATTTTTCCACCTTCTAAAAGTTTTTTGTTTTTTGCTTTTTTTTTTTTTTTTGAGACAGATTCTCACTCTGTCACCCAGGCTGGAGTGCAGTGGCGCGATCTTGGCTCACTGCAACCTCTGCCTCCTGGGTTCAAGTGACTCTTCCGCCTCAGCCTCCAGAGTAGCTGGGATCACAGGCGTGTGCCACCATGCACAGCTACTTTTGTATTTTTTTGTAAAGACAGAGTTTCACCATGTTGGCCAGGCTGGGGCTGGTCTCAAACTGCTGACCTCATGATCTGCCCACCTCGGCCTCCCACAGTGCTGGGATTACAGGCGTGAGCCACAGCGCCCAGCCAAAGTAAAATATTATTATTTAGATATTACTTTTCTACTTTGAACAATAGAAAAGGCAAAGCACAAAGGCCCATGAGACAATATTAGTAACCAAAAGCAGCACAGGGAATATTAGCAGCTGTACTTTCGCTGTTGCAGTAAGTCACACAATAGATATAAAAGTGGCATAGACGGGATTTTAAAAATGTATGACTTGTTCAAAATCACATTTCACGGCATACATTTAAGAAACTATTCTGAAAATCCTCTTTTTTATGTATTGCTATTTTATCCCTAAATATTATATTAAGTAATTATTAGAACTAAACACGTTTAGCAGATTCTCGTAGGTAAACACACAAGATTTATTGTTTTAGAAACGCAGATGCGTATAAAGAGGTGTATAATTTGTTTCCTCCTTTCCTTCATTCCTTCTTTCCATTTTCCTTTTTCTTTCTTTCCTTTCAGTTATTTATTAGGGACCTAATAGTGTTAGGGTCAGTATAATTTGTATCCTTTACTCTTTATCCCTTTTCCAAATGTTTTTGCTGTGATTAGCAATCATGTACTATGAAAGATTTAAAGTCTATCCGTAGTGCTAAGCTAAGCCAATGCTTAATGCTATTATCAGCACTGGTGTTAAAATAAATTTAGATTCATTTGTTTTAAATGACTGGTGGATCACTTAACTCAACTGTTGACAAACACAGTAGAGCTAACGTATAGCTCCTGCAGCTTCTTCCTGCACAATTATCTAAAAGACCTTGATATCAATCTTCTCTATTGTGTTATTTGTCAAACAAAGAGTAGTTAAGGGATCTGAAAAATTCTAGTGCTCCCTACAAATAGCAAAACAGCTAAAAACTGTCTAAGGCTGCTATTCAGGTTTGGAGCACCTGTGTCCTCTCAAATCACAGAAAGAGTTCACCAAAAGGTAACAAATGATGGCAACGAAGAGTAATGGTGCTGGAAGAAATGGTGCAGAGCTCTGAGAAAAGCTCATTTGGCAGGAAGTTTTGTGTCTGTACATCGTGCACCCATTACAATAAAGCAATTTTGTCACCCTCTACCTTTTTCTCTCCGTTTTATTAAATATCAAAATAAGGCTGAAATATATCATGTGGAATTTTGTGAGAATCATACTACATTGCATCTAGGACAGCATTAACTGGAGAGGTTCATTAAAAGTACTAACATCACTTTAGGAGGCAGAGGCGGGCAGATCACCTGAGGTTAGGAGTTCGAGACCACCCTCGCCAATGTGGCGAAACCCTATCTCTACCAAAAACACAAAAATTAACCGGGCATGGTGGCTGGTGTCTGTAATCCCAGCTACTCGGGAGGCTGACAGGAGAATCGCTTGAACCCGGGAGGTTGCAGTGAGCTGAGATCACGCCATTGCACTCCAGCCTGGGCAACAAAAGCAAAACTCTGTATCAGAAAAAATAAAAATAAAATACTAACATCTAGAACCCACCTAATTATTTCTAGCCTGTCAATTTTGAGTGGAACTCAGGAATTTCTATCTTTAATAGATAAATCAGATGATTCTTATGCATCTGGCTTGAAGGCTGTCTTTTGAAAACCAGAGGACTAGATGACCCAACAAATAGCCCCCTGGAAAAGTAGAGACACACTGCTCCCACGGTTTGGCTTCGTTGCCCATAGTAGGCATTCAATACTGTAAGTCTCTGAATTGGTAATTTACTCAAACTGCTCAAATTGTAAAATATCTGTAAAATCTAGCATGTTTGAAAATTGTAGCGTCAACTGCAATTTCCATATCTTTAACCCTTAAATCATTTTAAGCATTCACCCTCAAATAAATTCTGATCCAAGCTTCATTAGGATTTTTCTTTTATGCTGTGGCTACTTTGATGAGCTTTATTTGAGCATGCCTGAATTAGTTTCTTAAGAGGTTAAATATAATTGTGAATTGAGAAAATATGAACCAAAGCAGAGACAAAATTATTTTCTTTTCCTTTCAATGTGCAGTAATGTGCTTTCGGCATGCATGAGAGCCTGATGAATAAATTAAAAGGCAATTTCCAAATTGTATATTGATTTTTGTACAACGTAAAAGAGGTGTACATATCTGATGGAAACTCTCATAAAGGGGCATAAATCTTAAATTAAAAAGTGAAAAAATAAAATTTGAAAACATAGCACCTAGTAGTAAAATATATTAGTGCCCATTTTCTTCTGATACATTAGAACATAAACTGTCCTGCATTACTAAAGCTATTTTTCAATAATAATTAGGAGAGTAAGCACAAAGTCCTTAAAAACTTTAGTCATTTCTCTAGCTTTAGCCTGCCATCCAATCTATGAAATGACTATTCTGAGAGCATACAATTCATCATATACTATGTTCTATCAAAAACTCATTAAATTGCCATTGATGATGATCGCAAAGTTCATGGCAGGTTTTCTGTTTAGCATCTTGCCTCAAGCGAAGGCATCTATTTATTGGTGAAGTCATACTCACAACCAAAATGTTGCTATGTAAACTAATTAGGGCTCCATATGAAGATAACTTGATTGCCATGGAGTTTCTGCTTAATATAAACAGAGCAAAAGATGTAATTGTTTAGCAATAAGTAAAAGCTACACTGTAAACATAATCATCCACATACTTGGCTTCTGTAAAAACATTAACATTCGATTTTTGAAATTAGAGCTGGTATTTAGTCATTAGGCACCCAAAGAGTACTCTGGCCAGTGGGTTCTTGAATTGGTAGGTTTCTATCCTGATTGGGCAATGCCTTACCCTTCTGGTTCTTTAATGCTTTGAGTGTATCACTCTCATTTGTAGGCATCAATAGAGGAATGTGATTGTCCTTTTCTTGCTTTCCCAAACTTGTCGCTTGTGATGACATCCAAGGGTGAATTTTTTTTAAATTCATTAAACACACTCTCACTAAGACTAAAAATACTGTTGGACAGTAAAATGCAGGAGTTAATTTTTCAGTAAAAATTATAAGCCTATCTTTTTACAGGAAAATTAATCATATATGAGAGAAAGAATAGGAAAATAAAGGAGGCTCTCAAAGTGCTGAAGCAGCTGATTGAGTTGCTTAGACAGTGAAGGCCCTTCTAGACAGATAACTCTTATCATCTGAGTTAACTTTGTTATTACACAGAAGAATAAACAAGCACAGAGATTACAAGGTATTCAGGAATCTCACAATTAGTTTAATGCAGAATTTGGACTATAGTATAATCTATACAAATAATAAGCACTTCCAAAAATATGTGCGGTAGATAGATGGATGATTAAACAAGACCCTTGAGAGAAAGGACCATTACATGACACAAGCGTTTCTCAAACTTGCTTTCCCTCACTGTGACATACCTCAGAGAGAATATTGACCTGCATGATTTACATTCACTACTTTCCACTACAGAGTGAAGTGAATGTTTGTGGGGACAGATACCGCATTTATCATAATGTGATTGTTATGCATTGCAAGGCTATCTTGCAAGCCTATTATTTATGGAACCCATAAATAACTCAATCATACATACTAAGATAAGCATCATGTTACAAAAAATTCCCTGGAGCCCAGCTGTAATTCCTCCTAATTTCTTCCTCAACCCACCATTGTGACTTCACATCATATTTGAAAGCTGTTATACTACTTAATGCTACCAAAATCATGAACTAGCTGGAAGTTAGGGGTCTCTGGAGTTGGCATTTAGGATATTGAAGTAATGCATTATAATTAAAAAGTCTATTGCCCTTGGCTTGCTGATATGATTTTGAAACCTTAAATTCCCAATCACCTACTTCTGGTGATTTCTATAAGAAATATAGGTCATTCAATAATAAAGAATGTATATGTCTAGGATATTTTCTTAGTTCTACATTCAGTGAACATGTATTTGTAAATAATATCTTTAGCCATAGCAAAAATTGAGTTATAAATTGAGTAGAGCTATGAATAATACCTTGCTTTATTCTCCAATGTTTGTAAACTTGAGATTTGAAATATAAGTTGCAATTAAGATAAAAGCAGAGTAATTTTTAATTTTTGTATTTTGTGGGTACATAGTAGGTATATATATGTATGAGATATTTTGATACAGGCATGCAATGCATAATAATTACATCATGGTAAATGGAATATCTTTCTCCTCAAGTGTTTATACTTTGTGTTACAAACAATCCAATTATACTCTTATAGTTATTTTAAAACATAAGATTAAATTATTATTTACTATAGTCATTCTGCTGTCCTAGCAAATATTAGATCTTATTCATTCTTTCTAACTATTTTACTAAACCCATTAACTGTCCCCACTTTCCCCCCACACTCCACTACCCTTTCCAGCCTCTGATTTTCATCCTACCCTCTATTTCCATGAGTTTAATTGTTTGATTTTTCAGCTCCCACAAATAAGTTTGAACATGCAAGTTTGTCTTTATGTGCCTGGCTTATTTGACTTAACACAAGGACACCCAGTTCCATCCACATTGTCACAAATGACAGGATCTCATTCTTTTTTATGGCTGTATAGTACTTCATTGTGTATATGTACCACATTTTCTTTATCCATTTATCTATTGATAGACACTTAGATTGCTTCCAAATGGTGGCTATTCTAAAGAGTTCTGCAATAAACATAGAAATGCAGATATCTCTGGGATATTTTGATTTCCCTTCTTTTGGGTACATACCTAGCAGTGGGATTGATGGATCTTATAGTAGCTCTATTTTTAGATTTTTGAGGAAGCTCCAAACTGTTCTCTGTAGTGGTTGTACTAATTGACATTTTCACCAACAGTGTATGAGGGTTCCCTTTTCCTCATATCAACTCCAACATTTGCTATTATCTGTCTTTTGGATATAAGCCATTTTAACTGGGTGTGATAATATCTCATTGTAGTATCATTTCTCTCATAATTAATGATATTGAGCACCTTTTCATATACCTGTTTATCATTTGTATGTCTTCTTTTGAGAAATGTCTATTCATAACTTTTGTCTATTTTTTATTGGATTATTCGATTTTTCCTATAAAGTTGTTTGAGCTCCTTATATATTCTGGTTTTAGTCCCTTGTCAGATGGGTAGTTTGTAAATATTTTCTCCCATTCTATGGGTTGTCTCTTCACTTTGTTGATTGTTTTCTTTGCAATGCGGAAGCTTTTTAACTTGATGTGATTCCATTTGTCCATTTTTGCTTTGGTTGCCTGTGCTTATGGGATACTATTCAGTAAATCTTTGCTCCAGACCAATGTCCTGGAGAATTTTCCCAATGTTTTCTTGTAGTAGTTTCACTCTGAAGTCTTAGATTTAAGTCTTTAATTCATTTTCATTTGATTTTTGTATATGGTGAGACATAGGGGTCTAGTTTCATTCTTCTGCTTACGGATGCACAGTTTTCATAAAACCATTTATTGAAGAAATTATCTTTTCTTCAATGTGTGTTTTTGGTACCTTTGTTTAAAATGAGTTCACTGCAGGTTTGTGGCTTCGTTTCTGGGTTCTCTATTCTGTTCCATTGGTCTATGTGTCTGTTTTTGTGCCAGTATCATGCTGTTTGGGTTAATATAGTTCTGTAGCATAATTTGAAGTTAGGTAATATGATTCCTCCAGTTTTATTCTTTGTCTCAGAATAGCTTTGCCTATTCTGAGTGGTTTGTGGTTTCATTTAAATTTTGGGATTTTTTTTCTATTTATGTGAAGAATATCATTTGTATTTTGATAAGGATTGCATTGATTCTTCCACTCCATTCACATGGAATATCTTTTCATTTTTTGTGTGTCTTCAATTTCTTTCATGAGTGTTTTATTATTTATTTATTATTATTTTTAAATCACTTGACACTTTATTGAATGCAAAGTAAGATTTAGCATCTTTGACTTCATTGTACACAGCTGAAGTGGGAGCCCAGGGAGGGGAAGACTGCATGGTTTTCCTTGGAGGGGGGAAGTGTGCACCTTGCAGTCCTGTTACATTGTGGGAAGATCAGCCCATGTTCTGTCGGTTGCCATTGCCCCTAGGATGGATGTTCTGACAGTCATCCCATTCCCAAGCTCTGTAGAGTGTTTGTTTCATCATCCTCTTCCTCCTTTTCTTCTTGATCTTCCTGTTGCTGAGCTGCTTTTCTGAATTCCTCTGATGTTGCCTTGGATATTCCCTGATTTGGTAATTCTCCATTCCATATTTCTGATGTTGTTCATGACAGTCACTCACCATCATAGTTGCCAGACTTGGATAACCAGCTCCAAATACGCTGGCTTGGATATGTCCCGGGCGAGAATGAAGGGTATCACTGGAAGCCTTTCCTGGCGAGATGTGTTAGAAGTTGAGGGCTCTCTTGAAGACTCTCTTTCTTTCAGGATTTTTATTTCCTGGTCAATGCTCTCAATCTTTTCTAAGCTGATACCAAACCACCTCTGAAGGTGAAGAAGATAATATTCCCGAACACATTCATCGTCTGATTGACCACTTTCCACAACAGATTACAATGCAGATAACCTATGCTCCAACTCCTTCTTCTGTTTGTATCTCTCTATTTTAGCCTGTCTTTGAGATGCCATAGAAATGAGGCTAGGATAGCAATGGAGGAATTAGTAGTGTGATTTTCAGCTGAGTTGTTCTCATTTTGGGCAGCTCAAACTCTGCCACATGATAGTAACGGCACTGAGTTAAGTAGTTTATAAAGCGTTTTGGAGCCCGCTGCAAATGATCCAGACGCTTGCTGGGGTTGACTTATTTCATGGTGAGGGCACCAACAGGCACTTCAGGTCAGTGGAAGCAATCTCTTACATGTCTTCATTTCGGCTGAAGGAGTCAAGCTGTGATAACATTTTGACAGCTTTCTCAAGGAGGTCCAGGCCCTTGAACACTTTCTCCTGGACTATCCAGGAACCAGCAGGTTCAGCAGCTACTTCTGCTTCGTCCAGAAACTTTGCCAGTTTTGAACAGCTCGGGGAGCCGCGGCAGCAGTAGCTTGTCTTCAGCAGCCATCTTGGGGAGGGAGCCATGAGTGTTTTATAGTTTTTATTATAGAGATCTTTCACTTCTTTGGTTAAGTTAATTCCTAGGCATTTATTTGTGGTTATTGTAAATAAGATTACTTTTTTATTTCTTTTTCAGATTGTTCAATGTGGGGGTGTAGAAATGCTACTGATTTGTGTATGTTGATTTTTGTATCCTGTAACTTTACTGAATTTGTTAATTAGTTCTAATAGCTTTTCAGTGGAGTCTTCAGTTTTTCCCAAATACAATATCATATCATCTGCAAACAAAGATAATTTGATTTCTCCCTTTCCAGTTTGGATGTCTTTTATTTATTTCTCTTATCTGATTGTTCTAGCTAGAACTTCCAATAATATGTTTAATACAGTAGTGACAGTGGGCATCCTTGTCATGTTCCAGATCTTAGAGGAAAGGCTTTCAGTTAGTCTGTTACATGTGGTTTTTATTGTGTTGAGGTAGGTTCTTTCTATACCTTGTTTTTCTGAGGGTATTTTTTTAATCATGAAGGGATGTTGAATTGTATCAAATGTTTTATCTGCATCAATAGAAATGATCATTCTATTAATATAATGTACTACATTGATTGATTTGTGTATGTTGAACTGTTCTTGCATCTCAGGGATAAATCCCACTTGGTCATGATGAATGATCTTTTTAATGTACTGTGAAATTCACTCCTCCTCTATTTTTCGGAATAGTTTGGATAGGATTGATATTAGTTTTTCTTTAAATGGTTGGTAGAATTCAGCAATGAAGTCATTGGGTCCCAGGCTTTTCTTTACTGGGAGACTTTATTGTGGCTTTAATCTTATTACTTGTTATTGGTGTTTTCAGGTTCTGGATTTCTTCATGGATCAATCTTGGTAGGTTGTATATATCTAAGAATTTATTCATTTCCTCTAGATTTTCCAGTCTCTCAGCATCCAGTTGCTCATGGTAAAAAGCAGAGTAATTCCTAATCATCATATCAGCAATATTTTGAAAATAAATATTTAGAAATGTATTTCTGGAGAAGACAAGAAGATACTTGGAAATACCTTTAAATTAAAAGTTAATAATTGGTTTTCTATATGATTAAATTCACTGAACCTAACTTAAAATGTTTCTATTGGCTCATTGTGCTTTTAAGTTGCCTTAAGTTAACTTTCAAGATTAGTAACTAGTGAATTGTTCTAAAACAATTAGCTTCACTTAACTACAATAAAGTTGATATAAAAATGTAAAAAGCCAGGAAAAACAAAGTGATTTCACTAAGGTGCAAATAAAATTGTGTGTATCGTGTATGTATGTATGTTTATATGTAATTGATATAAACATTTTAATACATTCAATTAATACAGGATTCAAAACATATAAAGAGAAAAATACATAAAGTACAAGTCAATGCCCTGTTTTAATCCAATTTCACAGTGAACATTGCTCACTTGTATCTTTTGAGATTCAGGGAAAAGTTTCTCAACATACAGATTTACAGTAGAAATGATTCTGAAAAAATATTAATCCTAAAACAGTAAGTCCACATTGCCAGTCATAAGTTTTTTTCTTCCACTCAAGATCCGTAGTAGAAAAGGAAAGCAGGCATAACTCCGTTCATACTTTATTTAAGCACTTATCCATTGCTAATTCCCTTAGATTGAGCCTCAGAAAATCTGGAGGTAGGGTAACATTTGCATAAGTAAGATGATAATATTTGCTACTAAGGTACAATAATATTTCTTGGACTCCTTGAAATCAAGGTCAGTTGTAATTATTGCACTATTTCTACTATAAGGTTGTGTCTTCAGTGACATTAAAGGGTATATGAGTTCCTTACTGTAAGACTGCACAATGCAAAGATTATGTAAACAAATGTAAATCACCATGAAAATCTAGTTTATTCCACTTTTATCACACACCATTTTACAGTTCTAAATATCAATAATCTTCAAAATGTGGGACCCATGGCCTCATTAAGAGTAAGAAACCTTGGCACTCTTATTTTCAGACTCAGAAATCAATGCTGCCCATACTCTTTCATGGCCCTTCTTACATGACTTTCTTCATCTGAATTTACACAAGAGTAAAGGGAGTTTTGCTTAAAACTCAGGCAAAGTAACTGAAAAACTTTCAAAGCAATTTCGGGATTTAATGTGCATTGAGAAAGTGTTTCTTTATAGAGACAAAAACTAAAAGAACACACCAGAATATGTATGATCGCCACATTCTCTGCTTCTATCTCACTGCCAAACAGCAGAATACATAGACGGAAATACAGACACTCTGCATAAACATTTTTAAATGCTTGCCAACAAATTTTTGTTTTTATTGTACAAATTTTTGTTTTTATTATACAAAGTTTTGTTTTTATTATACTTTAAGTTCTAGGGTACATATGCACAATGTGCAGGTTTCTTACATATGTATACATGTGCCATGTTGGTTTGCTGCACCCATTAACTCGTCATTTACATTAGGTATTTCTCCTAATGCTATCCCTCCTCCATCCCCTCACACCATGACAGGCCCCAGTGTGTGATGTTCCCTGCCCTGTGTCCAGGTGTTCTCATTGTTCAATTCCCTCCTATGAGTAAGAACATGCAGTGTTTGGTTTTCTGTCCTTGCGATAATTTGCTCAGAATGATGGTTTCCAGCTTCATCCGTGTCCCTACAAAGGACATGAACTCATCCTTTTTTATGGCTACATAGTATTCCATGGTGTATATGTGCCACATTTTCTAAATCCAGTCTATCATTGATGGACATTTGGGTTGGTTCCAAGTCTTTGTTATTGTGAATAGTGCTGTAATAAACATACATGTGCATTTGTCTTTATAGTAGCATGATTTATAATCCTTTGGGTATATACCAAGTAATGGGATGGCTGGGTCACATGGTATTTCTAGTTCTAGATCCTTGAGGAATCGCCACACTGTCTTCCACAATGGTTGAACTAGTTTATACTCCCACCAACAAACAGTGTAAAATGTTCCTATTTCTCCACATCCTCTCCAGCACCTGTTGTTTCCTGACTTTTTAATGATTGCCATTCTAACTGGTGTGAGATGGTATCTCATTGTGGTTTTGATTTGCATTTCTCTGATAACCAGTGATGATGAGCATTTTTTCACATGTCTGTTGCTTGCCAATAAATTTTCAAAATGAAATAAGGCATATCATAGAAAACTTCTTCAAGTAAATATCTCCCTGGTAGAAGACTTTTTGGTATTTAATACCCAGTGTTCCAGTACATTTTTTTTTACATCTTACCAAAATGTTATTTAGCAAATATTTATATAAGAACATTCTGTATTTAAATCTGCAAAATGCAATGCAAATATGTATCACAAAATGATTTTGAAAAAAATCCCTTAACTCATTTATTCTTTTGAGAAATGTCTATTCAAATCATTTTCCCATCTTTTGATTGGATTATTAGATTTTTACTATAGAGTTGTTTGAGCTCCTTATATATTCTGGTTATTAATCCTTTGTCAGATGGATATTGAGCTACCATATGATCCAGCAATCCCACTGCTGGGTATGTACCCAAAAGAAAGGAAGTCAGTATATTGAAGAGATATCTGCACTCCTTTTGTTGCAGCATTGTTAGCAATAGGTAAGATTTGGAAGCAATCTACGTGTCCGTCAATAGACAAATGGATAAAGAAAATGTGGTACACGTACACAATCGAGTGCTATTTAGCCATAAAAATGAATGAGATCCAGCCACTTGCAACAGCATGGATGAAACTGGAAATCTTTATAAGTAAAATAAGCCAGCTATAGAAAAACAAACATTGCATGTTGTCGCTTATTTGTGGGATCTAAAAGTCAAAACAGTTTAACTCATGGACATAGAGCACAGAAAGATGGCTACCAGAGGCTGGGAAGGATAGTGGGGGGTGGTGAAGAGGTAAGGATAATTAATGGGTACAGCAAAACAAAAAGAATGAGTAAGACCTACTATCTGATAACATGACGGAGTGACTATAGTCAATAATAACCATACACTTTAAAATAATTTAAAGAGTGTAACTGGATATTTGCAAGTCCATGGATAAATACTTGGGGGAATGGATACCCCATTCTTAACAATGTATTTATTTCACATTTTAATGACTTTATTGAAACATATCATGTACCCCCTAATTATATATACCTATTATGTACCCTCAAAAATTAAAAAAGTAAAAGGCACTTCAAATTATATTCTAAACACCATTGTGATACAATTACAACTAGACATTTTGATAAGATCTTTGAGTGCCAGGAAAAATAAGTGCCTCTTGTATATTAGTGAAGCTGAGGCATCATTGTTTCATAATCAGTGGGAACAATTCTCAACCATAGTGGGCTTGTCCTGACTGTATTTCTGCCAGGCCTTTCTTATATAGCCCTTGTTTCTTCCTAGTGTTTTATGGATTCCTAAAAAGTTAACAAAATCCTAAAGGAATCTGTGAAGAAGGAAGCAAAGAGAGTAAAGAGAAAAAAAGAGAGTTTAACAAACCATATTCATTGATAACAGAAATAATTTGTGGATTATTTCTATTATAACCACTGTTTATTAAAGTTTTAGTTTATTTAAAAGTAAATTTAAGTAAAATTTAAAACTATCTCATCACATAGTTCATGCTGTAATGTTATAATGAAAGTATTGCAGATGATCCAATAGATTTGAAGTTTCTATTTGTGATTGGAGAAAATTAATTGAGAATCTGAATAACGATTACACCTAATTCCCAATTTAAATTTATAATCCACCCTTTAAAATTTAGAAACAATACTAATACTTTATGATAAAACTTCACTCTACGATATACCTATTTATATTTTACTTACTATGCTAGAGATAATTTATGTAACACTTCACACCCTATTTTAATGATAGATCTGCATTATGCCAAGTGAACAGTGAAATAAAGGTTTATATAAGTCAAAATCTCAACTCTCCAGCTGCTCTGTGTACTAGCAGTATGGCTAGGCAAGTTGTGTTACTGCTCAGTGTCTTCTTCTGCTAAATTATTGTGATATTAATAGTGCCTACTGCATAGGGTAATTTTGGTTGAAAATGTAGAGTAGTTCATACTATAAAGGTTATACTGCTAAAGGCTTTCCATCCAAGTCAATACTGCTATTTAACTGTTTTAACCCAATTTAACTTGTCTATGGAATGCAGTACATAACATAACCTACCTTACAGAGTTGTGAGGATTAAATATATGCAAGGATGTTGTTTTTAGCTCAAAATCTGCATCAGAGTGAATTCTTAATAAACGTGAGCTTTTATTTTTATTATCATTGTGAAAATCCAGTGTGCTAGATTTTTCATTTTCATACGGATTTGAAAGCCCTTTCTACAGACATCCGGACTCAGAAATAAGCCATGGGTGGCTTTTGCTCTGTGAGGGAACAAACCATCCCTAGGGTCAGATCCTGAATGACAGAAATGTCATGGGGAACCTTCAGTCAACAGCAAATCACCTTAACCCACAAGGACAGGAAAATGCTGTAAAAGATAGATGAGACCACTTAAACAAACAAACAAACAAACAAAACTAAAGTAAAACAAAACTGGTATGTCATCATAGTAGTAAACTTTTAAGAACACAGTTATTGTTACTTTTTAGTCTCTCTAGCCTATTCACTGACTAAATGTATTTGCCTCCAAGCACTAGGCTCTGCTCTTGAGAAAATTATATGCCTCTTTTCCCTAAAAAAGCTTTATTTTGATGTATTTCCTCAGGCTACATTTTTAAAGAGGGCATCAGAGGCAGTCATTATTTCTATTCTTGATAAAGAGGCTAATTGTGAACTTATTTTTTTTTTCTATCAGTACCTGGTGACAGGCATTTGCTGAGACATAGTGACAGGTGTAAGCTGACCTCTACAAAATTGTAACCTAGTTTCTGCCCATATAATAACTGTTACAGGCATCAAATAAAAATGTATTCTACAAAAGCCTAACTTCAGATTATTTCAACTTTAAAAAATATGTAGTTAATAATGTACTTAAATTATAAATATTTATCATGACTAATTGCATGCAATACTTAATCTTTAATTTAGAAAGCAGAGCATATTGTTAAAGAGCTATTGTAACAAGCAGTGGATAAGAGAATTAATATATCTGTCCCAACTCTGATCTTGATTTGTTGTGTGACTTTGAATATAACATGCTTCCTTGTGTTTATGCATTCTACAGATATCTTCTCTTCTATAAAATTAGATTACCTGGATAGATGAATAATTAGATCCTTTTTAATTTTGACATTTTGTGATTTGGTGAAGCTGGGCACCAGAGAAGAGTCAACATGATTCCTAGCTGTAATAGGTAAGAGTTAAGGGTATACTACATGCCATGCACTATATCAAAAACTGGAGCTACAAATATGTGGATTGGGCAGCAGCAAAAGTATACTCTGAATTCTGTGGGTATATGTGCTCTGGAAGATGTACCTAGGCATTCCCTGAGCTGTGCAAAAGGTCTTTAGCATTATTGGTTGGAGTGGAATTCACACTGTTGAATGAATGAATGAATGAACATTGGAAAATTCCATAAATTGTCAGTTCCAAGAAAAGTAGCTTTAAGAAGAATTATCAGAGGTAAAACAGCACATGGAACAGAACTTTGAACCTGACTTTTCAGGGAAAACGCAAAATAAAATAGCACAAGCTACAATAGTAAAGGTAGCCTTCGAAACAGAGACTGTTGTCAGGGATGAGAGAGAAGCTCTTATGAGTACATGGCAAAGACTTTCAGTCACATTCCATGCCTTTTAAAGTTCATTGCCATTAACATATGATCCTTAGGTTGTATAGACACATGCAATTCTTATTTCTGAGGAAACAAGTTTTGTCTCATTAACATCTCAGTTACTTGATCATCAACACTATGACACTCTGTGACATTAAAGTTGTCACCCTCTGAGTCAGAGCAGGACAGATTTCCTGTCTATAGTACAGGCCAACACTGTTGCCTGTGCTTTGAGACTACCACAGCATTCATCATGAATGCTGTCAGAAAGGCACACTATGCCCAGGCCCAAAAGCCTTAGGCAATGATTTGTGCTTGGTTCAGCAGGCCAGATGCAGTCTGCATGCTTGAGGCTCTTCCTAGGGCACAGGGACATTCTAAGAGATTTTTAAATCTTATAGAATTTAGAGCCCAGAGGGTAGCGATCGTTATATATTCAATTTCTTTATCAGGAAAATGGAAAGTTGAAGCTAAGAGAGATTTAATATTAACTCAAGGTCACATGGCTAATTACTGGAAGAAGACTTGAGTAAAGACTTAATTCTTGACTTCTCATTTCAAAATTCTTTGCTATATAGACCCATATTAAAAAGTAAGGTATTTTTGGCCAGGCGTGGTGGCTCACACCTGTAATCTCAGCACTTTGGGAGGCTGAGGTGGGTGGATCACAAGGTCAGGAGATTGAGACCATCCTGGCTAACACGGTGAAACCCCACCTCTACTAAAAAAATACAAAAAATGAGCCGGGCGTGGTGGCAGGCACCTGTAGTCCCAGCTGCTAGGGAGGCTGAGGCAGGAGAATGGAGTGAACCCAGGAGGCGGAGCTTGCAGTGAGCCGAGATCGTGCTACTGCACTCCAACTTGGGCAAAAGAGCGAGACTCTGTCCCAAAAAAAAAAAAAAAAAGTAAGATATTTTTTCTGGAGATGGGTGGAGCATACAGTATAAAACAGCAAAAGAATCACAAACTCCATTTCACTTCTAAGTCTCTTTGGTTTCCAAGTTTCTTTCCAGGACACACAACAACCAACATAAACTCATTCTTGTTAAAACTAGATTTCAAATACTAAGGAGAATTGTGGAGTGGGCCATGGGACAGTTGTACTTCCTGTAATGTCTGTTGGAGGGTCATATTTATTAGTAAGAGATATTGAAGGAAACACACTCCAGCTGCATGCTACGGTCATATTTATGGTTATATGGAGGTATTGAGCAAAGTTTGAAGAGCTACAGTCGGGAAACCTGTTTAATGGCAGAATCATTGTCTTTAAAAGATATCGGATGTTGGCAACAAGGTGCATGATCGGGGCCATGATACCTGGAAGATTAGAAGCAAGTCTAAATTTAAAATACTATAAAATAAAGAGAAATAAAGTAAAATACAACTACTAAAGTAATCTACAAGAAGGGGGAATTGAAATGACTCTTGCCTGCATGTTTAGACTTAACTCTCAGTACTTCATATGCCACATTTCATTCACACTGTGTGTTTCCTCAAAAATTCTCATTCATGTGGTCCTTACAACACATGATTCTCTCTTCCTGTATATTCTTTCCAGCTTTGCAACCTATTCCACTTAAGAGTTATTCATCTTTTAGAATGAAGCTCAGATTTTGTCTCCTTTAAGTAGAGTGATTGTATTTTATTCAAACAAGGACAACTTGAAGTGAGAAGGATATTCTGTTGATAACCACATATTATAAGAGGTATAAATGGTATAACCAGTTCTGTTCTGGGCAAACTAGTGGGTGAGGACATTTTTGTCTAAAGTCCCTCTTAGCACTATAGGTTATATGTAATAGTTATCTCAATTCTGCTTAAAAAATCATTCTCCACAAATAAAACTTTATAAGTCAACTTACTTTTAAATGTTCATAACGTTATTCTGATCCTAGTCAGAAGCGTTCAATGTGAGAATTTTTATTATCTTTTTACAAAGCTATAGCTTTGCATTTGAGAGAAAAAAGTACCTTACATTTAATTTGATCGTACATTCTTCAAAGCGTAGAAAGTATTAAACAAAGATTACATAAATCCTGTGTATAAGAAAAAAACTCATTATCAATAAAAATCACTGAAAACTAAAATGTAAGGCAAAAAAAAAAAAATCCTCATCTAAACTTTTTCTCCATTGTCAATCCTGAAGGGTAGATGTTTGATCACGATTTAGTCTAAAATTTTCATTAAGCTCTATTAATTTGTAAACAACTCTTTACTGTCCTTAACTGAAGGGAACTATGCTTGGCAGGTGACATAAAGAAGACTGAACCAGCCATTTGTGTTCTAGATAGAAATGCATTATGTGTTAGCAAATCAAATTCTTCACGGGATAATAAAGGGTATATCTAGTTCCCTTATCTTCCAGCACATCTATTAATCTGTAAATAATCTGCTGCGAATCTCCTGACAATTATGACAAGTGAAATTTCAGTTTTCCCATTGGAACTGGCATTTTGTTTTGAAAATAGTGACAAGCAACATATGATTGTTAGAGGAAATAAAAGGAAAATATGTCTATTCTATCCATGGGCAAACATATATAGATTTATACAATAAAATATACTACATAGTATGATTTTTAAAACTATCTGATTTTGTAGGACAAGACATCTGCTCTTTTCAATCAATGAATCCTTTTAACTGTTGGAGTTGATTGAATTCCATTGAGCTGATTGAAAAGCAGATTTTTAATATTATGGGTAGTTATTCTACATTAAATCATCACAATCACCTGCAATAACAACAACAATCCAAATATGAAAAGAATTTTAGCCATCATTTGTTGAATGCTTACTATGAGCTACATTTATTCTTATTAAAAAATCCCTAAAGCATAGTAGTGTAGTCCTAATTTTTCAGATGAAGAGATTAAGGCATAGAGTGATTAAATAATATTTCCAAGGTTTCACATAGCTGGTAAGTAAATAAATACAAATATAATAAATAGTAATAAAAAATGGTTACAATAATACAACAATGGAAATATTGGCTGTAATTTGTGTAATGTTTCCCTTGAGCTAGCTATCACTTATCTATACTTACAAAGAACGCTTTGGGGTAAATTGCACAGTTCCAATTATCCAGACGAAAAACTGAGATATAGAGAGAGTGAATAACTAACATGCTAGTAACTGTATAATAATAATAAAAGCAACAATCATGAAAATTATGAAAAGCTTGAACAATTAATAAGTCCTTCCTAGCACTATAGGTAGACTCTATTCTAAATACTTTTCAAAAATTTAATTGAAGGTGCTGTATTTACTCACCCCTTTTTTTTCTCTCCATGAAAACCACGCACCGTAGCTGCTTCTAGTAGGCCATCTTGGCCTCCTCGCTAATCAACCTAAATGTTCATCAATGACAGACTGGATAAAGAAAATTGGTGCATATACACCATGGAATACTATGCAGCCATGAAAAATAACAAGATCATGACCTTTGCCAGGACATAGGTAGAGCTATTGCCATTATCCTTAGCAAACTAACTCAGGAATAGAAAACTAAACACCGCATGTTCTCACCTATCAGTGGGAACTAAATGATGAGAACACATGGACACATGGAGGGGAAGAATTGCACACTGGGGCCTCCCAGAGGGTGGAGGGTAGGTCAAGGGAGAGGATCAGGAAAAATAACTAATGGATACGGGAACAACACACACTGGGGCCTACCAGAGAGTAGAGAGTGGGAGGAGGAGAGGATCAGGAAAAATAACTAGTGGGTACTAGGCTTAATACCTGGGTGATGAAATAATCTGTACAACAAACCCCCCGGCACACATTTACCTATCTAACAAATCTGAACATCCTGCAAATGTACCCCTGAATTTAAAATAAAAATTTTAAAAAATTTCATCATTATTCATTAGAATAATCCCTAGGTATTATTATTTCTCTTAAAATGATAAAAAATTGAAGCACAGACTGGCATAGCTAAATCAAAGGTTCATGATGTCAATTACTATACTAGAAGACCTCAATCTTAAGATGATAATATGTTGTTCAAAAGATAAAATAATAATAGTAAAAATCTCAGGTTTTCAGATAAGTCCACAGATTTTATTTTAAGCATTGAAATAGTATATCTGCCCCAATTATACAGAACCTTGGCTAGCTAACTGGCTAGTTTCACCATGGAAGGGCTTTTGGTTCTTCATATTGAGTGTCTATTTAAAGATTGTTAACATGGAAAAGCAATCTTGCACCTAGAGACTTTTTTCATGGAGTCTATTCACAAGCATGCCAATTCATCAAAACTCCTTGTCATCCCCAAATAAAAGCCCAGATTTAAATTTATCTATTTGACAACTGATGTATACAGTCCTTAGTACATCAATAAAGTCATTTACACCAAACTGAATTGGGAGATCTTCATTCCCACGAATTTATTTCCTAAAGATCATAATATATGTAAAACCTGCAAGCATGACCTTTTCATGTATCTATATATTATCCTTAATGGATTGCCTCTTAAAACAGTCTGAATGCACATATGGCTCCTTTTCACCACTAAACAATCCCAGGGGAGGATTTCAGCAAGAAAAGAGGGAGAGAATGTGTATGTGTATGTGTGAGACAAAAAGAAAAAAAGAAAGAGAGAAAGGAGAGAATCCTCAAAAAAAATCTCTGTGGAGAACGTCATACTTACTACTACTTAGTGAATTAAAAATTCAAACAATTTATGAAATAAAAGAAATAATTTATTTTTTATCCTTCCTCTTCTTAACAGGATACCCATAATGTTAATCAGATTCCTCAATTATTCAGAATACTATTGTACATTATCAAAATGTCCTTAAGTATATGCATATCTTTTGTATATGCACCATTTATTGATTCCACAAATGTTTATTAAGTATCCAATGGGTGACAGATATTTTTAGATATAATCAAGTATATCCCCTAACTACCTTCAAGTTGTTTTACTTTTGTAGAATATGCAAAAACAACTAATGATAACATGATAAACAACATTGGGACAAAATGAAAAGAGATCAGCTGGTAGAAAGAGGTGAATCAGGCAAGAGTTCATGTATGGATTTTAATTGCTTTATTATTTCCCTTCCAGACTACAAACCTATTGAGAGCAAACTTCATGATAGAATTGTCATTTTGTCCTTCAACAGGTCCCCACACAAAGTTTTCCTCATAATAAACACGCTGCATATCTGCTAAATACTACAGAAACTAGAAAGTAACTATGATTTGCATTCAACTATGGTAGCTTTGCTAGAAACACAACCTTCCAACAGAAATTGTATACTCTTCAGAATAGCTCTATATGTGTAAGAAGAAAATTGCTCCATAATTAGAAAAAGTGTTCCCTACTTGCTCTTCAAGAATATGATGACCAAAATTGACATTTTCCTAACCTGTAACTACATTCTAGATTGAGGAAAGTAAAATAATAGTATTTGTTATAATCCTTCACACACTGTGTGGTTTTTAAAATCGTGTAGAAGACTTATTTTGACTTGTAAAATGAGCAAAATAAAAAATAAGTTGAAAAAAATCAGCCAAACTTCCTGTGAGGTAGCAAATATCAAATCAAACTGGCAAATACAAAAATGTATTGGCAATTTTAGAATTTGAAAAACATAACCATAAATCACATTTGATTTTTACAAAGAATTGAATTTGATCTTGTCACCATTGTAATAGAGCCTTAGGGTCTTTGAAACTTCACTTTGATAAATTTAATAAAGGGGAAAGGTACATTGAAAAGGCAAAAATATAGCAAAATACACACACACAGAGAATGTCTGTCTACATGACTAAAATCATTTTTTAGTGAAATCGTGAAATAATATTTGCAAATATTAAGGTAAGATACAACGTGCATCACAGAAAGTGATACAAATCAGCAATATCATGTGATAAAGAAAGTTATTGAGACACACACACAGATAATGGAAGGACAAAGATGTGTGTGTGTGTGTGTGTGTGTCTGTGTGTGTATATATAACGGCAATGGGAGAAGAACTTGTGCTAAGACAGACACGCTATTGCCACTTCCCCTGTGACGTCTGCTTTCACATGGAGGCAAGGTGAATTTCATAAGCTGCCATTAGGAGACAATATTGTAAGTTTTGAGCTGTTTCACTCTCAATATATGACATATAAATTACAATTAAGATGGGAACAAAAGCATAAAGTGTTTTTCAGTCTTGATGGCTTGCTCAGTATCTTAAGAATTATTACCTGTCTTATAATTTATAATATTCCTACCAAAGACTAGAAAAAACCTAATTCCCAATGTCACCAAGAAGAAAGAAAACATTCTTATTCTATATAGTCACTGTTGATTATATGGGGAGTAAAAGTTGGAAACACAGAACTTCACAGAGCAAGTAAGAAGTCAGGTTGGGTCTGAAGATCTTGATTGTGGGTGAGCACATTTTAATTATTCTTCTCCAAAACATCAGATGTCTTTGTTGCCGGGAGGATATATTTTCATTCATGAAATGAATGTCACCAGCCTAGGTCTGAAAATATAGTGTGACAAAATCCAGTTCTTGCTTTACATAGGTTATTTTGGCATCAGTGATGAGAACTGAACTAGAACAAGGATAAAAATTGCTGACAATAAGTTTCTGCCATCATCCAGGTGACATGATGATGACTGACCAGGGGCCAGTGGTGGAAGTGATGAGGAGCAGTCCAATGTTGGATATGGTCTGAAGACAGATCGTAGGGAATGAGCCTACTGGATAATAAATGTGAGAAAACAAAGAAAGAGTCAAGAGTGCTCCCAAATATTGATTGATTTTTGTCTGATCAGGTGGATAAAGGAAATTGCCTTTAATGATCTGGGGTGTGGACATAGTATTGTGAGGTGGGAAGGGTAATGGATTATTACATTTTAAATGTGACTTTAAAATATCCAATTTTATATGTAAGTTGGAAATGTGCGGAGAGATGTGAACCAGAGTTTTACACTGGCATGATGAGAAGAAAGCACTAACATTAACATTTGGGTGGAGAGAGGAGAGGGCCCAAGAAAGGAAAAAATACTGGCAAAGCCCATGGAACAGAGAATGTGAGCTAATATCAAATCCATTTCCTTTTCTTCTTGGCTTCACATTTCCATGAAATTTCCTGGCTCCCCTTGACAAAGCTATATATTACTGATTTCTAGCTGATGTGCCATTTCTAAGTCTGGGGCAAAAACATTTCTTCTGTACAATTCTTGTTCCTTCACCCTCTACCAACTTGATAACAGAAATGCACAGTGACTTTCGAAATCATGTGTTGAAGATGGTTGTGGAAGACATCGCTAGTGCTCCCTATATACAGTTTCTGCTTCTCTATACACGTAGAAAACTGTTTCCAAGAGCCCCTTTCCCAGTTGTGGTAAAAGTGATACTGGTTACTTCTAGACTGAAGAATTTAATTACTAGTGATTCACTTTCCTCTACTTCATTGACCAAAGAGGCTACATGTTTAAGTTGAACTTGCAAGATGGTGAAGGTTTCTTCAGGTTTGGCCTCATGAAGATAATTTTCCATGGAGAGGGGCTCAGCCTTATGATAGACTTTACATAGAATAAGAACCTTTGCTGTGTGAAATCAAATTTTTGTGGTTGTTACCATGGCATAATCTAACACATCCTGAATAAGAGAATAGTGGCACTACAAGCTAGAAGACCTAGTGTGGTGAATTCCAAAAAGAGAGATTCTACTATTACCATAATATATTATTTGGTATTATAAGCTTCCCAATTCTGTGGTTTTCTCTGGAATTATGAATAAAATTTAGAAAAACTATTTTTAACCTATATAAATTATGAGAATGAGGAAAATATTTTAATATAATCTAATTGTGGTTTGGTAACTTAAGTTCAAATTTGGGCAAATAGGCAAAACGTTAAGCCCTGAATATTTACTAACTATCTCTATGTTTTTATCCATAAGAACTATGTTTCTCATAAATTAGAATGAGGTTTAAATTGGATGATTCATGTAATGCACTTAGTACCATGCTGGATATGTAGTTACGTTTTCAATTAAGCTAAGTATTATTCTTAGTTTTTAAGTGGTTAAATGTATTTATATTAGGAATAGACTATTTCAGAAGTAAGTTACATATAGTTTTTCACTGAATCCTATTTCTAGTACTATTTAGTTTAGTTCCATAAACCAGATTAATAATAAATGGTTAATATAAATTCCAAATTGGTTAGCACTGGTTTAGTAAGAATATTTTACCAACATTAAGGTAAATGGCCTCATTATGAAAATGTGAAGTTTATTAGTCAGAGTGAAGACTCATAGAATAAAGTAAGATCTTCATGGCTGTTTCCCAGGGCTAATTGATGTATAATTCTGTTCAGAATCAGAGAACCCTTACAGATGAACTTTTAAGGATATCATTTCCCATTTTATGATTATAGGGGATTGAAGAAATCTGGGACTCAATCTAATCCGTTGAGATTATTGTGAAAAACCCACAACCCAGAAAGATTAAACAAATTACCCAACATTCCTGAATTTGTAGGTGAGAATCTCAAGACTGGACTAGAATTCAAGTTTTTATTCCATTCTTCCATAATTTCCAGTGGGCACATATCTCCTAATTGGCTAGGTAGTAGGTCAAAAAGAAAAGGACATGACTGTGCTTTGCTTTGTTAGAGTCATCAGGTTAAAATATTATCTATTAGACCTTGGGATCCTATTTATTTCTCAAAAGTTAGTATCTACTGCAATGTTTGGAAAATAGTGCAAATTAGCTAAATGTCAAACAAATGGGGTAAGTGGCAGTACTCTTCTACAGGGCAAACATTCTTCAAGCTTCAGTCTTGAGAGGAAACATGTTCATATAGTCTCATGATAACTCACACTTCCATATATAGCTGCTCTATCAAAGTCTAACAAGGGAATACCACTTTTATGGATAATAACTGAGTACTGAGTGGCAAATGAGACATGTTTTTAAAACTCCATATTGAGGCCAGGCACGGTGGCTCACGCCTGTAATCCCAGCACTCTGGGAGGCCGAGGTGGGTGGATCACGAGGTCAAGAGATCAAGATCATCCTGGCCAACATGGTGAAACCCCGTCTCTACTAAAAATACAAAAATTAGCCAGACATGGTGGCACATGCCTATAGTCCCAGCTACTCTAGAGGCTGAAGCAGGAGAATCACTTGAACCTGGGATACAGAGGTAAAACGTTTCCATATTGATACCTATATCTTCCATATTTTGTGTGAGAAAAGTTTTGTCACATGCTCGTCACCCAGTGGCACTTGTAAGAAGGCACATGAAGTATTTTGTTTCAGTGTTGCATAATTGAAAGGACAACATTCCAAGTTAACAGCTATTCACATAAGTATTTATTTTAGCTTGGAAAAAGGGAGAAATCACTGGTTTAAATAGTTGAAAATTCTACTTACTGCTAAATGCAGGTGCTCAAATGAAGCTATTAGAATGATCTTTTTCTACTTTTCTCCATTGTGCTTTTGTTTGTGATGATTTCATTCTCATGCAGACCTTCCGACAAGGGAGCCAAAAGCTGCTGCCAGCAGCTCTAGATCTACATCCTAACAATTCAGCAACCCCACCAGAAATAGAGTCTAGAGTACCAGAAGGGAGGACAGATTCTAGACAAACCAAATGACACATATCCACTACATCTACTTAGCTACCATGGCAAGATTTAGAGAGTTTCTAGAGTGTTAAATACATTTAGGAAGTGTCATAAGCACCTAAGAGCACTTCATTTCTCCCTTTTTCTGGTAGTCATTAAGTGCCCGTGGTTGAATAGCTTTTTTTAATTCAAAAAATGATTTTCCTATGTGTTCTAGTTTTCTGGGTACTAAGGATGGAAAAACACAGCCACTAATGTGGACAGCGTATTAGGCTTGAAAATACCTGATCACAATGCCATGACATCACTGTTGTAGTACAGATGCTACAAAGACCAACTGGTGCTTGCGATATGCGCACGTCAGTCTAGGGAGAAAAGGAAGGCTTTTCAGGTTATGTATCTAGGTATTAATAAAAAGGCATTGTGGCCAGGCGTGGTGACTCATGCCTGTAATCCCAGCACTTGAGGAGGCCAAGGCGGGTGGATCACAAGGTCAGGAATTTGAGACCAGCCTGGCCAATATGGTGAAACCCTGTCTCTACTAAAAACACAAAAATAAGCCGGGCGTCGTGGCAGGCACCTGTAATCCCAGCTACTCGGGAGGCTGAGACAGGAGAATCGCTTGAACCTGGGAGGCGGAGGTTGCAGTGAGCCGAGACTGCACCACTGCACTCCAGCCTGCATGACAGAGTGAGACTCTGTCTCAAAAGACTTTGTGACAGTATGCTAAATTGAAGATACTTTTCCAACAGCTTCCGCCTATAAAAATATTGTATGCTCTAGCAGCCACTTTGAATTCCCAGTGCCACCCAGAAGTGGTTCTTTCCTTATTTGTGGCAAGTCTGGGATAAGGCAGAAGTAGATTACAATGCTGCCCTATCAAAATCAAACAGAATGGAGTCTTGCTTTGTCCCTGCAGAGCTGATGCATCTGTATTTTACCAGGAATGTGGAGTTTGGTGTTTAGATATATTGAACAGTGAATAATCAGGATTGGTAAATCTAAGCTTTCAACAAATCTTCCCTTGTTTTTATTCTGTGTAAAGGGGATAGATCCTGAAAGATTTTATTAAAATCCAGTCTAAGTATTTGCTCTAGTCTCTTATTTCTGGGCCATGTCGGTTTTCCTTTCTTGTTATAGATTGGTGAAGAGCTAAAATAACAAGCCCAACTTGGTGTATTTGACTCACGAGTAGAGTATGACTTTTAACTAGAAATAGCATTGTCTTCTCAGCAATGCTAAAATACGTTATCTATCCTAAGCCATACTTTTTTAACATCATAATATTTTCATTACATCTTACAATTAATGACCTTCCAGTTAGTGACAATATTTTGGGTTTTTTCTCCTTTATAGGTAGAAAAAATGATGGAGAATTTTAAACCAACAATATTAGATTTGGTAAGTTCTAGTATATAGCCCAGGAAGGATGAAAGCTATATGTGGAGGATCTATTCTGAAGCCAGACTGTATGTTTGTATCTAGACTCCAACACTTACTAGTTGGGTGGCCCTGGGCAAGTTACTTACCTTCTCTATGTCTCATTTTCCTCATCAACAAAATAGGTATAATAAGAGTAATAATTTCAAGGGTTTTATGATATATATATATATATGTTAGTGCTTACAAAATCCTTTAATTAATGGCTAGCACATAGATAGCATCTTCAGTTAATGTTAGCTATTGTTATAGGTCCCATTTGTCGTACGATCAGCAGACTCTCAATGCCAAACCCTTAAATATTATTTTCTTTATATTGCTTTCTATTTTCTTTCTATTGCTTTTCCTTCAGTTATAAATGCCACACAGCTTGTCCCCCCAAGTTCAGAGAGGCAAGAAAACTTAGGGCCTGGAGTTTGATTTGCAAAAAAGTTCTACTGCACTGTCCAATGTGTAGTTGCTGTCACACATGGCTATTTACATCTAAATTAATTAAAATTTAAAAATTAAAATTCAATTTCTGTGTCACGTGGGCCACATGTCAAGTGTTAACCACACGTGGCTAGTGGCTACCATATGGGACAGCAGAGATGATACAAGACTTCTCCATTATTACAGAAAATGCTAATAGGTCACTGCTGGTCTATGATCCCTAAGCCAGTTTCCACCAGAAGCCTCCTTTTAATGATTCCATTACAAATTTAACAATAATGTGATATATTTACAATTAGGAGATACCAAATCATCATAGCTTTTATAAACTTCCTATTGTAGGGAGAACTACTATTTTGTAATAATCAATCTTGTCTTTAAATCTAGATACCCATAATGGATATTCATGATAAACCTATTTAGGCTTGGGTATGTCATCTATGACTTCCATATAGAAGAAAAATTATCTAGTCAAGATGAGCTGACATTTATCTTAGCTAAGGAAACCTAGTTAGGATGATATTTTCTTTATTTTAACAAATGTCTATTGAACTCATTTCAAGACAAAAGCTCTCTACTTAGTTGTAGGTGGGGAAACCAGCGAGAGTATGATACATTTCCTGAACTCAAATGACTTGTTCTATTTGGGTTATAAAAAGAATACAATGAAATACTATGAAAATTAGGATATTATACTTTTAAATGAGATGAAAGAGATGAAAGTTTTGCAGGTTCAAATGAGGAGAACATAACAGAGATTTTCTAACTTGATCTGAAAACTTTCCTAAAGATTGTAGTTATATCTCACTGTCTATCTCCTTCTGTTCCCATCTCCATTCCTGACCTGCCTTCTAACTTCCAAAATGAATAAAAAGGTCCAGTTACCTGGATCTTCCACACAGGCACAATTGAACCAATCATAAGGTAGGTTTGGATAGGTCTCAAACAGGATCTCTTTACCAAAGTCTACTTAACTTTTTTATAATTCACATTACTTTAGTTATTTTGTACGGTTTAGAGAACTTAAGCCTGTTTTAGATGTGTTCTTTGGAAAAATGCAATAGAGACTGTGTAACACTAAGTCATATAATATTGTTAGTTACTGAAAAAATATCAAATTTCAAGAGTAATTGTGATGACAACCATCAGGTGCACTGCAAAATCTTTTAAACAATTATTCAGTATTTGAGTTTTTCTTAACCAAATAACATTTTCTAAGGTTTTTAATTAAAAAGTCTTAACAGCTTCATTGTCAAAAAACTACTTTTACAAAACGTAATGCAAAGTATAAAACCTACATACTTTCTCACCAAGTGATACACAAAGTAATTCAATAAATCACAACTTTTTTCAAAGGATTACTTGGACTCACTGACACTTGCTTTATTATAAGATTGCTTCTGTTTATTTATCTGACATTGGATAGTAAAGCAAAGCCTAAGAAAGACAATGAATTCAAATATTTCGCCAAGCTGTGTTCCTTGAGTAGGTGAGGGAGAATGGGAAGAATCTCTTTTTAGGCTCACATGCCTTTCAAATTAAAAGATAACACATTAGTAAGAAATGTTTTTATTCAGTCCTTTTCCCATAGACGAAAGGAATATCCACTTCTCAGAAGAACAGAAACAGGGAAGAAGTACTTTCTAGCACCTTGCTTCACTTCCATGGGAAGACTAAGTTGGAAGACGTGATGGAGTAGTTGTGACTCACCTGGTTCCTTCTTGCACAGTAGTGGTTTATCCTTGACATGCATAGATTTTTTTCCCTCTGCCAGGCTAAAATGGCTTCTCCCTTTATGGAAGACCCAGTGATGTCCAACTTTGCCTGAGTCTCAATTCAAGTTTGTGTTTTATTTTTTTTCTCCAATTTATCCTCGTAAGTCATGAAGCTGATATTTTGAGTCTCACATGATTGGCTCATAATTTTTTCTCTGAATGATTTCAAACTCAAAGGAAGAAGAGGGGAGTGATTTTACAGTATCACTCAAGACCTAGAATCCTTTGGAATCTATTGAATCTATACATATATAATCCATTTGGCCAATAATTGATTATTGAAGTTGTTGCAAGAAATGCTGTTTTTAGAAGGCTCATATAATCATTGGGTTCTTCACTTTCGTGGTGTTTTACAAAAATTCAACACTATTGTTAAAAAAACCTTAGAAAAATTAATTTTAACAGAGTTTAATTAAGCAAAGAATGATTCACAAATTGGGCAGACTCCCAAACCCAAGTAGGCGCAGAGGGACTCCAGCTCAGCCATGAAGATCTATGGACAGAAAAAGGAAAGTAACTTACAGAAAACAAAGGTGAAGTACAGAAATAGCCAGACTATTTACAGCTTGACTTGATGTTTGCCTTGTTTGAACACAGTTTGAACCGTTGGCCACATTTAGTTGGCCAAAACTTGGTGATTGCCACAAGAGTATGTTACAGTCTGCTTACACATCCAGGTAGGCTTCAATTTACTAGGTACAGAGAAACCCTTAGGCTAAACTTAAAATATGCAAGAAGGCAGCTCTAGGCAAAACTTACTTTAACACTATGCTATGCACCTTTAACTACATCTTGCTTTTGATGTTCCCATTTAAGTGTAGATTGTAGATAACCTTCCCAACTGTGTCTTAGAGATCTAATTATCTCTTTCAGTAACAGTTTTACACAATTTTATGGTATGCATATGCCACAATCTTCACAACCCTTCTCTTACTGAGGGAAATTCACTGTTGTTAGTTTTTGCTATTATAAGTAGTGCTGCTATGGATATTCCTGTTTATTTGTCCTTATTTACTGGTACATTTATTTCAAGGAGATAGATTCTCACAGTGGGTTACCATTAAATTCATATACGTCAAGGCTCATTTCTCATAATTCCTATTCCTACGCTTTGAACTTCTTTGTCTCGAAGTCTCTATTTTAGTTTGCTATAGTTAGTATTCCATCTTTAGTAATGTCTTTGGATTAGATATTTGGGTAACCTATTAACTGAACTCTTACCAAGTCATACTTTTTTTCCTTCATAACAAATGACAGATAATACGGCTGTCTATAAAATTTAGGATTGCGTTCTTTTTGTATAACTAGTTTTGTAGGTATTGTGTTATTGTTTCACACCTAGTCATATGGCATCTGAGAAGTTGACTCCTTGAGTTTTCCTTTGAAAGTAATATGCTCATTATGTCTGAAAGTATAGCAAAGGTTGATTTTCTTTTATTATTTCAATCCACAAATATAGTAAATTTATTTTTGTCTACTTCAGAATTTTTGTAAATTTCTATTTTTTAATCTTTATTTTTCCCAGCAATGTTTTTATTTTCAGCAATGTTTTTATTAATTATTCAGCAATTTACTCCAACATAATTGATGTTGAATTTTTTCAGGAGTTTATTTGTATGTATTTTATTATACTTATTTATAAATATTTTATAATTGTTGGCATTACTTGAAGTGGGATTTTTAAAGTTTTATTTCCTAAATGTATTCTGTTAGCATATAAAAATACCTTGTGACTTCAACTTTTTAATTCTAACAGTCCATTAGTAAACTCACTGTTATTTTTGATGTAAGCTAATACATCATATGACAATAGGTAGAATTTTTACTTCTTCCTTGAATATTTTTATGAATTTTATTTATTTGTCCTATTGTAGTGTTAAGAATATCCAGTACTATGTTAATTGGAAATGATAATAGCAGGCATCCTTGCTTTGTTTCCAGTCAGGGGAGAAATTTAAGTCTTTTAGTATTAAATATAAAGTTTTCTCTAGGTTTTACAAAGATCTTCATCATCTGATTAGTGAGATTTTCTACTTTCCTGATTTGCTCAGATTTTTTTAGTCATAATTGATGTTGAATTTTTTCAGGAGTCTTTTCTGCATGTATTAAATATCATAAGCTCTTATATCTTTATGGTCATAATATGATAAATCACACTGGCTGATTTTCAACCTGGTATTACTAAGACAATCCCTACTTTAACATGGTGTTTATCCTTCTACATATTGTCAGATTTTATTTGGCAATATCTTGTTAAGGATTTGAATCCACATTAATGAGAGATAATGTTTTATAGTTTCCTAGTTTTATAATTCTTTGTCAAAATTTAGTATTAGGAATATGCTGATCGTATGAAATGACTTGTGCAGAGATTCTCCTGTTTTGTATAAAAGTTTGTATTAGTTTAGCATTAATAATTCCTTCATATTTGAGTAAACACATGAGTAAAAACATCTTGCCTTAGAGTTTTTATTTGTGGAGAGTTGTTTTTATTTATAACAAGCAGATTTTATTTAAGAGGTATAGGGCTATGTTCAATTTTCTATTTCTACTTTTGTCAATTTTGGTAAGTTGTATTTAACATGAAATTTTGCCACTTTGTCTAAGGTTCACAGTTGATTGTATCAAATTGTTCATAATATTCTCTTTATCCCTTTAATGTTTGTAGAATCTGTAATAATAGCCATTCATGCATGCTTAATATTGATAAATGTATTTTTTATTTTCTTCATTAGTCTTGGGAAAGGTTTGGTAATTTGGTTAATATTTATATACAACACGATTTTGATTTACTTTTTCTAATTTTAAGATGTATTTAATTCTTATTTATTATTTAAATTATTCTACTTATGTTAAGTTTACTTCCTCTTCTTTTCTAACTTCTAATAGCATAATATTAGGTCAACAATTGTAGAACATTCTTATAAAATAACAATTTTAAAGATACATGTTTCCCTTTAAGAACTGCTTTAGCTGCATCCCACAGTTTTGATGTTTCAATTTATCTATTGGCTTCTTGGTTTTGGTTGTATTTACAAAACATGATGGGGGAAAGGAGATCTTTTAAAAGGATACCTTTTTAAACTTGCTGTTCCAGGAATTACAATGCAAAAACCTAACTTGTACATGCACAGTTACACTTAATATTATACCACCTCACGTAAAAAATAAAAAGCTTACATTCTCTAATTATGCTATAGTTTTTATATTTCTTATTTAAACTCTAGAAGACAACGTTTTTTCTTTAAACAGTCATGCACACTAGAATGAATTAAGAGTAAAATTATCATTTACATGTACCCAGGTATTACCATTTCTGTTGCTCTTTATTTTCAAAGATCCAAGTATGCAACTTGTATCATTTCTCTTCAGCATTTAGCATTTCTTGTAGAACAAGTCCATTGGTGACAAATTTTCTTAGTTTTTCCTTATCTAAAAATGTCTTCTTTTTGACTTTTTTTTATTTTACTTTAAGTTCTGGGATACATGTGCGGAATGTGCAGGTTTGTTACACAGGTATACATGTGCCATGGTGGTTTGCTGCACCTATCAACCCGTCATCTAGGTTTTAAGCCCCGCATGCATTAGGTATTTGTCCTACTTCTCTTTCTCCACTTGCCCCCACCCACCCCTGACAGGCCCCGTTGTGTGATGTTCCCCTCCCTGTGTCCATGTGTTCTCATTGTTCGACTCCCACTTATGAGTGAGAACATGCGGTGTTTGGTTTTCTGTTCTTGTGTTAGTTTGCTGAGAATGATGGTTTCCAGCTTCATCCATGTCCCTGCAAAGGACATGAAATCATTCTTTTTTATGGTTGCATATTCCATGGTGTATATGTGCCAGATTTTCCTTATCCAGTCTATCATTGATGGGCACTGATGGACAACCAATTTTCTTCTATTCTGTAGGTTGCCTGTTCACTCTGATGATAGTTTCTTTTGCTGTGCAGAAGCTCTTTAGTTTAATTAGATCACAGTTGTCAATTTTGGCTTTTTGCCATTGCTTTCGGTGTTTTAGTCATGAAGTCTTTGCCCATGCCTATGTCCTGAATGGTATTGCCCAGGTTTTCTTCTAGGGCTTTTACAGTTTTGGGTTCAACATTTAGGTCTTTAATCCATCTTCAGTTAATTTTTTGTATTACATGCTTATCTTAAGTAGAAAAACTTTAGTTTAAGAAGTAAATTTGGAGCACTCTCTTTTAAGATTTTAAGTTTGTTTCTAGAGGAGATTTTCCTGATGTAAAATTCTGTTTTGGCAGTTCCTCAGTTTTAGAAATTAAAGATGTTCCATTCTTTTTGACATCATTTGTTTCTAATGAGGATTCCGTGAACATTCAAAATATTGCTTCCCTGCAGGTGATGTGTGATTTTCCCCTAGTGATTTTCAAGAATTTTTCTTATCTTTGATTTTCATCAATATGAGTGTAAGATAACTATGAATGGTTTTCTTTAAATTTTCCTGCATGTGGCTGAGTTTTCTGAATTTGTAAATTTGTATCTTTCACCAAATTTTAGAAGTTTCCCGTCATTTTTTTACATAATTATTTTGTCTTTATTTTCCTAATCTTCCGGGACTTCAACGTCATGTATCTTAGACTTTTCAATGTTATCAAATAGGTCCCCAAGATTTTGTCTTTTTTCAAATCATATTTTGGTCTCAAAAACAAGATAATTTCCATTTTGTGTAATTTGGGTTCACTCATTCTTTATTCTAGCATCTCCATTTGATGCATATTTCCTTTCTTTAAAACTTTATTCAGAGTTATTTTTAAATACTGATGTTTTCACTAGTGAAAAGAGATTCAGTTCTGCTTTTGTGGGGATTTTGAGTTTACCTTTCAGTGTCAATACCCTGAAGCTCTAAATTCTGCCAAATGTCTTCAGAGACTCATTGCCTTTAGTCAGTTTCCCTCCCACAGTATATTCAAGAAGCTTTCTTCTTAGCTCTCCAGCCTCACAAAAGCTTCACCAGACCAGAGCTCATCAAAGATTTCAAGTATACAGGGCTTCTTAAAGCAAGCCCATACAAATGTAAAAAATGTACTGGTTTTGTTTTCCCCAATAGAGTCCCTCTGCTTTGGCCAAGCTTGAGCCTCAGTTTATATCTAAAATTGTAAAAATAACTTTTATAAGTTAATTGAAATCATGATCCTTACTTTTATTTATTTATTTTTTAGAGACAGGGTCTTGCTCTGTTGCCCAGGCTGGAGTGCAGTGGTGCAATCATGGCTCACTGAAGTTTCAACCTCCTTAGCTCAAGCAATCCTCTTGTTTCAGCCTTCCTAGTAACTGCAGCTATAGGCACACACAGCCACACTCAGCTAATTTTTTCAAAAATTATTTTTTGTAGGGACAGGATCTCCCTATGTTTCCCAGGTTGGTCTCGAACTCCTAGCTTCAAGCAATCCATCCTCCCTCAGCTTCCAAGCATTGGGATTACAGGCATGAGCAACCACACCCAGTCTCATGTCCTGTTTTTCTCCATTTTTATTTTATTTGAGTATGTGAAACATTAACATAATTCTATTATATCATCATTATTTTTCCCTTGTAATTGTAGAATTTTGAAGCCTCCATGTTGCCACTATCTCTTGCTTGGGTTTAATCTTATCTTTGTCAATAATACAAACCAGCGTTTTTTTCCTCTTTCTTTACTGTAGACGCTTTTCTGCTTCATGTATTGGAGGTAAATTGCCTATTATGAAAGAACACCACCCTCTGTCGATATACTGAAGATGTGAAATCCATTATTGAATTATTCTCTCATAGTTTTATTCATGCTTAATGATTTTTAGAATTATGCCAGCAGAGATTCTTTTTCAAGGTTTTATGTTCAAGATAGAAAGATTTCATAGTATGGAAATAAAATGTCATTATTTAAAATTACTAGCTAGCTTGCATGACAGCTACTGGGAGTTAGTCTATAATACGTCTTCATGAACTGGTTACATATTTTTGAATTTACATTTTTTTCCCAAGGTTGAATATTTTTAAAAAGTTGTAACGACTTATTTTAAATTTATAATGTTTCAAGGTACATTTAAAGAATATCTTAAAAGAGAATGCTCCAAATTCACTTCTTAAACTACAGTTTTTCTACTTGGTAAGCACGCTTCATTCTGGTGCATATATAACTGACTTCTCAAAAAAACAAAACAAAACCTTCCTGAAAAGCCCAATGATTTTGCTGAACTCTTAGTATAGCTCTTATGGATCTTGGTTTTTTATTTACCTAGATTTATTTATAAGATGCTAGAAATGCTACATCAAGTATAAAATTATTATTTGTGTCTGTGAAATGCTTATTTACTGAATTTGTAAATAGAAATTCATTTAGTAGAAATAAGACACTGAAAATATGCTTGAAATTACTGGTATTATTATTACTTTGCCATTTCACGTACTTGGACATAAATATGATTGTGTTGGTATACAGGTGAGCCAATTAATGAAGATTCTACTGTGTCAATTGTACAATATTCAGTGAATGCACTGTGTGTGCTCTCATTCTGCAAGCTTTTGTTACTAAATCCATTTTATTATAAAACTAATTGTGTTCCAGGGAAAAAGTTATGTATCACTGATTGTTTCAATTATTTTACATAAATGTTAAATGCCTAATATCTGTTAAATATTTAAGAGACACAAAATAGAACACATTGTAAATGACTTGTTTTTCAATAGAGAAAATCATGTCTTAAATATGAGATTAGCAGAAGTGATGAAAAGTAAAGAAATATTGAGTTCTATCAATATGACAGATTAAATAACCTGATAATCCTCCTGGTCAAGAATATTAAAATGTACAATAAAATATAACAAATATCTTTTTAAGTGCTAACCAGAAAAAAAAGAAAGTTTCTGAGGTCAGAAACAAAAAGCAAACTAAAACTGATTTTGATTTTAGCTGATGCTACAGTTACCCTGCCCTCGTAGAACAGGAGAAGAGGTATTGGTTTTGTCATCTAAGAGCCAAATTTTCTAAGCTCACATGGAAAAATGAGCATTTAGCCTGTATGATATGGGGAGATAGACCAGAACTACATGAAGAAGCTGGCAGGTTTGAAAGGTTGCATCCTTTGTAAAATATTAGAGGAATACAGAAAAAACCCAGCCCTGGCACAGGGAGATAATAAATAATTTGGAATAGGGCATGTGCCATAAAGATTAAGGACAGAGCACATCTATTTTGGCGTGATCTCTGAGTGAACAAAAATTGAATTCTGAGTTTATATCTACAGCTATGTACCCTTATGGATTTGAAGTTTGAATTTACACTATTTGCATATTTCAGGAATATGAAACAAAATATGTTAATATTATAAATACTTCAAGAAGGGAATAAAATGCGTTTGGTGTGTTGGAAGCAATTGTGAAACTACTCTGGACAATCATGCCCTCAAATCAAGTAGCATATTGTGCCACAGTAAAATTAAAGCAGAAATAAAAATTATAATAATTTTTAAAAGTCTAAAACGCAAAGGTTACTACATTCCATGACTGAGATAATAGAATCAACCATAGAAGTATTAGACCCTGTATCATTCAGGGTTCCATAAGAAATCAGGTGGCATACTCAAATTAGGATAATTCAAGGAAAATTATTTAAGAAAAGATAGATGACAAAGTAGTAAACTGAGTGTAGAAGAAATAGTGTAGTAATTTTTTCCATAGCAATGGAGCTGAGTTCTGAAATGACCGATGAGGGAAGATTTTCAGAAATCGAAGTAGAAGGAAGTATTTTCAGCAAACTTTCTGGAGAGGGATAGTCATTTTTTAAAAGGGATACAGCAAGTTTAAATCAATTTTTTACATAGCAAGCATATAAAGCATACACATAAATACCATGACCTCATTCCTCTTTCTCCCTCCCTGTAGTTAGTCCAAACCACTAGTCAGACCCAATCAGAAACCATAAAAATGAGAAACTTTTTGTGCAATTTACACTGGTCGATCTCCTGAGGTAGAGAGCAGGTGGCCTATAAGGAAAATGGTGGTTAACTTTTTGACCTCCAGAAAATTTGAAAAACAGAATGAACTTTTACAGCCTTAAAAGAGAGTATACAGCCCGGGTGCGGTGGCTCACTCCTGTAATCCCAGCACTTTGGGAGGCCGACGTGGGCCGATCACAAGGTTAAGAGATGGAGACCATCCTGGCCAACATGGTGAAACCCCGTCTCTACTGAAAATACAAAAATTAGCTGGGCATGGTAGCGGGCGCCTGTAGTCCCAGCTACTCGGGAGGCTGAGGCAGAAGAATTGCTTGAATTCAGGAGGCAGAGGTTGCAGTGAGCCGAGATCACACCACTGCACTCCAGCCTGGCGACAGAGCGAGACTCCTTCCCCCCCCCAACAAAAAAAAGGAAAGAAAAAGAAATAAAAGAGAGAGTATACTTAAAAATGATTGAAAGCATACAGATATTTTAAAATAATGACAATGAAACTTCAGAAATAAAAACAAATATCAATGGAATTAAAATCTTAATGAACAGATTGAATTCAAAATAGGTTAAGGAAAGAGAAAAATTTATAAAACATAATGAGAAGCTGAATAGGTAGTGAATTATCCTGCGTCCCCTAGGAAAAACAACCTGAGCCAAAGCTTACATACTAATGCTTTATTTGGCGGTATAATCCCAAGGATCACAAATGAAGACAAAAAGAGAAACTGAGGCAAAGAAGAAAGGGAAATAAATTCAATTCAGTACATCAGTAAGGGGCTACATATTCGAAGAAAGCACAACTGAACTCTCAGAAATGTAAGAATATCTGAACAGACAATACAGAACCTATGTGCTTCAGAGCAGTCTTTCAGGGGAGTGAAAGGAGTTTTTCTGCCTTCCATCAAAGGTGACTCCATGGATCATTAACATTTCCAGCATTTCCACAAATATGGGGAAAACCACACTCCAGACTCCAGGCCCCATGGAGAGGTGCTCCACAGGAGCTCAGGTCTACAGTCAAGTCTAGTTCTGAGGAAATGATTCAAGAAGAGCAACAACCAGGTCTCTGCAATGATTAAGCTGCCCAGAACCCAGGAGGCAGGTGTGTTTCATTAAAGCAAGGGATGCACATATGTTGTGCACAATACAGATAGAGACTAGAAAAGTCAGGAGAATTCCAGAAAGAAAGGATACAGAAAATGATAAATAGATAATATTTGAAGAGACAAAGACTGACAATTTTTCAGAACTGATGAAAGATATGAATCCCCAGATTTAAAAAGTAAGAATAACAAACAGGACAAATTAAGCAAATCAACCCACAGACATAATTTTTTAAAGTTAGAGGCAAAGAGATTTTCAGAACTATCAGAGAGAAAAAAGGAGCTATATTGTCAGGAAAACAAATGTTTAAAGCATAGGAAAGACTTTTACTAAGAGGATTACTTTAGGAAAATGCTGAAACAAACACAAGAAGGCTGTGAGGTGAGCTGCAAGAATAGTTGGTAGCAAAGAAATTTGTAAACGTGGGTTCTTATAAATCAATTTGATTATATAAAACTATAATAGCAATAATGATTTGAATAATGTATAATTAATGCTGATGTGAACTATCAGAAAAAAATGCAATGAGAGACATTAGCAGCTAATGAAATATTTTAGTATTTTTGAGAGGAGATATCATTACTAAATTTATTTTTAAGTCAACTATTTATTTAGAAATGTTAAGATGAGCTAAAAGAAATAGAACACAGGCATGGTGGCACATTCCTATAATTACAGCACTTTGGGAGGTTCAGGCAGTGGGGTGGGGGGAATCAACTTGAGGCCAGGAGTTCAAGACTAGCCTGGCTAACATGGTGAAACCCCATCTCTACTAAAAATACAAAAAATAGCCGAGTGTGGTGACGCACATCTGTAATTTCAGCTACTCAGGAAACTGAGGCATGAGAATTGCCTGAGCTTGGGAGACAGAGGTTACGGTGAGCCGAGATTGCACCCTGCACTCCAGCCTGGACAACAGAGCAAGACACTGTCTCAAAAAAAAAAAACAGAAAGAGAAAGAAGAAAGAAGAAAAAGAGAAAGGAAGGAAGGAAGGAAGGAAGGAAAGAAAGAAAGAAAGAAAGAAAGAAAGAAAGAAAGAAAGAAAGAAAGAAAGAAAGAAAGAAAGAAAAAGAAAGAAAGGAAGAAAGGAAGGAAGAAAGAGAGGGAAGGAAGGGAAAGAGAGAAAAGAAATAGAATGCAAAACTTCCAAATCAATAAATAACAAAAATTTAAGAAGATAGAAAGCAAACTTGACAAAATATCAAAAAAGTTCAAGGAACAGCAGAAGGAAAAATATAAAAGCAAAATTATGATATAAAGAAAGGAAAAGGATACATTGACAGAAAAAAGTCTAATGTAAAGACATTTAGGATAAATGTAAATAGACCAAGTCTTTTGGTAAAAAGATGTGCAAATTATATTTTATGCACTTACAGGAGATGTATATAATACCAAAAACTGAAATATACAAAACAGTTGAAAGTAAAAAGAAAATCTGCTTGTCATAATCAAATTTGGGGAAACTATAACTAATAAGGCAATAAAAAGTGTTACTAGGCAAATGTATTACTTCTTCCTGGAAAGAAATAATTATCATAATAGGAATAATAGCAGGAATCATAAAGTTAAACCAAGTACAAGTTACATTTTTACTCATTTAAAAACTTTTTCATATTTCATAACTTTTATAACAGCATTACAAATTACTGATCCTTAAAAGAAAAATATAAAATATTCAATTTATTTTTTAAAAAGTGATACCAGGAATAGAGAATAATTACATGTTTACATAAGAAGTGAAATTCAATCAGGAGATATAAAATTCTGAATTTGCATTTATCTGATTATATAACCTTTAAAATATGTAAAATAAAATCGATTTTAAAAGAATTACAAAGCAACATTAGCTAAGCTATTATAACAGGAGATTTTAACAAATTCCTTTGTAGTTATTTAGAGACTAAGATTTTTAAAAAAGAAATACAGAAATTACAGCAATATAAGTGAAAATTGATCTCAGGAATATATCATCTTGATAATGTAGAAAAATAACATTAAATTGAGAAAACAGAAAAATTAGATTTTGATACAAAATATAAAAGATAGTAACTATATAATAAAGAGGCAGAAGAGAAAAAAATTGTTTAAAGATAAATAAAATAGACAAAACTCTATCAAGAATTATCAACAAAATTGAGTGGCACAAATAAACATTAGAAATATAAAATTATAATAAATTTGAACATGTTAGAAATTTCAAATGTAGTAGAAATATAGTAGAAACAATATAATACCAATAAAATTAAAATTTTAGGTGAAATAGACACATTTATAATAAAATTAAAACGCAGTCTATGATGCCTATTAATATTATTTCTCTTCAAAAATTGTAATATTAATACTACTCAAAAGATACTATAAAGTGAACTAAAATTATAAATATTGGGAAGAAAAAGTAATATGTTTATTATTCACAGACAATATCCCTTCTTCAAAGGAAAGCAAATCATAGATAAAATATCAATGTATAAAATAATACCAGTTTCTCCAAACAAAAGTAACAAACTTTTGGAAATATTATTTTTAAAAAATTAGTTAAAATATCAACTAAATTTATAAGGAACCAAAAAATAATTATCCCAAAATGTGAATAACTAAAAGAAGGAAATAAAGCTACTTAAGGAAATCAACTACATTCATAAATAGACAGACTGTATCTTATAAATGCAAATTCTTTCTTATTCAATTTTAATTGTATACTTAAGTTTTAAATACATATTGACTTAAAAATAAATTGAATTAGTAAGAATTTTCATTTTTAAGATACAGAGTCTTTCTCAGTATTCATGTATAAGATATAGAATAACAGAATTCATCTTATTAATGCCAGTACAAACTTTGATAGTCTTTTTGTTTGTTTAACACGAAAAGGTGATCACAAAATTCATGTGGAAAACTACAGGCCAAGACTAGCTAAGATAAGAACAAAAGAGTAGGGTTACTCATCCAACTATACATTGGTATTAATTCAAGAAATGACAAAAAAGAGTCTAGAAACTTAGGCACATGTGGAAATGTGATATAGAGATGACATTGAAGATTGACAGGGAAGGTAGTAATAATGTAATCAATTGATTAAAATTAATTATACAATTGATTATTACTCCTGAAATAAACTTCTTATGATATGAAAATAATATTGGATTCATATTTTACTCCAAATACACATAAATGAAACTAGATTGATCAGGAACAAAAAAGTAAAAGCTGAAACTTTAATTCATTTAGAAATAGATATAGAATACAATCAATAAGACCTCATCAGAGGTTTAATTTCTTAAACAATGTACAAACTTCTGAGCATAAAAGAAAACATAATTCTATTCAGATAAGATTAAGAACTCTTCATGCAAAGACATCATAAAGTAAAAACATTACCCACAACCTGGGAGAAGATATTTATGTCATACATAAAAAAGACTCAGTATCCAGAAGACATAAACTATTCCTGCAAATCAAATAGAAAAAGGTAACCAACACAATTCAGAAATGCATGAAAGGCAAGAATTAGGCACTCACAGAAAGAGAAAATAACCCAGGCCCTCTTATCCAAATGCTTACTTGATATCTCCATTTGGATGTACAAAACTGAACCTATGTTTCCCACCTGTCCAAAAATCTGCTCCTCTGCCATCTTCTCTTCAGTTACTGGCAACTTCATCTTTCCAGTTACTCAAATCACGACACTGGGAGTCTTCTTCCACTCTTCTTCAGCGCATTGCACAGTTCATGTAGCAACACATCCCGTACTCTGCACCTTCAAAACGTAGCCAGCGTCAGATCGCCACTCACCACTTTCCCTGCTACCACCCTGGGCCAGAAAGTTACCAATATGTCTCATCTATCCACACTGGTCTCCACACCTTCATTCTCGTCCCATTAATCTTTTCTCAATATATCATCCAAAAGATCCTATTATCCTTAGCAAACTAACGCAGCAACAGAAACCAAACATGCATGTTCTTACTCATAAGTGGCGGCTAAATGATGAGAACCCATGAACGCAGAGAAGGGAACAACAGACACTGGGATCTACTTGAGGGTGGAGGGTGAGAGGAGGGAGAGGAGCAGAAAAAATAACTATTGGGTACTAAGCTTAATACCAGGATGATGAAATAATCTGTACAACAAACTCCCGTGACACAAGTCTACCTGTATAAAAACCTTCACATGTACCCTCGAACGTAAAGTAAAAGTCGAAAACAGAAAAATGTAAATCAGAGCAGATTAGTCTTCTGCTTAAACTTCACAATAGCTTTTTGTCTTTTTCAGAGTAAAAGCAACATTTTTCTTATGATTTCCTTGATCTGGTCTCTCATTACAAATCCCCTCTATTATCCTGCTACTCTCTCCTTCCTACCTACACTCCACTCCAGTCGTACGGGTAACTTTGCTTTTTCTAATGTACATCAGATACAGTCCTGAATCCGGACTTGTTCTTCAGCCTGATATACTCAGATACAGTTACTCATGAAGTATTATCTCCTTATGTGCATTCATGTCTTACCCTAAAAACTACTTGAAATTTGAGCCCCTCCATTTACTATCTTTTTTAATCTTCTTCTTTCCTGCTTTCCTTTTTTTCTTAGCATGTATTGATGTTTAATGTTTTGTGTTTATTTACCTTGGTTTTTTGTCTTACTGGAATGTAACCTTTAGAAAGGTAGGGTTGTTTTCTGATTTGTACACGGCTATATTCCTCATATCCAGAACAGTGCCTGATCCTAGAAGACAAAGTAGAGAAAACTTCTCTTACATCAAAATACAGACACAAATATAGGGAAAATATGAGATAAATATCAAGAAAATAAGATGGCCCATTCTAAAATGACAAGATCTGAATAATAGGACTCCTGAACAAGGGAACAAAAAAAATGTGAGGAGGGGGAGAAAATTTTTAAATTGACACAAAATATTTCCTTAAATTAAAGGACATGCTTTCCAGATTAAAGCTGCCACTTTTTGTGAAAAATAAGCTTTAAAATTTGTGAACAATCCATATAACCTGGGAATTTAGAATACAGAGATTACAGCAAAAAACTTAATCCCTCCAGAAAGAAAAATAATTTTAAAAACATAAAGCAGGTTACCCTCAAGGCATTAGGAATTGGGTGAAATCAAGTTTCTCAATTGCAACCACTAGAAGCTGGAAGAATGGGTAAATGCCTTCGAAGTTCCAAAATATTCGAATGAGTACCTAGTACTCTGAGTACCCAAATTATATCTGCCAAGTATAGAAGTAGAAAAAAGGACGTTTGTCGGCATCCATGTCATACGATAAATAGTTAACATAGCAAGCCCTATTTCCAAGAGGATCTTCTGGAGGCACCGAAGCTTGGGATCTCTCTTAGAAACTTGGCCCATGCAATGTTCCCTGCTTTGTATTGATAAGGTTGTTTTGCGTGACTAGGGCACTAAATTCGGTTATACCTGCCTTCTATGTTGTGCAAATGATGTGATTTATGGTGAACACTTGCTTTCCTTCTGGGAGTCTGGAACTGTAGCAGTTCCAGTGGAAAGTGGCTGATTACTCAGGCAAAGAGCGCATACTCGTGCAGCCCCCAATAAAAATCCCTGGACTCTGAGGTTTAAGCAGGTTTCCTACAGCAGAAGCACTGGACACCCGCTGCTGCATTTCATTGCTGGAGGAAGAAGTGTTCTGTCTCTTCCCCTACCACTGTGTGATGGAGACATTTGTTAGCCAACTCCTGGACTCCTCCAGTATTTGCCTGATGCCTTTTTTTCCCTTCCTTCAGTGTGTCCTTTTGCTGTAATAAACCATGGCTCTGGGTTTATGCTCTCCATACATTCTGTCTCAGGAATTTCCCAAAAGCTCTTCACACATTTGACAAAGGAGAATTAAATATTTTAAATGGAATACAAAATACAGTTAACAAAATATCTTGGGGCCTATATATTACATATTCAGGTGAAGTTATGATTAAAAATTAGTCTGGAGGTTTCAGCATCATTGGTTTTGGTCACTAGAAAATAATTTGCTGATTAAAAACATAAAGCCCATATTTAAAATAAAATTCTTTGGTTTTCTCTTACACACATTTAGCTTGCATCTACACATATCCACAGCTGTTAATGTTACATTCATCCCTCTATGAATCCTCCAGGATTTTATTCTTCCAATTATTTTCATCCTATGTTTCTCTCTCCATTGATTCTGAACCCTGGTTCCACAACGGGAAATATAACAATGAATTTCATTAGCGTTACCTCCCCATCAATCTAAATTCAATCACAATCATTCTATACCCAGCCAATCGAACTGGAAGACTAATGAATATTCATGGACTTCATTAAGACATAAATGAGAAGAGTCGAAGTGGAATCCCAGACAAAGAATGTTGATTTTATATGCAATGTTTATGCAAGCAGGCATTGTGTTGCATTCTAGGAAAATGACTAGACAGAATGTGGAGAAAGGTTTGATGGGGCATGACTGCAGTTAGGAGCCATGTGAGAAGTATATGAAAGCAGTTCAGGGAGAAGACTTAAGCAGTGTATCAGCACTGAAAATGCAAAAAGAATAAAGATTTGAGCAATACCAGAAAGAAAGCAATGGCAGTCAGGAATTCTGTCAGGTTTTTGGTTAGTAAAAATATCTTCTTTGTAGGGTTACTATAAAGAATCCTACAAGGAAAGGAAAGAAAGGAAATCATCTATTTGAAGCATTTTATATGCCAATAAATATTACTATTAGTACTATTTAATTAGGCATATGCATTGTTTAATAGTATTAATGTACATAAATAATATTAATCCTTGAATTGGAAGGCTTTTCTTACCAATACAGTGCTAAAAATATTGATAAAACTCTATATGAGGCTCTTTCCTTTTATAATATTTAAATAAACCACAGTATCCCTTTCAGGTAATAGGTGTGATTAGTGAGTGAATGAGCTTGGCATTAGGAACTCAATTTTTCTTTTATTTAATACAATGCCCTTGGTGCAGAACAAACTTTGGTTTGGGAACAGAAAAAGGGGTCTCAATCTTTGCTATATTTCTGGCTACCTATTTGATCAGAAGACCTATTTGATCAGAAGAAAATTAACCTACTTAAAAGCTGACTTTTAAACTCTCAAAAGGGAAAAGACATGCCTGCATCCCAGAGTTTTGAAAAGTTAAGTGAGAACAGGGTGAAAATTCCTAGTTAGAAAGAAGTCCTTTCTCTCACTGCATGAGTTATTTTGCTGATAGAAGATTCTTTGAATAATTTTTTGTTTTCTATCAAATTCTCAAGTATAAAATTCTATACAATACACAGGTTTAAAAATATGGCTTAATTATAAAATAATGAGCTAAATTTGATTAGGGTGATCATACTTTTACACATTTTTATTCTCTAGTTATACTTAAAGTGTTCCTCTACAGCCTAGGCTTATATTTAACTCCTATAGTAGAAGTAAAAATCATTCCAACTCAGTCGTTTCAGTTGCTTTTAGGAAGGCTTTCTCTTTCTCGAAGTACCAAAACCAAGGCTGCATGCAGAATTCGAGAGCAAAAGGGTGGGTTCATTTTATTTTCATTTCATTTTTTTTTCTCTCTCTCTAAGGATACTTCTCTTATCCAGATAAAATATTCTGGACCAATAGTGATTAAAAGAATCCTTTTCTGGGTCATATTCACCACTTAGAGGTCTTAATTTCAACTGGTTGGTCTGAATTATTTTTGACTAAAATAAAACTTCATGTTTGCCTGCTCTCAAATTTATCTACCGGGGCTCTCAGCAGTCACACAGCCTCTTAAGCAATTGCTGAGGTTTATTCCCATTAGCTTGGCACTTCTCAACCCAGGAAGCCACACTTTCATCTATAAACCTGATCATCTCATTAAGTGGTCCTCCTTCCAGAGCTTTTATATTAAAATATACTTAAATAAGTCTGCAGAGCCCTAGCAACAATCCCTGGAGAATACCACTTTTAATCACTCACAAGTTAGAGAAGGCAATATTTTCCCTTTTTTCTCATTTTTAAAAGCCAGTAGCAGCTTAAATGACAAATGCTTCTTTTAATTTCATAATAATTGAATTTATAATATACATTCATATTAAACCTTGAAACCGTAGCCAAATTTGGGATCTAGCTAAAAACAAAAGAGCAATATTAGATGTCAGATACAAGAGACATATATACAGCATATCTGACCCAAATAACTTCTTGATTTCTAAAATCACAGTAATGATATAAGTTCCCTGTTTCTTTTTCTTAATGTATAAAATAAAATGCATGATATCAACTACTATGGTTTGAATATATTCCCTCCAAAATCCAGGTGTTGAAACTTAATGGTCAATGTCATATACATATTTAAAGGTGAAGCCTTTAAGAGGTGATTAGGCCAAGGGGGCTTCTCACTTGTGAATGGGATTGACCCTCATTAAAAAGGCTGGACAGTGTTGAGATCTGTCACTCTCCTACCTTCTGCAATGTGAGGTCACAGTGTTCCTCTTCGGAGGAAGCATCAACAAGGTGCCTTCTTGGCAATAGGAACCCTATCCCTCACCAGGCACAGAACCCACTGGTGCCTAATCTTGGACTTCCCAGTGTCCTGAATTGTCAGAAATAAAAGTCTGTTCTTTATAAATTACCCAGTTTCAGGTATTTTGTGAGAGCAGCACAAATGGACCAAAACAAAAAAATTGGCATCAGAGAAGTGAAGTATGACTGTAACAAATACCTAAAAATTTGGATGCAACCTTGGAACTGGATAACGCATAGAGGCTGGAAGAGCCTTGAAGACTAGAAAAAGCCTGTGTTGCCATGAAGGAAGCATTAAGAACAAATCTGGTGAGGGCTCCAAAGACAAGGATAGCTGCATAAGAACCTTGGTCTTCTTAAAAGTTATCCAAGAGGTCCGAGGTGCTGCATGGCTTCCTTAAGTGCTTATAGCAAAATGCAAGAGCTGAAAAATGTTTAAAGATAAAATTTAAACCTAAAGATTTGGAAATTTCTTAGCCTGGCCATGTAAACAATAAAAAAGCATGTTAAGGAGAGAAGACCAAGGGTGTGGCCAAGTGATGTTTGATAAGGAGATTGGTGGACAGATCTTTGAGGCTGCCATGCCCATCACAGGCCCAGAGTGCCAGAGCCTTGGGAGAAGAGTGGTTTTGAGACAGAGGTGCAGGGCTCCTGTGGGAATTCAGAGTTCAGTGTTCGTGGCCTCAAGCCTTTGCTTTCCACATTCAGGTGCCACACTTCTTGATGACTTCAGTTATGGCTCAAGCGGACCAAGGTGCAGCTTGGACCATTTCTCCAGAGGGCACGGTCAACAAGCCTTAACAGCATGCACATGACGTTCACTCCATAGGCACACAGAGTGCAGGGGCTGTGGAGGCATGGCTTCCTCCATGTAGATTTCAAAAGATGCCTCAGAGAGCCTTGCAGCCCAGACAGAGAACTGCCACAGTGGTGGGGGTCACCAAAGATAACTCCCACTAGGGCAATGCTTAATGATTCTGGGGTAAGGACTACCACCAAAACCCCAGACCTGCAGAGTCACCAGCATTGCAGTGCCAGCCAGAAAGAGCCACAGGCACCCAACTTCAGCCTAGGAGAGCTGGGGCATGGAAACTTAACTCCCACCTCAGGGTGTCTGGAATGTGGGATTTGGAATCAAAGATTATTCTAAAACCTCAAGATTTGATGTTTGTCCTGTTGGGTTTTGGATTTTCTTTAGACCTGTTTTCCCTTTCTTCTTGCCTACTTCTCCCTTTTGGAATGGAATATCTATCCTATTCTTGTTTCATCACTCGTTTTTGGAAGTATTAGGTTGGTGCAAAAGTAATTGTGTTTTGCCATTATGGCAAAAATCGCAATTACTTTTGCACCAACCTAATACTTAACTTCTTTGACTTCAACAGCTCAGCTAGAGAGAAATCGGTCCCAGGATAAAAGGTGCCTTGAGTCTCACCCATAGCTACTTTAAATGAGACTGAATCTTAGAATTTTGAGTTGATACTGGAATGAGTTAAGACTTTGGGGACTATTTGAAATGTATTTTGCATGTGAGAAGAACATAAATTTGCATGGTTCAGGACAGAATGCTATGGTATAAATGTGTCCCCTCCAAAATTCAGGTGTTGAACTAAATGGCCAATGTAATAACATTAAAAGGTCTGGCTATCAAGAGGTGATTAGACCACAAAGTCTTTCTCATGAATGGCATTAAGGCCCTTAAAAAGTGGCTTCACATGGCATTTGGCCCTTGCCCTTCTGCCTTCTGCCATGTGAGGGCATAGTGCTTGTCCTCCAGGGGATGTAGCCCTCAACAGACAACTGAACAGGCCAGTACTGTAATCTTGGACTTTGGAGCCTCCCAAACTGTATGAAATAAATTTCTGTTCTTTATTAAGTATCCAGTTTCATGTATCATTTTATAACAGGACAAATGGACTAAGACACCTATGACGAGGACAATTGTAAGGATGCAAATCTATATGCCTACTGCATGTTGGCTGTCATAACTATGTATTAGATTAATTCATTAAATAATGGCATGCAAGTGACATGGACAAAGAACCACCATGCCTGCCTAATACATGAGAAAACAAGCTTCTCTTCTAGCTCATTAATGTATGTAACTACATAGATGGGGTCACTTCTCATGAATATGTTCTTGCAGAAAAGCAAATGGATAGAGAGACAGAGCCTTAGAAAAGAAATGCTTGTTAACATTTTTCTTGGCAGAATCTACTGCTGCTAAGGTGCTAACCCAGTGTATTATGAACACTAGTTGAGTGGTTCCAATGTTCATGTTCATTTTGAAATGCTTTTGTTACTATGGAAACAATTTAATCTTTGGAAAAGAAAGGGTTTAATGGTACCCACAAGTGTACTGCAAATTGTAAATGCACATAATGCCTCTAAACGCCTTACATATGTACAAATTCATATGAAGATGCCTTGGAATATTGCATCATAAAAATATATATTTACATCTATTAAGGTATTAATGAACAATTAAAAACTGCAGCGTTCAAGTCAAATGTCACTTCCACATTGGAGACCTCCCCAAGTATCTACAAGGATAGAGAATTAATTCCTGTATTCTTCGTGATACTATAACACATTAGAGAATTATTCAAACACAGTATCTGTCTTCTAGTTATTTGGGGTCACGAATTTCAATTTGTGGTCATGATTTTCTGGGTGGGTGAGTGGTTGTATCTGTCTAATTCTGTCTAGATATGTTAATATACATATATTTTTCTTTGCTAATCAATCAATATGTGAATTATTTTAATACTCAAAAGTTGAAAAAAACTTGCATTTTCCATTACTGGAATAAAACAGACTTGGTTGTGTTACAATGTTATTTTTATATACAACTGTATTTTAAATACAACTGTATTTTTATATACAATGTTATTTTTATATATATATTTTTATATACAGCAAAATTTTGCTAATTTGCTAATTGCTGATATCTTGTTAAGACTTTTTGTGCTTATATTCATAAGGCATATTGGGCAGTAGTTTTTTTTATAGTTTCCTGTTTGGGGTATGTAATTGTGGCCTCATAAAATAAATTGAAAATATTGTTCTCTTTTATATGTTGGAAAAGTTTACATAAAATTAGTGTTTTTTGTTACCATGGAAGATGTTATCACTTAATTGAGCCCTTTTTTGATATAAACATTTAATACTATAAATGTTCCTCTCAGCACTCTTTTATCTGTACCCTATAAATTTTATATGTTGTGTTTTCATTTTCATTGAATTCAGTGTATTGTCTAGTAACCCATGACCTTTCATTTGTCTCTTGTGTTAATAAAAAGCATAATATTTTTCTTAATAGTTGAGTTTCCAAATACTTTTTTGATTTGTGGTTTTATTATTTTTGTAGTTAGAGAACATACTTTATACAATGTCAATTATTCTACACTTGTGGAAATTTGTTTTATACCCTATAGTCTATACAGAGAATGTTACACGTGCACTTGCAAAGATTGTATTCTGCTTTTTTGAGTGAAGTGTTCTATGAAATTTCAAATTGTTCAAGTTGGTTGATAGTGCTGTTCAAGTCCTCAATATACTTATTCATTTTTATGTATTTGGTCTATCAATTATTCAGAAAGGAATATCAAAATAGCTAAATATAATTGTAGATTTATCTAGTTTTTTTTTCATTTTTGCTTCACGTATTTTGAATCTTTTTTAATTACACACATTTTTTGGATTGTTAGGTCTTTCGTGCAATTGACCACTATATTGTTATCTAATGTCTCACTTAATCATTGGTAATACTTCTTGTGATGAATTCTATTTTGATATTCATATTACCATTTGAATGTTTTAAAATTAGTATTTGTATGAAAACTCTTTTTTTCATTTTTTAACCTTTTAAATCTATTTCTTGATATTTAAAGTAGACTTGCTTTAGATGGTACATAGTTGAGTCTTTCTTTGGAGAGGAGTCCTGCCTTTTATTGGGTACTTAGCCTATTTGCATTTAATACAATTTTTTATCTTGTTGGTTCTAAAACTACCATATTTTCAGGGTTTTTTTTTTTATCTTTGACTGTTGATTTTGCTTTTTTCTCTCTCTCTTTCTTCCTGTATTATTTTTGTATTATTCATGTTACATCTTATTTCTGTGATTGGTTTTTTGGTTATATATCTTTTACTACTTTTAGCATTTCCCTTTGGGTCAAATTAAATAGGTAGGTAGGTAGGTAGATAGATAGATCAATAGATAGATAGATAGATAGACAGCTAGACCTTAAAATAATATTATAGAACATTGCATACACTATAATAACATTGCAGTATTATATTTCCAGCTTCTCTCATTCTGTGTGTTAGTACAATTATGCATTTGACCTTTACATGTACTATTAACATTATACTCATTCCATTTTTTTCTTTACAATCCTTTATGTTTTAGTGATTAAAAATTTAAAATCAAATAATTACTTTTATATTTACCTTTATTTGACCATTTTCTGTAATCTTTGTTTCTTTCCATAGCAAGCTTCTATCTGGCATCACTTTTCATCTTCCTGAAAAACTTTCTTTAACATTTCTTTTTTACAGGTCCTCTGGCAATAATTTCTCTGAGTATCTTTATTTTTTTCTGTTTTATTTGACTTAAAAAGAAAAGTTTTTACTTATACTTTATTTTTGAAATATACTTCAATTGAATATGTTATTTTGGATTTTGTTTTTGCTTTTGCTTTCAGAACTTTAAACATGTCACTCCCTTGTCTTAAAACTTTCATAGTTTTGAGGTAATTCTTACCTTTATTTTGCTGTATGTAATAACATTTTTCCTGCCTTTCTTTGAGGATTTATTTATGTATTTCATTGTGCAATATGTGCAGTAATTTTTTAGTCCTGCATCCATTTCTCTATTTCTGTAAGCTTTTTGAATTTGTATTTTAATATCTTTTCTTATTTTAAGAATGTCTTGTCCATTTTATATTTAATTTATTATTTCCCCCTCTCTCTTTTCTCCTCCTGGGACTTCAGTCAATATATGTTAGATATTATAATTACACCCTTACATGCTCCTGCTCTCTTTTTTAACTCTTTCTTTCTTCCTTTTTCCATTTCAGTTTCCAAAATTTCTACTGACATATCCGCAGTTTTACTAAGTCTTTGCTTAGTGGTCTCTATTCTGCTGATAAGCCCATGAAAAGAATTATTCATCTGTTATGTCAAATATTGTTATATATAATATTTTCCTTTGTGTTTTTTTAATAGTTTCCTGTTCTTTGATAAAACCCATCATATGTTTATGTGCATTGTCCAACTTTTCCAACCACATGCTTTATCATATTAATCATAACTACTTTAAAATTTAGTTCCAATAATCCTGATATCTCAGGCATCTCTGAGTTTCTTTCATTATTGCTTTTTCTTGTGACAATGGGTTGCTTTTATCTTGCACTCTTTGTGCCTCACAATTTTTTATCAAATGTCATATACCAAATAAAGGAACAGCAAAGACAGGCACATCATCTTATCTTAGGAAATAATCACTCTTCTGTCAGGTCATTAATTTAGGGGGTTAAACTAATCTAGTTAAGAGTTGGGCTGGGCTTGAATTTTGTTATTGCTACTATTGCCTTCAGTGTGCAACAGGCCTCAAATTTCTTTAGTGATGGAAAACTGTCACCTGATGGTGAGACTGAGTGCTACTGTACCAGAGGGCTTTATTCACAGTCCCACCTCTCCCTCTCAGTTTTGAGCTATCTCTTCACACGTATACCATGAAGAGTTCTCCCCATGCTCTTGCCCCTTGTCCAGAGTCTCTTGGCAGAGACAGAGGACTCTGTTGTCCTGCTGAAAGTTCAGTATTAGGCAAACCCTGTGCACCTGGGTCCTAGGTCTCAGGGGCAGAGCATTTTCAGTGTCTGGGTTTTTTTTGTTTGTTTTTTGTTTTTTCTCCGCCTGGCATCCAAACTCTGCCTGCCCATCTGTGGTTGGTCTTTGGTTGCAATTTCCGGCCTCTTCCTCAGCTGCATAGACTTCTACATGGTATCAGTGTAGAAACTGGATGAAGAGAGTTCTCCCCATTCCCTCGGGAATAGGGGTTTTTGGCTTCTACCCTACCCCCAATGGTAATAATTTTTTTTGTCTCAGAAGTGGGATTTTTATTACTCCTAGAGAGGCAGATCACCAGAAGCAGAGGGACTTTCCTTTTGTTCCTCCGCAAAAAGCAATGGATCTTTGTCCAAGCTGTATGGATTCGAGCATGTGCCACTCCTTCCCGAGAGGCTTATAGATTTTACTTACATGATAGAAGCGACTGGGAAGTAGGTGGGGCTCTTGGTCTGCTCCTCTCCCACAGACACCATCACTTCTTTCGCTTCTGCTTCATGGAGGGCTCTCTGTGCTCTGTCCTCAGTCTTTAATGTGGACTCCCCTTGGAGGTCTCTGGGGAAGAGCTTGAAAGTGATAATGACCTTCTTTTTGGCCATTCCCAACCAATACTAGCCCACGCTTTGCCTTTAAGAACTTGTTAACATTTTAGCTGATGTTTTGTTAACCCCTTGTACAGTGGCCATATCCTTCTTCTGTTCCGTGCAAAAGCTGAGATCCTTTGTGTCCCCATCTTTCCTTGGAGCCTTTTTTTGTTCTTTCATTTCCTTACAACTTCACCTCTCTGATGGGCTTTAAAAAGTTGATTTTTGTGTGTGGATTATCCATATTATTCTCATTGCTGTTGTGGGAGCAACATTTTTGGCAACTTTTTACATTCTAAGCAAAAGTAGAAGTCTCAACAAAACATTTTTTAAAGTAACTATGTTATTGAAAACAAGACTAGAAAATTATTAACGCAAACAACTATTGAATGTTTCAAATTAAAAAAATTAATGAGAATGGAAAAAAGTAAAATATGATTGTGAAGAAGGGCATCTTAAAAACTCATATTGATATTCCAGTTGTCTAGAAAACAGCCGTCAGTGAAATAAATAAACCATTAGGCAGCGAGAAGGCGTAAAATATATGGCCTAGTAATTTGCTGTTCTTGATAATGAATTGATCTTTAACTCTGACAAAAATTCACAGTACACATATAAAACACAATAATGTAATTTCTCTCAGCATTCTGAGATGACATATGTATCAAATAATGAAAATAAACTTCCTTCTCCACTCATTGCAATATTTACTAAGTCCTAGGGCTTCAGATTTAAAGTTCTTCTTAAAGTATGAGAATAGAGAAGAAAAAAAATTTTGAAATGCCTGAAGCAAAATGAGATGTAGGCTTATTTCTGAGAATGCATAAGTTACTTCTTACTTACTTTGATTCATGCTGGAAATAGTGTTGTATAAAAAAAATTAAATCTTCCTGCTGCATTGCAACAGGGAGACAAAATGAAATCAAGAGATTTATCAATAACTATATAGACTTCTAATTCCAGAAAAATCACAGCCCACTTGTGTGTGGAGTGGATATTTCTTATGAGTATTAGATAAACATTTTATGCTGTTGAACAGTTTTACCCAAAAGACTTTAGATTAAGAGGAAATAAGAAAGCATTATGAATCAAATCTCAGAAAAATAGTATTCATTTCAAGCCAAATTCTATTTTATAAATTTTGGGGAAAATTGTTAAGTTATATCTGAGTGTATTTTTCTGATTTATTGGTTAAATAAAATGCATCTGTGTTCCTAAGTGCAACTTAATTGGCTTTTGTTTTGTATTTATTTTTGTAGATTTTAAATGAATAATTTTAATCTAGGTTACTTATTTTAGAATCTATGAGTTTGCTATGATTCAATGTTTGTGTCCCTTCCAATATTCAGGTTGAAATTTAATCACCAATGTGATCGTATTAAGGTATGGCACATTTAGAAGGTAGTTAAATTATGAAGACTCTATCCTTATGAATGAGATCAGCTACCTTATAAGAGGACTGAAGGGAAATAGAGGAGCCCTTTTGTTCTTCTGTCTCTTCCTCCATGCAAGCACACAGCCTTGAAGGCATCCTCTTGGAAGCAGACTGGGCACTCATCAGACACCAAAACTGTCAGAGCCTTGATCTTGGACTCACCAGCTTCCAGGACTAGGAGAAACAAACTTCTTTTCTTAATAAACTATCCAGTCCAAGTTTTTTATTACAGAAGCATGAAACAGAGTCTAAAATAACACAGACTCTAACTATGTCTTATGGAGTAATTCTCCATAAGACAGACTCTAACTATGTCTTATGGAGTAATTCTCCATAAGACAGAGTCTAACAAACTTTTTATGCATTAGGACCTCTAGTAGTTAACCATACCATTTTAATACCATTAGTGAGTGTCCTTCATCTCCTTGATGTCTTTATTCCCTTCTTTACAAGTTTAATTCCAAGGCCCATCGCATTTTGCACTTTGCATATATACCTAATTTTCTTGACTTTTTATTTTATTGGCTTCACAAAATCTGAATTCAGATAAACCAAACTCTAACTTCTAACTTCTCACCTGTACTAAAACAGCTGAATATCACCACAGAAAAACACAGTTGACTGGTCTCACTTTAAATTTACAACTACAGGTCAAAAATGGGTCCTCAAAACTGGCAGGCTATGAATTACTGTGTATTAATTTTGTTAATTTTAATTTCTACTCTCTGACTTGATTTTTTAACAATTTTTTTCTTCTCAAGACTCAGCCTCCTCTGCTCCTATTTTAACCTTCCTAGTCTCTAAGAAAAACAGAAGCAATTAGAAGAAAAATATTTAATTTAGCAACAGCAATGGGCCAAACATCTTGGACTTATATTCATCTACTCTGTCTTTTTCTTCTGCTGAAGTGGGCCCAATGACTCTGCTTCTAGCTAAGTTCAACCCCCGCATTGGCACATTGGATCCTCCCCACTTGCCTCAGTGGCAATACCTCTGCAATTTTCCCGTTCTTCCTACATCATGAATCTGTTCCCATTTTCTGGACTATTTGCATAATCAGAGAAACATGTCGTTGTATCTCCCACATCAAAAATGTGATTAAATTTCTGAATCACCACTTACCCCTGCAACTGCTATTCCATTCTTCTGCTTGCCTTTATAGGAAAACTAATTCCTAGATCCAGACTTCAATATATACCTATCCACTTGACATTTTACATTGAATATGCTATAGGCATTTATGGAATAGACATGCCTAATAGCAATAACTTAAATTACTGCTATAATTTAAGAGAATGAGCCTGTATGGCAGATGCACCGAAGTACGTGTTTGGAGTTCTGAGCTGAGGAATCCAAGAGTGGCCATCCTGGAGATCCATTCCTTATCTATGAGGAACATCTGAGCCCCAACCTCCTCCATGGAACATAACAGGGGATCGAGCCCGTTTGTTTTGGGTCATATGAAGGTTGCCAGGTGGAGGTTAGGGAGAGGGTGCTAAGTGAAAATGCCTTGTAAACTGTATGCTTTTTACAAGCAGGAGATAGTTCCCCTGTCTAGCCTGCAGACACTGGGCTGTGCCGCTCTTCTAACCAGCCCGCTACCACTAGACCATTTTTTTATTTAGTTACCCCTAATAAAACCCCATGTCTCATTTGCTGGCTCTGGGTCTCCTCTTCAGCCTCTTGCACGTGGTGCCATCCCTATTGAAGTTAACAGGCATCTAGCATGACAGCATTTCAACCTCAACTTGTCAACTAAACTCTTAATATTTCTTGCTTTACATTATACTAACTTGAAGAATCATTTACTAACTGCTTCGGCCAAATAATTAGAATTCATATTTCTTCTTTGCCTTTCTTTCATCCTTCTTGCCATCTTCACATCTAGCAGCAAATGCTATTTTCTCTTCCTTCAAAATTTGCCCTGACTTTGAATTATTTTCATGACCTCCACTGCTCACATTGTAGACTGAGCTATATGGTACCCTGCCTAAGTAAATTCAATAGCTCTCTAACTTGTCTTCCTACTTCCACACGTCTCTTATTTACACAGAAGCCAGAATCGTACTTTTAAAATATAAATTAAACAATCTATGTCTATCAACCCCTTCCCATGTATACAAATAATTTTGATGGCTTCCAATTATACTTAGAAGAAAATAAAAAATTTGTACCAAGGTGTAAAAGACCCTCTGTGACGTTACAATTCTGTTTTTCCTAAATCATTTCCTCTGCTTTATCCATTATAATATTGCTTATTATAATGTCTTCTTGCTGTTTTCAAAAACAAGGTTTTTTGCATCTAGATTTAATAGTTGTGTTCTTTTGTTCTTTAACACTTTTATTCCAAGTCATCACATATTTTGATTCTTCATGTTAATTAAGTTTCTCATTAAATAGCACTGCCTGTAAAAAGGTCTTCCCAGATTACTTCATATAAAACAGTGCCCTTTGGTGACTCTTTATCACACCCTTTTTACTTTCTTTTACAGCTCTTCTCACTTTCTGAAATGGCATCCTTGTTTATTTTTACATTTGTTTGCTGCTATTCCATTACAATATGTGGCCATAAAGGCGGGTGCTTTCTTGATCTTGTACACCATTATACATCACCACTGCCTAGACTAGTGCCTGGCACATGTTAGGGATTCATAAATATTTGTAGAATAAATGAACTATTGTGTCAGATTCCTAGGACTACCATAACAATTACCACAAACTTGTGGCTTAAGACAGTAGACATTTTCCATTTTAGAGTTAGGAAAGCAATAATCCGAAATCAAAGCATTGGCAGGGCTGGCTCTTTTGTGAGGGCTGAGAGGAAGACTCTGTTCTGTGTTTCTCTCCTAGCTTCTAGTGGTTCCCAGTAATCCTAGGTGTTTCTTGCCTTGTAGATATATCTCCCCTATCTCTGCCTCCATCTTCACATGGTGGTCTCCTTGTATGTCTTGACATCATCTATTCTCTGCATGTGTCATTGCATCCAAATTTCTCTCTTCTTATACGTATACCAGTCATTAGATAAAGACCCACCCTAGTCCAGTATGGCTTCATAATTACATCTGCAAAGGCCCTATTTCCAAATTAAGTCACGTTCTGAGGTTCTAAGTGGACATTAATTTGCAATGAAGCAAGGGGGATATTATTCAACCCAGTATAACTATATGCACATCAAGTCATACAGATTATAAATGTTCCATTCATATCAAAATAATTCCAGAATATAACTTGAGGGACATTTATTATTATTACTGAAAATAACAGCAAAGGATTGAAAGACTTGAGGGTGCTTTCAACCCTCATTTCTTCATTCAAATATTTATTCTTTAAATGCGGTATATATACACCATGGAATACTACTCATTCTTAAAAAGGAATAAATGAATGCATTTTGCAGCAACTTGAGTAGAGCTGGAGGACATTATTCTAAGTGAAGTAATTCAGGAATGGGAAATCAAATACTGTATGTTATCATTTGTAAGTAAGAGCTAAGCTATGGGTATGCAAAAGTATACAGAGTGGTATTATGGGCATTGCAGACTCAGAAGGTGAGAGGATGGGAGGGGAATGAGGGATAGAAAATTACGTATTGGGTACAATATACACTAGTAGAGTGATGGATGTGCTAAAATCTCAGACTTCACCACTGTGTAATTCATCCATGTAAACAAAACCACTTATACCCCAAATGCTATCGAAATTTCAAAAAATCATTTTTAAAATGTGTTCATTTAATTTTTGTATTTTTATTGATATAGTTGTGCATATTTTGGGGGTACATATTATATATTGATACATGTATACAGTGTGTAGTGGTCAAATCAGGGTAATTGAGATAACCATAACCTCAAACATTCATCTTTTCTTTATTTGGGAGAACATTACAATTCTTGTAGCTATTTTGAAATATACAATAAATTATTACTGTAATTTTCCTACTGTACTATTGAATATTATTGTGTACTTGTATGTTGTAAGTGCTAAGTAATGTAGACACATTGATGAACAAAACACAGCTTGGTCTTACTCTCAAGAAGATAGCAATCTATTAAAACAATAGCATGACTTTTGTTCATGATATTTAGCATCACCTGAAATCTTTAGCTTGTATCAGTCACGGTTCCATTAGTAACTACATGGCACTCCACTGGAGTAATATGAGACAAGTGTAATAAAAGAACAATTTTTAATGTTTTAGGAAGGCTTTAGAAATGCCATCAAGAAATAACACAGTATCCCCAGGCAGGGCAAGCAATAGCAGGGGTCATTTACCATCCTTACCACCAGTGGGGACAAAGAGAAAAGAAAGAGTGAAAGAAAGGACTCTTTTCTAGTATCTTGATATCTAGAAGACAGTTTCACTTTATAACCACAGTTCTATATGTGCATTTTTATAAAGTGCCTGTGTTTATTGTGGACAAAGTACTATCTTTATTTTGCAACACCTAAGCTCTTTAAATGTTTTGAGATGACAGCGTATGATAAAAAATAGAACTACTGAATTAACCAACTTGAAAACATCTTTTTTGCTATATTTAATAGAAAAGAAACGTCTTACACATGGAACTGTTAAATCATCTCTGAGCAGTTAAATCAGAACTTGTTTATCATGTTGGCAGCAGATGCAAGTACAAAGGAAGAGGTGTATGCAGAAGTGCCCATGGTCACACTTTGACTGTAATCACTGGTGAATGTGTGCATTTCTCTTGGCCATACTATGTGAATAGGTTTTAAAATAACTAAATGACAACATAACTTCTTGCTAATATTTTAATCACATACATCTTAGAATCTCTTAGAGCATTATGCTTATAGTACTGTATTGTTCTGGGTCTCATGTTAAATTAAACATTAAGGATATACAGTATTTTAAATGTATCTCTGACACCATCTATAGCCACAGGTCTGTTGTCATTTTGTTTTTAAAGAAATTTTTGTCCTCAGAAAAGGCTGGAATACCTTTCTTTCCTGTTTGTTGTGGTGTAGTATATCCTTGGTAATCAAACTACTTGTGGCTTTGGGAATTTGAATTGGCAAATATCCATGATGTAAATGAAGTCAAAATGTTTTCTCCATTGTGAATATGGACACACACAACGGGACAGCTTGCAAATATAGAGATGCAGCAGAGACTAGAAGGATGCATCAAAATAGAGTGACTGTACTTATGAATGATTGTGTGTTCTTTGTTTCTTATGCTTCCCAGTTTTCAATAACAAGCATGGAAAGGTTTGGAGAAAGGTGTCACTACAAAGAAATCAAGATAAAGAGTACTTAAGACAAATGGGCATGCTCTAGACGAAATCTAATAGTAAAGACTGCAGGAAAAAGTTGGGAAAAACAAAACTTGATTTTTGGGAAAACATGGTGTCTAACAACATGATAAAATATCAAGTATGAGGAATTTGACAGAATAATACAGTATCATTCCAAGTATGTGTGTGTGTGTGCATGTGTATAGATATACACATAGAGAGATGGAGATACAAACTGACTTTGTTCATATCCATTTCCCTACTCCCTACAAAAGTATACTGATTCTCCATTGAAGAATTCACCGGTCTCAATTATCCAGAATGTTGTCTCAGAGGAATTAATTCCTAGGGGTAGGTCCTGATTGCTTTAGCATATCCCATTCCTCAATTCAAAAGATTTCTTTTATTAATGGTCATTTCAGCAGATTATAATCAATGCGATAAGAGGATATTGAGACTTCTGGAGGAAAAAGGAGTCTTTTTCTTTGTTGTTGTTGCATTGGTTTTTATTGTTGTTTGGATGTTTTATGGTGTTACTATAATTAACTGTTTTGCATTTGACTTACACAGGAAAAAATGGAAGCCCAGAAAAAAGAGCATTCAACCTCTAAATGTAAAGGTAGGCATACCCTACAGAAATAAAACTGAGGAGTAGAGATAGAGAAACAGAAACCCGTTCACAATTATTTTACTCTCAAATCAATCTAAGCACAAAATGTCTGTCTACCTCTTGTTCATTCAGCTAATAAGCCAGGTGATTTTCCTTATTTAAATAAATTTGATTTTAGGTTTCTGCTACTTGAAAAGCATGATTTGTAATTTTTTGCTTAACTTAAACTCTAAAAAAATTAAGATATTGATATGTATGTTTATACAAACATATATTTATTTTGGTGATTATTTGATTTTTTATGAGGCATGGCTCATTCTATGTAGTGATTGCAAAGTAAAACCCATATGTTTACTTTGGTCCCCTGGGCATATGTATATTTAAGTCCAATTTCTGCCGGTGAATTATTTTACCATAGACTTCAGTAGTGTTTGTTTTAAAGTGTAAATACCAGATAATATTATCCTAGAACTGATACAGGTTATATTATATATATTATAAGGAAGTAAACTTCATCTTTCTTTGCCCAAATAATGATGATGATAAAGAATGCATACCAGTCTCTGTGAGGCTTTCAGCAAAATCAATGCCTTCAAATTCTTTTTAACTACAGGAAACTTTGAATTTATGAAATATTTATGAGCAGTCCCATCATGTCTACAGTGGTTCTCAGCTGTGACTCCAGAGTATGGTTTGTAAATTGAAACAGGTGTGAGAGAACAGGTGGTCACAGCCAAGCAAAAGAAGGATTGGAATTTACTGTGGGGAAGCAACAAGATGAAATACGACCATTGGCATTGAAGGCAACTTCCTGACTTGATGGCAGATCCTAAAAGATGGTCACGGGTGCAAATACACTTGACAGCACTCGAGATGAAAGTATTCACCCACTCAAGTCTAGATATGGAAGTTGGGAGGCAGTCAGTATCACTTCCCATGGTCAGCAAATGCAAGTGAATCTTTATACTAAATTTGAGTAGTTTGCAACTCAATTGCATTAAAGGAATAAATGCAGAAACCTTTCCTCCTACTTCTTTTAACAAAAGCTCGTCCAAAGAGGGCCTAGGGCCACTTTCACCTCTGTTATCCACACTATTTCTAAAAATAATTCCATATTCTAAATCCACAAACTCCAGACATCAGAAAATTATTCCACAACTTTTCTTTTTTGGAAGAGATGGGTATAATGCTTTCCTGTTATTTCAGAAAATGCCTTTAAAATAAGCCTTTCCAAAATGTCATATTGTTTACACAATTCGGGTAATAGAATATAGTATTGATGACTTTCAATCCCCACCCCATTCCCAGTATCTCATTCTACATTCATTCAGAGCTTAATAGTCCACACTAATGGAATGGAACTGTGATACAGTAAGAGCTAAAAAATGTTTCTAGATGGATTTGGAATGAGCATCTGTATTTAAATTTAAATATGAGCTTTTATCTTTTAGATATTCATAAAGTTTCAAACCAAATATTTTATGGAGTTATATTTTAATAAAACATCAAATAAAAATCTGGGGAGTAACTTGCCTTCCTAATTGTCTTTTTCGAATCCATACCCTGGCATACATTCAAGTGAAAATGGACCCCACTACCTCAAAAAGCAGTACAAAATTTTAGGGAAATTGAACTACCCTTCTTCTTCTTCTTTTTTTTTTTTTTTTTTTTTTTTTTTTTTTTTTGAGATGGAGTTTCACGCTTGTCACCCAGGCTGGAATGCAGTGGCGCGATCTTGGCTCATGGCATCCTCCGTCTCCCGGGTTAAGTGATTCTCCTGCCTCAGCCTCCTGAGTAGCTGGGATTACAGGCATGTGCCACCATGCCTGGCTAATTTTGTATTTTTAGTAGAGATGCGGTTTCACCATGTTGGTCAGGCTGGTCTCGAACTCCGGACTTCAAATGATCCACCCCCCTCGGCACCCCTAAAGTGCTGAGATGAGCCACCGTGCCTGGCCGAACCACCCTTCTTTATCTTTCTAGATTTCTTTCCACAATTTATAAACTTGCCTTACAGTGACTAAAAGCGTTAATTTTTTAGAGCTAAAAAAAGAAAGAAAGAAAACAGAAAATAAGGCAGAGTGAAAAGTAACAAGGGACTTTATCATCACATACTTTCTCACTGAATGAAAAGTAGGTGTAGGGGATGCGCAATACCCAGCTCACCTATCATCCACAAACGTGTGTGCACGTACACACATGTGCACTGTAGGACTAAGCATCCTTCTTCCGGGCTGTTAGAAATGTTAATGGCTAACAACTCTCAGGTAATTCTTTTTTCCCAACTATTGCCCTAGGATAAAGAGAGACACCTTGGTAAAGGTAACATTTCTTTCCCGGAAGCATCCCACCTCCAATAAAGAGACAGCTTTGCCGGGCCCTCCCAGTCCCAGAGCTCACCTTGGCTGTGCTAACATCACCTGAGGTCTCCCTCTACTCATTTCTGCACTCTTCATTTTCTCACAAGTGTTCAACCAATGAGCACTACCAGGTAAATTTTTTGTGCACACATCTCTGTCTCAGATGAAGAAAAGCACAACCTGCAATAGTTGAAGCCAGAGGTGGTCCAAGAAAGCAGACTGGATCACCTGTTGGCTGGCAGAGCACTGATATTTCTTGGCACAATGTGGTGATGAAATTTGTTGAAATGTTTACTGCAAGGAATTGGTATGCACTGGAAGGGAATGCACTGACAGAAGTAATGTATCAGGCTTTTAAGAAGCACATCAAAATAGTCTTTATAAGACAAATGGACTTGGATCAGGATTTTAAGGGAAACAGATGACTTGGAGTGAAAAACTAAGATGATTAATCAACAATTAAATCCTAAGAGGTTCTACTTGGCAGCATATAAAGAGACTCCCATCTTCTGAAGGCTGAAGACAGAAGAATCAGATTTAATTATAAAAGTAGCAGAATATCAAAGAAGGTTGAACTCTTATCACCAGCAGGTTTGCTGTCCCAATAGGGTTTCTCTATAAAGTATGAGGAGCTATGCAATTAGGTAATAGTGCATGCTGTGCCTATGAGCAAGATAGAGAGGTGGCTCTCAAACTATGAAAACAAAAGAAATTAGGATTGATGATCAGGAATCTAAGAATGGTCACCCCAGTAAAAAAAGTTGCAACCCTTTGCCTAGTTTCTAAATTTCAGCCAGTTTTCTAACCCAGAACCCATGTACTAAAGCTGTTGAGTTTTCAGAAGGAAGGACTTTGTGACACCATGACATGTGCATGTGGATGTTATCCCCCGATTCCTTCCTCAAAGGAAACCACAGTTATTGACTTCAGGAACTATACAGTGGGGAAAGCAGAATGCCCAGAGATATTAAAGACAGTCATACACAAGGCCTACACTTGCATTTATAACTAACAACCCAAAGCATCATAAGGCTTCTTTGTTAGAGTGAGGGCATTATGAAGGCCAGGTAATAAATGGAATCCTGGCCAAACGTGGCTTACAGTGGGTCCACTTCACCTAGTCATAATTTTCCTAGTTCCCGAACATAAATTTGAATGGATGTACTCACAGTTGATAGATGTCAGGCCCCACATTTCCTCCTTGTTGTGTGGCGTAAGAACCATCATAGTGAGAAAGTCAACTGGCAGCTTCCAAAAGCACCTTTCCACCAGCCAAAATAGAAACATAAAAAAAAAAAATGTCCTGGAAAGAATGGTAGAGGCTAGGGCTATCCTTGGGGTGCTGATGTTCATTATATCTCCATTCAGTTCATGTTTCTGACTCATAAAAAAAGCCAGATGGATACTGGAGGATAGCATCCAATATTGCCATCTGCACCTTGTAGCAATGTTAATTGTAGCTGTTGTGTGGAATGAGAAATCTGTACTAAAGCGTATTAATACGGCATCAGATATGTGATCTGCAGCCATTGATTGTGAAAATATATACTATTCCATCCCTAGTAAAAATGCAGATCAGGAATAGTACTTCCAAGTGTCCATTTAGAACAGATAACAGTACACCTTTTTGTCACAGGCTTATGATAGTACTACTGCTCTGTCACAAATAGTCCAATGGGAACAGGACTGTGTGGAAGTCCCACAGATAGACGACCTCCCCTTAGTGGGACCAGTTGAATAAGAAGTGTCAAAAACGTAGGAAGCCTTAGAAGACAAATACACTTCAGAAGATGGGAACTAATCCTTACAAACATTTGGAAGCTGACTATATCAGGAAGGTGTGGGGCAGGTCTGGAATCCTGGGATGCCATGATAATTTGTCCAATGTAAAAGATAAATGTTTGCATTTTGCACTTCCCACCACTAAAAATGAAGCACAAATACCTATTAGGCCTCTTTACATTTCAGGGGTAGCGTATTCTATCTATGGGAATACCACTATGATTTATATACAAAGTAACTTAAAATGCTTCCAACTTCTAGTAGGACCTAGGGGGAACATGCTCTCAGACTGACAAGCATGAAGCTCTGTCACTTTCGCCTTATGACCTAGTAGGGAAGTATTAGAGGTATTTGTGTTGGGAAAAGAAGTTGTGTGGAGTGTAAGGCAAGCCCTAAAAAAAGAATCACAGCATAGACAAAGTTCTGGAGAAAGGCCATGTCATCTGTAGCAGAGAATTATATACCTCTTGAAAAACAGTCCATTGCTCAATCCCCAGCCCTGAAAGTTATAGGGTAGTGGATCACAGGAAACCACTTTACCAAGAGGTGAGAATTCCCATCATTTTCCAATCATGATGTGATATATCAGTTAGAGTTTCACCAAAGAAACATAACCAGTCTGTATGATACACATATACATACATATATTGTGTATGTATACAGATGAGAGAGCCACAGTCCAGGCTATCAGGAAGGGCAAGCTAGAAACTCAGGATGGAGCTGAGGCTTTGGTCCACAAATGGAATTTCTTCCTCTTCAGGGGAATCACAATTTTTCTCTTAAAGCCTTGAATTCATTGAATCTAACTGACCCAGATTATCTATAATAATTCCCTTAAAGTGCACTGATTGTAAATCTACATTACATCTACAAAATACTCTGAATGAATAACTAACTAGGGACTATTGCTTAGCCAAGCTGACACATAAAACTGAACTTCACACCTGGCTTTTTCCGGGCCCACTGTTTCATAATGTCAGGTGTATCCAGAAGTAATCCATTACAGTATTGAAGTGGCACCTTCAGGATTCCACATGAGCAGGGTAAAAGGGTATTAGCTGGTGGCCAGGGCACCCTTGTCATCCCTTACTGTTAAACCAGTGACTTGCTTTTAAATGGACTTGGCTGCCTTCCAACCTTTCTCAAGGTGGCCCTAAAAACAGCAGTGAAAGGAAATCACCCTATTGGACAACAATTCGGATGGTTAACCTGGCCATCCTCTTTGTGTGGAAAGAGAAGTGTCCATTGTTTAGAATGTACATAGACTCATGAACATTGGTGAGTGGCTTGGCTGAGAGGTAAAGGACTTGGAAAGAATAAGATCGGAGAACAAAGAAGTCTAAAGGTTAAGCATATGGAGAATAGTCATAAGCTGCAAACATCTTTGCAAACTAATATGATCTTTAAGTTTATAACGATTGTCATAGGCTAGGTTTAGAGATGGACCTTTTTTTCTTTTTTTTTTTTTTACCATGACTTGTTTTCTGCTGTTTTGTTGACTATTCATTCTTCCTTCTCCTCTATTTTTACTGGTTCTTTGTTTCTGTCTTGAAATATATTTATTAATATTAGGCCTACTGGACTGGTTGTTTTTTATTTATTTCCCTCCCTTTTATGTGTGTATACATATTTACTATACACTATATACATATAGGCATATGTGTGTATAATTGGGGACTCTACCTTCTAGTATATTTCTAGAAGAATTTCTAGAATTTGTGAAAACACAAATTTGCCTGGAGTATGAAACACAAATTAATTAATTAATCCTAAAGGTATTTTTAGTATGACTTCTAGTATAAAATGTGCACACATCACAATAACAAATTCAACCTGCCACCCTGCCATATACAAACAAAATTAAGAATCATGCTTGAGAATTTTTATGGTTTCTCATTCACAGTAAGAAAAGGCCAAAGTCTGACCATTAAGACCTGCTACAGTCACATCGTATTCTACCCTTCCAGATTTTAACTCAATTTCCCCAATTCATATATTGCACTCTAGCCAAACTGAGCTACTTAATTTTCTCTATAGCTACTTAGAATTTTTCCAGCTCCATGACTGTGCCCATGAGTTTCCTGTACCTTAAAATGTCTTTATTTATGAAGCTAACCAACACTCTTCTGGGAGCAGTCTTTTCCACCTCTGAACTCATACACCAGTTCATCTTAGTGAAAAACATGTTTGGGATATTTGTGTATCTTTATCTTTCCCTACTAGACTATCAGCTCCTTGAGTACAGTGACAATGTCTTTTTTCAGCTTTCAATCTCTAAGACCCCTCTCACATCCAGAACTTAGAAAAAAGTGAAGCATAGAAGCCATCTTCAGTACATTTGTTGAATAATGTTGTCGCACTTTGTACATCCAAATTGTGTGCAGGGATTAGTAACGTTTTTTGTTTGTTTGTTTGTTTGTTTGTTTGTTTGTTTGTTTGTTTTGAGACAGGGGCTCACTCTGTCACCCAGGCTGGAGTGCAGTGGCTTGATCTTGGCTCACTGCAACCTCCACCTACTGGGTTCAATCAATTCTTATGCCTCAGTCTCCCAAGTAGCTGGGATTACAGGTGCATATCACCAGGCTGGGCTTATTTTTCTGTATTTTTAGTAGAGATGGGGTTTCACCATGTTGGCCAGGCTGGTCTTGAACTCCTGACCTCAAATGATCTGCCCACCTCGGCCCCCCAAAGTGCCGGGATTATAGGTGTGAGCCATCGCCTATTAATGATCAAATTCAATATATATTCCCTGACTTGCCCAGTAAGAAAATGTTTAATTTTATCTGTAAGAAAATGTTTAATTTTATACAGGCAAAGTGAACTGAACTTTTCTCCCCAGCACTGGTAGTTGTGTGATCATCTGACTAAATTCTAGCAAATAAGATATAAATTGCACAATATATCTGGAGATAATGAAGAAGAACATCTCATGCTTTAAAAAACGTCTTTAGAAAAAAATATGTGTTACTGATTTTTGGAGTTCTATATATTCTGGTGCAAATTATTTATTAGATAAGCCCTGAAAATGTTTGCTCCTAGTGTGTAGTTCGACTTTCTATCAGTCATTGCTTTCAGTGAATGCATGCTCTTAGTTTCAAGTCAAATGTGTTCAATTTTTTATTTATATTTGGTACATTTTGTGTTCTGTTTAAAAAACTCACCCAAAGATACAAAGATATTTTCCAATGTTTTATTCTCAAAGCTTTTTGTTAACTTTCGTATTTAGGTCTGTTAGCTTCTGGTTTAGTAATTATTCCTACGTATATGGATATAATAAACCCGCTTATTAACATTTTTTAAAGCTTGCTTTCACTACCACTTCTACCAATTTATCCTGGTAGCACTTCCTAATAAATCACTTTCACATGGATCCTTATCCCAGGACTTACTACTTCAGAAACCAACCTAAGAAAGCCTTTCTTCCTGAACAAGTGTTTTGCTGCATAGAGTTGACAGATTTGTTTTCTTGTCCCTTTGAGGATAGCATAGCATTGCCTCTCTGTTGTAAACGAATGCAATGGTCTTCACATGCCTGTTTTCAATCTAATAATTGTCTTGATGGGTAGGCTGCATTTTCTTTCTGGCTGCTTTTGAAACATTATCTTTGACTTTGGTGTTTGCAGGAGCACACTGATACTGTCTGGAAATAGATTTTAATCAGTTTTTCTCAGAATTTACTGGGTATTTTTTTGTAATGAAAAATCCTTGTCTTTTATCAACTCTGGAAAATTGTCAACTCTGATTTCTTTAAAGATTTCCTGAAGTATATTCTGAATACAATATTTCCCTCTGGAACTATTAGAAATACATTGCATCTTCTAAATTTTTATTCCTTGGACCTCAGTCTTCTTATATGTTCTTTCTTTAATATTTTTCATTTTGTATAATCTACTTCCATTTCACTAATACTCTTCAACATATCATGTTTTTTTTTCTTTTCTGAGACGGAGTCTCGCTCTGTCACCCAGGCTGGAGTGCAGTGGTACGATCTTGGCTCACTGCAAGCTCTGCCTCCCGGGATCACGCCATTCTCCTGCCTCAGCCTCCCGAGTAGCTGGGACTACAGGTGCCCGCCACCACGCCCAGCTAATTTTTTGTATTTTTAGTAGAGATGAGGTTTCACCTTGTTAGCCAGGATGGTCTCAATCTCCTGACCCTGTGATCCACCAACATGTCATTTTTAATTAGGATATTTTTAATTTATAGAAAGTCTATTTCAGTAATTTTCAAATCTGTTTTCCATTCATTGTATTCTCTCTTATGTTAGTGTTTCAATTCCTTTTTTCATAATTGTGTGCTTGCTTACTTTATATTGTCTTTCTCAATGTATTTCTATTACATTAAGCTCTTAGGCCTGGGAATCCCTTTGAGAATGCCTGACAAGAGAAATTTTACATTTATTTGCTTTTGCTAATCCCTTGGAAGTTTCACATTTTACCTCCTCTGCCTTCTTGACACCCTCCCTCTCTCTCTCAGTCTCTCCTTTTTCTCTCTCTCCTTTTGTCTCTTTCTTCCTTCCTCTGCCCCACTCCTTGTTCTAAGAGTTATAAAAACACACGGACAGTGTAAAATCAAACCACAGATCTAAAGGAGGTATAAACTTAGGTTTTCTAAATCTCAAGTTAGACTTCTTTTTAGTTGACTAAATGGCAAAGCAGATAAATTACAGATTTCAAAAAAAAAAAAAGTATTTGCTGTAACTGTGTTTTTCAATCACTTCCTTGAAGTGGAGGGTGGATTTTTAGTCTGCATTTTACTGAAAGTGCAAACACAAAGATTTTGCTTTTATCCCCCTACCTGGTATAAGTCTGTGTCTTAGTTTTCTGTCCCCAAAATCAGCATTAAAACCTGATCCTACTGGTAAAAAAAAAATACAGTTACATCCACATGCACCCATCTTTACCCCAGATGCAGCTGTAACCTAAGCTCAAATCCTAATTGCCCTGGCCTTCATTTCTCTCTTGGTTTGAGGCACTTGCAGAGTTTCTCTTCTTTCTTCCTATCTTTCTTTCTTTTCTTTCTTTATTTCCAGCTCAGGTAACATTTAATATACATTTTGTTAAAATTTTTGCAACATTTCTAAGTACCGGAGGGTTTAATTCTGGAGGGTTGTTAGTTTTTATTATCTATCATAAACCTGGAACCACAAGTTCTGCAATATTTTCACTTTAAAACTGGAAATCAATGCCATTTTTCTCATCACTAAGGCCTGTTTCAGAAATGTGAGTTTATGCATGTGATGATTCAAATAGGCTTTTCCTAGAACTATGCACTTGTACTGCTTGGGGGCAGAGAGCATTCTGTTAACTTGACACTCTTGCAGAGAGGTTACGTAATTCACCCAAATTAAGCACTAGCTATAGGAAAGACACAGGGCTAGCATTTAAGGCCCTGCCCCTCAACACCAGGCCCTTTGCATACACAAAATTATTGTTACTTTCTTTACAAATACGTGACTTTCTGCTTTCTTTGAAAGTAGAATATATAGCAAAAACAACAGCAACAACAAAACCTATGGTCTTTGAACATAAAGAGACAAAGTTTTGTTCCCTGGCTTAGACATTTACAGAATCTAGCAATGTAACTGGGCAAACCAAAACACTACCTGATCCAGCCTCAGGTTGCTCATTAGAAGTAAACAAGAGATACGAACTTTTTTTATGAACAAAAAATATGAAGTTCTCTGTGTTGTTGTGATAAATAGACCTAATGCATGCAAAATATTTTTACAAAATGTTATACACAGAAGATAATAAGTGAGCTATTTTTGATATATTATTATAATTATCTGTTAGTAGTAAAAGTGGCTTATAGTAGTAAAATTATTTTTTAAAACAATGCTCTCCTAAATATCTTTTTTCTCACCTGATATTATGTTTATCATAAATTAGCCACATCATTTCACTAGCTACATTATTGTCAATGTCATGCTCTTATTTGATTTGCCAGTGAGTATCTTTTCTTACCCATTAAAATATGAATAAACCATCTTTGTACCTACTATGAACCCTGATTTTTAATTTCTAAAGCATTTTGCATTAAAACTTTCTAAAAGCTTCATGGTTTTTTGCATTCTGTATCTATTTCTTAAAGTTACTAAAAATGATCTAATGTAGCCCTGGTTATTTGATTTTCAAAATTCAGTCTAACAAGGCAATTTTCATTTTTATTAAAAAAAAAAAGCTGAAATTTGCCCAACTTCTTCTACCAACAGAAGCACTCAAAGCTTGATCTTCTTATAACCCTGTGTAGAGTTTAGACACATAAGTAGTACTTCACACAGAATACAAAGAGAGGGAGAACCAGCACTTGATAAAAAAAAATTGATTTTCTTTTTCAAACCTCTTTCAATAAAATTCACAACTTGTTTCTCTCTTGTCCTACAATAACACTGTTGGCTTAAAGGACTTTATGGATTTTTTTTCCCATATAACAACAGCCACGTCTTTTGTAGTCAAAATGCCATTACACCTCATCTTTGAGGATAAACAGTTCCTGCTTTGATTCTGTATCTTTTATCTTGCTTGCCTTTTATCAAACTGCACTGCCATCGGCCATCCAAGTCACCTGATCTCAATCTTCCCATTCCGAGTCTTACTGATTCTCATTGTGTTTCTGTTTTAATCTCACAGCACAGCCCATCAGGCAACTCTCCTCAGACCACCTCATATAAACATTCAGTGTTTCTCATTTGAATGTTCATAATGCAGCTATTTTTCTATTTTAACAACTGACATGGCTTCTATTATTATTTTATATAGATGCAAAATTTAAAATAAAAAATCTTAACAGTTTTTGTCTCATCATTTTATAGAGCTTCTCTCCTGCTGCAGAACATGAGTAAATCCAAGAATTAATTAAATAGTATGCTATTCATTTACCCATTTCTTTATACAACACAAAATGCCTTCAAGTAGATGAATTTGCTTTATCACAGTTATAATCCTGAGGCACATAGAACAGGTTTTAAAAACTGATTTTTAGTGTCTTTTAAAGATTAAAAAATAATTGTAACCAGGGGTTTATGCAGCTTACCAAAGCTCTCCCTAATAATAGATGGAACTGACTTTGAAGACCATATTTTCTGACTGTTTACCCTCTGTGCCTCATATTACATTAGTCACTGCATAGGCCCATTATAAAGTGAGTGCCTTAAAATTCTGAATATTGAGATAATCAGTACAGATTCTCAATACCCTAAAAGCTATTCCTAATTAGGCTTCAAAAAATGAACTTGGCATGATATAACAGGGAAGAGCAAAGGATTTATAATCAGACAAAGCTAGATTTGGACTCTGACTCTGTTAATTAATCACTTAGTTACCTTCTGTCCTAGATATTTATGCAATGCTAATCATATCTATGATATGGAAGTTATTGCTAAATTCATACCTATGATATGAATCATATTTATGACTTGGAAGGTATTGACTGAATGAAAAATGTAAGAGGTAAGCATTGCATCTGGAAAATAGCAAATAATTAATAAGTGGTACTAGTATTGTATTATATTTTTTCTCAGTCAGACTTTGGAAAATTTTTGAAGCAGGAAGGTGATTTTGAACTCTGAGCTCCAATATCATCCCACCTATATATGTGTTTCTATATCCAACTTTCTACCACTATATTCCTATCAAAATTTGTTGTTGTTGTTGCTCTTTCAGTCATCTCCATATAAAACATAGACTCTAAGGATTAGAAGGGAATTTTGAAGCATGTTATCCAACACCTCAGTTTCATCATGGAAAACCTGAGTCACAGAGGGGTTAAATGGCTCAAAGAGGGAGAAATAATGATGGGTGTGCACTTTGGATATAGCCTAACCCAGAAGTCAGTGTATTTCATAAGGGGTACAAGGCTTTACAAAGGGAATAAAGCCTACAGTCCATTTCTCTGTGCTGTCTTTTTTGGAAGGGGGAGGAGATGCTGCAATCATATCTCAGGCCATCTCCCATTTCACTGTGTAAAGGCCATCCCTAGTCTTGTAGAACTCCCCATTTTCATTGCCTGTCTTATGTCACAAATGCTCAAATGAGTCAAGAGCAGAAGAGTGTCTTCAGCAGCAGCCTTTAAGTACAAATATATTATCTCAATTCCTTTCTCTGTGTTCTTCCCATACTTTATCTCATCCTTGTTCTCTCTTTCCTTTCTAGGCCCTCATCTTGTCTTATTTTCAACTGTAATTATTCATAACTGGGGTCTCCATTTCTGGTCTCTCTCATTAAGACTGGATTTCATCCACTGAAACCACTGCCTACGTCATTAGATTTCAAACTTATTTGACTATGAACTACAGAAAGAAATAAGTTTGCAACAAATGGTAGACACACAAACACAAACACATTCATATACACACAAGCAAACAATTAAAACGAGTTGCATTAATACATTTACTCATGTTACATGTATTCTGATTTATGACATTTTCTGTTCTGTTCTATTTCATTTTTTAAGTTGGCTGTCCACTAACTCAATATAGTATCACTCTTGATAAGTTAGAAGGCATAGCTTGAAAAAAATAGTCTAAATGACTTAAGAAAGATGTTCACTTTAATGTAAATTATGTTTATTTCTAGATGAAAACTATTGAAAGCTCAACACTTTCTTTTTTTGTACATTTCAATATTACCAGAATTTGTAAATAGGTCATTAGCTTTAAAAATGAATAAAGTTTCAATTAAATCAATCAAAAGAAAAGATTGGGATTTAAAGACCAAAATATAGCACATGTGTTTGGCATTGTTATCCTACTAAGAATCAAACAGAACACTCCTTAAGAAAATATTAACCTATTAGAGATAAAGGAGGAGAAGCGTTAGGAAACCAGGAGTGGGAAAAAAAGTTATTTTCTAATCTCTAGGCCACCTTTCTTTCTTTCTTTTCTTTTTTTTTTTTTTTTTTGAGACGGAGTCTCGCTCTGTCGCCCGGGCTGGAGTGCAGTGGCGCGATCTCGGCTCACTGCAAGCTCCTCCTCCCGGGTTCAAGCAATTCTCCTGCCTCAGCCTCCCGAGTAGCTGGGACTACAGGCGCCCACCACCACGCCCAGCTGATTTCTTTTTGTATTTTTAGTAGAGACGGGGTTTCACCGTGTTAGCCAGGATGGTCTCGATCTCCTGACCTCGTTATCCGCCCGCCTCGGCATCCCAAAGTGCTGGGATTACAGGCTTGAGCCACCGCGCCCAGCTGGCCACCTTTCTTTGGTACTGCATTCATGTCCCTCATCCCAGAGTCATGATTCCGGGACAGGTTAGTAGTCAAAACACGTTTCACACCAATTGATAGACCAAAGAGATTAAATGAATATTACATCCAGTATCACAATGACGAAACCAAGGCAATGGAAAAAAAATGTTTAAAATCCTATGTAAATCTCAGTGTAATGTGCTCCTACATCTCACTTAGCAGGTCACTATTTCTGATGAAAGTCACAGCCAAAGTTATACTTCAAGAACTTTCTTTTATTTTCATACACAGGTTCTCTATTTCTCCAACAATGTTTTAAGATCACGAGGAAGCAGATTCCATTTTGCTTTCTTGTTTAACCAGCTTTGTATGCACTCTTGCTAGCTACGTCTATATCTCCAAACCTGTAGAATACATGTGCCAGGCACTTGCCCACAATATGTATAATAGTCACACTATTTCACCCTCTTCAATGAAAATAAGTGGAACAGTCTGGATTAACCAACTGTTTTTAGTCCAATGAGTCCATGCCACTGTGTACACCAAGCTGCTAATACAAAGCCACCAGGAAGAATGCAGCTTCTTTTAAATTTTTGAAACTGGGTACAGGAACATTTTTATATTTTTGTATATTTTTATTTGTACAAACTGGTAGACAGAAAATGATTTTACTCTCATAGAAATGGCTCCCTGGAAGGGAATGCACTACCTAAGTGTCCAGAGATTCTTTTACCAAATCAGTGACAATACCCAGCAACAAGAGGAAAAATAACTAAACAGCCCTTTGATAAATGGTTTACTTTTTCCACATCTATCTTTACCAGTCTGCAGCCTTTATATGTGCAGAATTACCAATCTGAAGCTGTTTTATGTTTTCACCAAAGATAGTACCAAAAAAAAAAATGCTACAAAACTCTTCTGAGTAAGCTTTTATTTCAAACTATTTATAGGACTTGATAATGACAAAAGATATCCTATATATCTGCAAAAGTTGCCCCCTGTTACTCCCAGATAAATATTTGAGACCTCATGAAAAAGGAAAGATAGATTAAAAAAAAAATAGCAACAGAATATCCTGTTGGGTGGAAATAGTATTTTCTTCCTGTGTCTTTTAAAGCCACAGTCTCAGAGCCATCTATATTTTCTGAATGAGACATTGCATTTCACTATTTTATGTTAAAGATGCCCATCACACTAGAATTAACCTTTTTACCAAATTCTGTCTTTGAAAAACTTATTCTCTCAGTTCAGACTCAATATTTGCATTGATCCATGATGGGAAATATTTTAAACAACATAAATTGACATAGAAATATATGCTTCTAGTTATTCTATTCAGTCAAACTCTTTGACAACAATCCAAGTTATTTAAAGAGAATATTATATAACTCTTGAGCGTTTCCTGAATCGTCTCTAGAACATGCATCACCTCCAGGTTATGCACTTCTCAGTTCCTTGAAAATTGTTACCATTTCTTGACCAATGTGAGATTCTGTCAAGAAATGTGTTAATAGTGTGAGAATTGCTTCACACCTACTCTCCATATGCCTACAAGAAATATTTTTAAGCCTACTCACCCCAACAGAACAAATGTTGAAGGGAAAAGTGCTAAACTACCTGCAGAATTGTCTGCTGAGGAACAGCAAAATGAAATAATTTATTCTCCCTTCAAGTCTCTTTCCCAAAATACAAGAAAACAAAATCCAGAGTTATGCTACCTAACAAGCAAAATAATTAAAACCTGAATATAAATTAGTTTTTTTTCCATTTTCTGACTCAAAAATCCTCTGACCCTGAATGAGATGATGTCTAACCCTCTTAGATAGCAATGAATAATTGACTAAATGTTTATTTAAGACTCTGTTTCTAGTTTCTAAACTTATTCTTTAATGGAAGACAAGTAGTATCCTGTCCCTCTCTTCATACACAAATACGAAGAGATATTAAAATAATATCTGATGGTTCGGCCCTTGTAACTCCTTTGATTTGGGCAAAGAAATGCCAGTAGCCTGTCCTACCACATGGGGGTCACAAAAATCCATCCAATTAACACAGTTCTCCCTGTCTTTAAAACAGCTAAATAATGTATCTAACTGATCTACCAGAAGTTACACATGGTTACTTCATACTCCTTCTCTAGTTTTCTACTCCCCAGCAGGCTGCCACAAGTCCTCAACTGTAGGGATAATGAGAAAACCCAGAAAGGACTGCAACACTGCATATTCAGAGATTGGGAAGGTATTTTATACCTCTTATTTTAGAAACAGAACAAGTAAGTATTTGCTTAAACTGACAGGTCCCATGAGGAAGCATTTTCTCCATCCAAATATGAACACAGTATAGAATAAAATCATTATGCTAACATACACATTCAATACTAGTAAAAAATTATAATTTAGATTGATGTAAATTCCATGACATCTTAAACAAGACACGCCATCACTCATTATGCCCTATTAAATGTTTTATTAGATTGTTAATCATTGTTACAATGAAGGACATCAACACATCGCAAATATCAGCTCCAATTCTATCTGCAGGTTACTATGCCAGCCTCATTCCTCACGCTGAAAATGTTTATTTTGAATATCTACAGTTAAACCATTTTCCCTAGTGAAAAGCCTCCAATTCATATTAAGGAAAGCAGAACAAAGCTTATGTTTTAAACTGTACAATCTATGAAGATAATGGGGAAAATCAACCAATTAGTATATCTAATATTAAAAAGCATCAAACTAAATTAGTCAAAATAATATATTTCTCTGTGTGTATGTATATGTGCATATGTGTATAGATAATTCATTTAAAGTATGGGATTAATTTTATTTTAAGATGAAAATTGATACTATTGTTTGAAAGACAGTGTATCTGTATCCATATAATGCATTATCTTTGCCAAGGCAATTTGGATTTTCACAGCAACAAATATGTATACCTATTTTTCAGATGAAAAAAAAAAAAGGATCCCAGAGAGTTGAAAGAACTTCCTCCAAAAGACAGGTAATTAATTATGGATGATGGGCTAAAGTATTGCTTCTGTTTTACGTCCCTGTGGCCCAAAAGATTTTTGGGAATTAATCCAAAAGTTAGAGCAGTGTTAGTAAGATGCACAGCACATATATTCATCATCAAAGACATAAACTCAGAGCTGCAGCCTCTAATGATGTATAAGCACGTGTTTGATAGTCATTGGGATAAACTCCAATCATAACCCAGGGTTTCCTTTACTTTCAGTTATTTTTTAGACTATTAGAACCCTCATGTAACCTTCAAGGCTTTAGAGATAATTAAGAAAATTAGAAATTATAGATATTCAAGGGCAAAAGAAATACTTTGAAAGAAAACATAGTCTCACATACAATTGTCATTTCTGGATTAAAGAACAAAGATAATAAGCCTCACCAGGTTCTCTATTGCTTATCCACACCTGAGAAGCTGAAGAATCATCTATCAAGTTAAAATTTGGAAACCGTAGAGACAAAAGAACATTTTTATTTGCCCACAATATCAGAGATAATCAGAAATAAAATTCTCACTTAGTGACCTCAGAATGCAGATACCCAAATTTTCTAATAAATGGCTTTGCCATTGAAACACGAGTGATTTTCCCATATTACTGTTCAAAATCTTCTTTTGTCTTCAGACCTCTGTCTCTTTCAGTGCTGAACCCTCTTTCTACAGTCTCCTCCACACTCCCTCCCTACTTACCCCTTGAACTCCTTCCCCCTCCTGTACACATTTTCTCATTCAGATAGCTACAATACAATTTGATAGCCATTCCACTCCAGCCAAACTCTTTTTCTTTTTTTTTTAAGATGGAATTTCGCTCTTATTGCCCAGGTTGGAGTGCAATGGTGCCATCTCAGCTCACCGCAACCTCCACCTCCTGGGTTCAAGCAATTCTCCTGCCTCAGCCTCCCAATTAGCTAGGATTACAGGCACCAGCGATCACGCCCGGCTAATTTTGTATTTTTAGTAGAGACGGGGTTTCTCCATGTTGGTCAGGCTGGTTTCAAATTCCTGACCTTGTGAGCCTCCCACCTCGGCCTCCCAAATGCTGGGATTACAGGCGTGAGCCACCGCGACCGGCCCCAACCAAACTCTTTTCCCAATGTGTTCATGCATCTCTACTTTCGTCATCTTACAGTATAAAATTTTTACTTTTGTACCTACATGAAATGCTTCCATCTGCTTCTCAAGGTCTCTAAACTCACACCCATTATAAAACCCCCGCCAAAACACCACCGGCTTCATGCTAGCAACAACACAATAGGCTTTTAATGTAGCACTGCACTGACTTAGCTTTGCAGTAGACTACAGGACCAGCAACTCGGCATTTTGTTTCTCTTTGGGAGGCCCAGCAGCTACCCATGTACAACTTCTCACCCCATCACACCTTACTCAACTTACCCACAGAAAGTATATACCTGTCAGGGATGAGATCTGGGTATGTGCAGCTCACTTTGACATAGAGAAGCTACTGCCTTGGTTTCTTACCCATCTATAATGTTTTTTCCAGTTACATAGAATTAAGGTGTGTAAGTCAAATTAGGAGAGCTATTTGACTCCTACGTTGACTTACACACCATAATTCTAGGTCTACACGTACAGTCCAATAGGTCAGGTGTTGCACAGTTAATAAGAAAACCCTTAGCTCCTGGAATACATTACTTTTCATCCATCTGAACTCTATCATGTCCATAGAAATGGCGCTATGACAGGTAGATCCTAGATCATCTTCTTTGGAAGTCTAGGATTTTTCAGGGCCCAGTGATGATAACCCTTTACTCATACTAGTAAAAAAAATATATAGTAATAATTCTTCTTACATTTTTCATATTGTTCATTTGACAGATAATCACCCACTGATTTCTGTTATTATCATTGTTATTATTATTTCTCACATCATTTGTTTCTTCTGGTTGATTACAGTCATAGAATATTAACAATATTTGAGATTTCTGTTTATTGTCTTATTCTGTTTTCATAATCTTGGAAAGTCTGTCTTGTATTTATCTCTGCATTCTATTGTTGCTGTATAGTTGTAACATTGGGACCCCTGAATGTGAGGCTTGTATTATTTCATTTATCTCCCAGACGTTTTATGTCCTGTAATTTTGCTCTAACCAGAAAAAAAATTGTTTTAGAACCACACAATCTCAAATTTGGTTACTTATCTTGCTAACCACCTGTTTCTTGACTATCTACCGCAGTATGAGTAGGTTTTATTTTTTGAGTCATCATTGGCTCTGAAATATTAGAGAATGAACCCATATGCCTTAATGTAACCAGACCAAAAGAGATGGATGTTTTCTTATAACCATTACACAGAGAAATGACAAACAGAGAGACCAGAATATATTAAAACCATAAGAAACAAGCTCAGTTTTATGTGCTCAAAAATAAGTATTTTCTGTCTAAAAGGAAGGTCTTGTGTTTAACTAGGAAGAAAAATAACTCTTTAGAGACCACATCTATCAGATGTATTCCCAGAAATGGAGAAAGCACACATTCTGTTTCTTCTGTATTATTATGTAATTCCTTTAACAACACTCTGAGGTGGGAATTGTTATCTTTCTTTCACAGATGAGGAAATGAATAAAGAATCTAATCAGCATTCCTCTGATCAAATAGCTATCCCTGACAAAGCACGACTCAACCACAGGCCTCTGACTCTGAGTTCAGCGCTCTCTTTACTTAGGTCTACATAGATGATTACACTGTGTAAAATAGAAACACACATAATTCACAGGCAGGAAGTTTGACCTTAGTTGAAGAAGGTATGACTTAAACTTCAGTGGAAGGAAAATAGAGAATTCACCTGGTTTTTACTCATGTTCCCATTTCTGAGTTAGTAGAGGATGGTTCAATCAGGAGGTGTACTTGACCCCAGTATGAGAGCTATCCATATGGACCTTGAATCAAAATAGGACACCAATTGACATCTAGTGAAAAGGATGGGCAAAATCAATACAACCCTAGTGTATTGCTAGCAAATAAACTCTAAATCTATCATCAATAAACTGTTGCACAAGCTTGCAATAGTACACTAGAAAGAAGTGTAGCTATAGTAAAACAATTCACTCTGCATAACCTGGGTGAAATGTGGCTTGTTTGAAATGGAGTAGAAGGAACATTATTAGTACCAATTCCAGTTGCAAAGATATTCATTCAAAGACCATTTTTGTATGTGTTACATAACAGGGTCTGGCTAAGGAATGAACATAAAGAAATGAGTCAACGTTTCTCATGGATAAGCTTTCACATTCAAGGGAAAACAGTAAGATAGGAAGATAAAGGAAATGGCAGAATTTTGCATGAGATACTATGGGTCACAAAAAATATATATTTAATTAGGCCTTGAGAGATAGGGTTGGAGTAGGTCAGCAAAGCTTTAAGGAGATGATGATATTGAAACTGGGTTTTGAAGGATTACCAAGATTTAGTTAGGTGGAGCAGGAATGGAAGCTGGTAGTTTGGAAATGGTGAAAGCAAGATGTTTCATATAGAAGAATCACCAAGTAAACAGGCATTGTGAAATGAACAACAAGGCATGGACTCTTTGGGGAATGACTCAAATGGTGAAGACTATGGACTTTTATCTTGTATCCAATGGGTGGCCATTGAAGTAGGAAGGCAGCATGAATGGATGTGTATCCTGCATAAAGACAAGCAAGTTTGGTCAAAAAGTGATGCATTATTCAATTTTTGCATTATTTTCTCAAGTATTCAGAATATGATCTGAATTTCTTATTTGAGTGGTCTCTCTACCATCGCCATTCTCTCCATGTCTTCATCCATTAGAAATGTCCCAAAATGTGTTAAATCTCTACTATGTGCCTGTCACCATGTAAAATATCAGAAGTATGGAATATTGGCAACTATTCTCAAGAATCTTGCAGCAGAAATGGAAATAAATGAGTCTACTAATTAAATCAGTATAATAAAGTCCTGGAATTGTCAGGATAGATTATGGACAGGGGCAAGGGGAAATGAAGGGATGTTCACTTTGCCAGGGTGTTAGGAAAGGCCAAAGAGACGGTAGCACTTGGGGTGAGCCCCATGCTAATATTAAACGTTTTAATATTTAACTTTTCTGGAGTGCCTATTTTGGTCTAAATACAGATACTTTCAGAAATGCTATACTATTTAAACCTCACTACAAATCTATAAGTAATCAAACCCTCCCTTTAATAGTTCAGAAAGCAAGATTCAGAGAGAAAAACAGAACCTTGGCAAAGATCACACAGGTGTATAGAGACAGAACTGGGTTCTAAATGTTTTATGCCCTTTTTTTTAATGTTTTAAGTTTTAGGGTACATGTGCACAATGTACAGGTTAGTTACATATGTATATATGTGCCATGTCGTTTTGCTGCACCCATTAACTCGTTATTTAACATTAGGTATATTTCCTAATGCTATCCCTCCCCCCTCCTCCCACCCCACAACAGGCCTCGGCGTGTGATGTTCCCCTTCCTGTGTCCATGTGTTCTCATTGTTCAATTCCCACCTATGGGTAAGAATATGCGGTGTTTGGTTTTTTGTCCTTGCGATAGTTTGCTGAGAATGATGGTTTCCAGCTTCATCCATGTCCCTGCAAAGGACATGAACTCATCATTTTTTATGGCTGCGTACTGTTCCATGGTGTATATGTGCCACATTTTCTTAATCCAGTCTATCGTTGTTGGACATTGGGGTTGGTTCCAAGTCTTTGCTATTGTGAATAGTGCCACAATAAACATACGGGTGCATGTGTCTTTATAGCAGCATGATTTATAATCCTTTGGGTATATACCTAGTAATGGGATGGCTGGGTCAAATGGTATTTCTAGTTCTAGATCTGGGAGGAATCGCCACACTGACTTCCACAATGGTTGAACTAGTTTACAGTCCCACCAACAGTGTCAAAGTGTTCCTATTTCTCCACATCCTCTCCAGCACCTGTTGTTTCCTGACTTTTTAATGATTGCCATTCTAACTGGTGTGAGATGGTATCTCATTGCGGTTTTGATTTGTATTTCTCTGATGGTCAGTGATGATGAGCATTTTTTCATGTATCTTTTGGCTGCATAAATGTCTTCTTTTGAGAAGTGTCTGTTCATATCCTTTGCCCACTTTTTGATGGGGTTGTTTGTTTTTTTCTTGTAAGTTTGTGTTCATTGTAGATTCTGGATATTAGCCCTTTGTCAGATGAGTAGACTGCAAAAATTTTTTCCCATTCTGTAGGTTGCCTGTTCACTCTGATGGTAGTTTCTTTTGCTGTGCAGAAGCTCTTTCCTTTAATTATATCCCATTTGTCAATTTTGGCTTTTTTGCCATTGCTTTTGGTGTTTTAGACATGAAGTCCTTGCCCATGCCTATGTCCTGAATGGTATTGCCTATGTTTTCTTCTAGGGTTTTTATGGTTTTAGGTCTAACATTTAAGTCTTTAATCCATCTTGAATTAATTTTTGTATAAAGTGTAAGGAAGGGATCCAGTTTCAGCTTTCTACATATGGCTAGCCAGTTTTTCCAGCACCATTTATTAAATAGGGATTCGTTTCCCCATTTCTTGTTTTTGTCAGGTTTGTCAAAGATCAGATGGTTGTAGATATGCGGCATTACTTCTGAGGGCTCTGTTCTGTTCCATTGGTTTATATCTCTGTTTTGGTACCAGTACCATGCTGTTTTGGTTACTGTAGCCTTGTAGTATAGTTTGAAGTTAGGTAGCGTGATGCCTCTAGCTTTGTTCTTTTGGCTTAGGATTGACTTGGTAATGTGGGCCCTTTTTGGTTGCATATGAACTTTAAAGTAGTTTTTTCCAATTCTGTGAAGAAAGTCATTGGTAGCTTGATGGGGATGGCATTGAATCGACAAATTACCTTGGGCAATATTGCCATTTTCACAATATTGATATGCCCTTTTAAAAGAACACTTGATGTTGTTCAAAAGTCACGGGGAAGAGGCACTTAAAGTAAAGGCTGTCACGTAGTACCCAGGACTGTCCTGTATTTTTTGCCTCTTTACCTTGACAGCAGTTTTTCTCTTGTTTCCACTCAAGCCCCAATTGGTCAATGGCCTTCTAACAGACTCAGTGACAGAGTTGCTACCTGCTTCAAGAAAAGGTATGGAACATCACAGCATTTCTTTAACCAAACAGACATCATCTAAATATCCCTTATCCTTATTTTCTTTATGTACACTTTAGGAACATTTTATCTGGTTTTCTTTTATACAATATAAGTTTTGGAGAAAAAGCTGGGGAGGAAAAGGAATTTTTATAGGATTAAAAAGCTCATTTTTATCATTAAATTTAAATTGTTCAGACTTGGGATGACCAGTTAGATTGTGACTGAGGGGTTCCTTGGGGTACGGGACTTTCAGTATCAGAACTGGGACAGTACTGGGCAAACCTGGATGAATTGGTCACACTTGTACTCCTGTATTTATTCCTGCTTTCCTTATGCTTACTATGTTGCAGAAATTCAATGAATTTGGGATGAAGTAATCTTTATCTTTTTTTAAGTTGTTACTAACAAGCTATTGTATTTTTTACAACAAATGCAGCTCTGTGGACAGAAAAGGGGCTACTAAAGACAGGGGCACACAAGCTGCAAAATATGCAAAGCCCATGCAATTCACAGGGCAAAAGTAGCATCAATAGAATTTATGCTTCCAGAAAGCCACTCTCATTCATGTCAAAATACCCAAGAGAGCAAAATAATCATAGCGCAAGGACTCAGCACAATTCCATCTCCTTCTTCTTAAAGTAGGTATCAAGATTTACAATTGTCACAGGTTTACAAGTTTATAATCAAAACTTGAAGTTTCATATGCATAATCAACAGAAGGTCTGAAAAGTTTTAAATAAATAATTTAATAATGGATACATCTCACTCCCTCCATTGGGAACCGAAGGAAGGGAAGATCTTTAATGAAAGTTATTCTGAGAAGCAGGAATCAGAGAAACCCACTGAAGAAGATTCAAAGGTTCCAGTTTGTACGAATGACAAACACCAAATTAAAAAAAAAAGTAAGTCACTTTTGTAATGAAGATGTTTCATCTATAAAGTTTCGGATGGATACAATGAAAACACTACAAGTCTGTCGTTGAAATTTCATTGTTGATAAAACCACTACAAGTCTGTGGTAAAATTTTATTTTTTATCAGTGCCTTTAACTTTACTGGTTGGATGAAATGTAGTTCTTTTGGAAAACAGCTCTAAGTGATGTATTCTAATCATCCAAATGCATTTGTTTCTTTCTGCCGTCAGAGATTGTGCAACTAGCAGTTATAAATAGAAGAAAAATAAATAAAATGAAAGTTCCGCACCTAAAGGAGCTTGCAGACTATCCAGGACATCAGATAATAAATAAGTACAGTAATATATGAAAAGTGTGAAAATTCAGGTTTGCACTGTAAAGGAAGCAACAAATGCTGTGGGGACATTCAGGGAAGCATCAAAGAAGAGGTGACGTTCAGCCTAAACCTAGGAGGATGAACTTTAGCTCTGTGTTAAACACACACAAGCAATGCACACACACAAATATAAGAAGAGTTTAGTCTCTAAGCTTTTTAAATGTATATAAAATCAAGTGATACCAAGTATAGCAACCAATTAACCTACTGCTTTGAAAGAAAGATCTTTTATAAAGATAAGAGTGGAGGCTTCTGGGTGAACATAGAAATCTAACTGTTTGATTCCTTCACTTCTGCTAACAGATCCATGGAGTGAGAACTATCAATGATCTAGGTGTTGAGAAAAAGAGAGATCACAAAGAGCTGAAAAGATTAGATGGCCTTCCCTGAGAGACAAGAGAGGTGTCAGCCACACTGATCTTTTAAAATAGATATCAGATCACATCACTTCCTCTGTAAAAATCTTCTAGCTGCTGACTCTTAAAATTACAGTAACTCCAAATTCTTTCTCGTGGCCTTTGAAGAACCCCACAGTCTGAGCCCTGCCTGCTTCTCTGATCTCCTTCCTTACACACTCCTCCCTTTTACATGGCTACTCCAGCCACAGCACCCTGTCTACTCCTAAGACCCTGCAAGTCTGTTCCATCCTGCATCCTTTGCACTTGCTGTTTGCCTTTCAAGAAAAGCTTTGAGTCTATTTCTCTCATCTGGCTGCTGCCACTTTTGAAGACATGGCCAATGGCACCAGGCTAAAACTGTCTGCAATCCCCTCTGCCAGTCAGTCTCTAATCAACGGCTGCTATGGGTTAAACTGTGATCCTCTAAAGAAGTATGTTGAAATCCTAACCCTGGTTTGTCAGAAGGTGACCTTATTTGGAAACAGTTTACTTGCAGAGGTGATCAAGTGAAAATGAACTCATTAGTGTAAACCCTAATTCAACATGACTTGGGTCCTTACAAAAAGGGAAAATTTGGACACAGAGACACCCACACAGGGAGGATGCCATGTGAAGATGGAGACAGATATTTGGGGTGATGCTTCTACCAGCCAAAAAAATAACAAAGAAACTCCCAGAAGTTAAAGGACAGGCAAGGAACAGATTCTCTCCCTTCACAGCCCTCAGAAGGAACCAACCCAGCTGACATCTTGATCTAGGACTTCTAGCCTCGAGAAAATAAATATATGTTATGTCGAGGGCATAAATATATGTTCTTTAAGACACTCAATTTGTGGTACTCTGTTATGGCAGACCTAGCAAATGGATACAAGTGGCCCAGTTTTTTTTTTTTTGTTTTTTTTTTTTTGTTTTTTGAGACGGAGTCTAACTCTGTCACCTAGGCTGGAGTGGAGTGTAATGGTGCAATCTTGGCTCACTGCAACCTCCACCTCCTGGGTTCAAGTGATTCTCCTGCCTCAGCCTCCTGAGTAGCTGGGCTTATAGCCACCCGTCACCACGCCAGTCTAATTTTTGTATTTTTAGTAGAGACAGGGTTTCATCATGTTGGCCAGGCTGGTATCAAACTCCTGACCTCAGGTGATCCACCTGCCTTGACCTCCCAATGTGCTGGAATTACAGGTGTGAGCAACCACGCCCAGCCATGGCCCATTTTTTAAATAACATTTACCAATAACTAAAACAATCTTATGTATTTTTTAATTCCTCCACTGGAAGACAAGCTTCAAGAAAGTATTGAGCTTTTCTCTCTTGCTCATAGCTCTACATTAGCACCCAAGAACAGTGACTGGCATATAGTAGCCACTTTATAAATATCTTTGAATTGTAGAGGGAAAGATGGAAAGAATGAATGAGTATAAAGTGGGGCAGAATTTACACAGAGACACATGCTAGAGATGACAATCTAAGGATGTTTCCTGGGGATAAATAAGCAATATTATCATTCTTATCAATTGTTTTTCAAATTATTGGGATAGTTAGCAGTGATAACATTGAACTGGAATGAAATGATTTGCTATATTTACATTTTTAGTAAAATTTACATTTTACTTATATTTTAGAACAATTTGTAATTTTAGAATTAGAAAGTTTATTATTTCTTTTTATTTGGGTTTCTGAGTAATGATTGTTTATAAATGTGAATTTGTAGAAACTGTTACTTTTTGTTTTCATTTAGTTCCACTCGGCAGGTATTCTAGCTCCATTTTCATAAGTGTTCTCCCTGGGTCTCCATTAAAACCTTCCAGAAATGTAACATTCACATGGAACTTGTATTGTTGTACACATGTGACATTCCACATGGTATATTTTTTAATTTGATTAATTTGAGAATATAATAAGTAAGCCATCTCTGTCACTGAAAATAATTACATTTTTTGTTCATACTGTATGAAAGCAATATGAGATCTGATGTTATTGTTATGTCTTTTCTCACTCACCACAAATATCCAAAATTAGACAGAAGAATTATCATGCCTTCCTATTAGTAATACAGTCTTAACTAGTTAATCACCACAAATATCCAAAATTAGACAGAAGAATTATCATGTCTTACTATTAGTACTACAGAGTCTTAACTAGTTAAGAGAGCTACAATAACACTTCTAAATGGGCAAATAACTTTAATTTGTGAAATTACATGAAAATGCTCATTCCAGGTGTTTCATATTACATGCTCTATAAAATATATGAAATATAATTTTTCCACCTGAAAATCTGGAAAGATTAGATAGATTTTTGTATTTGCTATATGTAATCATAAAATAGTTTAAAGACATAGCACTTTTTTTTGTTTTGTTTGTTTGTTTGTTTGTTTTGAGACAGAATCTTTCTCTGTTGCCAGGCTGGAGTGCAATGGCACAATCTTGGCTCACTACAACCTCCACCTCCTGGGTTCAAGTGATTCTTCTGGCTTAGCCTGCCAAGTAGCTGGGACTACGGGTGTGCACCAACACACTCAGCTAATTTTTGTATTTTTAGTAGAGACGGGGTTTCACCATGTTGGCCAAAATTGTCTCGATCTCTCGACCTCGTGATCCACCTGCCTCAGCCTCCCAAAGTACTGGGATTGCAGGCATGAGCCACCACGTCCGGCCCAGACATAGCATCTTTAATTAATGTTTACTACATGAAAATAATTTTAACTCATTGAATTAGTTGAAAAGCATCATATTCAATAAAAGTGTTTCAGTGCAATAATGAACTGGAAAGACACCTTAAGATGTGTGCTTTTTGATAGTAATGTTGCTGGACACAGTCATATCAACACAGCTATTTTTAGATGTTTATTTATAGTAGTCCCATGTTTAGACCAATGAAAACTAGTTTTTCCATTTGTGAAAGAGAAAATTTTAAAATGCAATATTATTTATCAGTCCCATTCTAATTATGATGATAAAACTTATGGCTTTGACTTACTAGAAAACATGGATATTTTAACAACCACATAGGAGAAGAAACAGCATTTTTCTAAGCAAGATTGAAAAGTCTTTAGTAAGAGAAAAGTGGATCCTTTTTCTTAACTTTGTCATAGTTGAAATGCTGTTTCTTCTCCTATATGGTTGTTAAAATACCCATGTTTTCTAGTAAGTCAAAGCCACAGAGCAAAACTAGAGCAGAATTTCAGTTTCATTACATGTACCAACCTCATGGATTTCGATAAGCTTTGCTTTTCTCCAAGTTACCTGTTGTAAAGAGAAGACCCAGAGACAAAAGCATGTAACAGGGAAAATTGGTTTACAAAGTTTGTGATACAGATTCAACATTAATATTGCAAAAGTCAGAAATGATGCTTTTGTGAGTAAATCAGACGATGACAGGAACTTTTCTTTTTCTTTTCTTTTTTTTTGAGACGGAATTTCGTTCTTTGTTGCCCAAGCTGGAGGATGACAGGAGCTTTTCAGTGGCTCAGCTCCTTTGGGGAGAACAAGGCAGGGTGACCCCATTTATTGTTGTCAGTCTGCAGATGGAAGATGGTTTGTTCCTCCCTGCTTAGCTATAATTGAGACTTACGTCCAGTCTCCCACCCTATTGCACATGTAAGTTTGTTAAGTGATATTCCTAATTCGATGTTATTATTTGATGTTTTGCTTTATTTGACCACCTGTGAAATTTAATACTTGTTCTTTAACAAAAGATTTGTCAGACTTAAATACACAAGACATGTGGCATGGCCTACTTTGCAACTGATTTATTCAACTATGTCTCAGTGAGAAGGACAGATTATTGATGAATGTACATAAAGGACAATATAGCCACAAAAAATAAAGATGCTTAATAATGGCAGCTTCCATAATATTTTAAGTATTGTTTTCAGGAGTTTGTCAGATCAATAGATATATAATTTTATTTTCTTTTTCAGAACATTATGTTACGTCTCCCTGATGATTTACTAGTTTTAGTTTATATTAAGATCTTTTCTAAAACATTTTTTCTGAATTCTGAGGGGTTTCATTTTTATTTATACAAGTACGACCTTTAAATTGAGGATTAGTAATTAAAATGGAAGGATTTTTTTTCAGATGTTTATTTGAAAATAAGTAGAATTAGAAAATTAATTATAATTAAATCGCTTATTTTTGTCTCAGATAATTAAATTTTGTTTTGCTAATCTGGATTTAAGAAGGCCACTTTCAATAAGCCATCTGTTTACGCACTAAAAGAATCCTGGAATCATGACTCAGTCCTTTGGTGCAGGTGCACTTTCATAGTGACACTGTCAGATCCAACTAGAAAACCTGCTTCTATTAATTTATTTCTTAAAGTATCAAAAACCTGAGAGCACCTGGCACTTTCTTTAATGTAGCTTATAGTAGAGAAAAGGAATCAAGAAAATTCCCATGTGAGAAAACTGAATGACTTGCATTAATTTGTTATAATAACCAACAATCCCAGAACACAAGAGGGTAAATTCCCCTTCTGGAGTAAAAGACAAAATCATTTCATATGTTGCATGAGTGTCCTAGACTACAGCTGTGAGTAGAGTATTATTTCCTGAAAATAGCACTGCAAAGGCTTCTTCTTCAACTTCAAGAGGCCTAATGCTTGGTAGAGGAGAGAGTATGAAATTTGAAATGAGACAAATATGAGTTTGAATCCTCTCTATGGTTATCATCTTTGTACACATTTTAAAAAGTTAATCACTCTAAGCCTTTCTTTTTCATAAAATAGAAGTCATGCTTATTTCACATTATTATTATAATAATTAAATGAAATATCCTCTAAAGTAATGGGCTTTCTCTTCAGAACCAAATAATGGCTAATATAGTAAAACAAGATACAATAGAACTAGACCACATAAAAGAGTAAAATCTCATATATTTAGACATTTAAGGCCTCTTAGCTTCTCAGAGAACATTTTTGGACAGAAATATTTAAACACTTTTACTTTTGACTCATAATGTATTTGGTTGGCTATTTATCATTATTGATTCAATTTCCATTCCTAAATGTAGTGGTCTAAAGAAATATTCAATATGTGAACTTTGGTAAAAACATAAATCATGGATTGAATTCCAAGATGGTGAAGACTATGTGTATTTTACTCACCACAGATCTCTAAAATAGCCCTGTCCGGTGGAGTGCAATGGGCCATAGGCATTCAAAATCCCATTAGCCACATTAAAAATGTAAAAAGAATCAAGTGAAATTTATTTTAATAATGTGTTTTAAATTAATACATCCAAAATATTATCATTTCAACATATAATCAATATTAAAACTTTTATAATGATTCAAGTATTTGTATTTTAGTTAATTAAAATTAAATAAAATAAAAAAATCATTTCCTTGGTTGCATCACCATGGTTCAGGTGCCTGTAGTCACATGTAGACTCCCTTATTGGACAGTGCAGTTCTAACACCTACCATAGAGCCTGGAACAGAGGAGGCAATCAAGATGAATTGAGTACATTAAAAAATAAGTAAATGAAAATAATTATCATAATACTCTACGTATAATGTCTCTGATCAATGGTCTTCCATAAAAAATTATTACTCTCTTTGCTGTTCAAAAGACTTTTAGAGTCTTCTTGGAAGTAATCACTAACCACAAAGGGTCAAAGGAAGTTGTCCCATAATTGAGAGATATATATACTTATGTATATAGAAAGTCATCTGATCTTAAATATGAGGATGGGGCCCTGATAAGCAAAATCATTATATGTAGTAATTATTATATGTAGTAAAAGTAACGTACATATATATATTATATATATGTAGTAAAAGTAATGTATATATAAATCATGTTATTCCTTTTACTATATATATAGAAAAAGTAATATATATATTAGTTCTTTGATATATAGTAATAATAATATATTGTTATATATATAATATATTACTATATAATAGTATAATAACATATAATAAAAGTAATAATATGATAATATTTAAAACGATTATTTGCACAATAAAGTTATGTATGTTTAATTTTTTAAAAAATAATTATTTTAACAAATTCGTCATCTGAATGAAAAATTAGATATTTTGTCCGAAATGACTCTACAATGGCTTTGGAAGTTCTAAGGCATCTATGTCTATCAGATTTTTCTGATATTTTCTGTATTTTTTAGAAGCTCTTTAAGTTTATATACATTTCTGAGACACAAGTAATCAGTTAGCAGAAAATAGTAGAGAATGTAATGCATTCACTTAAATTTAGTTGAATACCAACATAAAAAAACCATGAAAGGTATTGATATGATAAGTAAACCGATGAATGAAAGAAAGCACACATTCTAAATGTCTTCACTCTCTATCCCAGATCTCTGTAATTTCAAGTGGGAAATGGGTCCAGAAACCCATTATACTGTGAGAAGGTGGGCCTTCCAAGTTTATGAAAAAGTTATCTTTTTAATTGTAACGTTTTTATTGTAAAATTAAAACTACATACCAAAATGGAGCGGAACATACAGGCAAAGTTGCTTTCAAGAGATAGTATGTCCCCTAAATCAACCAGATTCTATTATAATCTGACTGCACACAAATATAAAGGCAGTTGTCAATGAAGATGACTGTGATCATTGTCGATTGCTAACAAAAGCAGTATCACAGAGGCAAGTTTGAAAGGGCCCATTCTTGTACAAAAAGAGAGAATGAGTTTCTCCTTTTGTGTGACCATGACTGTAAGCAGTTGTGGTCAATTTACCTTGAGTATTATGGTAATTTTTGCCAGATGCCATTAAAACTTCAATCGTTTTGTGTGCTTAATCTTGATTCCATATTCAACAGCAAACTTCTCATTACAGCCTGGCTTCCCATGTGGGTCTACTTCTACCTTCAAGAAGAAAATATGCTGAGTAAATAGTTTCACAGGAATCTGGTTTACAGGCTTTTTTGACATTGTGTATTAGTTTTGGAACATGGTTAATGTGAATCTGACCTTTGAGATACATTCACTATTGGTGAATTGACTGTCAAGTTTTCGACACCGCAAGGTGAAGAACCAGACATTGAATGATGAGAAATTCATCATGAGAATCACTACCACCTATGAAGGCTTATAGGGATTTTTCCCTGCACACAAACTCTCAGTGTTTGTGTGATGACTTACTAAAGTTATTTACATTTGCCGAGACTCTTCAAAGGGAAAAAAATAAAAGAACCCAATGGCCTGTTAATACCTTGTTTGTGCAAATAAAGTTATAAAGCTATTTATGACAACTGAACCAATGTTAAAAAGAAAAATATTTGTCTGCTCTTGATTACGTGTTATTGAAATTTTAGGATCAATCATTTTCAATATCCTCAGCATGTTTTACTTTATTCTCACTCACAAAAACAAAAACTGCTAACTTAGCTTTGCATTATGAACCTGGAAGTCTAGCTTAAATGAGGAGTCTTCAAAAAGTTCCCAGAAAAATGTATATTGTGACAAAACTAAGCATTGATTTCAGACATTTTTGCACCAAAAAAAAAACTTGTACTAACTTGTTATAACATGTCTGAGTAGGATCTAGTTTGAGGTACCAAGAAGGTTAAGACAACAGTTTGAAAGCCTCTACCAGAGCAATATGAATTGTGCTAAAATTGAAGTGAGAAGAAACATCAAGTTTATGGTGAAGCTTGGGTGAAAGAATAGTGAAATCATTGATGTTTTACAAAAATTTTAGGGGACAATGCCCCAAAGAAATCAGCAATTTACAAATAAATAACTCATTTTAAGAAGGGACAAGATGTTGCAGATGAAGCCTGAAGTGGAAGATCATCCACATGAATTTATGATGAAGTAATTCATCTTGTTTATGCCCTAATTGAAGAGGACTAACAATTAAGAGCTCAAACATGCTTGTAGTCCCAGCTACTCAGGAGGCTGAGGTAGGAGGATTGCTTGAGCCCAGGAGTCTGAGACCATCCTGGACAACATAGAAGACTTCGTTTCTTTCTTTCTTTCTTTCTTTTTTTAATGGTTTTCCAAATTTCCCAATTTTATTTAATAAAATTAGCTTCAAAATAGAAAAAATGCCAGTAGTAGTTTATATACATATTTATATGGATATAATTTCACATATGGAGAAAAATAGCATAGAAATGCAAAAAATGATGACATATTGTTTGAAGTTATAGAATTATGTTTTTTCCTAAGAGGAAAAGTGCTTTTAATTTTAACTTGAATGTCTTTTTTTATAAATGACCCTTATTTTACTCTATTCCTGTAGCAAATGTCCCCTTTCAATTGTAGTTTATTCTTCATTTTTATTTAGTTTTATTTTACATTAAGCTACAGGATACACGTGCAGAATGTGCAGGTTTGTTACATAGGCATAGTTGTGCCTTGGTGGTTTGCTGCACCTATTGACCCATCATCTAAGTCCCCTCCCCTTGTCCCAACCCCCCAACAGGCCCTGGTGTATGTTGTTCCCCTCCCTGTGTCAATGTGTTCTCTCATTATTCAACTCCCACTTATGAGTGAGAACATGCGGTGTTTTGTTTTCTTTTCTTGTGTTAGTTCGCTGAGGATGATGGCTTCCAGTTTCATCCATGTCCCTGCAAAGGACATTATCTCATTCCTCTTTATGGCTGCATAGTATTCCATGGCATATATGTACCACATTTTCTTTTTTCATTTTTTTTTTCAGGGGGGACTTAGTTTTGCTCTTGTTGCCCAGGCTGGGGTGCAATGGTGCCATCTCGGCTCACTGCAACGTCCACTTCCTGGGTTCAAGTGATTCTCCTACCTCAGCCTCCCAAGTAGCTGGGATTACAGGCACCCACCACCATGCCTGGCTAATTTTGTATTTTTAGTAGACACGGGGTTTCTCCATGTTGGTCAGGCTGGTCTCGAACTCCTGACCTCAGGTGATCTGCCTACCTTGGCCTCCCAAAGTGCTGGGATTACAGGCAGGAGCCACCACGCCCACCCATGTACCACATTTTCTTTATCCAGTCTATTATTGATGGGCATTTGGGTTGGTTCCGTGACTTTGCTATTGTAAATAGTGCTGCAATAAACATACATGTTCATGTCTTTATAGTGGAATGATTTATATTCCTTTGGGTATAACCCAGTAGTGGGATTGCTGGGTCAAATGGTATTTCTGGTTCTAGATATGTGAGGAATTGCCATACTGTGTTACTGTCTTCCACAATTGTTGAAAAGGCGTTCCTATTTCTCCACAGCCTTGCCATACTGTTTTGGTTATGGTAGCCATGTAGTATAGTTTGAAGTCAGGTGGTGTGATGCCTCTAGCTTTGTTCTTTTTGCATAAGATTGTCTCAGCTATACAGGGTTTTCTTTGATTCCATATGAAATTTAAAGTAATTTTTTCTAATTCTATGAAGAATGTCAATGGTAGTTTGATAGGAATAGCATTGAATCTATAAATTACTTTAGGCAGTATGGCCATTTTCACAATATTGATTTTTCCTATCACTGAAGATGAAATGTTTTTCCATTTGTTTGTGTCTTCTCTTATTTCCTTGAGCAGTAGTTTGTAGTTCTCCTTGAAGAGGTCCTTCACATCCCTTATTAGCTGTATTCCTAGGTATCTTATTCCCTTTGTAGCAATTGTGAATGGGAGTTCATTCATGATTTGGCTCTCTGTTTGTCTATTGTTGATGTAAACAATCCTTGTAATTTTTGCACATTAATTTTGTATCCTGAGACTTTGCTGAAATTGCTTATCAGCTTAAGGCATTTTTGGCCTGAGATGATGGAGTTTTCTAAATATAGAATCATGTAATTTACAAACAGAGACAATTTGACTTCCTCTCTTCCTATTTGAATACCCTTTATTTCTTTATCTTTCTTGGTTGTCCTGGCCAGAACTTCCAATACAATGTTGAATAGGAATGGTGAGAGAAAGCATACTTGTCTTGTACTGGTTTTCAAAGGGAATGCTTCCAACTTTTGCCCCTTCAATATGATATTGGCTGTGGGTTTGTCGTAATCTGCTCTTATTATTTTGAGATATGTTCCATCAATACCTAGTTTAAGAGTTTTTAACATGAAGCGATGTTTAATTTTATCAAAGGCCTTTTCTGCATTTATTGAGATAATCATGTGGTTCTTGTCATTGTTTCTGTTTATGTAATGGATTATGTTTATTGATTTGTGTATGTTGAACCAGTCTTGCATACCAGGGATGAAATCAACTTGATGGTGGTGAGTAAGTTTTTGATGTGCTGCTGGATTCACTTTGCCAGTTTTTTATTGAGGATTTTCACATCAATGTTCATTGGGGATATGGGCCTGAAGTTTTCTTTTTTTATTGTGTCTATCCCCAGTTTTGGTATGAGGATGATGCTAGCTTCATAAAATAAGTTAGGGAGGAGTCCCTCCTTTTCAATTATTTGGAATAGTTTCAGAAGGAATAGTACCAGCTTCTCTTTGTGCCTCTGGTAGAATTTGGCTGTGAATTCATCTGGTCCTGGGCTTTTTTTGATTGGTAGGCTATTAATTACTGACTGGATTTCAGACCTTGTTATTGGTTTATTCAGAGATTCGACTTCTTCCTGGTTTAGCCTTGGGAGGGTGTATGTGTCCAGGAATTTATCCATTTCTTCTAGATTTTCTAGTTTATTTGTATAGAGGTGTTTATAGTATTCTCTGATGGTAGTTTGTATTTCTGTGGGGTCAGTGGTGATATCCCCTTTATCATGTTTATTGTGTCTATTTGATTCTTCTCTCTTTTCTTCTTTAATAGTCTAGCTAGTGGTCTATTTTTTTAAGTTTTTCAAAAAACCAGCTCCTGGTTTCATTGATTTTTTGGAGGGTTTTTCATGTCTCTATCTCCTGCAATTTTGCTCTGATCTTAGTTATTTCTTGTCTTCTGCTAGCTTTTGGATTAGTTTGCTCTGGCTTCTCTAGCTCTTTTGACTGTGATGTTAGGGTGTCAATTTGAGATCTTACAGGCTTTCTGATGTTGGCATTTAGTGCTATAAATTTCCCTCATAACACTGCTTTAGCTGTGTCCTGGAAATTCTGGTACATTGTGTCTTTGTTCTCATTGGTTTCAAAGAACTTCTTTATTTCTGCCTCAATTTCATTATTTACCCAGGAGTCTTCAGGAGCAGGTTGTTCAATTTCCATGTAATTGTGTGGTTTTGAACAAGTTTCTTAATCCTGAGTTCTAATTTGATTGCACTGTGGTCTGAGAGACTGTTATGATTTCAGTTATTTTGCATTTGCTGAGGAGTGTTTTACTTCCAATTATGTGGTTGATTTCAGAATAAGTGCCATGTGGCACTGAGAAAAATGTATATTCTGTTGATTTGGTGTGGAGGGTTCTGTAGATGTCTATTAGGTCCACTTGATCCAGAGCTAAGTTCAAGTCCTGAGTGCCCTTGCTAATTTTCTGTCTTTTCAGTCTGTATACTATCGACAGTGGGGTGTTAAAGTCTCCCACTATTATTGTGTGGGCATCTAAGTCTCTTTGTAGGTCTCTAAGAATTTGTTTTATGAATATGCTTGATCCTGTACTGGGTGCATATATATTTAGAATAGTTAGATCTTCTTTTTGAATTATTCCCTTTACCATTATGTAATGCCCTTCTTTGTCTTTTTTGATCTTTGTGGTTTAAAGTCTGTTTTGTCAGAGACTAGGATTGCAATACCTGCTTTTTTTTGCTTTCCATTTGCTTGGTAATTTTTCCTCCATCCCTTTATTTTGAGCCTATGTTAGTCTTTGCACATAAGATGAGTCTCCTGAATACAGCACACTGATGGGTCTTGACTCTTTATTCAATTTGCCAGTCTGTGTCTTTTATTTGGGGCATTTAGCCCATTTACATTTAAGGTTAGTATTGTTATGTGTGAACCTGATCCTGTCATAATGATGCTATCTAGCTATTTTGCACACTAGTTGATGCAGTGTCTTCATAGTGTCATTAGTCTTTATATTTTGGTGTCTTTTTTTTCAGTGGCTAGTAACGGTTTTTCCTTTCCATATTTAGTGCTTCCTTCAGGAGCTCTTGCATGGCAGGCCTGGTGGTGATGAAACCCCTTAGCATTTGCTTGTCTGGAAAGGATTTTATTTCTCCTTCACCTACGAAGCTTAATTTGGCTGGATATTTAATTCTGGGTTGAAAATTCTTTTCTTTAAGAATGTTAAATATTGGCCCCCAATCTCTTATGGCTTGTAGGGTTTCTGCTGAGAAGTCCACTGTTAGTCTGATGGGCTTCCCTTTGTAGGTGACCCGACCTTTCTCTCTGGCTGCCCTTAGCATTTTATTCTTCATTTCAACCTTGGACAATCTGATGATTATGTGTCTTGGGGTTGATCTTCTCATGGAGTATCTTAGTGGTGTTCTCTGTATTTCCTGAATGTGCATGGTGGCCTGTCTTGCTAGGTTGGCAGTAAGTTCTCCTGGATAATATCCTAAAGTGTGTTTTCCAGTTTGTTTCCATTCCCCCCATCTCCTTCAGGTACTCCAATCAATCATAGATTTGGTATTTTTACATAGGTCCATATTTCTTGGAGGCTTTGTTCATTCCTTTTCATCCTTTTTTTCTCTAATCTTGTCTGCATGCCTTATTTCAGCAAGGTAGACTTCAAACTCTGATATCCTTTCTTCTGAATGGTCAATTCAGCTATTGATACTTGCGTATGCTTCATAAAGTTGTGCTGTGTTGTTCACCTCCATCAGGTCATTTATATTCCTCTCTAAACTGGTTATTCTAGTTAGCAGCTCCTCTAGGCTCTTATCAACGTTCTTAGCTTCTTTGCATTTGGTTAGAACATGCTCCTTTAGCTCAGCAGAGTTTTTTGTTACCCATCATCTGAAGCCTACTTCTGTCAATTTATCCATCTCATCCTCGGTCCACTTCTGTGCCCTTGCTGGAGAGGCATTATAATCATCTGGAGGAGAAGAGGAATTCTGGCCTTTTGCATTTTCAGCAATTTTTTCTTTGATTCTTTCTCATCTTTATGAGTTTGTTTAGTTTCAGTCTTTGAGGGTGCTGACCTTTGGATGGGGTTTGTGTAGGGACTTATTTGTTGTTGTTGATGCCTTTGTTGTTGCTTTCCATTTGTTTATTTTTCTTTCAATGATCAGGTCCCTCCTCTGTAGGGCTGCTGCAGTTTGCTGGGGTTCACTTCAGGCCCTATTCCTCTGATTTGCTCCCACACCTGGAGATGTCACTCAAGGAGGATAGAGAACAGCAAATATGGGTGTCTGCTCCTTATTCTGGGATCTCTCAGGATCAATGTGGGTGACTAATGATTTCCCTGATTTGGCTCTTTCAGACTTTCTTTGTTTCCCAATCTTAAAAGATATTTAAAAGGCACCTACTTTTCTTTAGTTAATAATGAAAAAAGATTGTCTTAACCTAGTTAAATTCCAAGGAACTCCTTTTTTTTTTTTAGGGATGGACTAAATGTCTGATATCATCATTTACTAAAGTGCCTTGATTTTGGTAAAATTTATGTTGAGAAATAAAGTTTATATTTTTGTTTTTAAGTTTTAATTCCATTTTCCACAAGCTTTTTGAAGAATCCTTGTATCTCCCAAGCAGTGTAAAAAAGAAACAAAATGCCTTTCTACAAAAGAGAACATATGTGCTTGAAAGCTTGTAATCCGATTGACTAAGCATTGTAAGTATCTTCTGGTCATGGACCCCTGGCTATGTAATAGAATGTATCTTCACCCTGAGGATCACCACAGATAAAGGATAAGTATGCAATGCTACGTACTCCTTTGAAAATAATGACATTTTCAGCTGAAAGCTGGGTGCATAGGAGTTCACTAATAAAGGAATTCCTCTGAAAGTCAGACTCTAAATAACTACATTTTAGAGTCTTACTTGCTACTTATCCTGTAAAGGAGTCACAAAATCTATCTAGTTTTACACAGAATTGCTGATTTTCAACTTTTCTCTCACTTGGGTAATTCTTGTGACCAAATTTCTCCAGGGTTCATGTCACTGAGAAAAAAAAAATTGTCTAAGTTACTGAGCAAGGAAGGTAATTTCATTCTATTCAGACTTCCTTAAGCCATCGAGTTTTCAATGAAACCATCATTACATGCAATCATCTCATCGGGTTTCTCTTTAATTGGTCAACTGCCTGCAAGTTATTTTGGGCAAGCCAGCAATGCTTAGCTTTCAGAAAACCAATGCAAGTACAGTATGCAATTCAGCAACCAAAGCATTATGGAAATTTAGTATCAAAAGCATATCCTTGACATTTAAGTGTCCTGTCAGATTTCAGTTGACATTGTCACTATGGTGGCAATATCAGAAGAAAGACTAAGAATAATATGTTTATGAAATGTGGTTTATCTCTGTTTTTTTAAAATATTCTGTCAGCATCAAGTTCATGGTAATTTGTTACCAATCTGAAAAGTCTTGATTCTATGAGTAATTTTTAAATAGTTTAGCAGTAATAGTATCAATCTAATTTAGACTGGCCAATGGTCTCCCTTTAAACTCTATAGTCCTTGGCACCTTTCAGTATATCTTGAAGCCTGAAAATGGGCTCCTCATTCAGTTTCATTCTAACAATTACACCCAAGTAGCAATGTGTATTTGCAAAATTGCTTCATAGGAAACCAGGCTGAGAGATTCTTCCATACCTTTGGCTGAAACTGTCAGTCAGTGTAAACTCAAAGCTCTCATATTCAGAAAGACCCCAGTGAGTTATTATCAGATTGGCATGAAATTGTGATTATTAATTTTTCACTTATGAAAATTTTCTGATTCTGTAATGGCTTGTAATATGTCAACTCAGCTACACTAGCAAAACTATGAAGATGGAATGAACAACCAGCAGGCATTTTGCCACATTTGCACACCGCCTTTCAGTTACTCAATCAAGTACTAATCTAGTTGCTGCTGTAAGGGGACCTTTGCAGATGTAACTGAAGTCCCTATTCAGTTGACTTCTTAAGCTAAGAAGAACATCCTTGAGGAGCCTGACCTAATCAGGCAAGCCTTTTAAAAGGACTGCTTTTTTCCTGGCAAATGAAACTTCAAATAGCAGCTAAGACTATAATTGCTCTCTCTTCTCTGCATCTTCTTTTCTGAACGCCTGTGGCCAGAAAACAGCTTCAACTCAGCCACATAGGCTCCCTTCTGCCTGTCCTACAAACTTCGATTCCTTGTAATAAAATCTCTATATATTTTCTCCTTCTCCTCCTCCTCTTCTTCTCCTTCTTCCTGCTTTTCTTTCTCTGTCTCCTTCTCTTTCTCAGTCTATCAAATGTTCTTCTAGTTCTGCCTCTTTGGTTGAGCTCTAGCTAATACAGAACCCCCCACATTAGCTGCTATACTCTAACAGCTATGCTTTTCGTGAAAGCTGAGTGAAAACTGCAAAGTTAAGTAAAAGCTACTGTAATGTATCTGTATTATATTTATGACCAAAAAATAGCATTCATTGGAAAAATAGTAACATATAGTCATTGATTTATTCCACAGAAAAATTGAGTGCCCGCCTAATTCTATTCTCTATGTTGGGGATATAGGAATGATTAGAACAGAAAGTGCTGTTCTCATGGCTTTTTACAATAAGAGTTGAGGAAAGAGACTGAATGTAAAGAAAGAAAATACTGAAGTTACATGGTAATAAGGGCTAGAATGAAACTGAAGTTTCTGGGGTGATTACGTAAGTCTTTGCTTTATAATAATTTATCGTATTATACGTATATTTTACCCAGATTCATTGTGCATTATATTTCACAATTTGAAAAGGGATAACAAGTACTAAGTTTGGTGGAATAAGGAAAGTCAGTGGGTCAGGGTTGGGGAGAATGTTGTTTTATAAAGGCTGGTCAGGAAAGTTAATTTGGAGCAGGGAAAGAGACACAACCCTTTGCAGTTCAGGTTTATTGGTTTGGAGTTATTGATATCTAAGAATGAAAGGAATTCTCTAGCCCTTGTGATAGAGCTCAGGTAAGATGAACAAGATGTATAGGAGTCTCCATTAGTGCGGTTCTTCATAGGGCTTGGAGGTGATTTCAAGCATATTTGATGCTATGATCTTTCATGTTTTTAACTGTAACATTTACATTATATATTATAACCTAATACATATATCATTTTTTCATGGGGCACTGTACTTTGAAATGTCTTCCTTGAGATTTCCTGATTCCCCTGTTAACTGGGACTGGGTCCCAGCAGTACCATGATCCCCATTGCTCACCTTTTAGATGTTCTGTGACTCTCTGCACCCATGTGGGATTGATCATATGCCCCAAATTACTCCAGGACTCATGCCTCTGGGGACGTCCTGGGATGCCATGAGTGGGCCCAGATTCCAAAGACAATTTAACGAGGAGATCAATCCCTCTGGCCAATGGAGTATTTTGGGAGGGGCTGGGATTGCATGATATTTGTCTTCCAGAATGGTGTTGATAGCCAAATTTGGGTGATTCAAATTGTTTCTATCTGCAAATGTAAACATATATTCACTGGCTTTTAAAAAACAAACAAACAAAAAACATACTATTTATACTTTCTCTAGTTTCCTTTTTTTCATTTAACAATGTATCCTAGAGATTGTGCCAGACCAAAGTGTCAAAGTCTAATGATTTCCATATCAAAGAATAAGTTCTAACCCTTTCCTTTTGCAACTGCATATTTCACTGTGTGGTGATCCAGTGATTTTCTTTTAATAAAGATTTAGATCACTTCTAGTCTTTTCGCTAGTAAGATGTCTTAATGTATAACTTTGTGAAGTTATTTAATATTTTTTTGAGTGCATCTTTGAGATAGTTTCCTTGAAGTAGAATTCCTGGGCCAAGGATAAGTAATTTAACCAGATATTCCCAAATTCCTCTCCATAGTTGGTATATCATTTTTTTTTCATTCCCACCTTTTTGATTCCACATAGTCTTGCCAACAGAGTATTTATTAAACTTTTGAATTTTTGACAACCTAATAATTGAGAAATTATGTCTCAATGGAGATTAATTTGCCTTTTTCTTTTTATGAATCAGGATGAGTAATTTATGTGTAACTAAGAATCATTTGAATTTCTTTTACATGTAAAATCCTTGATTACTTTTTCCTACTTATCCCATTCACTTTGTTGGAGTTTTTCGTTTTCATACTTAGGAATTCTTTATGTTTGAAATATTAGTTCTTGGCCTATGGTAAGTCACAAATATTATTTTTCCATTTTATGTTATGTCAGTTGACTTTACTCCTGTTCTTTTTCTTAAACCATGAAAAGATGTAGTGGTGTTGTCATTGTTGTTTAAGTAAATGAATTTCTTATCGTTCTTATTGCCCCAGAATTTGGAAAATAGTTGGGGAGATTTTTCCCAATCCCAGGTTATGAATTGACCAATAATATTTTCTAAAACTTACATGGTTTCATGTTTTTTAATTTATACATTTGATTCATTTGATATTTATTCTAGTGCGCACCGTGTGAAGTATAAATCTAGGTTTAATTTTTCAAATGGTAATCCTATTTTCCCAGCACCATTTACTAAAAAAAAAAACAAAAAATCTGCCTTTCTCTGAATTTGAGATGCTACCTGTATCAAGTAGTAATTTTTAAATATACTTGAATCTCTTTCTAAATTCTAGTGAATTCCATTGTGCTTTCTGTCTACTCACATCCAAATATAACATTCTTCTACTTATGTAACCTCTATAAAATATTTGAATATCTGGTAGGGCTAATCCCCCACCTCATTTTCCTATTTTAGACACCACCCCCACCAGCTCCTTCTTTGCATATTTTCCCAAATGGACTTCATAATTAACGTTTATAGCTCAAGAAATAAAACATCCTACTGGTGAGTTTATTAAAATCATGTTCAATTTACCAAAAAAAAACAAAAACAGTGTGGGTTAATTGACCTCTTTCTGATGCCATCTACTTTTCCACAAACATGGTGTATCTTTCCATTTGTTTGAACTCTTTTATATTTAACAGGGAAAAAAATGAAACTACTGACCTAAGAAGACTAATTAGGGATCAATTCACAAATCAGTAGTTTTCCCAAGGGCCTAGAAACAAAAGTTCAATTCAGAATAAAATAAAATAATCTAATTTTTGCATACACCATCAATACTTCTATTTCAGACACCAGGAATATAACAGCATACACTGATTTTAATAAGAACAATAATACCAAGGCAGAAAGTTTGGAGGAAAGCTAGTTTTAGAAGACTTGTGTCTTAAGAGATCTGAATTCTGGGACAACAGGGGTTTCTTTTGTCAGAAAGATACATTGAGCAAAGATACAATTTTTCCTCTGAGTTCTATTAGTAAACACTATTTTCTGGCAAAAAAAAAAAAAAAAGAATTTAAAATGGCTACTAATTATAGCATAGTATTTCCCATTGCTTCCCAAAAACACCTGGCAACAAGTATGCTTGGAGAAATGCAAAACAAATTTTTCAGAGAAATGACAATATGTCTTTTTATGTCATATTAAGACATATTAAGACAATACATCTTATTAATCTCAGACACTGAGATTAATAAGACATAGCAAAGCCCTACTAGAAACAAAACAGTGCAGCTAAGAAGTAAAAATAAAAATAATAATAAATTAAAAAAATAAGAAGTAAAAATAAAAGCAGTTTACAGTTTTGTTTTGCTCTTTTATCTTAGTACATTAGTGAAAAATGAGTACTAGTGTAGCACCACGCAGCTTCTTCAGTTGTGATAAATGTCAGCAATTACTACAGCTGCCTCAGTGGTCTAGGCTGGAGGAATTTGGCCTTGATGGTGGCTGTGTAGGTTATTAGGACAAAGGCTTTAGGAATCTTTCTTTTCTTCTCTTTCTCTCAGTGGGAGATTCAGCTGAAGGAGTCTCTTTTGATGTCAGGTCTGACACCACGCTCAGGCAACAGCAGCAGCATCAGGAACCAGGTCACAGTTGCTTGGAGCAGCTGTGGAGCTGGGTTTCTTGTCTCAGAGTCTTTTGAAACTACTGTAGCATCTGGGACTTGAGGGGCAGGTTCAGTTTCCAAGACACAGTTGCATTGGATGCAGTTTTTTCAATAAGCTGGGGTCTACCACTCTGAGGCACATCTGAGCGGCTCAGGCCCAGAGGGCTGAGAAGTGTCTGTGGTTCTGACTCTAGGGGCAAGATGCAAAACTGGCATGGCTCTGGAAATCAATGGGATGCAACAGAAGCTTGGGCCCCGGGGAGAAGGACACAGCTGCAAGTTTGGAAGTGGAACCAACAAGGTATAGCGGCAGCTGGAGCTTCAAGGAATGAAGTACCATGCAGTGGTGACTCTGGACAATGGGATGGGAGGGACGCAGCAACAACCCAGACTCTTTAAGGCCTGGTGCAGCGGCAGCAGGGAGCCAGGAATGGCAAGATGCCACTGTGCCTTCAGTCCCAGGGGGTGGAGAGCAGTGCAACAATGATGGCAGCTCAGATTGCATGGGGCTTGTCCAGTCCAGGTAGGTGGGGCACTGTGCCTATTTGGCCTTTTCCCTGCAGAAATAATTCCCCCCTGGTTTTGAGCTGACTAGGTGGATGGAGTGTTACGGGCAAGGTGTTCCCTTCTCTTCTCTGTGTGACCATCCTTGGTCTCTGTGTTCTACCGGATTTCTACTGCTTCTTTGCTGTTCTCTGGAACTCTATTTTAGTTATTTTGGTCAAAATGTAGTTTCATTTTTATATCTGTAGATGATGAAATGAGAGCCAATGTTTTATTTTTTAACTGATGATTTGTTTCCTCTCCCTCTTTCGTGTTCAGTTTTGCTAGGTATTTATTAATTTTACTAATTTTTTCAAAGAATCTTCTCTTAGCCATGTTAATTTTCTCTATTGATCTGTGTATTTTTATATTATAGATTTATGCTCCTATTTATATTATTTCCTTCCTTCAGCTTACTTTGGGCTTAATTTGCTCTTTTTTTCCTAGTCCATTAAGTTGAACTTAGATTCTTAGTTTTAAACCTATATTATTTTCTAATGGAGAATTTAAGTCTATGTATCCATCTCCATGCCATGCTATAGTGGCAACCCCAAAGTTTTGATATGTTGTGTTCTCATTACTGTTAGTTCCAAATATTTTCTGTTTCTTATCCTAAGTTTTCTTTGTTTCACTAGTGTCTGTATGTGTGCTGTTAATTTATAAATACTTGGTGATTTTTTAGATATCTCATTGCTATTTATTTCTAATTTATGCCCCTTATTTAACTTAAATCTCACTTAATCTGTAAGATTTAAATATTTTACATTTATTTATACTAAGACTCACTGTAAGAGAGTAATTTTAAGGCTCAGGGTATACTTGTCTTGGTGAACATCCCATGTACATTTGAAAAATGTGTGTTTTATAGTTTTGAGGTATAAGATTCAAGAAATATCAGTTGGGTAAAGTTGGTTGATATAATTCATATTATCTTCTCTGTTCCTTATTCTACTTTTATATAAATTACTGAGAGAGGTATCTAAGAATATTCAGCAATGATTATGGATTCTCATAGTTCCTTTAGTTCTATCAGTCATTGCTACATGGATTTGAAAGCTCTGTTACTACAGGCACATGCATTTAGGAGTGTCATGTATGGCTGATGAATTGCCACTTGTTTCATTATTAAATATCCTTGTCTCTGGGTAATGTTTCTTGTCTTGAAGTACACTTTGATGTTAAACATTTTTTAGGTTACTGTTTATAGAACATACCCTTTTTTGCAAATGTTTTATACTATTTGTGTCTTTATATATAAAGTACATCTTTCTTAAAAACAGAAGAAGTTGCCTTTAGATGCAATCTAAAATTTCCTACCCTTTATTTAGCATTACATTAACATGACTATTGTCAACTAAAGAAAAACATCAAGCTTTTAAAGAATTAAAGTTAATTTTGTTGAGAAGTCTTACTGAAGATTGCAGACTGAGGCCTAGGGCTGGAGAGCAGCCCCTTAGAGAGTTACTCAGACAGCTCTAGTGCAGTGCTTTAGCTCACAGTTTATACATGGGTTGTGGAAGTTCGGCATGTGCAAAATCACACCAAACCTTATTGCAATATTGAAGCAGTATCACATCAAGGTTTGTATGGAAGAGTACATTTTAGGCCGGGCACAGTGGCTCAAGCCTGTAATCCCAGCAATTTGAGAGGCCGAGGTGGGCAGATCACCTGAGGTCAGGAGTTCGAGACCAGCCTAGCCAACATGGTGAAACCCCATCTCTACTAAAAATACAAAATTAGCTGAGCGCAGTGGCGGGCAACTGTAATCCCGGTGATTAGGGAGGCTGAGGCAGGAGAATCACTTGAACCGGCGAGATGGAGGTTGCAGTGAGCCAAGGTCGTGCCACTGCACTCCAGCCTGGGTGACAGAGTGAGACCCTGTTTCAGAAAAGAAAAGAAAAAAAAAGTACATTCTATTGTAAATTACAGAACATAATCACTAACCCCATGAGATTTATTTTATCTGTAGGTAAAGGTAAGTACTAGGGTCATTTAAGAAATGCAGTGACTTAGGCAAGAGAGGTGGGGGGTTGTGTGCTCTATCCTGTGTTGTCTTCAAAGCATCCTTCTGGAGTCAGGGGCTTGGTGAAAGTATGCTAGTGAGCAGAAATAAGCAAACATCCATCTTATGTGTTACTTTGTCTCACACTGTCAGTACAGTGCGTTTAAATACACCATTTAGCTAGTATTTGCCTATTTATTTCATCTATTTTTGTTTCTCTGCTTTTCCTTTCCTACCTTCATTTTAGCATTCTTTTTTAATTTTATTGATTGTTGTTAGCTATTATTCTTTGTATAATTTTATTGATTGCTTTTATATTGTAATATACATTCTTAACTATGACAATCTACTTAAGAGTTAATGTACCAGGTCAGGTCATGAAAAATGTATAAGAATGGTATAATTTTTGACTTCTGCCTCCTTTTGCTATTGTTTATATTGTGCTACATTTTACTGCTGTTCATGCTATAAAGTCCTCACAACCATTTATCTTGTATTAAGCAATTATTTGCCTTTTAAAGAAACTAAGAGAAAAATTATTGTTGTTAACTTACACAAATATTATTTCTTTATTTCTTTTTATTCTATCATGTTTCCATCTGATTTTTAGCATAAAAACTTAATTAATGAATTCTTATAACTCAGATTGGCAAAATCTCAGCTTTTGTGTATGTAAAAATATGTTTATTCACTTTCAATTTAGAATATTTTTTTCTTTTACCATGTCAAATATGTAATCCCACTGACTTCTGACTTCCACCACTTCTGATGAGATGAAATTTGTAATTCTTGTATTCTTCTTTTTGCAGGAGCTGATAACAAAATATTTTCTTTATCATTGGTTTTTAGCAGTTTCACCCTATGTTGGTTTTATTTTTATTTATCCTGTTTAGCCTTCGCTGATTTTTTTTAAACTATAATTTGACTGTTTTTACCAAATTTAGGAAATTTTTGGCCATTTTTTCTTTAAACATTTTTTATCATGCTCTCTTGCTCTCTCTCTCTCTCTCTCTCTCTCCCTCTCTCCCTTTTCTAGGACTCTAATATATGTATGTTACATTGCCTGATATGGTTCCACAGGAAGCTGAGGCTTGGCATACTTTTTAAATATTTCTCCCATTTTTTCCATTTGGATAATTAATATTAATTTAACTTCAAGAATGCCAACCCTTTTTCTTGCAGTATTAAATCTGCTATAAAGACCATTCACTATTTTTTAATCTTCAATATTATACTAAAAATCTTCATTTATTTTTTCAAAATTTTATTTCACCACTGAGAATTCATATTTGCTTTTTTGTTATGCACATTTTTTCCTTTAAGTATTGGAATATATACACGCTATTTTTGTTTGATTTTTTCTGTTTTGTTATATAATCATGAATATATAATATTATAAATAACTATATAATTTTCTGTATTCCAATTGTGTGGATGAATCATATCTTCATATGTGTTTTATCTGTTTCATTATTATATAATCATGAGTATATAATGTTATAAATTATTATATAATTTTCTGTATTCCAATTGTGGTGGCAGATCATATATATTCATGTGTGTTAAAAATCACAGGACTCTAGCCAGATGAGGTAGCTCATCCCTGTAATCCTATCTACTTGGGAGGCTGAGGTAGGAAGATCGCCTGAGGCCAGCAGTTTGTGACCAGCATGGACATTTTATTACATAGAAGACCCCATCTCTAAAAAAACATATTAAAACTTATCTGGGCATGGTGGCACACACTTGTAGTCCTAGCCACTTAGGAGGCTGAGGTGGCAGGATCACTTGAACCCAGGAGTTCAAGGCTGCAGTGAGCTATGATGACACCACTGAACTCCAGCCTAGGTGACAGAGCATGATGTCATCTCTAAAAGAAAAATAAATAAAAAAAAAAATCGCCAGCACTTTGGGAGGCCGAGGCAGCCAGATCACCTGAGGTCAGGAGTTTGAGACCAGCCTGACCAACATGATGAAACACCGCCTTTACTAAAAATACAAAAATTAACCAGGCGTGGTGGCGTCTGCCTGTAATCCCAGCTACTCAGGAGACTGAGGCAGGGGAATCGCTCGAACCCAGGAGGCAGATGTTGTAGTTATCTGAGATTGTGCCACTGTACTCCAGTCTGGGCAACGAGAGCCAAACTCTATCTCAAAAATAAATAAATAAATAAATAAAATCACAGGACTCTATACCAAAAGTCAATTTCTATAATTGTGGTTCTCAGCGAACACCCAAAGTTTTTAGTTATTTCTCCCACTTTTGCTGGGCCAGAATTCCACCTTCTGCTAGCACTGCATGACCTCTGACACTCCCATCCATCTCCCAGTCCTGCAGTAGCGTCTCTTCACTGGGCCTCGTATGTTTTGCCCCATGCACGTGTAGTCTAGCTGTTAGCCAAGGACTACGGATCATGTGGGGAACCACAACTCAGGCTTCTCACATCGCCGTCTTTGCTGCTGCCTCCTCTCTAGAACTATGCCCTGCAAATTCCAGATAGTAAAGCAGCCCAAACTCAGAATTCTGCTTTCTCGACACAACTGTACTCCTGCCTTTTGCTTCAGCTTCTCCATTCTGCACTCACATCCAGATAGCGCACCCAGAACAATCCAGGGGTGGAATTCATGTGTTTTTCTTCTCTCCGAGATCACAATCCCATATCTCTGGTTGTTCAATATGTGCGAACAGTTGTAATGTCCAGTTTTATAGTTGTTTAAGATCAGAATGAAGTGTGATACCAGTGACACCATTGAATATGGAAGTCATAAAATAAAATATGTATTTTTGTGCTGTTTCTCGTAGTTGGAGAAACTCTAAGAGCTGAGAAATTACATAAGTATGTGTTAGGTTGGTGCAAAAGCAACTGAGGTTTTTGTCATTAAAAGTAATGAGAGTAAATAATAGAGTCAAGACAATTTTTTGGAAAGCAATTTTATAATTTTTATTAAGAATCTTTACTTTTTTATACCTTTTGACTCAACAGTTTTACTTATGGAAATTTTTAATGAGCAGAAACAAATTTGCTTAAGGACTGCCATTACAGATATTTATAATGGGTTGGGGGAGAGAAAATAACCAAATATCCAATAAATGGGAAATTGTCTAATACATTGTGGTTTGTACATACAGCAAATTATTATACAACCACTAAAAATGCTTTCAAATGACATTTAATAACATGGGAATTGTTCATGATACAATCATAATGAGAAGAAGATTATAATGTTAAATGTACACAATATGATTCCACTTTTGTTCATGCATACCCAAATACAAATCAAGATTGAAAGCACCAAAATGCCAGCACTGGCTACATCTTTAATGTAGAATTATCAGTGATTTTTATTTTCTTCTTTACATATGCTCTTACATAGTTTCCAAATTTTCTACATCGAACTCATATTATTGCTATAATTTTTTTAAAGTTTAAGCAAATATATAAATGCATTATAATTTCTACAAATTTATGTAGAAACAGTAATAAAATTCCTGAAACACTTAAACTGGTTCAGACCAATTCAAATATATATAGTATATGTGTACGTGTGTGTATATATATACACACACACATATATATATTTATGTGTGTGTGTGTGTGTGTATATATATATAGTGGTTTTTTTTGTTTTATTTTGTTTGTTTGTTTTTGTAGAGACAGAGTCTTGCTCTGTAGCCCAGGCTGGAGTTCAGTGGCACAATCTCAGCTCACTCACTGCAACCTCCGCCTCCTGGGTTCAAGCAATTCTCCTGCCTCAGCCTCCCAAGTAGCTGGGACTACAGGGGCAAGCCGCCAGGCCCCGGCTAATTTCTTTTGTATTTTAGTTGAGACGGTGTTTCACCCTGTTGCCCAGGCTGGTTTCAAACTCCAGAGCTCAGGCAGTCTGCCCGCCTTGGCCTCCCAAAATGCTAAGATTACAGGTATGAGCCACCGCGCCCGGCCATAAAGTGTTTTTAATTGTGGCAAGAACACTTCACATGAAATGTACCCTCTTAAATTTTGAAGTGTATAATAGAGTATTGTTTACTATAGAAACAAGCTGTACAAAAGTTACCTAGAACTTTTTCATCTTGCGTAACTGTAACTTTATATCCTTTGAACAGCAACTTCCCATTTTCCTTCCCTGCCAGCCCACAACCATCCCTTTCTACTCTCAGCTTCTAAAAGTCTGACTATTTTAGATATTTCATATAAGTAGAATCATGCAGTATTTGTCCTTCTTTGATTGGCTTATTTACCTTAGCATAATATCCTCAAAGTTCATTCATGTTCTCTCATACAGCAGGGTTCTCCTTTTTAAGACTGAATAATATTTCACTGTATGTATATTCCACATGTTCTTTTTCCTTTCATCCATCAGTGGACATTTAAGTTGTTTCCAGATTTTGACTATTGTGAATAATTCTACAACGACTATCAGAGTGTAAGTATCTCTTCAAGATTCCGATTTCAATTCCTTTGGATAAATATCCAAAAATGGGATTGCTAGATTATATGGAAATTATATTTTAACATTGTTTTACATAGCAGTTGCATCATTTTACATTCCCACCAAGAGTCTACAAGCTTTCTAATTTTTCCAAACTTTCATTGACACTTTTTGTTTTTTGATGATAGCCATTTTAATAGGTATGAACTAGTATCTAATTTTGGTTTTGACTTGCATCTCCCCAGTGATTAGCGATGTTGAACATCATTTCATATACAAGTTGACCATTTATATGTCCCCTTGAAGAGATGTTTTTTCAAGTCCTTTTCCTACTTAGTTAGAATTTGAAAAATGGTCTAGAGTTTCCAAGTTCATTTGTTGTCTATTATATTACAAATGTCTCTTATAGTCGCTCCTATTTCTACAACATCCTATGAGACAAACTTCTGCACATTTTACACACAGCTACTTACTCATGTTTTCAACATCCTTAATCCCTTCTCTCCTGTAAAGTATGATAATCATAATATTCTATTATAGAATTATTATTATGGAAAAGTATAACATTATCACCATTACTGTTAGAAAATTCATTTTTACTTTTTGACCATATTTCTTTTTAATTTTTATTTGTACCATGCCTTTATTTTTAATTCATATACTGCTTCCTACTACAAGAGCCTAGAAAGCTCATAAAAATTCCAGATACCCAAGATAACCATCATATAAACTTATTTTAAAACAAGCAGCCAAATACTAGACTCCAAAAGCATTATAACACATTCACCTTTTAGTCATAAATAAATTACATCCTATTAAGTAGTAAATAGAGAGAGAGAAAAAAAATCCTTTAAATATTAAAAATCAACATAGATGTTTCCTTATATCCTGACTGTGTTAACACTCATTTCATTCCCTCCCCCTCAGCTGTTCTTAGCTATCAGCTTTACTATATTTAAATCTCATGTTGATATTATTTTGAAATTCACTAAGTTTTTAAACATTACTACTTTTTCAATGACTGTGATTTTTTTGGTGTTTCACTGCAGACATTTTCTGCTTAGTTTAAGCCCTTTCCAGTGGGCCAGTACCTTCTGTCCAGAGTAGTGACACCTATCAGCTATCTAGTTTGTTCCAGTTATATCTCAGCTGTTCCCTATCCACCCTGAAAGAGCAAGTCACATTCATTTTTTAATAGAGGAGAGAAAAGGGGACAGTTAATATCCATTGTATTTCTACTCTATGTGAAGTTCCTAACATGAATTTGTCTTCTGTAAATCCTTGCAATAACGGAATGAAAAGAGTTTATTTCGTTTCTGCTCAAGCTCGTACAGCTGGTTAAGTGTTAAAGCTGAGTTATAAATCTAAGTCTAACTAAGTCTAACTCTAAACCCAAAGCCCTTCTTTTTTTTTTTTTTTGAGACGGAGTCTCGCTCTGTCGCCAGGCTGGAGTGCAGTGGCGCGATCTCAGCTCATTGCAACCTCTGCCTCCCACGTTCAAGTGATTCTCCTGCCTCAGCCTCCCCAGTAGCTGGGACTACAGGTGTGCGCCACCACGCCCAGCTAATTTTTGCATTTTTAGTAGAGACGGGGTTTCACCAAGTTGGCCAGGATGGTCTCGATCTCTTCACCTCGTGATCCGCCCGCCTAGGCCTCCCAAAATGCTGAGATTACAGCCATGAGCCACGGCGCTTGGGCCCCCAAAGCTTTTCTTAATAGTGCTTGGGCTGGGCATGGTGGCTCATGCCTGTAATCCTGATGGCTCAGGCCTATAATCCCAGCACTTTGGGAGGCCAAGGGAGGAGGATCACTTGAGGCCAAGAGCTTGAGAGCAACCTGGCCAACCTGGCAAAACCCCGTCTCTACTAAAAATATAAAAAATTAGCCTGTTGCAGTGGTGGGCGCCTGTAGTCCCAGCTACTCGGGAGGCTGAGGCAGGAGAATGGTGTGAACCCAGGAGGCGGAGCTTGCAGTGAGACGAGATAGCGCCACTGCACTCCGGCCTGGGCGAAAGAGGGAGACACTGTCCAAACAAACAAACAAACAAACAAACAAACAAACAAAAAATTCGCCAGGCGTGGTGGTGCATGCCTGTAATCCCAGATACTTGGGAGGCTGAGGCATGAGAATCGCTTGAACCCGGGAGGTGGAGGTTGCAGTGAGCTAAGATTGCGCCATGGCACTCGAGCCTGGGGGACAGAGAGAGACTCTGTCTCAAAAAATAAATAAACAATAAATAAAAAATAGTGCTTGGAACCACATTCTACATTAAGTTAAAAAAAAAAACCCAGCGCTACTTACATGTAATTACAAAATTACACCATTTAGCAGAATAATTATAAATGGCTTCACAGAAAGAACAACAAGCAGTTCTTTCATGCTTTAATTCGAGAAGCATTATATTTACCTTAAAACATTAAAATATGTTCAGTTCGAGGAAAACAAGACACTTCTGGTCAGTTTTTAAATTTTTTTTTCTTTAAATAGAGTCTCACTTTGTCACCCCGACTGGGGTGCAATGGCTTGATCATAGCTGGCTGTAGCCTCAAATTCCTAGGCTCGAGCACTCTTCCCTAATCTCCTATTTCAGCCTCCTAAGTAGCTGGGACCACAGCCACGCATTACCATGCTTGGCTAATTTTTAAATTTGTTTTTGTAGAGACGAGGGTCTCACTATGTTGCCCAGGCTGTTCTCAAACTCCTGACTTCAAGCGATCCTCCCTCCTTGGCCTCCCAAAGTGCTGAGATTACAGGGATGAGCCACCACACCTGGGCTAAAAGTTACTTTTTTTTAACAGGTGGTGTTTACATCCATTAACCTAATTCTATTATATTCTGCATGTTTTCCTGAATATCTTGGAATGATATCCTTCAATACCATTCCAACGCCTAATCTGTTGGTATTTTTAAGAATAAATGGGCCCTTCCAGAGATTCAGCATTTTGCTGTGAGCATGTTATATACGAGGGCACACTGACTATGAAATGGCTCCACATTCTTCCTAAAAAGAAGAGCATCCAAAGGATATTTTCAGCCTCTAATAAAATCATGGAATCAGTAGTTTCTGATTGGAAAGTTTAAGGTCTTTGAATACCAACCCCTTAAAAGCATGTGTCATAAAAAATAAACAGATGCAAAGACACATGGAGAACACAATAAGCAGACTTGGCAGAATTAATCCAGATTTTAAATGAATTTTGGAGAATCAGTAGATGATAAACTAGTTTAGTAATGTGTTTTCCTTCGCCACACAGTAGCCTATGCCCACTGAATCTTCCGTACATAGCCATGTATAAGGTTTGCTTTTGATTTAAACAGTTAACATTTTGTTTAAACCAATAATGCTATGTGTAGCAAAACACTGTAGAGTAAAATATAAAAGCAATTTTCTCTTTATAAGATATTGATTTTTAAATAACTAATCAAGGTTTGAGGTTACCCTATGGAAGGAAAAAAGACCAACTCAAAACTAGGATTAATAAAGCTGTACACACAATTTCAGTACTCTGAACCTTGGTTTTAAAGCAATTAGTGAAATAACTCAGGGACCAATGTTACAAATGTAGCAGATAACATGACAACAAATACATACTTTTAGTTTTTTAAGTTTTAAAATGAATTTTAAATTTAAATGGAGGTAAAATAATTGTATCCTTGCATTTAGGATTAACTCTAATCAAATGCTTGGTTTGGAGACACTAAACTTTTCCTCAAGGTTACTGTGAGGCTTGGGAGGCTGAGAAGTAACAAGATCAAGTTCATGCAGTTTTAGTGACCTTGCTTATAGCCAATTTAAAGGCTCTGAGAACAAGTGAATTTCTGAATAAAGCTATAGCTCATGTTTTGGTATTTCGTTTTAAACTTTAGCCTCAGTAGAAATTGGCATAAAAATATTTGATCCCTCAAGGAGTCTTTCAGTTATTGAACAACCTGAATGGAGCCTCGGAAGCACAGCTACCTGCAAACATACGGAAAACGGAGAACAAGAAATTAAAGTGAGAATTCAATTATACACAGAGCTCTATGGCGCTAGGGCCAGCATATTATTCCTTGAACATCAGAGCACTTAGCCCATAGGAAAAAAAAAAAAGCCACAAAAGACACTACAATGTTTAGTTCATACAAAACAATATAAAAAACAGTTTGATCCCTAGACTCAGAAAAGGACTGCCTTTATAGATAGCTGATGTATGTTTTTACATGGGCTCTCTCTGATATTTCATGCTCTTTTTACAAAATAGGGAGGAAGGTCTCTTGATATCACTTAAGCAATCAGAAAATGGCAAAACAAACTGTGGAAGCCCTTTGATTCCTCAGCAGTGTTTGTGGTTTCATATCATGGGCTTGACTCTTTGGAAGAACACAGTTCTTAACGTAAGATATCTTTAAGCAAAGAAAACTAAATGAAATTATCCCAACGCTTGTTCTCCTCCAAAATATTATTTATATTAGGGTAACAGGTCGATATTTTTTCTAAATGCTTATAAATTTGTCACAGCAGGAAAGAATCATTATTGCAAATAGCCTTTTTCTAGAGTCTACTGTATGCCAAAGATTTTACATACAAGTTTCAAAGATGCATTGATTCACCAAGTATTTTTTAAGTACCTGTCTTAGTCACTTTTGGCCTCTATAACAAAATACCTTACACTGGCTAGCTTATAAACAACAGAAATTAAGTTCTCACAGTTCTGAAGGCTGGGACCTCAGCAATCAAGGCACTGACAGATTCGGCATCTGATGAGGCCCATTTTATGGCTCATAGATGGCACCTTCTCCTTGTGTTCTCACATGAGGGAAGGGGCAAGGCAGCTCTCTGAGGCCTCTTTTTAAAGGCATTAAACCCATCCATTCATAAGGTCATTGGAATATAATCATCTAATACCATCACATTATCATTAGATTCTCAACATACGGATTTTGGGAGGATTCAAACATTTAGATCATCGCAGTAGCTTACTATGTTATAAACCTTACAACAAATCTTCAAGGTATATATTGTTAGTACCACACTTCAAATGTGAACATTATTCTCAGTGAAGTCAAGTAATTCAACAAAATTTATAAATATAACATCATCGGCACAAGTATTCAAATCCAGGATATTTTCTCTTGCTATCTTAAGCAACACAAGCATAAAGAATCTCCAGTGCTTATGGATGTGACCTATTCGGAATATCATCTTTGGAAGAAATCTTTCATCTTCCCAGATAGGCTCAGTCTGTGATGATAGTATCTTACAACAATACAGAAAAAGTTGTAAGAATAAAATAGATTTTGACACAAATGTCAGGTAGAATGGATTATTCTTTATAGTTTATAGAATAACTCAAAGGGTTATAGGAGAGAAAAAATATCTGTAGAAATCTTATATGTTTCCAACTATTTATCAGTAAGAATAATGTAAGAGCATTCTCATTTTTGTCTTTATGACCAGTAAGTTCAGTGCTAACGTTTGAAAAGTAAATTGTATATTCCATTCCTGATTTCAGTTATAATGACAACAGACTCATCTAAATAATCTAGAAATGATTTTCTTCTTCATTTTAACTTTGCCCATTTTGGGAGAAAGCTCTCATAAAAAGTTTGAATATCTTAAAAAGTTTAAATTGGTACCCTGCTATAATCATGGTAGAATCAGGGAAAGTCTAAAGTTGTAAGATTAATAAAACAATACAGAGCAAATTTGCAGTGATTAGATTAAGATAATTTACATTTCTATTTGAATGTGTAAATTATATGTCAGGATGTGCTACTTATCTACCATACGATATATTTGATATCAAATATGTTTTTACAAATAATATTAACATTCAGCTACAAGAGTTCTCCAGAGTACTCTGTTTCATTAATCAATAAGGTAAATACCTTAATATTGTATGTTACAGATTGTATTGACGTACTGCAAGTACATCCATTCTCAGTATCCTGATAACAACCTTAAACTTTTATTCTCTAATTAAACGTTAAAATTCTGAGATTTATGATTGTCAAATTATTTTTTCCAAGTCAAGGTTGCACCTGTGGTCATTTCATGTCAGTCCTAGACAAAGCTAAATGTCATTTCTTACATAATTGTCACCAACTTTAATTTCCCCTTTAGACAGCTCACTTTTAGGTCTTTTTACTAACACGATTTCCATGCAAAGCAGTTTTAGACATAAAAGATAACTTTTGAAAAAAAATCTCAATTTCTACACAAGACCTGATTTATGATAGCTGTTTTAATTTTTTTACTACATAATATTCTATTTTTAAAAAGCTTGTTATAAAACCTCTTCCGTCTTCACAATGTAGCAGCGTACTCTATTTTTACTGATTTAGCACTAATTTTCATCCTCTGGCAACTGCTTTCCCTAGCATAATCTCTTATTGGCTATCAAGCAGGGCTTATCAGTGAATAATCCTGTCAAATTTAGAGTCAGCTATGTGACCAGGGATGCCTGATTATTTCCTGAATCGTGCCTAGTCTCAAGAACCTTAATGTAGCTTCAGTCTTAGCTTGCTCCTTATTTTCTCTACAAGATGATAGTTTCACATTAGCCAATACCAATTTCCTATTTCTATCAGCTATATAATAGTGTCAGTTTAAAAAGAGAAATTTCTTTTCTAAAAAATGATTACATCAAAGCAGATTATCAATAAAGATGAATAACTGCCTTGTAGTCTCTAAAATAATTCTAAAACCTTTTTGTTACCCCAATACATTCTTCAACTACCTTGATACAATTTCTACAGTAAAATAAAAGCATAGTAGCAAAATATTTTGTCTAACCTTGGTGTACAAATGAAGGTGAGCTAATTTCTGAAATGGTCAGGAGGGATCATATTTGAAATTTCAATGCAATTGTCAGATTCATTAAATATATTTATAAAAAAATCATTGTGTAAAAGAAGGACACTTTTATGGAAATTACTTTTTCACATATGGGCATTTATAAATTTACTTCAAAGTGGTTAAAATTTGTCTTTTTTAAGAAAGACGTAGATTTATGTTAAATCTTCCATCTAAAGATGTTATTGGTAATGTTAAAAATAGACATCTGTTAGCAGAGCCAATATAATTCTCCAGATAATATCATTTACAAATTTTGCATGTCTAATCAATTTCTTGTTAAAGCTGCTGTACTGTTGTGTTAATTGGATTATTGCTCTAATTATATAATTCTCATTTTTTGTTAACACTTATTTGATTATTTTATTATGAACATAACACATACATATTTTAACATATTTAGACATTTAAGAAAAATGAGGCCAGGCACGGTGGCTCATGCCTGTAATCCCAGCACTTTGGGAGGCCAAGGCTGGTGGATCACTTGGGGTCAGGAGTTCGAGACCAGCCTGGCCAACATGGTGAAACCCTGTCTCTACTAAAAATACAAAAATTAGCTGGGCATGGTGGTGTGCACCTGTAATCCCAGCTACCTGAGAGGCTGAGGCAGGAGAATCGCTTAAACCTGGGAGGCAGAGGTTGCAGTGAGCCGAGACTGCGCCACTGCACTCCAGCCTGGATGACAGAGTGAGACTCCATCTCAAAAAAAAAAAAAGAAAAAAAAAAAGAAAAATGAGTTATCTACATTTACCCCCGAAAATCCAATACCTCACACACTGCTTGAGAGAAGCAAGAGCCTATGGAGGTGCCTGAATTAGTACCCAATGAGGAAGAACCCTCCCTGAGGGGGCTTTGTGTTAGGAAAGCAGACAGAGGTCCTGGCAGGCAGATGCCCAAGGCAACTATGCAGAGGCTACCACCTGACTCCTCTTTCCCTGCTGGAAACACAAGGGCATTTTTCTCCAATATATACTGTGAGAACCTGATCAAGCTCCTGGGTAAAACTCACAAAAGAGTGAAGGTACCTCTATGACTGAGTTCCTCTAGAGTGTTTAATTCTCAGAATTGTTTTTACTGATCCTCTTACAATTTGTTAATTATAGTTAGGTTTTCCCACCCTGACACTGGTTCCTGTGGAGGTTTCAGTTCATGAGTCTGTTCTTCCATAAGTTTTGACTCTCTGTATTGCCTATCTGTCTCCTTAATTTGGGGGTAGCAGTTAGCCCTATGACCTCATTTCTCCTCTGGATCAATAGAATGGTTGATTTTTCAGTTTGTTCAGCTTTTTACTTGTTTTTAGGATAAAGTGGCAATTTCAAGCTCCTTACATGTGGAAACAGCCTCATTAGTTTTTTTATTATTAGTATTCAAATAAGTGTTGGTAAGAAAGAAAATCAACTAGAATATTGATTTATTGCTGGTGAGGTGTCAATTGATAAAATTGCTTTGGAAAAGCATTTGGAATTCTTTACTGAAGTTGACCATATGTTTGTTCTATGAACTGGCAATTAAACTTCCGGGTATGCATACTCAACAGAAATTGTGCATGATGTACACATTTCAACCAAAAACTATTCACAAGAATGTTTGTGACAGCAATATTTATAGCAGTCTCAAACTGGAAAAAATTCAAATGCCCATCACTGTAACTTGAAAATATATTTTGGTAGTGTATAAAATGAATAGTGCACAGCATATAAACAAACAAACTGGTGCCAAATGCTACCATGGTGGGTGGAGAGGGGAGGGATAGCATTAGGAGATATACCTAATGCTAAATGATGAGTTAATGGGTGCAGCACACCAACATGGCACATGTATACATATGTAATAAACCTGCACGTTGTGCACATGTACCTGAAAACTTAAAGTATAATAATAATAAAATTTAAAAAAATGCATAAACGTACTACTGAGTATTAGAAGCCAGATCCCAAAGCACACATTGTATGATTCCATTTACGTAAGAATCTAAAAGTGGAGAAAAGCTGTTCTGTGTTGTTAGAACTCAAAATATAGGTTAAACTTTCAGAAGGGGAAGGGGAGTGAGGAATAGTGATGATGAGGGGCCATAACACAGGCTTTTGGGTGCTGGTAATAGTCTTTTTCTTAGCCAGGGTAGTGGATCTACAAGCGAGTTTCAGTTGGTCTCAGAACCTCAACTGGTATTCATGTCTCCCTTCTGCACTAACCATTCTAAATACTTCTCACCCTCAGCTATCACCTCTGCAGATCTTGGTGGCTTACAGGTGGTATGACTCAAGCCTTTGTTTGGTAACCACAACCTTCTCAAGCCAAGGTTGCTGTACATGTCCATTTTCAGTTATAATTGGGTGAAGGATTATCAAATAGTGCCCAAGTGGATCATCTGATTTCCACAAGTATGCCTCTCTCCCCACTGTGTAAAAAGAGCCCTTTTTTTTCCCTTACTGATCTGCATAAATTGTCTCTGCCAAGACAGTGACTTATCTCCTTGATTGCTGGTTGCTGGAAATGAAGAGTCCAATGTGTGCAGGTGGCAGCTGTAGCTTACATATCAATAAGGCCATTGTTCTTTCACTGAAAAGAGTTCTCTCCTTTCAGGGACCAGAACCTCTAACCCTACAGATTCCAGCACTGCAAGGACAAAAACATAAAATCCTACAAAAGATTCTAGGAAGGAATGATGAATGGGGTCACTCCTGTTTCCACCTCTTAGTTCCTGGCTCATGTGGAAATAGAACAATATGGAGGTGGTTGAGTCAGTGCATATACCGTGCTTTGAAGAATGGGACGTCATGCTTGAAGAGTACCCTCTCTGAGCTCATACTTCAGCTGTGCCTTCAGTGGGCCATTCAAATGCTGTATAAAGCTAGATACTTCTGGATGCGTTAGTACATGATACAATGAGTGAACCCCAAAATTATGGACCTATTCCTGCTTCTATTTGGCTATGAAATGAGTTATCTGGTCAGTTGCTATGTTGCTGAGAATTCATGCCTATGGATCAGGCATTCTTTAATTACCATAAGAAACCATAAGCCTATGGAAAGTGGTTCAGCAGGCAAGAAAGGAAAAACCCATACCCAGAATAGGTATCTATCTTTGAGGACAAGCCACTGGCCCCTTCAGGATAGAGGGGCTCAATGTAGTCAACTTGCCACCTAGAGAACTACTGATCTGTTTAGGAATAGACTTTATCAGCAGTAGTCTCTGTGGCTTTAGGTTGGACATTCAAAGGTAGTATTATCTAGGTCAGCCTTAGTAAGTAATAAACCATGGCACCATTTCTGCAAATGGCCACTCCATTCTTATGACTATTATGCTAGTTCTGGGACGGCTGTTGATTCAGGGTCAAGGTCCACACTTATGTGTTCAGTGGCTTTTCTATGATAAGTGCTTTATAAAGGGAAATTCTATGTGATGCAAAAATCTTCACACTTTGGGCACATTGCCATATGCTCATTCTCATGAATCTACCCAAGACTTCCTTGTCTTTGAATTTTCAAATCTTTTCCTTCCAGGCACCCTGGCATTTGGCTAGATGATTGGACACTGACCAGAAGTTTGTATATATTCCTACTTCAGAGCACTTTTGCTTTCACAAAAGTAGATGACCAGGTGCATTTATTTTATCTTTGCCCATTGAGAAGATTGTTTTCTCTTCACTGGTTCTCAAGATAATTTGCAAATGTAACTGTAATGCAACTACTATCCATTTTTGGCCTATACCAATTTACTGGGCTTTAAACCAAGTTTAGGCTTTTTCTCTTTAAGCCAAGTCTTACAGAAACTTCCAGTGGCCATAGATATGTGCTAGTGGAGGTGCACTGTGTAAACTACGGTGAGGGGCATGGCAACTCTGGGGCTTCCAGCTATAGGGTTTACTCCTGCCCTCTTGTCCCGCACAGGCTTGATCCTAAAACCACCGTTAAAATATTATAATGAACTGCTTGCTGGGCATGTCCAGCAAGTTTTATGATTTGGCAAGTTAAAAGCAGCCAGCTCACAAAAGGAAGTTCCAGATGCTTTGTCATGTAGTGCTCCATGGTCAGTAATGACACACCAGCAGTTCTTCCTTGATTCCAGATAGCCTAGCCTTCTTCAGAACCCCATTTGTACTTGCCATCCACTGCATATTACTGATAGCTTCAACAGCCTGAGAACTGCTGGATCATATGGCCCAAGAAGGAAAACTGCTTCTATCATTGCCTATATCTGCTGCAGTTCTTTTCTGCTTCAAGCAACACTCAAATCTGGCAGTCTTCTGTATTCCTCAGTATATGTACCAGAAAGGAATTCCTTAGTGTGGCATGAATTGCTCCTAGGACCCAAAGAAAACTACTAGTGATCGTAGTTCCTTTTTGTTTTATGGTATGGGATACAAAATAGCACATTTTTTCTTTTACTTTTGTGGGAGTATCTCAACATGTCCCTGATCTATGGGCCCACCTGTATCTTTGTAATTTTATCTTCTGCCTTCTGGGAAGCATAGGTATTACCCAGGCCATTAGGATATTAGCCCCTCCAGCTTGCCCTGTTCAGTCAACATGATTTCACACATGTAATGCATCAATGTGATATTCTGAAAGATGACAGGAAGGCCATGTTCTTTTTAGACTGTGTTGTGACAGTGTGAGATAGTTAACATAATAGTGGTATAAAATGACAGATAAATGTTGGTGTTCTTTTCATACGAGTATAAGATGTTTCTGAATCCTCTTGATTAGGATGGAAAAAAAATACATTCTCCAAATCAATGGCTTCTTATGAAGTGTGTGAAACTTTAATAATCTTCTCTAATAACAATACTATGTCCAAAATAGTAGCTGCAATTGGGACCACTACTTGGTTAAGATGGAATCGTTTACAGTCATCCTCAAGGATCCGTCTGCAGGAAACTAAATGTTGAGTTAAATGAAGATATTCTTTAGGAAAGGTTGGTATTAGTATCCATCATTACTGCTGGGATGCAATATTGGCTTTTTTGTTTGCTTTTTGTTTTGCTGTGTGTGTGTGTGTGTGTGTGTGTGTGTGTGTGTGTGTGTGTGTGTTGTGTATATTTAATTTGGTTTGGTTTGGTTTTGGTTTTACACTATCTTGGCTGAGGTCAAGGGCATTTTCAGAAACTTCCACTCAGCCTTCTCCAGTATGATAGCTCTTACCCCACAGGCCAAAAACTTAATGTGAGTATTCTTCCAATTGCCAAGTATATCTATCTCAATTCAATTATACTCTGGGAGACCTTGCAAAAAACATCTAAGTGGGTCTAGGGACCTAGTGGAATCACAGCAAAATAAATGTCAGTCAGAATTTCATTCATTACCTAGTCCCTACAGGCCCCCACTCTAACAAAGGGCCCCCACTCTAACAAAGGACCCCCACTCTAACAAAGGACCCATGGAGGTGTTTTAGGTTTTCAGATTTCAATGTCTGCTCCAGTCCTGTGCCTAACAGTCCTCAATATAACTGGATGGTCTTCTTTCACAGTATACAGACACCAGAGTAAGTAGCCATAGGTCTCTGTGGAGAAGGTTTGGGGAAATCATAATGGTATACACTTGTTTTTATGTTGCATTCTCTTCACTTATTGGGTCAAGATCTGAAAATAGATCCAGTCCAGGAGCTAAAGAAGGAATCGTGATTTTTTATTACAGCAACTGTTCTCAGCCCCATAATCCTCCATTCTTGCCTTCTTCTGATTGCAGATGGCAGGGAGCACCCTCATGAGCTGCCCATCTATCCTTCCCCTAGGAACATCAGAGTCTATTAGCCATCTCTGAAGGTCATTTCCACCTAGCTACCTCTCCACCTTGCCATCTGGTACGGTAATTGCTGCTCTCTGGCCCCCTGACAGTTAAGCACCACCTCCTGTCTTCTGCTACTTTTGAGGCCTCATCATTCCCATGGCCATTAACAAGATCATTGCTAAGACTGCCTAATATCCATTCTCCCCTTATTTCAGTAATTATGTCCCCAAATTTTAGCTAGAAACATGTCAAGCTATAGACCACATGCCTAGTCTCCCTCACAGGTAGTTAAGGCATTTGTGGCCAACGAAAAATGAACAAAATTACTGTATTATACTTCCAGTTGGTATCCTTAGAGGTCATGCAGTCATAAGCTTGTTTGTCTCTCTCTACTTCTGGATATTGAGTAGGCCTATCAAACATAATGGCTGGCATACCATTTTGAGCACAGGACTGATGTGATGCTGGAGTGATGAGGCAGAGATAGTTTGGGTTTCTAGAAGACTTCAAGGAATAAACATTTTACCAGTCCTGAATCACCTACCTCTGAACTATCCCATAAGAAAGAAGAAACTTCTATCTTGTTTAAGCACTTTATCTGCTGGATATTTTTAGAGGAGTTAAATCTGTATTCTAACTAAGACTCATCTCTGTCACTTCATCATAAATTTATTTTTAACTAGACATAAAATGTGAGGAAGGTAATTATAGGTGCAGAGAAAGCAGAAGTCTGGAATAGTCTGAGGTCCAAGCATCACACAGTTAGTAGCATCAGACATATGTCCTTCCTCAGTAAATCTCAAAAAGCTATTGTAACAAAATTGATAGCTTAGCACATCCCCAGAGCACACTCTCCCACTCAGAGGACTGGTTTCTCAGTTCCCGAACCTCTTCGCCTCAAATTAAATTTGCCCCTTATTCAGCCTCAAGTATTCACTCTCATGTTACAGCCTAGGTGCCACTACCATTAGCTGCTCTACCTTCAAAACCATCACCTCCTATCCAGCTTTCTACCTCTATTAACCTATGTCCAAACATATTTGAACTTCACAGGGACTTCTGGTATTTTGATCCCACCATCTTTTCATGTTCTCTTTCACCTTCTCATGTCTGTACATTGCTCCTTAGATCTAATAGTGGCTGTTTCTTATAACTCATTCATTCATTGTTACTTTGTGCAAGAAATATTTGTTGAGCAAATCAATATATCAGATATTTCTCTGAGTATTAGGGATGGAGAATTAAACACAATTTTTTAAAAAGATCTGCTTCTATGGGGATTACTTAGAGTAGGGAGAGATATATATAAGTGAACAGTAAAAATATATCTTCTGTGTCTTCATAATATATACATACATATATTTATATATTATCTATCATATATGATATATTGATGGTTTTAAATAAGGATGCACCTAATTTCAGCCTCAGCTGTAGCATATGAACCAAATCTGGTAGTCTCAAGTTTTGACCCTTAAAAACTAAGTAACTAACTAGTCCTTTAATATAATTTCTGGTGTCACTGATATTTGCATGGATAATTATTACATAATTACATAGGTTACCATCACATTTAATATGAATAACAGTGTCCATGAAATTAACATAAATTAAATTCTAATTTATTATTAATATCTTAATATTCAATTTCAAACATAAGTATGCATTCTGTATTTAAGGTGGAATGAAATTCACTCCATGGGCTTGTTGTAATTTTTAGACATTTGCTGTATAGCAATGTTTTGGAAAAATTCTCAAACCATGTTGTTCCTCTGCTCTCACACCAACTCAACAATAACCAACACAGAAGAAGACTTCTGTGACCTCAAAATATGTGGGGATTTCTTGCCACCAGCAAGAAAGCAATCAATTCTGCAGCAGACACCAACTGTATGTCCGCCAATTCAATTCTGACATTATCTACCTGGAGATAGCATCAGATCCCCCAGATTGAGGGCTCAGTCCCCAAGACTGCCCCCCACCCTACACACCAGTCACAAGTCTGGGCCTCCAGTACTTCTGGCCCACCAGCTTCAAGCTGGCGTTTTCACATCTCTCTCTTTGAGTTTGATGAGTTTGCTGGAGTGGTTCACAGAACTTAGGGAAATACATTTGCTGGTTTGTTTTAGAGAATATTGCAAAAAACATAGATGAAGAGATGCATAGAGTGAGGTATTCAGGAAGAGGCATGGATCTTCCATGCCTCCCCTGGGCGTGCCACCCTCCAGGAACCTCTACGTGCTCAGCTATCCAGAAGCCCTTCAAATTCTCTCGTCTTGGATTTTTATAAAAGCTTCATGATGTCAGCATTTCTTCCCCCAGGGTAGAGGGCAGAACCCTCTCTGGAATGAGAGTCTTATGACCCACAATCAGAAAGGCCAGTGATGGTTAGAGTCCTACTTTGGGGCAGGTGAAAGCTGGGCAGGAGAAGGTCAGAAAGAGTCTGTTTCATGAGGCCTGCTCTTGAAGCCCAGCACACGAATACACCCAACATTATAACAAAAGACTGTTACAAGGGCTATGGGAGTTATGAATTGGGAACTGTGGACAAAAATCTACACACACACACACACACACGCACACACACATAAGTTTATAATGTCAGCATTCCTTTAATTTTAAAATACTATTGATGTTAGAATTAAAAGGAATGATGACATCATGAAGCTTTCATAAATATCCAAGAACACAGGGCTTGAAGAGCTATGAGATAGCTGAACACGTGGAGATCCCTGGATTAAACATATAGCATGACACCACCATCTATTATTGAAACAGAAAGTACTGTGATAAGCTAATACAATGTAAAAACTATTACTTTTATAAACAGAAGTAAATTTTAAGAACGTTAATTAAATAAACAGGTAAATATACATGTAATTATTTATATCCAATTTGAGTTAACAGTATATTAAGATTAAGTAATAAAAGGAAAAATAGTAATTCTGATATTAATAGTATTTTAAAATTAAAATTTAACATTTGAGAATGGTATTTAGCTTTTAATTTTTGAATCTTTTTTTTGCCATAAGTCCTTCTAGAATAAGTTGTATTTGGATATTCTTCACCATTTGAAAAGAGAAACTAAAATCAGAGGGTATGGTGGTTCACAAATGTAATTCCAGCACTTTGGGAGGTCAAGGTGGGAGGATCACTTGAGTCCAGGTGTTTGAGACCAGCCTGGGCAATTACATGCTTAAAAACACCTGGGCAATGTGGCGAGACTCTGTGTCTACAAAAGATAAGAAAAAAAAATTAGCCAGATGTGGTGGCATGCTCCTGTGGTCCCAGCTGCTTGGGAAGCTGAGGCAGGAAGATTGCTTGTGCCCAGAAGGTCGAGGCTACAGTGAGCTGTGTGTTCACATCACTGCACTCCAGCCTGGGGGCATCAGAGTAAGACCCTGTCCCAAAGAAAAAGAGGATGAGGAAGGAGAAGGAGGAGGAGGAGGAGATGAGGAGGGGAGGAGGTAGTTGTCATTTACTGAGATGAGGAAAAATGTAACAGGAAGACAGGAAGCCAATTTTGGAGGGAAGATACAGACTTTAGTTTAGAACTTTGTAAGTTTGAGATGCATATTAGACATCCAACTGCTAAGTTGAGAATGTGCATATGAAATTTAGAGACTAAGTAGGGATGATAATAGGACTTGGAAGACCTCAGGGTAAGAATGACATTTCAGGCCTTGAGATGGGAAAAGATCATCAAGGATAGAGGAAGGAATATTCCATTCCCTTTTATGCACTTTCAATTCCTTGTCCCTCTTTTCTTCCCCTTAATAGGAAATCCTACTCCTGGTTAAATTCAATCATCCTGCCACAAGTCTAAGCCTGTACAGCTGAAGGTAATGAAAGGAAAAGCACATGACTCTTAATCAAGGATCACAAGTAAGGGTGTTTTGGACTTGCCTGGAAGTCCTAATACATCCAGCACTCAATTCACTGTTCCCTCCCAAAAAAAGAAGTCTATACTTGTACTCTCTCCTCTGAGTTCTAACATCCCTTCTCCTGACTCTTAGATATTGGCCTTACATTTTATTTTCCAAAGAAAACAGAAGCACCAGAAGAGGCCATTTCATCATCCCTTCATTAGACCTAGTTTCTGTCTCTATCTCTATTTCTACACTCTGCTCACCCTCCTTTTTCAATAGATGGAATCCCTCAGCTTCCCTCCAAGGTTCATGCTTCCATTCCTACTGTATTGTAACCATCTTCCATCTTAGCAACAGCAACAAATTCTCAGGCTTCAGGCTCTTTGTAGCTCCTTTCGAATTATCCTCAATTAATAAGAAAACTCCAAAAATATGTACCTAGACTCACTCTCCAGATTCCTTACCTCCAATTCTCTTTTAATCCACTCCATTCAGGCTTCTATTTCTCAAACCTCATCGAACTCACATTCACAACTCCTCTTACCGCCATTTGACTCAGTAAGTCACTACTTTTTTTTTTTTTTTTTTTTTTTTTTGAGATGGCGTCTCGCTCTGTCACCCAGGCTGGAGTGCAGTGGCATGAGCTCTGCTCACTGCAACCTCCACATCCCAGGTTCAAGCAACTCCCCTGCCTCAGCCTCCTGAGTAGCTGAGACTACAGGCTACTCAGGAGGTGGGTGTGGGTGTGCCACCACGCCCAGCTAATGTTTTTGTATTTTTAGTTTAGATGGGGTTTCACCATATTGGCAAGGATAGTCTCAATCTCTTGACCTCGTGATCCACCCGCCTTGGCCTCCCAAAGTGCTGGGATTACAGGCATGAGCCACTGTGCCTGACCACTACGTCTTTTTTATACTCTTCCTTCTCTTGGATCCTGGGATATCCAACAAACTACCTTTGAAGTCAGACAAATAAGTAAAATACTATGCAATAAGTGCCATACTTTAGATTTGCAGGAATAAGAGATTGCAAATTCCAGAGAGGTACAAGGAGGAGGGATCACAAATGAGTTTTTTCTGGACCTGGAAGAATGAGCACATTAATATGTTAACATAAATAACAACACAACATATCTACTCTAGAAACCTGTGTGTGTGTGTGTGTGTGTGTGTGTGTGTGTGTGTGTGTATATATATATATATATACAATCAACTATCACTTGACATTAAGTTTATCTGTGGCTAAAACTCCATATTAAAGAAAGAATCGTGTTTTCTATTTCTTTGAAGGCAACAATGGAAATCCTAGTGATGAACCATAGAATAATTTAATGTGTTTGTTTCAGAGGGTAAGTGACATAGATTCTGTATGTGTGTGACATCACAAGTATCAGTTGTTTAATGTAGAAAAAGAAAAACAACCCCAAAACCAGAGTAAGCCTGGAATGCAGGCTCAACATCCCGTCCGTCTGCCCTACCCCAGACCATAAGGTATGCAATAAAATATAATCTTTAAAAAGTATATCAATTATCATTGGCAAGAAACTTAGAATAAAGAAGCATTATTACCTCAATTTCACAAGAAAACTGAAGATTAAGTAAATTTCCCAAGGTTACAAGATTAGTAATTAAAATCTCCTTCCAATATTCCTACAGTTTAGTTTCCACCGACCCTTCAGCTATTCAAAAATCACCAATATTTTAAAATGTCCTTTCATCATTAAAAGCAAAAAGGTAACTTTTTCGGTGTTAAAATTAGAACACTCATCTCAAGATGAATGAGGAAAATAATCTTGTGAAGAATTTTATTCTGAAAGGTAATTTTTAGGCTCAAATAGGCGACAGCTGACTTGTATTAGCGTATTTTAAGGTGCAAAATAATCTTTATTAAAATGTTTGTTTTCGGGAAAAATCTTGTTTCAGAAAACAAAATGGATAAAATACAAAACTCCTAGAAGCATTAGCTTTACCTACTGGGCAAACAAATAAATGATTTTCATAAATATCAGAACACTAAACGGCTACCCCAGATTCTGATTTTGAATTTGCTATTCTATTCATTTCTTTTTCAAAATTCCCTTTGAAATCATATTAGTATGGAGAGTTGACTATTTTGATTATAAGAAATGAAAGCCAAGGCAGCCGTGCGTATATGACATTTATAGATTTATAATCACCTGAGATCTCTGTGTAAATATTTATGAGGAAAGATTCCCTCCTAGTTTTAAGACAGGCACTTTTGTTTGCCAAATCTCAGCTCTGGTCCTAATTCCCATCTTGGGGAAAAAAATCTTTTGGCTCCACCTGAGTTAGGAAGTCTTCTAAATGAGGATATGAATGTTTTTGCATTATCACCCAGTTATCTTTATGAAGGTCTTTCAAGTTCAAATAGACTTTGGCTCTTTCTTTTATTTCAGAGGACAAAACTGCGGTACACAATGGACCAACCCCCACATGATAAAAACATCCAAGGGAAGTTAAAGATTCTTGTCCTCCAGACATGAGGCCCATTCAATATGTAACCTTTCATCAGGAAGATCCATGGAAACAGAAAAGATTTTTAAGTAAATGCGATCAGCCCATTTAAAAAAGGTACACACAAAGGCATGCCAGGTGATCCAGATGAATAAAGGGGATTAAAAACTTCCATTTACAAATCTCCAAATGAAACAAGATAAATGCCTGCAGAAAAGGCTGAGTTTTTCTTTACTCCAGGTAGTTTTACATTTCACCCAAATAATTTGCATTTCCCCAACCCAGTGTGTCAGTTATCTCTTCAAATATTCAAATTTTCCTTCTCCTTAGTACTGATTTATGTATGCCATTCTAAAAGGTTGTAATTACATTTCCTTTTTAAAAACGAGCCTATATGTAACATTTTTTCTCTCAGGTACTTTAGCCCTGTATTTTTTAATTGCTTCTGTGGAACCGCAGTAAAGGACCATAACTTCTTTTCCTTTATAGACCTCTACAATGTTTTACACTGTGAATGAAGAAAAAATACTAAAAAATTTGGTTAAATACAGAAGTGAAACTATGAAGACACAGAGTATAGGTTTGGTGAACAGCATTTTTGACTGTATGCCTGATCCCTGAAACATCCTCATAAAGGAAGAAGATTCAGGAGATGCAATCAGTTCCATCAGTTACGTAGGTCAAGAATATTACAAACCCAAGGCTGTCTCTCTGTGTCTGCTATCACTACCTTTTTTTCCAAGCTTCCCCTCTGTTTGCTCAGATGTCTGCAAATTCTCTATGATGGACTGGGTTTTCCAAATATGGCCTCAAGAATATCTCCCAACCCATACGGTCTTCTAAAACTTGCTGTGCACACATCAACAGGGGCAAACTATTCTTCTTGCATTACATTAAATCTAGGTGGTTTTGTGACTTGCCTGTAAGTAATAAAATGCTGTAACTCTGTGAAACTTCCAAAGCTGAATCATATAGTGTGACTCAGCTTCCACCTATTTGCTAAAACACTCACCCCATGCCTGGAGCCCAGAGCTATCATGGTAGGGGTCAAACCAGCCTCAGGCAGCCATGCTGCAAGGAAGCTGAACCATATGGAGTGGCCCGCATAGGTTATCTGGCTAGTGGTGCTCATCATCTATTCCTCCCATTCTAGGAACTAGCCATACGGGTGAACAAGCTTTCATGTAATCCCAGCCTCCTGCCATCAATTCACCCACAGCACCTGCAGCTTTTAAGTCTTGAGGTCTCAGACATCATGGAACAGAAATAAGCTGTCCCTGTTGTACCCTTTCTGTATTCCTGACCAACAGGATCCATGAATATATTAGTGTGGCTGTTTTAAGCTTCTGTGCTTGAGGGAAATTTGTTATGCAGCCTCATCATAGCAGTTCCTACTTCTGATCTGGTCTTCCCGTGGTTTAGTTCTCACAGTGTTGCCAGTACTCTGTCATCCTTCAGAAATAAAAAGGTAGCCATGATCTTCCCTGCATGACTCTCCTTTCTCAGCTCTTCATTTCTTGCTACTACAAATTATTTGTCTTCAGCCTCAACAGCACCTTAAACATGCAGCAAAAACGCATTAATTCAGCCCTGGTCCATGAACTCTCTCATTGCTCCCAGAGTTTATTCTACATCTTTACCAATAACCTGTAAGTTACTATTCCACTAACTCAGCAAACTTTATTGTCATTTTTCTCATTTGGAAAATAATGATATCCAGGGGAGAATTATTTCAATTATCAACCCCCATCCAAATTTCATTCCACGGACACACATCTTTGGTTTTTCCCTTCTGTCTAAGATCAGTAGTCTTTTTCTTCTGTCCACTGAAGAGTATTCAGTTCTATACTGTTTATCACATTTTCTTCCATCACCTCTGGAAATTTACTCCAATATTTATCTACTCTCTTGCCTAAATCTTTTTAACTCTTATTGGCTCTTGGCCCTCTGGCTGAATCTGTAAGAATATTCACAATTTTTTCCACACTTACAAAAAGTTATCTGCTTTTTTTTTAAGTCTCTTAAAACTTATCTCCCGTCAATCTCTTGCAGAACTTACCTACAATACTTTTCCATTCTTGTATGCATTCTTCTTTGCCATGAGATTTTTGACACTTCACCACCAATGGATGAAGTCTCTACCTCTTGAATCTGAATGTCCCTGTAAATTGCTTTGACTAACAGAATATTGACAACATAGGCAAAAGCCCAACCTAGCTTCCATTTAGAGAGATCCAGTTATTCCAGACATCACGATCACCTTCTCTGAGGTCCTATGCGTAAGAGCAAGGCCAAGTGTACAATGTGGGCCAGAGATAAGTAATCCCAGCTGAGCCCAGATCAAATGGCCAACCAACAGAATTGTGAGCTAAAAAGTGATTGTTGTTTCAAGCCACCAAGTTTGCTGGTGGTTTGTTATGCAGCAAAACTTAACTAACACAGCAATTCCTACCTGGAAGTGAGATGCTGCCGTAACAAACATCTAATACAGGTGTCATTGGTTTTGGAACCTGTTTCCAGGTGGAGGCTGGAAAAGCAGAAAGGAAACTATTAACAGATACTTGAAAAGTGGTGAGAAAACTGTAACAGGCCACAAAAATTGTGACCTTTCTTATGAAATAGACAAACAATTGTCAAGCTGTAAACTATACAAATTTGGAAGATAGAATGTGTACCTAATGAAGTTGTAGATTTGGCTAAGGATATTGGCAAGCAGATTGTTGAAATGAACAAAGAAGAAATTGTTCCAGTTCACAAATGGAATTTTGAAAAAAATATAGACTGCCTAGAACTTGCTGGGTTAGAAAATAGAACTGTTTCTTACTTAGTCTTTCAAACCAGTAAACAGTTCTAACAGTAATAAATGGCTTTGTGCTAAAGGTTAAACTGAAGATGGAGATATAAGTGTCCTTGGGATGCCTGAGTAGAGAGAGGACTATCTTAACGAAAATTGTGTGGTTTTTAACTGATGATGTGGATTATAATATGATAAACAAGATATGGATGAGCCTGGAGGACATTATGTTATGTGAAATAAGCCAGCCACAGAAAGATAAATACTGCATATTTTCATGCATATGTGGGAGCTAAAAAAAAAAGAGCTCATAGAAATAGAGTAGAAATATGATTATTAAAGGCTGGGAAAGGTATGAGGGGAGGGAAGAATAGGGAGAGGTTGGCTAACGGATAGAAAATTACAGCTAGATAGGAGGAATACATTCTAGTGTTTTATAGTACTGTAGGGTAACTATGGTTAAGAATAATTTATTGTATATTTTAAAAAATTAAAAGACAGGATTTTGAATGTTCATAACACAAACAAATGATAATAAATGTTTGAGGTGAGCACACTAATTACACTGATTTGATCATTTTGTAATTATTGTATACACTTATAGATATGTCACACTGTAACTCATAATTATTACATCACCTAAAAGGAAAATAAAAAGCACGATGCACAGGAAACCCACAAAGTATTTAAAAGACCTGTAACAATGTAGACTGAAAAAGATTGGGGTTATTAAAGACAAAAAGGGGCCTCTGTGTCCCAATTTTCTTTTTTTAATATTATTTTTATTTTATTTTATTTTTAAGAGACAGCATTTGCTCTGTCTTCCAGGCTGGATGGCAGTGGTGCAATCATAGCTCACTGCATCCTTGAACTCCTGAGTTCAAGTAATCCTCCTGCCTCAGCCTCCCTAGTAGCTGAGATTATTGGCACACCACCAGCCCAGGTATTTTTCTTTTAATTTTTAATTTTTTTGTAGAAACCAGGTCTCAATTTGTTGTACAGGCTCATCTCAAATTCCTGGCTTCAAACTATCCTCATGCCTTGGGCTTCCAACTGTCTATAAAAAATAAGCAAGCAAAAAACTGCTAGCCACGCCTTTTCTTATACAAAGGAAAGGGCATCTCAGAAGGCATATCCAAGAAATCAAAAGGCAGAGTCAAAAGCCTCTGAGAATAATACATTAGAGGATCCCTCCAAGGGAGCAGAATAGACCTTAATCAAGGAATACCTGTGCCTCCAGGCGAGAAGAACCTGGTAACTTGTATCCTGCTGGATTCCAGAATTGCTGTGGTCTAGTGACTATTTCCTTTTCATTCTTTTTTTTTTTTTTTTTTACGAATAACAGTGATTACTGTAATCATTGTTTCCTTGTATTGTATGCTGAATGTGTGTGAAGCAAATAACTTTTTTTTACTGTTTTTCAAAACAGGGTCTCACTCAGTCACCCAGGCTGGAGTGCAGTGGTATGATCACAGCTGACTGCAGTCTTGACCTGCCAGGCTAAAGTGAACCTCCCACCCAGTGCAAATAATTTTTGTTATTATTATTGTTCACAGATCTCACACAAGGAGACACTCCGAAGAGCTTCATTTTCAACCAGACCTGGTTCAGACCATGCAGTCATAAACTTTGAACTTTGGACTTTATGACAAAAATAGATGAGAATCTTTTTAGTCCTGAGATGAGCATGAGCATATGTGACATGTGAGAGAAGTGTGTGTCTTTCGTGGACACAGAGAACACAGTAGTAAATGACCATGAATTGCTCTTGCTTTAGCATGCATACTCCTTTGCAATGCAGCTTCTCTCATCCTCCCATCAAGATAGAAATCTGCCCCTTCACTGCTTGAACATTGGCTGACCTTGTGTCCTGCTTTGACTGCTCGAATATGGCAGAAATGAACAAGTTTTGAGCATAGACCTCAAGATGACATAGAACATGCTCCTGCAATGATACCATCATGTGAACAAGCTTGACTCTCTTGAGAATGAGAGATTTTGTATAAAGAGAAGTCCAGCTGCCTAAAATATCTCAGACTTCCTAGTTGATGTCCCAGACATATGAATAAGCCTAGTCAGTACTCCATGAAGCAGAAAGCAGCCATCCTATCTAAGCCCAGTTCCAAGTGCCAGCCCTCAGAACTGTGAGCAAATTAAAATTGTTGCTTTAAGCCACTAGGTTTAGGGATTCTTTTTACACATCAACAGAAAACTGATACAAAGTCTTTCTTTTTATCTGGTCAGGAAAATTTCTTGAAAGACACCTTATTTTGAATCAATTTATTCACTTCCCTTTTCTATGTTCTATTTGGAAAATTGTCATTAATTGTATGGTTTTAAAAGCCACAATTAATAATATCCTGATATTAGAAAATACTTATCTCTAGTCACTTCATGTTGAAAAACCTGGTTTTTTCCTACTGTACATTGGAACTAATAATTGTAGTACCTATTACATAAGATTTATTTTGAGGATTCAATGCACTAATGCCTAGAGCATAAACTTTAAGAGATACCAAGTATGTAAGTGCATAAATGCATGAAATATATTGTATATTACTTCTAATCATTATTATCATTATAACTAACTTCATCTTACTATCTTTTGTTTTACCCATAATCCAACATATTTTAACTAGTAAAGCAAGTAAATTGAATGCTAGAAATCTCAAGTATTATTATAAAAGTGGGAGATAATTTTTGGAAAAGGGGATGTTTAAAATAAGAATCCTAAATTAGGAAGTAGATACCCACTGGCCAGTCTACTTGTAGTTATTTCTTTCCTGACTTATATACCGATGAAAAAAAAATTATTAATCTTGTCAATCTAGAAAGGACTTCAGAGATCTCTAGTCTAAATTTATTTTATAAATAGGTGAACTGATACCCAGAGAGACTATATAATTTATCTGAGAACACCTTGTAAATTACTATAGCCTTGGCACTGAGACACAAGTGAAACCCCGTTTCTACTAAAAATACAAAAAAAAAAAAAAAAAAAAATTAGCCGGGCATGGTGATAGATGCCTGTAGACGGGGGGCTGAGGCAGAAGAATGGCGTGAACCTGGGAGGAAGAGCTTACAGTGAGCCAAGATCGCGCCACTGCACTCCAGCCTGGGCGACAGAGTGAGACTCCGTCAAAAAAAAAAAAAAAAGAAAAGAAAAGAAAAGAAAGAGACCACTTCCAAAATCAATGACAGGCACCAAACCCCAGATCCAAGAAGCCAAGAGAACACCAAGCAAGGTAAATACCAAAGCAGGGAAAGAAATCAAAAACAAAACAGAACAAAAAAGCTCGTTTGCACCTATCATTTGAACTGCTAAAAAACGAAGACAATATTAAAAACAACCATAGGACAAAGACACATTACATATAGAAAAACCAAGACAAGATTTATAAAAGAGTTCTTGTCAAAAAGCATGTAAGACAGAAAACAATGAAGGGATAACTTTAAAGTGCTGAAAGAAGTAATCTCTCAAGCCATAATTCTGTACTTAGTAAAAATATAAATCGAGATTGTCTCATATAAATGAAATGGAGGAAGCTAATTGCCATGAATCTGCACTACAAGAAATGATAAATAAAGTTCTTTAGGAAGAAATATATGATAGCAGACAAAAAACTGGATCTAAACCAAGAAATAAAAATCACAGGAAATGGAATAGATTAAGTAAAATATATTTTTAATTGAAATTACATTTTTTTAAAAAACTGCTAAAGCAAAAGTAGTAGCAGCGTATTGTGTATTTATACCATATAAACACATAAAACATATAGTGACAATAGCACAAAAATACCAAGGAAAAATGTGGAATATACTATTCTACTGGTTTATATTACATGTGAGATGTATTTGTTTGAATAAAGACCATTATTTTTGGAGATGTGCACTATAAATCCGAGGGCAACCATTAAAAGAATTAAAGCAATTCAGTGTTTTCTTAATATCCCTTGATTATATTACAATAATAAAACTACTACCTAAATATTTGGAATTTTATGACCAAATGCCAAATTTTTCTCAGATACTTACTGCCTTTGTGTTTTGCTTATTTTTATAAACCTCTTAGCTGTCTCTTCCTCATATAAAGACTTCCAGTTGATATGTATATACCCATATTTAAGTACTTAATTATTATCTCACAAGGAGTTGTCTTGTCTTTATAGAGAGACTGTAGTTTTCTTAATGTCAAAAGTTTTTCATTGCTTTTCTAAATCTTAGATCTAACAGAGTTCTCAGCACTTGACATACATTAAGCCAAATATTATTTATAGATGAGAGCCTCAGTGGTAGATGGTGAGATTTCCCTAACTTTCTCTGCTATCTCAGATCTTTGCTATGTCTGGCACTGACCTCTAACTGCCAATACTTGTGACTGGCAGATGCTACCATAATGCTTCATCTTTCATCGGGCTAGTCATGCCAGCAGTAAAGTCAAGCTTAACATCATATTTCTGGCATAAGCTCTGTCTTGCTTCTCAACAAAAAAGATTAAGTTTTTGTTAATGCTGTCAGTCATCTTTGCTTCATTTTGAAACCCTGTCAGAAATGGATAAAACAAAGCAGAAAGTCAAAAGTGCTCTTGTGTTATAAGTGAAAAGGTGGTTAGACTGGATGAGCTCCTTATGCTCTTTTAAAATCTAAAATTTAGTGATTTGCTTTTAGCAGGTTTATTAAAAATGGCAACCCATGTCATAGTCTCAAAAAGAAAATACCGTGATGGTAACTTAGAAATCAAACCCTCAACAAGGCCTACCAGGACATTTCAGGTCCTTATAGCAACGGGGTTTGATTGATGATTAAATTATTATTACTTTTTGTTGGGGAAGTCAAACTCACTCCATCCAGCAGAGACACATGACTAGTATTCAGCCTCTGAATCTCATGTGGTATAGCTACAATACCACATGCTACTATACCACAGACCATTTCAGGGTCAAGTTGATTTTTTATTATCTAAGATTGAAGAGGAATGGTAGCAGAAACCAAAAAAGGAAGGCTGAAATTTTTTTAGCCATTGTATGCAGATAGTGGAACAGATAAATACTGATTTATGAGGGACATACCATAAAAGTAGAAACTTAGGGGCAATCTTTTCTCCACCCTGGGTGTGAAGCCACAGAATGAAAATACATATTTCCAGAATAGAATAAAGAAGGAAAAACACCATTGTTTTCCCAGAGTAGAAAAACACTATTTAAAAAAAATTATGTTTATGGGTTAAGCATTTATCAGCTTCAGATACTTTAATTGTGAATACCTTAAAGCCCCAGGTTTCTAAATTAATCACGTAAAACTAATCTTTAGTAAAATTTAACTTTAGAGAAAGTAAAGCAATTAAAACTTTTAGAATGCACTATGACTTTTTATAAACTAATGTCCCATCCCACTATAAATATTGTAATGTTTGACAGCTTAATGATAATAAAACCAACTTCCCAAACTTTTTTCAATTTTTCTATGTATTTCAAGATAATTCTAATGAGATAAGTGGAAGATACAAAGATAGAATATGTCAAAACTGAGAAAAATTATGTTCTATAGTTATGCTATTTATCAGTTCTCTAGCTACTATATTTGTTATTCATTTTTATTATCATTACTACTTTAATGGTGTTTAGATACCTATCGTAATAAAAATAAAATCATGTTAATTTTGATTAGCTGAATGCAATACCTGGGATGCTGAAATAGATACATAACAGCCAGAGCAAAAATTTCAATTGATTTACTTAGGAATAGCAAATAATAAACTTTTTTAAAAAAAGAAAAGTAGATTAAAGGCATATAGACATTTTTGTATACCATCATTTTTTGGCTAGTCACCAACTTTGCCATTGAAAGTAATGGCAAAAACCGCAATTAGGTTTGCACCAACCTAATAAATACTTATTAGGATTGGGCAGCAATACAAACTGCTACTGACATAGTCAGGAGGAGGAGGGTCCACTGGAAAGAATAGGAGAGGGCTAATTGGGAGGTTCTGGGAACTGGGTGGAAACATATTCACCAATCTGGACCAGATTTTAGGTGACAGGACTAAATGCAGGAAGTTCTTACTCAAACAATGTTTAAAATACAATGTCTAAAACATAAGTAGTATCTGAAATATAAGCAATGTCTCAAATATAAATATAGATTCAGGAACAGGAGAAGAAGCAGGACAAGCAATGTGCTTCCACATTGCAATAGGCCCTCAAATATCTCCATGTAAGGTCTCCCTGCTATTATAACATGTAAGACTTTGGAGTTGAAATCCTTGTCTACATGTGGGCCCTGCCATTGGCCAGATTTTTGAGCTTGGGTACATGACTCGACTTTGCTAGGATTTAGTTTTCTCATTTATAATACAGGAATAGTATTTGCCTAATAGAGTTGATTCAATGAAATTGCAAAGATTCAGTAAAACAGTATTTTTGTAAGGCTAACACAGAATTATCACCCAATAATATTAGTTGTAATTATATTTATAGGGGTGGGGTGTGTGGTATGGAATGTCATAAACTCAGTTACTGAATCAGTATTGTAAATATATTAAATGTTATATTGAAATATAATGCATGTTTTTATTTGCTCCATGACAGTGTGGAATTTGATATTTCCTTGCTTCTGGTATGGCTGGGGAGTTCCTAGTTGGCCCAGTCCTCATGAAAATGGCAATTCAAACCTGGAAAAATTATTGTAAAACAGCCAACTAAGGTCTGGAGACTAAAAAGATGCAGCAGATAGTGAAGGAAAATCAACTCCTGGAAGGAAGCAACAGCCCTGAGTGAATTTCCTAATTTACGACTTGTACCTGAGAACAAGCTCTGGTCTCCACGATATGCAAAAGCTAAAACGCTGGTAGAAAACCTCCATTCTTAACTGACTTGAAAAACCAGACAGCAGAGTTGAGGGCAAATGCAACCAGTAGAAAGTGAGAAAGAAAATCCTAGAAAACAAATCATGCTGCTATAAAGACGCATGCACACGTATGTTTATTGCGGCACTATTCACAATAGCAAAGACTTGGGACCAATCCAAATGTCCAACAATGATAGACTGGATTAAGAAAATGTGGCACATATATACCATGGAATACTATGCAGCCATAAAAAATGATGAGTTCATGTCCTTTGTAGGGACATGGATGAAATTGGAAATCATCATTCTCAGTAAACTACCACAAGAACAAAAAACCAAACACCGCATATTCTCACTCATAGGTGGGAATTGAACAATGAGATCACATGGACACAGGAAGGGGAACATCACACTCTGGGGACTGTTGTGGGGTGGGGGGAGGGGGGAGGGATAGCTTTAGGAGTTATGCCTAATGCTAAATGAGGAGTTGATGGGTGCAGCACACCAGCACAGCACATGTATACATATGTCACTAACCTGCACATTGTGCACATGTACCCTAAAACTTAAAGTATAATAATAATAAAACTTAAAAAAAGAAAAAAAAAGAAAATGAAATGAAAAAAAAAAAAAAGAAAATCCTAGAAAACAGTCGGGAAGCTCAGAACCTGTGAACAAATTCTTTTCAAATCTCTGGCTAATTGTGAACCACGCATGCATAGCCTAAATTCCAAGCACCCCAGGTAAAGCCAACAAAACAAACAAAAACAAACAAACAACAGCAGCAAAATTTAAACTGTTGCCCACCAAAGGGAAGATGGATTTTATACTTTGAGTCCAGTCAAGTGCCTGCTAACACAAAGGGACCAAAAAAAAAAAAAGGTATTAAATAGAATTTAATAGGTAGTAGATTTTATAGATGTTATAGAATAACATCCATAACATCAATATAGAATATATATAGAATCTATAACATCTATATAGAATAATATCTATAACATCATCCACAATGTCCCAGAAATAATCAAAATTAATTCACATATAAAGAAACAAGAAAATAAGACACATTTTTAAGGAAAGGAAACAAAACAATAGAGAACAGCCCTATCATGACCCAAAAGTGAAAATTTTAACATAAGGACTTTATAAAAGTGATTATAACTGTGTTCAAGGAAAGGAAATTATTCTTATCATAAGTGAAAAGATTGGAAATCTTAGTAAAGAAATAGAAATCCTAGAAAAACGAAATGGGAATTCTAGGATGAAAATAACATAATATCTAAAATAAAAAGTGAGAAGAGTGAAAATCACCTAATCTTACGCAGCATATATAGTTACAAAGACAATAATGCTGATAAAAGTGTTTATGACAGCTAGTGGAGCATATATCAACAGGGATTCAATTTAATTTAGGAGATCAAGGAAACCTTCTCTAACAATGAGATATTTAAGCTGAGATCTGAAGAATTAGTAAAATTGACCTAGGAGAAGGAGTAGCAGAAGCAGGGGAGAAAAGGTGATGAATTCTCAGCAATGGTAAAAATGTTTTAGCAGGATCAGAAGAAAAATGATTTGAATAAACTAAAAAGTAGGGAACATGAAAACATGAGTCGTAGAATACTCCAAGACCAAACTATTTAGGGTCATGTAAATTGTGCTAAAGAGTGTTCTGTGCTAGGTAAATGTATTGAGTGATGTTATTCAGAAGAAAAACATAGTTAAACCTACATTTTCAAACGTTTATTTCCTGTGCATCAATTTCTTCATATGCAGTGGGAATAATGTGGTCACTTATAGCTTTCAAATTCTGTGAGATACAAATTAGGAGTCTTAGTAGATTTGTTCAGCAATCTATACATTCACGTAATTGTGATTCCAAAGGACCGTTGGCTTCGGTGACAAAATCTATTATCTGAGATGCCAAAAATGCCTATGAAGAACTGAGTCCTTGTTAATTCTAAGTAACTCAGGAATGGAAAACCAAACATCATATCTTCTCACTGATATGTAGGAGCTAAGCTATGAGGATGCAAAGGCATAAGAATAATACAATGGACTTTGGGGACTTGTGGGGAAGAGAGGGAGGGGGTCTAGGGATAAAACACTGCAAATATGGTGCAGTATATACTGCTCGGGTGATGGGTGCATGAAAATCTCACAAATCGCCACTAAAGAACTTACTCATGTAACTAAATACCACCTGTACCCCAATAATTTATGGAAATTAATTAATTAATTTCAAACAAAACTGAGTCTTTCTGGGAAAAAAATAACTATGAGCTTATCTTCTGCTTCTTTTGGGCAAAAATGACTGATGGCACAATAGTGAACCTATCAAAAAAATACTTCGTACACTTTATTCTATCCTGTGCTCATATTATAACCTTGCATATAGAACATAGATATTATTTTTGACGGAGAATAAGCAAAATAGAATATATATTCTATTTTGAGTAATGAGTCCTTTATACCAGGGAGATTATAAATAAAGATAGCAGTAATAATAATATTAGTAATACTTGAGCACTATGTAGCAGGCACTTTGTTTTTTTTTAATAGACTCATTTTAATTTCACAACAATTGTGCAGGTTTTCTACTATTATTATCATTCCCATTTCAAAGATAGCAAATTCAGGCATAGAAAGTTACTTCTGTTTGCCAAATTCATTCAGGCATTATTAGGTTGAAGCAAGATCTCTACCCCAGCATTCTAATTTTAGAAAGCACGCTCTAGTGCATCCAATTACACTGGATAGAGTTATTCGTATGCACAGCCCTGTTCAATTTAAGTCAAAGTTACGTTTTGTGGGTGAAGCAGACAGGAGCGCAAAGGTGCCTCTAAAAACAGGGGATCCACCTAGACTTACCTGACTATAAAGAAGCCCCTGTTTTTACCACTTCTTCATCAGTAGTTTAAGAAAAAACAGCACATTTTTGGGCTGACTGGTATGTTATGTTCCCAATAATAAGCTGATTTACAAACAATAAAGACAAAGTCTCTCTTCCAAGAAATTCACAATTTCACCCACTTGAATCATTTTCTTCCTGTCTCGCTGGAAATTCCCATTTCCTCCAGGTGCAGAAGCCATCTTTATCTGCTCAGGCTTTCCTGCAGGTGACAGCGTAGCATTCTAGAAGAAAGGCAGTGGGGAGAAAAAGCAATGCTCATTAAGAGAAAATCAAATTCATATTCCTCACACATATGCCTTCATGTCCACACACTGAGAATTTTTAAAGTTGGAACAAGGATACTTTGCCTGCTTTATTTCTGTTTGCCCTCACACATTTCTGCTCTCTGAAGAAATCAAAAGCAAGGAGAACAGTAAAGATTTGATATACAGTTGCAGAATTGTCCATTTCCATAACCTGGCAGTCCCCGGTGTTGGGGAAATGCTTCTTCCCCATTTCAAAACATTTCTTCCCTGTTCATTCAAGTAATCAACCATTTTTGTAACATCTGTGGCATCTCTTTATTCTGTTTCTTTCCCACAGAGAAAAGTGACTTACCTGAGCAGGGATTTTGATGCAACAATGTGTATTTCAATGAATATAATCTCCAAAAATGCAATAACATTAGACATTAACAATAAAATATTGATAATTAGGAACATCATCTATTTTTACAAATGTATATCATGTGTTTTTAAATAAGTTATTAGTTAAGTATTATGATGGGTATTAGAAAATATTTAGAACTGAGTTTAAGTGAAAACATTACATATCAAATTTTATAATGTACAGATAGTAAAATATTGAAACAGAAACATAATGTTATGTGTATATGAAAAGTATAACTGAAAATTAATGAGGTTATTATTCAAATGATACAGTTAGACAAAATAACATAGAAATAAAGTAGAGAAAAGAATGAATATAATGCAAACAACACAAATCAGTGAAAAAAAATTCCATAAACAAAAGTTATTTGGAATAGTAAAACATATCTTGTAATATGATCGATCAAGAACAAGAAAACACACTATTCAGACAATAGGTATCCTTTTGCAACAGCATAATCACAAAGACGGCAATGTTGCTCATAATAATCTCTATTTTGTTCAATTCCACAAAATTCTAATAGAGATTCACCACATTTTAAAAACTCATTCTAAAATTAATGTTGAAACATAAAGTTAAAATTTGACAAGATAGAAGGAAAATAGAAGGACATAAGGAGGAAAAGGAGGAGATAGAGAAAAAAAGAAGGAAAAGAGAAAGAAACAATCAAAAAAGCAGAAAGAAATACTGATAATCTACCAGATATCCAGAATTTCTGTAAAATCATTTTAATCAAAATGTAGTATTAACAGAAGGATGGAATAAACAATTAAGGCTAATATCTGTCCCATGCACACATGGCAGCTTGGTTTATGATGGAGGTTACATTACAAATTAGTTGATATATCAAATAAGACAAACATACAAAAATGAATAGTGGCTTCAACAATAGCAGATCCTCAACCTTTTAAAGTTTAAGTGAAGGATGAAGAAAGAATGGGGACAATGAAGTGCATAGAGTCTTTATCAAATCTTCCATACACTTCTACTCTTATAGAGGAAAAGAGAAATGGAGCTAGAGATGGCATCAGGTCAAAGGAGAACTATTTTTAAAATATAAAGTACCACAGGGAATGATGGTATGTTAAGGGAAAGTATCCAATGTAGGAGAAATTGTTGATACAGGAGACAGAATACTTTGTGAGCAAATTCTTGAGTCGGTAAGAGAAGATGAGATCTAGAGCATTATGAAGCAGCAGCTTTAGGAGTAGGAAAAATATTGTTATGTAAGGGATGGGAAATATATGAGAAAAAATGAAGTTGGTAGTAGAAAGGTGAGGGATTCCTGTCTGGTTGCTGACTCTGTCCTCACCATTTGGGTGGCCTACCTTAGTCAAATACCTCTGCTTTCTTATCTCTGGGTTCTTCAAATAGAAATGGAAAAAGTATCTATTAACCTCATAGTATTTTGTGATGATCAAAAGAGATGTTGTATATAACGCACATAGCATACTGCCTGGTGCATAATTAGTGCTCAATTAAAAAGACATTCTTATGTGGTAATATATTCTGAGGAAGGCATCACACAAATCCACCAGAACTTGCTGAACACTTTAGCAAGTGGATTAGCTGGCTGTTACTTATAAGTGAAAGGTACAATTTTGACAGAGAAGAAGAGAATTTCTAAAAGTAAGAAAATTATGGATGTCAGAGCCAAAATCTGAGAGAAATTAAAAGTTTGAATTTGGGAATCCCAAGTATTTATTTTTCTGCCTCTACTTTTCCCTCTCTGCACCTCTATTCTTTCATATATGAATTAAGAAAAATGATAATACTATCTCACAGGTAGGTTTTGGATTAATGATTAATAATGTAAAACATAGAGAATGACACCTTACACAGCTATTGTTATTATACAATTTTGTATTATATATATTTATATAAGTAATATTTCATAATATATGTAAATTATAAAATAAAATATACTTTTATACAATATATTTATTATAAAACATTAGTTGTATAAATTAGCTACATAGCTATTACTATATAAATTTTCTCCAAAAGTGGAGAAGAATTAAGAATTATAATAATGCTTTTCATTTACTTCTCTTTCACCCTTTTGAAACAGTGTGTCTTTGAACTGTCACAGTTTAATCCATGAATGAATTCTGATAGTGATGAAAATTAAGTAACATTCAAATTATATAAAATCATATCTTTTATGCCACTCAATTTTATGATGGATCAAATCAATTCTATTTTCTTCTTCTTTGTTTAAACCAAGGTAGCTCAATTACATCACCTTGAGCCTTTATTTAGAAAAGAATGGCAAAACAAAGTTCTCACCAACAAAACTTTTTGGCGTTCAAATGCTTGGAATTACTACACTGTTGGTCTTTTCATTTTCAGATCCTCTAACAATAGATGCAGCACAAGGGCTCTCCAAAACCCTCCATCCTGCTGCTCTTCGAGTTTGATTTGCCATTTCAAAGATTTTAAGAAAGCAAAGGATTCTAGGTTTGATATGTGGTTCAATTAACAAAACAGCATCCTCTATCTGATACAAAACACAGAGAAATTCTTGGCCCTGGAAGTAGTGATTTTCCCATCATTAAAGCATTTAAGAAGATACCTCACAGCCACTCCACAAGAAGGAGGGAAGCCACATGGACTCCAGCAGGCTGAGCCATTTCTTCTGTTAAATGCTTCCTTCTTACTCCCGCCACAGGTTTCTATTGGAGGCTTTCATATTCTCAGAGGATAGCAAATAGTCACAAAGCAGGTGCTTAGAATTAATCCTAATATGTTGTAATTTAGAACATCCAAAATGGAAGAATTTCTTATTTTATCTTATGGAGATCAGGTATTATTTAGGAACGAGTTCTTGAAAAGAATAAGTAATTGGAAGATATTTAATCTTCTTAAAAGATTGAATGTGAGGAGAGATGGATATTTTAAAATATGATTTCTTGCCAAATTTATGAAGACATTTATAATATGATATTAAATTTAAAGTTTCTACTGAAAGGCAAAAATAAAGCACATATCAGATGTCTCTGAGAGTGTAAGACAGTTCCTTCTGGATAAATCTTCAAAGCCACTATTTGAGAACTGGTTGCAGTTTTCTTTGATCTCTTTTTTCCCATTTAGGGGATAGAAAAGGCACAAATGGAATTTATGGGCAAGATTCCTTTGCAGAGAATGGACTGCTAAGTCTGTTGCTGAGTCTCTCTCTGACACGCGCGCGCACACACACACACACACACACACACAAACATACGCAAACCTGAAACCAAGGAGGCATGGGAGCTCAACTTCCTTTAGTTTCAACCCCTCAACACTAAAGTTGAGGGGCTTCACTTCAGTAGGACCACTCATAGAATTTACTATGTGTAACCTCAAGTTCGGAAGGTCTGATTCATGTGTGGGAAATCTAGAAGGCAAGAGAGATGGCTTGGCGGGCTGTTTAGTGAAGAAGTTAGTTGGGATGATAGTCCTGCACTCCCAGAGTTTGTCAAGCCAAACGATGTGTGAACATTAACCATGGACAAGATGTGGGCCACGCAGCAAAGACAGCCAGTGTCCAGTGGGTGAGCATTTCCCATGGACCAGATGTGGGCCACACAGCAAAGAGAGCCAGTGTCCAACGGGTGAGCATTTCCCATGGACCAGATGTGGGCCATGCAGCAAAGAGAGCCAGTGTCCAGACTTGTCTTGTCTTCAAGAGGACTGCATGAAGGTCAAGAGGACACCAGTAGAGAGAGGTCTGTATGAACAGGACTTCCAAAGGCAGTCAGCAACCAGAGCAAAACACATTGTCCTCGCCCAAAGACTCAGGAGGAGGCTCCAAACAACTCACAGCAGTGTTGCTGCTCAGTATCTGCCAGGCCCAAAGTGCACAAAGCCATTTTATGTGATTACCAAGCCAGCAAAAGTATCTGGTAGCTTTGCTCTTCTTGCCCCCAGACTTCAACCCTCACTTCAGGATGAGATAGGAGAGAAGAAAGAAAAAGTAAAAAGCCAACTACTAAATTCTCTTATCCAAAGACAAGTGCTCTGCATATGCCTCAAAAGCCAACATGAACATATTTTATAAAGCAATATTAAGGAAATGGCCTTCCAGAAAGAGCACAGTTGGTTTAAAATATGAGAAAGGGATTTGTAGGAAAAATAAAACTCACAAAAATAAAACTAATTTTTTTATTGATTGATTTTTATATATGTTTTTAGAGTCAGGGTCTCACTATGTTCAGGTTGGAGTGCAGTGGTTATTCACAGTTGCAATTATCACGCACTCCGGCCTAAACTCCTGGCCTCAAGCAATCTTCCTGCCTCAGCCTGCTTAGCAGCTGGAAGTACATACATGTGCCACCACACCTGGCCTAGAACTAACTTTAAAATGTTTTTAAAACTTTTTTTGTAATTTAGCTGTTTTAAACCAAGTTACAGCCTAAAGACAGTGAGGAAGTCTTCTGTCATAATTTCAGTTTGTATAAATATCTCAGAACATAGATATGGAACACTAAGCTCCATTGCACCTCTGCCGCAATAATCATAAGGGAAATGGTGTGAGCACCATATGGCAATCCTAGATTATCTCCCCATCCCAAAGGGAGTTAGAGAATCTAAATGCTAGTCAGCGGCAACACAATAAAGTATTCAAATTAAATCATTTTTATTTAACTCATTTATCAGTGAGTTGAATATTATTTCCTTCTTGCGATAGATAATAGCGCAAATAAAAAGCCACCCCCAAAAACCTCTTAAGATATTCTAGATGGAAAACACATATGAACAAGAGATTGATGACCCAGGAAGAGTAGCTCTGGTGAAAGTAGAGGAATAGGAGTTGGTGAAGGAAGCCAGGCACAATGGCTCATGCCTGTAATCCCAGCAACTCAGGAGGCTGAGCCAGGAGGATCACTTGAGGCTGGAAGTTTGAGACAAGCCTGAGCAACAGAGTGAGACCCTGTCTCTTAAAGAAAATAAAAAATAATAAAAAAAGAATTGATGACGGAAAAATATGGCCAGAGTTGGAGCAAACTAGACTGGCGTTATTGTGTCATGAAATGTTGCAACTGGAAAGGAACCAACCACTTATTTTACAGATAAAGAAACTAGAGTCCAATAAATTAATTTACTCATGATCAAAGAGTAGGTGGCAACACTGGGCCTCAAGTCTAGATCTTTGGACTGTAAATAGTGAAGCCATTTATCTGAACTTGCCTCCTAAGCAATCATCAGCATGGTGTGCTTAGAGAACATCAGCATTGTTCTTAAAGAAGAATAAACCATGAAGGGAAGGGTCCAAAAGGCCATGGCAGTAGAAAGATCAATACTCATGAATAAGTAGAAACAAAATGTTTCCACTGAGAAGGATCTCATGCTTGAGGTCTTAAATTTCAGGAGTATGGGTCTAAGGAAAGCAGCAATAAAGGAATATAATCCCTTCACACATGGTTCAAGAAAGCTTTATGAGGGCATGGGGGGTTTGAGGCTGAGATAAAGCCTATTAAAAGCTCTGAGCTATGTTGAAAGAGGAAATGCTCTAAATATAAAGAATTACTGTAATTTCTGGGGTGTTTTTCGCTGTATAGAATCTAGGACGTGTGGTTTATTAGCTTGATTTTCATGGTGAGAATGAAAAAGAAATTACTTTTTCTTCTTCTTCATGAAGTGTTTGCTGTATGGGGAAAGACATCCTAATCCCTTCTTTACTCACTTTGCATGGCTTTCTATTTCTATTCATTTTGCTTCAAGAGATCATTAAGCCCATCTGTGCTCAGCAGTGATAATGGAAATAGATGGAGACAGATTTGACGGATATGACAACAGAGCAAGGTTTCACACCCAGGATTTTATGCTGAGGAGTTAGGAGGTAAAAGACCTCCTGACTGAGGCAAGATGATTTCAAGAGGCACTCTCCTCTCTGGGAGGGCTTCGGAGCCAGCCTCATCCTCCCGCCCTGGCTTTGTCTTCCAGAGATTAACACAGGAATTCTGACAGTGGCATGTCATTTGTATGACAAGCTGAGCCTGAGGTTTTTAAGAGCCTCTTTCTATATAATCTTTGGAAACACACACACACACACACACACACACACACACACACACACACACACAATCTGAAAGCTAGGACTGGTCCTGTTAGGTTAATACTAAGAAACATTAACTGGGAGAAAAGATTCATTGAACATGGTAGAAAAATGCAAGTGAAACGGCTTGATTGTTTACTGTGGCAGACTTCTGTTGTTCTACTTAAAGTGGCTGGCATAGCATCGAGAATGAGTTTAAACTACCAAGAAATGCAGGGAGTCACCTATGGAAGCTCAGCCTGATGCAAATTATATCAGCACTTCGCAGGGAGAAAATGGCACTCTTGGATGGAAGAAATTGCAATGGAATCAATAAAATATTCCACTCAACTGAGTGATGTGGAGTTAGCTTCCCAATATCTCAGGCTGCAGGCGAAATGTCACAGTCCAGGTTTAAAAGAGATCAAGCAAGACGCAAAAGTCCTGTTTATCATGTGGGTGTTTCTCTGTGAACATGCATGGAAAAGGAAATACAAATATACCTTACGTTTAAGTAGTCAAGAATCATCATTAAATAAACACCTTCCATGTGTCTGTGATTGTCCCAGGTGTCAAATACAAGGTATGAGCAAAGATCTCCAGCTTTTGAGACATGATCAGGACCCAGTTTCTGCTAACCCCCAAAGAACGCTAGAAACCCAGTGCAGACTATCATTACTAACTAACCTGGCTTGACTTAACAGGTGAAATCTATTTGCCCTCCTGCTCTTAACCATGTTCATATATCACAGGCAATAATCTTGAAGTTTATTTCAAGGCAGAAAGGACATGAAATCATTTTAGGTGATGCATAATAACGACATAAGCACTGGACTGAGACCTGAGTGGTTTAAGTCCAACCTCTGCCTATAAAATCTTGGGTGAATCAGAGTCTCTTTGGTTGTCTCTAAATGAGAACTTACTGATGCTTGTTCTAGCTACTTCATGGTATTTTTAGGAAGGTTCTGGAAGCAATATGCCAGCTAGATTGCATGGGAGGCTGGGGGTCTTGCTAGGGGACTCCAGAAGTGACAGGGCATGTGGTGACAAGGGCCTGGGTCAGGGCCAGAAAATGTGAACAGAAAAGAGCATCATAGTCAAATTATCTTTTCAAAATTTTCACTTTTAGCTATGAAACAATTAAAAGATATGGAAAAGAATAATATTGTACTGTCCATTTGATAAGAAAGAAGATTTTAAGTGTCCTTACTACACTCACCTCACCTCAGCTCACACACATGGTAGCTATCGATGGTAATGTATGTGTTCATTAATTTAATGTGGTAATCATTACACAATGTGTAGGCACATGAAATCATTATGCTGTACATCCTGAGCATGTTTCATTTGTATTTGTCAGTTGTACCTCAATAAAGCTAGAAAAAAAAAGGAAAATATTTCTAGGGAAGGCACTAAAACAAGGTTAGGAGAAAAAAATAAAAAATAAAAATATGAAGGAATTAGGGTGAAATGTTTAAAACTTCAGCAATTAATAATTGTTCACTGTATTGTTCAGTTTTTATTTATTATTTATTTATTTATTTTGAGATGGAGTCTCACTCTGTCGCCAGGCTGGAGTGCAGTGGCGATCTCAGCTCACTGCAACCTCTGCCTCTTGGGTTCAAGCAATTCTCCTGCCTCAGCCTCCCGTGTAGCTGGGACTACAGGTGCATGCCACCAAGTCCAGCTAATTTTTGTATTTTTAGTAGCAACAGAATTTCACCATGTTGGCCAGGATGGTCTTGATCTCCTGACTTTGTACAAATAGTTATGTCTAGCTACCATCAATAAACAAAAAATTATTGTATTTCTTGCCAAGGATATTTGGTACATAAGTAAATATTACATCTGTGTTTTAATGTTATTTTGAATCCTTACTCTCAAAGTTGTCATTTAATTTTGTATTATTGTATATTAAAATAACTGTTCCTGTGAAACAAGTAAAGAATATAAACAAAACCTGTGTGTCCATCAACAAAAAAATGTTTTAAAATTGTGACACATTTGCTTAAGAACTCATGTAGAAAGGAAGAGAAAGAAGGAAGAAGGAAGATAAGGAGGGAAGGAGAAAGGGAGGAAAATGGAAAATTTCATATATACAAAAAAATTAACCCTCACTCATTACTCCTCATTTCCACTCCAGACATTACCATTTTCCTCACCTTGATATGTAGTATTTCTTGTATTTTTTTCTAACTGTTACTAAATACATTCTTGGATAAGAGTACCTTCTTATTGGATAAGAATATTGTATTAGTCAGGGTTCTCTAGAGGGACAGGACTAATAGGATAGTTGAATATATGAAAGAAAGTTTATTAAGGAGTATTGACTCACATGATCACAAGGTAAAGTCCCACAATAGGCCATCTGCAAGCTGAGGAGCAAGGAAGCCAGTTCAAGTCCCAAAGCCCTAAAAGTAGGGAAGCCGAGAGCGTAGCCTTCAGTCTGTAGCAGAAGGCTCGAGAGCCGCTGGCAAACCACTGGTGTAAGTCCAAGAGTTCGACACTGAAGAACTTGGAGTCTGATGTTCGAGGGCAGGAAGCATCCGGCATGGGAGAAAGATGAAGGCCAGCCAGGCACGGTGGCTCATGCCTGTAATTCCAGCACTTTGGGAGGTCAAGGTAGGTGGATCGCTTGAGGTCAGGAGTTCAAGACCAGCCTGGCCAACATGGTGAAACACCGTCTCTATTAAAAATACAAAAAAATTAGCCAGGCATTGTGGCATGTGCCTGTAATTCCAGCTACTCAGGAGGCTGAGGCAAGAGAATTGCTTGAACCTGGGAGGCGGAGATTGCAGTGAGCCGAGATCATGCCACTGCACTCCAGCCTGGGCAACAGAGCAAGACTCCATCTCAAAAAAATTAAAAAAATTCAAAAAAAAATTTAAGAAAAGATGAAGGCCAAAAGACTCAGCCAGTCTAGTCTTTCCACATTCCTCTGCCTGCTTTTATCCTAGCCACACTGGCCGCTGATTATCAGGTGTCCACCCATATCAAGGGTGTGTCTGCCTCTCCCAGTCCACTGACTCAAATGTTAATCTCCTTTGGCAACACCCTCACAGACACACCTAGGAACAATACTTTGCATCTTTCAATCCAATCAAGTTGACACTCGATATAAACCATCAGAAATACTTCTTATTTTTTAAATTCTACTGAAATGCTGTCATACTCTCCATATCTTTTTGTGGCTTCCTTATTCAGACAATATTATGTTTTTAGATTTTTCATGTGTGCATACATGAATGCATCAATGCATGTAAATATCATATTTATTTTAAAATTCTATTTAGTCCTTCATTGTATGAATATAGCATTCCCCTTCTGTGGGACAATTAGGTTGTTTCATACTTTCTCTGTTATCAACAGTACCATGGTAAGAATTCTTCTACATGGAAATCTTAAAAGGCAAATCATTCTGTGGGGTGGAAAGTTTATGTAGTATTGCTGGCTAGAAAGGGCATGCCCTTCTTATTGTGCCAACCAACACATCACCAACAATGAATGTGTTTCTTTCCTCCCACGTCTCTGCAAACACTGGCCTTATAAGATATACTCAAGTTGGTGAATCTGTAACATGATGTCTTATTGTTACTGGAATTTTAATTTCCTTCATTATTAGTGTGATCAAGAATTTCTTTAATTTAAGTATAGAGATTTCTGGTTCCTTCCCTGGGAATCAGATGTTTATAATCTTTGTCCATTTATGCATTCAGCTATTTTATTTTTATAGTATATGAGTTCTTGATACATTTCAGATAGTAATCCTTTGTTGGGTTTTTCAGTTCTCAATTTTTTCATTGATTTACAATTTTATTGCATTGTGGTTAGAGAAAGTATTAAATATTAATATTTGATTGACTCTGGTTCTTTCACATTTAGTTAGCTCTGTTTTGTGCTCTGTTACATTGTCAATTTTTGCAAAAGTCCCATTTGTGCTTGAAAAGAGTGTGTGCTCACTAACATTGAGTGTAATGTTCTATAAATATTTATCAGAGCAGGCTTTTAATGTGCTATTCAAATCACTTATAGCCTTAGTAATTTGACTGCTCAATTTTTATTAAAGGCAGTATTGAAAATTTTGAAGATATACTTGTTAATTAGTCAACTTTTCATTAAAATTCTGTCAATTTTTACTTGACACATGTTGAAGCTATAGTGTTCCCTATTGATAAAGATTTAGGTTGTTTCTAAAATTTTTCCATTATAAAGCATGATCTTGTATCTAAATTCTCAAACACACATATATGTATGTCAGTAAGATAAAATCCAGGAAGGAACTAGATCAAAGCATATGCACATTTTTAGTAATCAGAGAGATTTTACCACGTGACCCCTTCTACAGTTTAAACAGAAGAAATTGATTGGAAAAAAACTGCCTGGTTAGAGCTGAATGTATTTGGAGTACTAATAATGACGATCTTTGGAGAATAAGAACTCTAGCCAAACTTGGTGAAATCTTTAAAAAGTTTCACCATCAACTTTTCCAACTCCAACTCTTTCTCTGCACCCTGATAAGGTGACTGCCTTCACTAGAGAATCCTAAAATAGATCCATTTCCATTTTCAGAAAACTTTGATTTTGTTCTAATAGATATACTTTTTTTTCACTTGTTCCTTTGGCATTCATGGGTGTCAGTGTAATATACCTGGATAAAAAGACTAAAAAGTCACATCTGCTATCTTACAGATCAGAGTGTACTTCTCAAAATGAGAGCATTAGAGATAAATGGCCCCTCTTTTGCCAGTCACTGTGAAAATCACATAACAAAAAAGGATCCCGGAGTCTTTGAAGAATATCCTTGATAAATTTTTGCAAGTTCCAATTTTCATCTTCTTGAGAAATATTACCATGTGTCCTCTGAGTCACCTGTCTAAGTTGCTACCAGTAAGTTCAAGCAACCGTTTTATCTATTTGTGGCCAAAGGTTAAAATGCAGGCATCCAAAATGTGCAAAACGACCGTACTTTTCTTCTGTGGACTTTCGGCTGCATTTTTCTTTTTAAAACAGGATGCAAAGGTGTCTAGAAAATATCATTGGTACATTAATTAGTACATGGTGCTCACCTAGAAGAAAAATGGTGTCTTCTGGGAGAGGTTTCCATGGGCTGAAGAGAAGAAGCAGCAAGTAGACCTACAGGCATTAAAATCCTTTCTCAAGACTTAAAACCCTGTGTCCTTGAGCAATTTATTTAATTGCTCTGTGCTTTAGTTTCCTCACCTACAAGATGGGGATAATAGGCTTCCCTCAAAGGTCAGAGTGTGATATAAAGCAACTTGAAGAGTGCCTGGCTCATATTATACAAAGGCTCAGCGAATTTTGCTTTGGTGCTGTAGGTAGTGGAGTCTCAACAATAGTGGTGGTGGTAATATATGATTGTGATCTACCATCTCATTCCTTTGGTTAATATTGATACATAATAAATGTACATATTTTCAGGGTACATGTGATATTTTGATACATTCATATAATGAGCAAGGATCAAATCAGATTAGTTAGGATAGTCATCACCTTAGATATTTATCTTTTCTTATGCTAGTAACATTTCCATTACTCTCTTCTAGCTACTCTGAAATTTACAGTGGATTACTATTAACTATAACCATGCTACTGATCTATCTATTAAACACTAGGTCTTATTTCTTCCATCTAACTGTCTCTTTTTACCCATTAATCAATATCTCTTTATTCTGCATCCCTCCCCCAACCCACTTCCAGGCCTTTAGTAATCACTTTGCTTTCTATCTTCATGAGATTCAGTTTTTTAGCTCCCACTTGTAAGTAAGAACATGTGATATTTGTCTTTCTCTGCTTGGCTTATTTCAGTTAACACAGTGACCTTCAGTTCTGTCCGTGCTGCTACAAAAAATAGAATTTTATTCTTTTTGCGGCAAATAACATCCCAGTGTGCCTACATACCACCTTTTCTTATCCATTCATCCATTACTGGGTACCTAGGTTGATTCTATATTTTGGGTATTATGAAGAGTGCTGCAATAAACATAGGACCGCAGCTATCTCTTTGATATATTGATTTGCCTTCTTTTGGATAGATACACAGTAGAGGGATTTCTGGATCATATGGTAGTTTTATTTTTAATTTTTTGAGGTACTTTCATACTATTTTTCATAGTGGCTGTACTAGTTTATGTTCCCACCAGCAGCATACAAGGGTTCGCCTTTCTCCATATTCTTGCCAGCATTCATTATTCTCTGTTGTTTTGATAAAAGCCATTTTAACTGGGGTGAGATGATACCTCATTGTGGTTTTGATTTGTATTTCTCTGAAGATTAGTGATGTTGAGGATATTTTCATATACCTATTGATTCACAGACGACATGATATTATATTTAGACAAATCCAAAAACTCCAGAAAAAAAATTTTAGAACTGATAACTTCAGTAAAGTTTTAGGATACAAAATCAACATACAAAAATCAGTAGTATTTATACATGCCAACAGTGAACAATCAAAAAAAAGAAAGAAGGTAATCCTATTTATAATGGCTACAAAAAATATAAAACACCTAGAATTAATTTAACCAAATAAGTGAGAGATTTATATAAAGAGAATTATAAAACACTGATGACAAAAATTGAAGAGGGCACACAAAAAATGGAAAGATATTTCCACCTCGTAGATCGGAAAAATTAATATTATTAAAATGTCAATACTATTCATTGGTAAGACAGACAGAGAAAGCATTACTGTGCTTTTTCGAAAAAAGTAGGCAGTGAGATCCAGAAACGTTATGTAATATACCTAAAACCACAAACCTACTATTTGGCAGAAGACCTAAAAACTTTAACCCAGGTGTGCTAACACCTAAGACAGAACTAAGAAAGAGTTAAACGATACGAAGTTCACTCAATTTGATGGCTCACACTTGATAAGGTTTCTGTCTTACTAGTACAGGTATGATTCTAATGGCAGGAGAAGTGAAAAATTTCTGATGGTTCTTAATGACATAATAAAGAAAAATACACACAAACACATATGTTCACACACAGCCTCAAAGTTCACACGTGTAAAATGAAGATAATACCTTTTCACATGCTTATTGTAAACATCTATGTAAGCACATAGAATACCTTGCACAAGACGTAGCACATAATCGACCACGCGTGGTAGCCATCAGTTTTAACGACAGCATTAGCAGAAGCAGTAGTGGTAGCAGCCGCAGGTGCATAGTGATGGAACACAGAAGTACAGGCATGTAAGTGGGAAGCTATGGAGGGGTTTGCAGCCAAGGGGCAGCAAACTTTGCACCAGCCATGGAGGTGGAGCCACAGTCCAGCAGAGTCCTCACTGGGTGCTCTCTGGAATGCCTCCCAAATTTATTTTCTTCTCTAAATTCTTTTTTGGAAAGCCCGGCTCTAAGCCGTCTGTTTCTTGAGGTCTCCAGGATGCATGACAGTTCTTTTTAACTCCATTTATATTTTCACAAGAATAATCTGTCTTGTTCATGACTAGGTGTTGGTTAAGCAGAGGTGAACGATAGAGCCACATGGACTTGCTTCCCTCAAGTGGTTTACAATCTAGTAGTCTTGAGAGCTGTGGATTCCCTTGTCAACCTGGAACTCCTGGACTCCACTTTGACTCCAGCTAATTTCAACCTATCTTTTAAGAATCATTTTAAGAATAGATTCTTCCACAAAACTTTTCTTGATGTCTTACTCCTTCTCTCCTGCTCTGAGTTAGGTGCTATGATGGTTGCTTTTATGTGTCAATCAGACTTGGTTATTGTCCGCAGTATTTAACCAAACACTGTTCTAGGTGTTGCTGTGAGGAATTCTGTAGGTGTAATTAAAGTTCACAACAGACCTTGAGTAAGGAAGATTACCCTACATATTCTAGGGGGCCTAACTCAATCAGCTGAAAGCCTGAAGAGCAGAGCTGGAGCTGATGAAGAATAAATTATATTTGAAGACAGCAGTTCATGCCTAAGAATCCCAGCCAGCCCTTCCTGATAGCCTGTTTTATGGATTTCAGATTTGCCTAGCTAGGCCCCACAATTGCACAAGCCAATTTCTTAAAATAAACAAATCAATACATACACACACATACACAGATACATACACACATCAAGGAATCAATGAATACATCAATGAGTGTATCAATCAATGGATATTCTGCTTCTCTTGTTGAACCCTGACTGATACAGCAGCCTCTAGGTTATTTCTAACATGGTATTTATTATTCTCTAATTGCAATTTTCTCTGTTATAATTACCCTTTGAACACCTAATAGATAAACTCTCCTTGATAAGAGAATATCTGTTGCATAGAAAACACTCAGTATAAGTTTGCCTTATTTAATTAATTACTTGGTACAAGTAGGCGTTCTCTAATGGTTAAGCCTACAAGTATTAGAGTCAGGTACCTAATTTGGGTTCTGTCTCTCACTAACAGTGGGGGCCTGGGCAATTTTCTTGCTTTTAAGTTTTAGCCTCCCTTTCTGAAAAAGAAAAAAAAAAAAAAGGAAAACAGTAATAGTATCTGCCACATAGAATTGTTTTAGGAGATCAGGGAGTAAGTGCATAAAAATACCTTAGCATATGAATTAGCACATATTAAGAATGTAATAAATATTTATATTCTTGTTATCATTTGAAATGACTCTGGGTAGCCTTCCCTTGAGAAATATCTAATTAAATATCAAAAAAAAAACAATTAGCCTTCATGCCTTTGCTCATCCTACTGCTGGTATGCCTCAGAGAGTAGCAGCTTAGTTTGGCTGTGGTGCCTGCTAACCTACACCTCTACAATGAACAGCTGATGATTAGCAAGGTTCTCATCCCTCCTCCAGGACTCACACACACATGCATTAGGGAACTCAGTGAAATCTCAACTCAGTAATTTCTGCTTTTCATAAAAATGCCAAATCCATACCAGAATATGCAGTACTTGCTCACTCAGCTCATCCCTGAGAAAGTTGGGATGAGAAAATGCCACCACCAAGGGCATCCACATCTGTGTGGCCCTATCCCTTACCATGCACTTTAATATAAATTATCTTCCTTGATCCTTGTGGTAATCCTATAACACATGTAGGGCATTCTCAGGCTCCCCCTGGGCAGTTGATGAAACAAATTATTTGTATAACGGTACACATCATTTGTGTAAAGGAATTTAGAATCTGCATATCCTGGATGAGAGGCCAGGGCACCCCCGACTTATAGACTTTGTTTGCTGGTGTCTCTTGCTCTTAGGACTTGGGTCTTAAGTAAGTTTTATTTTTTTCGTGGGAGCCCAAAAATACAGAAGTGAAATATTTCCTTTTATCTTCAAGTCCCAATTCCAACAATGAGTTACACAAGTACCCTTGTACCATTCACTTAACCTTTCTGAGCCTCAATTGCTTTAACCGTAAGGTTGTCAATAATGATGGCTCCATCAGTGGATTGTGAAGATTGCAAGTAATAATATAGGAAGTGACTCATAGAACTCTTCCCAAAACTGTTAGCTACATTCCCTTTCTTTCAAGAGGCACCATTGTAACATGTAAAGAGAATGGAATAATCCAAATGCTTACTCCCCAACCAAGTTCAATAGGCTGATATATCAAGCAAAATAAGACAAACTGGGAATAGAGAAGGACTGTGGCAGCCTTCCATATTCATGCTGTAAAATGTCTTGGTCACTGAGGATTTTCTGCTTCATCAACATTTTCAATGCTCATTAAGGAAAGCATAGTACAGCTTTAGTTGTTCTTTCATCAACATTAGCTACCAAAAATAAAAGAGATTTTTAAAATATATCAAAATCAAAATATCAAAAATATAAGAGAGCTTTAAAATAATAGTAAAAATCTTAAAATTCACAAGTGTTATACATTTTCTGTATCTCCTAAATTAGAACCCTTTTTCTCAAAGGACAGATGCTCCGTTATATTATAGAAGCATAAAGACAAAGTCATAGTTAACCCTTTCCTGCTTAAAAATGTAACCAACATTGCCAGCACTTTGGGAGGCCGAGATGGGCGGATCACGAGGTCAGGAGATCGAGACCATCCTGGCTAACATGGTGAAACCCCATCTCTACTAAAAATACAAAAAAAAAATTAGCCGGGCGTGGTGTCAGGCGCCTGTAGTCCCAGCTACTCATGAGGCTGAGGCAGGAGAATGATGTGAACATGGGAGGCAGAGCTTGCAGTGAGCCGAGATCACACCACTGTACTCCAGCCTGGGCGATAGAGCGAGACTCCGTCTCAAAAAAAAAAAAAAAAAAGAAATGTAACCAACATTGCTACTTGCTGAATTCACTTCTCCGTCTTACACCCAGCCTAAAATCTGAGACTAAATGAGCCAATAAACAATGAATTAAAATATAGGTTGATGGTATTTATTTCCCAGCACCAATAGCGTAGTTTATGTCTTTCAGCTGATGTCACATATCAAAAATTCTGACAATATTCTTAAGGCCCTAAACATTCTCATGAGATACAATACTGAGCACTTTTGTTGGTCATTATCTTTGAGACACTTTGATATTGTCCCAATAAGGTATGGTTGACATGCAAAAATCTGTTTGTATTCAATATATACAACTTTAGGAGGCTGGAGAGAAGTAAATATCACAGAATTATCATTACAATCTATGCCTTAAACCCATCCATCTCCTCCAAAAGTTTCCTCCTGCACTCTACATGTATTGCCATTGTGTGTACGTGTGTGATAACACTTACAAGCTCTACCTTCCTAGAAAATTTTTAAGTGTACAATACCATATTGCTAACTATAGGCACCATGCTGTACAGTAGATCACTAGGACTTCTTCATCTTGCATAACTGAAACTTTGTATTCTTTGATACATACCTCCAACCAGCCGCTGGCAACCAACATTCTATTCTCTGCTTCTATATGTTTGATTATATGAGATTCTTCTTAAAAGAGAGACAACGTTAATTTGTTCTTTTGCATCTGGCTAATTTCACGTAACATAATGACGTCCAGTTCTATCCATGTTACTGCAAATGACAGGATTTCATTATTTTGTTATGGCTGAATGGTATCACATTGTGTGTATATATACTATATTTTCTGTATCTATTCATCTGTTGATGGATATTTAGGTTGATTCAATGTCTTGGCTTTTGAGAATAATTCTACGATGAACATGGCAGTACAGATATCTCTTTGATATTGCCCCATTTTGAAAAGAATAGAGCATGCAAGAGCTCCAGGCAGAGCTTGCTATGTCTCAGCTGCAAAAAAGGAAGTTACCACCTGACATTAAAGCTCTCATCTCTGCTTACTTCTGTGACTACAGGAAGCCACTAGATCCCATCCTTCAGTTCTCTATCATCATCGCCCTCATCCGAATTCCCACACTTGGTCTATGCATTCGACTAACTGACCTATTCTCACCCACCTGCCACACCCTTCCACTCTGCCCTCTAAAATGTACAGAGACTTTTTACAAGAAAAAAACAACCCCATCAAAAAGTGGGCGAAGGACATGAACAGACACTTCTCAAAAGAAGACATTTATGCAGCCAAGAAACACATGAAAAAATGCTCACCATCACTGGCCGTCAGAGAAATGCAAATCGAAACCACAATGAGATACCATCTCACACCAGTTAGAATGGCAATCATTAAAAAGTCAGGAAACAACAGGTGCTGGAGAGGATGTGGAGAAATAGGAACACTTTTACACTGTTGGTGGGACTGTAAACTACTTCAACCCTTGTGGAAGTCAGTGTGCGATTCCTCAGGGATCTAGAACTAGAAATATCATTTGACCCAGCCATCCCATTACTGGGTATATACCCAAAGGACTATAAATCATGCTGCTATAAAGACACATGCACACATATGTTTATTGAGGCACTATTCACAATAGCAAAGACTTGGAACCAACCCAAATGTCCAACAATGATAGACTGAATTAAGAAAATGTGGCACATATACACCACGGAATACTATGCAGCCATAAAAAATGATGAGTTCATGTTCTTTGTAGGGACATGGATGATATTGGAAATCATCATTCTTAGTAAACTATCGCAAGAACAAAAAACCAAACACCGCATATTCTCACTCATAGGTGGGAATTGAACAATGAGAACACATGGACACAGGAAGGGGAACATTATACTCTGGGGACTGTTGTGGGGTGGGGGGAGGGGGGAGGGATAGCTTTAGGAGATATACCTAATGCTAAATGACGAGTTAATGGGTGCAGCACATCAGCATGGCACATGTATACATATGTAACTAACCTGCACATTGTGCACATGTACCCTAAAACTTAAAGTATAATAATAATAAAAGAAAAAAAAGAAAAAAAAGAAATATAATCTCATTGAACACCCAGAAAAAAAAACGTACAGAGACTTATAAACAAAATTGCTCCAAATCCTAAACTTTTTTGAAGTTTTCATTGATTTTTTTTTTCTACTGGACTGAATATGGGCCATCTGTGAGGCTACCACTTCTCCTGAGCCCTCTGAAGTAAAGGGTGACTGTTTTGCACTCATACCCCTAACACCTGAGGGCTAAAAAAGAGGCAGACTTATCCTTCGCCTACCTTTCACTTCCAAGCTATTTACTGTCCTTTGCCCACACAAAAAATTTGAATCTTAAATTTTGAAGTTTATGTCATTGTATATAACAAGCACTACCCCCTTCCTTGTTTATGTCATTTTCTAACTTCCCAGGTATTTTTCTTATTTTAAAAAGATATTAAGACGTTCATGATAGCGGTCTCCACCTTTTACCTGATCACCTTTCTTGATGACTCTTGAGATACACTTGGATACTTCAGCCATGACTTGGATCTCTCTTTTTCTTAACTTTCTCATTAACAATTATATTTTCCTCCAGCCCAGTTCAGCTTCCAACTAGTATCATGATTATCATTCTCAATATTTGCATCATATCCAAAATATCAATTTTAAGCATTCCCTCTGAGATCCATATCTCCTATCATTCTAACTTACTGATTCTAGAAACTCCACTCAAAAAAAAACTTCGTCTTTTCCTGTATTACCCAGTCAATGATTCTAATTTTGGAGTAAGGTACAATTACATACATTACAATGTAAAGATGTTAATGTTTAGTTCAACAAGTTCGGGAAAATGAATATTCTTTTTCTCTATTTGGTCATCACTTTTTCTGGTTTTTAATTAATTTTAATTTAATTTAATTTCTGGTTTTGTTTTCTTATACTAAAGTTCTATGTTATACTCTTGACATGTTGTTGTTTTGTCTTTCGTATATGTTTTTAATCTACCTGGAACTCACTTTTGTTTCTTAGCATAAATCATTAAAGAAAAATAAAAAGTGCTATCGATTACTCTATGGTGCTATCACTGTCCTTTTTTATTATGGTCGCATATATGTTATATATATTTCTAAGTTTTAACCATTTTTAAATGTATAGTTCAATGCCATTAAGTGCATTTATATTGTACAACCATCACCACTATCTATCTTCAGAACTTTTTCCTCTTCCCAAAATGAAACTCTGTAGTCATTAAATAACTCCTCATTTATGGCTGTCTTTGGCCTCTGACAATCACCATTCTACTTTCTGTATCTATGTCTTTTCTTACTCTTGGTATCCCATGTAAGACAATCATATGATATTTTCTGTCTGGCTTATTTCACTTAGCATAATGTCTTCAAGGTTCATCCTTGTTGCAGCATGTGTCAGAATTACCTTCCTTTTAAAGGCTGAATAATATTCAGTTGTATGTGTATACCACATTTTTTCCATTCATCTGTTGATGGTCAATTAGGTTGTTTCCACCTTTGGGCTATTGTAGATAATGTTTCTATGAAAATTGGTGTACAAATACACACTGTCTTTAAGTGTTTATATATATATATATGCATATATTCTAGATGTTTAATTACATTGCATTGACATTAAAATCAATGCCTTTAACATCATTTTATAATTCTTAAAATAGGCTCTTACACATAGTAAAGTTCTTTCACTTGCTTGTTTTTCTTCAATACTTTAAAAAATTAGGCTTTTAAAATTTATATCTGAATTTTACTATCATATTATAGGGTCTCTCTTGAAAAATATTGGATGCTTTGATATTTACTGAGATTATATCTATCAATTAATTTTAGATGAATCCATATATTTAAATTGAGCCTCCAAATCTATGAACATGGTATATCTGTCAGTTTTTTAGTTATTCTATATATCTCTGATAAAGTTCTGTAATGTTCACTGTAGAAGTTTTGCATATTATTCCACTTATTTCTAGGTACTTGATATTGTTGATGCAATTGTTAAGAAAATATTTTTAAATTTTTTCTACCTATTAGTTTGTTGTTGTATTGAAATCCAATTGATTTTTGCATATTGTTTTGGTATGTAGCACTACTGCTAAGCTCTACTAGAATAATTTATCTGTACATTCTATTGTATTTTCTGTATTAACAATATATCACATGAAAATAATGAGAATTTTGTGTCTTCCTTTTCTATTCTCTTATATTCTGTTTTGTTTTCTTGTCTTACTGGAATGACCCACATCTCTAGGTCCATTTTAAATACTCATTCTCAAAGGGAAAGTTTCTAATATTTTAGAATTATTTATTATGTACATTTTAGGCTTTTTGAATATATCCTTTCTCAGTTTCAGAATTTTCCTTTTTTTGACTAAAATTTTTAAACCTGAATAACTTTAATTTTTTCAAGTATGTTTTTTATTTATAGATTAATTTTTTTAATTAAAACAATAATAATTTTTTAATGTTAAATTAAACTTGCATTCCTGGGATTAACCTATCTTTGTCATGGTACATTCGTTTTTTTAACATATTATTGGATTCAATTTGCTGATTTTCTAATCTATCAATTACTGATAGAGATTTGTTAAAATTCACGATGTTGTAAATGTATCTATTACTGTTTTCATTATTTCAATTTGTTTTATGTATTTTGAGACTATCATCAGGCACATAAAAATCTGAAATATCTTCTTGGTGAGCTATAATGATTATTATGAAATGACTTCCAGATTTCTATTAATGTACTTTTTCAAACATCTGTTTTTGTCTGGGGTTAAAATAGCTGTATTAACTTGCTTTTACTTAAAGTTTGTATGCTAAATATGTTCCTATTGCTTTACTTTCAAATTCCTATATCTTTATGTTAAAAAACGTTATTTTATAAATAGTAAATCACTGCATTTTTTTCTGTATTATAATCTTTATCATTTAACCAAAACATTTCGTCTATGTATACTTAATGTAATTTGTGGTACATTTGCGTTTAAATCTCAATCTGTGGTGCTAATTGCCTTACCTATTCTGCGCATCTTTTTCTCTTCTTTCTTCTATTGAATTGATTATATTTAACCAATTTATCTGTTTATAACTGGTAGCCATGGTCTGTTCTGGTTGATTCAGTATTCTTAAAGTTTCAATATACATATTTAGTTTTTAAAGTCTAAATTTAAATGACACCTTTACTTTATTTCCAGAAACTAAAGAAATGTAGATCACTTTAATTTTTTTACCTTCCTGTCCATTCATATGCTACTGTTATCATGTATACCATTACTCTGTGTTTTGAAAATACCACTGATGATCATTATCATCTTTAGTATTTCATTCATAAGCATGCATTTAGCATTTTTTCATGTATTTACCTTTATCATCTCTTTACTGCTTCTTTAAAATTTGGATCTTCTGCATAAGATCATAATTATTTTCTCTAAAATTCAGCCCTAAAATGTATTTTGGTGTTGTCTGCTGGTCTCAAACACTGCTTAGTTGATGTTACTTGTTGTTCTCGCTGTTTTCTTTGACAAGTGTTTATTCACTTACCTGAAAAAGCCTTTATTTTCTTTATAGTTAATATATAAAGATAACTAACACAGAGGTATTCTGAGTCTTGAGTGAGATAACAATTAGAAGCCTTTGCAATGGAAGCCAGATTTCTGGAGGGCCACCTAGAAGAATCTAAGAAGCAGTAGAAAGCCACCCTAGTGAGAACTCCTTTTTCCCTGCATGCATGAGTCACCCTGATATTCTCCTGATGTCTGGAGCACATCACCGAGTGGAGTGAAATCTGCTGTGTAGGAGGCTGGGAGAGGCAGCGCTGGGGCGTCAGGCTCATTTCCTTCTCCCCTCCCAACCTCCCATCCCTTCTGGGACTCCATTTCCCTTTGACTGGAGTCCAGAACTCTGATGGAGAAGAGAGCACTATGAGTAATTATGTCAAGTGAGGGTCCAAAGGTGAGCTTGGCCACATGAAGTAACACAAATTTCCTGAAAAAAAAAAAAGTTGTTGGGTGAAAGAGTATGGATAATAGATGCATAGGAAGGAGCAGTCTGAGGGGCGGGGGAAGGGGAGGAAAAAAAATGAGGTAAAGAACGGTAATTACAGATTACTTCACCTCTGGAAGTACAGGAAAGGACATGCTTCATTCTGCATTTAACAGATGTCTCTGACTTATGCCAAGATGTGCTCATGGATAGTTAGGAGAACTAAACTAACATAATTCCTTCTCTCATGGGAAGACAGATGTTAAAGAGCTGATTACACCAAATTGTAAATAGATTACAAATGGTTTTTTAAATTATTGATAAACAGTTTAGGTGAGAATATTTTTAATATTTAAAATTAATAATAAATGTCCATTTTGAATGAAACATATTTTTACTTATTTAGCAAGTATTAGATTTCAAAAGATATTGTGTTTTAAATTATTATATATGCCTATGCCCACTATATTACCACCACAAATACCAACATTTAGCATACAGAAATGTAAAAGTCAAAGATTCTACCCAAACTATAATGGCATTGGAAGTTTCTTATTAAAATATATCTCTGTTATCAATAAGTTTTGTTGTCATTCACTTTATGATATTCTATGCTATGAATGTTTGCATCCTCCAAAAATTTCTGTGTTGAAACCTAATCATCAATGTGATGATATTAGAAGAGGGGGCCTCTACGAGGTGATTGGGTCATGAGGATGAATCCCTCATGAATGGAATATGTGACCTCATAAAACAGACTCCAGACAGCTTCCACCATGTGAGGACACAGTGAGAAGATGGCCATCTGTGAACCAGGAAGTAGCCCTCACCAGACACCAAATCTGCCACTCTTGGACTTTCCAATCTCCACAAACATGAGAAATATTATTTCTGTTATTTATAAGCTATCCACTGTATGGTATCTGTTATAGCAGCCCAAATGGAACAAGACATAATTAAAAGGACGAAAAATTTAAATTACAAAGACTACCTTTCAGGAAGTACAAACAGGAAAATAATCGGTTACTGACCTCAATGAAGTGATGCTAGAAATTAACAATAAACCAAAAACCAAACTAATGAAAAGCTTTTTTTGCCTGAATATTTTAAGCTAAGTAAACAGAACACCCTCTTAAACAAAATTTTAGTTAAAGAGAAATCAAAATCAAAATTGCATACTTTGGGGTTAGTAGCTGTATGTACAGGATTTTTTTATGAAAATAATAATAATACACTACTGAAAAACATATTAGTAACACCTAAAACAGGGCTCAGAGAAAATCATTAGTCTTAAACACTTCCTTTCATTAAAATTAATGATTTATTTGTCATCCAATCCCAAAAGTTAAAAATGAAGAGTATAAAACTGAGTAAATAGGAAAGAAGATTAATAAACATGGAATTAAAGATAGGTTTCTTAGGAAAAATGATAAACTAATCATTAGCAAGGTCCACATTACAAATAATTAAAATAACAAGTCATTTGCTAAGTAACTAAGAAAGAAAAGAAGAAAACCAAATATATAAATAAAAGATAAGGGTGAAAATTAAAATTTTTAAAAATTAAATAAAACATAAAAACACTATTTTCAGAATATATTTAAATGAATTTGATGCTTGAATGAAACGTATAATTTTCCTGAAAAGTGCATTTAATCAAACTTTATATCAGAAGACAGAAAAAGTCAAAATGAAACACTCAACATAGAAAAAATGTTGTCTGAAGAGGGGAGTGAGGAAGGAAGAAAATAAGAACAAGAGAGGGAAAAAGAAACAGAGACAGAGAGAGGATATAAGCCTAGACTATCTCATGTAGGCATTCTATAAAACATTTAAAGAACATGTAATTCCAATTACAAACTTTTCCAAAATATAAAAAAATTAAAAATCCAAATTACTTTTAGCAGGCAAGAATAACATTGATTTTATACTCAAAGACCACACCAAAGGGAAAAGAAAAACTATAGAACAATATTATTTATAAGTATCTATATTAAAATTACCAAACTAAATTTATCAGTGTCCAGAAACACATAAAAGAGTAAAAATATTTTATATTTTAGGTGTAACCTAGTAATAAGTATGTTTTAATATTATGAAATCTGTTTAAGCATTTACATTAATAGATCTAAAGGAAAATATTTTGATCAACTTCACTGAGGTTTGAAAGTAATTAGAAAATTTCAACAAATATTAAAAATTAAAAATTAGAGAAATATCTCACTCAACACTAAAGTAAACACCATGGTTCAGGAGAAAACATTTGGAACTTCCCCACTAAAGTCAAAGAAATTCAATATTACTAATTCAATTTAACATTATTCTAGAGAGACCAGCTATAAAACTAGATAAAGGATATAAATTAAATGTTACATGTGAACAGGAAAAAAATAAAATTGACATTATTAGACAATGATATCATTGCACACATAGGAAACACAAGAAAATAAGCTGAAAAACAATTGAGAGCACCAAACTTAGAGTTATTAAAGATAAATGGAACCAAAATGTTAAACATGACAAATATTCAATGTTTAAAAGGCTAGGGTAGCTAAATTAGTATCAAAGTATATTTTATTAAAAAATCAGTATCATGGATAAAATGTCACTGCTTAATGATTAAAGCATTGTAAATCTCTTAGCTTACGTTAAACATTAGTTGTTAGTAGCTTGATGTTCAAGACATTTTTATGAAAATGTTTATGTTGCAATTTCTGAATGAAAATTCATATCGTTACAAATCTGAAAATCTCTCACCACTGCCTTTCCTTGTCTTCATCAAAGACAAAGAAAGTGATTGGTAAGATTGGTAACACAAAGTTTTTTATGACCACAATTATTTCATTATTGCCAAGTATCTCATAATTATTAGTTTCTCATAGGCTCAGTCTTCCACATGTATGCCGAAATTCAATCAACTTTGATATCAGAAAAGTAGGAAAGAAAGTGCTGTTTAATAAAGTTTGCTGAGTATAAATTGTAAATTTGGGGATGTGTAAGTGGGGCAGCACAAAAGATGTTAATAGGCAACACATAATGGCAGCCAACACCCTGGGGTTGATTCTGAAGCCTTGGTACCTTCTACCTCCTCCCATGGACACCTCCATATGACCAAGCTGGGTTTGCTGACCTTAATGCTCAAGAAATGGAGAGAGGTTACACTTATCAAATATTTGAAAAGTAGCTTGAATAAACTAAATGAGAGAGTAAAGGTTTAGCTTGATTACACTGTTTTCTGATATTGCAGCATGGCGCCAGATGAAAATTGAGAAATGCCTCTCCTGAGCATTAATAATAGGGCCTCAAAAGAACCCTCAATGAAGCAAAGAGGAATTTATGGCAAAAGGAACTGATGCTTCAAGGTGGGTATCCATTGTTACCAACATTACTATGATGACTGCCCTAAAGAATAAATAAATATGAAGTAATTGTTTATTTACAATCTTTTCAGATGTGTTTTTAGCTCATTAATGAAGATTGTCTGGAGGTTTCTCTGATGGAACAACTCAACTGCACTATGTACATACGACATCAAAATATAGAACCCACTGTCAACTGGACTACTCTGGATGGACATTGTCTATCATTTCAAGAAAATGAGTAAGTTAGAAAAAGTGTGAAAAGTTATAACATATTTATTTGATATTTATTTTTTTCCCAAAAGCAAAATAACACCAGCCTGAAAATCAGAACAATGGCAATTCATACTGAAGTCCTGAGTAGAACAGAACATTTCTGGTAGCTTTATGTCTGATATGTAATAGCACATACTGTACAAACAAAGCAACATTGCCTTTGTAAATTATTTCACTGAATACCAGAGAAGAATCATATTCTCCTGGTAGCCAGGTTGAAGCAGAGTATTAATGTATATTTGTAGTTGATGGTAAATGATATGACACACAGACATAACTTTCCTTTTACACAAATACAAAGCCCCTGACTATATTCCAGAGTATTCAAGGATCTGAGGGCATAATATGGACTCCCAACTAAATCAACAGCATCAGCAGCTTAACTAAACCCCCAAAGCATCATCATACATGTTAGAATAATCATTATTGGCCCACTGTGAGATTTCAATGTGCCCAGTTCTGGTTGAGATCAGTTTCAACTAGAAAAGCCTCTCCTCGGGCAGATACAGATTATCATTCTGAGATATGATTTTTAAAAAGCACTACTGAGTAAAGCAAGAGCCCTTGATAAGTTTCTTATTTAGAACTCTAATGAAAGCTTGGATCTTTATGGAGTCAAGCAACAGCTTTGTGGAATTGTACATCTCAATCCAAAAAGTAAGGGAAACAATGGAGTTTTACTCAATCTTGAGCATAAGCTGGTATTAGAAATAATATCAAAAATATCTGTGAGACATAGAGTTCAGTGTTTACTTGAACCAATGCTGAGAATTCCAGAAACATACACCAGGGTGCATTGGCAGGACTCAGATGTGGCAGGAAATTATTATTATTATTTTTTTTGGTTTGGATGTTGTCTTTTAATACAAAGATTTTTCCAGAACCATCACACTGAAGAGCATCTTTTCAAATTAATATAAATCTACTAGATTAAAAAAATTAGACTTCCATTCCCAGTCATAGGAGATAAACTGATAATGCATTTTCTATCCTTCCACTGTTGTCATCAAACTTAATAAATACAAGAAAATTTAAAAGAAACATTTTTAGACACTGAAGAAGAAGGAACACAGAAATGTGATTTCTTAGAGATGGGAAGTGAGGGAGGTAAGCCCTACAATTACCCTGGCTTTCTGCCTGAAGATACTTTCAGTGCTGTAGAATAAGGAGGAACAATCCAAACAGAGCATAGAGACCTCACACAGATGAAGAAACAAGGACAGGCACTTGGACAGATTGAGTTAACTCGATTTGCAGAAGAGTGGCAAAGAGGAGGAAACTATGAAGAGAAAGAGTTCCCAGTAATCTAAAGTATCCATCAAGTCTATTTCTAAATACAAAGCTACACATATGTGCATAGGGAAAGACTAAATGAGGCTGGAAAAAAAAATGACTGAGGTGCTAATAATTAAATGGTTCTCAGGGTTCACAGCGGGCTAGAAAATGTTTACATTCTATCTAGTAAAAATGGATAGATGTTGTTAGACTCTGACATATTTAGTAGAGCCTTCAGAATGGTTACACCTCAGTAGTAAGGCTAAATTAACCCTAGAATAAACAGTATGCTAGATAAATCCTAATAATTTAAAATAAACTCAAAAAACTCAACCTAATCCACTCACATGTAACTTAGCTACTTACGGAACAAAATCCAACATTCAGAGACACAAAGACATTAACAAATTGAACACAGTAATATATATACTCTATAAATATTTTACATATTATTTACTTAGTAAAATATCATGATCAAGAGAGATTTATCAAGAATGGAAGATTTATGTATGTGGAAACTAATGCAGTTTATCATATTGGCAATAAAGAGAGAAAACAGAATAAATTATTTCAATAGATACAAAGTAAGCATTTGATAAAAATAACTCCAATGTATGATAAACACTGTCAGCATTTTGAGAACAAACAAAAAAAATTAACTAATAAAGAGCATCTATGGAAAAACTACAACTACCATAATTCTCATTAGGGAAATAAACACTTTCCCCCCAAAATAAGAAAAAATGATTAGTGTCCTCTCATAACTTCTAGTCTACATGGTACTGGAGGTCTTAATGCAGTAAGGCAAAAAATTTTTAAAGGCACATAGATGATAAAGAACAAGCAAAACTTGTGTTTATTCTCAAATAGAAAGCCCTAAATGACTCCTAGAACAAGTAAGTAAATTGAACAATGGTTGCAGTTTACAAGGTCAGTATAAAAAACTTTTATTTCTATATACTAGCAACAAACTACTGAAAAATGAAAATTTAAAATACCATTTACAATATAATATATATAGAGAGAGAGAAAGAGAAAATATATAATTATAGTAATTTAAAAACAGCATGTAGACATATCATTTTCAAGCTGTGAAATACCAAATCATTTAAAAATTTTTAAATAAGCAAAGGTAATAGAAGTACATCACTTTCAAAGGAGCAAGAATGAGATTGGCATTTATCCACTGATGTTACAAAAGCCAGCCAAGAAGTTAATGACATTTTCAAGGTTTCGAAAGAGAAATAGTGTTCATATTTGAATCATATATTCTACTAAAATTCTATAAAAATATAGAATTATATATAGAAAAATATAGAAAATATATTCTATAAAAATACCCATATAGAGAATCATATATTCTATAAAAATATCCATCGCAAATTAAGTTCAACTAAAACATTTTCAAATAGAGCCTCAGAGAAGTGCTCACCTACATAACTGAACTAAATGAAATAAAGAATATTTATTCTTTAAATAAGGTGGTTAATCATTGGGAATAAAAAGAGGGTCATCTTCAAAGTGTATGACAGCACTGGGATCCTGGGGGACTTTGAAAGCCCACCAAAAAATTTCTTCGAATTCCCAAATGGTTTCAAGGATAGAACAGGAATGTATTGTTTCATTGCATCTGGAAGAAGAAAAATGGATGGACATCAGCTGTTCTTTGGTGACCACACAGCCTTAACAATTACATCGGCAGTCTTTATAAACAGTTTAACTAACATAAGACTCATGGTAGATGAGAAAGTTGGGAGCTGCTATGGGAATGCCACAGATGTCACCCTAAATAGGAAGACAATACTGTACCTTATGAGGAAAGGGTTTTGTGTGCTTTCTATAACAAATGGGGCTTCTCTGGAACCTGCTATTTACACACACTTTCCTTTAGGTGCTCCTTCTACTCATTCATTTCAAATTTGAAGCCCGGCACATCCCTAAGTCCTACAGTCTTAGCTTTGTGCTTGACTACTTGCCTTTACAGACTGGTTATACCAATGGCCTTTGGTGAGAGGATATTAAAGTTAGCAATTGTTGACATTTGTCCTTCCCGTATTGAAAGTGGTCATTTTTAAGTCTCATAATTTGTTATGTTCAACGTATTTTTAAAAAAATTCTTTCACATTGGGATTAAATGCATTAAAGGAATGGAAATTATTCTTCTGCATTAATCTCATTGACAAATATTTATTAGATACTCCCTCTGAGCTGGGAATTATAAGAAAAATAAAATAGGAGAACAACTTCTTGTATGCTCTTCCTATTATGGGGTTAAAATGTATATTCTCTTTAATACTAGAAAATAAGAACCAAGTGAGTGGTGTAGATGAGTGGTTACTAAATGCACACGATAATCAGAATGATCTGGGTAGTTTAAAATTTCAAAAGCCTGGATCCAATCCTCAAAGATTGCAATCAGTACAATCAGTAGGACTGAGCTGAGTCTTAGGCACTGGGGTGTGGGCATGGTTTTTTAAATATAATTTTTGAATACATTATTTATACATCAATGTAACAGTTAAAAATTGTAAAAGGGTAATCAGGTGAAAATGTTTCTCTGAATAGGAACACTTTTACACTGTTGGTGAGAGTATAAATTAGTTCAACCATTGTGGAAGACAGTCTGGCAATTCCTCAAAGATCTAGAACCAGAAATACCATTTCACCCAGCAATCCCATTACTGGGTATATACCCAAAGGATTATTAATCATTCTACTATAAAGACACATGCACACATATATTTATTGCAGCACTATTTACAATAGCAAAGACTTGGAACCAACCCAAATGTCCATCAATGATAGACTGGATAAAGAAAATATGGCACATATACACCATGGAACACTGCAGTCATTAAAAAGAACGAGTTCATGTCCTTTGCAGGGACATGGACAAAGCTGGAAACCATCATCCTCAGCAAACTAACACAGGAACAGAAAACCAAACACCACATGTTCTCACTCATAAGTGGGAGCTGAACAATGAGAACACAGGGACACAGGGAGGGGACCATCACACACTGGGGTCTCCAGGGGGGTGAGGAGCAAGGGGAGGGAGAGCATTAGGACTAATACCTAATGCATGCAGGGCTTAAAACCTAGATGACGGGTTGATAAATGCAACAAACCACCATGGCACAGGGATACCTGTGTAACAAACCTGCACGTTCAGCACGTGTATCCCAGAACTTAAAGTAAAATAAAATTAAAATTAAAATTAAAAAAGAGTTTCTCTGAGCCTGTTTCTTTGTTTGCCTTGTGAGAGACAAACCACTCTTACAAATTTCTCAATTCCTCTCTACACACACACACACATCCCTCTTTAAAAAGTTAATATTGCATACACAGTTGTTTTTTTTTTTACCTTGACTCTTAATAGAACCTGACATTGTTTTATATCTTCAGGGGAAAAATAAAACATCTGGACAAAATGTGTCAATATTAAGACCATTGCTTTGGCCGAGCACAGTGGCTTATGCCTGTAGTCCCAGTACTTTGTGGGACCGAGGTGAGAGGATCTCTTAAGACCAGGAGTTCAAGAGCAGCCCAGGCAAAATAGTGAAATCCCATCTCTACAAAAGTATAAATACAAAAATAAAAATAAAATTAGCTGTGTGTGGTGGCACACTCCTGTAATTGCAACTACTCAGGAAGCTGAGGTGGGAGGATCACTTGAGCCAAGGAAGTCGAAGCTGTAGTGAGCTGCAATCATGCCACTGCACTCCAGCCTGGTTGACAGCAAGACCCTATAAAAAAAAAAAAATCATTTTACATATGCCGGAATTATTGCCCCTAAATACCATATATACCAAGGTATGTCTGTTTGTAATTTTCACTGTAAACTAGTTATATACGTTTGAAGAGGAGTTTTTAAAAGAACAAAACTGTCATTACCAAAATGCATATGACCAGTCTGCCATGAACATGACAGTGGAAAAAGTACAGAGTGGACCTCTTTTAAAATGTGAAGTTATTTTCTCCATGTTTATTTCTTCTTATTATTCTCATAAAGGCTTTTTTATAATTATTGCTTGCAGCCAAAGCCGAGAAGTTACAAAATATGTTTACATCAAAAGAGAAGGAAACATGTAATATTTGAGAAATATAAAATGAGGCATAGTAACATTTAGCCTGAAAAATTGGAAGACCCTGGACTGTCCTACACTAAAGACAGTGGTCAATGAAAACTGAACTTAATACCTTGCTACTTGGTACAATCTAGTTTTCTTAGTCTTTTAAGTCTTGAAATAAAAGTCCATTATATCTGAGAGGCAAATAATTATGATATTGATATTACCTTAGGCTTTAGGTCCAATTCTTTAAGCCTAGTTAAACTTAACCAAGTAAGTTTGACCATCAGCATCTCAACTGTCAGAAAAGATTGTATAAATATATTTGTTTTCATAAGACAAGCATATATATGGCAAGCAGGATAATTCACTTTTCTGCCACAGATTTAATTTTCCTTTCTATAAATTTGGAAAGATGAACTATATCAGAGGTTAGAAAACTATGGTCCGCGTCCCAAAGCCAGCTAGTCACCTGTATTCATTTGGAAAGTTTTCTTAGAACACAGGCACATTCATTTATTTACGTATTGCATATGGCTATTGTGTGCCTCAATGTGAAAGTTGAATAGTGGCCACTAAGACCATATGACCACAAAGCCAAAAGTATTTACAGGAGTTTGGCAACCCCTGAACCAGATAATAGTTATTAAAGCTTTATATTAGTAGAGCACCTGCTATATCCCATATACAATGCTAACAACTTTATATGATATATTTCATTTATATTTGTAAAAATATATAAAATGGGTACTGAACTTTAGAGTGGTTCCTAAACTCATCTTTGGATAGCTGATCCAAACTCAGGTATGATGACTTTAAATTGCACATTCTGAAACATTGAGGCTCCATCTGGCTCTAAAGACTTGATGTCTAATTTATGGAATGTTTATAGTACATAAGACAAGATACAAAGGACTTAAGAAGCTAGAGCCATGAGTAAAATGCAGATTTGTTCAATAGGTTATCTGAGGACAGATATGATGTATTTCTTTTTGCTTCCCTAGTAACTATCACAGAACTGTCATATAGTTGTCAACTGCTAAAAATTGTATGAATGCATCAAGTCTGTGGGCTTAAAGGATGTTAATATTGTATGAGATGAGAAAAGACAATGCATAACCATGATAGAAGTCAGATATAGAGTACTCCCATAAACAACATAGGAAAAGTAAAATGTGCTATTCAGGAGGGAGCAATCCAAGTTGAAGTTATTCATAATGCCTTTAAATAAGGACATACATAGTAGTGGATTGAAGCTTAGACCTCGTTGCAGAAGCTATCTTCCAGCATGCAGCCTGAAATTCCTGTTTATTCTCCAAAGCATATAACAATGTCATAAATCTGGAAAGAGCTGGGAGTACAAATTCCAACTACTATCTAATTTACCTGTACACTTTCTCCAACAGGTAGATCCCCTGGATGGGGGTTTACTTTCTAATTGGATAATATCTTGATTATCTTTATAATATCACCTCATTCAAAACACTTGCTGGAATCATTCCTAATACCCTGTGACAAATCTCTAGGAAATCTCAGGAAGGTGAGTTCCAAATCCTAAACAACAAAGGGATTGAGTGATACTATATGGTTATCAATGTATTAGAGTGAAAGAGCCCCAAAACAACCAACAAAATCCACAAAACCCGGGAATGCTGGGGTTGGTTAAATATTTTCTTTTATGTATTATGTAGGATTGGTGAGTATGAGCAATATCAGCAGACTCTGGGGTAGAGTAATGGTCTCTGACTATCTAGAACCTGGTTCTGCAATGATAAGTTTGAATATTGCCACCTAGAGTGTAAAAGCCCGATGGAATAGGTGGTTCAGGGTATGAGAACTGGATTTTCTATATACATATGAAAGTTTACTATATTTAAGAATTGGCTAACTCTGGGAGGGGAAGTTTCTCCTCAGTCAGTAAGCCCCTGGGTGCCAGAGTTTCAAGAATATAGAAAATTAGAAAATGTAATTAACACATATGTTTCACTGAGTTATAAGTTAAAGTAAAATAAGAGTCTTAAGTGTACATTATAATAAATTATTTATATTTGTATACACCCATTGAATCACCTCCTAGATCAACATTAAAACTTTGCCAGTTCTACACACCTATCACTTTGAAACTACTCATGAATGGAAGGTGTATTAGTCTGTTTTCACACTGCTGATAAAGACATACCTGAGACTGTGCAATTTATGAAAGAAAGAGGTTTATTGGACTTACAGTTCCACATGGCTGGGGAAGCCTCACAATCATGGTGGACGGCAAGGAGGAACAAGTCACGTCTTACATGGATGGCAGCAGGCCAAGAGAGATCTTGTGCAGGGAAACTCCTGCACAAGTGATCTCATGAGACTCATTCACTAACATGAGAACAGCACAGAAAAGACCCACCCCCATAATTCAATCACCTCCCACCAGGTTCCACCCATAACACTTGGGAATTGTGGGAGTTACAATTCAAGATGAGATTTGGGTGGGGACACAGACATATTATATCACTCCACCCCTGACACCTCCCAAATCTCATGTCTTCACATTTCAAAACCAATCATGCCTTCCCAACAGTCCCCCAGAGTCTGAACTCATTTCAACATAAACTCAAAAGTCCACAGTCCAACATCTCACCTGAGACAAGGCAAGTCCTTTCTGCCTATAAGCCTGTAAAATCAAAAGCAAGTTAGTTACTTCCTAGATACAATGGGGGTACAAGCATTGGGTAAATACAACACTTCTAAATGGGAGAAATTAACCAAAATAAAGGGGCTACAAGGCCCCATGCAAGTCCAAAATCCAGCAAGGCAGTTAAATCTTAAAATTCCAAAATGATCTCCTTTGACTACATGTCTCATATCCAGGTCACACTGATGCAAGAGGTAGGTTCTCATGGTCTTGGATAGCTCTATCTCTGTGGCCTTGCAGGGTACAGCCTCCTTCCCAGCTGCTTTCACAGGCTGATGTTGAGTGTCCATGGCTTTTCCAGGTGTGCTGTGCAAGTTATCAGTAGATCTACCATTCTGGAGTCTGGAGGACAGTGGCCCTTTTATCACAGCTCCACTAGGCAGTGCCCCAGTAGGGGCTCTGTGTGGGGGCTCTGACCCCACATTTCCCTTCTGCACTGCCTTAAAAGAGGTTCTCCATGAAAGCCCTGACCCTGCAGCAAACCTTTGCATAGACATACAGGAGTTTGCATACATCCTCTGAAATCTAGGCGGAGGTTCCCAAACCCTAATTTTTTATTTCTGTGCAATGGCAGGCTCAACACCATGTGGAAGCTGTCAAGGCTTGAGGCTTGCACCCTCTGAAGCTTTAGCTTGAGATCTACATTGGCCCCTTTCAGCCATGGCTGAAGTGGCTAGAACAGAGGGCACCAACTGCCTAGGCTGCACACAGCACAGGGACCCTGGGCCTGGCCCACAAAATCACATTTTCCTCCTAGGCCTCTAGGCCTGTGATGGGAGGGGCTGCTACGAAGATCTTTGACATGCCCTGGAGACATTTTCCCCATTGTCTTGGGGATTAACATTTGACCCCTCCTCATTACTTATCCAAATGCCTGCAGCTGGCTTGAATTTCTCCTCAGAAAATGAGATTTTCTTTTCTATTGCATTGTCAGGCTGCAAATTTTCCTAACTTCTAAGCTGTTTCCTTTTTAAAACTGAATGCCTTTAACAGCACCCAAGTCACCTTTTGAATGCTTTGCTGCTTAGAAATTTCTTCTGCTAGGAGAATGTCATGAATCCGGGAGGCGGACTTGCAGCCAGCCGAGATTGTGCCACTGCACTCCAGCCTGGGTGACAGAGCAAGACTCCATCTCAAAAAGAAAGAAAGAAAGAAAGAAAGAAAGAAAGAAAGAAAGAAAGAAAGAAAGAAAGAAAGAAAGAAAGAAATTTCTTCTGCTAGATATCCTAAATCATCTCTCTCAAGTTCAAAGTTCCACAAATCTCTAAAGAAGGGGCAAAATGCCACCAGTCTCTTTGCTAAAACATAATAAGAGTCACCTTTGCTGTAGTTCCCCACAAGTTCCTCATCATCATCTGAGACCACTTCAGCCTGGACTTTATTGTCCATATCCCTATCAGCATTTTGGGCAAATCCATTCAACAAGTCTCTAGGAAGTTTCTAACTTTCCTACCTTTTCCTATCTTCTTCTGAGCCCTGCAAACTGTTCCAACCTCTGCCTGTTGCCCAGTTCCAAAGTCGCTTCCACATTTTCAGGTATCTTTTCAGCAGCACCCTACTCTACCAGTACCAATTTACTATATTAGTCCATTTTCATGCTGCTGATAAAGACATACCCAAGACCGGGCAATTTACAAAAGAAAGAGGTTTAATGGACTTACAGTTCCATGTGGCTGGAGAAGCCTCACAATCATGGTGGAAGGCAAGGAGGAGCAAGGCATGTCTTACATGGATGCCAGCAGGCAAAGAGAGAGCTTTTGCAAGAAAACTCTCATTTTTAAAACCACCAGATCGCATAAGACTCATTCACTATCACAAGAACAGTGCAGGAAAGACCTGCCCCCATAATTCAATCACCTCCCACCAAGTCCCTCCCATGACACTTGGGAATTGTGGGAGTTACAATTCAAGATGAGGTTTGGGTGGGGACACAGCCAAACTGTATCAGAAGGCATTTGTCCTCATCTACAACAGTGGCCCTTTAGCCACTCAAAAACTGCCTACCCTTCAATTCTGATGTAGTATCCTCATTCCAACTCAATCCAGCTCTTTTCCACTCATGGGCCTATGCTTTGACCAAGAGGTTATAGAAAACTCAGGTAGAAGCCACTTACTTTCCTTTATCCAGTCTCCAAAATTTATTTTTATGTCAAATAGCCTACAGGGGACCAAAGGCTAATGATGATTAAGCAGCCTTCAGTCATGGAAGGAGGAACTATGAGAAGGGGCCAGCTGCCTAGTGATGACATTCTGGGATCATCAAAGCCTATTTTCTGGAAGGCAGGATAGGCCATGCTTTTCAATTATGATGCATGTGGTGTGAGGATAGGGGGAAAAAACACACAAACAAAAGAATCATAAATAATTTGTCTCAGAAGACAGAACACCAAGTAACAAAGATACAAAGATGATTTCCCACATGGTCATAAATTGAAGAAGAATATGGAAAGCTTCCACCCTTAGTCTCCTGAGGCAGTGAAGAACTTGGCTTTCATAAAATAAAACATAACCAGTTACCATAGATACACTGAGGTGAAAAATATTTCTCGTATTCAAAAAAGTTCCAGACTAGTTTTAAATCTTAGAATGCACCTGAAACATTCTGGAAATTGTCTTTCTTTCTAATTGAGCATTCCCAAACCCACTTGACATCCCAGTGGCTTTAGTGTCCTTACAACAAAATGACATTCACCATCTTCTGCATTTAATTTTAAGAACTGAGGCCACCTGCATCTGCACAGCTTATCGGGATTGAGATCTGGAGCCACTGTGTCAACATGACTTTCCTATTTGTTCCAAGAAATTCTTGGCCAGGAAGATAAAGCTGTAAACCAATAAATAACTTCACTACTGGCTCCAGGAATTTCCTAAAAGCCAATAGATTTGAACAAACAGTTTGCTCATCTGGTAAAGAGCTCTGCTCTAGGAACAATGGGTTGTTCACTTGGTCAAACAGCTAATTTATCAAACTACTGTTTACTAATCCAAAATTCCCTCAAGCGTCATGCCTTGCTGTGTCCATCAAACCAAAAATATTACTTCATGAACTTTACCCAATTCAAGTTAAATGTGTGCATGGAAAGACCTGTCTTAAAGCACTCTGTCCCAGAGCCCAAACTCTAGCAAATTTCTACCCCTGACCTCTGCTTTCTGAAACACTGTTAAGACCCTGTCAAGGTGATGTCCTCCCTTACTGCAGTAGGTTCAATAAATTTTGCTATTTGACCGCATGTTCTCACTCATAGGTGGGAATTGAACAATGAGAACACTTGGACACAGGAAGGGGAACGTCACACACAGGGGCCTGTCGTGGGGTGGAGGGAGCGGGGGAGGGAAAGGATTAGGGGATATACCTAATGTAAATGACGAGTTAATGGGTGCAGCACACCAACATGGCACATGTATACATATGTAATAAACCTGCATGTTGTGCCCATATACCCTAGAACTTAAAGTATAATAAAAAAATAAATAAATAAAAATAAATTTTGCTGTTTGAATAGCAAGTTATTTTAGCTGTCTTTTGAGGAGTTGATAGTCAATCCTTCCTGTCTATATCAGACTGTGAACTTCAATTTCCCCACTATCCCAATAACTAAATAGATAAATGCCAGTAACCATGGTGAGAATACAGAAGGGCAGGCTACTGAGAAAATGTATAGAAAACTTACTATACCTTTAGGCATTTCAAACTAGCTTGTCCAAAACAAATAAGACCACAGTGTTATCTATAATGAAAAAAAGAGATGTTGTCATGTATATGTATAGTCATGAATCATCAAATACCTTGTTTTAATTTTTAAAAAATTTGAAACAAGATCTCACTCTGTTGCCCATACTGGAGTGCAGTGATGTGATCGTGGCTCACTGCAGCCTTGAACTCTCAGGCTCAACTGATCCTCTCACTTCAGCCTCACAAGTAGCTGGAGCTACAGACTACAGGTGTGTGCCACTTCACCTGGTTATTTTAATTTTTTAATTTTTGTAAAGACAGGGTCTCACTGTGTTGCCCAGGCTGGGCTCGAACTCCTGGCCTTAAAAGATACTCCTGCCTAGGCCTCTCAAAATGCTGGGATTGCAGGCATCAGCCACCACTTCCGGGCCAAATATCTTTAAAATACTATAGTCAGATTGTCTGAGTCACAGACCAGATTTTTCTACTAAGAAGTAATAATATCTGAAGAGACAGAGAAAAGAGATATTTCAAGTACAACTTTGTAACACACATTTTGTTGTTCCAAATAGCTCCTCAACCCTCATTCCTATCCCCATCAATTCCTTTCCTTCTTCTCTTGGTAAATGATTTATTTGACCCAAAGGGTCCAATAATGCTGTTTGTGTTATTTTGGAATGTTGAAATTCCCATGCAGGCTCAGTTTTATCAGCCTGAAAATTTTCTTCCTTCCTTCCTTTCTTCCCTTCTTCCTTTCTTTGTTTGATTTGCCCCTTCTGTTGCTTGCAATATATAAATAGTTCTAATTATGCTACGTTATTCTATATTATTCTGTGTTAATTATTACATGGAAATGTCTAAAATATACAGCATTATAAATAGTACATTAAAACTATTTGAAAACGTTTGAAAAATTTTCTGCTCATTTATATTTATGCCACTTGGCCTCACCATCCACTATCACCTACCAGCCTGGTAGTCACATGCTCTGTGTCTTTTTAAGAGTTTTTATTTATTATTGACTGATTAATTACTTATTTATATCTAACCCAAACTATAGAATTAACTATTTTTTTAAATTGTGGTTATCCAAAAGAATAACTCATAAAACATCTAAGTGTTACAATTTTTGTTTGCTTGTTGTGTTTTAAAATGTAGTTTTTATTATTATTCAGGTATGGTGAGGCCAACAGATAATGAGATAATTGCCATTGAAAATATAGTTTATTACAATGTCCCATGGGGCGGAGGACATGCTATTGTCACTCAGAGCCATACAGGGATGCACAGGACTGGTCAAGAGGCAGGATGAGTGAGGGGAAAGAATGGCAGGAGCCCCTGTAGTGGTATCCACAGGAAAGGCAAGGCAGGGCTCAGCAGGCTTAGGATTGGCTAGTTTGAGCAATAACAGAAAACCCCAGGGTATAGTAACTGTCTCTAATTGTCTAATACCTGGCCCTAGAATGATAAGGATAGAATTATATTGCCACCTAGAGTAGAAAAGCCAGATGGAAGAGGTGGTTCAGAGTATGGGAACTGGATTTTTCATTTACATATGAAAGCTTACTATGTTTAAGAATTAGCTAGCTCTGGGAGGAAAAGTCTCTCCCCAGTCAGTGAGGCCTCAGGAGCATCAAGAATACAGAAAATTAGAAAATGTAATTAACACATAATACATGTGTTTTGTTGAGTTATAAGTTGCATAAAGTAAAATAAAGGAGTCTTATGTGTACAGCATAATAAATTATTTATATTTGTATACACCCACGGAATCACCTCCCAGATCAATGTTCAATCACGGCCGTAACTTTAGAAGCTCTCACTGGCTCCTTTTCCAGTTAATACCTGCCCCTCCCAGCAAGGTCAACATTATTGTGACTAGATTTGCCTGATCTTAAACTTCATAATGGAATTACACATTGTGAATGTACTCATTTCTCTTTGGTGTATATCTAGGAATAAAATTGCTAAATCATAGAGTTGGTGAATCTGTAATTTTGGTGGATACTGCTGAACATTTTTCAAAGTAGTTAAAACATTGAACTATCTCACCAACAATGTACAAGAATTTCCATTATTCTACATTCTTGCCAACATTTCTAATTGACAGTCTTAATTACGCTGGTAGTGGGGTACTTGTGTCTAATCATGGTTTTAATTTCCATTTCCCTGCTGAGCAATGATGTTGAACACCTTTACATGTGTTTGCTGTAAGTACACTCTGTTGCTACATACATCTTCTCAAGACTTTTCCTATTGTTAAATAGAATTCTCTGTACTTCTCTTATGTGATTTGTAGAAATGTTCAAATCTATTCTGGATGTGAGACCTCTGTTGGATAAATATTTTGAAAATACTTTCTCCCATACTGTGGTTTGCCTTTTGCCTTTCTTAATGAGGTCTTTTGATAAACAGACCAATTTATCATTTTTTATTGTATTGTTCATGTTTTGTGAATACTGTTTAGACATTTTCATCAACCTTTCAAACGTTATGAAAATATTCTCCTAAAAGCTTTATTGTTTTACTTTTTAGCTATAGGTCTATATTGCACATTGAATTAATTTTTGTGAATGATGTGAGATAAAATTATCCATATCACCAAAACTTTCTTGATTACGTTTGCCATGCAGATGAACAATCCCTTCTTGAACTGATGTATTGAGAGTAAAAAGGTTGTAAACCTCTTGATATCATCATAGCTTAGCTGCAATGATTAGTGGAAGCCAGGTTTTAGAATTTTATAATCACAATTGATATGTGCAATTCAGGACAAACACAACAAATACACTCAAAAAAATGAAGCCAACACAATCTTGACTTTTTTAGGATTCACATAAGCTGGGACATCTAAACTACAAAGCATAAGCTTTGCTCTTCCTTAAAAGTTATTTTTGGAGTTCCTTAACATAGATGTCTACATTAGGTAAAATTTTATTTTATTTTGTTTTACAGTTTTTGATTATAAAGTGTTATGCAAACCCCAAAATCGATCAACTTTCCTTGACATAGTCAACAATGATGTATCTCATTCATTTAAGCTATTTAGGCCAAAATAGTCACACGAAGGTTTCCACTAAATGTAATGAGATAAACTTTGGAAAATCTATCTAAATTGCATTTTAGCATTTAATAAAACTACGAAGGAAAGACTACACTAATGAAAGAAGGGAACACAAAGCTTTTTTCATTACAGAACTTAAGACTTACCCAGTCACTTGAACTGGAAGGTGATTCCCATGTTAAGTTCTGTCTGAAACCCACAGGTAGATTGTGACTCTGAATTCTGTGATAAACCAGAATCTTTGACTAGCACTAAATGTGGTAGGTGAGAAAAATACAACAGCCTCAAAGGAAACTCCACAGTGTAGCTGTTTTCTCATTATCCTTCATTTTTCCATAAATATATATATATATTGATTGCTAATTTTTATTCTAGAACTGTAATTTTGAACAGCAAAGTCATGGTCCTAGTTTTCTTGAAGCTTCTGTTGTAATATGGTAAGTAGGTCAAAACAAAGACCAGAGGAAAAACAATTGCTAGTTATAATTACAAGAATGAAAGAGAGAAAATGCTGACAGTGAAAATAGAACCCAGGTAGACCTTTAAATGATGGTCAAGGAGAGCCTCAGCAAGGAAATATACAGTGTCCAGGGAAAAATTAAGTAGCCCTGAAAAACATCCATGTCATCTCGCATGCAAATTATTCACTGAGAAAAGCTAGAGAGCAAATGGACACGAGGAAGGGGTATTGATTAACTTGCTTATTCATCTGACTTTGAAAACGGAGGGGCGAAGAAGAGATACTGACAGATTCCTAAAACACCATGAGGAAAGGACCAAGGTGACCTCAATCAGTGGTTCTCAGCAGGAGATCCATGAAAGCCAGAATCATCAAGTCCTCTAAGCCCACTTGTGCCTACTAACATTAATGTACAAAATATAATTCATTCTTAGTGGGCAACAGAGTCCCAGCCCATAGCCTGAAAAAAAAAAAAAAAATCTCAGGATCCAGAGAGAAAGTTTGGCCTTGTAGACTTTGATCTGGTTGACCTGGAGTCATGGGACATAAAGTATTCCAACTTTATTCTCTCCAGCTGAAGTTTATTCTAGCCTTTGCCACTGATGTGGTTTATTATTTTTAATGGTGTTCCATGCAAGAACACAACATATTCCTCAAACAGACAGAGCCTTGGTTTACTCCACAAAATAATTCCTCTTCTTCCAGTGATTCTGAAACATTCTCAGCTAATATAAAAAGCATTTCAATATTTGTCATTCCGCATTGTTATCTAAACAGTTTCTATTTACAGTGTATAGGCATCTTCCTCTGGCACAGAAAACATCACTTTTTTTCTTTCTGTTTTATTAGGTCCAAGGTAGAAAAAGAAACAATTCTAAGAATTTTTTTCTAATCTCCTTCAGTTCTTTTTCTGTGAATACTTTGAGCTTCTCTCACAATTAAATAGAAAAAAACAGCACAGACATTTTCTCTGAAGGCTCTGGATTCATTTCACCAAGTATACTCTGAACTTGAAAAGTTTCAGAATGTTGACATTTATAAATTAGGATTTCTGGCAACCAGATCTTGTGCCCCTGTAATAAAAACACTACTAAATTTTTATAGAAACTGTTTGGCAAGATGACATCTTGTTGTCCAATCTGTAGCTGTAACAGACAGGAAGAATGCTAGATGATTTTTCCTGTTTCCTTCCTCAAAGGCTAAAATTAGAAGAAACACCATTAGATAGATACTGTTCTTTTAGAAATAATATGCTCATCAAAGACTTGAAATTATTCCTAGAGAATGAAAAATAAGTGTCTCAGAGAATGCAAGAGGAAACACGGTGAAATATGTTTATAAAACTTAAGCCAGAATGTTGAAGCTTCTCCAGTTGGAGGATGGATGGATGGTTAGAAAGATAGACAGACAGATAAAAAAAATAGATGATAGATAGATAGGCAGATCTTTATATCTATAGATATCTATAAATCTCTATATCAATAGATAGATACATAGGTAGAGTTATGGCCATAACTGTGTTCTTCCCCAAAATTCATATACTGAAGTTCTAACCCCTAGTAACACAAACATATGACTGTATTTGGAGATAGGGCCTTTAAAGTGGTAACTGAGGTTAGATGAGGTCATTGAAGTGAACCCTAACCCAATGGCTGGTTTCTTTGTAAGAAGAAAGATTAGAAAACAGACTAGCACGGACAAAAAACTATGTAAAGACATGGGAGAAGACAGCTATCTACAAGCAAAGGGAAGAGGCCTCAGAGGAAAACGACCTTGCTGATACTTTGATCTCAGACTTCTAGCCTCCAAAGCTGTGAGAAAATAAATTTATCTGATGTAAGCCACCACTATTTTTCATGGCAGCCCTAGCAAACTTATATGTGTATGTGTTTGTGTGCACTGTATGTGTCCAACACAAATGCAACCTACACAATATCTACAAATACCATCTTTTTTGATGGTGGTGTTAGATGTGCAAAGCTCATGGGAGATGACAATTATGCTGATGACAATCTCTGTTACCTACAGCATATCTGGCTGCTACTATTAAATTCTGAATACATACATTTTTAAATGATCCTTTCGTAATGCTTCAGTTACTATTATTTTGCAACAAACTACTCTCACACTTAATGTCATAAACAACCATTTTGTTCATGAATTCTGCAGGTCAGGAATTCAGATAGGTGCTATGGTTTGAGTATTTGTCTCTTCCAAAACTCATGTTGAAACTTAATCCCCAATATGGTTGTCTTGAGAGGTGGAGCCTTCAATAGGTGTTTGACTCATGCCAGCTCTGCCCTCATGAATGGATTAATCCATTATTCGACTAATGGGTTATCATGGGAGTGGGACTTGTGGCTTTGTAAGAAAAGGAAGAGAGACCTCAGCTACATCCTCAGCCTCCTTGCCATGTGATACCCTGCATCACCTCAAGACTCTACCAGCAAGGAGGCTCTCAACAGAAACACTCCCTTGACCTTAGATTTCCCAGGCTCCATAACTATAAGAAATAATTTCTTTTTCTTTACAAAATACCCAGTTCTAATTATTATGTTATAAGCAAAAGAAAACAGATGAAGATAACAGGGAACAACAGCAATGGTTTGTCTCTGTTCTCCTAGCCTCAGCTAGGATAAGTAAAATAGACAGAGATGACTCCAAGAGGTGGGAACTAGAATAGCTGAGACTGAAAGATCCACTTCCAAGATGAGTCCACCAAAATATCAGGCATCTCACTGAGATGGACATGAAGGCTGGTCTCAGCTGTGAATGTTAACAGGTGCTAATACATGCAACCTTTTCATGTGGTATAGACTAATCACAGCATGACACATGGTTTCCACAAGACAGCCACCTAAGAGGGAATGTTCCAAGAGAATCTGACAGAAGCTGCAATGCCCTTTCCTCAGAAGCCACAATAACTCCAAGTTTTAATCAGCACCTATTGAGGGAAGAGTGTCAAAGAATTTTGTAGCATATTTCAAAACCACATTCTGCCTTCTGCCCGCAAAGTATTAGCATTCTTTCCACATGAAAAATACACTCACTCTCTCAATAGTGCTTAAAAGGATCATCCCATTATAGTATCAGTCTTAGACTCAAAGTCAGAATGTTGTCACTCAACCAAGATTTATATAATATTCACCATGCATGATTCCTCTTAATCAAAAATTGGTGAACTAAAGAGACCAGCTATCTACCACTGTATTAGTCCATTCACTCACTGCTATAAAGAACTACCTGAGACTGGGTAATTTGTAAAGAAAAGAGGTATAATTGGCTGACAGTTCCACAGGCTGTACAGGAAGCATGGCTGGGGAGGCCTCAGGAAACTTAAAATCATGATGGAAGGCAAAGGGGAAGCAGGACGTCTTCACATGTGCAGAGCAGAGGAAGAGAGTGGGCAGGGGCTGAGGGGGAGATAGGAGGTGCCACACACTTTGAAACAACCAGATCTCATGAGAACTCTATCTTGAGACAGTACTAGGGGAATGGTGCGAAATCATTAGAAACCACTCCCATGATCCAATCACCTGCCATCAGGCCCCTCCTCCAACATCAGGATTACAATTTGACATGAGATTTTGGGTGGGGACAGAGAGCCAAACCATATTAACCACCCAACCATCCACTGCACATGGTGGTATGTGCATAGGATAAACATTATAGACATTCTTAGTATAAAAGATTAATGGAAGGCACATAGCTATCCCTGGATCATAATAATTCAAAAATTCAGGAGGTACATATTGCCAGTTTCTAGGTTATATTTCTCTCCTAGTTTATGAAAATTGTTCTACACTGATTTTAGCTCCAACCTCTAGACTCTGGATTCTTCATTTTAGGCACCCTTCCTTTTCCATAAAAATTACACTATGTTTGCTGAGTGCTTTTTTTAGTCTCCTCCCTGTCCACTGAAATATGGGATCCAAGAGGCTATTATTTTGTTTTGTCTCTCTCACTATCAGTCCAAGCTGATGATGTTTCTACCTATATAGTCATTTTAAAAACTTTGTCAGTGTCTTATATTCTTCAACTTATAATTCATTCAATTGCATAGAACTCACACCCTCAAATCTCGCCATTAGATATTCTTTACCTGGGGTCTGGTGTGAAACAAAGGTTGCTGTGAAACAATGCCCTTAAAACTCCTGGAAGTCCTACTGTTAAACAGAGAGGGTCTTTGAGGAGTATGCATAAAAATAGCTTTTTGGCTGAGAAGAACCATGAAGCACTATCTTTAAACATTTCTGCAGTCCTAACAAAAGGTTTTATAGTCCCACATTTGACTTCTTCTTTATCCTAAGACCGTATTTTCCTGGAAGTATCCTGGACTCTTTTTATCTTTCCTTGGAGAGATAGAGGGTGATAAAGAGTTTTACTTTCAAACACAAAGTTTTGAATCTTTTATAGTTCCTCTAAATACTACTTGAAAACTGAATGATTCATTTATCTTTTTTACCTAATTTCTCTCTATCCTGTCTTATGATATGTAGGTAAAGGAAACCAGCAACCACAATTTTACATTTTTCTCTGGAAATATCTTTAGCCAAAACATCACTTCATTAGGTATATTTTCTAGTTTTTGAATTTCCACTAATGTCAATATTAAAAATTTTCCACTGCTACATAATGAGGGTCTCCTTCCCTCTGAGTTCCCATAACATTTTGCTCACTCTTTTTTAAGTCCACATCAACAGGGCTCTTGAGGCTTGCCAGATTGCCCACAAATTCCTCAAGACCTTCCAGCTTTCAACCACCATTAAATGTTAAAGTCACATGTTTTAGGTTTTGTTATGTAGCACCCCACTTCTGATACCAAATTTTGTTCCACTTGTTATTTTTGCCTTAATGACAATCTCAAAACGTAGTGGACTAAAATAACAATGATTTTATCATGCTTACAGATGCTGAGGGTCAATAATTCAGAAAGGGCAGGGTGGGGATGGCTTGCATCTTCTCCAAGGTGTTTGGGGCCTCCGCTGGAAAGATTTGAGCAGCCAGGGATGACTGAAATAGCTGGAAGCTCTGATAACTAGGACTGAAGGACCCCTTTTCCAGGATGACTTATTTACTCACATCTGGCCCCTGGACTGGAATGATTTGAAAGCTTAGATCAGCTCAGATTGCCAACTAGATCACCTAAACACAGCTCTCCCTGTGGCTTTGGCATCTTTTAGTATGGTAGGCAGGATCCAAAAGAGAGCATCCCAACAGAGAAGAGTGTTCCAAAGAAGCTGGGTAGAAGTTTCTTGGCCTTTTATAACCTCACCTCAGAAGTCACATAACATTATTGTCATGACATTTTATTCATTAAGGAATTACCAAGCCCACCCAAATTCTAGAGAACAAAACATATACCACCACTCAATGTAAGAGTGATAAAAAATTGGGGTACCTTGCTTTAAAACTGTCACATGGCTTCTGAAATGTCATGTCATGTAATCTATCTTACTAATATTTGTTTAATTTGATATTTCTGATATGGAGACTCTGTTGATTTTTAAAAATCTTCTCACTTTAGGAGAGTTTGCAAAAGTGGCTCAGATAACCTGTAATGATCACTACTCAGTTAAACCATACAACAATGTCTGCTTTGTAGATGAGAAAAATGCAATAAAAGGAAGCACATTGAAGTGGCTTATCAATAGTAGAATTATGAGTGTGATAATGGAAAGCAGAATTCTTAATTGGCCCTCTAAGCCAAAGAAAATCAGTTAGAACTTCAATGAGGCTACGGCCTTGGAGTGGCCTAGGAGTACCACCAGTAGGATGCTATGTAACTACAATGATTCCAACTTACATCTTATTCTAATTAGTGATTTATTCCCTTGACAATATAACTTTCTGTAACCAAGTATGGCATAAATTAGCTGTCAATGATTTGTGCTTTTCTTCTGTAGTGCCAGTCGTGGTGGGAAGGTAACTTGCAGCCAGCTAATATGCTTCCCAGCCCTCTGGTAGCTAATGGAGTCCTATGACTAATTCTGGCCAAAGGAGTGTGAATGAAGATGATGGGTGTCACTCCAGGACATGGTGTCAGGATTTTCCAGCATTTCTTCTTGGGCTGGTCAGATTCTCTGTAGCCAAGTGAAGGAAAAGCAATGAAGGGCTCAGTATTTAGTATTCAACGCTCATAAAATCACTTCATTATCTTACTTTGTTTTGGAATTCATAAAATATCTTTTCAAAGGACACCATTATAAAAGAGAAAAATGTATCGTCATACATCAGGCTGTGAAATAGCTGTTTCTTCCCTTCTAATAAGCTATGTCTTAAGTTACACAAAAGATGTTAAGAATAAGTAGAAACTGCTTCACATATGTAAGCCTTTTAGTCACAGCTTATTTACATTGATGCCATAAGAGATACTAAGTAGAAAACCTGTCATGTGAGAGCTACAGTACAAAGAATTCTAAGCTAACTACCCCCCATGACAGATGACTTTGTATAATCTCCTCGCCTTGACTGGGAGCAAAAACTGAATATAATGGGCTATTACTACCATGAATGTTACATCGTATGGCAAAACAAAGATTATCCTGGGTGGGCCTGACCTAATCAAGCAAGCACTTTAAAAGTACAGATTTTTCCAGCTGGTTGCAGAAGAAGTCAGATATTAAAAGCATGAGAAGAACTAAATGCATCACTGCTGGCTTGAAGATGAAGGGGGCAACATGTGGGCTGCACTTTAGTGATACAGCTTAAAGTGATTGCTGTATCACTTTAGCAAGGAAATAGAGACCTGAGTCATTCAGTCACAAAGAACTGGATACTCCCAATAATCTGAATGAATTTGGAAGTAGATTTCTTCCCAGAGACTCCAGATAAGAAATCAGCCTGGCCAAAACCTTAATTCCAGCCATGTGATATCCTGAGTAGAGAATCTAGCCATGCTGGACTCTTGACCTACAGAACAATGAGTTGTAAATGAGTATCATTTTATGCTGTTACATTTGTTGTAATTTGTTACAGAGAATAGAAAATGAATGGAATAGCGAAGTCCAAATTTTGAAGAAGGCTCCCAAAAAAGTTCACCAGTATTCATTCTCAATTTGTTGTTTTCAACACTTACATGAACAGTGGTGTTTACATTTTTTGTATTTCCACAGGTTTTGGGGGAACAGATGGTGTTTGGTTACATGAGTAAGTTCTTTACTGGTGATTTGTGAGATTTTGGTGCACTCATCATCTGAGCAGTATACACTGTACCCAATTTATAGTCTTTTATCCATAACCCCCCTCCCATCCTTTCTCCCAGGTCCCCAAAGTCCATTGTATTATTCTTATGCCTTTGTATCTTCATAGCTCAGTTCCCACTGATAAGTGAGAACATACGATGTTTGGTTTCCCATTCTTGAGTTACTTCACTTAGAATAATGGTCCCCAGTTCCATCCAGGTTGCTGTGAATGCTATTATTTCGCTCCTTTTTATGGCTGAATAGAATTCCATGGTGTGTGTATATGTACACACACACACAAACCATCATATATATATGCATTATAGATGTAATTGTGGTATATGTATGTATTACATATGTAATATATTGCATATATATGTATTATATATTTAATTGTGGTATGTATATATAGTATATACGTGTGTATATATACAATTGTGGTATGTATATATGTATATATATGTGTGTGTATATATACACATATATAATTGTATATATATACACACATATAATTGTGTGTATATATATGTGTATATATATATGTGTGTGTGTATATATATGTGTGTATATATATACACACACACATACCACAATGTCTTTGTTCACTCGTTGATCAATGGGCATTTGGGCTAGTTCCATATTTTTGTAATTGCAAATTGCACTGCTATAAACATGTGTGTGAAAGTATTATTTTCATATAATGACTTCTTTTCCTCTGGGTAGATACTCAGTAGTGGGATTGCTGGATCAAATGGAAGTTCTACTTTTAGTTTTCTAAGAAACCTCCACACTGTTTTCCATAGTGGTTGTACTAGTTTACATTCCCACCAGCTGTGTAAAAGTGTTCTCCTTTCACCACATCCCCATCAACAGTTTTTAAAAAATTTTTTAATAAAGCCATTCTTGCAGGAGTAAGCTGGTATCACATTGTGGTTTTGATTTGCATTTCCCTGATCATTAGTAATATTGAGCATTTTTTCTTATGTCTGTTGGCCATTTGTATATCTTCTTTTGAGAATTGTCTATTCATGTCCTTAGCCCATGTTTTGATGGGATTGTTTGTTTTTTTCTTGCTGCTTTGCTTGAGTTCCTTGTCAATTCTGAATATTAGCCCTATGTCGGATGTATAGATTGTAAAGATTTTCTCCTACTCTGTGGGTTGTCTGTTAACTCAGCTGATTGTTTCTTTTGTTGTGCAGAAAGTTTTTAGTTTAATTAAGTTCCACCTATTTATCATTGTTTTTGTTGCATTTGCTTTAGGGTTCTTTGTCATGAAGTCTTTGCCTAAGCCAATGTCTGGAAGGGTTTTTCTGATGTTATTTTCTAGATTTTTTTTATAATTTCAGGTCTTAGATTTAAGTCTTTGATCCATCTTTGGTTGATTTTTGTATAAATTGAGAGATGAGGATCCAGCTTCATTCTTCTACCTGTGGCTTGCCAATTATCTCAGCACCATTTGTTGAATAGGGTGTCCTTTCTCCACTTTGTGTTTTGTTTGCTTTGTCAAAGATCAGCTGGCTGTAAGTATTTGGCTTTATTTCTGGGTTCTTTATTCTGTTTCATTGTTCTATGTGCCTATTTTTATACCAGTACCATGCCGTTTTGGTGACTATGGCCTTATAGTATAATTTGAAGTCAGGTAATATGATGCCTCCAGATTGGTTCTTCTTGCTTAGTCTTGCTTTAGCTATGTGGGCTCTTTTGTGGTTCCATATGAATTTTAGGATTGTCTTTTTGGTTCTGTGAAGAATGATGGTGGTATTTTGATGGAAATTGCATTGAATTTGTAGATTGCTTTTGGCTGTATGGTCATTTTTACAATATTGATTCTACCTATCCACGAGCATGGGAAATGTTTCCATTTGTTTTTGTCATCTACAATTTCTTTCAGCAGTGTTTTGTCGTTTTTCTTGTAGAAGTTTTTCACCTCCTTGGTTAGGTATATTTCTAAGTATTTTATTTTTTTCTAGCTATTGTAAGAGGGGTTGAGTTCTTGATTTGATTTCTAGCTATTGTAAAAGGGGTTGAGTTCTTGATTTGATTCTCAGCTTGCTTGCTGTTGGTGTATAGCGGAGCTACTATTTGTGTACATTAATTTTGTATCCTGAAACTTTGCTGAATTCATTTGTCAGTTCTAAGAGGTTTTTTGGAGGTCTCTTCAAGGTTTTCTTTTCTTTTTCTTTCTTTTCTTTTTTTTTTTTTTTTTGATGGAGTCTCACTCTGTCACCCAGGCTGGAGTGCAATAGCATGATCTCGGCTCACTGCAACCTCCGCCTAACAAGTTCAAGCAATTCTCCTGCCTCAGCCTCCCAAGTAGCTGGGATTACAGGTGCCCACCACCACACCTGGCTAATTTTTGTATTTTTAGTAGAAATGGGGTTTCACCATATTGGCCAGGCTGGTCTCGAACTCCTGAGCTCAGGTGATCTGCCTGCCTCAGCCTCCCAAAGTGCTGGGATTATAGGCATGAGCTACTATGCCCAGCCAGGGTTTTCTAAGTATACAATTATATCATCAGCAAACAGTGACAGTTTGACTTACTCTTTACTGATTTGAATGCCCTTTATTTCTTTCTCTTGTCTGATTGCTCTGGCTAGGATTTCCAGTACTATGTTAAATAGAAGTGGTGAGAGTGGGCATCCTTGTCTTGTTCCAGTTCTCAGAGGAAATGCTTTCGACTTTCCCCTGTTCAGTATTATGTTGGCTGTGGATTTGTCATAGATGGCTTTTATTACATTAAGGTATGTTTCTTCTATGCCGATTTTGCTGAGAGTTTTAATCATAAAGGGATAATGGATTTTGTCAAATGCTTTTTCTATGTCTATTGAGATGATAATGATAATCATGTGATTTTTGTTACTAATTCTGTTTATGCGGTGTATTCACATTTATTGACTCATGGATGTTAAACCATCCCTGCATCCCTGGTATGAAACCCACTTGAACACGGTGGGTGGTCTTTTTGATATGCTGTTGGAATTGGTTAGCTGGTATTTTGTTAAGGATTTTTTCATCTATATTCACCAGGGATATTGATCTGTAATTTTCCTTTTTGTTGTTATGTTCTTTCCCAAATTTTGGTATTAGGGTCATACTGGCCTCATAAAATGATTTAGGGAGTATTCCCTCTTTATCTTGTGGAATAGTGTTAATAGGATTAGTACCAATTCTTCTTTGAATGTCTGATAGAATTCAGCTGTGGATCCATCTGGTCTTGGACCAATATTTTTGTTGGCAATTTTTATTACCATTTCAATCTTGCTGCTTGTACTTCTGCAAGAGATACAGGCTGTCAATTCTGCCTGACATCCTGCAGTACAGAAACCCTCTGTTTTACCCTTTGTAGAGAATCCATTTCAGACTTCTGCTGAGGTGGTGAAGATCATTTTCCCAGATGCTTGAATTGTGGAAGGGATCTAGGGATATAATTGCTTCCCAAACAGCTATTAACCAAACGACTCCTTTTAGCACCTCCCCGCTTCCTCCAGGCGTTACTTGTTTTTCAGTCTTTGAAACAGTGTATTGTATAAATCAGCTGTTTCTCAGTATTATTTGCCTCTTAGGGACTGGATTACTTAGGGCTCCCATATTATCTTCCATTCAATCCTCTTCTTCCTGGCTTCCAAAATATTGTTGCTGTTTTATCCTCTCCTATTCTCTTTTTATGTGTTTAATCTACTAACTTAACCCATAAAAATTCTATATTACCTTACATATTTTATAATAGTATTTATTCTGCAATTAAAATTCTAATATCTGAAGTTCTTGAGTACCTAAATCATCACTTATTTTTCTCTGATAACTCTTCCTTATATTGGATTGATCTTCTAGAGCATGTTTAGTGACCCTTGATTTTAAGCATTTTGCTTGATCTTAGTCTGAAAGAGTCGTGGGAGCCTAGAAGAAGGAGCAGGGCATCCTCCAGATAGAATTTGCTTTCACTTTTGCCAGTAGCTCGAAGGAACAATTGGGCCACTTCATCCACTGTGGAGAAGGTCCCCAGTAATATCACTCTCTCATATAAAAGCCCCTATGTAGGTCCCTTCTTCACTGAAGGCTTACCTGTATTAGGAATAGAATAGTATAGAAATAACAGTCTGTGACCCTCAAAACTAGGTCATAAAACATATCGGCCCCTCTTGGATCTCTGATTCTGAGAAAAGTCACCACTATATCTTGAGACCACCCAAGCAGACTTGTGAAACACCCACTTATGGAAAGGCCCACATGAAAAGGAACTAATTTGCCAGCACCAACTTGCCACCTCTGTGAATGAGCCACTTTGGAAGCAAGTCCTCCAGCCTTAGTTAAACTTTCAGATGATTCTAGCCTCCAGCCTTCATTTCTTCCTGCTGAGGCCCCAGACATCATGGAGCAGAAGTGAGTCATCCTCTCTGTGCTTTGTTTGAATTTCTGACCTGCAAAAACTGTGAGACAATAAATTATTATTGTTCTTTTAAGCCATTATCTTGTAGCGTGACTGTTTTGCAAAAATAGACCATTAATAGACCGTAGATCTACAGTAAAAGTTCATGCTCAACTCTAGGGAGCCATGGTTCCCTCCTATCCCTCATCACTACCTCACCACTCAGGATCCTGGCCATTGCAGCACTGTTCCTGACGTCTTCCCTCAGGACCATCTTCTCCTCCCAGCTGCCTAAATGCAGGACTGCCAGCTGAGGCCCAGCTCAATTTATTGGAGGATAGGAGTGAGGAACATTCATAGTAATATTTCTTCCCTTTCATGGAATCAGCGATGCATTGAAAAGTTTGTCCTTTCCAGAATCTGGATGTTCTGTAGTGGGAGGATCTCTCACAACACCAAGTGTTCCGCGGTACTGGAAATATTATTATAACGTATCCCCCCAAAATGTTTCTGAGTGATAGTTTTATGCATGTACATATATTAAAAATATTTTGTTTCTACTCCAAGACACCAGAATCTATGCCAAGTATTTTGACTAACCATACAACTTGTATCTTGTTCAATGGCTATTTTTCAAAATATGCTGTAAAAATATTTTTTCTTTTCAGAATAAATTTAGACATATGAATGAATGTGAAAGTATGGACTTTAGTAGTGAATAGAACTGAGTTTGAAATCTATTTTAATCACTTACAAGCTCTGCCTGAGCACGTTACAACACATTTCCGATGTTTATTAATTATTCCATGTATGGAAATAAGTGATAATAATATTGCCTTCCCTATAGTAACTATGTGAAAATTTAATATATATAAAACTCTAGGCAGAAAGTAAATGGCTGGAAATAATTATTTTTATCTTTTTCACAAAAAAATGCTTTGAGGTCAAAATTGTTTTGTTTTTCTCTAGACTACATAAAAATGACATCACTACCAAGTTCAGTTTAGTCATTCCTTTATCCTTTCATTCCTTTGCTGTAGAGTAAGACAGTGATTAAAGCATGGCTTTGGAATCAGACTAACCATAGATGTTTCCTGGCTCCAATATTTACAGACTATGTGACAAGTTACGTACTGCCACTGAGTCAGATTCTTTACCCAAGTGTTTTTATGTGCAAGTAAATTAAAACCATCTCCTTAAACAGGACATTGCAATTTTTCAACAGTTTGTAGCTTCTATTGACAACTGAGAAAAATACAGTTCTGCTCTTGTTGAAGATAAATAAACATATTTGTCCTCTAAAGGACCCTGCCCTCTAAGAATACCATACTTAAGCATATATAAGGCAAGCTGACTAATGTGATTAGTATTAAAATGCATGTTGGGAAGGAAAGGACAGTAAATTTGGAAACAGAGTAACTAAAAAGCGCACTGACTGGGAAGTTAGGAAATCTCAGCTTTTGTCTTGTTTCTGTCACTTACTTAGATTCTCCATCCTGAGTGAGTCATTTTACTGCTGTGGGCTTCAGTTTCTTCGTTTGTAAAATGGGCATCATAATACTGCCACATTTACCCCACCAAAAATTGTGAAAATCAAATGAGATAGTGAATGTGAAGATGCCTTTAAAATTATAAAGCATGGTAAAATATAAAGATTTTTTAAAACTATAGTTAATAAATTTTTTATGCTAAGACATGTACATTTTCTTCAGAATGGGTTGTTGCTTTTAGCAAGAGCATTTTCACACTAGAAGGAGGATACTAATTAGCTACCTGTGAAAGTGAAAGGGTAGCCTTTCTATTTTATTATAGATACCCTGCAACTTAAACCTACGCAGGTGAATTTGTGTTGAATTGTTACCAGCATAATATTCTCTGATTTTCTGCTTGCTGATTACAGATTGTAGCTAGTCAATTAAGATAAATGTATAACTGTTTCTTGTTCAGAAATATTTTACATTCATTTAAGGCACGGTGTGGCGTAATTTTTATTTTTGTGGGTATAGCTATTAAACTTGGATTATTCCTTGTGCAACATAGAGCGCATGATTCTTTCCTTAAATATATAGAAAGAGGCATATTAAGCTATAGCAAAATATAATAATATGACCACCTGGCACCATTTTCAAATTCTTATTTTCCATTAATGTGGGACTAAACACAAAGTATTTTCTCATATAAAATTTACTTAATATGTTGTCTTTTTGATAGTATCTTTATAAGCCCTAAATTCTCCAATTTTGGACAAATATTAGTATTCATGAAGATATAGTATAAAAATAATGAAAGATGTTTTTAGGCCTGGCATGGTGGCTCACTCCTGTAATCCCAACACTTTGGGAGGCTGGGGCAGGCAGGTCACTTAGGTCAGGAGTTCGAGACCAGCCTGACCAACATGGTAAAACTCCATCTCTACTAAAAATACAAAAAAATTACGTGGTGGTGGGCACTTGTAATCCCAGCTACTTCGGAGGCTGAGGCAGGAGAATCGCTTGAACCCGGGAGGCAGAAGTTGCAATGAGCCAAGATTGCACCACTGCACTCGAGCTTGGGTGACAGCATGAGACTCCGTCCCCCGCAAAAAAGGATAATGTTTTTGATGGACTATTATCTGCCAGACACTGTGTTGACTGGTCTACATTTATTAATTCACTGGATCCTCAGAGTAAATCTACAAGGCACGTACTATTATTATCCTAATTTTACAGATCAGGAAACAGTCGAGTGTGTATCTGTCAGGGCTCATCATAGGAAACAAAAATTACTCCGCATTTCAAGCAGACATTGTAAATAGCATCTTATTAAGTTACTCACAGTTTAAAAAAGAAATCATAATGGGCTTTTAAAAAGATAATGGCAATATTACATATTTGAAGCATGTGAAATACATCGAACAGTGATGCAAAGGATTTTATAGTCTTAAATACTTATAATAGAAATTTTTTAAAGGCATGAGATTAATGAGCTACATATTCCTAGAAGCTAGGTGGTCCATTCTAAACCAAAAATAAACCCAAATAAAATATACAGAAAATTGGGCATAGTGGCTTGTGCTTGTAATCCCAGCATCTGAAGAGGCTGAGGCAGGAGAATTACTTGTGACCAGGAGTTCAAGACCAGCCTGGGCAACACAGCAAGAGCCCCCATCTCTAAAACTGAAAATAAAAATAAAAAGAAATATTTTTTAAAAAATAGAAAGAAATAATGAATAAAATAACAGAAATTGGTAATTTTTAAAGACAAAGAAAATGTTGATTTTCAATATTAGTCTTGCGTCATCATCTAAAAATACTCTAATTTCTTAAGAAACTATTTCAAAGGTTCTGCAAGTCCGATAAGGAATGCCTTGGGCATATGGTCATAACTAAAGGTTTTACATTGTGCAGCCTTTGGAAATACCAGACTAGACTATAGTCTAAAAGATCCTTACGGATTCTGTTGGAAAATTTATCCCAGAATCCAGAGAGAAAGACTGGCTTGTAGTTTCAACATACAAGAATGAATATATTGGATATTGACAGGTGTGTAGAAGTCAGAGACATAAGAAGTGTGCATGCGTGAGTGAGTTTATGCTTGTGTGTGAGTGTGTGTACATAAATCCATAAAAAGAATTGGAATCAGTTTCTAGCTAATGATTGGAATGGGTAAAAACTGGCATGGGAGCTGATAAAGGAAAATTTTACATTTTCATCTTCTTATATTTGACTTTTTAATGAAAATGTATTTATATTTCATTGTTAAAGACAATTATAAAGAGAAAACAATTTAAAACAAACAAAAAAGCTGATTCATTTAATGAAAATTATAACAAAATGATTTTCAGCTTTATGGAGGTATACAACAAAATAAACCAACCTCTGCTAATCTGTTTGAGAGTAGAGGCAATGCTATGAATGAAAGGGGGAATATACACAGATAACTTGAAGCATAAAAAGATGAGAAAATAGTATCGACGAATTTAAGCCATTCCTAGAAAAAAATCTAATTTGCTAAGGAGAAATTGAAATCTTTAATAGTTCTGTAACTACTAATGAAACTGAAGCAGTGGTCAAATAATTTTTCTGAAAACATAACACCACACCCTGATTTTTTAAATGGTCAGTTTTTTGTTTTTTGTTTTTTCCTTTGAGTATATACCCAGTAATGAGATTGCTGGGTCGAATGGTGGTTCTACTTTTAGTTCTTTGAGAAATCTTCACTGCTTTCCATGGTGGCTGAACTAATTTAGATTCCCACCAGCAGTGCGTAAGCATTCCCTTGGCTCCACAGCCTCACCAACATCTGCTATTTTTTGACTTCTTTATAATAACCACTCTGGCTAATATAAGGTGGTATCTTGTTGTGGTTTTGATTTGAATTTCTCCGATGACTAATAATTTTGAGTATTTTTTCATATGTTTGTTGGCTGCTTGTATTTTTTTCTTTTGAGAAATGTTCAAGTCCTTTGCCCACTTTTAAATGAGATTTTTTTCATTATTGTTGAATTGTTTAATTTCCTTATAGATTCTGGATATTAGACCTTTGTCAGATGCAAAGCTTATGAATATTTTCTCCCATTCTGTAAGTTGTCTGTTTACTCTGTTGATAGTTTCTTTTGCTGTGCAGAAGCTTTTTGGTTTAATTAGGTCCCATTTGTCAACTTTTTTGTTTTTGTTGCAATTGCTTCTGAGGACTTGTAAATTCTTTGCCTGTCAAAAAGACAAACGCACTTGTATACTCATCACAGCACTATTCACAATAGCGAAGACATGGAATCAACCCAGGTGTCCATCAATTGTAGATGGAATAAAGAAAATGTGGTACATATACACCATAGAGTACTACACAGGCATGAAAAAGAACAAAATTATGTCCTTTACAGCAATATGAATGTAGCTGGAGGCTATTATTCTAAACACATTAATGCAGAAACGGAAAACCAAATACTACATGTTCTCATTTATAAGTGGGAGCTAAACATTGTGTACACATGGACATAAAGAAAATAATGATAGACACTGGGGAATACCAGAGGGATGAGGGCAGGTGGGAGAGGGGCAAGGGTTGAAAAACTACTTATTGGGTTCTATGCTCACCATCTGGGTGATGGGATCAGTTGTACCCCAAACCTCAGCATTAAGAAATGTGCCCATGTTTCAAATCTGCTTATGTACCCCCTGAATCTAAAGTGAAAGTTGATTTTTTTTTAAAGGCAAGTTCTACCAAACTTTTAATAAATTTCTGTGCCTATCCTCATAGGCAAGAAAAAGAAAAAAACAAAAAGAAGTTCTCAGTTCAAACTATGAGCCCAACATAATGCTGATACCAAAATCAGACAAATAGTTTTAGGTCTACTTCACTTATAAATATAAAAGCAAAATTTCTAAAATATAAAAAAGGAATAAAATTAAATCCAATAGTACATTAAAACCTATATTGCATATTTAATACATTATAATTAAATTGAGTTTATTCCAGGAGTATAAGAATAGTTTACATTATAAAATCCATTAATGTAATTTTCCATAATAACAGACTAAAAGAGAAAATTATGTAATCATCTCATTAAATGAAGAAATTTGATAAAATGAAAAATTCATTCATGATAATAAGCTCTAAGTTAGCTAGAAATTAAAAGGAACATCCTTGACCTGATAAAGAGTACCTATAAAAAAATACAGTATTCTAAAGCATTAGCTTTAAAATAAAGAGCAAGACAACGGAGCACACTTATCACAACTTCTAATCGACAGTATTGCTGGAATGATTAAATGAACAAAAGAAGTAGTCACAAGAATTAGTAAGGATGACATCAAACTATCATTGTTTAGAGATATTATCATTCAGACACACCCCCTGAAAAATGTTCAGAAAAATTATTAGAAATAATGTCAGCACTCAGCGAGATGGATGACTATAAGCTTAACATGCAAAAGTCAAATACATTTCTATTCCCCAGCAGCACAAGACTAAAAAACACAATTAAAGAGATAACTATATAAATGTATCAAATAAATATCAAGTGAACAAGAACAAATCCAAAAAAAGATGCTCAATATCTCTACAGAAAAAATTATAAAACCCTATGAAGAGTTTTTAAAGATGACCCAAATAAAAAGAAATATAAACTGTGTTTGTAGACAAGAAGATATAATATTATAAAATGCCAATTCTCCAAGATTCGTCTATAAAGACAATGAAATTTCAAATAACTGAACAATTTTTTAATGGAACTTTATAAAGGTTGTTCTGATTTGTATGACAAATAAAGGACCAAGTATAGACAAGACATCTCTGAAGAAGCACAAAGAGGAAAGATTCTTCCTTTACACATCAAGATTGATTATAAAACTATAGTAATTAAGACATCGTAGTAGACAAATAGACCATATATGGATGGATTTATGATATAATGGATATATTGTGTAAGATCAGTGAGAAAATCATAGATTGTTCAATAAGTAAAGTAGGATAAAAATGATTATCAATATGAAAAAATAAAAAATAAAATCAGATCCCTACCTCATGCAATTATGCAAAATCTATTCCATGTGAATTAAGGACATAAATAACAGAGGTAAACATTTTACATTCTTAGTAGAAAATACAGTACTATGTTTTAGTCCTTGAGATATGGAAAGATTTTTTATAATGTTTCCTATAAAAAATTAAAAACTGATAAATGAGGCTACATAAAAATTAATAAATTTTGTTCATCAAAAAATAAAGATAGTGAAAACAGGGTTTACATACTTGCATAATACATTACAACATACAGCAATAAACCAAAGATCAATACCAAGGCCAGGTACAGTGGGTTCACACTTGTAATCCCAGCACTTTGGGAAGCCAAAGTGAGAAGATCACTTGAGTCCAGGAGTTCAAGACCAGCCAGGGCAACATAGCAAGACACCATCTTTACAAAAAAATTAAAAAATTATCAAGGCATGGTGGCACGCACCTATAGTCCCAGTTGCTTGGGAGGCAGAGGTGGGATGATCACTTGAGCCTAGGAAGTTGAGGTTGCAGTGAGCCATGATCACACCACTGCTATCTAGCCCAGGTGACCAAAAAGTCGATATCAAGAAGATACAACACACTATAAATTAATATCAAGATCAAATAAAATTACAGAAAATGGACAAAAGGAATATGGAATCCTTCACAGACTAGGAAACAGTATACAGCCAATAAACATATTAAAGAGCTGTTCATTATATGACATATGAAACTTAAGACCATAATGAGATACCGTTTTATATCACTTCAATTCATTAAATTCAAGATAGCTGAAGATTCCAATTGTCAGAGAGGATCCATAGGAGCTTAACATTTTTCTGATAGTAATATAAATAAGCACAATCTATTTGAAAAAGGGTTTAACTTTATAGTCTAATATTGAATAGTTGCATATTTCATGGCTCAGCAATTCAACTCCTATTATATACACAAAGGAATCCAGGAGTATGACAGAAGACAAGATTATACATAGCAGTACTATCCACAATAGCAAAAACCTGGAAACAATACAATTGCCCATAGATTGGAGACTGGATGACTGGATAAACAAAATGTGCCATATTCACATTCACATGATATAATATTACATTGCAGTGAAAATGAATTAACTACATTGTCAAGCAAGAAATAAAATTAATCTTTGTCATGTAATACTAAGTAAAATTCTAAGTCTCCAACTATTATATGGAGCAGTATATTTTAATTTAAAAGCTAATAATAATTAAGATAGACATAATTTTTGATACATGATTATAGATGTAATAAAAGGGGAAGCAAAAGAATGAACACAAGCCTTAGAATGAGGGTATTCAGCAGGAGGAAAAGATAAAGGGGGTGAACTACATAGTTGGATGTAGATTATTTTCAAGGTCTTAGCTTGTTTCACATGGCTGGTTCACACATGCTTTTGAAATTATTAAAGTTAACTGACTAAAGGTATAAATAAATGTGAGCATTAATTGACCAAAGAAACGACTGCATCAAAAAATAAAGGAAGAAAAGACAGAAATGTGCAGGCATTTGGTCCTAAATTCCCAGTAGAACTCCTCATTCATAATACCCTGTGAACAGCCAGGATGGCAACAGCGGAGCAAATGACAATCACAAATCATTAATCATGATTTAGATCTGCTCAGGAGTGACTTCAATTTCTAGGGAAGTTTTGCCAAAAAGTTCTCTCTTGGTGTGGCAGCCCCCCAGTTGCCAAATCCACTTCAAAGGAGCCCAGTTTATGACAATTTAAATAATTTATACCCAGAAAATAAAGCAAAACATGAAAATGTTAAGATATCTTAAATCATGGTTAAGGTTGCATAAGCATAATAAAATAATTTAAGAAATAATTATGGGACACCATGGGGGTGAATGAAGTTTACCTAATGAATTATGATGCTCAGATCCTTTCTTAGTTGTCTCTCACTGAGCCTCAAGTTTAGAAAGTTAAATAAAGGCAAGTTTAAGCTAAGATCTCAGTAAAGGTCTCTTCTTTGGCAAATGGGATGGCTCTTGGATAGAGGTCTGACATTAAACAAAAAGTAAAATTGCATTTTCCAATACTTAATTTCTTTTCTCGCTTAGACAGAGAAAATGTCCCTGTTTATTTTATCAAGTTCATCCACATCTAAGAATGTGTTACAAAATGACAACAAAGCTGTCACTGAGGAAATAATTCCAGTCAATTGACTTCAGATGATTAAACCTACTGTGTTATCTCCTCCAAGGGAGTGAAATGGTAACGCAGTGGGAGCCTAAGCAACAGTTTTAGACGGAGGACGATTATTTCAATGGAGAAGTAAACCTGCTTAGAAGGGTCAGCAAGCAATTTGGAGCCTGCCTTTATCACAGTATACCCATGAAAGATAAGTTTGAATGGTCTTTCAAATTAGCAAACAGCACATAACATTTAAGTATGCACCTGGTGGAGAGAGAGAATGTGGTTAGTTCCCTTTCAATGCTGAGACATTTCATCCTGTGCATGGGACACAAATTGTGTGGCTTTAAGCCACACAAAGTGTATGGATAAGAAAAGGAATATTCTAAATTGCTCTCAGGAAGGATAAAAGCATCACAGTTTGACATGGAAGCATGATGCCTATGGCTATAAATTGATGTTATTGACAATGAAGAATTGAGAAGAATAAATAAGATGCTTTAAGCCAAGAGCAGTCATCCAAATGCATTCTTAAGGTGACTGCACTCGTTTCCTAGGGTTGCCATAACAAATTGCCAGAAACTGGGTAGCTTGAAACGGCGGACACTGATTCTCTCACAGTTGTGGAGGCCAGAAGTTCAAAATCAAGGAGTCAGCGCAGTTGGTTCCTACCAGAAGCTCTGGGAAAAAATCTGTCCCATGTTTCTCTCCTAGCTTCTGAAGGTTGCTGGCAATCTTTGGCACCCCTTGGCTTGTAGATTCATTACTCTATTTTCTGTTTCCATCTTCGAATGGAGTTCTCTCCTGTGTCTCATCACGCAGCGTATGTCTTTCTCTGTGTCTCTTCTCTTCTTATAAAGACATCAGTCCTATTGGGTCAGGGTCCACCCTAATTGAGTGTGACCTCATTTTAATTACATTTGCAAGGGCCTTGTTTTTCAAATAAGATCACACTCACTGGTACTGGGGGTTAGGACTTTAACATATCTTTTAGGGGACACAATTCAACACACAAAACCGGTCAGTGGCAGTTTGAGGAGAAAGAAGCATCATTATTGTAAAAAAAAAAAAGTAAAATTTCTTCCTTGCCCTTCTCCTCTGGGATAGAACCATCTAGATAAATATCTCAGGGATTAAAAAGCCTCCAGTTGAAAAGACCAGTAATAAACTCATTTGCCTACAGAGGCTGAAAAGGAAACATTGGTGAGTGAGATGGACTGCTTAGTGTAAGCTGATCTACTTATTTTCTTCACTTAAAAAAAAAACTTATATTGAAATTTTCGTCCCCACTTTTAAAAAATCATTACCCTTTTCATTATGCATCTCTTCCACATAATTTTTATAATTCTCATTAAGGTTTATTTCACCTAGGCATCTTACTTTGAATTTTTGACTAATACACTGTTAAGAATGGAGAAATACTCTTAACTGCACAAAGAAATATGCTTTCTCTCATTTTCCTTAAAACACACACTTAGTCTAAAATCTAACACTTATTTTTCAAATTTTGATAGAGAGATAAGTAGAGAAATGTTTCTCTGATATAAGACAAAAAATTATACAAGCATAATGATATGTAGTGGCTAACATACAACCTCAGTTACGGGGAGACAATGGGGAGGAGTGGAGACTGTGGTCCTGTCCAAACAGGGAAGAAGCTACTCAGCCCCAACCTTTTAGTGTTGCTCAGTTCCCGTGTAAGCATGTAGGGAAGTCCTACACAAAGCATGTCCAGGGAAGACAGTTCTGATTTTTCCAGAAAAAAACAGAAATCCAGATTTTTATAATAAATATCCATATTTATTTTAATGTCGCTTTATGCAAACCAAGTACAACTCATCTGTAGATTGAACTCAGATATAGGCAACCTATGAGACCACAGGATAATTATTTTGATGAGCTTTCTCATTAGAAAGACTTACTTCCCTTCTGCTTCTCTCCATCTTAATGGTACTTACTCCTTCTCCCCTTTCCCTTTGTCTTCTCCTGTCCTCCTAGAATTGAAAGCCAAACCCAGGTGATTAACTGAGAAAATGAAATCTTGATTATCATTGCTTAATTGATAAAAGAAAAATAAATCTATGAGTAGGAGAATCTCAAATCTGAAAAATTGCTAGCTCTCAGTTGCTCCCTGACAAAATATCTCATCGTGTACAGTTTGATGGTGTTCTCTATCTGCACTCGTGTTTATTGGATGTTATAATTTTCCATCACATTATATACAGTGTAGTCATACTTTCTGCTAATATACAGATTTCGGTAACCATGTATCATTCTTTTTAGCTATCTAGTAAGAAAATCTCTTTCTTTTGTCTTCTGGCACCCCAAATTCAGAAGGTGAAGGAAAGGGATTCTTTTACTGAGAAGGTAAAAGAAGGGCAAATGTGTACCCATAGAATTTGAAAATGCTAAATTCTCACTTTCTCAGTTTCCTTTGAAACCAGGATATAAGCATGTGCCCTGAGCTTCACCTTCAAATGCAACATCCCAGACTCCTAGAAATACAAAGAAGCAAGGCCTATGCAGAATCCTTTCTGGTGAAGGTGCCAGGAGTGACCATCTTGTAGAGATCCATCTTGCAGAGACAGCTGGGGCAACAATGGTTCTGTCTGTAATGCCTAGTGTGCAATATCTGAGAACTGGCAGTGCCAGCTTGGATGTTTATGCCCGAGAGCAGCACTCAGCAGCAGTGCCCAGCAGGTCTTTTTGTTCCAGGGCATAACTCAACCATTGTGCCTGTCTGTAGAGCCTACAAGCTTAATTCTCCACCTGTCCAGAAGATTGTGGGAGCTACTCTGTATATTAGTAAATTATTTTTCTGTTTTTAAACCAGACTTGGTTTCTGTTGCTTGAAACCATGTTCCTTGATTTATATAAAAATCAAATATGTCAATAGTTACAGTATTTTTCAAGTGATGCTCAAGTGTATTTACTACCTCATGAACAAGTATAAGAGCCACTTCTCCAAGAGATGCAAATGTAGCACAACGGTTACTATTAATATTATGGACTCTGGTTCAAATCACAGCTCTGCTACTTCCCAGTTATGTGACCTTATGCAAGTGCTTTGACTTTAATCTCTCTGTGCCTCAGTTCCCTTGTCTGCAAAAAAAGGACAAGAATAACTTGCACCTATCTCATGGGATTATTGTGAGTACTAATTAAGTGTTTAGGACATAATGAGTACTCCATAAATGTTGCCTGTTGCCATTATTTTTCCTTGGAGCTATATTGGAAGGATAAGACAACACAATTAGACAGGACTTACTTGGCATAGCCACTCCATTTGGATGGGTTGTAAAGAAATAGATAGATCCAGAAAGGAATTCCAAGAGCCTGTAGCTGGAGCACTTGGGGTCCCAATTTCCTATGAAAACAATTATCTGCCACTACCGTTGGATTCCCCCAAAGTTCTAAAACCCAAGAGAGAAATTGCAAGTAAACTCTATCCCTTGAATGCTTCCTTTTGAATCCTGAAAAAAAAAAATTCCTAGGAAATCTCACCATTTCCATTTCTACAGTTATTCCTAAACCTGCATTCCTCACAAGGCTCTTGGGATATATCAGTGAATAAAACTGAAAAAGATTCTTCCTTTCATACAGCTAATATGACCAACAAAAATATATTAAAAATTCATCACAAAATAATTAATAATAAAATATAAACTAATTATATATAGTATGTTGCAATGTAGTGTTCGAGGAAGTCATAGAGCCAGGTAAAGAGAATCTGGGGTGCCCAAGGCAGGAAGTCACAGCAGGTTATACTAAGTAGGCCTTTTAGAAAGGTGATATTGGAATGGAGTTAAAAAGGAAGTTAGAGGCCGGGCACGGTGGCTCATGCCTGTAATCCCAGCACTTTAGGAGGCCAAGGAGGGTGGATCACAAGGTCAAGAGATCGAAACCATCCTGGCCAACATGGTGAAACCGCATCTCTACTAAAAATACAAAAATTAGCTGGGTGTGGTGGCACATGCCTGCAGTCCCAGCTACTCAGGAGGCTGAGAAGGAGAATTGCTTGAACCCGGGAAGTGGAAGTTGCAGTGAGCCAAGATCGCACCACTGCACTCCAGCCTGGTGACAGAGTGAGACTCCATCAAAAAAAAAAAAAAAAAAAAAAGAGGTTAGAGAGTTAGGGATGGTTATCTGTAGGAGGAGCATTCTGGGCAGAAGGACTAACCATTGCAAAGGCCTTAAAGCAGGTGCATGCCTAGAATTTTGGAAGAACAGCAAGGAGGGTAGCATAGCTGAAGCAGAGTGAATAGGGGAAATTCATCAGATGAGATAACAGAGATAGCCAGGAGTTATTTTGTGTAGGGCCTCTCTACCTAACTCTCTGGAAAGCTCCATTACCTTGCTAGAACCAGTGTCTTCTACCTGTGGCTATAATGTTTCATATTATGTCCTGTTGGCCAGATTAGACATTTTCTCATCCTTTGAAACTTGTCCTCCTAATGCCCAGCTGAGAGAGTAACTAGCCGTGGCTCCAGGGCATGACCTCTCTTCATCTGCCCAGTCATTAGCTAGACTGGGCCAGTCCATAGTGTTAACACATGAATAACACTAAAAGAACAGAGAAATCTCATGTTCAGAACACTAGAAATCTACATTTTCCAAACATGCATGATTATGAAAAGAACTGTGTAAAATGAAGATTCCTAGACTCACCGCAGAACTGCTAAATCAGAATCTCTCAGGGAGAAAACCATATACCTCTCCTTTTTCTTTTTAAACAAGTTCCTCAAGTTATACTAATGATGAACTAAGTTTAGGAAATACTAATTTGAACCTAAACCCTCATTACAAAAGAGGGAATACAAAGCCCATAGGAGTTAAGTAATTTCTAAAGCATTTCTCTTCCTCTAATTGAGAAAGAATGTTTTCTTATTGCTTTCTTCTTTTAACTTTCCTCATTTCCCTTCCAATATATAGAAGTTACATGTTTTTGATCAATCTCTGAGGGGACTGCTAACACCTCCTAATCATGTCTCCTAGGAGAAGTGATTTTGGGAACCTGAAACAGTCTCGGGAACTGTTCTCTGCTTTCTTCATGAAAAGCTCACCTTGAAACAGTGGCAGCCACTCTACTCTAGGAAAATTATTTCTTCTTAATTGGGACCATCTAGAGAGGGTTGGAACCATAGAGACTCTCTTTGCCAAGTTTAAGAAAAAAAGGGCGTCCCTTTGTCCTTATTATTTTCAAGATGATACATGTGATCTAACGGCCCCTGCACACCATGAGCCTCTCGTTGACATCAATCGGCATTATGCATGGGAAAGGGCAGCAGGAAAGGGCTCATTATCTTCAGCCCAAGCAGAGAGAAACACAATAATAATCATTCTCTGCTGTTCTTGAAGCTTTTAACTGGTGTTGGAAACATAAGTAACCTTAGTGCTTTGGGTTACAGTGAGTAACACCTTTTTCAATTGGCAGATAGAATTCAATTCTTTCTCTGCTTGAGAGACCACAGGGATGGGGAAGAGGGGGCCATTGAATGATAGAAACTATTCTTATCTGTAAGGCTAGAATGGCTGAGTTGTCTTAGAGAAGAGCAGTGACTCCCTAGTAATACCTTCCAATACACCCAAACTTTTCAGTAAATGAGGACTTTATGTAGCCATGAAAGTCAAAAGCACCTATGTCAAGGACAAAGGTTGACCAGAGAAAATGCAGTACTCACTCCAAGAACATTATTAAATCACATCATTTTGTTTATCAAGGGTCTTTTTACTCCTTTTCCTATCAAAGATATGGTTGTAGAATTGACGCAGCTTAACATCAAGATCTCATGAATCCACTTAGCTCTCAATTATCTGCTCCAATAAGAGGACCCTGACACAGATCATTTAAATTAGCAGAGAAAGCACACACCTGGAGCAAAGCCTTGGCTAGGCTTCCTTTTGAAAGGCAATATTATCACCACTTTGAGTCTCTTTTTTCCTGTTTCCATTCTGCACCAACAAAAGAAGAAAGTCACTCATCGGGTTTCTTTTGTTGAATTAAAAACTATAGAAGAAAAATGTTATCTTCTTCTAATAATAATGGTTTCCACCTCTTTACCTGTGTCCTCTCTCAAGCTGCCTACTCACAGCTCTTCTCATTTTATTCTGCTCTGCCTCACTTGTTTTCCCAAAGGAAACATCCTTTTAAAATCACCTGGGAATCATCCTTTCAAAAAGGTCCTTTTTTTAATGACATTGTGGTGAGAACACTTAACATGAGATCTACCTCTTGACAATTTTTTTTTTTTTTGAGACGGAGTCTCGCTCTGTCGCCCAGGCTGGAGTGCAGTGGTGCGATCTCGGCTCACTGCAAGCTCTGCCTCCCGGGTTCACGCCATTCTCCTGCCTCAGCCTCCCGAGTAGGTGGGACTACAGGCGCCTGCCACCACGCCCGGCTAATTTTTTTTTTTTTTTTTTTTTGTATTTTTAATAGAGACAGGGTTTCACCGTGTTAGTCAGGATGGTCTCAATCTCCCGAATTCGTGATCTGCCCACCTCGGCCTCCCAAAGTGCTGGGATTACAAGCATGAGCCACCACGCCCAGCCGACAAAATTTTAAGTGTGCAATACAGTATCGTTAACTACAGACACCACGTTGTGCAGCAGATCTCTAGAACTTAAACACTTTACATAACTAAAACTATACACCCTTTCAACAGCAATTTCCCATTTCATCCTACCACCAACCCCTCATAGCCACCATTCCACTGTGTTTCCATTAGCTTGACTATTTCAGGTACTTCATAAAAAATGGAATCGTGCAGTGCCTGCTCTTCTGTGACTAGCTTATTTCACTTAATGTCCTCAAGGTTCATCCATGTTGTCACATATAGCAGGATTTTCCTCTCTTTTAAGACTAAATAATATTTCAACATATGTGTATACCACATTTTTGTTATCTATTCATCATGCAATGAACATTTAGATTGTTTCCAGATTTTGGCTGTTGTAAATAACACAGCAGTGAACATAGGTGAGATCTTCATTTCAATTCATTTGGATAAATACCCAGAAGTGGGATTGCTAGATCATGTAGTAATTCGATTTTTAATTTTTTGAGGAACCTCCATACTGTTGCCCATAGCAGCTGCACCTTTTATATTCCCGCCAAGTGTATGAGGGATGCAAATATTCCACATTCTTGCCAATATTTGTCTTTTGTGTTTTCTTTTTATATTTTTTGGTTTGTGAAACTAATAGCCATCTTAACAGGTGTGAGGTGGTGTCTCATTGTGGTTTTGATTTATATTTCCCTAGCAGTTAGTAGTGTTGAGCATCTTTCATATTTGTATATCTTATTTAAACAAATGTCTATTCAAGCCTTTTACTGATTTTTAACAGTTGTTTGAGAACTTGAGTTCAGGAGTAGAATTTATTATGGACATGGACAAAACACCGTTCCAGTCACCCAAACATTTAGGTACTCCTTTCAAACCAAACTGGACCAGATCAGGCACTTCATCAAGCAAGACAACAGATGCTGGCGAGGGTGTGGAGAAAATGGTATGATTTTACACTGTTGGTGGGAATGTAAATTAGTTCAACCATTGTGGAAGACTGTGTGGCGATTCCTCAAAGATCTAGAAGTCAAAATACCATTTGATGCAGCAATCCCATTGCTTTCAATTCTGTCTTTCAATTCTAAGCCTTGAATACATACCCAAAGGAATGTAAATCATTCTATTGCAAAGATACACCCATATGTATGTTCATTGCAGCACTACTCACAATAGCAAAGACATGGAATAAACCCAAATGCACATCAATGATACACTAGATAAAGAAAATATGGTGCATATACACCATGGAATACTATGCAGCCATAAAAAGAAATGAGATCATGTCATTTGCAGGGACATGGATGGAGTTGGAAGCTATTACCCTGAGAAAACTAATGCAGGAACAGAAAATCAAACACCACATGTTCTCACTTATAAGTGGGAGCTGAATAATGAGAACACATGGATGCATGGGGGGAAACAACACACACTGGGGCCTGTCAGGTGGGGCAGGCAGAGGGAGAGCATCAGGAAGAATAGCTAATGCATGCTGGGCTTAATACCTGGGTCGTGGGTTGATCTATCCAGCAAACCACCATGTCACGCATTTACCAACGTAGTAATCCTGCACATCCTGCACATGTACCCCAGAACTTAAAATAAATGTTGATGAACAAAAAAAAAAAAAAGAAAAAGAAAATGGAGAGCACGAAAATCTCAATTTGCCTAAGTAATTCAGTGAGAACAGATCTTCAATTTTGTCTTTCAATTCTAAACCTTGATATCTATTCTGCTCCCTTGCTGCTAGTAAGAAAGCTTGTTTTTTATTTTGTTTTGATTTGTTTTTAGCTTCTGAAATATATTTTGGTCACACCCTTTTCACATTTTGTGAAAGAGGAAGGGAGGTCTTTCTGATCCTCGATGATCTGGGGCTATTTCCAGAAGGCTGATTCACCACCATTCCTGCCAGTCTCTCTGTTGGAAGTCCAAGCCACTCAGCTAACACACCCACTCCATGTGCTCACCCCTGCTGTGAATATGCATTTCCACCCTCCTGATTCAACATTGCACACCTGTGTATGAAGAGGAAGCTGAAAGCAAGTATCTTGCCTTCTCACGCAGGTGGTAAAGTGAGAGAATAAAAGCGAAGAGTGAGTAAGAGTATTCTTTCATTGCTTCAGGCTGTGCTTCAAACCCGTTATTGTGTTCAGACCATCTCTCTTTTTACCAAACCACAATTTGACAGGGCATCAAAAACCATGTAATAAATATTTTTATTTTACAATTGGTAAAACAGTCTTCGGGGGAGGAGCCAAGATGGCCGAATAGGAACAGCTCCGGTCTACAGCTCCCAGCGTGAGCGACGCAGAAGACGGGTGATTTCTGCATTTCCATCTGAGGTACCGGGTTCATCTCACTAGGGAGTGCCAGACAGTGGGCGCAGGCCAGTGTGTGCGCGCACCGTGCGCGAGCCGAAGCAGGGCGAGGCATTGCCTCACCTGGGAAGCGCAAGGGGTCAGGGAGTTCCCTTTCCGAGTCAAAGAAAGGGGTGACGGACGCACCTGGAAAATCGGGTCACTCCCACCCGAATATTGCGCTTTTCAGACCGGCTTAAAAAACGGCGCACCACGAGACTATATCCCACACCTGGCTCAGAGGGTCCTACGCCCACGGAATCTCGCTGATTTCTAGCACAGCAGTCTGAGATCAAACTGCAAGGCGGCAACGAGGCTGGGGGAGGGGCGCCCGCCATTGCCCAGGCTTGCTTAGGTAGACAAAGCAGCCGGGAAGCTTGAACTGGGTGGAGCCCACCATAGCTCAAGGAGGCCTGCCTGCCTCTGTAGGCTCCACCTCTGGGGGCAGGGCACAGACAAACAAAAAGACAGCAGTAACCTCTGCAGACTTAAGTGTCCCTGTCTGACAGCTTTGAAGAGAGCAGTGGTTCTCCCAGCACGCAGCTGGAGATCTGAGAACGGGCAGACTGCCTCCTCAAGTGGGTCCCTGACCCCTGACCCCCGAGCAGCCTAACTGGGAGGCACCCCCCAGCAGGGGCACACTGACACCTCACACGGCAGTGTATTCCAACAGACCTGCAGCTGAGGGTCCTGTCTGTTAGAAGGAAAACTAACAACCAGAAAGGACATCTACACCGAAAACCCATCTGTACATCACCATCATCAAAGACCAAAAGTAGATAAAACCACAAAGATGGGGAAAAAACAGAACAGAAAAACTGGAAACTCTAAAACGCAGAGCACCTCTCCTCCTCCAAAGGAACGCAGTTCCTCACCAGCAACGGAACAAAGCTGGATGGAGAATGATTTTGACGAGCTGAGAGAAGAAGGCTTCAGACGATCAAATTACTCTGAGCTACGGGAGGACATTCAAACCAAAGGCAAAGAAGTTGAAAACTTTGAAAAAAATTTAGAAGAATGTATAACTAGAATAACCAATACAGAGAAGTGCTTAAAGGAGCTGATGGAGCTGAAAACCAAGGCTCGAGAACTATGTGAAGAATGCAGAAGCCTCAGGAGCCGATGCGATCAACTGGAAGAAAGGGTATCAGCAATGGAAGATGAAATGAATGAAATGAAGCGAGAAGGGAAGTTTAGAGAAAAAAGAATAAAAAGAAATGAGCAAAGCCTCCAAGAAATATGGGACTATGTGAAAAGACCAAATCTACGTCTGATTGGTGTACCTGAAAGTGATGTGGAGAATGGAACCAAGTTGGAAAACACTCTGCAGGATATTATCCAGGAGAACTTCCCCAATCTAGCAAGGCAGGCCAACGTTCAGATTCAGGAAATACAGAGAACGCCACAAAGATACTCCTCGAGAAGAGCAACTCCAAGACACATAATTGTCAGATTCACCAAAGTTGAAATGAAGGAAAAAATGTTAAGGGCAGCCAGAGAGAAAGGTCGGGTTACCCTCAAAGGAAAGCCCTTCAGACTAACAGCGGATCTCTCGGCAGAAACCCTACAAGCCAGAAGAGAGTGGGGGCCAATATTCAACATTCTTAAAGAAAAGAATTTTCAACCCAGAATTTCATATCCAGCCAAACTAAGCTTCATAAGTGAAGGAGAAATAAAATACTTTATAGACAAGCAAATGCTGAGAGATTTTGTCACCACCAGGCCTGCCCTAAAAGAGCTCCTGAAGGAAGTGCTAAACATGGAAAGGAACAACTGGTACCAGCCGCTGCAAAATCATGCCAAAATGTAAAGACCATCGAGACTAGGAAGAAACTGCATCAACTAACGAGCAAAATCACCAGCTAACATCATAATGACAGGATCAAATTCACACATAACAATATTAACTTTAAATATAAATGGACTAAATTCTTCAATTAAAAGACACAGACTGGCAAGTTGGATAAAGAGTCAAGACCCATCAGTGTGCTGTATTCAGGAAACCCATCTCACGTGCAGAGACACACATAGGCTCAAAATAAAAGGATGGAGGAAGATCTACCAAGCCAATGGAAAACAAAAAAAGGCAGGGGTTGCAATCCTAGTCTCTGATAAAACAGACTTTAAACCAACAAAGATCAAAAGAGACAAAGAAGGCCATTACATAATGGTAAAGGGATCAATTCAACAAGAGGAGCTAACTATCCTAAATATTTATGCACCCAATACAGGAGCACCCAGATTCATAAAGCAAGTCCTGAGTGACCTACAAAGAGACTTAGACTCCCACACATTAATAATGGGAGACTTTAACACCCCACTGTCAACATCAGACAGATCAACGAGACAGAAAGTCAACAAGGATACCCAGGAATTGAACTCAGCTCTGCACCAAGCAGACCTAATAGACATCTACAGAACTCTCCACCCCAAATCAACAGAATATACATTTTTTTCAGCACCACACCACACCTATTCCAAAATTGACCACATAGTTGGAAGTAAAGCTCTCCTCAGCAAATGTAAAAGAACAGAGATTATAACAAACTATCTCTCAGACCACAGTGCAATCAAACTAGAACTCAGGATTAAGAATCTCACTCAAAGCCGCTCAACTACATGGAAACTGAACAACTTGCTCCTGAATGACTACTGGGTACATAACGAAATGAAGGCAGAAATAAAGATGTTCTTTGAAACCAATGAGAACAAAGACACCACATACCAGAATCTCTGGGACGCATTCAAAGCAGTGTGTAGAGGGAAATTTATAGCACTAAATGCCTACAAGAACAAGCAGGAAAGATCCAAAATTGACAACCTAACATCACAATTAAAAGAACTAGAAAAGCAAGAGCAAACACATTCAAAAGCTAGCAGAAGGCAAGAAATAACTAAAATCAGAGCAGAACTGAAGGAAATAGAGACACAAAAAACCCTTCAAAAAATCAATGAATCCAGGAGCTGGTTTTTTGAAAGGATCAACAAAATTGATAGACCGCTAGCAAGACTAATAAAGAAAAAAAGAGAGAAGAATCAAATAGATACAATAAAAAATGATAAAGGGGATATCACCACTGATCCCACAGAAATACAAACTACCATCAGAGAATACTACAAACACCTCTATGCAAATAAACTAGAAAATCTAGAAGAAATGGATACATTCCTCGACACATACACTCTCCCAAGACTAAACCAGGAAGAAGTTGAATCTCTGAATAGACCAATAACAGGCTCTGAAATTGTGGCAATAATCAATAGTTTACCAACCAAAAAGAGTCCAGGACCAGATGGATTCACAGCCGAATTCTACCAGAGGTACAAGGAGGAACTGGTACCATTCCTTCTGAAACTATTCCAATCAATAGAAAAAGAGGGAATCCTCCCTAACTCATTTTATGAGGCCAGCATCATTCTGATACCAAAGCCGGGCAGAGACACAACCAAAAAAGAGAATTTTAGACCAATATCCTTGATGAACATTGATGCAAAAATCCTCAATAAAATACTGGCAAACCGAATCCAGCAGCACATCAAAAAGCTTATCCACCATGATCAAGTGGGCTTCATCCCTGGGATGCAAGGCTGGTTCAATATACGCAAATCAATAAATGTAATCCAGCATATAAACAGAGCCAAAGACCAAAACCACATGATTATCTCAATAGATGCAGAAAAGGCCTTTGACAAAATTCAACAACCTTCATGCTAAAAACTCTCAATAAATTAGGTATTGATGGGACGTATCTCAAAATAATAAGAGCTATCTATGACAAACCCACAGCCAATATCATACTGAATGGGCAAAAACTGGAAGCATTCCCTTTGAAAACTGGCACAAGACAGGGATGCCCTCTCTCACCGCTCCTATTCAACATAGTGTTGGAAGTTCTGGCCAGGGCAATCAGGCAGGAGAAGGAAATAAAGGGTATTCAATTAGGAAAAGAGGAAGTCAAATTGTCCCTGTTTGCAGACGACATGATTGTTTATCTAGAAAACCCCATCGTCTCAGCCCAAAATCTCCTTAAGCTGATAAGCAACTTCAGCAAAGTCTCAGGATACAAAATCAATGTACAAAAATCACAAGCATTCTTATACACCAACAACAGACAAACAGAGAGCCAAATCATGAGTGAACTCCCATTCACAATTGCTTCAAAGAGAATAAAATACCTAGGAATCCAACTTACAAGGGATGTGAAGGACCTCTTCAAGGAGAACTACAAACCACTGCTCAAGGAAATAAAAGAGGACACAAACAAATGGAAGAACATTCCATGCTCATGGGTAGGAAGAATCAATATCGTGAAAATGGCCATACTGCCCAAGGTAATTTACAGATTCAATGCCATCCCCATCAAGCTACCAATGACTTTCTTCACAGAATTGGAAAAAACTACTTTAAAGTTCATATGGAACCAAAAAAGAGCCCGCATCGCCAAGTCAATCCTAAGCCAAAAGAACAAAGCTGGAGGCATCACACTACCTGACTTCAAACTATACTACAAGGCTACAGTAACCAAAACAGCATGGTACTGGTACCAAAACAGAGATATAGATCAATGGAACAGAACAGAGCCCTCAGAAATAATGCCGCATATCTACAACTATCTGATCTTTCACAAACCTGAGAAAAACAAGCAATGGGGAAAGGATTCCCTATTTAATAAATGGTGCTGGGAAAACTGGCTAGCCATATGTAGAAAGCTGAAACTGGATCCCTTCCTTACACCTTATACAAAAATCAATTCAAGATGGATTAAAGATTTAAACGTTAGACCTAAAACCATAAAAACCCTAGAAGAAAACCTAGGCATTACCATTCAGGACATAGGCGTGGGCAAGGACTTCATGTCCAAAACACCAAAAGCAATGGCAACAAAAGCCAAAATTGACAAATGGGATCTAATTAAACTAAAGAGCTTCTGCACAGCAAAAGAAACTACCATCAGAGTGAACAGGCAACCTACAACATGGGAGAAAATTTTCACAACCTACTCATCTGACAAAGGGCTAATATCCAGAATCTACAATGAACTCAAACAAATTTACAAGAAAAAAACAAACAACCCCATCAAAAAGTGGGCGAAGGACATGAACAGACACTTCTCAAAAGAAGACATTTATGCAGCCAAAAAACACATGAAAAAATGCTCATCATCACTGGCAATCAGAGAAATGCAAATAAAAACCACTATGAGATATCATCTCACACCAGTTAGAATGGCAATCATTAAAAAGTCAGGAAACAACAGGTGCTGGAGAGGATGTGGAGAAATAGGAAGACTTTTACACTGTTGGTGGGACTGTAAACTAGTTCAACCATGGTGGAAGTCAGTGTGGCGATTCCTCAGGGATCTAGAACTAGAAATACCATTTGACCCAGCCATCCCATTACTGGGTATATACCCAAATGACTATAAATCATGCTGCTATAAAGACACATGCACATGTATGTTTATTGCGGCATTATTCACAATAGCAAAGACTTGGAACCAACCCAAATGTCCAACAATGATAGACTGGATTAAGAAAATGTGGCACATGTACACCATGGAATACTATGCAGCCATAAAAAGTGATGAGTTCATGTCCTTTGTAGGGACGTGGATGAAATTGGAAACCATCATTCTCAGTAAACTATCGCAAGAACAAAAAACCAAACACCGCATATTCTCACTCATAGGTGGGAATTGAACAATGAGATCACATGGACACAGGAAGGGGAATATCACACTCTGGGGACTGTGGTGGGGTCAGGGGAGGGGGGAGGGATAGCATTGGGAGATATACCTAATGCTAGATGACACGTTAGTGGGTGCAGCGCACCAGCATGGCACATGTATACATATGTAACTAACCTGCACAATGTGCACATGTACCCTAAAACTTAAAGTATAACTAAAAAAAAAAAAACATTAAAAAAAAAAAACAAAAAAACAGTCTTCAAACAATAGCATGTACCTTTAAACTCACATCTATAACCAACTGTTCACTGAGGCAGGATTGGAACCCAAGAATTAAACATTTGCTCTTCCACACCTTTAAAATGTCATCTTTGAGCCTAAATTACATGTATAGAATGCTCTTCTTTCATTTCAACTTAAATATCCTAAATACTAATCCATCTGGGAGTATTCTCCTGCCAGACCTGCTTCTTATTTCACAGTCATGAAACTGATTTGAAGTGTCTCCGTGTTCTAAAGGAGGTTGCCCAGATGTCTCTATGACAGTGGGTCTTGCAAAGAGAGAAATGTTCTATGTTCAGGGCCACATTGTTGCATGATGGAAAACCAACTCTTTCCTTGACTCACACTGGCTTAATGGACCCTGGTATTACTTGCCCCTCAAATTTTGGCAGCCATGGTTTTTCATGTTTCAAGAATCCAGCTCTCTAAACCCAGCTGACTACATCCTTAGAATAATGACAGTGCAGGAAAGGCATAGTTCCATGATTTCAGCAGCCGCCAACATGTCTTTCCTGCCAGAGAAGTAGTGCAGAAATTCAATTCTGTAGCCATCTATCGAACACCTTCTATCTTCAAACCTCAGGCATTTGGAAGAAAGTACAGTTCAATGTATTGTCTTGCCTATGGTTCATAAAAGTGATGACCCAATTTTTATACACACATCAGAAAATTAGTGGATATAAGTGTTTAGTAAACTGTATATTACAAACAAATACTCTTTAATTGATTTTTACAAAAAAAATTTAGCTCCTCAAGGGATAAATTATTTGTATTCATTCACTTATTTGTGCATTTATTCAAAAATACATATTAAACATCAGATATTTTCCAGGCACTCTCCCAGACAGTCGGAATACAAAAGTGAGTGACTTTGTATCCTTATACTCCATGAGTTTGCACATAAATAGTGAGACAGGGAAAAGAAAGTAAGGATAATAGAGTACAAACAACGTTATGGTAGAAGTCTTTGTTGGGACTATGAGAGATCGTTGGTATAGAGATGTCAGCAAAAACAAGGGAGAAGTCAGTTCATAGAGCTCTTAACATGAAAGACACTCATAAAGCAATTGAAGGAGAGACAATGTTCCAGACTGAAGGGGAAATGTAAATCAAGTCACTGAGACATGACAAAACCCAGATCAATAATGTGGGAGAAGGAAGATAGAATAGGCTATAGGAAATAGTGCTGCAATAAACATGGGAGTGCAGATATCTCTTTAACATACTGATTTCATTTCCTTTGGATATACGCCCAGTAGTGGGATTGTTGGATCATATGGTAATTCTATTTTTAATTTTTTAAGGAACCTCTATATTGTCCACAGTGGCTATACTAATTTACATTCCCACCATTTTGTTCTCACACTGCTATAAGGAGCTACTTGAGACTGGGTCATTTATGAAGAAAAGAGGTTTAATTGACTCATAGATCCACAGGCTTAACAGGAAGCATGATTGGGAGGCCTCAGGAAACTTAGAATCATGGTGGAAGGCAAAGGGGAAGCAAGCACAGCTTATCATGGCAGAATATGAGAGATAGAGAGCAAAGAGGGAAGTGTCACACACTTTTAAACCATCAGATCTCATGAGAACTCACTGACTATCACTATAACAGCAAGGAAGAAATTTGACCCTATGATCCAATCACCTCCCACCAGGCCTCTTCTCCAATTTGACATGAGATTTGGGTGGGGACAAACCCATATCCCCCATCCACAGTGTATAAGTGTTCCCCTCTCTCCACATCCTTGCCAACATTTGTTATATTTTGTTTTTTATGTGTCAGAATAAAACTTAAAATAATAAAAAAGAAAGAATAGGGAAAAGACAAATCAGAGCATCTTTAGGCATTGATAAAGATTTTATAATTTATCCTGTGGGCAACAGAAGCCACTGAAAGTTTTCTGGCAGAAGAAGGACTTGATTAGACTCAGAGTGATTTGGGGAGATGTAACAAAGCAAACACATCCAGCTGATGCCTGAAGTTGTTTACTAGAAGCTACAGACTTTGACGTACTCAGTAGACATCTGATATGAAAGCAGGAAGGAGCTATAGTCTCCAGAATCTGATAGCAAGTTAGAATTTGGACTCTGTGAAGGGCAGAATAACAGTTCCCCCAAATATTTCTATGCTCTAATGCCCTAAACCTGTAAGTATGTCGCTTTCCTGGCAAAAAAGACTTCGAAGATGTGAATATGGTGATGGAGCTTAAAAAATGAGGAGAGTAAACTGGATTTTCCAGATGGGTCCAGTATAATCACATACATTTTCCCAGTTTCCCAGGTATGTTCAAATGGAAATGAGACGGAAGAAGAAGGAGATATTTTAATTGTTTGCAAGAGATGTGAGGAAGGGGCCCATGAGCCACAGAATATAGTTGGCCTCGAGAAGCTAGGAATGGCTTTCAGCTTATGCCCAGCTAGGAAGCAAGGATCTCAGTTCTACAATCACAAGGAACAAAAACCAAGTGTGTACGAAAACAGGTCCTCTTCTAGAGGCTTCAGAAAGGAACACAGCCCTGTTCTCACAGTTTGTTGTTCTAGAGAACCAAAAAAATGAATTTATGTTGTTTCAGCCACTATGTTTGTGGTAATTTGTCAACAATAGAAAACTAATACAGATTTGAAGGCAAGACAGGTGTCTAGGTGGGAAGTGGGAGACAAAAGAAGAAGAATCAGGGAAATTGAAAAGTATCAAAGAGGTAAAGAAGAATAAGGAGAAGCCATAGGTCCAAGGGAGAAAAATCTCGAGGAAAGAAATGATCCAAATAGACAACAGCAAAAAGTCAAGTAATACAGGACTGGCAGCTTTGCCAAAGCCGATCTTCAAATCTGCGAGCAGAATCTTTAAAGAATTAAACCAGAAGGTGAAAGCAATACTGGCCTTCAACCCCTGAAGCCTAGGTGCTTTGGACTGGTGTCCTATAAACTTAAGTTCATCATTTACTAGAGATGACTGGACCCTACCTCATTTAAGTCAAGAGAGGAACTGTCTACAGAACAAGTTAACAGCATGTGACATGGTCCCTATCTCACTTCTGATTTAATGATTTCATGTTTTGTGAACTTGTGCCTTAGTAGGTAAAACTTGTTATATTTCAAAGCACACAAAGCACTACTTGCAAGGCTAAAAATGAGTAGTGACTTTCTTTATTTCTTGGGATTTCAACAGCAGCTAATGTGGTTATCAAAGAGCCCAAAACTTCTGGTTGATCACTCCACTTCTTATGAATACATACAAAATTTTGAGTGACTACTTACATTTTGATTTAAATGTAGCTGCTTTAGACCTACTTTCTTCACAAATACACTTGAGGGAACCGGAATATTATATCCCAACTAGTATATCTCAAATATACTTGTGGGAACATGCTTCACAAATATACTCATGGGAACATATCTTAATCATCTTTGTAGTCCCAGCAGCTAATCAACAGTGGGAACATAGCATATCAGAAATATTCTTTTCCTTACTATACTAGTGAATAGGTGAGATTTGTAATACATTGGTGAATTCACCATAATATCCAAAACATAATTTGCTGCATGACTTTCAAAGACTCCCATCACCATGCACAATATTCCTAATATGTAAACTTAATTCTTTCAAAACTTGTAAAAGAAAAACCACCTAACATTAGCATAGGGATGATATTCAAAGTACTGCATGCTCCTGCATACCTCATGGAGCTTTGTTCCAGAAAGTAATTGTTCCCAGAAAGTACCTTATCCTGACAAGGCTGGTTTGGCAAACAATTATGATGTATGTCCTTGACTGTATTCAAGTTCACAGAAAGTACATATTTTCTTTGCTGAAATAGCAGAGCATTGTCTTGCCCCAAGCATCCCTGGGAATACTTGGGTGTTATTTGAAAATCACTTTGAGATTCTCTAGGCAGCTTTTTGAAAGATTTCCCCAAGTAGGTCTTTAATTGTTTTCTTTGTCCACATTATTCCAAGCCTGCTTCTTTATATTAGGCCCCAGCTAAAGTCTCCAGGGCTCCCCCGCAACCCACCCTAATAAAGCACAACGACTTCACCTCCTGGAGTTTCTAGACTGCTAAGGGACTCAGAAACCACTTAATCTGACTCTGTCAGTGAGAAGATGAGAAAACAGAGACTAAGAAAGCAAGGTGAATTGTTCTGGGGATAAGTCTGGGTAGTGGCAGAGCCAGACTTTAATGCGTAGCTTCTGATTCGGAGGTTCTGATTTCAATGTTCCTTCCAAAACTCATGTTGAAGTGTAATTGCCATTGTGATGGTATTAGGAGATGGGATCTTTACGGGGTGATTAAGTTATGACAGCTCTGCCCTCATGAATGGATCAATGCCATTATCACAGGAATGGGCTCCTGATAAAAAGACAAGTTTGGTCCCCATTCCCTCTCTGTCTTGCGCATGCTCACCCTCTCTCATTATGTGATGCCTTCCACGATGTTATGAAGCAGCAAGAAGACTTTCACGAGACGCAGCCCATGATCTTGGACTTTTCAGCCTCCAGAACCATAAGCCAAATAAATCTATTTTCTTTATATATGACCCAATCTGTGGCACTTTATTACAAAAGCAGAAAACAGATTAATTGAGATTTTTTTGGCTCTTGCTCAGAATATAAGGATGAGATTTGTAAATTATGAAATCAGACACAATACCTCTGGGAATCAATTCATGATTTCCTTCAGTGGAAGTTGTGACTTTGAAAAAAATTCTAAATTAATTATTTCTATTTTCTCACTTTCAGCCACACTCAAAACATACTGTCAGATAGTTATTCTATTATTCATGTATTCATTCATTATTTTATTATTTATTTATTCATCTATTTATTATTTCAACAAGCATTTGTATAGTATTTTACATTCTCCAAATGTTTCTAAGCACTAAAACTACAGAGATGAGAATAAAAATGTAAAGAAACTTTTTTTTTGAAGTGGAAGGAGGTCACCAAGAAGTTAAGTTTTATTGCCTTCATGTGTTATGTTTTTAAATAGTGATGTTGACATCTCTTTTCTAGCAAATTTAGAGGCCTATGTGAATATAAAAGAGGAAGACATTTTAAAATAGGAAAGTTCAAACAGGAATCCTCCTAAATAATCATTTTTATTTCTTCAGCAAATTGATTTCCAAATAGTTTAATTTAATGAATGTCTGGTAAACCTCTTCTAATAATAAGAATTTCCTTGGACACTGACAAAATTAAGGGTAGGAAATAGATATTTTACATTGATAAGAAGATGCATTCTCTTCTATTAATATATTTCATGCAAGGTGTTTGGTCCCCTCCTTGTAATAGTCAACTGCTAAAATATAAGAAAGAGAGAGAAGGTTGGGGAGGGAGGGAGGCAGTGAGAAAAGGGAAGGGGAGGGGTGGGGAAGGGATGGGAGGCGAGGAAGGAAGAAATAGAAAATAGATATAATTGTTTCAAGAATTTCTGGCCAGAGATCCAGCTAGATGTCTTTTCCTTTGCCATGCTCCAGTTAATTAATTGGTTCTGTTAAAAATGTAAAACATGAAAACGTCCTATGGTGTCCATGAAGGTGCACCCCTCAGAGCTCCCTTCAGGGGGAACCCACTACAAAGGAGCATGCTCAGCTGACAGCCTCCAGCCACCCTACCTGTGGATGTAGGGCAGCATTCACACCTAGACCATGTTCTCCTGGGGGTACTCCCTACCAGTGACTGAGCACAGCAGGGACACTGGAGCTTGACCTTTCCTGCCCAATGTGGGCTCCTCCAATAGGTACTCTCTGCTCTGGGAATTCCCATCAGCCTGACTTGGACTCTGAGAGCAGCAATCTGAGGCTCCTTCTCTTGGACCATCATGCCTCCCTCTCTTTCTCCCTGGGGTCATGCCTGCACTATGGCTGGGAGGCTTCCTCTGCCTCTTCTTGCTCGCCTCCCCCTCTTTATTCAAAACTCCTGGAAACAAACATCAGTTAAATAAGCTTCTACACAAAGATAATATTAATAATGATCAATATAATCTTTATTCATTTTTGAGAACTCTCTTGGTAAGTTCTCTTTTTTATTTCAAAATTCTGAGCAAAATGAACTTGCCCACACCCCACCCATCTTACAAGGCAAAAGAACAGAGAAAAATCACCCACAGCCAAACTTTATAGGCATGATATAACTGCTTTCCAAGAGAGGAGATGTCTGAGTTATGGACAGCAATTGGATCCAATTACAACTTTTCTTATATCTTGGGGGTCCTGAATGCTGACTTCTTCTGTTTTCTAATAGAAATATTGTAAAAGAGCAAGCAAGACTAATGTGTGTAAACAAAGAACAAAAGATTAAAGATAGGAGCTTTAATAACCTGTTCATTCTTCTCCTTTGTCCCTTGTCATAATTACATAAACCATCTTTTGTGATGAAGTGTCCAGGGGCTTGCAGGAAACACTTGTGATGATCTAGGAACACTGCTATGGACTACATTATTTTCCTCCAAAAAATCATATGTTGAAGCCCTAACTTCTCTTGTGAAAGCACCTTGATCTTGAACTTCCCAAACTCCACAACTATAAGAAATAGATTTCCGTTGTCTAAGCCACCCAGTCTATAACATTTTGCTATGTAAGCCTGAGCTGACTAATTCAGACACTAAGAACAGTTGTCAAATCCATCTCTTTCCCAGTGAAGTAAGCATTGTTATAGGGCAGATGGCCAAATGTCTCCTAATACAGTGGCATACAAAGATGTCTTCTGAGAAAAAAAAATTAATTCTTTGCCTGTGGTTAACTTCTCATAAGACAACTTACTGCTGTTATATATTGGTTGAACTACATAACCCAGAACCATTTTTTCTTAGATTAATTCAGAAACACCTACAACTTTTGTCAGAGCCCAAAAGTCTCTCAAAGGAAAAATGTTACCAAAAGGAATTAAGTTTTCACAATCAATGCCAAGTTTAGTCCAAGAAAAAGTGGGGGTGAAGGGAGGAACTCACTGTGGGCCTCACCACATAAGAGACAAGGGACAGAACCACGTAAGAGACAAGGGACAGATATACAGGATAAAAGGATACCTTTTCAAATACCTTTTCACTAATACCTTTTCACTAATTTCCTGTTTATTTTCTTTCTAATGAAAATGTTGGAAAATAGTACCAAGGCATTCAAAAATGTTTAGAAGCCCCTTATCCTTCCTGACAGGCATTTTCTCTTACAATTAGTTAAATTAGCAATTTTGTCACTAATAAAGCAAGGTCCCACTTTGTTTTTGGCAGTAAGTTTAATAGGGGTTTCTTAGAAATTAAGATATGGGAAGGGTGAATCATAGTTGCAAAGTAAACTGTTAGAAAGTCATGCAAAATACACTAACTGAAGACTCATGGTCAGAATCTGCCACATGAACTCAAGTAAGCATGGACACTAGGATTGTTTTTTTTTTTCCAAACTGTGCTCCTCAGAGTCCCCAGGCTTACTGGGAGGACTTTTGGAGGGGGATGGAGACACTACTGGTACCTAATGTTTCATTCTCCACCCCTTTCTGTTTCTTTGAAATGTTTTAACACCAAACGTGGTAGGCGGTTGTTACGGTTTGGTTGTGCCCCCTCTAAAATCTCATCTTGAATTGTAGCTCATATAATCCCCCACATGTTGTGGGAGGGACTCGGTGGGAGAGACTTGAATCATGGGGGTGGTTTCCCCCATAGTGTTCTTGTGGTAGTGAATAAGTATCACAAGATCTGCTGGTTTTATAAGGAGAAACCCCTTTTGCTTGGTTCTCATTCTGTCTTGGCTGCCGCCATGTAAGACATGCCTTTCACCTTCTACCATGATTGTGAGGCCTCCCAGCCACGTGGAACTCTGAGTCCATTAAACCACTTTTTCTTTATAATTTACCCATTATTGGGCACGTCTTTATCAGTAGCATGAAAATGGAGTAATACAGCAGTTTAATCTCCCCAAAGATGTCCATGTCCTAATCCCCAGAACCTGTAAATAGGTCACCTTACTTGGCAAAGGGACTTTGCTGATGTAATTAAATAAAGAATTTTGAGAGGTGGGGGTTATCCCGAATAATTTAATCACAAAGATCCTTATAAGGGAGAGAGGGAGGCAGGGAAGTCAGAGTCCATGAAGGAGATGTAATGGCAGAAGCAGAGGTTAGGCTGCTCAAAGGGGCCCTGAGTCAAGGACTACAGGCAGCTTCTAGGAGCTGGAAAGGCAAGGAAACAGATCTTCCCTAGAGCTCCCAGAAGGAATGCAACCCTGGTGACGCCTTGATTTTAGTCCAGTGAAACTCACATCAGACTTCTGATCTCCACAACTGTAAGATAATGAGTAGGTGTTGCTTTAAGTCATAAAGTCTGTGGTAATTTGTTGCAGCAAGCATAAGAAACAAATGCACTAATGGACTAAAACAAGTGTTTCACAACTTTCACATTCATAAGCTTTATCTGGAGTGTTTATCAGGTATCAGTTTTAAGCCTCCACCCCCCGAAAACTCTAATGTTGGTTGTCTGTGGGGAAACCTAAGAATCTGCATTTTTAATGAATGTATCTCCCCAACTCCATGATTCTGGTTCCAGTGTTTTACCATGACTGAAACCAGGATCACCATCAACAATCTTATGATAGCCAGGTGCAGTGGCTCACACCTATAATCCCAACACTTCGGGAAGACGAGGCAGGAGGGTCACTTGAGCCTAGGAGTCCAAGACCAGCCTGGGCAACATAGCACGACTCCTGTCTCTACAAAAATAAAAAATGTTAGCTGGGTGTGGTGACGTGTGCCTGTAGTATCAGCTACTTGGGAGGCTGAGGCAGGAGGATGGCTTGGACCTAAGAGTTCAAGGCTGCAGTGAGCCATGATTGCACCACTGCACTCCAGCCTGGGTAACACAGCAAGACCTTGTCTCAAGAAAAAATCTTATGTTCCTAAGTTTCTTTGGCAACAATATCCTCTAACTTGGCAGTGCACTTATGTCTACTAAGGAAAAACCACAAGGACTTTCCTTTTGTTCTTTCATCTCTATGACAAATTACCACAAACTTAGTAATTTAAAGCAACACATACATATCTTACAGGAAATCACAATGCTAGTTGGAATGACGTTTTGCAACAAGTGCCTCCTGGAAATTTCAGCTAACATCCCCAAGAAGGATGGATCAGTCACTGAATTTGCATCATGTTACACAGCAAGCTTCCAGTGTATCTTGTAACTCTGTTCATTGTGTCAGTGCATTTCAATGGAAAAGTTAATACTTGCTTCATCAAACGAATATTAAATGTAAGGGAATATAAGTCCTGGTCTTTCCATTGGAAGACCTAGATCAAACACTCTTCTCAGTCCCTGCCTGGATGTAATGTTCTGGGAGAGAAGTTTCTCCTCTCTGCACCTGTTTCCCATACAAACAGGATTTCAGTCAACAGTCCTTTAAGTTTCTTTGGCAATAAGATCCTCTAACTTGGCAGTCCACTAAGTCTACTAAGAAATAAACAAAAAACACTAGGACTTTCCTTTTCTCTTTCATCTCTAATCAATTTTATTTGTTTGCTAAGGACATTTATGATTATTAAGGTATTTCTTTTCCACTTTCAGGTCTCTGTTTTGCCAGGAAAATTATATCCTTCCAGAGATACACGTACACCCAGAATATGCATAGTTTCAACAACTGTTTCTTTAAAGCCACACCCTCTCCCCAAAGCCAATTGAAATAAAAGCCTGATGGCGAGGAGCGCAGCATACTGATAGGCTGGCAAGACGTTGAGTGCTAATGGTTGGCACACCCAGACTTCATTGTCTTCATCCCAAAGGCCAGCCTGACCAATATGGAGAAACCCTGCCGTCTCTACCAAAAATACAAAAACTTAGCTGGGCGTGGTGGCAGGTGCCTGTAGTCCCAGCTACTCAGAAGGCTGAGACAGGAGAATTGCTTGAACCCAGGAGGTGGAGGTTGCAGTGAGCCGAGATCCCGCCACTGCACTCCAGCCTGGGCGACAGAGCGAGATTCCGTCTCAAAAAAAAAAAAAAAAAAAAAAAAAAAAAAGGCACTGGGCAGGCATACAATGCACCACAGCAGGCTCTGAAAATGCTGCCAGAGAGTGAGCTTTTCAAAGCTAGATTTCTGATCAGACCCTACACTGTGGATTTATGCAACAGCATCCATGCCTCTGTGGGGTTTTTTTGTTTTGTTGTTGTTGTTGTTGTTTGCTTGTTTGTTTTTTCAGACAGAGTCTCCCTCTGTTGCCCAGGCTGGAATGCAGTGGCGGGATCTCAGCTCACTGCCCCCTCCACCTCCTGGATTCAAGCAATTCTCCTGTCTCAGCCTTCTGAGTAGCTGGGACTACAGGCACCTGCCACCACGCCCAGCTAATTTTTTGTATTTTTAGTAGAGAGGGCAGGGTTTCACCATATTGGTCAGGCTGGCCTTTGGGATGAAGACAATGAAGGTGGGGGGTGCCACCCGTTAGCACTCAACGTCTTGCCAGCCTATCAGTATGCTGGGCTCCTCGCCATCAGGCTTTTATTTCAATTGGCTTTGGGGAGAGGGTGTGGCTTTAAAGAAACAGTTGTTGAAACTATGCATATTCTGGGTGTACCTGTATCTCTGGAAGGATATAATTTTTCTGGCAAAACAGAGACCTGAAAGTGGAAAAGAAATACCTTAATAATCATAAATGTCCTTAGCAAACAAATAAAATTGATTAGAGATGAAAGAGAAAAGGAAAGTCCTAGTGTTTTTTGTTTATTTCTTAGTAGACTTAGTGGACTGCCAAGTTAGAGGATCTTATTGCCAAAGATATTTAAAGGACTGTTGACTTAATTCCTGTTTGTATGGGAAACAGGTGCAGAGAGGAGAAACTTCTGTCCCAGAACATTACATCCAGGCAGGGACTGAGAAGAGTGTTTGATCTAGGTCTTCCAATGGAAAGACCAGAACTTACTGAGGATTACAGGCATGAGCCACCGCGCCCGGCCGCCTGTGTTTTTTACCTGCCGTCTTTCCACTTCAGCCATGACATATGTAGCTCTTGCCTCCCCACCTGCCAAACACACCATTTTTAATTATTCTGTGACTCCTGGGCCATGCTGTTAATCAGCTCACTCCTTTGTTTCCCCTCCTTCTTTCTCTGACTGGCCATATCCTTATCAGTTCTTCGGTTTGGCATCACTTCTAGGACAAGACAAGTGACAAACTTTCTCTGCTCTGAGTTGCTCAAACCAGACCTGGAGCACTCAGATTAGTTTGTGGGGCATGTGAGAAGCTTGTTATTGTATCTCATGAAGGAAACTATGATGTAGGGTTAAGAACATGCACTTTGGAATCAGAAAAGACATCCGTTCAGATTTGGCTCTACCAACTACTACATATGAAAACTTAACAAAGACCCTCAACTTGCCTTTACTCTGGTTTCCTTATCTATAACATGAGGGTGACATTACTTAACTCAGATTACTATGGATATTAAAGATGATGCTTGTAATACACCTAGTACATATGAAATGGCTAATATGGTCATTTTTATCATTCATATTCTTCTCAGCCAACTACATGTTCAGAGCTGAGGTACGCAGAATGGCTAGACTCAAAATCACCTCATATAAAGACTTGTATCATCACAAATATTTGGCATGAAGAAAGAAACAGGCAGAGGACAGGATTGTTTTCTTCAAATATATCCAAAAACAAGAAAGAAAAATTGCACATGTTTTTGTCTATCTACTGAAAACAGAACAAGTCAACAAAGAATTTCTTCTCAGAATAACAAATAATTTTCTGGCCACTAGTACTGTATGAAAATGGAATGAACTCTCTTAAGAGGTAGTGAGTACCCCATGGCTGAAGGAATTCAAGGGAAGCCTAGCCAACCACTGGCGGGGCATGGGGGAGAGGGTAGAATTGTACAAGAGATCCGAGCATGGGATAAACCATTGGATTTTTATGACATTTAAAATGCCTTCCAAGTTGAAATTTTATTGTTCTGTGATTATTACCAGCTACAAAAGCAGATGCATGAGGAGATTTTTAAAAGGTGAAAGGGAAACCAATCAATTTGGCTCCCTGCTAGCAATTCTTGAAAGAGATAGATGGGCTAAAGAGGTTTACCACATTAGTAAAACTAAGGATTGGGCATGCAATGTTCTGCGTCTTCCCTTTCACCATGGCTCTTAAATGAGCTTTTCTTCGCTACAGTCCTGTAATGCCAAACTCATTATGTAAAACCTGAGTGGATGGATACATTGTGAGAGATGCTTTAAAATGTAAACTCAATGGCAAAACCCATTACATCAAATGATGTTTACTTAATTAGCTAAAGGTTTAAAGGAGTTAAAACAGGTAAACCATCCCTCTCCAGCTGAGAGATCATAAAAAGCGATGCAAAGGATGATAACAAGTATCCAAGGATTTATAAAATGTCAGGAGCCGTGAGCTAATGAGTATTAAGAAAGTGTACACACAAATGTTTTTGAAGTCTTAATAAAGGTTAGCAAATTGCTCTCTCACTAGACTGCTCTCTCTCGCTCGCTCGCTCTCTTTCTCTCCCTCTTTCTCAAAATGGTTCAAGACTATCTCATGGAAACAGGAAATTAGCAGTCTCATAATTGAAAAGAAAATGCATCAGACACTTTAGAAAACATTATTTAGGAGGGAAATTCAATGAAAGCATTTAAAACAAACCTGATTTTTACATGCACATGTGCAAATACACACAAATTAAAGACTAAGACTCCCAGAGCTAGATGTTGGTCTCAGGCCCTGACATCAATGCTGGGAACGACTTTCACTATGTAATTCTAATCACTTAAAGAAAAAATAGCAACCCGTAGTTTGCAAAGGACTTTTACAACTATCTTACTTCATCTTCACTGCAACCTCTGTTCAGTTAGCTGGGAAAATGTGAGGATAAATTGTATTCTTTCTTTCATATCTCAGGATCTGTGACCAACACACATTTTTAAAATACATGCAACTGGGCACAGTGGCTCATGCCTGTAGTCCCAGCAGCTTTGGGAGGCCAAGGCAGGTGGATCTCCCGAGGTCAGGAGTTTGAGGCCAGCCTGGCCAACATTGTGAAACCCTCATCTCTACTAAAAATACAAGAAATTAGCTGGGCCTAGTGGCAGACGCCTGTAATCCCAGCTACTCAGGAGGCTGAGGCACAAGAATTGCTTGAATCCAGGAGGCAGAAGTTGCAGTGAGCCAAGATGGTGTCATTGCACTCCAGCCTGGGAAACAAAGTGAGTGAGACTCTGTCTCAAAAACAAAAACTAAAAATAAAATAGCATGCACCACTAAGGACAAACTCAAAGTGTAAAATCAAAAAATGTTGATAGTTTTTATTTCAGATAATGATTGCACTGAAGTGTTTTCTAACCACATTTACAATATTCATTAAAAGACATGAGACAGGCCATGAATCCAGAAATTCTAACAATAGCCATTCAAGGACTTTTCTATCACCTAAGCATGCGTGTACTTCTGAAGGAAACATTTCATTCTTTGCAGGTTCCATTTAAGCTAATGAGAGTGACTCCAGTGTTATGCATTGGTGATAAGTTGTACATTTAGTTTTTAAAAGCCTTTAAAAAGAACGTGTATGTAATCAACATGAAATAAAAATCTATCCATTATCCCCTGATTCTATCAGCAAATGGTACTATGAATAGCACCTAATAAAAGAAACTGAACAAAGCCCTCTGACCAAGAAATAGTTGAGCTGGGCCCCAAATCACCTAAATTCTATTTAGAAGATTAGATTGAAACCAATTTAATCCTTAACAGAGGAACTAACATTAGACCTTAGCAGAGATAATAAGATAGGGTGATAAATGGTATTAAAGGTGACCATAAGCCTTATAGGACTGGAAAAGTCTAAGAACCATTCAATGGGCTGCTTTTCCAAGTAAATCACTAATGGTCACGAACCAGCTCAGCCACAGGTAGGTTTGGTTTGACTCAGGACTGAACCTGTGGAACTGAAGAGCGCAATTAATGGAACTTGGGAAGGATTAAAACTACCCAAATTTCCAGACCAATCACCAGCTGCGTGTTCATGGGATGAGTGTGTTCATGGGATGACCTGAAACCAATTACCCACTGCATGTTCATGGGATGAGCTGTGTTTTTCTCAAAGATACTTCCCCTTTCAAATTAGAATTTGGCGTGGTACAGCATTAAACTTTTCCTACTATTACTGGCAATAATACTAATATCTAACACTGACTAAGCACGTGTCATGTGCAGGAATCAAAATTCAGTACGCCAGGAAAAGGAAAGAGTTTAAGATTTAAGCCGCTGTCTTGGGTTATAAAAAAACAAAAATGGCAAGGCGTGAACAGCAAAAAAAAAGACAATGTCCACTTTTTTAGGATTTAAAAAAAAAATAGTAGTGACTCCTGGGTCTGGAGGAGATGTAAGAAACAGCTGTTCATCAAGGGCAGCTGAAGGCATGGGAGAGCCAGAGGCGCACAGGAAGCAGCCTGCCTGCTCACAGTTACAATGCTCCAGAATGCTTTTTGTTTGTGTGAAGGAATTTACAACCCGGTGATTCACACTGCAAAGCTTATACTTAGCTCTTTGCAATGTGTGCCAGCTCCTGGTGTTTTCCCATTCGCTCACTCAGATGTCAAGAGAAAGACAGAATAAAGGTCCAATAATAAGAACTTGAAGACAAACCACTATATTTGGATATAGATATAACCCTCTGTCTATAAACATAGTGTCCGTGAGGCGCAAAGCTGCTTAATCTTTCTCTCTTTGTAGGCTCCCAAATTCCATCTCGTTTTGCATCCGCTGTGCTTTGTACAAATGCCAATCCCCTCCAATTCAGCCCTGATGTCAAGTGACTAAGGGAAATACTCCCACTTCAACTCTCTCTCTTTCAGCCTTTTTGCTTCAAGTCTCCTTCAAACAAAGACTTTGCCTCTGATTCCTGGCCTGAGACCACTTTCTTAGATGTCACATAGCCTGGTGTGGCCAAGCAGTTATTTTATTTTTTTTAAAAAAGGTCAATGCCTAGATTGCCCCATGATGTAAATTAGAGAGTTGCAGCCTCATCGAGGTCGCCCAGTGATGCTTCCCAGTGAGAAAAGAACTACGGATTTCCATCTGTGTGTTTCATACCATTGGTGGCTATTGTTTAAATAAACATTACTTTGTATAGCTTCTTTTAAAAAATTCAATACATGTTGGTGCCTGGTTAAAAAGAAAGAAAATTGCAGTATTAAAAGACTAGTATTTTCAGAGTCTTGTGATGTAAATTACTAATTTAAAACCCAAAATATTGTTAAAGTGTCTTTATTTAATAGCAGGTGATTGCAAGCTGTAATTTGCAAGCTGTAGATGCAGATGGTAATGTTTTTCCTCCCTTTTCAGCAGTGCAGTACAGTATTTACTGCAGATCTATGCAGACACGGAACAGCCAACTGTGGAAGAAAACACTCTGGAGCAAGATCAACCCCAAAGTTTGTAAGACAAAGATGAGTTTTGAGACCTGCTCATCATATCTCAGCCAAGGCAAGGTCCTCTCTTCCTGGGTGTGGAGGGTGCTTGTTCATTAAAAGAAGCTGAAGGTGCAGCCTGTGAGTTTGTCTAGTGCCTGCAAATGTTAAAACATGTGCATGAAAGACCGGTATTTAATTTAGGCTTGACTTATTCATTCTGTGGCTGCAGATAACCTAAGGAAGAGAGATAATGTGGCTATAGGATTGGAAGATAAAATGCAGGGCACCTAGTTAAATGTGAAGTTCAGATTTTAAAAAATGAATACTTTGTTGGTATAAGTATGTTCCATGAAACTTGGGATAGACTTACACTAACAAATTACATGGCACATAATTGTATCAACAAAGTATTTGTTATTTATCTCAACTTCAAATTTCACTGAGAATTCTGTATTTTTATTTGCTACACCTCACAATCCTATGTAGGGAGAAAGGGTGATAAATAAATAACAACGTCATCTGCAGGCGAAGGTGATGGGAACTGGCATTTACTGAACACTGGCAAGGGACTCACCTTCTGCTTTCCCAGGTAATTAAGGCAATTACTTACCAGGTAGTTTTTTTTTTGTTTTGTTTTGTTTTTGTTTTTTTTTTTTGGCCAACCACATTTCAACGAGGACATAATTGTGGCTCAGAGAACTTTAGTAACTGTCCCAAGATCATACAGTTTACAAGAAGCCTGGATTTGGTGACCAAGGTTGCTATGACTTTAAAGACTGAGTTATTTCCAGAAAATGATCCTGCTATCTCACCTCTGTTAATTCTCTCCTACGACACTTAGGGAATTGGGAAGAAATACAGCACCCATTTCTAGCTCCAGTGGCTTCCCAACTCCCCAACCCCCAATAAATGCAAAGCCACAAACAAGCCCATCTGTCTTCCCAGTTATCTCCTTCCTCCCATCCTTACCCCAGTGGGCAAATAAAAACACTATTTGCCTGTTGAAGAGGAATCACAACTCTTTCTTAATTCATGTTATCCAAGTAAAGTCTTCGTAATTATTATATTCTCTTTTATCTTATTGTGGTCTTTTACAAAAAGACCTGGGAGGCTGGCCTTCTTTGGGCATTTACACTACTTTTGCAGGATTCCAGGAAGTGATAACACAAGACCCAAACAGGAACAAGGGGAAAGGGACTGTTGACTGTGTCCTCAGATATCATACCTCCTTTTGCACTTTTGCCGAGTCCTGAATGCCTTGGCGGTCCATCCCCTCCCCCATGACTCAGTAGGAAGTCCTGATTGACCTCCAGGGTTTTTCAACAGGTGTCATATTGACATTTGGACAAAATTATTTTATATCATAAAGGACTGGCCTGAACATTGGAGAACACTTCTTATTCCTATGTCCTCATCTGAAATACTCCAGACTGTCATTTAGTCACTTTGTAAACCAAGAACATCCCTGCACATTTCCAAACACCTCTGTTGGTGGAGAGGCACCTCCCCACGGGGCAGTCTGTTGTCCTTGCTGTTCACTGGTAGAGTTGGCAATATTCCTCAATTCTGGCCAATGAGACATGAGAGTAGGTCTGTTGGGGATTTCTGGGAAACATTTTCCCACACTATAAAAGAGGTGCAAGGAAGAAATGGTCTCTTTAACACGGATGGATGTGGTCAAGTCTGCATGTGATGTCTAGTGCTGCAGAAGCTATTTTTCACCCATGGAAACAAAAACTGAGAATGAAAAGATGCAGAGTACAAAAAAGGAAAAACACTGGCCCCCAGATAGTGTCACTGATCTGCTGAATTAGCAAACCCTGGAGCCACCCCACCTCGAGGTTCCTGTTAGAGTGGAATAAAACTGCCTTACTGTTGAAGCATCCTAAGTTGGGAGTGCTCAACCCACTAGCAACTTAGAGCACCCAAGCTTGCATGTGGTTACAAGAACATTGAACTTCTGAAAGGAGGATAAGGAAAGAACAATGAAGAGATTAGGGGAGTGTGAGGTGCTAGAGACATTGCTGGAGACATCTTTGGCATATTATGGTGCAATGGCAAAGAGGAGAGAGTAAAGTCAGGAAAATGGAATTTAAACCCTAACTTTATCACAAATTTGCTCTGTGATCTTTGATAAGGCACATTATCTTAGCCTTAAGTTTCTGACTGAAAAACAATCTGGATTAGATCTACAAACCTTGCCACTTCAAAGCCTGTGGGCCACACCAGACCTACTCTGTTTCTCACTGGTGTGTGGGCCCAGTAGCCACATATACCATCACATCCCATAATGTTACAGCCAGGCCTCTTCACTCATCTTACCCGCTCATTTCCCGGGCCATGTGAGCTCTGGGCCCCATTTAAACCCACTCCCTCCTATGAGACCCTGATACTGTGTTATGGCTCTGATATAAATGTCATTTGAGCCAACAATCAGCCTCAAGATCTCTGCTGTGTCTTTTTGCCTGCACCAAATGAATTTTATTCTAATTAAAATATCTAAGACTGATTGTGAGGCACCCACATTTAAATTACCTACATTCACTTTCAAGGAGCATTTACTATATCTTTTAAATAAAGAATGAATAAATGCTAACCTCGCACATTGCATTTCATCCTGTTCAACTTCTTATTAATGTTTATTTGCAGAAAAATAAAAATTACTTGCCCTCATTTACTGAAGGGTATTATATAAACCACTTAAATATAGTATTCTCTAGTGCCATCTAGGGGATTTCAGACCAAGAGAAAGAAATGGTTCAGCTGAAAGAGAAAAACAAACACTGAGAAATCAGCTATGACTCGCAAAGTAATTTCTTATACAAATCTGATTTTGGGTAATCTTTCATTTTCGTTTGGATAGCTGAGCAAGGTCACACATGGTACTGCACCTGAGGAACGCCTAAATGAGTAAAATGCGTGACCTCGTGCCCATGCTTTGTAGCCTAATATCTCACAAACATAACCTTGAGAGACAAAAGTTTCCCCACTGAAATCAATGCTTCTTTCTAAAGCCAAATCATGCAGAATTTGGTGATATTTTTAAAATCCGTTTTCTAGCTACCCAGTACCTAGATATTAATCATCAATGTGTAAGAATTCCAGCCAGTGCTCCTTGAAGCTAAAGAAAAAAACCCAGAGTGATTGACATTTTGCAAAGACTGTGTTCCTCCATCCTTAGCCCCTCACACAATGCCCAGCAAATAGAAGTCTCTCCTAAATGTTATTTAATGATATGGTATTGCTTGATTATGGAGCCGCCCACTTGTTTCTAATAACTGTATGTGACTCAATTGCAGTAGTCTGTGTTAACTTAAATAAGCACTTTTCTGGGAAGGTGTACATGCCCTCTTGTGTGATGGCCCTGTGCCAGATAGGCATTTTTCTCACACGTTATTGCAATCCTCCTTCCCCCAAAGCCAAAAAACATTTAATTCCCATTTTACAGATGACAAAACTGAGGCAAGTAAGTAGTATTACCTTCTCCAAGGTAGTACAATAAAAAAATGCATAAACAGGATTTTGAATCCATACTATGCTCTAGCCTCAACCAGTGTTCTTCCCCCACCAATGTGGAATTTCAAATGTAGCATTTAAACATGACTACTAAATGTCTTACAAACTGTTTCAATCAAAGGCAAAATGCACATCAGGCTGACACCACATGAAATTCCTGATACTCAACCATTTTCGACCTATAAAAAGAGCTAATGTGTGATCCAACAGAATATACTCCCAAATTCAAAGCTACTTTCCTTTCAAGCTGGTAAAAAGAAGAAGCTTTTGTTATGGTTATGTACCATTTCATTTAGCTTGAGTTTTTCATGATCTCTTCTCTAGTGCAAGCTCCAATTAATTAAACTGGGTTACCTCCAAGGATGCAACTTCCTCATGTATACTTATGTGATTGTCAAGGCCAAGACTCCTAAATATCACCTCCAGGTTGTATTAATTTTTATTTATCCCACAAGTATTTTGTGACAGTAGGTACTGGCAAGGCAGCTGCAACACCATTTGTTCATAGTCACTTTGTTTAATGTCTGGCTCTAATAAATGTTATTTCTCAGTTAGCTCATTTGGCTAGATTAGGTCTCCATGCCAGAGTGAAAAGAGGAAGATGATGGGATGGTCAGGAATAAGTGATGGGTGGAGAGATGTTTTAGAATGCACCTAATAATATCTTATTAGCTTACAGAAGTAAAAAGCACTGTCTGTTTAACATCTGTTCTCAGGCAACCCTAATGTAAACTTCAATGGACCCTGCAAAGGCCACGTACCTCAAAGTAAAGATGATCAAGGCTTATTGATTCCTGATCTAATAAAGCTAACGATTTCTGCTTACTATTCAGTCGAAAGCTAGTTGGTTTACAACAGGGATTTTATAGTCTACTTTTACTTTATCCCCAAATATTTTCTCTTAGTTTTTGACTTTCTAAATCAATAGGGACAAAAATAATTAATGTATAAGTATATACAGCCCCTTCCTTTTTCCTAACCCTCACGACTCCCCTCCCCCCGCAACACACACACACCCATAAAGCCCACAAAGGAAGCATTTTGCAGGGTAATCAAAGAGAAACGGGATGGGGAAAGAAAAGTGGAGTCCACAGAAATGGGTGTAGAGAAGCATTTCACAGAAAACTAAAAGACAAAAAGGAAAACAAAAATTGGGACAAATGAGTAGATACTGGCAAGCAGCTAGGAGAATGAAAGGAATAAAATGGCACTCGTTTGACGTTATTGAATAAATTCAAATAAAACTATAACATTCTTATTACTCCAGGACGTTGGACTATAGTCCTTTGACTATGACTCTGCAGTGAGACTGCGCTAGGGAGAGTCCCAGGATTTATTCATATTATGCTAATATGGTATATAATGAGAAAGACATCAACTGTGTCATATGGAATTAGCGGATACATTCCTGCCCCATCTCCTCTAGTGTTCTGGGAATTATTGCATAATTTGGTCTCTGATTTTTATTGCCCATTCTGCACAGCATCCTGACAGTCCAAGTCTCCACTGATTCAATATGCCCCTTGCCCTCAATAACTCCTCACTCCAAAAATAGCCTCACAGTATCAATTCTTAGTTCCTCTAAACAAGAGGAAGTTTGTAGGTACCAAATGGACAGACCCCAATAACAATTAGGATTATATTTTTAGTGGGATTCTACCCAACAGAAGGTACCCATTAACAATGCCTCAACACGTCTGCAAATCACCAAGATGTTCGCTAAACCAAATATCCCAGAGATCCCTCCTCAAAGATGATGAAACCCAGACATCACGCAGTTGAAGCCTCAGTGATTTTCCTGACAGCCTTATTCTTACACTAAAAATCTTCTCTTGGTAATAACAGTAGCAACTGCCTTACAGATTTCTTTTTTTCATATTTTTTTTTCTTTCTGTTGACTTGGCTGAAGAGACAGACACTAATGATAATTCGAAGACCTCATTTAATCCTCTGTAACACCTTTTATCACTTGATTATCATAATCTGTATCACTATTTTTGAAAATCAACTAACGTCACCAAGCCCCAATTTTACCAGTATACAACAACAAAAAAGAGGATATTACAACATTCCTTTTTCCAATATGGTTTTCTGTATTCTGTTGGATGCTTTGAAAGGCATATTACTCTTGACTAAACTTTCAGCATTTAAGTACTGTGTTTAGTTTATAGTATTAAATATTCTTGATATAATAAGTTCAGTATTGACAACTTGGATGTGTTGAAAAGTACACTGGCATTGGAATTGAAATACCTGGGTTAGTTAAGCTTCTACATTGTCTACAGCTACTAGTTTCTTAACTAGTATGAAGTAAGCTTAAATAAATAACAATTTATCTGATCTTCATTATCTCATCTATAAATTGAATATAAGAAAATTATGTTAACAAAGGTAGGAGAGTGATTGACACAAATACATTCAAACCTCAGTGGCTAAACACAATGGAAGGTCACTTCTTGATGTAACAGTTAAGTGTGGACATTTAGCTTGCTCTACTTCAATATGTCCCTTGCCTTCAATGACTCCTCACCTCCAAAATCTCCTCACAGTGTAAATTCTACATTCCTCCAAATAAGATAAAGTTTGTAGGTCTCAAATGGACAGATGCCAATAACAATTAGGATTATATTTCTAGTAGGATTCAAATCTGCAAGATTGAAAGAGCTGATCCCTGAGTCACTGCGTGGAGGACTGCAGTGACTCGGGGATCAGGCTCTTTTAATCTTGTGTATTGGTCAGCCCCTTTACTGTTTGTTAAGGGCCAGATAGCGAATATTTTAGGCTTTATAGGCCATATGTCACAACTACTCAATTATGCTGTTGTGGTGCAAAGGCAGCCATTGACAATAGTAAACAAATCAGTGTGGCTAGTTTCAATAAATCTTTATATACAAAAACAGGTGGCAAGCCAGATTTTACCAACTGGCGCTAGTTTTTAGAACCCCCTCCCCTCCACTGTGGGTTATTGAAGTCATCTTATGGATTCTTTGCAACCAGCTGGTTGATGGGGGAAAATCAGAGCATGACGAACGGCAGGAGTTTGTAATGGGCTAAGCTTAAAAATAGCATAGCATGGCCAGGCACAGTGGCTCACGCCTGTAATTCTAGCACTTTGGGAGGCTGAGGCAGGTGAATTCCTGAGCTCAGGAGTTCGAGACCAGCCTGGGCAATATGGTGAAATCCATTCTCTACTAAAATACAACAAATTAGCCGGGCATGGCAGTGTGCACCTGTAATCCCAGCAATTCAGGAGGCTGAGACAGGAGAATCATGGGAACTCCGGAGGCGGAGATTACAGTGAACCAAGATCATGCCACTGCACTCCAGCCTGGGTGACACAGTGAGACTCTGTCTCAAAAAAAAAAAAAAAAAAATCATAGCATATTTCACTTCTGCCCATTCCATTGGCCAGGACATGGGCACACCTAACTTCAAGGAAACCTGGGAAATAGCTCGTGTTTGCCCAGAAGGAAAAGAAAATCAAGTTTTGTGAATTAATAACATTCTCTACCAAAAACACTTTCTTCAATGGTTGCGGAGAGGGTCATATGAGATGATGAGTGTGCAAAACTACTTTGTAAACTATAATCTGCTATGCAAATGTAGAATGCTATTTTTACTATAATTACTATATGCAATATTTCTATGAATAACTCACCACCAGGGAGGGATAGCCTCTTTAGAAAGAAGAGAGCTTATGGGTATAAAAGGCCCTTAAAATTTTTAGATCAAGCAGAATGTGCAGATTAAACCCTCCAAGCCAAAGAATCATGACCCTTTCCTCTAACTTGCATGCCTTGAAATGCCCTGAAATTTCCTCTTCCTCCATGGTAAAGACAGATTTGGATGCATAGAGGCAATTACTGCAGCACTTTTTTTGGTTATCTCTATAGTCAGATTATTTGCTGTAAAACTGAAGTTCATTGATAATACCCTTCATTGCCAGAAACAATAAGTTGAAAATATAAAATTGCAGCTATCCATAGTATTAACTAATTAAGTAGAAATCCATGCTTAATATTCTCCAAGAGTAAAGCTCTGTGCTGGGGAGATAGGACACATCGGAAAGCATATAAGCTAAGATAAAAACAATTCTCAATGTGATCCCTTCAATCAGATTATGAAGGTCTCACTTCTAAACCATTTAATGTTTGAGATCAGGTCATAGTTTTTTTTATCAACAGCCTTTTTCACAGAGTAGCATGAGCAGCACAATTATTTCACTAATTTTAAAGGGTTTCTCATTTGTTTGTTTTCTTTGAATGGTAGAATTAATCATGGAGAAAGTGAAAATGCCAAAGATTAGAATGAATTTTTATAAGATAGGGGGATAAAATATGGATGATTCATTTATTTACCTAATTTTTAGCAAATTGACAAATTGAAGGGACTTCCTATGAGGCAATTAGCCATCCATCATTGGTTGTTTCGAACAAAGCAAGCAAATGAGACATTTGAAGGGATTTGTAGACTGTGGGAGGTGGAGTGTAGACGGCTATGTTGACAAATAGGGACAATGGTGCCTTACTAGAAGTGGTGACCTGGTTAGGTACCTATGTTTCTATGATATGTAATCTCTTCACTTCTAAATAGCTAGTGCTCAATGGATAGGTGTGCATAAGGTCTAGTTTGCTCAAGAAAGTCCCAGTTTTCACTGGTTCCCCAGCATAACTATTAATAGTGTCCTCATGCACACTCCAGAGTGTCCCAGTTTGGAATGATTCATTATGTGGACATGCTGTCCATGGATACGTGTTCATGGCTTGATGTGCAGAACATGGGGAGACGGCACTCAAGCGGCCTCTTAATAGCCACACTCAAGAGGCTTGAAACCTGAAATGCTGAAAGAACTAAGCATAGAGAAAGCAACAGGATCCATGGGCCCATAAGTGAAGGACTGGTTCTAGCCATTTCTCTCCCATAAGCCTGGTGAGAAAACTCCTCAGCAGAGAGAAAATGGCCAATAAGCACTGATTTGTGAGCTGCCACTGCTAGAAAGAAGAGGTGATTTGAGAATCTGTATGAGCCTTATGAGCCACCATTGCAAAAAAAACCTGGACTTTTGCACCTAAAATAACTTCTCAAAGTTTATAAAGTTCCAGAGTTCCTATTTCTCTTTCAATGTCTCTAACCATCAACTAAATCATTTCCTTATATTAGCCTACGGTGATTTTTTTTTTTGGTATTTGTTCATTGCCTCCTGATTGATTCTGAACTTTATTAATCATAATGATAAAATTTCAAATGGCAGGAGTTCAGAGGGAGCTTCGACAACATCCAATCCCACACTCCTCAAGATGTAATACACAGAGAGAATGAATGGCTTCCTCCAAAGCATTGGCCTTTGGAAGCCTATGATGGCTCTATTCCAGTCTCTAACTCTTTACCAGTATTCCTACCTCCTCTATCCAAGTCATCACAGACATCAGTGCCTGCTTCCTTGTGGTCATCAGTTCCTGCATTTTTAGGTAGCATTGACACTGGAGAGGTGTTCTTCTCTCCAGGAGATTTGGGAAAACGGAAATGAGCTTAGCATTCGGCCAGAGAAAGATGACTGTTCACCTAAGCCATTATTTTTAATTTTATGGATAATGAGAAAACTCTTGGGTTTTTTTGCTTTTGATAAGGCAGCATTCATTCATTAGTCAAAAGCAAATGAAATGCTTGCCTTTCTCTTAAACTCTCTCAGAACTCATCCTCTTCCTGGGTTGGCCAGAAAAAAACCTCTCTAAACTCCAAAATGATCTTTCCATTTGTTCCTTGTTGTATCCCCACAAGCTGACCTAGTATCTACTGCTGAAGGTGCTCTCTCTATATATATTTGTAAATTAATAAGTTAATGAAGGAATGAACACATTCACCAAGGTAACATAGAGCCAAAAGATAAGAGTGTGTTGGGCACTATACAGCCATATGTGTCCTGCCATAGATTATGCCTCATTGTTGCCAAGACTCCTAATGAGTTGAGGAATCACTAGAATACAGGTGCCCAGAAAGACCCAGAGCTGCCTAAGAAATAGAGCTAAGCTAAGACAAATAGGAGAGACATATGCAGAAAACTCAATGACACTACAAAGAAAAGAGATCCCTTCCTAGGGGAGAATATTAGCATTGCAGAAAAACTGTGAAGAGACATAAGAGGTAAATTGTTTATTGAGGAGGATGGTAGCAATTTGGGTATATAAAGGTGAGAATGAAGGCTGCCGCAGGCAACATAAATGTTAACTCAGCCTAGCTCAAATAATAAGATGCTATATTTTCTGATGTAACTGGTAGTCCCGGGCAGGTAGGCCTCTGGGTTGAATGATTCGGTGACTCAAAATGTTATCAGACATCCAAGTTGCTTCCCTTGGCTCTACAGAGTTCTCAGAACCAATATGACCTCTGAATGAGAGCATGATGACTAAAGCAAGTGTCACATCCAGATAATAATGCCCACAGGAAGAGGAGAGGCAGTCACTCCCCATGGCACTCTCTCTATTTTATTTATGTATGTGTTGTTCATTTATCTTTGAAGAATGCATGCTCTTTATTACTATTAATGAGGTTTGTAATCCCCTGACTACAGTTTTCTCCCAGAACCTGAGCAAACATAATTCTCAGAGCAAGAATTTGCACCTTTCTTTTGCCAGCAAAGAAACTTTTCCAAGGAGTTCTCAGAATCTTTCCCCTCACATCTCATTGACCAAAATTGGATCCCATGACTATTCCTATCACGTTACTCAAAAGACAAATGGAAATCTCCCTGCTACCCTTGTAGGGTTGTAATCAGCTTCTGCTGAGGCATATGGCTGCGTGGAGAGGGGTAAATACCTAAAAAATAAAAATAAATTTTAAAAAATTTTCTAGGATGGAGGAAGAAGAGGAAGCTACTGTGTGAGCAACCAGAATGAGAGCGTCAATGAAAAATTAGCAACCTAGGTTAGCTCTGGAACATGTGAAGATTGTAGTAATCCTAAGAAAAATATCTTAAATGAGCATAGTGCTTGACAGTTTATAAACCCTTCCAAATTTCGGAAGCAGATAAATACTATTATCCCATTTTTACTGATAAATAAATCAAGATTCAACTGACTGACCTACAAAGTGTAATAGTTAATAAGTAGCCACTGTATGTGAGAAGTCAAACATTTAGTTAGTAAAGATTCATCTGACTCCCCGAAATAAAAATTCCAAGTTAGAGAGTTGTAGAAGGAAAATTCCAAGCAAATGGCGAACACCATGTGAAGCTGTAAGTTAAATAAATTTCACTTCTAACCACGTTATTTTTGGTACATCATTTATTCTTTTGTTTATTTATTCATTTATTCAATAGGTTGTTACATGCAAGGCAAATTGTCCAGAGCCTGGGACTAAAGAGGTGAAAAATTATTTCACTTATGCCTGCACCCCTGAGTTCACAATACACCAAGCAAGATTCAAAGGTAAGCACTGACCACATTTCCTAATTTGAACATGTTATCTATTAGAAAACATGTACATAACATTGAGGGAGGGGAAGCAGAGCAAAGAAATGTAACATTCAATGTACACGTTGACTGTAAAATATTATATATTTTCCATGTATATGTAATACATATACATTGCAGAATTGTTCTAACCTAGAGGCAAAAAACTATCAGAAGAGGAGAGGTCTGGCAACCACAGCACAGCTGAAGTGTTATAACAGTGTACACACAAAACGCTTCATGGAAACACAACACGAGTTTACAATCCACTCCCAAAGAGGACGTGGGGGATGATGTGATAGAGGTGGCACTTGAAATACAGGCAGTAAAAAATGAGTTGGTGCTTTCTAGATAGAGACAGTACATTCTAGGAAGAAAAAACAACACAACTAAGACATAGGGACAGGAAGCAACCGTGAATTATCAATTAATTGTGGCTTTAGACCAGAACCTTCCTTATGGATGGGAAGAGAGAAATGGGGGTGGGAGGCTGATGGAGGGAAGGAAGGCAGGAGAGAGAGAGAGAGAGAGAGAGAGAGAGATAAGCTGGGTAAACATACAATCTAGTTCTCCCCCTCATGAGATATTCAGCTTCCCAATTACTTATTGAGTCACTTGGGCCAAACCCCTCAGGATGGGAGTCCCGGGCCCACCACTCTTTTGCCTGGTTGTGTCACTAAACTTTTCCAAGCTTCATTCTCTGTACAAGCAGCAGAGTACCCATGCCTACCTCCTAGGAAGAGCTCTCAGGATACATGATGCTGCTTATGAAGAACAGACCTCAGTGCTTGGCACATGGTAAGCATCCAATAAATGGTAACAAGCTAACAAAAACAAGAGAAGGACTCTATCCTTCAGTCTTCACACTCAAAGAAGCATCCCTCTCAGGTGCCAAACACACCCCTTCAGGTGAATGAGGTGGCAGACTGTGACCCTGACAGTAGAGACATTCCAGTGGACCTCACTTCTGCAGCCACTCCTGAAAAGAAGGCGGAGATGAACCTGGGGAAGAGTTGAGTGGAGCTGACAGAGGGAGAGGAAGAGAAATACATGCAGCACTGCCCGGTGATTCCTGGGTGCTGGTGAGAGGATGTACCCTGAGGTGTGATCAATTTCAAAATGAGGACACTAGCATCCACTTTTTATTTGAAGATGTCTGCAATTGAGAGGCTCACAAACTAGCCCCCCTCAGTGGGCTGTGAGGGACCCAGATTGAAGTCTGTCTCACTGACAGAGGGGCATCCATCCCATTCCCTGTGCTCTGGAGGCACTGAAGGCCACTTGGTATATCTCTGGACCCCTGAAGGGGGAAGCATAGAGAGTAGGGGCACATAGTCCTGGCAAGCCACTCTGAACATCAGCCCAGAAGGTAGGCATTGAGGGCTGGCAGAGCCCAAAGGGAGAAGTGACAGCTCCCTCACCAGAAAGCAGAAGTAATGCTGAATGCTACTGGGGTATCGCTGGGAATGGGGGGCCTACGTGCACCACATCATCCAGGACCGCTCTTCCAGCTGAGAGCCCTGACATTAAGCCAGCCAGCCAGAGGTGTGGATGCCTCCCAGGGCCCTGCCAGCTCCCAGCTGTCATTGCACCCAGCCTTGAACAATGGTAACAGTGGGAACCAATGCAGTGATGATGTGAAATTAGGAGCCGGTAGAAACTCAGATGCAGTGGACTGAATTCTTGTGTCGCCCCAAAATGCAAACATTAAAATCCTAACCTCCAAGGCGATGGTAGTAGGAAGTGGGGCCTTTGGGAGGCCATTAGGTCATGAGGGCAGAGCCATCATCAGTGGGGTTAGTGCCCTTAGAAAAGTGACCCCAGAGAGTTCCCTTGCTCCTTCTGCCATATGAGTCTACAAAACAAAAAGACAAGAACAGGAAGCAGGCGCTCCCCAGACACCGAATCTGCTAACATCTTGATCTTGGACATCCAGCCTCCAGAGCTATAAAAATAAGCACTCAGTTTATGGTATTTTGTCATAGCACCACGGATGGACTGAAACACTAGGAAAGGAATTACATATGCAAACCTTCTCCCCATTAACCCAGATGCCATCCTGAAGGGGAAGAAGAGAAGGAAGAGTAGAGCCTTGAATCTCACTGAATATCAAACCAAAAGACTAAGCTTTAAATCATTTGAACTTCATAGCTCAAGATTCTTTTTCCTGACACAGGGGAAAATGGAAGGGCTCATAAGCTAAGAGGAGTTCAATCACAGAATACACAAGTGTTGTACACTCTAGTTGTTCCCAGTGGATGAGGATATTAGAGCAGTAACACTTAACATTTATTGAACCCTTGTTTTTTTTTATAATCGCAATATTCAGATTTTATTTGGAAATTGGAAGTACTAAGCTACTGTGCTTTTTTATGGAAATTTTTATTAATCCAACACAGCCATGTCCAAGACTGCAAAGCTTTTAACCAAACTGCAGACATTCTGATAGTCTTTATTTGCTTATTCTAACTCTCTTGTTTAGTTTGAACCCTTGGTTTTGCTAGGCATTAAGTACTTACATGACTTACCAAATTTATTCCTATTTCACAGATAAAGAAACTGTTATTCCTATAGGAATCTCATGTTATTCCTATTTCACTGATAAAGAAACTGAAGTAGAGTGGTGAAGAGCTGCATGATTCAAATCTCACGTTCTTACTCTCTGCAGTAAAAGCAGAGGTGATAGTTAAAGGAGGAGGAGAGTAACAAGCTCATTCCTTCTGTGTCTTGAACAGAGCAGCAAAGGTCACCGTGATGAGAGGTGGGTACAAGTATGGCCTAATACCCATGAAACACGATCCAGCAAAACCATGGCTTTCCCCAGTCCATGGGTTCTGCCCTTCTAAGTCAGATGAGAAGAAAAGTGATGTTCCCACGCGAACTCGTGACAGGTTTGAACAATGCCTGTCTGTCCCAATTTTTGGTGATAGATTCTCCTCTCTCTATGATTTGGATCCCAGCTTCCAGGCTTCCCAGCTACGTAATCTTGCAATTCCATAAACCTGAGTAACTTCACTTCCCCACACCTCAATTTCCCTATGTGTACAAGAGGACTCACAATGCCAACGTTTCAGGATGGTAATAAGGACTAGACAGAGCACTTCACATCTGGCACAAGGTAAGTTGTTATTTTCAGCATCCTAAGAGCCTCACCCTCTCAAATACCAGTTCAGTGAGAAAGCAAAATTTCTCTCACCGATACATGAAAGGAATAGGCAAGAACTTAAATGTGTTTGCCTCCCAGGGCATTTTACTAGCAGCATCTCGAAAATCAAACCACCTTTGAAACTACAAAGTCATCAGTTTCTAATAGAAAAATATAAAATTCCCTGTACAATGAGTTATAATTCCAATTTAGATATTCTGTGGGCCAAATGATTTTTATAAAACAATGAAAACAGTTTTTAAGTTTTCATTTATTTCCACTCTATCTCTTTTTAGAAAGAATTTGAGATTGCAAAGAAACAAAGACAACATAAATTTTGAGATCAATTAAAAAAAAAAGAAACAGAAAATTGGAAATCAAGAGAGAAAATGGAGTCAACTTGCTCTTAAAAGCAATCACCCAGAGTGACAGATCCTAAATGTCAACTCTGGATCTGAGCACCTTATGAGCTAAGGAAATAGTATTTGTATTGTTTCTAGAAATATATACTTTTAAAGCATTTTCATATACGGTTTTATTTGTTCCTCACAGCAATCAATGAGGAATTCCCATTTTCGAGATAAGAAAACTGAAACCCTGAATATGAAACCATCTTTTTTGATCCCACTGCTATTGGCCAAGACCCAGGGGTCCTAAATCTTTGTTCAATGCCTTCTGTTACTTCATGACCCCCTATTTAATAAGGGGTAGAATTTGGAAGCAGGAAATCGCTTCAGAGGTTACCTAGTCCATTTTTTTAGAGAGCTGGTTTCAATAACACATGCGTGTTGATATTTATGTAAACAGGATTAAATTTCATAAAATAACATTAAAATGTATTATGACCAGAAGAACACGCTTGACTACACATCTGGCTACTTTCCTTCAGGTTTGAGGTAGGCCTGTTTATGACACAGAAATAACAGGAAGGACAAATTATGGAAGTGACCCCGGTCACTTTTGTTTTCTCATTTAGGGCATCAAGGGTCTAACCAGATTCACGTTATCCTCACTGATAAGTCATGAGTTTGGCATTTTTTTGAAGACTCTCCATGGTTAAATAAAGCTTAGCAACATCGTCTTCCTGAAGCAGTTCTCTTCTAGTCATGATTAGCCTTTTCTAATGATTCTGCTCAGCTAGGGTTTTTAGTGTTTTTTAATTGCATATTTTATGATATTTTAATATTATGTTTATTCATTATTAATCATCTTTATTATATTTTAATTGTCAATGCAGCATTCTAAGCAGGGAGAGGGAGCACTTCACAAATAAGAATATTAACTTATGTGCCTTAAAATAATAATTCGGATTTTAATAAAATTATTCCCCTTAATAGGTCTCTGTGGAAAGTAAAACCCCTGCCCTTTAATAAACTAATGAAATATGAAGTGAATATATTAGGCATTGTGCTTACTTCTAACTAAAAAATTTTAAGCAACAATAGAAAATCTTCAAAATGGTTACCTAAAGGCAAGCTGCCTATTCCCTCTCAAAACCATTCTAGGAGTTGCACACAGGGATAAAAATCTAAGCACATTGTCTCTCATGCCTGCATCTGTCAGGAGGATGAGCAAATCGGCACTTCCCATCCCACTGTGGTCTCCAAAATCACTCTGTACCTGACACACCCCAGTAACAGGAAGGGGTTATCTGTCAGCACACAACTCCACAAAACATCCTGAGTTTCAGGGCCATTCAAGGTGCACACCCGTAAGTCATCATAGTGCCCACTGGTGACACTGGCTACCACCCAAGGATATCATAGCACTCTAGAAAAATCAGGTAAGCCTCATAGCTTCTCTGCCCATGGAAGGGACTGCTGGTTCAGTACTATGAATGGGGGGAGTTGAAGGGAAGGGGGAGTTGAAGGGAAGGGAGAGGAAGCAACTTTTGCAATGTTTCACAGCTACCATGGAGATCCATATGGAGAAACACGGCAGGTTGAGTCTGTCTGGCCCCTCATTAAACACAGACTGTGCTAGTTTCTCTAACAAATGAGTGAGCCATGGAGAGGGGCTGGGGAAGAGACACCTTGGGACTTAGAAAAACAGAATCAGAAAGCCTAGTGTTGGCAGGTATATCTAAATAGTTTATACCTGAAAGTGCCCAAGAACCACTTTCTGTTTTTCAACCTTGTATGCTATGTCCCTGATTTCACACCGTCTGTCCACCTTCCTGACTCCTGGGTTCCCACTTTTGATCCCCACAGCTTCAGGCTGACTCCCTGGCTTTCAATCTCCTCATCCCTCCAGTAGACAATTATGGGGATGATATCCCTGACACCTGCATCCCATCGAGGGCAGTTCCTCACCCTACTTTAGTCCAATCAGATCAGAGAGGAATCAGTCTTTAGGCAAAAGAGTGTGAAGAAACTCTTGGATTCCCCATTGAGTTCTTCTACTTCTCTATTATGAACACAGGAAAGAAGTCGTGTGTGTACTTTTAAGTGAATTTACTTTTTTGTATTGCTGCCAAGGCTTAATTCTTGGCAGCAATACAAAATGTTAATGTTAATTCCATTCATTGATGTATAGCTTTCTTGTCACAAAAATTTTAATAATCTGCTCTCATTTTGTAATCAGCGGCAGTAATTTGGGGTGCTGGCATGACTTCTTCAGGGAAGAGGATACTACAGCCATTTGAAATTAACCTAATATTAACATAATACCCCAACATCATTTTAAAATAGCGTTATTATAATGGGCATAACTGTTACTGGTAGGGTTTTAACATGTTCCTGTAAGTCTCGTTAATTTTCTAAATGCAAAATCTATTTTAAAAGACCCTTAATAGAAAAGAAATACAAAAGTCACTGATCTTCCAATGTAGGTGGAGGTTTTTTGGTGTTTTGTTTAGCTTAGTTTGTTTTTTAATTAACTGTTAAAACAATTTCTTTCACATTACTTGAATGTTATCCTTTGGGGTCTCAGAACAAACCAATTTACTTCAATAGAATCACTGCCATCATTCTGTTTACAAGGCCAAAGTTCATCGGAGCATGATTACTAAAAACAGCTATCCAGAAAAAAAGAAAAGTGACTTCCATGAACTCTCAATTAATGTTATATCTTACACCCCCCACTTCTTACACACACACTCACTCATTCACACTCACACACACTCACTCCTTGCAATGTAATTGCAGCTCTTGACATTTTTAGAAAAGCATTTAGTAACTGATTATGAGAATGGGTCTGTCTCACTCTCTAAATAACCCATTAAAATTTCACTGTGAAACCTTCTATTACAACATCCAACCTCTGGGGTGTCATGAAACTCAGCCCAAGGAGAACAACAGAACTGTAACATGTTGAGACTAAAAGAAACTTTTCAGGTCCCTTAGCTCCAAGTTCTTACTTTACCAATCAAGAAGCAAAGTCTAATGAAAGATGCCAGAATCACAAAGACCATTGCGGCCCCGTTAGCAATAGCAGAACCCACTTCAAAGAGCAGCGGGTAAATATAAGAAGTAATTTTTTTTTCTTTTTAAGATGGAGTCTCGCTCTGTCGCCCAAGCTGGAGTGCAGTGGCACGATCTCAGCTCACTGCAACCTCCACCTCCAGGGTTCAAGCAATTCTCATGCCTCAGCCTCCCAAGTAGCTGGGACCACAGGCATGCACCACCACGCTCGGCTACTTCTTGTATTTTTATTAGAGATGGAGTTTCATCATGCTGGCCAGGCTTGTCTCGAACTGCTGACCTCAAGTGATCCACCCACCTCAACCTCCCAAAGTGCTGGGATTACAGGCTTGAGCTACCGCGCCCGGCCATAAAATTCTCTTTAGTCAGGCAGCAGGAAGGACAATTCCTGAACACATAAAGCTAATTTCTTTTTCTTTCCATCATTAACTCTCAGAGGAAACTGGTAAATCAAAATGTCTTTACAAGTGAGAGAAACAGACAGGGATGACAGCAACATAAAGCTTGAATTCTGAGAATTATGCTATAAAACCAACACAATTTAAATGATGTTAAATATGCAGAAGAGGCTGGGCGCAGTGGCTCATGCCTAAAATCTGAGCACATTGGGAGGCCGAGGGGGGCGGATCACCTGAGGTCAGGAGTTTGAGACCAATCTGGCCAACATGGTGAAACCCCACCTCAGCTAAAAATACAAAAATTAGCTGGGCGTGGTGGCGGGCACCTGTAATCCCAGCTACTCGGGAGGCTGAGGCAGGAGAATCACTTGAACTTGGGAGGTGGAGGTTGCAGTGAGCCGAGAGCATGCCATTGCACTCCAGCCTGGGCAACAAGAGTGAAACTCCATTACAAATATATATATATATATATATATATATATACATGCAGAAGATGCCTTAGAGACAAAATGATTTGGAGTAAACAACCAAGATTTTTAAAATGGATCCTCTATAATAAAAGGTACTAGCTTATCTAAAAAATGAGTGTGCCAAGGATAAGAGATGGGAAAGAGACACCCTGGGACTTTGGAAAACAGAATCAGAGAGCCTAGCATTGGCAGGTTAGTGGGGCCCTAGTTCATGATCTTGAGCCTTCCAATCCCCGTGTGTCCCTCTTGTGAAGACACCCTGGGCTATCAGCCGTTGTTATTAAACATTTATGTCCTAAGACTATCTCCCCTTGTTCTACCTCTGTGCTCACCAGACAAGCCTCTCATTTTAAAATCACTTCCAGAATAGATTTTCCAGCATTGTAGTCCAGTTATATAGGTAGTTAAACTTATCTTGGTAAATTACTTAAATTGGCATTCAAGTTGATATTTTCTTGCTTGTAGGTTTGCCTCTTTTAAGTTAGTTTATTTGAATCTAGCTTATAGAAACGATTGAAAAAAATAAAGGTATAACTGAACAGTTGAGACCTGAAACTGCCTAAGAACCATTTTCTATTTTTCAGCCTTGTATGCTGTGCCTCTCCCTCGGGATCATGGATTTCCAGATTTCCCACTATCCACCCACTTTCCCCACTCCTGGGTTCCCACTTCTGATCCCCACAGCTTCAGGCTGACTCCCTGACTTTCAGTCTCCTCACCCCTCCAGTAGGCAATTATATATCCTTAACATCTGCCCCCCATACAGGGCAGTTTCTCACCTTACTTTAATCTACTCAGATGATGGAGGACTCAGCCTTCAAGCAAAAGTGTGAAGGTAACAAATTAGAATGAGACCCTAATGCCTTCATTTTTCTTCATCACCACTCTCTTCCCCAGACTCAGTCAGAATATATTTTTTTCTCAATCCCAGAGAGATACCTTCTGACTTTAATCCCTAAAACCCACCAGCAGCCTTCCTGTTATTATTAATGAGAAGGGTTCCTGGATTCTGTATCATCTATGGGTTTGGGAACCAGAAAGTCTGGGTGATAGGTTAAAATCCTTTCATTAAACACTCAGGATCCCCTACGAAAGTCATCTTGGACAGCTCCATAGAGCTTGAGAGCCAGAAAGGACCTCAGAGATCAAATAATGTAACCCCATCTATTCCATTATGACTCCATTTATATAGCAAGACTTCTCCGAAGACACATATATTAGAAATGAAACTTAATAAATGATTCTGACCCTCAAATTTAGGTCTTTTTCTTATCCTACCAGGCCTCTCCTTTAAGTCTTAATTTTATTAGCAGCCAAAAAAGAAAAGGGTCAAACATAAAGGAACTCTTACAAATGAATGTTTAAAATACAACAACCTCAACAAGACTTGCAATATAACTTTCTTTTCCATATTTCACCTGAAGTTGTGGAGGGAAGGAACTATTAAGACAACTGATATGGTTTGGTTTATCCAAATCTTATCTTGAATTGTAGCTCCCGTAATTCCCAGGTATTGTGGGAGGGACCCAGTGGGAGATAATTGAATCATGGGGCCAGTTTCCCCCATACTGTTCTCATGGTAGTGAATAAGTCTCATGAGATCTTATGAGAAGTTTTCCCTTTGGCTTGGCTCTCATTCTCTCTCTTTGCCTGCTGCCATGTAAGATGTGCCTTTTGCCTTCTGCCATGATTGTGAGGCCTCTCCAGCTATGTGGAACTCTGAGTCCATTAAGCCTCTTTTTCTTTATAAATTACCCAGTCTCAGGTATGTCTTTATCAGCAGCATAAAACAGACTAACACAGCAACTTTAATTTTCAGCAAGTTCTGCTAGCATTGCTCAGCTGATAAAAGGTAAGACTGTGTCTGTCACCACAGGAAAAACATCCTACATGAGAATGAAGCCAACACAGAAGGTGGATCAGAAAACAGGAGATGTTAATAGCATTCTGACAATGTCTTTGGGACATTTGGAAACAGGTAAGTCTGAAGCTAGGTCTGGAAGTACACCTGAACATTTCAGTAATATGAGGTAAAGAACAAAAATCTCATTTTTACTTAAAGTAGTTTAAGTGATAGCTCTCTCACCAGAAAAAGACCTGATGCAATGATGAAGTCTTCATGCTGTCTGAGGGCAAGCAAGAGTCAATGTGAAGTTCAGCAGTGAAGTCTGCACAGTATAGCATAAAAAAAAGTGGGCTTCCATTCCAGGAAGTGCCAAGCCGGGCCTTCGATTCGGAAAGGAAGTGAGTGTCTTTTCTATGTTTTTGTTTTCTAATGTGTAAAACAGAGACAATACCTCCTTTGGAGAGCTATGGTGAGGACGAAATAAGCTTACGAGTACAAAATGCTTTGATCAGTGCCTGGTACTATAATATGTATTTAATCATATGTTCTTTGATATTAGACACTAATTAGAAAATGAACATTAAAATGTAATGTATCGCCTGAAAATGCACATGTCACTTGGACCACGCTCTTGATTGCTCAGAGACCTCATTACTTTTGGACAAGCACAGCAGGGAATTTGGGAGAGCCCTAGATAGTGGGGATGGATCAAAGGAGTCACTTTCTCCGCTCTGAGAATTATATAATGGGATCCAAGTTACCTTGCTATGTGACAGCCTCATTAATATGTGTGTCTTTGTATATGTTTTAGCTTACCTTTTTAGATTCTAGAAAAAGCCAAGATGTTATCTTATGCCTTGGCAGCTACAGCTGTAATACTGACTACTGAATTCTTCAATCCATGGTGCAAAATGATGGTGACCTGTCACTCTTATCATTTGTAGCACAATGATTTTGCCAAGCCTTCAGCTTCTGAGGAAGTTCCTTGCCCATTTCTTCCTCAGGCAGAGCACAAGTCAGAACAATCTAGTAACAAACTTCTCCCCTTCAAAAACCACTCACTTGTGGTAAAGCACTTGCAGGATTTTTTTTGAACTCTTCCTCCCCCTTCCTTGTTTGTGATGTGAATAGACCTTGCAGCTAATTATCAATGTGAATAATAGATGACGGTGAGCCCAAGAAATAAGTCAAAGGTTCCAAAAAGTTTTATCCCCAGTTTCACACACAGGTGTTCTTGCAGACAAGCATTCCATTTTAAACATGTCAGCACATTTGGGGATAGAAACTTTTTGGTCCTAGCCGTCTCACAGTTGGCTCATTAATGAACATTGTGTGCAATCAATAAGTTACCGACTGAGAGACTAAGAGTTTCTTATCTCTGCCTTTGCATGTTTGAGGGTCTCAGAGATATTGATGAAAATGCATTATGTTCTCTGTCTCTCTCTCTCTCCCTCCCTCCCTCCCTGCCCTATGTGTCACAATAATAGTTAGAACAGAGAAGAGCTTTGCCAATGTGTAATTCTTTCTAAGCCCAAAATGCATCTTTTGGTCACCTTGCCTTTCCCTGTCACTTTACCATCAAGTAAAGGTTCCCACTTAAATGACAGGCCTTTTGAATAATAGGTTGGGGCTTTGCAGCAATTTCAAGATTTGGGGTAAGATGTCTGACATTATAAGACATGATAAATGTCTAGTTAAGGAAGCAGTTCGAAGTTCCACAGAGGCAATGGATTGGGTTGAAACAATGGACATTCTTTATGACAACATTTGTGCTAAGTGAAAATGGCAATGCTCACTTTTTTTGGCAAGCTTTTGGGGTATCCAATTTTTTACAGTTTTTCTCCTTAATGATTGCAGAAGCCATTGTGACAGATAGCATGCTCAGGCTAATGTAGTTGACCAACTGAATCAAATGGGCTGTTAGTGAATTATTATGAGGCCTGCAGGTATGCCTGAATAATTTTGGCTGATATCTATAACATTCCTATCTACACTCTTGCTAGTCTTTGTAGCACACAGGCAGAGTGGACATAATTGCCTTCTCTTTGGGCACGCCAGCTAACTGGCACTGCTGATGCAGTCTGCCCAGCGTATCAAACATCCCCCTCCTCTGAGCATCACAGAGGAAGGAGAAAACCACTGCATTCTGCTGCTTTCTTTAGCAAAAGGAAAAGTCAACAAAGGCACAACTCTTCCTCCCTCTTCAGCATCCCTAGGGAAGCACCTAACAGGCAGAGCTCAATCTCTGGAAGCAAAGAGACCTGAATTTCAGCCCCAACCTGACCAGATACTTGCTCTGAGGACTTCAACACATGATTGCAATTGCATGATAAACATTGTCTCATCTGCAAAAATTAATTTAATCAAGACTACCTTTCAAGATTCTTGGGAGAATTTTATGTCAAGTGACTGATAGAAAGTAGGAGCTTTGAAAAATAGTAGGTATTGGTAAAAATTTCAGAGAAAGTAAAAGAAAAATTTAAGAAACAGAAGTATTTAAGAAGAAATATAAAATGTTATTATCATAGCGACAAAGTAACAATACTAATATTGTCACTTATCATACTATGCTGATATGTGTCATCTGTAGGTAGTTTTATGTGGTTACGAGAAGCAGGATTGTCTAAAAATGACTCTGAGGGTTCTCTCAGAATTGGCTGAACAATGAGCTTGTTGGTACTGGGGCTTACTTCTCCTTTCTCCTAGAAAGAACTCCCCATAACTCAGCTGCGAGGAGGTCTAGGGGCCTCCTCAGCTAGTAGGAGATGCTGCAATGAGCCACAGGCCCCAAAATCTCTAGGTGCTAGGCAGCTAGTTTTCCCAGACAACCCCTATAAACAGCAGCACCCAAACCCAGAGTACTTGGTGCTCAAGTAGTATATTTGTCTTCTCCCCTAAAGCCGCATGCAATTGACAAGGCCATTTCTCACCTTAGTACCATAAAGACCATAGTAATGGGAAACATGTTTCCTGCCCTAAAATGGTTTGTCCAGCAGCATATCCTTTCCCCAGACCACCTCTCCTTGGGGATAGTGAGAGATTTCAAGACTGTATATCTTCTTTACTTGCTGATTCTTGTTTTGTAAATTTCCTGAATACAGTTTCTTCCTTAACCTATGCCCTGTGATATTGTGGAAGTTCTGTGGAATCTTTTGCAAAACTGTCTGAAATTCCAGAATTGTTTTTCAGTCCATCCTAAAGATCTGTTATTGAGTTCCAGTCATATCATTTATCATTAAATAGGTGCAAATTCTTTGTGCAGAGAACTCTACTAACCCCAGGGAGGCAAACAAATTAAACACCATCCCTGGCCTTAAACGGTTTGGCTTTGTCATCATCACATTGTCATTCTATATCTTTAGTAGAAAGGAAAGTGAATACAATAGATTTTGTAGAACAGAACAGAAATTTATTCTTAATAGTCTCTGTGTCATCCATTGGTTGAGAATAAATTATGAACCAGGCACCCTACTGGCCACTTTATAGATGGTGTTTCTCAAAATTCTCAGACTAATCCCCTGGTAACAGAACTACAGTTCAGAGAGGTTAAATAACTTGCCTGAGGTCACACAGCTAGTGAGTGATGAAGACAAGTTTTGAACTCAGTTCTGCTCTTGTAATAATAACTTATTCTGCTTCTCATACCACTTGAATAGCCAAAGGGAAATACAGAGCAGATGAATTGGGTTGGACTCAATACCAGCACAGTCTATTTTTCTCCAGTCACTAAAACAGTGCCCCAAGGGCCAGAAAGTCTGCATGTGTCTCTGTAAATGGCTCATTTATTTTCAGGAGTGACTTAGTCATTAAGGAAGAAAACAAGCGGACTAGTACCAGACACACAAATCACTTTCCAAGGTATTCGTGTCCACTGATCAGCACTCCTAAGGTTAATATTTAAAGCCCTGTCATATTCGAAATGCTTGAAGTATCAGCTGAGTTTTTAAATTGTGAATATAAAGACAAATAAAGACAGAGTTTTTGAAGTTATAGCAAAGTCTTAAAAACATGCAAATGAAATAAGCTGATTTTTTTTTTGTAGTTTTGCATAGTCTTTCAAATACTTACTGTTTTGGGGGGCCTGAGGCACAGTTTCCCTAAAGCGACAAAAAAGGGTGGGGGAATAAGAAGTGAAGAAGTCCTACAAATGACATTAATGTGCTTTATAAATTTCATTAATACTACTGCTATGGCCTGAATGTTTGTGTCCCTCTAAAATTCATATGTTGAAAATCTCCAACATGATGGTATTAAAAGATGAGGACTCAGGGAGGTCATTAGGTCACGAGGGTGGAGCCCTCAGGAATGGGATTAGTGCCCTTATGAAAGAAGCCCCAGGGCCTTGCCCTTTCCACCACATGAGGATATAGTGACAAGTTGCCATCTATGAACCAGAAAGCAGCCCTCATCAGACACCAAATCTGCTGGCACCCTTGATCTTGGACTTCCCAGCATCAAGAACTACAAGAAATAAATTTCTGTTGTTTATAAGCCATCTAGTCTATGTTATTCTGCTATAGCAGCAGAACGGACTATGACAACTACCACCAGCAGTAAAGATATAGACCCAAAGGAAGGTAAAATGAAATTCACATTTGTTCATAACCAACCGTGTTGGGTACTATTTGGGAATATAATCCATCTTAATTTTCAGATAGTGAACATTTGCATTTATTTTCTGTTTCCATCATCTGAATTACTTCCTATTAGTAATTCAACCCCTAATGAGTATTGCTGAGAGGTTGTGCCTGCCTTTGTGTTTTAATATTAACACCGCTATATTGGTATATTTCTTCAAAGTCACCAACTTAGGACTTTGAAGTTTAAACCCAAGAGATTCTGGAAAGCATCACCGGAACTTCATCTTTCATCACCCCACAACAAGCAAGGGTGAAGAAGAATGAAAGAAGTTTCTTCCTTCATCACTGAGCAATAGGAAAGCTCGGGAAATTATTTTCTGAATTGGAGGCCGGGTATCACAAGGCTGGGATTTGTCACCACCATGACACAGTGAAAGAGCAATGAGAAAAGGTCTTTGCAGAATGGGAGGTTGTCACTTCTGCACGTAGCAAACATCTCTTACCTGTACAGGGAGCTTAGTGGGCCATGCTCAACGGCAGCTGGAGGCATCCAGGGTTTTGAAGTTCAAGTCATCCTATCCTCCCTTGCTCACACACCTAATAAACAGACTTGGTGGGGAGAGAGTGGCCTAAGTGACATTCCGAGTAATGATGAGGAGTACTTCCCTAATGGCTAGGAGAAAAGACTGTCTCTTGATAAAAACAGGCACTGAGACTTGTGTTTAAATACAGGAAGCATTGCAAAGTTTCATGAAGGCTGTGACAGTTTTCTGCCAGAAGATAGCAGGACCCACTAGTGGTTTGAGCCTAGCCTTTGATCTTCAAGTGAGGGAAAGTTATATCGCATCACTTCCCTTAGACACCTTGAACACAATGGCATGGATATCTTGGTCATCTTCAGAATGTGGGCTTAGAAGTGAGTTCACCAGGCTTTGGTCTCTATTCCCCCCCACTCTTTGTAAGGTATACCTTTTGCCCAATTACCCAGCAATGTATGTGCCTCCGTTTCCTCATATATAAAATGGGAATAACAATAGCAGCTACCACATAGGTTGCTATAAAGAATAAATGAAATCATTTATTTAATATACCTCAAAAGGAGTGCCCAAAATGTTATCTGTCTATAAATCTGGAGGTATCCTTTGTCTTCTAGGTAAAGATGAGTCGGCATCATTCCAGTGAATTTTGTGCTTGGCCCTCCCACTTCCACGCTCCCAAACATCATGGTATGACCAAGTCATTTCACTTTCAGAAGTGCTCGGAAAAAGCCAACGCGAGACTACAATAACCTTCACAGGCTTTAGGTAAGGATCAAGTACCAAAAATATCAAAAGCACCAAAAATGGCTAATTTTGGGGGGGATTTAAAACTTTTCAAAGACAAAAATTGGTCTTCTTGCTGTTTCTTGCGTATGCTGATCCTAGCGTCACCTCAAGACCTTTACCCACACTGTGTCCTGTGTCTGGAACTCTCTTCTGCAAGCTCACCACATAGTTGGATCCTCCTTGTCACTCAGGTCTCACCCGGGTTAGAGGCCTCCTCCTGAGAAAGGCCTTCCCTGACTATCTTATTTGACCACCACATTTACAAATATACACTAGTCTGTCGTTTTGCATTATTTTATGAAGCTCACTGATTATATATTTCATTCATTTATTTTTGGTTAACTTGTTCCCACTCCCATCCCACTGGAATGTGAACTCCCTGAAAGCAGGGATTTGTTCATCTATTTCCACAGGAGCTAGAGGAGTAACTGGCACACAGTAGGTGACCCATGGTTATTTACTTAAGGAATTAAACAATGAATCCAATCCCATTAACTCCAGTATGGTGCCAGTTAGCAATGGGGCTGATATCTTCTACTTTTTTCAGTTTCAGGGCTTTAGACTTGTCAGGTTTTGTCAAGGTCGCCCAAGGGCAGTGATTTTCATATTAAGCTCCCTGGCACAGCTTTCCAGGGCAGACTGTTCCCAATTACTGATCCACTCAGCCCTCAGGGTGGCTGGGTCTTTGTCTCCAGCCTACAGCAGTGTTCTCCGAGTACTCTGAATTCTACACAAATATTATTATCACTTGAGGAGTTATGCTCCATGGAGCCAAATGTTTCTAGAAAAAACAGGAACAAATGGTGTGGTGCAGGGGAGGAACCCAGGGGCCTGACTCCCGGATCCCCAAGCCTTGTTTTAACAGAGCATCTCCAGTTCTTTACAGCTTTACATATTGAACTTCCATAAATTACAACATGCACAAAAACACTCCACAGCAGCTTAAATCAAGATCTGAGGGATTTATGCAGAGGCAGGTAATAAGAGTACCGTTACAGACCCTCCAGAAACACAAATTTCTATGCTCCAGTGCTTTCATATCCACCTCAAATTCATGCTTTGGATTATTTGTTGATGACACACTTTTAAATCACAAATTATCCTGCAGAAGGTAATACCTGAATCCTTGACACCTTAGAGAGAATTAGTCCATCAGGCCACTTTCCCGGAGGGTGTCAGGAGAACTGGGGTCCTTGGGAAGTGACAGGGACCAGAGTGCTAGCACTACAAAATGAACAGAAAAAGCTCCATAGGGGAATAGAGGTGAACCCGAGATCACTGACCTGTCCTAATGCCACCCTGGGTTCATGCAGTCATTGAATAACATTGCCCTATGTGCCCCATTCTGTCTGTACACAGACCACTCAGCCTGAAGCCACTCATGAGCTGGCAGCCAACAGTGCTCCCCACTCAAGACTTTTCTATGTCTCCTGCCAGTGAAACAGATTTTCAGTGGCCTCTGACTGTCGGGTATTGTTATCCATTTGGTGGTAAATTTCCAATGCAGGGCAGCATAATGATTCCCATTAATGCTGATATTATTCATGCGGCTAAAATCCACATGCCCCCGGCTAAAACATTCCCCTGTAGAAGTTGCAGCCCTTATCTATTCAGAAATCCTTCATTACAGGTAGGTAATGTGTTTCCTCTGTGCAGAAGTCTGAGGCACTGTAATAGCATCCCTCATCGTGCCTTTGAATCCTTTCAAACACAAGGGGATTTTCATGTGTGTGTGTGTTTAATCACGAGGCCCAGACTTCCACTTTTGAGCATCCTGCTGCCACGGCAGATAACAGGAATCAGTGCTCTCAGGCTTGGTATTAGGATATTCTTGTCTCTTGTAAATATATTTCCACATACAACAGTGTTTCTCATCCTGATTACCACTGCCTTTTGCACCAGTTAAGCATTTATTGTGTACAAGTTGCGGGGGAGCGGTCCTGTACATTATAGGATGTTGAGCAGCATCCCTGGCCTCTGCCCACCACATGCCAGTAGCACCTCCCCCTAGTTGTAACAATCAAAAATGTCTACAGACATTGTGAAATGTCCCCAAGGGGGCAAAACTGCCCCTGGTTGAAAATCAGGAACATGAAACAACATGACAGGAAAGGAAAGATACCCTTTCATGTCCTAAAGCCCAAAATGTGAAATCCAGTCTACACACATGGATACCAAGCCCTGTACATCATATATGTTCTCTTAGCCCCACAACAAATTTACAAAATAGCAATCTTTATTATGTCCATTTTATAGGTAAGGAAACCAAGGAATAGAGAGATTAGGAAAAGGAAAGGATTCATTGTGCCGTCGAATCCTTTCAAACACCAGGGAATTTTTATGTGTGTGTGTGTTTAATCACTAGGCCCAGACTTCCATTTTTGATCATCCTGCTACCAGGGCAGATAACAGGAATCAGTGCTCTCAGTCTTGGTATTCGGACACCACACATGGAAACCCACATGGATACCAAGAAAGTGAGTATTTATAGGATCAGATAGGGCATCAGATAGGGTCACTAAGCTGTGACAAACATCAGGGAATGAATTCAGATTTTACTGGTTCTGAATTCAATAATGTAAGAATTCCATAGTTAGAGGGGGCCATAGAGATCATCTGGGACAACTGCCCCATGAAACAAGGGAGGAAACAGGCCCAGAAATGTTAAGTGATTTCTGAATGATCTCACATAACACTAGCAGAACCTAGACTAGAATTCAAGTCCCCAAAGTCCAAGCTGTGAATTGATTACTTCTTTCATCCATTAGGCTATCATCAATATGTGCTTGGTTTATTCATAATGTACATATTTTCTATTTAATTTAACATAAAAATGCTAAGCTCAAGTCTGGAGACCCAAAAGAAAAGAAAAAGCCGTATTTCTCAATAAAGGTAACAGAGGCCATTTATCAAGTACCTTCTATATATACCTGGATGAGGCATTTTAAATCTAGCATATAATTTTTGTCATTTTTAAATGTTGTCATTGAATTTTTACAAAAATTCTAGGTAGGTGGTACTATTACCTCACCGGTGATATTGACAGGTATAATTAGGCCTTGTCATCACATAACTAACGTAGCAGGAATATGGAAACAGTGCCCAGAATTGTAACTAGACAGACATCAAGAGCCCTCCAGGGCTGGTATCTCTGCTAGGGCAGAAAAGAGCCCCCCAGTCCCTGCTGCTGGTAGAGAAGCATCCCCCATCAGCATCCCCACGTGATATGTGGAAAAAGAAGGAACCTTCGCAGCAGCATAGGGCTGGGGTCAAACTTCAGCTCTGTCTCTTTCTTTACATTTATTGAGCTAATCATAGACTATCCTGAGCCTCAGTTTCCCTATTTGTAAAGTGGGAACTTTAAGAGACTCAGAGCGCAGTTAGTATGATTATAAAACAAGACCACGCCTTAAAGTCACAAAACACAGTTCCTTGTACATAGTGAATGTTTACTGTCGGTCCCCTTTCCTTTTCCTAATCTCTCTATTCCTTGGTTTCCTTACCTATAAAATTGACCTAATAAAGATTGCTATTCTGTAAAGTTGTTGTGGGGCTAAGAGAACATATAAAATGTATAAGGCTTGGAGGTTCATAAATGGCAGGACTTATTATTTCTTACAAATGTAAATGGATCAGGGAATATCTTTAACAGATCAACCCAGGTGAGGATTAACAGACGTACCAGAGAGAGGAACTAGGATGCTTTCCTTCAAGTGTCCACCTCTCCCAACCCCTTCTATCAATTAACAGGTGAGAACTCTGAGATTGCTAAAGCCTAATAATTTGACCAAGATTTCTCAGTAAGCTCACTGTGCTTTTTTGGCTCCATGATCCAGCCCTTTCCACCACCTTTCTTTTACTTCCCATAGGTTGCCTTGAGCCTAGTTCTATGTAAGCCTCCCAGGATGACAAGGGCAATGCTCATGTCACAGGCTGACTGTGTCAAAGTCCCACGAACAATTTTATCCTGTGTTATCATTGAATTTGAAGAATTAAGATGTGACTAATAACAGAGCAATATCCACATAAAATGAACTGCTACAGTGCAGCTCCTGCTGGATCTGCTCCAATCAGCAGGCCCGTACCAGAGGCTCTGGACTCCAGAGATTCATTCAGTTCCCAGTTACTGTCACCACCTCAGAACACCCTTCCCTGATCCTCCACACCACTTTGTCTTCCACACGTCACCTGTTTGTCTCCACAGCACTTACAGGTATCTGGAAATAACATGTTTATTTGCTTCCTGTCTCCAACACCAGAATGGAAACCTCATGACGGCTTGACTTGCCACTCTAATTCAAATTCCCAGAACTGTCAGATTGATACCAGATTCTCAATAAATATTTGTGGAATCAATGAAGGCATGAGTAAATTTGAGCTGGAATGCCTATACCCTACTTGCAAACCTTTCTTGCACCCTTACCCCATCACTCCTAACCCCTTCCAGTGCCATGTGTCCACCAAACAGAAACCCTGGAACTCAATGACAACCCAGAGTCCTAGCGGGACTACACATTATTAAAGCAATTCACTCTTTTGAAGCAGTTTTTGGAGCCTGGTCTGGCTGGTTCCAAACCAAAATCTTGGTAGCTCTACAATTTTCCAAAGCTCTGGTGATCTGTAGCCCACATGCCTGAAAGTGTACCATGATGTCCTGATTCCGTGCAAACCAAATGCTGAGGAGTCTCTGAGACTAGAGATTGCACTGTAATTCAACTCAATAAACATTCCCCAAGTACCTTCCATGTGCTAGTCATTATATAAGCAAAACAGAAACTGTATTAGTCAGGAATCTTTAGAGAAACAGAATCAATATATAGATATAATAAATATATATTATACATAGAAGACTTATAGGAATTAGCTCAGGCAGTTACGGAAGTCCCTAAGCTGGATTAGCTGTCTGCAAGCTGGAGAATTAGGTAAGCATCATTCAGTACAAGTCCACAAGCTTGAGCAAAGTGGGAGGATGGTATGAGACCCGGTCTAAGTATGAAAACCTGAAAACCAGGAAGAGCAAAAACCTCCAAGGGCAGGAGAAGATGGATGTCTCCATTCAAGCACAGAGAGAGAACTCACCTTTCTTTCACCTTTTTGTTCTATTAAGACCCTCAGTGAATTGGATGATGCCCACTGCACTGGGGAGAGCTACAAGCTTTACTCAATTCTCCAGTTCAAATGCTAATCTCTTCTGGAAAGACCCTCACAGAGACACACAGATATACTGTTTTACAGCTACCTGTGCATTCCTTAGCCCAGTCAAGCGGACTTGTAAAATTAACCATCACAGAATCCTTACCAATATGATATGGGTTGTTCTGGCAATGCTTTTCACCAGAAACTGATATGGATAGGAGACGGGAAAATATTGAGTAGAAAAGGATGGTTCCCCAGCAAAGGCCCTACCCCCAAGCCTGGAAACCCATGGCTTCAAATGGGAACAGGCATTCCTGGTTTTGAGCCCAAAAGTTGTCTTTGGCCCACCACACTCCCCTATTCTGTACCCATATAAACCCCAGACCCCAGGCTCCAGAAGTAGATGAGGAGATGAACAGAAGAGCAGAAGAATGACAGAACAGCACGGCAGAGGAGAGAAGAGAAGGAGCATCTGAACACCAACAGGAGTTCAGCTAGGGACCATTAGAGAGGAGATTGGTTGCTGGACAGCCAAACTCCAGGGGAAGATCATCTTCCCACTCCATCCCCCTTCCAGCTTCCCATCCATCCCACTGAGAGCCACCTCCACCACTCAATAAAACCCCCACATTTATCCTTCAAGTTCCTGTGTGACCTAATTCTTCCTGGATGCCAGAAAACGACCTGGGTACCAAGAGGGCACTGAGTTGATTAACACTTAAGCAGTCTGTGGACAGCAAAGCTAAAAGAGCACACTGTAACACATGCCCACTTAGGCTTTGGGAGTCACAGATACCCACCCCTAGAAGTTATGGTGGGGCCGGAGCCCCAAGGCACTTGCTCCAGCTCTTCAACCTGCCTGTCTGTGTGCTCCCCCTCCTGTAACAGGGTGGGGGTGGGGGGAGTTTAAGCACTTGGTGGCCGAACACACAAGCCACACCCTTGTTGCACATCCTGTGTGGGGCATAAAGGGACTCTCCCATTTCAAAACTATTTCCCCTGCTTTGAGACACAGGGACTAAAAATTACGTCATTAGCTTTTAGTCCTCAAGAGCACTCAACTCTAGCTGAGTATCCACATGAGGGGCACCATCTTAGCCACTCTAATGGAGATTATTTTACCAAATACTTGCAGGATAACAATCCCAGGAACCCTATAATGCAGCACAGGCCCTGGGAAATTTGATCACAACAAGGAGTACCAGAAGTAAGGAAAGAGGTTACCTAAAGGGATAGAAAGAGAATCCAAAAATAAACTCTACTTACTTCAGGCAGTGGAGTAAATGCCTGGGAACACTTTCCTTGGAGACAGATAGATCTGCCATCTCAGCCTGACTCAGCCTCCCACGAGCTGCATCAGCTTGGTCAAACTGCTTAATGTCTCTGAGACTGTGGTTCTTCAGGTGATATGCGGGAAAAATAATACACACCTCATAGGTTTCCTATGGTGAATGAATGAATGAATGATTATGTACAAAGTGCTTAGCATTGTGTTGGGCTCAATAAGTGATATTTATTATTTATTATTATTATTCTGAGCTTGCTTAAGTATAGACCTCAAGAGGATCAGCCAAGACTAGTGTACCCTTTGGAAATATCGTTTCTAGGGACAAGAAAAATGTCTTGGAATAAGACTCCATAAATCCCTCTTTCATTGTGCCTGACAGAGTTAAAGCAGCTTCCCCAAAGTGCCTTGGCTCCCAAGGGCCCTTTACTTACTGGGAAAATCTGCTTCCTCCCTCATGTGCTCTGCTTATCCTCCTACTCCCATCTGCACCAATTAGCAGGGAGCAGATTGTCAGAGACCCAGGAGAGCACCTTGAGAATGGGAACGCCGTGCTAGGAACAGGTGAGCCTTCAGAGACTGTGCAGGTAATGGGGTCGAAAATGAAGACGTATTAGGGAAAGAGGAATTACAACTCTGCTGACTAAATGATGAAGTGAATAGAAATGAAAAACGTGGCATAATTTGTTAAGGAAATGCTAGCTGCTGCAGGCAAAGGCAACAATGAGGGAGGCTGGATATTGTCGAAGGTTATAGAATGAACCAGCAGTCATAACCTGAGGCCTTGCTGTGACACAATGGAGGGAAATTTTACTCCCAGTGTTTTCTTTATATTTTAAGGGTTTCTATATTTTCAAAGAGGTCTTCAATTCCCTAGTTATCTAGCTCTGCCCACTGAATAAATATAGGAAATGACTTTAGATTAACATAAAAATACAAGTTTATGCCTGTAATCAGAGTAACTGAACTGAATATAAGCCATTTAGATTCTAGATGGTGTATTTCAAATAACAATTCAGAGAGCCAACCCCAGAATGTTTTTCTAATCACCCATGTAGAATGGCATTCTCGAGTTACCACTGCAATGTAAAACAATTTGACCAAGGAAAGGTGATGAAGTAGATTCCGGTAAATAGAAACTGCTGTGAAAATTTGCCCCATATATAAGTATGTCATCCAGGAAGGTTTGTGCATGTTTACCAATCAATATATTTTTCATTACTTTAACCTGTTGTGATAGTGCCTGTCAATCCTTTCTCCCCCAAACACAGATGCATGACTGGATTGGTCTCCTCTCTCTCTCTCTCTCCCTCTCTCTCAATCTCTCTCTGTCTCTCTCTCTCTTCCTCCCTCCCTCCTTCCCCCTCTTGAGGAATACCACTGTTTCTGATAGTTACTGGAGGAGAGATTTTGTGGCTTAGAGGTAGGGCTAGCTAGGGCTCCAAGATGCAGCCACAGAGAAAAGCGGAAAACAAACCTCTAAAAGTCAGAGTGGCTTCCTCAACTGTGACTGACTTTCCCAGTACCTAGGAAGCCTGGCTGTACTTCCTCTTTTGTTCAGGGATTAAAAGAGAGTTATCCTACCAATAAACCGCCTTCTCTTTAAACTAAATTGGAGGAAGGCCACAGAGCCCACAAAGGTAACCAGCTGGTTTATATGAAGCTTGAAGATTCTTCGTCGTTTTCCTGACAAGTGTCCCTTCAGATTTTGCTTGAATACCCCCTTGAATGCACACTCATTATCACAATGCGGCCCATGCCATTTCTCAACAACTCTTCCTGGCAAGGTACGTGGGGACAAACAATAGAAATAAATGTTTCCATCGATGAATTGATCAATTAAGGATGCAGATGAAGCCGGAGCAAGAAAGCATAACCCCAATCCTGTTATACAACTTCTCCCAAACCCTCTCTCCTGCAGGGCTGGCAGCTATTCACACACCAGTGGATCAGGAAAAATGGAGCCCTTTTCATCACCTTGCTCTCCATCAAGGTCTGGACCACCAGAAGGATAGTATCAAAAGGAGGACAAGAAATTACTCATAAAACATTATAAAGCACTGTGTCTGCCTCCATTAGACTATGGCTGGGCAGCCATAAATATGGCCCTGGTGACTTTTTCTGTCCATGGTTCTTTGTATAAAATTGTGTTTTCCATTCTAGTGATGGAAGTAATGTATTTTTGTTGTAGAAAATCCACAAAAATGGTAAATCACAAAGAAGTAAATAAGAATAAACCATAACCCCACCACCCAAAGATAAATGCTGTCCTTTTGGTATATATCCTTCCAAGGGATTTTGTTTGTTTATTTACTTTGTTCCTTAATTGCAATATTTTTCATAGTGTTTTATAATTTGCCCCTATTTAATGTAACACTCTACCATAAACATTTTTATTTTATGTTTTAATAACTTAAACAATTTAAGTTATTAAATTTCTTCTTCAACATAATCTTTAATGGCTATGGTGCCCATGTGCATGGATGTACCATTATCTGTCTATATTATTCTGCTTTTGAGGGGCACTTAAGCTGTTAGCAGCTCTATATAACATGACATATGGTGGAGGAAAGATCAGGCACTCTGGGACCAGAGAAGAAGAGCTCAGAGAATAGACTTAAGAGGTCGAGGAGAGTTTCCAGGAGGAAGTGACTCTTGAATAGTACTTTTCAGATTGCAAGGCAACACAACATTTATTTAGTCCTCACAATTGGCCGAGACAGTATTGGCCTTAACATCTCTCAGCTTGACTAAAGTTTAGACAGGCTTCTTCATGTCTCTAAGTCACTGACCTCTCTTTACTTAGAGCATTTGCTTTAGAAAACTTGTAATTATAAATTCTTCCTCTGTCCCTTTGAGAAGTAAATCTTCTTAAAAGCCTCTTGCCAGGTTTATACTCCAAGAATGTCTTTCTCAAGGATCTGGGAGCCATCCTTGGAAATGACATCATCAAGGAAAATAGAGTTCCTATCCCCAGTTCCTATGGAAAGGTAGGAGCCTAGCTTTAGCAGGCACCTTGTTCCAAGTCGGAAAACTTTCTTCTATCATGAAGATATGAGGAAGTTTAGTTTTCCTTTGGGTGAAACCAATTAGCAAAGAGAAATAACCTACAATGCCCCCATCTCAGCTTTTAAAACCTCTTCAGCCCTTTGTTTCAGCAGAGTTAAGCTTAGACTGAGTTCTGCGCTCTCCTCCCTATTGCAATGTTCTTTATTAAAGTGTAGGAGACCCAGAGACCGCATCCAACCCCCCTTTTGGCTCTTTGTGGGCACTTCAATTGAGTCAAGAAACCAAATTGACAATAGGCAGATTAATAAGAGAAAAGCATACAAATTTTATTAGTTTAACATGTACATGGGAATCTTACAAAAAAAGTGAAGCTTGAAGTGGTCAAAGCAAGATGCTTTCATACTATTTAGGCAAGGAATGATATATTTGGGAAGAACTGACAGGACAAGGAAGATATGGTTAGAGACAGTAAATTTCTATGGAAGTCACTGGGAGGTATAGGTGGTGTGGAGGGGTGTAAAGCTAATGGAAAATACAGATTACTTCAGCAAGTATATTTATTCAGGTCCATTGCAGCCCCAACTTCCCAGTCTCTGGTGATAAGGGCTATTTTCTCTCTGGTATAGAGAGGGTAACCCTCCCAGATGAAGGATTTTTTAAGGTTTGCTGCATCTAGGAAGAGATAGGTCATCTAGCCCTTTCTGATATTTCTTCAGTGCTTTTCAACTCAAAATAATCAATATACCAATTTGGTATATTTGGGAATGGCACATTCTTCACTCCTTCAAAGTCTTCCTTGACTGTTCAATTTTATCCAGTACAAGTTTTGCTTCGACGCAATAAAAGTCTTAGAAAGTGTCACTTCCTATTGTGCAAGTGAAGAAAACGGGACTGAAAGAGAAGTGACAAGGCACAAAATCCATGAGTATCTAGAGCTGATGTTGGTGAGATTCCTGAGTTCTCTTTGAATTCCTCCATGCTGCATTGACAAGAGAGGTTGAAATTAACTAGCACAGTTTATTATGCTGACAGCCTTACTGACTTGCTGGCTTCTCTATGGCTTCTTCACCTACAAAATGAAACCATAATACTACACACCTACAGGGTATCTGTGAGGGTTAAATGAGTTAGTAAATAAAAAGTGGCAGTTTCCGGCACATAGAGCCTACTATTCTTATTAACATCATTATTATTGTTACTAAGAAAGAGCACCGATTTTAGAGTCAGAAAATCTGGGACCAAATTTATCACCAACTGGGTGAGGGTATTAGGCAATCAACTTGTTTCCTAATAGATTGTGGAAAGATTTAGATTACATAGCATATGCAAAGCAAATGGTTCACACTGGTCCTTTGGTAGGCAGAATTCTGGAATGACCTTTCAAGTTTTCTCGTGCCCAGTTATTCAATTAAATACAAATATAAGTGCTGCTGTGAAGATATTTTGCAGATGTAATTAAAGGTCTAAATAAGCTACCTTTAAAATACAGTGATTATCTGGATGGGCCTGATTGAAACATGCAAGCTCTATCAAAGCAGAAAGTTTTATCTAGCTGATTGCAAAAAAACGAAGTCAGAGAGATTCAAAATGTGACAAGGATTCAACATGCAGTTGATGTCTTTAAAGATGGACAGAGCCATTTGAAAACAATCTAAGATCAGCCTCCAGGAGCTAAGAATGACCCTCGGCCAACATCCGGCAAGAAATTTATTTCTACACCCCAAGGAAGCAAATTCTGCCAACAACCTAAATGATCTTAGAAGTGGATTCTTCCCCATATCCTACAGATAAGAGCATAACTTGGCCAATACCTTGATTTCAGCCTTGTAAGACTCTAAGAAGAAAACCCAGCCAAGTCTGCCCCAACTTCTGGCCTACAGAACTGTGAGATCATAAATGAATGTGGTTTTCAGTCACAACATTTGTGATAATCTGTTATGCCTCAGTAGAAATCTAATACAGGTCCTGTGTGAAGTTTTCACTTGTTTGTTTTTGTTTTCATTTTCCTCCTCAAACATAAACTAAAAGTAGATGCAGGGGTAGCAACTCAGCCCTTTCCTATGCGCTCACATATCCTGGTCCAAGGTCAAAGTATTGTATTATTCCCTGGGACATCCTGGCTACACAGGCAAGCATCCTGCTTAAAAGTCTAAGGCAGCCTCAAGAGTCCCTTTGAAAATACACTTGCTTTTCAAGCCTCAGCACCAATGCACTAAAGAGTTCAGACTGTTTTCAAAATTGAGAAACGCAGGCAAGTCCATTTGTACCTTTTTATTGACATATCTGACCTTGCTGGAAAAGTATGTTATGTTTTGCTATAAAAATTATCAGAGAGTACAGCTTGCTGCATGATATTTCATATTACAGGACAGAGCACTCAAAGCCACTCTCCTTGAATGAGCGCTGCCACCGCCGAAAATCTGTAGAATCTTGATGAGATTTTTTTCCCCCTAGCATCAGGTCTGCAATGTTAACTGGGCCTCACTGTTAGCAAGTGATTCAGTAGATGGAACCTTTGTGTGACATTTCCTTGATTGAATCACTCCACCAAGTATAGGTGCAGTTGTGAGTAAAATAATCAGTCTTGGGCTTTATTTCTCAAAAGTATTGTTTCCTAAAAGTTCTTGGTGGACATTGAGAATGCCTGTGATCATTGGGTTTGTTTGGATGTTGACTCTTTGGACAAATCTCAAAACTACAACCAAAATTCAAGTCAGGGCCAATGAAAAAAAATAAAATAAGCCCTCTTATCATTTTGTCCAGATTTCTTGTCCTCAGTCAGAAAACGTATCCCCTTAGGATAACTGTGTTACATATTCTAATCTCTACATACTGTAAAATGACAGAATGTCCATGTTGGCTCTTATTTGTTCATAATTCAATGAAGCATTAACTTATATATGCTAGGGACAATAACAGATGCTGAGGATACAAGTTTGAAATTAACACAGCCGTGTATTTAAATAGGAAAGGCAGATATTAACCTTTCTAAGGAACTCATGCTGCCCCTTCATCTCTTTCTATGGGTAGATCAAGATAAAAGGTAGATTGTGGAACATTAAGAAGACAGTTGAACAACCAGGGATCACTCCTACCTACTAGATACATAACTTTGCACAAGTTGTGTAAGTTCTCTAAACCCCACTTTCATCATGTGTAAAAAGGGAGTAATAATCAGATTGACATGATGGGGATATTGTTAAGATTAAAGGAGAGGTCTTAGTCCATTCAGGCTGCTATAACAAAATGCCATAAACTGGGTGGCTTATAAACAATAGAAATTTATTTCTCACAGTTCTGGAAACTGAGAAGTATAAGATCAAGACATAGATTTTTAATATCGGGTGAGGACGTGCCTTTTAGTTCAGAGACAGCCATGTTTGTGCCATAACTTCAATGATGGAAGAGGCAAGGGAGCTCTGTGGGGTCTTTTTAAAAAGGGCACTAATCCTATTACATAAGAGCTTCAGCCTCATGACCTGATCACCTCCCAAAGACCTCACTTCCAAATACCATCACACTGGGATTAGACTTCAACATTTGAATTTTGGGGAGGACAAAAAAATTCAGTATATAAAAGCAATCAAACACATTTAGAGAAATTTCTGGTTTGAAACTTGTCTTGCTGATTAATTTTCATCTTTAATAGGTATAACCAATGTTATATGTCATTTAGTTTTAAGTAAATGAGTTTACTCCCTTCAAAATTGCATATATCTAAGGAAAGAATCTACAATTGGCAGAAGTCATAATGATTTACTCTCAGGACAGTTTTTTTTTCTAGTTTCTAGTTTCTAGTTCTGATAGTGTAGGGTTTCTTTTTTATTATGTTTTTGTATTGCAAAACAGAATATGTGTTCAAAATGGTTATGAATATCATAAGGTATGCTCCTGTTTTTGATTCATAGGCTGAAATTAATGAAAATATATTTTTTGTTTTCATTTTTAAGTCTGTACAAGAGACTAATAATAACACAACAAACCTGATGATAATATGTACTTCTCAATCATAACCATTTTACCAGGCTCCAAAGGATTGCCCATTACTTTCAGCGCTAGTCGTGTTTTAACCACTATGCCTGGGGAGAAATATTTAAACAAAAAAGTTCTAGCCTCTCCTCTAACATGGATCTTTGGGTAAAGCGCCAATTGGGTTTATATCTCAGTATCTCCATCTGTATAAAAAATGCATTTGATGCGCTTAAAAGTAACTTTAACTAACGCAATTATATTATTTAGTTATATAGCAAAATAAACTTCCATAAAATATGTGACTGGCCCTTTAACATTCATTTGAAAACAAAAGCCAAATTAAGATAGCTATTCAAATAAATGCATTGAATTCTGCAAGGCCTCAGCTAAAATGTGTATCCTTCAAGGCAGTACCTGCATGGTATTTGTTTTGTTTATCTGATTCCCTTTTGACCTGTTGCTATAAACACCATGGACACTTGATATATTTTCATTGAATAATTGATTGACTGAACTGATGCAACAGGCTCCCATTTATGTCTCAGACTGAGCTAGATGTATTGAACCTACAAGAGTGAGTGAATCAGGACAGATCCCCAGACACAACCATAGCAAACAAATATCACCCCCAATAACCCAAGCTCTAGGTTTAATTTGGTCATATAATGAGATACGCAACTATCAACAATTCTTAATTGGTTTTCATTGTACATGAGAGGGTTTTTTCCTTTTTCTCAGTGTGCTAGACCTCAAGACGATCCTTTTCTGTGTAAATGCTATTTTTTCAAAACAAAGAATGTGATGGTTTATATATCTTTTAGGTCAAATATTGGAAAATGTGAAAACTTGGAGAGAGAGGCCTTGGGTTTCCTTGCCACTAAAGTGCTTAAGATGATTTTAGGCAGCTGGCTACCAAGACTGTGTGCTCTTTCTGCCCTTTGCTTTGTTTTCCTTCAAGGAACCAATCTATTCGCTGATCCTGCAAACATTCCTAAGGCATCTGGCCAGACACTGGGCTAGATGTGAAAGTGAATAATAAAAAAGCATTCCTGACCTCAAGTAACTCATAGGTAAAGAAAAATATTTAACTGCTTTAACTTTAAGTATTACATTAATCTTCGTGATTGCAATTGCCTATTAGGAGTGTCTACTTCCCAGGGAGGTTGTGAGATGAAGCTCAAATGAGATAATGCATGTAAAAGAACAAGTCCAAAGCCTGGGATTTTGTAAGTGCTCCACCAATACCAGCTGAAGACAATGGGAATCAGGCCCCCATTGTTACTGATACTTTCAGCGCTTAGAAGAGAAACTTTTCCCCATCAATGGGTAGAAATGTTCCTATGATGGGTGACTGAGAGTGTAACCTTGAGTCTAGAGAGGAAAGGCAATGGAAGTATGCTTTTCCACAGGGACGTTTGGGGAAGAGGAAGCAAAAGTCAAAATAATTTCCTTTCCTTGAAACCAGGCTCTTGATGAATTTCTGCTTCAAATATTAGTTCCTCTTTTAGGTATGCTCCTTTTCATTTTCTTAGCCCTCATCTGCCTTTCTAAGGTAGCTTGTTTGCTCCTTTGTTATGGAGTGTCACAGTGTTCTGTGGTGCCAGGAGGCAGTACAGAAAAGTGCTCCATGCTGAGAGTGAGAGGCTGGGAAGGAAAAGTTACTCTCCCCAGAAGACAAGACAGACCCTCACGAAGACCTGACAGACAGCCGACCACAGGGGCTCTAGCCACACGGTGTCGCTAGAAATGCACAAATCATCTTGGAGTCATCTACTTTCTCCCTAGACACATTCGTCTCCTCGATAGCCAAGAACTGAAGATTTTGCCTTCTGAGGACTTCTAAAAACTGCCTCTCTTCTCAACCCTAACCAGGGTTTGACCTCTGCAGTGTCTTCCTCACTCTTCCCCTGCCTTCAGTCTTCCATTAAGTCCCTCACCTGCATTAAAAAAAAAAAAACAAAAACAAAAACCATGCCTATGCTCCTTTAATTGGTTTCAGAGCTTCATAGTCTGTCTCTTGCCTCCCTCTCCAGCCTCACTTCTGCAGCGCTGTCTTCCACTTTGTCCCCCAGCAAGACTGCATTGCTTACAGTTCCCCAGAGCACCATGTGTTCTTTCTCTCTTTGCTTCTGCTCATGATGTCCCTTGGTCTAGAATGTTCTCCCCAAACCCCTGCTCATCCTTTGAGGGTAGAAAAGGACCTTGCCTCCACCTAGGCCTCCACTAGATAAGATGCAAGTTCCAACAATGACACCATTTAAACCCACTCAGATTTGTCTGGAAGTCTTTAGGGTTTATCATGGAAAAACCCACATCTCAGGAACTTCCTCCCTACCCTAGTCCCTAATCTTCTCTAAGCTTTCTTCACTCCTCCCTGATTAGGTCAGGTACCCTCCTCCGTGCTCCTTTAGTACAGATCCTCTGTCACTACTACATTGCAGCATGATTAGATACTGATATATTTTAACCCACCCTTTGACTCTGAGCTCCTTAAGGGCAGGAACTGTATTTATTTAATTTTCTTCCTTTTTTGTTTCCTCATGTAACATAATACCTGGAACACAACTAGCAATTAATAAGAAGGGAAGGGAGAGAGGGAGAAAGAGAAGAAGGATAAAACAAAGGAAGGAACAAAGGACTGAAGGTTTGTTATAGTAAAGCACATTGTTTAGCTCCAAAAACGAAGACCATGGGATTCTCAGTCACCATATGTATTTTTAAGAACCAGAAATACCATTTGACCCAGCAATCCCATTACTAGGTATATACCCAAAGGATTATAAATCATTCTACTATAAAGACACATGCACATGTATGTTTACTGCAGCACTATTTACAATAGCAAAGACTTGAAACCAACCCAAATGTCCATCAATGATAGACTAGATAAAGAAAATGTGGCACATGTACACCATGGAATACTATGCAGCCATAAAAAATGATGAGTTAATGTCCTTTGCAGGGACATGGATGAAGCTAGAAACTATCATCCTGGGCAAACTAACACAGGAAGAGAAAACCAAACACTGCATGTTCTCACTCATAAATGGGAGCTGAACAATGAGAACATATGGACACTATGGGGGGAGTATCACACACTGGGGCCTGTCGGGGGGTGGGGGGAAAGGGGAAGGGGAGCATTAGGACAAATATCTAACGTGTCCAAAGCTTAAAACATAGATGATGGGTTGAAAGATGCAGCAAACCATTATGGCACATGTATACCTCTGTAACAAAGCTGCACGTTCAGCACATGTATCCCAGAACTTAAAGTTAAAAAAAAAAGATGTAATATCTATTGATTTATTTTTTTTCTTGTAAGTAAACCTCTTTCTATAGCAATACATGGAAGTAGATATCACTGTACTATCCAGTACAATTAGATATACTGGATATTGGTTGGGGACTAAATTAGTACAAATGTTAAAAAGCTACTGTAGCAAATAAGCACCAACCTTTTAATGTCTTAATAGTTTATTTCTAGCTTATACAGAGTTGAATTTAGAATGCAAGTGTACCTCATTGATAAGCATCTCTGCTCCACATGGTCATTCGGGGTCCCAGGCCCCTTCCAACCTGTTTCTCTCTCACTCATTGAGGTCAAAGTCTTCTAAATCTAGGCAGCAAACAGGAAAAGAGCTTGAAGACAGATTGTGGGCAACTGTACAGACCAGTCCTGAATGGGTTGCTGGACATCACTTCCCTCTCATCCCATTAGCTAGAACTCAGTCACACGACCATGCCTAACTGCATGGGGAAGCTGAGATGCTCAGATGAGCTAATGAATGCAAGGTGATGAGCTCAAAGCCTAGAATCTTGTAATATGCATTAGTTACTAATATTATTATCACTGGTATTACCTACCCACCTTTATGCCAAGGGCATTCTAAGCTAGGGGTTACCTTTTTTTTTTTTTTTCTGATTCCTTGGGTCTCTGAAAAGCCACCAAAAACTTCCCACCGTCTGCTGCCCCCTTCATCAATCCCACCCTCAGGTGCTTTTCCTGCCTTAGAGATCCTAAGCCACTAGGAGAAGAAAAACAGAATTCAATGTTTTGACCACTATTTTGAGAGCCCCCAGCTAAACTGGGATTCCGGTATCAGCATGCCTAGCAATGATGCCCTGATGGAAAATGAATGGGAGCTGGATATGGTGTTTACAGCGTGCCGTTCATGTAATGCTTCTTTCACCTGGTGGAAGGGCTAATGCTTAGTTGTCCAACCCATGACCAGAGGTTCCTCACACAAGGAGCTTGTTTATATTGGCAGATGCCCTTGTGGCTCTTGTCTGACTCATGTACAGTTTATACCTGCCTGGCTATTGCTGTGGTGTTGGGAGCCAGGCCTGTGTCCCCCACCCTGGTGTCCCAGGGAAACTTTGCCCGGGATAGTCCCTGGTTCCTCAAATGGAAGGTGCAAATTAAATAGAGAGAGAGAGCGCACACATGTAGAAACTAGCAATATAGATAAGGGACTAGGGTGTGCATCACTTTAAGTTCTCAGGCAAGTGCCCGATTCATCCATTTAAAGGAAGCTGTGGGCAAGCCGGGAGCCCAATTGCCTAAGCAGGAGAGATGCCTCTAAATGCTCATCTCTGCCACCGGCTTGAGCCCCTCAAGTGTGGTGTAGAACTGGAAAGTGTCAAGAGAGACTGAGCCCTGCTTCTGGTATGAGAAAGTTAAACTCATACTCAAAATGGATGTCAAGGCAACATAAAAGTGTAAGAATTCACTATAACTACATATATACTAGATGTCAAATGTTACAAAATGCAAAATGTAGCCCTATCCATCATCAGACAATGATAAACTATAATGGAATACAATTGCACTTTGTACTCAACCATGCATTTTATGAGGCTACTATAAAATTTTACCATCAAACTCAAAAAGCAATAGTAAACCCCTATGATTCCTATGTTCTACTTTCCTGGGTGCCTTCAACAGGAAAAAAAAAACTATTGATTTTGAGTTGTCTGAAGTACACTCTATAAAAAATTACCCACAGTCTGTGGCTTTATTTTTACCAGGCTCATATAATAGGAGAAAATAGGAGGTTCCTACAGAATTACACATCCAAGGCAGTGATATAGACTGTGGTTAATGACAGCCAACATTTCAACTGTGCTCAAACCTGATCTTAGAAGCCCAAATCCTAGCAGGACAGGCCTGTCTTTATGAAAAACCCACATTCTTTCTAAGACCAACCGAATCAAAATAGAGATAGTAGAGACATATTATTTCAACTACACAGACAACTTCTATCTTCATGCGCTTTTAAATAATTCCTTACTATATTTGATCCTCACAACCCTCTTGTGATAGATATTAGCCCGATTTTACAGAAAAATAAACACTTTAAGAGTTCAAATAGGTTGTCTAAAGTGATAAGGGTATGTTATAACAGTGACTAGAACCCAGTTGTTCTGTTGTGATTCCTGGGACTTGCTCGGTCCTGATTGCCTGCTTCTCATTGTACATTATCAAGAACCAGAATGAAACCCAGTTGAATGTCATATTTTGAAGAAGCCAAGATAGGAGAGGAGAGAGAAAAATACAAAGGCTATAAAAAAAATCACAACCACAACTTAGTCCAGAGTCAGTGATCCCCAAATAAAGCTGAGAAAGATGAAATCCTTAAAAAGCAAGGAGAATGTAATCTGGAATGGGTCCAAAGATGATGCCTTCATCCATTCGAGCTGTTGTAACAGAACCCTATTAACTGGGTGGCTTATAAACAGCAAAAATTTATTTCTTACAGTTCTGGAGGCTGGATAGGCCAAGATCAAGACACCAGAAGATCTGGTACCTGCTGAGGGTCTGCTTCCTAGTTTATAGATAGCCTTGTTCTTGCTGTAACCTCAAAATAGTAATAGAAGGGGCTAAGGAGCTCCCTAGGGTCTCTATTATAAGTGCACAAATCCCATTCATGAGGGCTCCATCCTTATGACCTTGTCATCTCCTAAAGGCCCCTCCTCTCATAAAATCATTATTTTGGGCACTAGATTTCAACATATAAATTTGGGGGTGGGTAACATAAATGTTCAATGTATAGCAGATAAGATGCATGTTCCAACAATGGCACCATTCAAACCAAGGCCACATGACACCAGGGCTAGATCACAGCTTCGTCCTGTGGCCAAAAGAAATGCAAGCCGTCATAGGGTCTTATTCTAGATTCCTAAAGAAGAAAGATGCCCTTAGTCTCCTAAAGCTCCTGACCTTTAACCTTTATACAATAAAATGGCTACAGCAAACTGCAGGTAAATGTGCCCAAATGTTTAATTCCCCTCCCACCAGCAAGCCTCTTGTGTTGATAAAGACCTGCAGACAAGGTGACAAAGCATGAAAGGAACTGTTTCCAACAGTTGGGTTTATTCCATTTCTTTGCTTATTTTCCCTGAAATCCCTGCAGAAAAGAAAGACAATCAGCTTGTGAACAGCTATGGACAATTCACAAGGAGATGCCTAGCTCTTCTTAACTGATGGGAATTTATTTTCAGGTTTTAATTTAAAGCATGGGGCTGACCCAAAACCCATCATTACAGCCACTTGCTTGAGAATTTTCCTTACTAACTTGTGAATCTTCTCCATCACTGTGCAGGGTGTTTTATGTTTTGTTTTATTAAGGTGAGTTTTTTCCATCCCTTCTCTGATTGCTCTGCTGGAGCTTGATGCCAGGTATGCTAGTGGGCAAGGGTGGGTGGTGTGGCTGTTCATTGAGACATTGCACTGCACCTGTCTCACCTATAGCACCACTGCCTCCAAGCAAAGATCCAGCTACAGAGACAGTAAAACAACCTCCGGGAGGCCCAGGTGCTGCCTGGCTTTCCTGGAAATGTTTGTAAACATGGTTGTCTTGTGCACACCCATAATTGCCAAACTCATTTGTAGCCTCTCCGCCACATTCCTCCTCTTCTACCCCAAATTGTCCCCTGAAAATAGAAGTTCCTCCTGAGCACGTATTACCCACAGTATAAATGCAGTCGTCTGTACAGAAGCATTTATGGCACCAAGACAATAATAAGAAATGACTAGAAGAAACTGGTGGCAAGTCAAAAGCTAGTAACAGCTGATAGCTTTTATACAACCTGTCTCAGGCAATTTGGTAAGTGTGGTTTCAACCCACATGTGGCAGACACCCAGCTGGTTAATAGTCTGCCCCAATCTGCATCAGATCTTTCTGGCAACAGACTCTTCCCTGCACCCCCATCACTCAAATGAAAAAGCAAGTTAGTGCACCTTTGCTATTAGATGCTGACTGCAATGCAGTCTTGTCTTAGTTCCTGAACTCCTTTATCTGGATCCTATGTTAGAAACAAAGGATAAAAGGTTGTTCATACATTTTATTTAGCCTATTATTGGAGTTTTAAAAGCCTGTTTTGTTCACCAAAGCCCTCAGTGTCTTGGCAAATGTAACAAGTGTGAACATGCTGGAACCTTCACAGTGGAGCAGCATTTCATATGAGCAGAGTTGTTATTGCCCCTATTCCACTGCTGGGTCCTCAAGGCAGGGGCTTAGTCTTATTCCAATATGCATCCTCTCCACCCCCAACACAGAGGTCTGGAGGGTGAATGCTTTCGAACTGAATTGAATGCAAGGGACTTTATATTGAAATAGCAAGAGGATTCCTTTCTTCCTGAAGAGGTCTCCTTATGGGTGATTTTCATTTTCTCCTTTGGCCTTTTCTACACTTTTTTCAAATTTTCTGACATGAACATTTATTACTTTCATAATCATTTATTTGAAAATAAGTTGTTTAACAATGAAGTATCCTCAGAAAACTCTGAGACTCTGCCACCAAGAGGGTAAATTTTTTAGGTGTGAAAAATGCATAAAATGCAGCCTTTTCGATGATCATCACAACCTTAGCTTTATTAAATCATCATCTTCATGGAAGGCAAGGGGAAGCTCTGTGGGGCCAACTCTTATGTATCCTTTAGCTACCAAGGGACAGTGATCTACAGATGGCGTATTTATAGACAGTACACCTTATACATGTATCTATCTGTGTATGCATGGGCAAAAACTTTGACTATGGCTTAGATGGTTGAGCAACATTTGTTCCCTGGTCAGTAAAACAATCTAAGCCTATATTCTAAAGACATCATAACCTTTTTCCAATGGTCATATTTCTTTTTATTTGGAGACAGGGTCTTGTTTTATCACCCAAGTTGGAGTACAGTGGCATGATCATGACTCACTGCAGCCTCAACCACCAGGCTCAAAAGATCCTCCCATCTCAGCTTCCTGAGTGGCTGGGACTACAAACACACACCATCATGCCTAGCTAATCTTTGTACTTTTTGTAGAGATGGAGTTTTGCTATGTTACTGAGGCTGGTCTGGAACTCCTGACCTCAAATGATCCACCTGCCTTGGCCTCCCAAAATGCTGGGATTACATGCTCGAGTCATGGAGCCCAGCTCGTATGTCTTGATAAGACCCCATCAGCATAATTGCTGGAGCTCAAGTTTTCCCCAACAGCCAAGAACAACTTTAGTTTCTCAGCACTGTGGAAGGGGTGGATTATCGGCTCTCCCTGCTGGCAGTTACCCCATGCCGTGTCAAAGAAACGGTTCTTTGTTGATGCTCTGCCCTGCCTCTGCACCTCTCACGGTCACCCTAGCTGTTCCCTCAGAAGCTTCCCCCATCGTCATCCACACTCCCCTCCCCTGCTGCACACACACATACACACATCACTGCAATTGCTGCCACCCTCCTTGGGTAATAGGGTCCATTGGACCCTAAACCCAGCCCTGCACTGGTACTCTTCTCCCAAGCTTCTTGGTGTTCCGTGGACTAGGGAAACATGTTTACCTCAAATTCTATGAAGACAAGGGTATTGGTTTCTCACCTGTTCTGTTTGGGCAGTGCCAGGAAACACTAATGGGATATGTGCTTCCCGACTTCTCTCTAATGTTTCTAGGATCTCCTCTGTTTCTCTTTTCATTGGAAAAGAAACATGAAGAGAGAAAAATTCACCTTGTCCTGGTCACCTTTTCTCTTACTGAATAGCTAGACTTTCTCTTGTTCTTCCGTACTAGTGAGGGCAACTCCAGAAGCCCCGAAGGGCACTCAGCTCTAAATGGCTTTGTTAGGGGAGCAAGGCATGGAAGCCAGTGGAGGGCAGTGGAGCCTCGACTCAAGTAAACACCAAGGGCAACGAACGGCAATGGCCTATGGGAACCAGGGTCTCGAGGCACCCCAACCTCCCTCCTTCTAGATCTCCCTCTTTCTGGGTATAGGCTGTGTTTAATAACTCGACTGAGGAAGTTTAATAACTTTGCTCCTGACAGTTTTAGGCTCAGACCCTGAAAACATCACAACATGAGAATAGTACTTCAGTTGGAAAATCTAGGAAAGGGCTTTTGACAGCCTGGCTGGGGTTGTTGCGAGGTCAGGGCTCCAAAACATGTCTATTCCCATTGTCGAATGTGAGCCCTACAAGAAACCCATTTGCAGATATTACAGCATTGTTTCAAAGATGGGGGAACTGAGACAGAACAGACTTAAATGACTTTCTTGTTGTCTGAGAGTTAAAGAAAGGGAGTAGAGAGATTCTCATACTGCTTTAGAAGTAGAAGGTAATGATAAGTGGGCTCTAATAGTTCAGATTAATTTACTGTTTTCCAGAGACTATGCTAAGCACCTGTTATGCATTATCTCATTTATCCTTCCATCAACTGAATGGTATAGGTTCTAAGATTATGATCATTTCACAGAGGAGAAATTCAAGGGATACAGAGTTGAATAACCTGCTCAAAGGCACACAGTAAGGAGGAAAGACTTAGCCAAGCATGTGCTCTCAACCACTAATTTATGATGTGGTACCTGCACCCAAAGATCTGTTAATCCATTAGCATTAAAAAGTTGACTTCATGAAACAACAGGGACAGATGCTATAGAATTAAATGGTAAGTTGTGTAGGCTAAACATAAGTTCTACAGGAATTCAGAGCAGGAAGATATTAAACTTACGGGACCTAAAGTAGTCATGGAAGACTTGATGGAAAATGCTCTGGGTTCCAAAGGGTGAAGAGGAGTTAGTTGAACAAAAAAATGGTGAAGTGATATTTAAGGAAATTGGCATGATGACAGCACTTAAATGTCAGCATTTACGATGGCAAGAGCGAAGGAATGCAATGAAGAATAACCTTGGCATTCTGGAGGATGGAGAGAAGGAAATGAATTAGAATGGAAAGGACAGACTTTGAATCTTCTTTGTCCTCTCATCACTTCATCTTATTATCATTATGATTTTTATAATTTAGATTCCCTCTTCAGAATCTGATAATGGCTATGCATCCTCTTTCCCTATTAAAATGTACATACATGCTAAAACCTGGATTATATGTAAGCACTACAACAGACCCCTTATATAAAAGACCTTTTTCCCCCAAACAAGCCCACTCATGAACCTCTGGTTCAGAACTCCTGCACTAAAAATGTCTAGGTTGGAATGGTTTTTTCTATGTTAAATAAAGCCAGGTACCAGGTAGAATGAGAACTACCTGGAATAGGAAGACCTGGACTCTATATCTCAGTAATTTCAGATTCAGTCTAGGAACTTGATATCTATGTTCTAAAATACTCAATGCCTTCATTTGGGAAGTATTTATAGAACACCAACGATATACAAGAAAGACTCTCTGTGCTGAGCAGTGAGGAAACAGTCTAAAAAGGGACCCTGCCTCCAGAGGACTCATGGCTAACCCCCTTGTCTTGATTCTCACTCTTTCATTCCTGCTCATCACCTAACCTTGCCATTCTCCTTGAGTTGCAGGAGGTCTCATCATGTTGCAGGGTTTAGGATATACTCCATTACTCTGACACTTCCTTTCTCCATCCTATGTTCTTCATTCACTTCACATTTGCCTGCTGAACAAAGTCTTTTTAAATAATTTCATTCTCACCTCTAAGTATTCTAAAATACAATTCTAATATGTGCATGCTCTCTCTCTGTATACATAGATTAATAGATATAGATATACATATACATATAGATAGATAGATATCTGGAAGATCATTTGGCTTATAGAAAGCCAGGCATCTTTAAAGCTAGAAAGGTAAAAACTTGACTCAACCACTTCCAGTCTGGAAGGTCTTGGAAAAGATGAAACCCCCTGGCCTCAGTTTTAATATCAGATGAGTAGGGATAATAATCATGTCTACATTTCTCAACTATTGCATTTTCTAAATAACCTATACCTAGTGTCTGGCACTCAGTAGTTACTCAGAAAATTGTAGGGTATTCACTTTTCCATCTGTATCAGCATATGTTATGTATTACTTCACATTTTAAACTCTTAGCAAAACCTACTTAAAATTTTTATTTTCAAAAAAATGTTAGAATTGCATGTATTATTTAAACTCAGGGGCAGTGGGAAGACAGATTTTTGTAGTGACAAAAAAAGCAGTATTAAATAATACTTTCTTCGTGTATTGCAACATTTGGCATTATGCCTGATTTCAATTATTAGATGGTGTTGCCTAAATACGGTTCTCTACTTCAAATGAGATACATGTCCAAATGACTTGATTAACTACACAATGAGAGATTTTTATTTTACTTTAAAACATCAGCTATGATTACATGTGGTGCTAGGGATAAATTTCAGCACCAGAAGATATTGTTAGATCATTGTTTGTAATCAATTAGTCGGTGTAGAGGTAGGGCTATATATTCTTTAGCTATCTTCTCTCTATAGCTTTTGATAATTTCCTTTATTCTTTTTATTGAAGATATGACACTCAAGAGGCACCCTAAGCAGTTTTCATTGCTTTGCAGATGGTTTACAAGTTACATCCCTTTCTGGGTCGGTTTCTCACTCTGACAGAAAGCAGGGGTCCACTGCCATCCTGCCTGCCTGATGGTGACAGGCAGACCTCACGCTAGACTCCCCCAGGATTTCGGACAAAGCACACAGTGCCTTGGAAAATCACTGTGGATGCAAAACACCACCTTTAAAGAAACTATTTTAAACTAAATTGATTCTTTGTTCTTTAGCCAATTAGCTAATCCTCCTCTTGAGACATGCTTCCATTTAGAAAAGCTAAAAACACGGCTCGTGGCCTGAGACTTAGAGGAGACGAGGGATATGCTGACATAGACATTAAGTAGGATTGAGCCGAGAGGGCAGCTGCATCCTGATGAGCTACTTTAGGATCTGTCCAGGATCTGCAGTCTTTGTGGCAGGAGCACATCAGTAGAAGGGGTAGTTCTAAAAGAAGCCAAGGAAAACTGAGACAGGAAGGCCTGAGTGTCTGAATCAATGATGACGCCAGCCAAGAGGGTCTGTCATGGGCATGGCAGCCACTAGATTCCAACAGGGACCCTGTTCCCTGCTGGGATTTTTGAAATAGCTCCAGCTTCCCTGAACTATGTGAAAAATCAAGTAGCCAGGTCTCCACCTTCACAATATGGTCCTGAGAGAATCCTTGGGGGTTAGAAGCAAAACAGTTGAATCTGCCACACTGAGCTTCCATAAAGGAGGATGGGGGAGGGGAGGTATATGTGGGAAATGGGGGAAATGGAATGAGTCTAGGAAGACAGGGTCATAGCCAAAGCCTCATAAACAGCTCTCTTAAAGTAAGTATTTGTAACAATTGTCTTTTTTCATGTTTAACTTTTTGCCCTTATTTCATTATTATGTGGTGTCTGTTCAATGAAGAAATATAGAGAAACAAAACAGAAATAAGTCACAAATTCTTACAAATTCTTACAGTCATTTTTCTATATATGTGTTGATGTTAATATGCATGTTTTACATAAATAAAACATAAATGTTTTTAACATAATTATACATTATTCATTCAAGTTTTATAGAATGTATGTACTAATATTTTTAATAATTACATAGAATCCTGTTGTATTACTAAGCCATAATTTAAAATTTAGTTTCCAATTTGGGGACATGTGTGTTGTTTCCAAATTTTTAGCTATTGTAAGCAACTGAGAAGAGAATTCTTGAACATACGATAATATGCATTGTTCTAAATATCCTGGTAGGACATGTGGCTTAATCACCCTTTTCATCCCAGACCCTGGTTTCAATGTCTGGTTTATGATAGGTCATGTAGGGATGGGATGTTTCCTGGGGTAAAGAAAGCACAGCACCACACACTCAGTCCAAATTTTTCCAGGAGCTGGGTCATTCTAGGCATTCTCAGAGTCTCTGACACTGCCATCACCCTCAAATTTTTGTTGAACAATTGCTTCATGGGAAACACACAGGCCACATGCTTCCCAGACAGACCAGCTGATGCAACCCTGGTAAGCACCACCTTAGAGGCCACCAGAGTTGTATTCCACCCCAACCTATAATGAATCTAGGTCAGAACTGACTCTTCCTGCATCTACCTTAAGAAATTCAGAACAATGAGATTATAGGATATGGTTCTCTTACTCCCACTCTGTTTTAAATGGTTTTGGAATAATTTTTTAAACATTGAAACTTTAAGATTGATTGGCTTGGGAATCTGTACTGAAGAAGGAGTGAGTTGGAGTAGGTGAGTGTAACTATCTCCAATTAGAAGTGCCATCCATACATATAATAAAATATTCAAAGGCTTCCCAGGGATGTCAACTTATTCATAATTGATTTAAATGAATCACTGAAATAGAGTCCTTTAATCTCTCGTATAACATGTCTCTGAAAAATTAAAATTGGAATCACAGTACAATTTTTTAAAAATCCAGCAAGTGTTTCAATTACCTAGATGGGTTTGTCATTTAACACAGCTGCTTCATGAAGTATCTCCCACCCTCGAGGTGGTTCAAGATTTAGGCTCTATGGTCTTTAAGATAAAATACAACCAGGAGGATATGAATGGCATTGTCCTTCATGCAAAAAGTGAAATTTTAAATTATTTCTCTTCCGCAGAAAAAAAAAATGAAAAGCAAACAGAAAGAGAAATCCTTAAACTACTCACCTTCACTGTATCTACAATGTTGTTAAGTCTAAATGCAGGTATATAGAAGAGTTCCAAAAGTAGATGACTGTGTGGCTTCTGTCCCATTTCACGTTTGGGGGTCTTGCGTGGTCCTAGTTGACCAGCTTCTCCAGAGGCCACTTCTCCACTTTGGTCCAATTTGCACATGTCAAAGATGAGTCCTACTTAGGTAGGCACTGTGAGTTCAGACAGTGTATTCTGGCAGTGTTCTTGCAAGATAGAGAGCAGGAGCAAGCTGGTGGCACAGGCCAGATACAGTCAGGGACCAGATAACTGCCTAACCAGAAGGGTTTCCATCTGGAGACCATTCTCAGAGTTTTCTGGAATCTTCTCCCTTTTTTATACCTGTATTTGGTCTGGATCAGTTACAAGGTGTTTTTTGTTTTGTTTTGTTTTGTTCATAAAGGGAGCTTAAGCTATTCTTGTAAGGATGATGTATTAGTCTGTTTTCACACTACTATAAAGAACTGCCTGCTGGGTCATGCATAAAAGAAAGAGGTTTAATTAATTCACAGTTCTGCATGGCTGGGGAGTCCTCAGGAAACTTACAATCATGGCAAAAGGCAAAGGAGAAGCATAGCACATCTTACATGGTGGCAGGAGAGAGAAAGCACACAGGGGAAACTGCCACTTTTAAACCATCAGATCTCCTGAGAACTCCCTCACTATCATGAGAACAAAATGGAGAAAACTGTCTCTATGATCCAATCACCTCCCACCAGGTCCCTCCCTCAACAAGTGAGGATTACAATTTGAGATGAGATTTGGGTGAGGCACAGAGACAAACCATATCAGGTGAGCTTTGTTTTAAGGCTCATGAAAGTTACATCTGTACTGAGATAGGCTTGTCTCTAGAAATGGGACTTAGGATTTTAGGTCCCATGGTCAAAGAGACCCAGTGATCCCCAGCCAGCATTAGAAATCCCCAGGCCAGTTTATATCATTATTTCTAAGTGACAGTGTAGGCCCTGCAAGATGTTTGGGTGAGTCTTACAGTTATTCTTCATCTTACAGCATGATGTGTTTCTTACAGTAACTATACCCTGAAATCTCTTTGCAGTGATGTAGTGTTGACATCACTTTCTACCAGCTGAGGAGAGACAACTGGGAACATCCCCTCCCAAACCCATGTTCAGTGACATCCAGTTAATTTAAATTGGTCATGATGGGAGTATTTACACCATGAAATTGGCAAACTCTACTAATCAAGGCATTTTCTTTTTCTCTGAGACTCAGTTGTTAATCATTTACCAGTAACTCACTGCTTTATAACCTGGCCCACAATCCAGTAATTCACCTCCTCTGACCAAGTACTGCTGGTACAGAGGTAAGCGTTGAGCTGACCACACACACACTCATAGGAACACTCAAAAAGTATTTCTTTACTAATTAATAAAAGACTAATCTTAGACTAGTGAATGATAGGCATTGTCTTCTATCCTAAGAAAAGAATGAAATTCTTCTCCTAGTTCTCATTTTCACTGTAATATTCTCAAGAAACATTGACACCCTGGACTCTCACAGCAGTTAAAATAAGAAATTAAATTAGGAACTCTTGAGCAGCTTATTATAAATTGCTCAAATGTCCATTTCTCAAACCATTAAGGTTTTCAGAATAGTCATGACCCTTTCCTGGGTGTTCTGGTTAGTGAATAATATATACCTGCAAGTATGTCCCTGATGTCCAGCCCCCAGTGAACACTTAGCATTCAGGTATGTTGATTGGCTCATGTTCCACAAACCCCAGAGTCAGATCCTAAGTGAGAGCTGCTACTTCCCTGCTGTGAATTAGTATCTTTCCACATGAATGCATTAAATAGCCATTGGTAATAATCATTCATGCATGGAACGAACAGACAAAAGATTTGCAGGTTATAAGTCTACACACCAACCTCATTTGTTCATTGATTTATTCAAATTTCATGGCTAAGATAATAACAAATTTTAGCTCTACTAGCTTACATGGATTTTAACACTTTCTCTGCCAGGCTGCATTACTAAATGATATATTTTATAAATCTTTTGTTTAGTGGTAAAGAATAATTTGAATAGAGATCAGATATTTATAAAATACTTTATGTATCCCACTAAAGACCAATAGCTCACAGGAGCTTTAGTCAAACATTAAACTACTCCATGTGATCTGCTTTGGCTGTGTCCCCACCCAAATCTTACCTTGAATTATAGCTCCCATAATTCCCATGTGACATGGGAAAGACCCAGTGGGAGGTAGTTGGATCATAGGGGTGGGTTTTTCCCATATTGATCCTGTGATAGTGAAAAAGCCTCATGAGATCTGATGGTTTTATAAAAGGACTATTCCCCTGCACATGCTCTCTTGCCTGCCACCATGAAAGGTGTGACTTTGCTCCTTATTCGCCTTCTGCTATGATTTTGAGGCCTCCCCACCCATGTGTAACTGTGAGTCAATTAAACCTCTTTCATTTATAAATTACCCAGTCTTGGGTATGTCTTTATTAGCAGTGTGAAAACAGACTAATACACTATGCCAACCGTTCTTTTTAATAAAAACTCTGAAACACCAACAAGCTGCTTTGGCTTAAAAAAAAAAGACAATGCCACTTTTGTTTCCCTACATCCATAAGCTCTTTGAATATCTAAGGCCAGATTTTTGTCTACTGGAACTCATTAAATGGGATAGAACCAATCACCTATTGTAACAAATTACCACATACTTTGTGACTTCAAACAACACAGATTTTCATTTTACAGTTCTAGAGGTCAGAAGTCCAAAATGGGTCTTAGCTAAAATCAAGGTTTGGCAGAGCTACATTCCTTCTGGAGGCTCTAAAGAAGAAAACATTTCCCTGCATTTTTCATCTTCTAGAGGTGGCCTACATTCTTTGAGTTGTTGTCGCTTCTTCTGTTTTCAAATTCACCAGTGTATCATTTTCAAATTTCTCTCTCTCTTTTTCTCCTTCCATCATTGTATCTCCTTTCCTCTCTCTGTCTCTTCTACTTCCCTCTTCTCTTTCCCTTAAAAGTACCTTTATAATTACATTGGCCACATAAAATAATACGGAATAACCTCCCCACTTCAAGATTCTTAATTTATTCATATGTTAAATTCCCTATTGTCATTTTCATATAAGGTAACATATTCACGGTTTTTAAAGATTATGACATGGTCATCTTTAAGGGTTTATTGTTCTGTTTGCCACAGTGAGGAACCTGCTATGGGAGACTAGAAAGACAGTAGCTTTTGGTGTGTAGTAAAATCAATTGGCAAAAGTATTGCCTATATTAATTTGGCAGATAGAAAATGGATTTGTGCACCTGACTAAAGAGATTTCCAGGCAGAAGATTGAAAGTGCCAACTGGCTCTCGTGTATAAGGAATAGAGAGATTAGATACAGAGAGAAGTATTAAGTATGCAAGCAGAATTTCAAGGAACTATAGAAGATCAAAGATGTACTAGGTTGGAAAATAAAACTATTTCACATTTTTTACTGTCTTTAGTCAGTAAAAGAGTCAAAACTAAGAAATAGCCTCGAGTTGAGATCAAATCAAAGGTTTATCTATAAGACCTTTAGTTAAAACCTCAGAAAGATTTAACAGAGTACCTAGTTAGCCCCTCTCAATTAAACTAAAGTTTTCTAAAATCTTAAAGACAATGTCCCACAGCACCCTGACACAACAGAGAGAGGTCTGCCTTAAAAAGGGCTATGGAATGACTTTGGAGGCATGAAATCAAATTTATAGAATTCCCACTGAGTGGCATGTGTAAAATTTTGTACTAGCTTGAACTACAAGGAGCAGAGAAGGTTCAAAATGAAAAGAAGCTCTGGATCTCCAACTTTCTATAAGCAGGAAGCAGATTGAGAAAGCTACTTAGATGCGAACACAGGCTATTTCTTTTAGAAAAGGGAAGACTAGATGGTAGAGCTAAGAGCCAAAGAGAACCATGGATTAGAAAACCATTCTCAAGAAGCAGAACTGGGTCCTAGTCAAGGAACATTTCTTTTCCTAGAACAAGAAGCCCTGACACTATGCACCTGGCTAAATTTCAGAAGTGCTATGGATCAGTGACAACTATCTGCCTCCTCCTACCCTTCTCCTTTTAGAATGAAAATATCTAATGTGGTTATTTTGACTCTCTTCTGTATCACCATTGTGTATTAGGCATCAGGGATCAAGTGTCTTATCTTTTTAGTTCACAGATCTCAAGATCAAGAGAAGCTCACTCGAAGTCCTCATCCACATCTAGATCAGATTCAGATCATGAATTCATAAAATTCACTATGGTGTCATGAGTAAGTGAAACTTTGGGAACCTTAGAAGGTGTAGTCATATTTACATATGGAAGAAAGCAGAGAGCAGACTATCACTGAATGTTTGATTAATCACCCCCAATAGATCACATATCCCAGGACACATGCTCTTGTTGATTCTCCTACTGCATTGAGTTAGAGCTTGGCTTCATGAATTTCTTTGGCTAGTGATACATCAACAAACATTACTGATATGGTTTGGCTGTGTCCCCACCAAAATCATCTTGAATTGTAGCTCCCATAATCCCCATGTGTTGTGGGAGAGACCAGGTGGGAGGTAATTGAATCATGGGGGTGGTTATCCCCATGCTGCTCTTCTCATGATAGTGAGTGAGTTCTCAAGCAATCTGATGGTTTTATAAGCACTTCCCCCTCCGCTTGGTTCTCATTCTTCTCTCTCCTACTGCCTTGTGAAGAAGGATGTGTTTGCTTCCCCTTCCACCATGATTGTAAGTTTCCTGAGGCCTCTCCAGCCATGCGGAACTGTGATTCCATTAACCTCCTTTCCTTTATCTAGTCTCTTGCAGTTCTTTATAGCAGCATGAAAACAGACTAATACAGTAAGTTGGTACCAGGTAGTGGAGTGCTGCTGTAAAGATACTCAAAAATGTGGAAGTGACTTTGGAACTACGTAAGAGGCAGAGGTTTGGAACAGTTTGGAGGGCTCAGGAGATGACAGAAAAATGTGGGAAAGTTTGGAACTAGAGACTTGTTGAATGGCTTTGACCAAAATGCTGATACTGATATGGACAATAAAGTCCAGGCTCAGATGGAGATAAGGAACTTGTTGAGAACCAGAATAAAGGTGGCTTTTGCTATGTTTTAGCAAAGAGACTGGTGGCATTTTGCCCCCACCTTAGAGATCTGTGGAGCTTTGAACTTGAGGGAGATGATTCAGGGTATCTGGTGGAAGACATTTTTGAACAGCAAAGTGTTCAAGAGGTTACTTGGGTGCTGTTGAAAGCATTCAGCTTTATGTATTCACAAAGATACGGTTTGGAATTGGAACAAGTCTAAAAGGGAAGCAGAGCATAAAAGTTTGGGAAATTTGCAGGCTGGCAATGTGATAGAAAAGAAAAGCCCTTTTTCTGAGAAGAAATTTAAACCAGCTGCAGAAATTTGCATAAGAAATAAGGAGGCAAGGCCAGGTGTGGTGGCTCATGCCTGTAATCCCAGCACTTTGGGAGGCCGAGGTGGGCAGATCACAAGGTCAGGTGTTCAAGACCAGACTGGCCAATATGGTGGAACCCCATCTCTACTAAAAAAATACAAAAATTAGATGAGCGTGGTGGTGGGTGCCTATAATCCCAGATACTCAGGAGGCTGAAGCAGGAGAATTGCTTGAACCTGGGAGTCAGAGGTTGCAGTGAGCCAAGATCGTGCCACTGCACTCCAGCCTGGGTGACAAAGCAAGACTCTGTCTCAAAAAAAAAAAAAAAAGAAAGAAAAGAAAAAAGAAATGAGGATCCAACTGTTAATCACCAAGACAGTGGGGAAAATGTCTTCAGGGCATGTCAAAGGTCTTCAGAGCAGCCCCTCCCATCACAGACCCAGAGGCCCAGGAGAAAAAAGTGGTTTCATGGGTCAGGCCCACGGCCTTGCTGCTTTGTGCAGTCTCAGGACATGGTGCCCTGCATCCTAGCCATGGCTAAAAGGGGCCAAAGTACAGCTCCAGCCATAGCTTCAGAGGGTGCAAGTCCCAAGACTTGGCAGCTTCCACATTGTGTTGAGCCTGCAGGTATACAGAAGTCAAGAATTGAGGTTTGGGAACTTTTGCATAGATTTCAGAGGATGTATGGAAATGCCTAGATGTCCAGGCAGAGGTATCTGCTGCAGGAGCAGAGCCCTCATGGAGAACCTCTGCTAGGTCAATGTGGAAGGGAAATGTGGGGTTCGAGCTCCCATACAGAATCCTCACTGGGGCACTGCCTAGTGGAGCTGTGAGAAGAAGACCACTGTCCTCCAGACTCCAGAATGGTAGATCCACCCCAGTTTGCACCATGCACTTGGAAAAGCCGCAAACACTCAACACCAGCCCATGAAGGCAGGCAGGAGCAGGTCTGTACCCTGCAAAGCCACAGAGGCAGAGCTGCCCAAGGCCATAGGAACCCACCCCTTGCATCAGCGTGACCTGGATGTGAGACATGGAGTCAAAGATCATTTCGGAGCTTTAAGATTTGGCTGCCCCACTGGATTTCAGACAGACATGGGGCCTGTACCCCTTCTTTTTGGCCAATTTCTCCCATTTGGAATGGGTGTATTTATCCAATGTCAGTACCCCATTGTATCTAGGAAGTAACTAACATGCTTCTGATTTTACGGGCTGACAGGCAAAAGGGACTTACCTGTCTCAGATGAGACTTTGGACTTGGACTTTTGGGTTAATGCAGGAATGAGTTAAGACTTTTGGGGACTGTTGAGAAGGCATAGTTGTGTTTTGAAATGTGAGAACATGAGATTTGGTAGAGGCCAGGGGCAGAATGATATGGTTTGGCTGTGTCCCTACCCAAATCTCATCTTGAATTGTAGTTCCCATAATCCATACGTGTCATGGGAGGGACTCAGGGGGAGATAATTGAATAATGAGCGCAGTTATCCCCATGCTGCTGTTTTCTTAATAGTGAGTGAGTTCTCATGAGATCCGATGGTTTTATAAGTGACTTTTCCCTCTTTGCTTGGCACTTCTCCTTCCTGCCACGACGTGAAGAAGGACGTGATTGCTTCCCCTTCCACCATGATTGTAAGTTTTCTGAGGCCTCTCCCACCCTGCAGAACTGTGACTCAATTAAACCTCTTTCCCTTATAAATTACTCAGTCTAGGGCAGTTAGTTATAGCAGCATGAGAAGAGACTAATACAAAAACACAAATAGAGATTTGAAAAAAGCATATGCATTTGGAGTTTGTCCTCTTGAAATGCTTCCCCCCACCCCAACCATGGCTCAGTCCATCTTCCTTGAGAATGAATGACCACTGGAGGAAGAATCCCAGCCATCCCAGCAGACCCACCTGAATGCAGCCTCCAGCCAACTTTCTGGCTCAATGTACCCATGTGATTGTGCACAGACAAAACCAGAAAAGAAAAAAAAATCACCCAGCAAACCCACAGAATCATTACAGAGCAATAAATAACTGAAACAGGAATTTAATAGAAGCATGGGCTCAGATGCTACTGAGAGCAAATGAAGCCGAGTTCCAATTTAATTGCCCTTTTTCTCGTACCTAGAGTCAACCTATCTCCCCATCTACTAAACCTCCCAGGCTTCCACTATGGCTTCCACTATAGCTTCCCTTCCATTGGTACTAGATTATCTCTCATAAATCTCATTCTTCATAGTCACAGTCTAACTCTTCTCATCACTTGCCTTCACTCCAAGACTCCCAGAATTCTATTAATGGATTTTCCATAATACTTGACCATTTAGTCAATGTTTAATGAGTTTTTAAGATAACATTAGCCCTTATGTGATTCATCGTCAGGCTCCTGTATTGTAACAGCCCAGGTTATAAGGTTATAAGTGTGTCATTGACATAAAGTTTTATCAAAAGGAACTGGCATAGTAGCTTGTTTTAGAAGACACTCCTCTTCCTCAAAATATTTTGTTGTTTTTGCAAAAATATTTGGTGTTATTTTAAGTACCTTTCTTTTCCCCTCAAGGTTCTACCTAAGCTTGGGCTTCCAAGAAAAGTCTAAGAAAAATTAGAAACATCAACCACATAGATTGATGAGGCAGATCCAAATACTTCAGTGCCCAAGTGCCTCCTGGGAAGTAACTTCCATGCTTAGGAAAGGACAGTAACTCTTCCAAGATTGCAGCACTATATTGTCTCTTAGAAAATGAAAGAGGAAATGATCCAAAGAGTCTCCCTTATTCACTGCCAAAAACACTGGAGAGAAACAAGATTTTCCCTATATTATTTTGGCTACTGCTACCTTCAAACCCATGAGGTAGGCAGAACAGTATTATCATTTCCGCTTTATGAATAAGGACTGTGGCTTCAGAAGGATAGGGGACTTATGCAAGGTCACAGGACTTGCATGGCATATAACCACAGCTTAAACTCAGATCCCTCTTTGAAGCAGGATTCTGATAATTATCGATTTTTGGAGAAACTTGGATCCAAGCCCTAGATATTTCCCTTACTGGACTGGTGAATTTGAGCTCATTTTGTTACTTCCTGTGCCAATTGTGGATAATAGTAGTTGCATTACAGAATTGTTATTAAGATTAAATAAGTTTGGGTGGAGGGAAAATAGCAATTAACAGCAGTTAAGTATGTAGATACTGAGCCAGATTGCCAAGGTTCAAATCCCAGCTCTGCTACTTTGAAGCTGGGTGACCCGGGCAAGTTGCTTAACATCTCTGTGCCTCCACTTCCACTACTTTAAAACAAAGATTAAAATAATAGCCTTACCTCATAGGATTTGTAGGAGATTAAAGATGGGCTAATATATGAAAAGCTCTTATAACAGGATCTGACTTATAGTAAGTACCAGCTCTCATTACGTTAAGCCTGGAATAGAAGCTGCATTCAATGGGCTATACATTCAGTGCTCTTTCTACTGCTCTGTGATACTTTGAAACTTTAGAGTTCACAGATTCACATCAAATGTCTAGTTTCTGAACCAGGAGACACAACTCCTCTTGGTTGGCACTGTCAAAAAAAAAATCTTTACCAGAATGAATAGAGAATTTGTCTCTGCTTTGATGAGACACAAATAAACTTTTTCTCACCTGACTGTAGTTGACTGTATTAAATAAATTATTCACTAAGAAAGAAGAAAAGATTAAACATTTCTGAACAAAAAAGACAGCCCCAGAACACCTAAGAAAGCTCCGTGGTCCCTTGTGGTATAGAGCAGACACGCTTAAGGATCAATTTCTCAGAGAACCAAGACTGTGCATCAGTGATTCTACAAACCTGTGACTCTGTGCTGTGGGGATAAAGGAAGAAGTCAATCAGAAACGTTAATAGATTCAGCGTCTGAAAACAGAGGAATTTAAAAATAAAGACAGAAGTTCTGTGCATATCCCAGGGAGCTCCATCATATACACGTTTCACTTTTACACTTTAAATATATGCTCTCAGGTAAAGGAGAGAAAGAGAGTTAGAGAGATTAGGAGACAGAGAAATAATTACACAAAAAATGCAGTAGTTGATTCCAACTGAAACACCCCTCCATGATCCTATGCCTGGAAATGAGAGTGACATTGGGTCATGTCTCTGCTCCCTTCTCGGCAGATTCCCATGACCATCTCACCCCACCACAGAGAGTTATGGGGAGCTGCTTTCATACAAATGGCCCCAAATCTAGGATTACAGAGAGCTGCTTTTATACAAATGGCCCCAAATGCAAGCCAACCCCTTCCCCTGGTGCTCCACCAAAGAAAGAGCCATGGGCTCCAACCACGGAGGATGAACTGGAAGCAGTGGATTTTCTTAGACAAATGTCAGCCTCCAATGAATTCTCTTCCTAAGGATTTTCAAGTATAATCTCAACAACGGATTTTCACCTTTTATGCAACTCTTCTGTTCTGTGTTTTTTTAGAATTTATGTCACAATGTTTCCTATCTGAGCCCGTAATGTAATCTAGAAGAAAGAAACTTCAGTCCTTCTATAATGCAAGAGATCAGGCCTTCTCATTTCACACCCATAAATTTAATTGGATTGCATTTTGATGATTTATAGTATTGCAGTCTTGTAAAGAAAAGGAAAATAGGGACATTTATCACTGCTTCTCAGATCCTAACAACTATCGTATCTTCAGCCCATACAAGTAACTCAGAGTATGGAACCTACAGCTGCTGGACTTCGGCTGCATTCCCCAGATGGAATGGAATGTTTGCTGTAATAAAAGCAAGAGATCTTTTTTTGAGGAAAATTTAGCATAACTATAGTAATATGCTTTCACCTTCTGGTATGAAAGTGGTGCCATGGGCAGTAGGACTTGTTTTAAGTTTATCCGAAACCAATTTATACTCAGGGGGTTAAAGTATTACTTCTCCCAGGAAACTGCAAGTACGTGGAGGGGGACAGAGGTACACTTGAAGGGACTTTCTGAAAGAGAACTTTTAACACAGAAGAGATTGGGGCAGATAAATGTTTTCATTAAAGTAAAAATTTCTTTTTTTTCTTTTTTTTCTTTTTTTTTTTTTTTTGAGATGGAGTCTTGCTCTGTCACCCAGGCCAGACTGCAGCGGCGCGATCTTGGCTCACTGCAACCTGTCTCTCGGATTCAAGCCATTCCCCTGTCTCAGCCTTCTGAGTGGCTGGGACTACAGGCACCTGCCAATACGCCCAGCTAATTTTTGTATCTTTAGTAGAGACGGGGTTTCACCATGTTGGCTAGGCTGGTCTAGAACTCCTGACCTCAGGTGATCTGCCCACCTTGGCCTCCCAAAGTGCTAGGATTACAAGCGTGAGCCACTGAACCCAGCCAGTGTTAAAATTTCTTAAACTCGAAGTTTCATTTTATATATAAAATAAAAATGGACTTACCCTCTTTTCTCTTTATTCACTTAGTTATCTGTGTGTTAAATTCAAATTTTAGCCTAGATTATGTTATCAAAAAAAAAAAGCAAAAAACAACAACTAATTCTGAATTGATAGCTGCTGAGTGGTACCTTATTGAATCCATGAAGTCGTCATTATTACCCCCATGTTACAGCTGAGGAACCTGAGGTCCTCTGGGATATTAAGTAACATACCATGGTCTCATAAATGACAGAGTGAGGATTGAACACAGGTCTTCTGACACTAAAGTGCCTTTTACTTTATGATAATTCAGCATCTGAAAACAGAAGAATCGTTTTCAGGAATCAACCCTGAATTGTAGGACCAGAGTAAAGACAGCTAGTCTTACTCTTTTCTCATAGTCAGAGATACCTCTACTCTGATATGAGTCACTGACGAAGAAAATGAAGAAGAAAAGAAGAAACACCAAGCCTTCTTGTCCTTGGCCATCCCTGTCTGTGCTAAGACATATCAAAAGTTACAGTGTCTTCTCTTTCTTAGGGACAACTCTTCTTGCCCAACAGACAGCTGGTACAAAGGGCATACAATCTATGGATATCACAAATCAATCCAACAACATCCTAACCAAAGAGCAAAAGATGCTTAAAAACCCAAAAGAATTCACTAAAAACTAAATCTAAAAGTGTAAAAGGTTTGGAAATTTAAGAATGTGTCATAGAGAAAGAGGTATTTGGGCACAAATAAAATTGCACCCAGACTGCTGAGCACTCCACAGAGGAGAAGGGCTGGTTCTATGTTTAATGTATCAAAAATTCTCAGTGGTGGCTCCTGGGAGTCTTCAAGCCAGCAGCTTTCTCCTTTTCTTGGTCTCTGTGAATCAGAACTGCAGCCACCAAAAAGCACTGCCTGCAGCAGAAAAAGTTAAAAAAAAGAAAAACTGGGTAATTTCTATCCCTCAGGCAGATATATGCAGAGTAGGCAAAAGCAAAAATTAGAAATTCCCCATCACTCTGATGCAGTCTTTCCCCCAGGATTCTCCCAGACCACTATGCTGTCCACAGTAGCAATATGTGTTTCCTCATCCAACCACTGAAGGCTGACTCCTTCAGCAAACACGCTGTTTTTCATGCACCTTGATTCTGTCTCTTCTATATTTCAATTTTCTAATCCATTTCTTCCAATAGCTTTCATGAGAAAAGGGGAAAAGAAAGCTTTCACACTATTATGTGAAAGTGTACAAATGAACAACCATAGGAATGTGCATTTCTGGATGTATTTAAGTGAGCATTTTGATTCTATTGACAGATCACAAAATGAAGTGAATACTAAAAAATAAGTTCATTTCTCAAGCATAATTCAAATCTTCCAAAATCAAGCAGAAGCCCAGACTATTTGATTACGTGATCTTGATAATAGCTAATCATGCATTGTTACTCAATTATGTATGGGAACAGCTTAGTTGTGAGCCCTTGTTTGTGAGTGTCATCATTGCCATTCGCAATCCAACATTTAGACACTTAAGTTTTAAATATGCATTGCATTTTACCACTTACAATGATCCTAAATAATGAACTCTCTGAGGTACAATTTATTCATTTGTATAATGTGGTTCAAATAGTATAATACCCTTTCCAACCATCTCGTCTTCTAAAAATAGTCTAAGACCTTTAATATAACTGAAATATAAGCATTTTATAAATTCGTATTTAAAACAAATGAAAGTCAAGAAACTAACTTAATGAAGCGATCAAAGCGACGGACAAAAGTCAAGGGAACTGGGTTCTAGTTTTGATGCTTTACTATCTGCTCTGTTTATTGTTGCATTAAAAAACACCAAATTTAGTGGCATAAACAACGGTGTTTTGTTGCTTCTATTATTCACTCTCACAGGGCTCAGTGCATGAGTCATGTTCATGCAACAGTGGCTAGGGCTGGAGTCACCTGTAAAGCTACCTCACTCATAAGTCTGGCTATTGGCACTGGTTATCAGCTGAGATTTCAGCAGACAATGTTAGCCCAAATCCCTATATGTAGGCTGGACTTCCTCACAGATGACAACTGGGTTCTAAGAGGGAGCATTCCAAGGGCTGAAGAGAGCCAGGAGTGCTGCCTTTTGTGACCTAGTCTGGGAAGTCATCTAGCTTCCCTACTGCTCCATTCCATTCAGTACAAGTTAGCCGTGAAGTCCTGCCCATATTTAAGGGGAAAGAAATTAGGGGCCACCTCCTGAGAGGAAGAATGTCCAAGAATTTATAACATCATTTTTGAAGTTACCCCAATGGCTTTGGTCAACTCACTTAATATCTAGGGTGCTGTGATCAATAACTCATCCAAATTTGTCATTTTAGTGTCTAAAATTTGAATATACAACAGCAACGAATTCAGCTGTGGATAGTCTGTTCTCACGCTGCTAATAAAGACATGCCCAACATTGGGTAATTTATAAAGAAAAGAGGTTTAGGGCCGGGTGCGTTGGCTCAAGCCTGTAATCCCAGCACTTTGGGAGGCCAAGACTGGTGGATCACAAGGTCAGGAGTTTGAGGCCAGTCTGACCAACATGGTGAAACCCCGTTTCTACTAAAAATGCAAAAATTAGCTGGGCATGGTGGCAGGTGCCTGTAATCCCAGCTACTTGAGAGGCTGAGGCAGGAGAATCATTTGAACCTGGGAGGCGGAGGTTGCAGTGAGCTGAGATCACACCACTGCACTCCAGCCTGGGTGACATGAGAGAAACTCCATCTCAAAAAAAAAAGGAAAGGGGTTTAATTGACTCACAGTACCACATGGCTGGGGAGGCCTCACAATCACGGCAGAAAGCAAATAAGGAGCAAAGTCACCTCTTACATGGAGGCAGGAGAACTCCCATTTATAAAACCATCAGATCCCACGAGACTTATTTACTACCATGAGAACAGTATGAAAGAAATAGCCTTCATGATGTAATTATCTCCACCTGGCCCTGCCCTTGACAAGTGGAGATTATTACAATTCAAGGTGAGATTTGGGTAGGGACACAGTCAAACCATATCAAGCTGCATTTCTCCAAATATTTGATTTTTCAAAAGAGTAATAGCAATATTAATAATTAACATTCATTGTGTGATTACTATGCTAAATGCCTTAAATATGTCCTATAATCCCTATGTCATAGGTACAATTATCCCCTCAGGTCCCTATAGATGCACCTTAAACTCAGTAATAAGTTAACAATCGACAGAACTAGCAAAATCTATGTTTGCAATTCCCAACATAAGAAAAATTGTAAACATTTCTTTAGAGTTTGGTGACAGTAATGTTATTTTGGTTTAAGACATATTTTCCGTACTGATCATCATTGCGGAATGTTACTTATTCTTTATATGGAGAATGAACATAACCTCCTCAAGTCTCCTTCCCAAAAATAAATTATCCCCAAAGAGATGTCCTTTAATCAGAGGACAAACGTGTGTTATGATTCTGCCTGCAGACCCTCACAAAAGGACCCTTGAAACTACATTTGAGGATACCTATCTATTAAAGAAAACTCTCCATCTTCCCTCAGAGGAGACATTCAGCACTTATAGCAGGCCGGACTGCAGTGAAATTCTGAGAGCAGAACTTAATAAAAATACCAGAGCCCAAGCCCAAGTATTATTGAACACTAAAGAAGCCTGCTCCTTCCCCAGAGCACTCCATTCTGACCGGTCTTATTTTTTAAAACACAGCCACAACCTTAACAAGAGGTGCATGTAAAAGCCAATCCCAGCGTGATCAGGGACTCAGCGGAAGAGTGAGAGTGTGCAAAGGCCAGGGGTGAAGTTAGACAGAACCGGCACCCCCACTGATTATTGACATATTGACCAACTCAGAAAAGTCAGAAAGTCAGGCCATCCCTGAGTCTTCCAAATCCACACCACTTTATTGTAAATGGAAAAGATCCTTGCACAGAAGCCAGAGAGCACGATGCAGAGGGAACTAAACAAGTGCAGGCCCAGGTGCGGCCAAACCTCCATCATTTCCAAATGACCAGAATGACAATTTGGAAAAGGTCAGATTTAATTCGACACAATCGCCCACAGGGAGCCTGGAGCCTGTTCTGTGTTAGCCTTGGATTTAGGGGAAAAAAGGAAAAAAGAAGGAAAAGTAGAAAATACCTAAAGAAAGAAAGGAAAGAGCAGACGCTGTTTAACTTCCCCTTGGGAATTCATTCTATTAAAAACTGTTTTCATGCACAATCGACACTCAAGGGCCTGGGGTTTTATTGTATATCAGTAGAGCAATAAGTGTATGCAATAAATAAATCTAAAACTGAGGTTGCTCAAATGAAAATATGCCTGAAAAAGTAATCAAACTGGCCTCTTAAGAAATACAGAGGAAAGTCCAGACAAATTTAATAACAGAAATGATCAAAATGGTTGCCATGCTGTTAGATTTTTACCAGTTTCAAATACCTGGTGAGTAGTCACTGCTATGCTGCGAAATTTCTGTTAAGTAATTAGTTTTGAAATGTTGCCCAGACTGGTATTATTATATGCTCTTCAAAGGGGGATTGGAAAGGCTGTGATTGTTCTTGTTTATTACTCCAGGAAAACTAAAGCATCATCAACAGGATGTTTGTGGTGGCACTGGCTGTGTCAAGATCTGGACCACACTAAGCCACAAAAAAAAAAATCTTAACCCAGGCTTTGTGGCGTGTTCCTAATAGGCTCTTTTCAATACAGCAAGAGTACTCATTTTCTAGCATTCTCTGGAAATGCAAAGAGATTCCAGAGCAGAGACCTTGCCCTTAAAAAGCTCAATTTAGAGAAATAAGCAAGGATGATGAACAGTATCTATATAAAATAATAAGCCACTGGATCACAGCTTTGTTTTACAGTTTCCCACACTGGGTGCATTAATTATTTTTCCCCCTCATCGTAGGTAGTCACTTTTTGACCAACAAAAACATTCAGAATTAATTAATGTTGCTACGTGCTTTCTATGTGTCAAGGACTATGCAAGATGCTTTAAAATGTTTATATGTTATTTGATCTTTCACCCATCACTTGGGTTTAAACTCTAGCTTCTCTTCATACTACAGGATTTGGGTTAAGTTCCTTAACATTTCTGAGCTTCAGTCTCCTTATAGGTATATTGGATATGATTATTGCACCTACTCATATGATTATTGTCAGAATCAAACAAAATAATGCTTGCATTTATAAATAAAGTTTTTTTGTTGTAAACAAATAGAAAAAAAAAAGACTTGAAAAAATAAGTTTGAAGAAAATGGAAAGATTAATGAAAAATCTGGAGGATCAGGCTCTAACCAGATAAGAAACTAAAGATTCCCAGGAAGTGTTCATAGCAGAAAGCACTCCACAGCCTGTCAGTAGTGTTGCTCACACAGTGAATGAACTCTATCCATTGCTTTCAGTTACTTTGTTCAATATGTAAGATCCCAAAAGCAAAAGGTCTAATTAACCATACTTGGATTATGTGATTGCCCTTTAACAATACTTAGTGAAGCAAAAAAAGATCTGGCAAAGGGGACCCATCAGCTCCAATGATGGCAAACAGGGGTCCTGGATCTACACTCCCACCAAGATCACACATACTTGGGGAGAGGTAAATCTCCCAGAGAAAATCAAATGCTATTAGGAAAGGAGAATGAGTGCTACATAGCTATCCAAGATGAGAGAAGTCTACTACAACATGAAATGCATGGAATATCTCAGGACTCAGTAAATGGCCATTTTCCATGATTTGGTTATTATTATTCACATTGTGCAAAAAAAAAAGTAAATAAACTAACACTCTAGGAGGTTGGTTCATTTTCCTAAGTTACACACAAAATTAGCCAAAGCATCTGAATTCCAAGACCAGCACTTTTCCAATGGGAAGAATTAGGGTAAAAAGTTGGAAAAAACAAAGAGTTGTTTAGAAGGATGAGTACTGAGCAAAATCTGTTCAAGATTTTTGGTTCTTAAACTTGCTTTTCCTTGGGCACAGCATGAATTTTCAATGTCATGCTCTTAAGTTAAAGCAGCCTGATCTGTGATCTCTGGACATCCATACCTTTGAGGTCAGATATCATTACTCCCCACCGAGGAAGCTTCCTGCTCAACAAAAGAAAAGCCAAACTTCCTCAGAGAGGTTAGAAGGGTGTAAGTACAAGTTTTAACCTCCTGTTTTCTGATGAAATGGATAGGGAATATAAGTGTTTACGAAGTCAGACACACATGAATTTTGCAGCTAATCTCACACATAGGAAAGACCACCTGAGGCAGCTGCGATAGCAGAAGGAATTAGTATCTTCTGACTGTTATCTAGAGAAGTTTTCCCAAGCCTGAGACCCCAGTCACTTCTAATTCATAGCAAAGTCTGTTGCCCCCAGCAAAAACACTAAAAATTGAAGAAAAAGAATACATCTGGTCTCATGGGTAGCTTCTCCACCCCCACCCCACCATCATATCTCCAAGAAAGTCAGTTGAGCACACGGCAAAGGTCTGTGTGCTCTGGATGGGGGGAGATTTGCTAAAGCTGCATATACTCCTCCAAAATTCCAGCATATTAAAACAGTTGCTTAGAGTTCCCTTTGCATAAAAACCAGACAGATCTTTGGGGAGAAACTGGAAGAAAATTTTAGGAAAGATGGTTAGATCCTTAGACATGTGAAAAAATATTTCTGGAAGATACAAGTGTTGGGGGAAAAATATATAAAAGGATGTGGAGCTTGGATATGACGAATGGGGCAGATACTTACACTAAGGAGAGAAGTATCAAGCCACCTGGATTCTACCTTGAGTCACTGGGTTTTAGGATTGTCACTGAGGGACACTTTTTGAGGATGGTGATAACTCTGGTGCTCTCCAGCCCCTGGAGCTTGACCCAAGTCCCTGGGCAGAAAAGATTGCACAATGAAGAGTCAGTCTTCTATAAGAGCTGTAATAACTGAAGGAGAGAGACTAAGGTGGGATAGGAGCAGCAGAGCTAAGAGCAAAGAAGCTGCAAATGGCAGAAGAGGAAGAGGGTGGCAGATGACCCTACAGAAAAGAGAAGCAGCTGGGATTGGAAGCAAAAGCCCCAAGGGGGGGCCACAAAACAGCATAGTGAAGTGTTTCACCCATGGAAACGGAAGCAGGAGGGTGTTATCAGCAACAGAGAAGAGCACACAGGCAACCATAAAACCAATGGGAAAGGCAGGCATCGGGGTCAACCACACTGTGACTGCTCTTTGTGGATATCATTCATGTGCACGTGAATTCAACTATGCACACATGCGGTACCAACCATACACATGTGGATACTGACTGTGTGCATGTGGATACCAACCCCATTCACATGGATACCAACTATATGCATGTGAAGCAACAACCATGTGCACATGGAATACTGACCATGTTCGTGTGGATACAAACCACATGCACATGAATGCCCACCATTTGAATGTAGATGCAAAACTTATGCATATGGGTATCAACCATATGCCATTGATACTGACTATATGTAAGTGAATATCAACCATGTGCACATGATTACAAACTATGTAGAAGCAAGCATATTTTCTAAGGAATCCTCTTACCAACACTAAGAGGTACATTATTAATCCTGTTTCACAGATAGGGACACTGGATCTCTGGAAGGATAAGTAACTTGCCCAAGGTCACACAGTTAATATAACCAGGGTAAAAACCTAGGCCTGTCTCATAGCCCACATTTTGTCTCCATTGCCTTATGCCCATATCCATGGCTGATTCTCACCCCCAACATTCACCCCCACCCCCTAAGACTGGCAAAGACCCGTAAAGCAAAATCTAACTTTTATGGAGTTTTACCATATTAAGCTACTGGAGTGCAGTGGCTCGATGTCAGCTCACTGCAAGCTCCGCCTCCCGGGTTCAAGCGATTCTCCTGCTTCAGCCTTCCGAGTAGCTGGGATTACAGGTGCATGCCACCACGCCTGGCTAATTTTTTATTTTTAATAGAGACGGGGTTTCATCATGTTGGTCAGGCTGGTCTCAAACTCCTGATCTCAGGTGATCCAGCTGCCTCGGCCTCTCAAAATGCTGGGATTACAGACGTGAGCCACTGCGCCCAGCCTAACTGGCTGTTTTTATAAACAGCGTCCAATATCAATTTTACTTGGTTCAATGTTTTCCATATAAGCCTTGCTCTAAGCACTTTACATATGTCATCTCATTTGGTCCTCACAACAGTTCTTATTTGGTAAGTATTCTTATGGTACCCACTGACTAGATGAAGAAGCTGTGGCCGAGGGAAGTTAAGAAACTTCATGATTACACAGCCAGTAAGGCACAGAGCAAGGACTCAAACACAGACTTATCCATGATGCTAAGCTGCCTTCCTTCATATAAAAATTAGGGGGAAAACAGGAAAAATATTTATAAAGTCATCTAAGTTTTCTCTTTTTTCAGGAATATACCTTTAAGAAGTTATTCATTCACCTACTATTTATCGAGGGCTTATACTCTGTTAGGCTATCCATATCCTGATCTGACTTTCACCTATGAAAAAAATGTGCCATAGCACATGTGGCGCTCCATCCACAGAGTGTTTCTCCATTTGGAAACCTTAAAATCAACTGAAAAGAGTCCTGCCCTCTTTTCTTCCTTCTTTCTTCCTCCATTCTTCCTTTCTTTTGCTCTTCATTCCTTGCCTTCTTTCTTCTTTTTTCTTATTCTTATGATATACCATTTGCTTTTTTAAAAAACTGTAGTAATAATTTGTGATGGTTTATAGAGACAAACAAATCAGAGCATGTGTAGAAAATGTCACCAGTCTCTACCTGCCCAATTCCAATTGCCCCCTGAAAAATCCCAAGTTAGTAGTTTAATAGGTATCATTTTGCACTTGGTCCATGCCAGCGCTTACCAAATTATGTAGATATTTTCAACATACATATACAGGCTGCAACATACAACTGTCATATATATTTTGCCATACTGCTGTTTACAATTGAGACGTACCATACACATTACCCTGAAACTTGCATCTTTTCCCTTAATACTATATCTAGAATATTCCTACATTCCCACATATTCATTCTTTTTTATATTTATATTATATTCATAAAATCTCATAATGCAGAGGTCAGAAGACTACACAGCCTGCTGGTCAAAACTGGCCCACCACCTGTTTTTGTAAATAAAGTTTTACTGGCACTCAGCTACATTCATTTTTTAATGTATTTTCTATGGTTGCTTTCTTGTTTCAACAACAGAATTGAGTAGCTGCTACAGATAGTATATGGCACTTAAGTCTAAAACTATTATCTTTAAAAAAACTCTTGCACTTTTCTGATTAATTAAAAAAGCTGAATATTCTTTCATATATCTACTGGTCAACATATTTTCTTACCTGTGAATTGCCTGTTCATTTTCTTTGCTAATTTTTGTACTACGCTACTAGGAGTATAATATACTTTTAAGCAAACTTGCTCTGAATACTACTAGAATTAGCTAGAATCCTGGCCCCAATACATATTAACTGTGTGACATATGGAATGTTACCTGATTTTCATGTGCTTCAGTTTTTTAAGCTATAAAATGGGATGGTAACATTGCCCCAGCTTTTAGAATTATTGTAATGATATAACAAGGATTTTAAACGTATTTATTCTTATTTATTATTTCTATTTTCTTTCTCTCTCTTTTTAAAAAACAATCTGTCTAATCAAAACTCTCTTTTTTCAAAACCAATCTGTCTAATCAAACAGCAAGTGTATTCTGCAAACTCCCCCTTGAAAATCTCCAGGATACATTCAGTGCGTTGTATAACATCTAATATATTCTGAATACTGAGAACTTCTGAAGACACCAAATATGTGTTTGGCCTCTAGTGAGGTCTAGGAGGTGCATAGCTAATAGGATTAGAATATTCTGGTGGTGTGATTTTTGAGTAGTGTGGGAATAAATATCTTTTCATTATTTTGCTTAATATATGTTTCATTTATATGATCAAAAACCTTTTCTGTATCAGTCTAGTAAATCATACATGAGTTTGGCTGCAATAAGTGAGGGTCCTGCAGGCCCTCAGAGATAGCGTTCCTAACATTGGTTTTATTGTACAGGGCAGTAGAAGATAGAACCCCAAATCCACCGAGCCTGTGATCTACCTTGATTGAAAAAAGTAATTCCTGCTAAATTCCCATTGCCTGCAATTTAAAAAAAAATACTCACATCCCCTCCTTTATCTTTTATCTATGCATTCTATTAAGCTTATGTGTACATGTCCTATCTTAGCTACTAAATTGCAAATAGCTTGAGGGCAGACTAAGCATCTGGTTCACTTTTGTGACCCTCACAGCACACAACAGAATATGTTCCACAAAGCAAGAGTTCATTAAATAATAACTGAATGAATGAATGTCAACTGCCTCAAGTTTTTTGGTTCTCCTAAAAACAAAGCAAAAGAAAGAAATTTTAGTTAATTTAGGGCTTTGGGTCATTGAGTTCCAATTAATTGACGTCCTACAGGAACTGGAATCTCTCTAGCAGTTCTTCTTTCATGAGAGAACATTGGAACCTAGAGAACCTGGAATTCCTGATGGGGTCTGATTTGGAATTTGCAACAAAAAAGTTGAATAGATTTTGTCTTGAGTTTTCAAAACTTAGATTGTTAAAATAGAGCAGAATAATAATAATAACATTTGGAACCAACACCTAGTAAGCATGTTACATATATCAGTTAATCCACCCCAAATACTATCAGGTTGGTAATATGCTTATTCCCATTTTGTAGATAAAAACTCTACAGCACATGGTGATTAACTAACTTGCCCATGGTCACACAGCTAGGATGTGACACACTAAAATTTAGCCCCACACATATGGCTCCAGGACCAACACTTTCTTCTCTACATTGCAGTAGAGACATTGCCAGACAAAGTCACCTAGGAACAAATTGCCAGAAGAGGTCAGATCTCTTAAAGCACTAGAGTTAGAATAAGAAAGCATGAGCTTGACTCCTGGACTAACAATTACCTATAAGCAAAACTTCCAGCAAAAAATTCGAACGCCTTTCTTGGACCTTGGTTTTCCTCATCTAAAAGGGGGATAATACCAGCCCAGAATCTACCTTACAGTTATCTAAATTAGAATGACATAATGTATATAACAAGCACTTTCTAAACTATAGAGCAAGCTATCATGGTCATAAGCCCAAATATACTAGAATCTTGCAGTTCATGTTAGGAGAAGAGCATAAGAGGTGGGGAATATATTTAAAAGGAAGTGTTAGTTGTACTCACTGACCCTCAAAAAGTAGATACAAGTAGGCAAAGGGGAGATGTTCAGAACACTTATACCTCAAATTCTCTTTTTTTTTTTTGAGACAGAGTCTTCCTCTGTGACCCAGGCTGGAGTGCAATGGTATGGTCTCGGCTCACTGCAACCTCTGCGTCCCAGGTTCAAGTGATTCTCCCGCCTCAGCTTCCCAAGTAGATGGGACTACAGGCACAAGCCACCACACTCGGTTAATTTTTGTATTTTTAGTAAACACTGGGTTTCACTATGTGGGCCAGGCTGGTCTCGAACTCCTGACCTTGTGATCCACCTGCCTCAGCCTCCCAAAGTGCTGGGATTACAGGTGTGAGCCACTGGCCTGGCCTATACCTCAAATTCTAAGCACTCCAGATTACCCAGGCCACCATAACACTGTAGCTGAATCATACAACTAATTATTTCAATTATCCTCATTTCACTGCAGTGATATAACAGGGATTATGAGTTGTATTATAAAGAGACTAATTATAATGGCAAATTTCACCAAAAAGTTTTAAAAATAATTTTACGTATGTTGCCAACCCTATGGGATATTAAACGTCTTTAGACGAGAATTAACAGAAAAAGAACTTCTAAAATTAGAGAACTCTACATCTGTATGGCAGGAGGAAGGAGAAGAGATAACTAGCCAGAGCTATGTGTGATGATGCAATTCTGTGGTTAATTTCTACTTTCCTAGTCCCAGCCCTTTCCTTAGGCTCATCCCTCTATTAAAGTCCCCTTTCTTCTACCCATTAAAAAATGTTAAACCTAAATGCCACCTTCTCCATGAAGCATCTCCTGGTCACTGCAGCCAGAGGGGATCGCTCTTCTCTAAGAATCACTCTGTTTTTATTTTATTTCTCACAGAGACTTAGAAAAGACTAAGCTCTTATAACAACAACAACAAAAAAGACTCAGAAATATTGTGACAGGAACAAGATGAAAGTTTATGGCTTTCTGTGTAAGATTCCTGAAATGAGGAATCCAGATTGGGAAAGCAGCTCTGCTCAATCCAGTCATATGGAGACCCAGATTCCCTCCATCTTGTGGCTCTGCCATCTTCTGGGGCATTGTCTTCCACACGGTTGAAGCTGGGCCACAAATATATCCATAAAAACTTCAGGTAAGAGGAAATAGCATAAATCCATGGAAATCACTTTCTTTTAAGCAAGAGAAGCAGAGCTTGAATATAACAGTTCTGCTCACATTTCACTCACGGCCGCACCCAACTACATGGAAGCATAGGAAATGCAGTTTCTTACCAGAGGAAAGAGAAAACAGTTCTTTTGGATAACTGGTTGTTCTCCACTCCAAATTCTTATGGTACTTCTAAAGGGCCTTTTGATAGAGTTCCTTGCATAGGTGTTTTATTTTCTCAACTCATTGTGAACTCCGGAAGTGCAGGGGTCACTGAAACTCACAGGATTGGACTTCTGTACCATGGCAGCTCAGTGCTCCACACTGAGTTCAATTTGTTGAAATGAATGGATGAATGTTCAGTTTTTCATAGAAAGACCATGGGTCCTTTGTCTGCTCTTTCTCTTTGTAGTATCTACCTCAATTATAATTAGTTAGAAATTTATCTTTTTAATATCTCTTTCTCTTATCTCTTTCTCTTATGTACATTGTATCCCTTTATGACACTACAATAAATACAGAACCAGGTTTGATGTGTATTCTCACATAGGAAGTACACACACAAAAAAATTATTAAATAATGAAGGCGTATATCTGTCAAAAGTTAGTGCTGGATCATTAAGAAACACCTGAAATGAGAGTAGGTATTGAGGACTGTAATGGAGACAGGAAGGTTGGCTACAAAATGCATTCCCTTCATTCCCGTTGGTGTTGGGTGTCATCTTGAGGGTGGGTTCTGTCCAATAAAATGTGAATACATGGGCAGAAATGAGACCCACTACTTCTAGCTTTTGACCATGTTAAACCTTCAAGTTCATTTTTCACACATTCTTTCTTTGCCTGTTGACAAGATACAAGAGAGGAGATTAAGGCCTTAGGGGATGGTGGAGCAATGGGCAGAAATGATAAAGATCCCTGAATGATCATGTGGAGCACCACCATAGGGCCTGCATGAAAGTAAGAAATAATTTCCTTTGTATTGAGTCATTGATGTTTTGGGTATTTTTGCTGAAACAGTTTGCCTACCCTAACTAATACAAGAAGAGAACCCCAGATGATGCTGTCTGATATTTCTTACATTTTTTCAGCAAGATGTTCTACTTTTCTTATTTTCAGAAGTGAAAAATAGTCCTGAAAATACTTTACTAGGAATGGCCAATGGCTATAGTTGGGACAAGCCTTACTCTTAGGTCATATTGATAGACAAGGGATAACAAAAAGATGCTCCGAACAGGATCATGGCACCCACCAAAATGCCTGAAATTCTCACAACTAAAAAATCATTATTTGTAAGTTTTAGGATTTGTTTTTCAAAACAGTTTTACTGAGGACAAAGGACATACAATAAACTACATACATTTTAAATGAAGAATTTAATATGTTTGTACATATGTATATACCTATTAAAGCATCACCACAATTAACATAATAAAAAAGCATCACCCCAACCATAAGTTTTCTCATGCCCATTTTCAATCCATTCCCCCCTTTCCTTCCCATCCCCTCTTCATGACACCCTCATCCCAAGTAATCTTTCATCTGCTCTCTGTCACTATGCATTAGGTTATATTCCCTGGATTTACTGGATTTACTGTTGTCCCCTCAAGTATCCTCAGGGATTTTTTTCCAGGACATTCCTGTGGATATCAAAATCTATGGACGCTCAAGTCCCTTATGTAAAATTGTGCAGTATTTGAACAACTTTCCCACATTCTCTTTTATACTTTAAATCATCTCTAGATTATTGATAATACCTGATGCATTATAAATGCTATATAAATAGTTGTTATACTGCATTGTATTATTTTTATGTTGCATTTTAAAATTTTTTCAAATATTTTTTATCTGTAGTTGATTGAATCCACAAATGCAGAATCCTCAGATACAGAGATTCTTCTGTATATATAAATGGAACCATACAATACGCACTGTTTTTTGATCTGGCTTCTATCATTCACCATAATTATTTTGATACTATTTCACATTGTAAAGTGTGTCGATAGTGCATTCCTTTTATTGCTGGGTAGTATTGTGCTGCATGGATATACGACAATTTGTTTATTCATTTACCCGTTGATGGACATTTGTGTTGTTTCCAGTTTGGGGCTATAACAAATAAAGCTGCTACAAACATTGGCGTAGCAGCCTTAGTATGGGTATGTGCTTTCATTTCTCTTGGATAAATACCAAGGGACAGAAGGGCTGGGTCATGTAGTAGACACGTGTAGCTTTTAAAGAAAGTGCCAAACTGTGTGCCAAAGTTGTTACACCAACTTGGCATTTCCTCCAGCAATGTATGGGAGTTCCATTTCCTCTCTGTTTTTACCAACACTTGGAATAGTCGATGTTCTTGATTTTAACCATTTTAGTAAGTATGAGTGATATCTTATTTGCCAGAAGCAAAAGTCCCAGAATCCACTTTTAAAATACAATTTTGACATTGTCAAAAGAATGTGAGCTATAATGGTAGAAAAACTGGTTACGTGTTTTCACAATATCATATATGTAGGTACAACTTTGTCAAGGCAGGAGGATATTCCAGGGAATGCCACATGCAAAGACTTGGAAGTCTGAAAGACCATCGGGCAAAATGACAAGTAGTTCAATAATGGTAGAGTAGAGTGTGGAGTAAGAAGTAAAGAGTGGCAATAGATAACTCTACAAAAGCAAGGAGTGGCCAGTTCATGAAGGGCATGGCATGCCATGTACATGAGTTAAGATTATGACCTTAAAAATGGGGAGTTCTGAAGTGGAGGGTGATGTAATCAGATTTGTGAATTAGAACCTTCAGCTCTGTGAGGACCACACTGGAGGAGAGGTGAATCCACAGGAAGAGAGTCCATAAGAAGTTCATTATTTTAGTGCAGATCAGAGAAAATGGGGACCTGATCTAGTACAGTAGCAGGAGGGAGAGAGGAATGGAAACTGAGACACACAGAAAAGCCAGACTTAAGGGATAATTTCCTGGAACTTAAATGACTTGCTTTGAGAAGAAAGATAGGTAGGGTATTCTCCTCATAAAATTAGAAACAGGCCAGGTGCAGTGGCTCACACCTGTAATCCCAGCACTTTGGGAGGCAGAGGAGGGCGGATCACAAGGTCAGGAGATGGAGACCATCCTGGCTAACACGGTGAAACCCCATCTCTACTAAAAATACAAAAAAATTAGCCGGGTGTGGTGGCAGGCACCTGTAGTCCCAGCTACTCGGGAAACTGAGGCAGGAGAACGGCGTGAACCTGGTAGGTGGAGCTTACAGTGAGCTGAGATGCCGCCACTGCACTCCAGCCTGGGTGACAGTGCTAGACTCCGTCTAAAAAAAATAAGAAGAAGAATAAACAAAGCTTGGAAAGCAGGTTTGTGGGAGAAGCTGCTAAGCTCATTCCATTACTCCTGAGATTAAAGTATCACTGATTATGAAAATGAAGGCATGTGGAAGTCAGATTTGGCCTCATTCATTCAAAATAGGTGTATTAATTCTTATCTATGTGCCAGGTATAGTAGGGAGATGGAACTATGTGGTAAGGGAAATAAGAATAGAATAGAAACTAGATATCACTGTTTCACTGCTAGTTAGTTAGTTAGTTTTCATTTATCTTAGACAAGTCTTTTGAACTCCTGGTTTACTCATCTGTAAAACAGAGGTAATAATGGCACTCTTGAACATTTACAATACAATAAAGAACAATACTACATGAAAACATGATAATTCAAAATAGAAAATGCTAAGAAACATACAATAGATATAGAGAGTTTGGGAGCTTCAGAACGGTGTCTACTTCCAGTTGGCTCTCTTGCCATACATTGCAATATATAACTATTTATGTCCTCATCATTTTCAGTCATAAGTGATGGCAGAATCTTGAAGGAATGAGCCTGTAAGGCACTTTAATGTAGTAATAGGAAAGTCATGTCACAGTATGCCAATCATGGCTCAGGCAGCAGGAGGCCTGGAGAAATATGTCTTATTCCTCCCAAAGGCCAGTGTTAAGGGATATCAGAGAGAAAACATAAAGTTGCTCAGGACCACTATCACCATGTGACTCTGCAGGAAAGCAGAAACTGTTCATAGGTTTGCAGGCTGCTCTCCAGCTATGAGGGTGCTTGTCTCAATGGGAAGAACAATTTTCAAGGTATCAGAAGACTAAAAACTTAGTCCCAGCACTACCACATAATAGCTATGTGACCTTGGGAAAGTCACTTACCTTCTCTGGTTCTCCGTGCCCTCACCTATAAAAGTGAGACTTAAAATCATCTCCCCTAACACTGCCATCTGTAACAATGTATGTTTATCTCATACTTTTCTGGACAAATTGGCCCTTGAAAGGGGAGCTCCTTCCCTGTGCTGATAAATATAGTCTGTTTGCTCAGCAAGATTAAGTAACATAATAAATATTCTAGCCAGGCACTGTTTGGACTGTGACACAGTTTAACAATGCTAATCTGCTGCATGGCAGTCAAAGCCTGCATCAGCTTCATATATTTATAAAGATGTCCTTGTCATCCAGTGCTTGGGTCAATTTTCAACTCACATTTGCCTTGGTGACTTCATTTAGCCACCTCTCTGTTACTGGTTTGTTAGCTGGGTCTTCAGCACATAACAGAGGTCATGCATGCAGAGCAAAAGAAAATCTCTACATATATTGTGGAATATAAATACTATTAAGTCACCCAAGGTTTTACTTTAGGAATCTGGATTTCCTGAGAATGATTTTTGCCCTGGTTTTGGTTAATTTGGCTAATCTCCCCAGTTCAGCACCCTGGACAGGGGTACCACACTGAGTAAGCTGATAGGCATCACTGGGAGAACCTAAGGGTCTGTTTGGTGGATTGAAGAAAGCTGCCTTCGAACTTAAATAGAGCAGAATATCTTTGCAGGCAGCGTAGTGAAGAACTATCTTAGCCAAAATGTGCATGCGCCGCAAATGAGAGGTTGCTGTTTTCCAAAGAAGTACTCATAAAGTGAGGGGAAGCAAGAAAAAAAACCAACTCAGACAACTCTCACCAGTATCTATTACTGTAAAATGCCAGAAGCAATTATGATGTCATGTATTGTCTAAAATTGGGACAGTGAGACAGCTCGAGATGCAGTTGGAGCTAATAAACCAAATAAAATCCGCCGAGTTTTACTGCATTGTATTGTTTCTTTACACAATTATAGGCAGTGAGAAAGGCATCTGCCACATTATACTCGATTTATTCCTTCTTTATTTTCTTTTATCTCTTCCCTTCCTTTGTTAAAAATAAAGTACGTGAGATAGGTTTGGGGATTTTTAAAAAGCTTTCCTAGATAGATCCAATGTAACTTACTGTTGCAAGCCTTGAAAATATCCCCTGATTAAAATGTGCTTACCTGTTTTGTACTTACTTCAGCAGTAAGCATCTTAAAAGAGAGCAAAGAGCTTCCCACCTTAAATGAGAAAGAGAAAATAAAATGATGTTTGCCACTTGGGATCTTTCTAATAAATTCTACCGAAGAGGGTCCTGTGCTATGGGGCTCATTTCCAAGATATTTCTTTAATCAAGATTCTAAATCCAAATGCATGCTTATTTAACTTCCTTTGGATCTGACAGCATTAAGTTTTTTAAAAAAGTCAAAAGCTCCCAGCACTTTGGGAGTGCGAGGCGGGTGGATCACGAGGTCAGGAGATCGAGACCATCCTGGCTAACACGGTGAAACCCTGTCTCTACTAAAAATACAAAAAATTAACTGGGCATGGTGGCGGGCGCCTGTAGTCCCAGCTACTCAGGAGGCTGAGGCAGGAGAATGGCGTGAACCTAGGAGATGGAGGTTGCAGTGAGCTGAGATCACGCCACTGCACTCCAGCCTGGGTGACAGAGCGAGACTCCATCAAAAAAAAAAAAAGTCAAGAGCTTTTTTTTTTCATTTTCAATGTAATAAAAACATTCTTACTTTCTATGCAGTTTTCAGATAAGATCAATTGTTTTATTTATCTCAAATACTAACAAGGATTGAGCTGCCAGGAGACTTCAGCACTCAGGGACCCCCAAGTTGGTTTTTTCCCTGGGACCCAGCCAGGTGGTATTTCACACATTTTAGGAGAAGCCACACAAGCTACTTCTTTGGAGTTAAACCAAGGAATGTATCCAAAGAGAGGTGGATTTTTTTTGTTTTGTGTTCATATGATTTATTTTCCTTCACAAGCTGTAAAATCCTTCACATCTCACTGATGGGGGAAAAAAAAAGAATACAATTCAATGATATCAGAATGTGCAAAATCTTTTCAGCTGAACCCAAACTGCTTTCATGGGTCACATTTCTACTTACCTCGGGCTTCTGTGTTTTCTGTCCGTCTCTCACCATCCCAACTTATGGTGAATAAAATCTTCATGCAGTGAACATATTAATTATATGAATTGCATCTTCATGTAAGTTGTGTGAATTCTCAGGTCACATCTGTGGAACGCCAAGGCCAAAAACACCCAACTCCACAGGGATGTTGTTTGCTATGCCCTTTTGGTCATCGGTAGATTGATTTTCATGTTCTGGCTACACAGACAGTTAGCAAAGCTGAGCATTGTTTCTTGCTTTGCACTGAAGACCCAATTAGCCAACACAGTCAATGAACAGGTCAAGAGTTGAGGTTCAAATGGGCTCCTCAAGGCCAAGTCTCTCTGTTTGAACAGCTTTCCACCGACCTTTGTCCTCATCACAGGTGATCTCTTGTAAACGTGTCACCAAACTCCATGTGCAGAGCTAAAGAGGAAATAAATCCTGGTTTATCCAAATATCATGTGTCACTGCACAGTCAAATCAAATGGCCCCAGAAAGATCATTACTGATAAAGAATAAGCTGTTACCACAGAAATGTAAAGACTTTGGTCAGAAAAGTCTCTGAACTGCAGAGATAAATAAATACACAGTGAATGTTTAGATATATCCTGTGTTAAAAGCAATTTAAATTCAGTGTTACTTTTAACTCATAATAGACCAGATGTGTAAGTCTCAGTGTGTTGGTGATCCCCTGTCAGTAAAATAACAGGACTCTCTTGTCATTGACTACACTTAAGTCTGCCACTATAAATTCACATCAGATTTATGACTTTCTGAGCCTTCTTGGCAGAGTTACAGGCCAATAACACGTTAGGAATGGCATTCTGGCTAGATGTTTTACTCACCACACATTATATAGATTATAGTCTTCAAGACAGCAAGGGGTTGTAAGACTCAGATAATAAATCTACCAGAGATTAGAGTCATAAGGATCTTGCTAAACATCTGACCCACTCAATACACTTGCAAGGATAGGTCCAGTCTATTTGTCTCCTGTGAGATGAAGTTGGATATACAGGCTATACAGCCTGCCCCAGATGGAGAACAAATTAACCACAAGGCCAACCAACTAGTTCCTCTGTAAGTCAACATCAGTAGGAGTGGTCCAGGGTTCTCTGTCATAGTAGCAGCACCTGGAATGAGTAGCTCTCTGACACTGCCTTGTTGACATGCTGAAGGGAACAAGGAGTTGGCTCTCTTGAAGTCTTTACAATTTTCTGCAGCCCCTGGCCCCAAAACTCATGAAACTGACTCCTCTTGGGAACTGGACAGAAAGATGATGATCAGAACAGAGGCATGAGTGGCCATATATAGACTGGCCTTTCATGAAGAGGAAAATATTTTCCAAAGGCTGGATCCACTCATCTGGAAGCATTTTTGACCAGTTCTAAGCACACAGGTGGAAAAACAAAACAAAGCTAAACAAAACTATCAGCCCTAACTTCATAGCACTTGCAGCCTAGTCAGATAGACAAGTAAAATAAGCAATGCATGACAGAGCCACCTAATAACCACTCTAAGACACATCCCTGGGGCTGACCCTAACTTCAAATGGCTGTCGATTTTTACTCATTAGTATTTTTCTAGTCCATGTAACAAACTTGCACGTGTACTCCCTGTATTTATAAAAGTAAAAATTAAAACATTTTTTAAAATTCTAATCAGTATTCTCTTCCTTTCTCACCACCAGTACTTTAAAATCACCAATTCACCATCGGTTCCCTTCTATGCAGGTACATGGAGTAAAAGGAAGCTAACCGACATTGTCTGAAACCTGCCTAAAGTGAAGCAAGGGCCAGGGTGTTCTCACACAATGTTTCAGCAACTTGTTTTATTGCAGTCCACACAGAGGCCCCAAATCTCCAAGAAGACGAAACTAGAGAAGACGACAGAACAATCTTAAAGTTGTAATAGCTTTGCCAAGGTCTGTGTCCTAATGCTTTAACAACATCCTATCTTTGTGCTTATCTTGTGCCTTATTCAATCCTACTCCCCAAGCCCATTCGCACTGCTCAGTCAGTGGACACACTTGATCTAACCTGTTCTTTGGCAACACACAGTGGTGAAGCACACATCTCACTTCCCAGAAATGAGATGCCCAGAAATAAGATGCATCCTAAAATTATGCAAAGAGGTAGAAACCACTGAGTTTAATATAAAACAAGTTCAGGATGCCTTTTTGAAACCAATTATCCCCCTGCCTCTAATCCCACCATTAGAAAACCACCAGGTTGAGTCTTGATTTTGATTTTTTTAACCAAAATCACTGTTAAAAATAAATATCCAGTGAGAACTTAAATCGTTTTCCATGTTACAAGACAGGGTCCCTTCACATCTAGTCCTACCTAAGCATAAAGCTTGGGCTTTCCTTTCCATAATGTCCCTGACTCTCTAAGCGTAATGACCTCCCTCCTATATTTTAAGACTCTTATGTGTGTCCCAGGCCACAGAAAAAAAGTGAATTCCCCCCACCCCCACTGCCCCCAGATTTTTGATAGCCTCATGAAGTCTCATCACAGTTATCTTCCTACCAAACAATCCATGAGCCACCTGCAGGCAACTCTCCATGAAAAGTTCAGATCTCACAAGGGCAATGAGGCTAATGGCTCCACTAGCCAGCTCCTCCACCTGCCTGAATATGGCCAGTCCTCTCCCCACTGGCAGTCTGCCTCTGAAGGCTGAGCTTCCAGGGTACTCTCTAGTACTCTGCTTGGCTGTTCCTATTACCCACCCCACAACATGTCTTCACTTGCTTTGCACCACATTTCCCATGAACTCACTTCTCTCCTGCCTCCCCTCCACTAAGGTCACCTATCCTCCCTGCTCCAGCTCTCTTTCATGCAAGGAGGTGAGGCGATGAGCAGCCTGGCTCTCTAGTTCTTACTCTATCCTCTTTCCACTTCTCTGATTGTGGCACTGCTTCCCTTAGAACCCACTTTGGAAGTAAGAAAAGCAAACCTGACTGTTTATTCTCATTCTTAAAAGCCGTATGGATGCCTCTGACCAAACAGTGGATGATCACATAAGACAAATGGGGAAAAAGAAACATGAACATTAACATTTCAAAATACATCTTGTTTCACCAAGTACTGGCATTTGACACTTGAAGAAAATCAAGGGGCTATGGATTCCATACCTCCAAGGACTGCTAAAGGATGAATATAAGACATGTGAAGTGTTTAACATGGTGCCTGGCACACAGTGAGGCTTAGAAAATATTAGCTATTCTTCTTATTATCAGGAAAAAGGAAAGCTAATTTGGAAGTAGCCTAGGAGAGACAAAAGGAAAAAAAACAGTGAACATTCCCATCATTGCTCAAGCTTAATGGAAACCAACAAGACCAGGCCTGCCATCTTGGGTTCTCCTCTCTCCCCAGTTTCACTTTGACTCAACTTTTCTTCTATGGCAGCTTGTTATATGCAAAAAAAAAAAAGGCCACTTGATCTACACTCAGACTCTGAGTTAATTTTCATCCTGTTCTTTGAAATTTTCTAGCAGGGATTCTGCCGTGAGTGTAATTATATCCAAACACTTTTACAAAAATTCAGCATCATCTGTATATTGTAGAAGAAAATATTCCTTCTGCACCATTGGTGGCACCATTAGCCCTCCAATAACAGGACGCTGGGTGAAATGGTCCCCTTCGAGCCACACAGAGACCCTTTGACAACAGGTAAATACTACAAAACTGTGCATTAGAACCCGAATCTAACACACTGTCACCACAGGGAAAGCCAGTTTAAAATCATAAATGTCAAGATATAATTAGCTTAAAGGTCAGGTTTAATTATAGTTGTTGAAAATGAAATACACTAATTACTGAAACCATGTTGGAAAATTATTTTAATGGTTGGAAATGTTTTGTCGGTGCCTTTGTTTCTACAGAATGATGGTTCCTGTTGCTTGATGAGAAAACATGGTGACGAGCGTTTGCTTCCCTGCATGGATAGAAGCAGAGAACAAAACAGAGTTGATGAAAAACTCGTAACTCCAAGCAGCCCCACAGAACAGTTGCTCTATGTTATTGTATTATTAATCATTTTCTTATAATCGGTGCTTTAGATATAATTTTAATGAAGCTTCAAGAAAAGCTCAATGCATTACATTGTAACAACAGAGGAAGCACATTTATCACTTGGTCTGTAGGTTTAATGGCAAAACAAATCAATAAATAAACAACTGCTGAGAAAATAACTCAATAACTGGAAAAAGTTGTTTTACCTGTAGGATTTCTGAGATTTCTACTGGGAATATTTATTGGCTCACCTAAGTATTTTTCTTGTGATTTTATCATCTCTTTCCTTTGGGCTTCCAAGGAATAAAAAGTTTGAACAATCTTTCATTTAATTTTATGTTTTGTCTGCTGTTTAAAAAAAAAAAATAAGTGATAATATTTTTCAAAATTTGGCTCAGTTTTAAATGAAAAAAAATATTTGTAATAAAAAAATTCCCAAGAAATCTAAGTAATAAGCAGGCACAAGTTATCAGAACTCTTCATAACTGGTAGAAAAGTCCTTCAGAAGATTTAGTCTGAATACTGATATAACCCCATAGGGAAAAAAGGAGTTTTATCCAGTGTGGTTCTCATATGGAGATTAGCACTCCTGAAGAGAACTAAAACATCAATTTTTGGAGGAAAAAAATTGTTAAAAAAGGCAAGAACCTACAGAATGTGTTTTGTCAAAATGGAGAACAAAAGGCTAAGGAAACAGTGTTTTACTCTCTGAAAGACACATTGAGGGAGACAGTTTTAGTTGAGACAGGAGAAGCTGCATGACACCAAAGCATTTAAATAGCTCCAAAAGAACCCACTTGTGACAAAGCGAGAGCAGAGCTATTCTCCAGTAAGCCACAGACAATGTAAGGAGAGTCTGCACTCTGCTCTAGCTCAATAATGCACAAAGAAAATGGCATTTAATTAAGAGTTGCCTGCCTTCCAGGTACTTATGACATTGAAATTAGTGTGGACATAAGGCACTAAAGCTGACATCAACATAGTTCACCCAAGAAGTCATTTACTTAAGATTTACAACCCACTGTAAGAGAAAAGTGAAAATTTATGAAAGGTTTCCATCTGGCAGGCTATATCATTAGCATTCAAACTGATAGCAGCAATGATTTAAATTTCATAATCTAAGTGAAGATATGCACCAAAAATTCTTCTAAAATATGTCTAATAGCTCTAACTGACTTCTTTATTAGAGTCTGCCTATGAAAAAATGTCAGATATCAATGAAGAAGTCATCAAATGTTAATTTTAGTCTATCCAACTGATAGAAATTCATAATAAAGTAGCATCATTGTGGCTGAAACCCCCACCTAAGCTCTCTGAAAGAGATGCAATAAACTAACTCCTTTTCATTGCTTTAAAAATAAAACCCAATTGCCTTGTTTCATCTGGTTATAACGAGCGTTTTAAGTCATAACAATGATTATTTATTAAATACCAATACCTATTTCGGGGGATGGAGGGGAGAGAGAGTGCAGCCTTTGGCAAGTGTTGTTCAGAGCTGATGAATAAATCCCGTTAACAGAGAGAAGGAAATATGTATAAATCTCTTACTGCAGGAGAATCACTGTCCCATCCATTTTTCTGAATTAAAACTCACTGTCACTACAAAATGCCCTCATGCTGTCAGAACAGGACTGTGTAAGAAGATAAACCCTTGATATTCTCCCTTAAAAATGCAGACAGATAAATGTTTAAAACAATAAGAAATGTGGTTTACATATCAGAATATAACATACCAAGAGTTAGAGCACCCTCAGATGATACTAGGTACAAGTTTAAAATACATTTAACTTTAAAGGAAGTTAATATATTTCCCTGGGTTTCATGTACAATGCTGCAGAGGTAAAAAGAAAAATAAAAGTTACAGATTCAGAAGACAGGCTGGAATTAAATTTAGTTCCACCACATTTTAGTTCTGTGACCTTGAGCAAGCTATTTATCCTCTCTAGTATTCTATTTCCCCGTCCAGAAAACAATATCTACCTCATAGGATTATTGGACGAGACGTGAGATGTTATATATGAAGTTCCCAGCACAATGGTTCACAAAGAGTTTTTAGATATGCAAAGCTTACTTAGGATATCCATAGAAATAGAAACAGGATGTGTTCTATGAAGCTTCTAGAACCCCCAACCCTTGAACCTGGCTGTAGGAGTTGAAGACACAAGGTGTGACAGAGACATACCTTGTATACAGCACACCTTGTATATTATCAGTTATTCTTCTTTGCTAAGGAACAGCCGAGTATGTCCATATATGTCACACAAATGTGCCCAGAAAAATAGGCCCCTCCATAACTCTAGGGAATACCGTGATTGCTTTCTATCTGGGCAAATGTGGTCATAATAAGTAATATTTGCCAGATATTTCTTGCTCTCTGCCTCACATGCATAGGATAATCCTGTGTTTCCTGGCTTTTTTGTGTGTTTGAATAGCGTCATGCTAATAGTTATAAGTGATGAATCAGAAATACAAATAACAGTGGGATGGAGTAGCCTCTGTGAGACCCTGTCTTTCCTCTGTTACAATAACCAGCGGTGTCTAAGACAGTGGACTCTGACTCACCTTGAATTTCTGAATGATGGTGTAGAGAAAGATGCCAGCCAATTCACAATGAACATGAACCAGGTGCAACAAATAAGCCTTTGTTGTGGCAAGCCACTGAGATTTGAGGATTGTTTGTTCTCACAGCAGGCCCTGACTATCCTGACTGATGCAATAGGTACTTTCTACTGGGATCTGATGAAATGAATAAGAAATGAAGAGACAGGTGTCCTCATTTTTTTAATTATTGTGCAATTATGTGATCACTCAATTCTACCAGAAGCAGGGAGAAAGGGATCAAGGTAGACCTTATAAGTAATGCTTGAATTGAATTGTGATCTTAAAATATTTGAGGGGTTCATTAAATTGATTGGAAGGAGGGGCTGTAGAAAAACATTTTTGACAGAGTAAGAGGTGGAACTCTCAAAGATTTGTCTAGAGAGATAAACAAGATGAGAATAGAGGGTCATCACAAAGCCTCTACAAAGTCTGGACTTTATTTGATCAGCTAGAGGCTATTCTACTGCAAAATCTATGACAGTTGATGGTGAAATGTTGAATACATATGCCTGGACAATCCCAGATTCTGAGTGAAATAATAACAATGACATCATGACAAGCACTGGTGGGAAATGCCACATGGTGTAGCCCACAACTTAGAAAAGATTGGCTGCTGATCATTCACAACCCCAAAGAATAATGGAATTCAAAATTGTAAAATTTACACTTAAAAAGTAAATTATTCCCAATCTTTAACACTGAAACTCAGCTAATAGCAGATATGTGGTACACAGTTTACAAGTTATCCTAATGCATTGATAATTTCTAACAAAAACTTCTACTGTGGGCAATGGAAGCCATCAAAGAGCTCTAAGCAGAGGAGTGACATGACTGGAGGTGCACATCTTGAAAAAACTTATTTAGAAACAGTGGGCAGGATGGAATGGATAGTGTAAGATGATGGTTAGGACACCATTTAGGAGACTGTCACAGTCATAAGCTTTTACAGCTTATAAAAATAAGAAGGTGGGTGTGCCCATCTACCAAATTCCAAGAGAAATTTTCCAAGAGAAAATTTGTCTTTCTTGGTATCTGTGGTTATTTGAAAACTATCTCCAAATAAACTCGTTTTTTTCTCCCAGTAATCTCTCAATGGCAGTACTTTTCAACTTGGTTTCTACCACTTGGCCTTCCTTGCTTTCTCTTCTCCCTCACTATTGCTTCTTCTCTCCCCTGGGAGAACTTATAAATGTGCTTTAAAACCTCGGGCAGTTGATGGAGTGGGGTACTCGGTTTTTCCCTAGAAAACCATGGTTATAACAGTTCAGGTCAAGATAATGAAGGCATGAACTGACACGAAATTCAGAAATGAAATAAAGAAGAGATAGAAAAAGGAAATGGTAAACTACTGAATTCAGTACAGCTTGTATATTGTCAGGGGAACACACTTTTCTAGTTGGATAACAAGGTTCCTGGAATGCTGTAGGCACTCAACAAATATTTGCTGAATAAATAAATAAATCTGAAAAACAAAATGCAAAGCACCAAATGTATGTTAGGATTTATCAAGATGGATCAGCAATGACTCCTGCTCTGAAAGACTTTCTCACGCTGCTGTTAACCCAGTATCTTAAGGCATGGATGGAATACCCGGTACCAACACCACCACCTCTCCTTCATTTTCTGCACCCATAGCAGTCATTTTAAATTGGCCACTATGATTTTTCACTGTTGAACCTACACGCATAATCAGAAAATCCTTCAGAAGACAATGTCCCAGAAAATTATTGTCAGTTGATCAGAGACGACGAGGTAAATGAGATCTAATCACCTAGTCACCTATTTCTCAGGCATACCAATATGCTGAATGAGTTTGAAAGGAATTAAGCAGCAAAACGAAACAGAAAATAATATATTCTGTGTTTTATTCCTACTCACCATTTAATTATGTTTCTGTGTCCTAATGGAAGAAAACTGGAGCATGTGAGGTGAGCAGATATTGACTGACAGGTCCCCAGTCTCAAAAATGGGTAACTGAAAGCTAGGCCTATGTGGGTTGAGAAAGGATGGGAAGGAAGAAAAGATGGAGTGGGTAGCTCGGCCTATACAAAGTATTTATTTTAAGAGAAAAAGAAGAAATTTGTTCTATTTGTTTTGTTAATATATGATCTGCAAGGATGCCTCCTACATGGATTTTTTCAGTCCAAGCCATCTAAGGTAAATAAGAACTGTGAAAACCACATCAGACTGAAAAGCAAGAACTGTGTCTAACTCTGCTCTCTCACAAGTCATAGAGTAAGCGGCAATAACATCAGCCACCCCTCAATTTCCCAATTAGTACACAGGGAGTCAGAATAACTTCCAATAATGATAATGGCCACTTATGGAATGCCTAATGTGAACTGGACAATATTCTAAGCACTTCACATATATTATCAAAGCCAAGACTATGTCTCCCTTGGAATCAAGAATAGTGAAAAGGCATTCTCCTTTTGCTTTAGCTGTAATATTCTCCCCACGTGACACACGACAGAAATCCGGGCTCAGTAAGATTAAAGAACTCATGCTTACATCACGTAAGAAACAAAGATGGCATTGAACTCAAGTCTGTCTGGTTCTGAAGCTAATCATAGTAACCATTATGCTATCTATATAGAAACTGCTAAATGCCATTTTTCAAATTACAATCAGGCAGTTGGGCTAAGACTGAGGCTTCAGAAAACAGTACAATTCCTGTGTGCTGTGCTAACACTTCTGTTTAGGAACGTCTCATTGAAAAGTTTCTGAAAATGAACTCCGTTCAGCAAACGCACCAGTTTAATGGCTACCCGTGTGTGCTAGGTGCTAGCTGACATCAGCATATAAAGCATTTTATGAAGTCTTTATTGACCTGTAAATGTTGCTCCCACTACTAATGGAATAGTACTTATGCACCATTGGACTGCGGAAACCTCTACCACTAGGACTCACTCTGAATGTTAACCCGGGCTAGCTGCCATCAGATAAATGAAGAACTGTGGCTGGTTAATCTTCCCAGGACCACAACACAGACACAGTGGAGTCCTGGTGAACAGACTCACTCTCTTTTTCAAGAAGCAGACATCCCTCCTTAGCATCTGAAATTACTAGATGATTTTACATTGCATCACACAAAAAACAGGACATTCTGGAAATGTGCTTTCTCAACATTTGGCCCTTCAAACCTAGGGGAAGAAAAAAAAAAAACCTGGCAAAATTATTTGGAAGGATGAAAGATGTAAATGCTGTTATGAGCATCTCTCCAATGGTAAATAACCAAGCTTTTATTGGGCGAATGTAATTAGAGACAGATTTCAATGCCTCTTGGATACAGCTGTTTCTGTCCTCCTGGCTTCAGACTGTTGCTGGATCATTCTGCGGCCATTGGCAATTTAGCCAGTCAGTTCTGCCTCGGTGCACCCAGCTGACCTCCTTCTCCACTGAGATGATGGACCTGCCTATGAAGACTGCTCAGAATTCCAAAATGAGGTACCCAAATCTCAAAGGCACCTTGAAATATGCACCTTCAGTGGCACAGCTATCAGGTTTTGCCATATATTAGTATTTGTTCTGGGTGTGTTTGTGTTTTAGGAGGCCCTTGGGGAAAAAAATATTCCTATAATCAGCCTGATGCTGCCAAGCAATGGTTTTTGTTTCTCCTAGATATCCTGTCACTGCCAGGCAATGGTTTTTTGCTTCTCTTAGATATCAGAAAGAACTAAGAGAAAGTATTCATTGTCTACTTTTCTAAAGGAAGGTATGTAGAGATCTCTGTATAGCACTAAGAGAGAGACTTTTGGCCAGACACAGAAAGACAAATACGAGGTAATCTCACTTCTATCTGGAATCTAAAAAACTCAAACTTACAGAAGCAGAGGGTAGAATGGCGGTTACCAGGGGCCAGATTGGGGACAGAGGAGGAATTGTGGTGATGAAAAAAAAAAGAGAGAGAACATCTGCAACAAAAGGAGATGCATGTAGATGTTCAAGGCATGTTTTTAAACCATGCTTACTTGCTTTTTATGGTATGTAAAACTAGGGTAAAGCTTGTCTCTCGATGCCCTAAGTATGGTAATATAAAAGAGTGACTGGATGTGACAATGGACCTGACCTTAGGTTAATCACCAGTTGCCTCAACAAGGACTTAGCTACAAGCTTCAGAGTAACCCACTTACCACCACTTTAATAACAAGAAAGCTTATAAACTCCTGACCCAATCTCCTCAGGTCAGAAAATCTCAATTTCTACATAGGACTGGAAACAATACAGATAGTACTTGTATTTGTTAGGAAAAAAAGAAAGAAAAAATCCTTAGACCAGTCTTCGTCTGTTGGTGTTCTGCAGTTTCAGCATCCTTATCAAAAACAAGAATCAAGTGTTAGGGAAGAGAAGGGAGAGAGCACCAATTTGGACAGAATATAAAATAATCCAATTCCACCTTAGATTGTGAGTAACTAGAGGACAGGAACTGTGACTCTGGCCATAGGCCTGGCCTCACAACACTAAACACAGAACTGTCTCTTAAAGTTTCTCAGCTGGGCACAGTGGCTTACGCCTGTAATCCCAGCACTCTGGGAGGCTAAGGCAGTGGGATCACTTGAGATCAGGAGTTTGAGACCAGCCTGGCCAACATTGTGAAAACCCATCTCTACTAAAAAAAAAAAAAAAAAAAAAATTAGCCAGGCATGGTGATGCATGCCTATAGTCCCAGCTACTCCAGAGGCTAAGGCAGGAGAATTGCTTGAACCTGGGAGACAGAGGTTTCAGTGAGCCAAGATCATGCTGTTGCATTCCAGCCTGGGCAACAGAGTGAGTGAAACTCTGTCTCAAAAAAAAAAAAAAAAAAAGTTTCTCTAAAAATGCTTACTGAATTGGATTAGAGTAGACAATGATGTACCAAGTGTCTAGGAAGGATAACATTTGGGACTGAATAGAATAACATTATTTTATTACAGCTTTAAATGTAGTCCTGCTTTTGTTTTCAAGGAGACTGCAAATAGAACAACTTCTTGATTCTATTGGTATTAGAGTTCTAAACACAAGGAGACAATATATCACTGTCTAAAGGCAAGGGGTCCAGCAAATCATCACTGAACACTATCTCAAAAGGTTACTTGGTCAACCTTCAAGTTAGTGACAGTTTCCAAGACCTCTCTTTCCTTTTTTTCTAAAGGACATTGTACTTAAACAAAATCCAAAGTCCTTACAATATGAGTTACTATTGCTAGGTAACAAATGACCTCAAATTTAGCAGCTTACAACAACAATTTTTCATCTCACACAGTTTTTAAGGGTCAGGAATCTGGAAGTGGGTTTAGCTTAATGACTTCAGGTCTCTCATGAGGTTGCCATCAAGCTGTTGGCTGGAATTTCAATGATCTGAAGGCTTGATTAGGGCTCGAGGACCTATGTCCAAGCCTACTCGTGAGGCTCACAGGGTGAACCTCCTCATAAGGTTATTAACAAGATAGCCACTGGTTTCCCTCAGAGCAAATGATCTAAGAAAGAGAGACACACACACACACAGGGATAGAGAGAAAGAGAGAGAGGCCACATTGTTTTTTATAACCCAATCTCAGAAGTCACATATCACCATTTCTGCCATACTCTATTGGTAACAAAGACTAATCCTGGTAAAGTGTGCAAAAGGACCACACAGTGTATCATTGGGGACCATTCAGGAGAGTGGTTACCACACTTACCAAGACCCATAATGCCTTACAAACTTCTCCCTGCCTGCCTCCCCAAACTCACCTCATGCTATTTTCCCCCATGCCTGCTATGCTCCAGTCAAATGGTCTTGTGACAGTTCCTAGAACAACGTGAAACTTTTCCTCCCTCAGTCCCTATTTATTTGCTCTTTTCTATGCCTGAAATGCTTTTCTTCTGCTTCTAAAACAGATCAATGCTTCTCATCTGATTATACACCATCTTGTCTGATAGGCCTTCCCACAACCTCTACTTCAAAAATTCTCCATCCTGTGATACCCCATTATTTATTTCTTTTATTGTACATCTGTACTTATGTTTATTCAGATAGACCTTCCCACACCATCTTCTTGAAAAAACTCTTCACCTTGTGATATCCCATTTTTATTTCTTTCATTTTACATCTGTACTTATGTTTATTCATGTATCTATCTTCTTATGGCATTTTCTAAATACAATAAGCACCATCAAGACAGATGCCCTTTCTGCCATGGGCACTGTTGTATCTCCAGTGCCTGGCACAAAATTGATGCTCATGAATATTTATTGTCTGAATGAAAAAGGCACAGTCAACAGTTCTTCCCAGTCATCGTCTTGTATTCTAACCACCTCGACTCACACCTACACAGTGGACCAGGGACATTTTCCCAAGTCAAGCCTCAAAGCAAACCTTCTAACACATATTCCCCACCACACTTCCTTCATCTCCTAACTCAGTTTCCTCTGAAATGATCACCAACAATAAAGTCTAGACTGATTTAGCACCCTGAAGATTTTCTTCTCCACCACCTGGTATGGCATCAGGCTGTCCTTTAAAAGTCTCTAGAATGTCACCCCATAACCTTCTGTTTAATCTAGCTTTTCTTTCTCTTGCATCCAGTTTCTACCTGGTTGCTTCATACTCAATTTCTACTGCTCAGACCAATAGTTTTAAGTCGATGCTTTAGCACATTCTGTTGGCACGGGCTCTAAAGCTCAGCAAAACCCAAGGATGCTAAATTCCTGACCCCTCACCTGCAGGCTTGTGGCAAGTCTGGCTTCATACCCACACTAAGCCAGAACTCTCAGGACCCCTGCTTGAGTCCAGTACTCAAGCATTAGCTTGAATTTGAACCACAGAAGAACTTCAGACAACTGGTGACTCCTTGTTTGTATCTGGCCTCTTGTTGTCTAGAGATCTGTTTATCATTTTGTATTAGTTCATTTTCATGTTGCTGATAAAGACATATGAGAGACTGGGCAATTTACAAAAGGAAGAGGCTTAATCACAATCATGGCAGAAGGCAAGGAGGAGCAAGTCAGGTCTTACATGGATGGTAGCAGGCAAAGAGAGAATGTACCAACAGGGGAAATACCGGATGCTTATGAAACCATCAGATCTCATGAGAACTCACTCACTATCACAAGAACAATATGGGGGAAACTGCCCCCATGATGCAATTATCTCCAGCTGGCCCTGCCCTTGACATGTAGGAATTATTAAAATTCAAGGTGAGATTTGGGTGGGCACACAGAGCCAAGCCTTATCACATTTGAACACTCATGTGTAAGGTTTTCAAATACTCAAATTCTCTGAGCTATCTTTCTTCAATTGGACTTCGTTAGAGCATAATGGCTGATCTTTAACAGGGGCAGCATATGCAGAAATACTTTATTGAATATTTTACTCCCTTATCCCTAATTCTGCATTGCAATGTGAAATCTGCTGGTAGACATGTGTTCTAGACCTAACTCTGAACTTATCCTCAGTTTCCTTATCTGTACAGTAATAATATAGGCCTAGATGCTGTGAAAGGCCTTCCTAAATTCTGTCATAAGTGCAATACACAATATCAAGGCACATGTGGCTTTTCCTAGTTGTTTATCTCTGATTTTTTTAGGTACTTCTGAAGCCGGATGCCAGTTTCTTCAGCAACGTGCCTGAAATGGAAAGCCTCAAGTCCTCTCTTTGCTTGTTTTGCCTGATCCAGATGGCCTCCTTCATCTGTCTGGATCCTTCATTCTTCTTTCCTCAGGGATATTTTAGAATCAGCTTCCACAAAGATGAACATTTCTTTACCGTGAGACTTGTACTAACCTACAGGGACCTTGTGCAAATCACCTTTGGCAAAGGTGTTCTCATTCATTACTGTGGCTCAACTTCCTAATCAACCGAGACAAGAATTCTGTCACATTTAGAGAAGGCTGAAGGCTTTCTCTGTTAACTTCCCAGATGTTTCCAGGATCAGGAAAAAAAAAAGGAAAAGAAACTAAGAATTCTAAATTGTTTTAACCTGAAGGCCAAAATACTGATACTTTAGCCTCTTTTGGCTCATTACTGGAAGATGTTTCCAAGCATATTCTTAAGAATGACATAAAATATTTTCAATTTGCTTCATTTTCATGGTCAGAATTATTGTGTAAGTTTTGGGGTCTAAGAATTAGAACTGATGTCACATGCAGAGTTTGTCAAGTGCTTGTTAAATTAAAAAGAAAATAATAAAATAATATTCTGTACATATTGCAGTCTGTGTTTTCATACATATTACCTGACCATCACCCTTTACTCTTTGTTATCTGTAAGGTATGCAATGAATTAAAAGAAGAGACTATATTGTCTTTATTAGTAAAAAAAAAAAAAAAAAAAAAAAAAAAAGTAACAAAAATATCACTTTGGTAATTTTTAATGTAATAATAGTGTTATTAACAAGCTTCTAGGAGAATTTTCCAGCTAGTAATTGCCATGACATTTTCAATCACAGGTGCTTTTATTACTAAACAGTGACTGACAGGCAAAAAAAAAAAAAAAAGAGGTAATTTTACTCATGCTTCAGGAACCTCAGAAAACTTCTCAAGTTTTTGAGAGCAATAAGGGGCTGAACTTCCTCAGTCTGGCCCCAGTTTCTCCATATTCTGTTAAAACAACTCATGTCAGAAAATATTTCTTTCTAATCTTCTTTTTTTTTATTAAATCCCCACTGATATTTTTCTATAGAAAAATCAGGAGATATAGTTCAGAGTCTGTGGTTAAAGAATCCCACTTGGGCATTCCTATCAGAGGTTTTAAACTAAGAGGATTTCTTCAAAGCCTATCATGAGAGAGTGTTTCAGTTATACAATATACCAAGAGAAAGAAAATGTTTCAAAATTATCTTCTCTTGAGTACCAGGCCCTTCTGTTTCCTACTGCACACATTTTAGCTATAATGCCATCTGTTTAAATTTGCTACTTATTATTCACCTTTTCCTTTGAGGTTATTAATTATTGTTAATATGCCTTCAAAACAGGTTAAAGTCATGCAAGCAAGTGAACAACTCAAGGCAGGAGAGATATTTCACAAGCCTGCTTCATTATCATAGTTCATTCAATTATTTTTAATAAAATGATGATATAGTTAGAAAAGACCAAGAAACTTTGGGAAAAGTAAAAATTGTTTTATTTAAAACACATTAAGTATGAGAAATGTGACTTGCTTAATACTAGATTTCCATAGTTTTATATGGACACATAAACAAAGGTGTAGATTATGTATCAAAGCTCTGTACTGAACCATTTGCATTAAGGCAAAAGAATTAAGCAAATCATTGTCTGTCTTTATTGAGTATATCAAATATTTCATAAATGAGATCCCAGCTGTGTTACCTAGAAAAAGAATATTTTTTTACATATCATATATCCCAAATGTTAAAAAATAAATATAAATTAAAAAAGGATTAAAATGGCAAGAAGGATAAATCAACTTTTAAAATCTTAATTTACTAAGATCATTACCATTATTCTTCTGATTCCCCTGCAAGCAGAACCCATGATAATGTCATCTGTGTTTTTGCGTTGCCCAAGAATATTCCCCAAAACTCAGTTTAAATCTCTTTCTTCCCTTATAGTTAGGTATCAACTGAGAATTCTTTTTGTTTTCTGCTAAGAACTTGGCCAATAACAAACAAATGAAACAATGAAAGCCTATAGTCCTTGCAGATTTGGCCATTATAAATCTGGAGACTTGTGCAGTTCAATAAAAACAGCACATTCAGAAAAAATTAACCCAACTACCACAATGATTAAAAATGAGTGCAAATGCATTTGTTGTCTAACACACCACCAGACACAAATCAGAGGGTAAGCAAGGGACACACAAAAGGCTACAGATGCAGAAGGTTTCACATGGTTTTTCTCTGATCTTGGGAATTCAGCTGCCAATGATGTTATCTACATTAAATAATAATAATAATAATAAATAAACACCTTGCTATGCTACTTTTCATTGCTATCTCAGAAAAGCTACATATCCACAGAAGAGGCTGTTGACTAACACTGGGCTCTGCTGGTTCTTGGATCACTCCCAACAGCATCCAACACTGTGAAAGGCCACATCTTCAACAGGGAGTGAACAGTATCTCTACCTTTAGCCTTCCAGAATCTCTGAAAGGCCGTCTCCCTGCAGACATTTCTTTGTAATTGACACCACAGATGGGCCTAAGTATGCTATTTTCCCTAAAAACAAAGGAGGGTATAAATTTTTTAAAATACAGTGTGCTCTACCCAGAGGAGACAGAGATCAGGTTTTTGTACTTTAAAGCACAATGTCTGTCTGCCAAGCAAAGGATGATGAACTATTCCCAATGACTATTTCCAAGGTGCTGGGTTAAAGCGCTTTTTGCATGTAGTTAAAATCAAGCAAAGAGTCAATGGAAAAAATTCCCCATGAAATGGCTTTTAGATGTCCTTGTTCATCGTTCGTACAAGCAATTATCTTAAAAGGAGATGCTCATCTGTTCCAGTCACTAACATTTATACCTATCCAAGCCACGATTAACTCCTATTGAAAATTTTGTTTTCATGGTTATTATGAAACTTAATCATGTTTATGGATAAAGCCAGTTTAGACATTTGAACCAGGCATCTCTTGCAGAACAGTTTACATCATTGTAGACAGACCACAAAACACCTTCTAGATAAACGCTCCCTATAATCTGTCACCAAAGCAATATGAAGTCAATGTTCCACAGATAATGGGGAGGAGAGGAGGGACTTCTAACATGTTTTTATTATCTTCAAGATACACATAAGGGAAAACTGAGACATGTGTGTGTGTGTGCATGTGTGCACACATATGTAGTATTTTGATATTGTTAGAGTAAGTGGATAGATAGATAGATTGATAGATTGATTAATATAGATTGGCCAAATACCTCTCTTAACCCACATTAAACTCCCTTCTCTTCAGGAGTAGAGAAGCTAGAAAATTCATATAAGGATAATAAGTATGTGTGAGGAATTTTTCCCCAACAAAATGCTAATATATAAGTAAATGGCATCCAAAAGTTGTACCTTTTTACTTGAATCAATTTTATTGTAAAGAACAGAAGCTCACTCAAACTAGTTCAAGAAAAACACAGAAGTAGGGGTTGTTACAATATCCAAAGGCAGGAAACTAAACGTAGTCGGGCCTCTCTGGAAATTCAGAAACTGAGACTTCTCTTTCTGTTCCTCAGAGGCCTATTTCTGTATCTGTTTATATGCTCTGTTTTTCTTGTTTCTCTTCCTAAATGCCTCTGTGTACTTATGTTACACAAGGCCCACCATGGGGACCCCAGCCTCTGATCTTTCAAATTTGGTCTTTTTAGTCAGACCTTCTGCTATGTGCCTCTGCTTAGTTCAAATTCCCAAGAGATAGATTCTGGTTATCTGTTGGTGAAGCAATGAATTCACTGGCCTTCAGTCAGAGATTCCTCCCTGCCCAACAGCAGTGCCTGGGAAGTGGGATACCATGGGATACATCTGCTTGCAGATCATGTGGCCCACTTTCCAGCCATGCCTTTGGAAGTCTGGAGTCTGAGTGAGAAGCAGCGGTCTAATCCTGATGTTTGACATGGGCCTGTGATGAATTACAGAGGTTCAGCTCATTTGTCATCTACACCAGCTTCCTTCTTGTACCGCAAAAAGTTAAAAGCTATATCTCCCATATTCCCTTGAAGACAGATTTCTGAATACAAATTAGTTTCTGCTCATTATAAACACTCACATGAGATTTTAGAAGTTGAGCATGAGGTGGAGTTCTTCCTGCTGTTTTGGTTTTCCTGTGGCAAATGTTGGGGTTTACTGCCACAGCATTTGACATCCAGCCCTGTGCCTCACAGAAGTTGGGATAAGTCATGAAACTGGCCCTATACCACAGCCAAACTGGGGTGTTCATGAGGACCACAGCTCCAGGGGGGGCCTCTTAATTCCCCATATTCCTAGCAGAGGAAGCAGCTTCCCTGGGAGACCAGTCTAGTGCATTAGTTCCAGGGATATTCCCATGGGCCCAGCCACATCCAAAACACATCAACTTCCAAAGATTTCTTAAGCTCCTAGGTTTAAACCTCTTTCTGCTAAAAAAAAAAAAAAAAAAAAAATAGCCACAGTAGTTTCTCCTTCCTAAAACTGAAAGGGTCATTGAGCCCAGTTCAATAGGATTTAGTATCCCAATCAAAATCTAGAGGACAGAGAAAGATGATCAGTCAGGGAGTGTCTCATAGGAGCTGAAAAATCACCCCGAGGTAATTAAAAGGTTTAGGCTCCATTTGTTGACTAAATGTAGGGTACGCCTTTGAATAAAACCATATAAGGTATTATCCAAAATGTCCCCTGTTGATGAAAAAACAGACCTGACAGTAAAGTGGTAAGAACGGATTTTATTTGGAAAGCATTGTGATAGAGGACACACAAAAAAAGCCCTCAGTATAGAAATGAGTTCAATTCAAACTATGATAAGGAAAAGTGGGGATTTATAGCCAAGGTGTAGAGTGAGGTATCAGTGGATGGATAGAGGAAACATTAGGGTTGTGGAGGATACTGGCTAAACCGACTTAAGAGGATTCTTGCTGAAGCCAGGCCAGGGTGATCAGATATCACCTCAAGAACTGTGAGGATAAGGAATTTGATCAGATATTAAGGTGATGGGATATCTACATGCAGGGATCTCTCTAAACTGACTTAAGAGGATTTTTGCTAAAATTGGATAATGCAAAGATAGATGTTTAAGTCCAATAGTCTAGGCCTAACTGAAAAGAGAGTTCAGAGGAGCTTGACTGGAGAGACTCTTTGTAACATCTACCCTGACCCAAGGGGTACAGGGCTCAATTGTTACAGCAAGGGGCTCTAAGGAATTTTAAAAAGTAAGCCTGACCTCTTGGTAATTAAGAAAAGTGATTGTCACATTTTGAAATCTACAAGAAGCTAAGTGGAAGAACAAAGTTGCTGATGGGAGAGAAAATCATTCTCCTTGCACCAGCAAGATGACCAGCATGTTGAGATTAACTTTAGCAGCCACAGAAACCACAGTGACAGATTAAAAACTGGACCCTTGAATGGAGACTAGCAAGGATAGTAGCAGCAGGTGAACATTAGTAGAAGCCAAACTATGAGACATCAGAATAAGTAGGCAAAAGGTCCATATTCCCATCAACCAATACTGCAGTCTAGCCCTTCTAGTCTGTGGCTCAGGGTCATTCTTACTAATATCAGTGTGTGACCACATTTATGATCTTATAAGTGAACACACTACTTTTATCTTCCTTGACAAAAGTAACACGAATCTAAAGAAAGGCTTAATCAAATACTCTGTTATTAAAGTTCAAGGGATAAAGTCAGAGGTGAAGATGCACTCACACATAGATTTGAAAACCAGGAAGAATATGGATGAACACAAACATATTTAGAATTAAAAGAAGAAGAAAAAGATTTAGAAACTGATACAAAAAAGAAGAAAATAAGAAAGACCAATTTCATAAGCAAAGAAAGAGGATAACAATGACAATGGTAAAAAGAAATTGATTAAACAAAATTTATTGAGTGCCTACTATGTCCCAGGTATCATTCTAAGCCTTGAGGGTATTTTAGTGAATAAGAAAACAAGAAGAAAAGAGGTGACAGGTAATGAGACTTCAGAAATTCTGAAGGTAGATTAGGATAAGATCAATGAAAGGCTTTTATAAAGCAGTTTTGAATTGTCCTTTAGAAAATAAGAAGCCATAAAATTTTATTTTTTATTTTCAAAAAGATATTTCTAACCCATATTAGAAATGGATTAGAAATAGATAACATATAACATTTGGAGAAGATAGAAGAGTTAGGGCCTGTAGGAATAGTTCAAGCAAAAATCATCTTAATTTTGGATACTTTCTAATTACTTCCTATCTTGAATAATTAGATAACATTAATCATAGTGGACACATGCATACATATGTTTATTGCAGCACTGTTCACAATAGCAAAACTTGGAACCAACCCAAATGCCCATCAATGATAGACTGGATAAAGAAAATGTGGCACATATACACCATGGAATACTATGCAGCCATAAAAAAAGGATGAGTTCATGTCCTTTGCAGGAACATGGATGAAGCTGGAAACCATCATTCTTGACAAACTAACACAGAAACAGAAAACCAAACACCACATGTTCTCACGCATAAGTGGGAGTTGAACAATGAGAACACATGGACACTGGGAGGGGAACATCACACACCGGGGCCTGTCAGCAGGTGGGGGCAAGGGGAGAGAGACTGTTAGGAGAAATATCTAATGTAGATGAGGGGTTGATGGGTGCAGCAAATCACCATGGCATGTGGTGTACCTATGCAACGTGGCATGGCATACTATGCAACAAACCTGCACATTCTGCATATGTATCCCAGAACTTAAAGCATAATAATAATAATAATAATAATAATAATAATAATAATGAAATCATAGTGGAAAATGAGGAATGAAAAGTGTTTCTTGTTTTGGTGTGCATGTAGAAGGGTATAGGGAGTACAATTTGTGGCCTATTGAATTTGAAGTACCTGTATCTTTTAGAAGTCAGGCTTAATTCAACAGGTCAATGATTGTAGTTCGAGAATTATGCCTTTCTGTTAAGGTTAGTGGACATGTTTGGCAGACCAAGAGAAATAAAACCATCAGTTTCTCCAGAGCACAAATCACTGGGGGCTTACCCGGATTTTCAGTACATCTTCAACTGCACTAACTCTGTCTTCTCTCCTCAAGTATCCTCCAAAGATGAATCCCATGCAATTGTCACCAGAAGTTTTCATAATCTTGAAGGAAGTAGCAGGTCACTGATTGCTCAGTTGGAAAAGCTTCCAAACAGATTTTTAAGTCAACTCCAGGGAAACCAGGTAATAGTGTCCAAAGGCACTCAGTTACACAATCAGGACTCAGTACAAAGCCTAATGGACTGATGTGCAAAACGAGTTGAGTTTGAAATAACAACAACACTTTATAGAAGTTTAAGTACATCTTCTGGACTGAATATGCCACATTATTTACTCTCTTCCCCTTCCCCGACTCCCCTCCACCTTGACAAGCCCTCAAGCACTATCATCTCCTAATGCACAAGCAGCATGATCCGAAACTCTTTGGCCATAGTTTATTGGACATGAAGTAAATGTCTGAAACAAATTGAGCCATTAGATTCTTTCTCCTAGGAATTATCTCCTGGAAATCACTTAATTAAAGCAATGCCAGTTAGAAGATCATAAAAACACAGGAACTGAGGCTGCCATTTTGAGGTGGTCTATTTTTAAGAGCCATATGCAAGCCGATGAATAGCTTCAGTCAGAGAAAAATCAAGCAGATCTACATCATGAATGATAAACGACGTGGCTCAAGAACAAGAAAGATAGAAGTGGTGAGTTTCTGACATCCTTCCAGTTGCTTGGGGAATGACCCAAGAGCATCAGGGACAAAAATTATCGGTGTATGGATGCTCTTAACCTTCCCCTTTATCCTCATTAGCCTCTGCCAATGGTCTCCCTTTATCCATACTTAGATGAACTTTATTTTTGCAGGCCAGTTTTCCTTTAAGTTGGAGGTTCTAGGTAAAGTGCTGGCAAAATGGGAGGAAACTGGGAAGAATTCTTGCCTGAATCAGAAAGGTTTTAAAAAGCCAGAGAACATGTACCAAAATAGAAAAATAAAACTGGGGGAGCATTGACTGTCAGAAAAGTTCTAGAGGTAGCTTGTTGAATGAGACTCTGGAAAGGTCTAGGGATCAAGAGAAACAGGTAGGAGATCTGTGCAAGTATTACTGTGGTTTGTGAATTAGGTTATTTTTAATGTTCTTCAGAGGACCCAAGAAAATAATATTCTTATTTAATATATTTTGGAAGCTGGACTATGCTGGTATGAAAATGGCTGGGTACTGAGACATAGGACATGAGGGCCTCTAGATTTATATGGGCTAAGCCTACAATATATTTTCTATTTTTCAGCTAAATTCCGTGAATTTCCATTTCTTGTTTCAGAACCCTTCTTTAGACATCTTCTAAAAATTCTAAGATTGAATCCTGAACTTATTTATTGTACCATCTCTCCAACACTGGCTGTAATACAAGGCTAGATATCCTTTTCTTATTTTACAGAAGAAAAAGAAAAAAAAAAACTCTAAGATCTTTTGGGAATGGAGAAATACAGAATTTGACTATCTTTTCCCTCAATAGGAACCACTTTTAATTTAGATAGAATTTCTATATTTGTGGAAAGTAAAAAATAAACAGGCAAATAGTAAAATAAATACAAAAAAAACTTCTGTCTCTGTCTTTTAATTCCCAGTACCCTAACATACTCACCCTTTACCCTCCCATCTCCCCTTACCCATTTAATGTCCCCTAAATGTAATGATACCAAGTTCATTGTCATTTAAGTCTTTCCTCATTCAACAGCCAGGGAAATTGTCATTGGTATGCGAACTGGTCCCAGGCAAGGAACATTATTCTTTAATCTCCTAATTTTAATTGGTATGCCATCATGCAGACTGGTGCTGCTAATGGCCTAGTTTGTAGATTAAGACCAGCAGACCTGAACTGCAGTGTGCCATTAATTACAAATAAAAAGAGGAAAAACACTGAACAATGATAAACGTGACCATTCCAAATCAGAGAGAAGATGATTCTTCCTCATCTCCTCCAAGGTTCATGACCCTATTTCAATGTCCATTTGTAACAGGATTCGAATTAATGCTTTCTGCTTGGTCAGATAATTTCAGAACAGTTGGTAAATTGAAATGATTTGCTGTGTATATACCAGCGCGATTGTCTGGAGCAGGAAATGTTGCTGAATGATTCTCTCACAGAAGACATTGTTTTAACTGATAGAGCTGTTTCTTTCACTAAACAAATATTTTAAATGAAAAGGCTCTTTCACTATTTAAAGAAAGTATGTTTTCCTCCTGTGAAATTAACTACTGTTATTACTTTATTTAAAGAAAGTATGTTTTCCTCCTGTGAAATTAACTACTGTTATTACTTCTGGTGTCTTTTCAACATCCAATAAGCAAAGAGTCTAATACATGTAATCTTTTATAGAGTCCACACATATATCTATCACCAGTGAAGAAAATGAAAGTTCCATATGAAAAGAAAAGTTACGTATCTATATAGATGGTAGATAGAAGATAGATACATAGATATATAGATAGATAGATAGATAGATAGATAGATAGATAGATAGATAGATAATGGATAGATAGATTCTAGGAAACATGGGTAGAATAGCCTAATTAGGGGGTGAATCTCTTCATCTCTTAGAAGAAACAAGTAAGAACCACTGCCAAGAAAAATAGAGTAAACGAAAAAAAAGATTGCATTACTTAGCAAAAAAAAAGATATAAAATACAATAATGTATTAATGCTTGTTATTAGTTAAATTTTGTCCCCCCAAAAATATGTTAAAGCCCTAACACCAAGCACCTATAAATGTGACCTTATTTGGAAATAGATCTTTGCAGATGATTGAGTTATAATGAGGCCATTCTGGTAGGTCCTAATATAATATGACTGGTGCCCTTTAAAAAGGAGGGAAATTTATACACAGAGACAGACAAGCACAGAGAGAAGATGATATTTAGACACATAGGGAGAAGATGGCTATGTGATTTCAGTGATGTATCTACCACCTAAGAAACCTTAAGAACTGTCAGAAAATACCAGCTAGAAAAGACAAGGATAGATATATCTACAAGCTGAGGGACACCAAAAATTATCAGCAAACATCTAGAAAAGGCAAGGAAAGGTTCTCCCCAAAGCGACCAGAGACAGCATGGCCCTGCTAACACCTTGATCTTGAACTTCTAGCCTCCAGAATTGTAAGACTATAAATTTCCATTGTCTTAAGGCATTCAGTTTGTGGTACTTTGTTACAGCAGATCTAGTAAACAAATACAATGCCTATCTCGATTCTGTACTCACTTTCCTGCTGTCACTATTCTAACCTACCTGTCTTTCCTCTTTGTCTAAGGAGTTTAGTTTACAGAAAGTCTTAGAGAAATAACCAAGAGTAACTAATAGTTCTTGAGATCTTTCAAACCCCAGCTTATTTCATTCTTAAACAACCCTGAAGGTATATATTATCATCCTTTCTTATCTGAAGGGAACACTGGATCTCTGAAACATTGAGTGTCTTGCCCAAGGAAACACAGCTAGAAAGTAATACAGCTGAAATTTGAGCCAAAGCCAAAGCATGTTGCTATAAGAAGCATTCTTCTATATCACACTGCATTTAACAATGTTTTAGTCTGAATAAAACAAGAAAAAAAGTTCTGGAAGGACTAGTGAACTTTCTGGAAAACAACCACATCATTTCAAAGCCAATGTTGCTGCAAAGTAGAGTGGAAGATTCTGGTGACAGAAGAGGAGGGGTGCAGGGAATTAGTGAGGGGAATGGAAGACAGGGTCCACAAGACCCTCCTCCTCCTTGACCCTGAGGCCAGGGCATAGGACTCCTAGGGACTACCCTAGGAATATCAGTTGTGGAAAGGCACAATAAGGACAGAGTTGTCCCTCTGCTACAAGAACTGTGATACTCCTTACTCAACCCCAGAAATCTAGCTTCACAGTGGGGAAAAAGAAAAGGCTGTTTTTGCAGACATTGGCCTGTAATCAGATATCTGGGCTCATTTTTGGAGCTGGTATTGTAAACAGAGCAGGTGCCCAGAACCTGTCCCTAGCTGTGCAAAGCAGTTGAAGGCATCTAGGGAGTACAAAGATAGCATGAGGAGAACAGAGGCCAAGAAGCACATTCTTTTCCTTCGTCAGATGAGAGAAACTTCCTGCCCTGATAGGGGGTGGCCTTCTGCTCCCCTATTACAGGAGGCTATTTGAAGCATGTCAAACACTCCCGCACCACAAGGCAAAAAAAGCCCCTGTCTTTCTTTTTTGTAGCCACAATGATTGAGTATCAGCATCTGCCTGGGAGCCTGTTGAAATGGTTTGTTGTTTTTCTGTTTTGTTTTGTTTTGTGTTGTGCCAATAATAATATTTTCAAATCTTGTTCCTCTGAGACTCTGTCTAAAAACAACTGACAACCAGCACAGCAAACACAACTTTTCACATATGTGAAAATAAAAGTCCTTAAATAATAATAATAACCATCATATAGTTTCTGATCATTATATGTCAGGCCCTGAAGCAAGTGTTGTACAAACATTACATCGTTTAATCCTCTCAGCAATCCAGTAAAGCAGTTGTTATTATCACCATTTTACAGAGGGAGAAACTGAGGCTCAAAGTGAGCAAATTGACTTGCTCAAACCCAAACAGCTAGAAAATGATAAGGCTGCCATGCAATCCTGGGCTTATTTTATCCCTAAGCCTGCATTCCATTTCCTACAAATAAAGAGATAGTTTTGGGGTGGGAAGTTCTGATAAAGGAGTGGGGAGACTGATTGCCCCTGCACAAGCTTCCCATTCCATTTACATGTTTTAGGCCCTTTAGCCTCCAGGGTTGAATCAGAGCTGGGCAGGTGACAAGGGAGGACTAGGAAGCCGAGTCATGAGCAGAAGAGTCCTCAGCCAAGGTGGAATTCATCAACTCAACAGCACTAGAGGCTCAGGGAACAGTGCAGTCTTCTTGGGACAAACGAGAGCCTCTTCATGTTGCTCCCCAAAAGCTCCACATTCACCAGGGGTACACATGTGACTACTTGGCCTAAACAAAAAGGTAAGGGAGCCCTTGTCATCTGTCCCATCCAGACCAAGGTGACAAATGACAAACATGAGGCTCCAAATCAGCAGATCACACACTTCCTGAAGAAGCATCACTTACAGCTTCCATCATTACAGGCAAGTGGTTCTCAGCCTTTCTTCCCAACCCAACAGCTGAGAGCTATTGCCCACCCAAGTAGTTACAATGGCTTCCAGAAAGTTATAAGGAAATGGGGGATTCAGTCCGTCATTTGACATGGAAACTCATTAGAGGCCAAACCTAATTCCAAGATGTCTGTAGGCATCCACAGAAGAGTGAGCTTGAGGAAAGAAACTGTTTCTTACTCACTTTAGATTTTTAGCACAGTTTGGGGAACAAAGAATATGTTCAGTGATATAGTTTGGATATTTGTCCCCACCCAAATCTCATGTTGAAATGTAATCCCAATGTTGGATGTGGGTCCTGGTGGGAGGTGTTTGTTTCATAGGGGTGGATCCCTCATGGCTTGGTGCTGTCCCCATGTTACTGAATGGGTTCTAAAAAATTCTGGTTGTTTCAAAGTGTATGGCACTTCCCCCTCTCTTTCTTTTGCTCCCACTCCTGCTATGCAATGTGCCTGCTTCCCCTGGGTCCCCTTTGCCTTCCACCATGATTGTAAGCTTCCTGAGGCCTCCCCAGAAGCCAAGCAGATGCCAGCAACATGCTTCCTGCACAGCCTGCAGAACGGAGAGCCAATGAAACCTCCTTTCTTTATAAAGGACCTATTCTCAGGTATTCCTCTATACAGCAATGCAAGAACAGCCTAATGCTTTCACTAAGTATGTATTGTAGAGAGGGATAGATGAATGGATGGTGAGTAGTATTTGAAGTATTCGAAGTATTTGAATACTTCAAAAGTATTCGAAGAGAAAACTTGCCAAAAGTTATAGTTAAGCAAGGAATGGGGAAAGAAGATGAACTATCAAGAGGACAGGAAGAAGAACCCTCATTTATTCATTCGACAAGTATTTACTGAGCTCCTACCATATGCTAGGCACTGTCTAGGCATTGTGGATACAGAGTCAAGAATCCCTACCCTCACAGAGCTTATATTCTAGTGGGGAAAGGATGGTCAATAATGTAAAAGATTACTAAGTATATAGTACATTATGTTCATACCGTTAAATCCTACAGAATTAAGATAAATCTATACGTGGGAAAGAAAAACAAACAAAGATTGTGCCATTATTTTTTTCTTTTCTGACTTTGTATGTATTCAAAAATCCATCTGTGGAATTTACCACATTAATAAAACAAAGGGGAAAAATATGTTCATCTGAAAAAAAAGTGATGATTAGAAAAGTCATTAGAAAGTGATAACTGCTTTGGATACAAAAAAGAGTGAGGTGGGCGGAAAATGCTACAGACTGCTGCGGTTTCATAGAGCATAGTAATGAGAGGCCTCATTGAAATTATGCCTCTACAAAGTCTTGCAAAGTTGAGGGAGTAAGTCATGCAGGTATCTGGGGGATGATAATCAGTGTCAACAAAGACAGACAGTGCAAGTGCCCTGAGCAAGGCCTATGCCTGGAGCACTTTAGGGACAGCAGAAAGAGAGTGTGGCCAAGACGATGACAGAGGGAGAAGACTCAGGAAATCACACTGGGAAGGCCATGGTGGAGGTGCAGGTTGTGGAGCTTGGGCAATTCTACTGAGTTTAAAAGGAGCCAAGGGAAAGTTTTGGGAAGATGATTAACATGGTCTCACTTCTACACTTTGGCTTCTGTGTTGAGAATAGACATGAGGTAGGATAAATGGGTGGGGTCTGAGAGATTATTTAGGAAGCTGAGGAACAATTCAGGTGAAAGACGACATTGGTTTGAGCCTAGGAAATGGCAGTGCAACTGCTAATAATTGTCATGTGTTGGTGTATTTTTGAAAATGAGCCTCTAGAATTTCCCAATAGGCTGGATGTGAGAGTGGAAAAAAGAAGTCATGTATAATTCTTTATACTGTTGGCCTGAGCAACTAGAGTTACCATTAACTTAGATGGGAAAACTGCCAATGGAGCAATTGTAGAGAGAGATGAGGAGTCAGCTGGGGACACTCATGTTCAAAGCATCTATTCCATGGAGATGTAAATGGTGGTGTTGGATGCAAGACTCTGAAATAGAATGGAGATGTCTGGCTAAGAGATATAAACGTGGGAGTCACCAATTTGTATGTGATATTTAAAGCTATGAAACTGGATGAGATCACTCAGGCAGTGAGTGCAGATGGAGAAGAGAAGAGGACCAAGGACTGAGCCCTGGGGCTCTCCAATAGTAGGAAATAAAGGTCAGAGAGAGAGAGAGATGAAAAAAGAGTGAGAGAAAGAGAGAGACACCAGAAAGGAGAAAAACCAAGGGACGATGGTGCCCTGGAAGTCAAGGGAAGCAAGGGTTTCTAGAAGGAAGAAGTGAGCAAGGGTAATAAATGCTGTTGATATGTCCAGTAAGACAAGAGCTAAGAATCGACAATTGGATCTAGCAATTCTGAGGTCACAGGTGACCTTGACAACAGCTAATTTAATAAAGTGGTTGGAGCAAAAGTCTGACTAAAGGGACTTTGGGAGAGAATGGGAAGAGAGAAGTGGGAAACAGTGAGAACAGACACATATTTTTGAGAGTTTTACGGAAAAGGGAGAAGGATGGGAAAAGAAAAACAAAGGAAGAAGAAAATAAATAGCACACCAAGGAGTGGGGAGTTGGGAGCAGCCCACTCCAGTGTAAGCAGCAGGGTGGTGCCTTATCTGTAGTGAATTTTAAAATAATGATTTTAAAAACTGGCACAAAGTTAGTCAGCTTTATAATATTATCATTGGAGAGCTGTTCTAAACAATGTCTGTGATAAAATACTGCCCATTCGAGCCTGCTTCTCTCACCACCGCTATTCATTTTCTTCACCATTGGAAAGAGTAAAGGAAGACAAAAAAGCATTAATTAAAACGTATTTTGACTTCCACATAAAATCCCTCTCTACAAACTGTGGTGGTAGAAATGCAATATAGCAACTGTTGTCAGCCCCTTCCTGGCAATAGGTAGAGTGGCACATTGGATCATTTCCCAACCTCCTGATTTGGGGTCTCATATCATTCCCTGTTGTCTTATGGAGGCTGTAGACTTCCCAGACATGAACCTAACAGAGCAGAATGGACCTTCAATAACCAGTTTTCCTCTATTGTGTTGAAGAAGGCATTGTTGGGCTGGTTCCACTAGCAGATCTTCACATGCCACTGTATGTACAGGAGATGCCCTCAAGCCTCACCCTGGGTATATCAATCTATTATTCAATAAATGAGCCAGCAATTTTTAATGAAATGCCTACCACATAGACAGTTCTATGCTAGATGTTGTAGAAAATTAAGAGTCAGAACTTCCTTTCTTAGACATCTATCTAATCATTACCCTATTGTGTTCACCAAAATCATCCCTAATAATGAAGTTTTCACCAAATCTTGGCTCTCTAGTCAGACGGAAGTTAGACATGGCCACAAGACTGCCTTATTGTCAAAGGAAAGTGAGTAACAGCGACACGTGTCCCTTCTGTGTTGAGGATTTCAGACAACAGACACACTTTCCTATATTTTCTGTCCCCTTCCTCTTGGCTGGAACCCAGGATGCAGTGGCAGGGATGTAGCTTTGAGTATACAGAAGACAATGCTCAGGGGATGAAAAAGGAATGACTTAGAAAGAGCTGAGATTCTCAATGATCACATAGAACAAGATGCCCACCTAGATGTGTAAAATGACAAAAAGTCAACACAATAACATTTAAGCCAATAATCTCAGAATCTAATCTGGGATGGGATTTTGCATCTTCCCTAACTAATGTGCTTTTCTATCTCCAAACCTTCCACACGTCCTCAATGCCAGGAAAATAAAGTGAACATTGCTCAACGTCCACACAAGGCCCTTCACTGTCCAACCCTATATTACTTTTCCAGTAGTGTCATCTTGCACTCAAGGCCCCATCTCTGGGTGAAATTCAATGAGGTGTGGAGATCTATTCAGGCCTAACATGTTAAATAAATAAATAAATGTGGTCAGTTGATACTAACCTGAAGGCAAAGTTAAGACCCTTTTTATTTACTTATTTATTTATTTTTGAGACCAAATCTCATTGTGTCACCCAGGCTGGAGTGCAATGGCACAATTTCCACTCACTGCAACCTTCACCTCCTGGGTTCAAGTGATTCTTCTGCCTCAGCTTCCCAAGTAGCTGGGACTACAGTCATGTGCTAGCACACCTGGCTAATTTTTGTATTTTCAGTAGAGGCGGGGCTGGGTGCGGTGGTCCACGCCTGTAATCTCAGCACTTTGGGAGGCTGAGACAGGTGGTTCACTTGAGGTCAGGAGTTTGAGACAGGCCTGACCAGCATGATGAAACCCTGTGTCTACTAAAAATACAAAATTAGCCAGGTGTGGTGGCGCATACCTGTAATCCCAGCTACTTGGGAAGCTGAGACAGGAGAATCACTTGAACCTGGGAGGCAGAGGTTGCAGTGAACCGAGATTGCACCATTGCACTGCAGCCTGGACAACAAGAGCAAAACTTTGTCTCAAAAAAATAAAAATTTTAAAAAAAATAGAGATGGGCTTTCACCATGTTGCCCAGGCTGGTCTCCTAACTCCTGACCTCAGGTGGTCTGCCCACCTCGGCCTTCCAAAGTGCTGGGATTAGAGGTGTGAGCCACCATGCCCAGCCTTAAGATCCTTTTTTAAAGGATTAGTCTTTGGCCTGACATGGTGGCTTACACCAGTAATCCCGGCACTTTAGGAGACCAAGACAGGAGGATTGCTTGAGCTCAGGAATTCGACCAGCCTAAGCAACATGATAAAACCCGGACTCTACAAAAAATACAAGTATTTGCTGGCCATTGTGGTGCACACCTGTAGTCCCCGCTACTCAGGAGGCTGAGTTGGGAGGATCCCTTGAGCCCAGGAGTGTGAGGCTGCAGTGAGCCATGATCTTGCCACTGCAATCCAGCCTGGGAAATGAGAGAGACTATCTCAAAAAAAAAGTGCCTTTTTTATAGTCTCTGACGCTTTCAGTGTTAGAAACTGACAAGAGAGGACAATTTTATAACATACTTTTTAAATTATAACGTTTTAAAGGAAATTTTAGGTTCACAGCAAAATTATAAAAGAAGTATAGATCATTTTCATATACCCTCTGTCCCTACACACACACACACAGCCTACCCACGATGAACATCTCACATGAGAATGATACACATGTTTACAATTGATGAACCTCCATTGACACATCACTAGCACCCAAAGTCTGTAGTTTACATTAATGTCCACTCTTGATGTTGTACATTGTAAGAGTTTTTGACAAATGTATAATGACATGCTTCCACCACTGTAGTATCATACAAAATAGTTACTCTGCCCTAAAAACCATCTGTGTTCCACCTACTCATCCCTTCCCTACACCAAGTCCCCACCCTTACATGTAGGACCAGGAACTGGGGAATCAACACATGGATTTTGAAAATGTGAGCAACACATTTCTTCCCTTTAGCCTAAAGAGAAATTCATTCCTGCACATTTGTTCATTTTAGGAGCAGCCAGTGTTGCAGCAATGTTTTTACTCCTGATGATAAACTAAGAGATTTACAAGGACCCATGACTAAGAATATATTTCTATCTCCTTAACAACTAGAGAGTCTGGAGCAAGATGATGATGTTAGGGAAAATTAATAATGCCTCATCGTTGTTCCCAAGTCTTGTGGTATACTTCACAGTTTTCCAAATTCTTTTACATACAGAGACTCATGTGTTTTTGTACATGTCTTTCTACTCTGCCTACTAGAGTTTATGCTCCATGTAAATAGAAACTTGTAGTAGTTATTTGTGTCTCTTTATTTTGATAGCTACTTGTTGTTAAGTGCTAAGTAAATGTTCTATAAATTTAATTGGATTTAAATTCATAGTAACTCTGGGAAATGGGTGGGACAAGCAGTAGCATCACTACCAGACTGATGAAGAAAATGAAGTTCCAATGTAAAGGAACCCTCCCGTTTATTCAAGTTGCGGAATCTTAAACTACATGAGTACAGGTTGCGGGGGAATCCCTAATCCCAACTATAATTTAGTTCTTGCCAAATTATCAGGGAAAAGATTGTCATTTGATTTAACTGGACTTGAAGCAATAAAGAAATGTAACATTTCTCACATACCTGGATTTTTGAAATATGATTCATATTTGCTACATGCTCCTGCCTTTATTTCATGATTTATGAACCCTGGACAGCACCTATTAGCTCTTTGCTGTGAAGGATAAATAATTTGGTTCATTAACACTGCCTTCTACCTTCCCTTCCTGCCTCAACCACCAATTTGTGTTGATTATATTATTAGATTTTTATAACTTGGAATATGACAAACTCCATTTCTTGAATTTTCAACTTTAACCAGTATTGACAACTTGTTATTAAAGAGAAGAAAATTACTTCCTTTACTTATCCTTTTCCTTATCTTTCTTTCCCTTCTCACCCCCCATTTTGTTGTTGTTAAGTAGTCAATGTATATGACCTTTACATTCTGTTTCGTAACTCTAACCTCAAGTGCAGCAGATTCTGCCTATACATGCATCTATGCAGCAACTCAAAATTATAAAACAGCGTTTGCATTTGGGTGCTTATGCAAGTATTATTCAATGTAGAATCAAATAGTGTGGCTCCACACATGGTGAAGGAAATATAACCATAAATACTAAAGCATTATTGGTAAAGAAAAAATATTTTCAGTGTCTTACTCAAAAACAGTGCTTCTCAAACCTGAATGTGCACATACATCACAAAAGAATCTTGTTAAAATGTGTTTGGTCTCTGGTGAGGCCCAAGACTGTGCATTTCTAGCAAGCTCCAGGTAATGTCAATGGTGTCTGCCAGTTCATGGACTATACTCTGGGGAACAAGTCTCTAATGAATCCTCTTTTCATACCTTTTCAACCCCCATCATCTCTTCTGGGTCATAGTGAACCTCAAGTGTTTTTGAAATCCATTATCTTCTTTTGTGAATTTCCATTTCCACCACTCTTAGGGTTTCTATTTAGAAAATTCGATATGATCTCTGTCTCTATTTTCAATTCCCTACAATAGAATGCTAATTACTTATCAGGACCCCTTTTAAAATCAAGAGCCTGCTTTGGGATTTTTAAGCAAAAACATTTCACTTTGTTTGTTTGTGTGTTTGTTGAGACGGAGTCTCACTCTGTCACCCAGGCTGGAGTTCATTTGGTACGATCTCAGCTCATTGCAACCTCCACCTCCCAGGTTCAAGCAATTCTCCTGCCTCAGCCTCCCCAGTAGCTGGGATTACAGACATGAGACAGCACGCCCAGCTCATTTTGTATTTTTAGTAGAGATGGGATTTCACCCCATTAGTCAGGCTGGTGCTTAGTTAAGTATTCTTACGGTAAACTCATGTTCATCTCTGAATTCATTCATGTTTATTTTCTTGCCTAGAACTCCAGACTTAAAAGATCCTACTTCCAGCCAAGTGCCAAAACATTTTAAAACATGTTAATCAACAAAGTCAACTGCCTCCAAAATGCCATCTCCGTCAAAATATATCAAGGCTTCATCTCAATTAAACATTTTCCTTCTTGAAATTTAGTAATTGGACCCTGCTCCTTGAAACATGATCCACACCCTTCCCAAAAGTATATCTTAATTTCTTATGCAGAAAAAAAATTAAAAAGCTGCTTTCTTCATCACTGTGACACTTACAAATGGCACAGCGAAGAAATCGTCACCTAGTCATTTAAAAGTCTCTCTGAAAAAGTCTATAATTCATTCACATGGCAAAAACTACAACACGAAAAGCAATGTGATAAATAAATCCAGCCTAATGAGAAAATATTGTTATGAGAAGGAAGAAAAGGATGCAATTAATCCATTTTTAAATAATCTTAAAATAATGCTGAGGTGCTCCCTGGATTCCATATCTTGAAATATGACTAGTCATTTTTTTATTTATCCTACAAAACCTGATTACACAAAAGCAATTATGAGAAAATGTGTAATAAAACAGCAGGTGATGCTGAGTGGAATTCAGAAAACTGCCTACAGGGGAAAAAAGGGAGTCATTCATTGCTAAGCATCCCTAAACACTATGCTTTAGGAAGAGTAGTGAATATAAATTTTAAATATTTGGATTCTGGATGTCTTGAATAAAAATATACTCCCCTCCCCATTTTACAGCTTGGGAAAACTGAGTCAGCAATCAACAATTGCCCTAGATTTCTGCAGTACTTAACCCCAGAAGGGCACTCGGAGCACAGTTTGATTTAGAAGTGTAATTAGGAACCCTTCTCTCACTTAGCTGTGTCACCTGCTGTCTTGTTGCACACTTCTACTAAAATTAAATGCATTAATTTTTAAAGCTGAGTCCGAGAGAGGCCCATCTGCAGTGTAATCAAAGTAAATTATATTATTAAGTGTTAGGAGATCCAAGGCACAAAATAAAAAAAATAAATAAGTATAAAAGACTAACAATGCCCTAGGCAAATAGCTAGGGAACTGTTGATCATATCACCACCAAAGCTGCTACCAGCAGCTTTAATATGTAAAGTATATTAAATATTATATAATATTTAATATAAATTGTTATATAATATTTAATATATATTAAATATTATATATTTAATATAAATTAAATATTATATATATAATGACTCAGAATATAAAGACTAAGGCAGTGGCTGCAAATATTTTTTTCCTAGCAGATAATTTTTTCCTGTGAGAAAGAAAACACACTAAAAGTAGAATTACTGGTTTGCTATGTGATGAAACCCTGACATAAGTAGTTAACTTTTTAGATTACATTTTAAAAGTTTATCGGGGACCATTTGTGAGGTTACATATTGTCACCCAGTGGGCTTGGTTTTATGAAACTTCACATTCTTTTTTTTTTATTATTATACTTAAGTTTTAGGGTACATGTGCACAATGTGCAGGTTAGTTACATATGTATACATGTGCCATGCTGGTGTGCTGCACCCATTAACTCGTCATTTAGCATTAGGTATATCTCCTAATGCTAACCCTCCCCCATCCCCGCACCCCACAACAGTCCCCAGAGTGTGATGTTCCCCTTCCTGTGTCCATGTGTTCTCATTGTTCAATTCCCACCTATGAGAGAGAACGTGCGGTGTTTGATTTTTTGTCCTTGCGATAGTTTGCTGAGAATGATGATTTACAATTTCATCCATGTCCCTACAAAGGACATGAACTCATCCTTTTTTATGGCTGCATAGTATTCCATGGTGTATATGTGCCACATTTTCTTAATCCAGTCTATCATTGTTGGACATTTGGGTTGGTTCCAAGTCTTTGCTATTGTGTATAGTGCCACAATAAACATACGTGTGCATGTGTCTTTATAGCATCATGATTTATAGTCCTTTGGGTATATATCCAGTAATGGGATGGCTGGGTCAAATGGTATTTCCAGTTCTAGATCCTTGAAGAATCACCACACTGACTTCCACAATGGTTGAACTAGTTTACAGTCCCACCAATAGTGTAAAAGTGTTCCTATTTCTCCACATCCTCTCCAGCACCTGTTGTTTCCTGAGTTTTTAATAATTGCCATTCTAACTGGTGTGAGATGGTATCTCATTGTGGTTTTGATTTGCATTTCTCTGATGGCCAGTGATGGTGAGCATTTTTTCATGTGTTTCTTGGCTGCATAAATGTCTTCTTTTGAGAAGTGTCTGTTCATGTCCTTTGCCCTCTTTTTGATGGGGTTGTTTGTTTTTTTCTTGTAAATTTGTTTGAGTTCATTGTAGATTCTGGATATTAGCCCTTTGTCAGATGAGTAGGTTGTGAAAATTTTCTCCCATTTTGTAGGTTGCCTATTCACTCTGTTGGTAGTTTCTTTTGCTGTGCAGAAGCTCTTTAGTTTAATTAGATTCCATTTGTCAATTTTGGCTTTTGTTGCCATTGCTTTTGGTGTTTTAGACATGAAGTCCTTGCCCATGCCTATGTCCTGAATGGTATTGCCTAGGTTTTCTTCTAGGGTTTTTATGGTTTTAGGTCTAACATTACGTCTTTAATCCATCTTGAGTTAATTTTTGTATAAGGTGTAAGGAAGGGATCCAGTTTCAGCTTTCTATGTATGGATAGCCAGTTTTCCCAGCACCATTTATTAAATAGGGACTCCTTTCCCCATTGCTTGTTTTTCTCAGGTTTGTCAAAGATCAGATAGTTGTAGATAAGCGGCGTTATTTCTGAGGGCTCTGTTCTGTTCCACTGATCTATATCTCTGTTTTGGTGCCAGTACCATGCTGTTTTGGTTACTGTAGCCTTGAAGTATAGTTTGAAGTCAGGTAGCGTGATGTCTCTAGCTTTGTTCTTTTGGCTTAGGATTGACTTGGCGATGCGGGCTCTTTTTTGGTTCCATATCAACTTTAAAGTAGTTTTTTCCAATTCTGTGAAGAAATTCATTGGTAGCTTGATGGGGATGGCATTGAATCTATAAATTACCTTGGGCAGTATGGCCATTTTCACAATATTGATTGAGTTTGCTCCCCAAATGAGGCAAACCACTCCATCCCTTGCTTCCTATATCCTGTCTGTTTGATAGAGACATCTTTCAAAATTAGAACTCACTAGGGTCCAGGGCTCACTCTTAATTTTAGGTAAGTTCTATGATATGCCTCTGCCCAAGGTGTCACCTAGAGTTTTCGAGCATTCCTCTTCAGGAGTTAGGAAACTTAGGAAACTCCCAGGGAAATTTGATCCTTTCCACCTAAGGGAACATAATGGGAACTACAAGAGAAACCTTGGGTATAATGCAAAGATGTTAACAACCTGAAAAATGCCAGACCTAGGGCAAGGAGCTTGATAAGAAGGGAAAAGGACTCAGGCATTGGGCAAAGAAAGAACTAACCAGAATACAATAGGATGAAAGCCTAAAAGAAAATTCAAGGAAGCATTCCTTCCCTCAAATTGAAACAAGTTGTTCAAGGCGCATAGAGTGGCAAAGGCTAAATGCACGCTAGGGGTGTCTTGAGGGGAATAGGGACCAAGGAATAATACATCAACCTTCTTTGCTTCTATTGCTTTGAAATGGTTTCTGCTGCATTCTTTGGTTCAGTGACTCCTGAGATCTCAATACAGCAAGTCATCCTAGCTTTAACAACATTAAGAATTCCTTGGCACATCTATGTGCCCACGGTGATTCAGACCAGGAGTTGGCACACTGTAGTCTGCAGGCAAATCCAGCCTGCAGCCTGCTTTTGTAAGTAAAATTTCACTGAAACACAACCACACCCATTGATTTAACTACTATCTATGTCTGCTTTCGAGCTACAGCAGCAGAGTTGAATAGTTGGACACAGAAACCATATGGACAATGCTTTAAATACTATACGGCCCTTTACAAAAGAGGGTGGCTGACTGCTGCTACAGACTGCTCCCCCTTCAGCCCCCAACACAATAACTGATTTTGCAATAGTACAGGGCAACTCTGGATTTGGTCCATTACCACTACTCCAAAGGTTTTTTTCCAATATTTGCTGATAGCATTTGATGTATTATGCATAGCGAAGCATTGTAGCATAAAGCGGAAGAACACAGGACGCAGAGTTGACTAGCTGTCATTTGCCATTTACTGGCTGTGTGACTTTGAGCACGTTGTTTGACGTTTCTGTGCTTCAGCTTCGCTCATCCATAGTAGACAACCAGTTCGCCAACCTCCTGATATACATGTCCTGTATTCACCTCCACTTAAGTATAGGCTGGACCTAATGACGTGCTTCTCATCAATGAAATATGGCAAAATCAAGGGGATGTCACTTCTGAGATTGGGTTACACGAAGACTGAAACGTCTGTCTTGCTCTTCCATTCTGTTGTCTCTTGCTTGCTCTGATGAAAGCCAGCTTCCACGTTGAGAGATGTCCAATGGAGAGGTACACATGGCAAGGAACTGAGGGAGGCCTCTGGCCAACACCCAGTGATGACCTGAACCCTCAGTCCAATCATTTGTAAGAAACTAAATCCTGCCAACAACCACAGTGTGAGCCCTGCAAGGGCCCTGCAAGGACTACACCTCCATCTGAGATCTTGAATATGGTTTTATGAGAGGCTCAGAGTAAGAGGTACCCAGCCAAGATGTCACCAGATTTTTTTACTCATAAAACCTGTGAGATAATAAATGTTTGTGGTTTTAAGCAACTGTTTGATGATTTATGATTTATGTGATAATTTGTTAGTCAGCAATAGCTAACAACTAGCGTTATGAAGAATAAATTCATACATAAAAATTGCATACAATTATGCCTACCAAATATTCAACAGGTGTTCATTATTATTGGCTTACAAGCTTGGTTTTCTTACTTCACTTCCACTTGCATTGCTTCAATTAGAGTGTAGTGGTTAAGACCATGAGCTAACTGTATCACTTCACCTCACTAAACTCTGTGTCCTCACCTGTAAATGTGGTTAGGAAAAGAATATCAAACTCACAAGATTTTTACATGTATTAAGTGGTGTATGAGTTTGCTAGAGCTGACATAACAAAATGTCACAGATTGGGTGGCTTAAACAACAGAAATGTATTTCCTCAAAGTTCTGGAGGCTGGAAGTCCAAGATCAAGGTGCTAGAAGGTTTAATTTCTTTGAGGCCTCTCTCACTGGCTTTCACACAGTTGCCTTCTCACTTATGTGTTCACATAGTGATTTGTGTGTGCACATGCCTGGTCTCTCTCTCTCTCTCATTCTCTTGCTCTCATCCTTTCTCTCTCATTTTCTTATTTTGTCTTTCTTAATCTCTTCTTATAAAGACACCAGTCATATTAGATTAGGATTCACCCCAATAACTTTATTTTAACTAAATTGCCTCTTTAAGGACCTGTGACAGGTTGAATATTTGTGCCCCACAAGACTCATTGTTGAAATTTCGTTTCCAACATGGCAGTGTGGAGAGGTGGGTCCTTTAAGAGGTAATCATGAGGGCTATACCCTCATAAATGGATTAATCTATTCATGGATTAATGGATTAATGGGTTAATGGATCAATGGATTATCATGAAAGTGGGACTGGTGGCTTTATAAGAAGAGGAAGAGAGACCTGAGCCAGCACACTCAGTCCCTTCCATGTGATGCCCTGAGCTGCCTTGGGACTCTGCAGAGTGTCCTCACCAGCAAGAAGGCCCTTGCCAGATGTAGTCCCTCAACCTGGGACTTCCCACCCTCCATAACTATAAGAAATAAATTTCTTTTTAAAAATAAATTAGTCTTATATATTCTGACATAAGCAATTAAAAAATGGTCTAAGACAAGGCCTTATCTCCAAGTCCAGTCACATTCTGATGTACTGGGGGTTAGAGCTTCAACATACAGATTGTGGGGGAGATACAATGAAGCCCATAATAAGAGGATAATTCAAAGAAATTATTTCCAAGAAATGACTTGGGAAAGTATGAAGCCCACAAAAGGTAGAAAATCCAAGTTAGCTCTTATTAATATTCTTTCCAATATATATGGTGAAGGAGCTAGGGACATGCTGATATGGTTTGGCTGTGTCTCCACCTAAATCTCATCTTGAATTGCAGCTCCCACCATAATTCCCACAAGTCATGGGAGGAACCTGGTGGGAGGTAATTGAATCTTGAGGATGGGCTTTTCCTGTGCTGTTCTCATGAAAGTAAATAAGTCACATAAGATCTGATGGTTTTATAAAAAGGGGAGTTCCCCTGCAAAAGCTCTCTTGCCTTGCCTGCCACCATGTAAGATGTGTCTTGCTCTCCTTTCGCCCTCCACCATGATTGTGAGGCCTTCCCAGCCATGGGGAACTGTGAGTCAATTAAACCTCTTTCCTTTATATATTACCCGGTCTCGGGCATATCTTTATTAGCAGCATGAGAACAGATTAATACACATGCCATCCCAAAATATGACTGCTTTGTATATTGATTATTTCATGCAGAAAATATTGGAGAAAGTGTACTTGCAGAAAAAGCTATCTGATCTGCCATTTCCTACAGCAAGCCATAAGAATTCCTTTGGGAGGGGTGCCTTTCCCCATACCAGGGTGAAAAAATAACCTCTGATCACCAGAGAGGATATTGTTGCTGCTGTGGGCCTGAATAAACTCCCTGAAGTAACCCTTATCTTCCACTAGCTTTACACCCCCAATATATCTCCTAGTGATACCCTTAGAATTTACTGCTCCTAGCCTAGAGATCCCTTTGTCCTGTCATTTCTTCATGAATGTATCACTATTTGTATACAAAGTATAAAAGCATCTTGCTTTGGCTATTCCTTCAGATGTTGCTCTCTTGTAAAGATCCCCATGTACATGTGAAATTGATAAAGCCTGTATGCTTTTCTCTGGTCAGTCTGTGTTGCATCAATCTAGTTCCTAGACACAGCCAAAGATCTCACATAAGAACTAAGGTAGTGCGATTTTTAGCCTCCCCTACAATGGAATGCAGAATTTTTAAGCTATGAGGGGCTGTAGGGGCGCTGCAGTCAAAATCCCTCACTTTAGAGAAGAGGACACTGGTAGCCTAGAGGAAAAATGATATATCAGAAGCCACATCAAAACGTTTCACTTTCTAAGTTACCAGTGGATACATTTACTAATCCCAAATCACAGGATAGATGCAGAAATCTGGGATGTTGGCTTGCTGGGTATAGAACACAGGCACTCTAAAATCAGGATTTTAGAACTGAAACAAATCTTAAAAACTATTTTATTTAGTCTTCTTACAGAAATAAGAAACAAGGTGCACAGGTTCTCCAGTTAATAATGTAGGCAGGAGTTGAATTCATGTCTATTATTTCCTTGAAGAAAGTTACACTGAATGGCTACTATATAGCAGGCATTTTGCTGGACACCAAGGATAAAATGGTAAATCAAACAGGTAGGGACACTACTTTCATGGAGCTTGGAGTCCAGCTCTACATATTGGTAAAAAGAAACAAACAACAAAAACTACAATGTAGTAGACTAAAGACTGTCCTTTGACAGCTCCCCATTCCCTAGACCACCAAGTGTTGCTTGGTCCTGCACCCTGCTTATCTCTATTCCTTCACCAACTGCTCTCATTCTTTCCATGTTTTCAAATACAATCTTGATGTTGTTGACTCCTGAAGGTGTATCTCCAGCTGTGACTTTTCCTCTCAGCTTCCAACTCCTGTATTGAACTGTATCCTGGACATCTCAACTTTGATCATTAATCAATATTCCAAACTTAATACATTTAAAACCAAATGCTTCTTTCTTGAGTCTTTTCCATCTCATTAAATGAGTATTCCCCTGTGTATCCAACTACTGAGGCCTATAGAATAAGTAGGAGTTAGCCAATCAGAAGATTATACAGTAAGGACTTGCATTTGCAAAAATCCAAAAACAGAAAGAATATGATGTATTTAAGGAATTGGAAGTTAAACATGGCTTGAGTACAGAGTTCAAGGCAGAGAGTGACAAGAGATGAGGTTAGGAAGGTGTACAGGGCCCTGTAAGTCATGAGGAAGAGTTCAGGTTTACGTACAAAGTCATGAGGAAACACTGAACTGCTCTAAGCAAGGCATAAAAGATTAATATTGAATTTTTGAACACTCTGGCCACATTAAGGACAATCCAGAAAAAGAACAGTACTGATGGCAGAAAGCATAACTAGGAGGCTATTGCAGTAAACTCTGGAAAAAGGGGATAATGATCTAAACCAGAGAAAAGACAGTGGGGATGGAGAGAAGCAGAGAGGTCTGAGAGATATTGCATAGGTAAAGACAACAAACATGGGGGTTGTGTAGTTAGGGTTGTGTTTCAGTTCATTTTTTGTTGTTTATAACAGAATACCTAAAACTGGGTAATGAAGAAATGAAATTTATTTCTTACAGTTCTGAAGGCTGGGAAGCCCAAGGTTAAGGGAATTCATCTGGTGAGGACCTTCTTGCTAGTCTGCCAAGTCCCAAATTGGTACAGGACATCACACAACAAGGGAACTGAGTGTGCTAGCTCAGATTTTTCTTCATCTTCTTATAAAGCCACCAGTTCCACTCCCATGACATGAATTCATGAATTAATTAATTCATTCATGAAGGCTGAGCCTTCATGACCCAATCACCTCTTAACAAACATAACTCTCAATACTGCCAATATTGGGGATTGCATTTTAACAAGAGTTTTGAAGCAGACCAATATTCGAACCATAGCAAATTGCATTTGGTTTCATGTAATAGAAATCCACTGCAATGGCTCAACCAAATAAGTTTTAGTTTTCTTACATTACAAAAGTCTGGGTATAGACTGTCCAAGAATCTGTGTCCACTCAAGGAAGCCGTCAAAGGTTAGGTTCTTCCTAGCTTCCTGCTCTATCATCTAAAGCATGTGGCTCTTATCTTCATGGTTGAAAAACGTATGTTCTATCTGCAGGCATTGTTTCTGCAGGCATTGTTTCTGCGTTCAGGAAAGGAAATGAGAAAGAGGAAGGCAAAAACTTTGAGCCAACTTAGCCTGTTATTTAATATCAGGAAAAAGATAGGATTCCCAAAAGTTCTAAGAGACTTCCACTCTTATCCCACTGGCCGATAGCGGGTTATATGATCACCCCTAGAGTCTCAAGGGGTGAGTATTTTTATTGGAGTATATTACTGCACTTAAACAAAATCAGTGTTCTGAGTAGGAAAGAAAGGAAGAATGGATATTGGGTAGGTAGCTGTGAGTGTATGCCATAGAGTCTGATTGGATTTGATGGCAAGACAAAATCAAGATTATTGCCCACATTGGTTTCAGTGTTCTTACTCCCACAACCACCACAGTAGGAAGAGAAAGAGTGGGAGGAAGGGGAGACAAAGGTTAAAGGGAAACATGAGTTCCACTTAGGATATGTTGAATGTGTACTATCTGTGGGACAATTACTCATAACGAGGGTCTGGAGCTCATAAGAAACTTTTGAACTAATGATATATGGCTGAAAGTACTACATGTCTCATCCAAATACCCATGACCTTTCTGCTATATCTGGCTGATCTTGCAAGCTTCAAATCCTTACTCTTTTAAAACCTCTAGCCATTTATGACTAGTACTCCAGTGATCCTCTCTGAAGTCATACAAGCTTTTTAATTTATCCATTAATATTGCATTTTATGTTGACCAGAATGCAAAGAAAATAGAATTTACTTGGCATCAAGCTAAGCAGTTTTTATTTTATTTGCTACCTGCTGTTGGTGTGTTTTGCTTTCTCAGGATCATTCCTGAAAGGGAAAAAAAAAATGGCAAATGAGAATCACTCATCGCTTTCATTGGAGGCTAATGGATGGGAGATATTCCAGCACTAAAGAAATAACATCTTTTGGCAGGGTTGACATCAGTTGACATTTCTCATCCTGGGATTGGACAGGAACATCTGGAATCCTACTAGAGCTCGCTGGCAAACCTCGGATCCAGCTGCTACACAGTTAGACCACTTTTGTGTCCTAATCTCTGCATACTGCTTTTGGCTACTCCAATTAAGTAATTAGATTAGATTAATTAATTAGATTGGCCTACTGGTTCAGATATTTGTAAGACTGTTTTACCTTACAATAGAACGGTCATTACATTTCTCACTTTAACCCAGTCCTTGTTAACTGGGAAGATTCGTTTTAAAACAAAACTCCCTATAGAGAATTCAGAAGAGACAAAACTTAAAATGAGCCATAGGAGGATGGTTCTACAATAGGAACTATAATAATACTGCATGATAACATTTTGAAGCAGCAAGACATATTTGCAGAACATTACCAGCATGGTAAACATCTGGCTTCTGTTGGAAATAAACGGATAAAACATTGTATAACCCTGCTGGTGGGCAGAGGAATAGAGGTGTCTTTCAAAATACATAAAACACTACAGTTTTTAATTGTAATCACTGAAGTGAATCACATTATCAAAGAGTAGCCTATAGAATTTCATGTTAATCATATTGAGGAAAGAGAAATGCAGGAAATTTAAGCTCCTCTAGAAATATGCTCAATATTTTCTCTGTTGCATCTCTTTTTCTTTGCTTATGCTAATTGTTTCAGCTTTTCTCAAGGTAATTGCCAGATCACAGCCTCCTAGTCTTCAGATTTTAGTTGTAGACCCACTGTCCAAGTCAAGAAAGAAGGAAATTATGAATGCTATTCACCAAATATTTCTGGCTTTCCATCTTCCTGGCCATTTATGATTTATGGGACCACATAGCTAATTTTGGCCAATGTGTTGTGAGCAAACACATCTTATGTCATTTCTGAGCCAGTATGAGATCCTGTTGCATTTCATTTAACTGTGTCAGTTTCTGACAACATTCAAGACAGTGGATCTCTGAGTGACCAAGATGGGCTGATCTCCCACTTCCCCACCTCCATTCAAAATTCCACAATAGAAATTTATCCAGAATGGGCCGGGCGTGGTGGCTCACACCTGTAATCCCAGCACTTTGGGAGGCCAAGGCAGGTGGATCACCTGAGGTCAGGAGTTCGAGGCCAGCCTGGCCAACATGGTGAAACCCCGTCTCTACTAAAAATACAAAAATTAGCCAGGTGTGGTGGAGGGCACCAGTAATCCCAGCTACTTGGGAGGCTGAGATAGGAGAACTGCTTGAACCTGACAAAAGAAGGCTGCAGTGAGCTGAGCTCAAGCCACTGCACTCCAGTCTGGGCAACAAAGAGTGAAAGTCTGTCTCATAACTCCACCCCAAATCAACAGAATATACATTCTTCTCAGCACCACACCACACTTATTCCAAAACTGACCACATAGTTGGAAGTAAAGCACTCCTTAGCAAATGTAAAAGAACAGAAATTATAATAAACTGTCTCTCAGACCACAGTGCAACCAAACTAGAACTCAGGATTAAGAAATTCACTCAAAACGGCTCAACTACATGGAAACTGAACAACCTGCTCCTGAATGACTACTGGGTACATAACAAAATGAAGGCAGAAATAAAGATGTTCTTTGAAATCAACGAGAACAAATACACAACATATCAGAATCTCTGGGACACATTCAAAGCAGTGTGTAGAGGGAAATTTATAGCACTAAATGCCCACAAGAGAAAGCAGAAAAGATCTAAAATTGACACCCTAACATCACAATTAAAAGAACTAGAGAAGAAAAAGCAAACACGTTCAAAAGCTAGCAGAAGGCAAGAAATAACTAAGATCAGAGAAGAACTGAAGGAAGTAGAGACACAAAAAACCCTTCAAAAAATCAATGAATTCAGGAGTTGGTTTTTTGAAAAGATCAACAAAATTGATAGACCGCTAGCAAGACTAATAAAGAAGAAAAGAGAGAAGAATCAAATAGACGCAATAAAAAATGATAAAGGGGATATCACCACCAGAAATATAAACTACCATCAGAGAATACTATAAACACCTCTATGCAAATAAACTAGAAAATCTAGAAGAAATGGATAAATTCCTCGACACATACACCCTCCCAAGACTAAACCAGGAAGAAGTTGAATCTCTGAATAGACAAATAACAGGTTCTGAAATTGAGGCAATAATTAATAGCTTACCAACCAAAAATAGTCCAGGACAAGATGGATTCACAGCTGAATTCTACCAGAGGTACAAGGAGGAGCTGGTACCATTCCTTCTGAAACTATTCCAATCAATAGAAAAAGAGGGAATCCTCTCTAACTCATTTTATGAGGCCAGCATCATCCTGATACCAAAGCCTGGCAGAGACACACAAAAAAAGAGATTTTTAGACCAATATTCCTGATGAACATCGATGCAAAAATCCTCAATAATATACTGGCAAATCGAATCCAGCAGTACATCAAAAAGCTTATCCACCATGATCAAGTGGGCTTCATCCCTGGGATGCAAGGCTGGTTCAACATACACAAATCAATAAACGTAATCCAGCATATAAACAGAACCAATGACAAAAACCATATGATTATCTCAATAGATGCAGAAAAGGCCTTTGACAAAATTCAACAACACTTCATGCTAAAAACTCTCAATAAATTAGGTATTGATGGGACGTATCTCAAAATAATAAGAGCTATTTATGACAAACCCACAGCCAATATCATACTGAATGGGCAAAAACTGGAAGCATTCCCTTTGAAAACTGGCACAAGACAGGGATGCCCTTTCTCACCACTCCTATTCAACATAGTGTTGGAAGTTCTGGCCACAGCAATCAGGCAGGAGAAGGAAATAAAGGGTATTCAATTAGGAAAAGAGGAAGTCAAATTGTCCCTGTTTGCAGATGACATGATTGTATATCTAGAAAACCCCATCGTCTCAGCCCAAAATCTCCTTAAGCTGATAAGCAACTTCAGCAAAGTCTCAGGATACAAAATCAGTGTGCAAAAATCACAAGCATTCTTATACACCAATAACAGACAAACAGAGAGCCAAATCATGAGTGAACTCCCATTCACAATTGATTCAAAGAGAATAAAATACCTAGGAATCCAACTTACAAGGGACGTGAAGGACCTCTTCAAGGAGAACTACAACCCACTGCTCAATGAAATAAAAGAGGATAGAAACAAATGGAAGAACATTCCATGCTCATGGGTAGGAAGAATCAATGTGAAAATGGCCATACTGCCCAAGGTAATTTATAGATTCAATGCCATCCCCATCAAGCTACCAATGACTTTCCTCACAGAATTGGAAAAAACCACTTTAAAGTTCATATGGAACCAAAAAAGAGCCTGCATTGCCAAGTCAATCCTAAGCCAAAAGAACAAAGCTGGAGGCATCACGCTACCTGACTTCAAACTATACTATAAGGCTACAGTAACCAAAACAGCATGCTACTGGTACCAAAACAGAGATATAGACCAACGGAACAGAACAGAGCCCTCAGAAATAATGCCGCATATCTACAACTGTCTGATCATTGACAAACCTGAGAAAAACAAGAAATGGGGAAAGGATTCCCTATTTAATAAATGGTGCTGGGAAAACTGGCTATCCATATGTAGAAAGCTGAAACTGGATCCCTTCCTTACACCTTATACAAAAATTAATTCAAGATGGATTAAAGACTTAAATGTTAGACCTGCAACCATAAAAACCCTAGAAGAAAACCTAGGCAATACCATTCAGGACATAGGCATGGGCAAGAACTTCATGTCTAAAACACCAAAAGCAATGGCAACAAAAGACAAAATTGACAAACGGGATCTAATTAAACAAAAGAGCTTCTGCACAGCAAAAGAAACTACCATCAGAGTGAACAGGCAACCTACAGAATGGGAGAAAATTTTTGCAATCTACTCATCTGACAAAGGGCTAATATCCAGAATCTACAATGAACTCAAACAAATTTACAAGAAAAAAACAAACAACCCCATCAAAAAGTCGGCAAAGATATGAACAGATACTTCTCAAAAGAAGACATTTATGCAGCCAAAAGACACATGAAAAAATGCTCATCATCACTGGCAATCAGAGAAATGCAAATCAAAACCACAATGAGACACCATCTCACACCAGTTAGAATGGTGATCATTAAAATGTCAGGAAACAACAGGTGCTGGAGAGGATGTGGAGAAATAGGAACACTTTTACACTGTTGGTGGGACTGTAAACTAGTTCAACCACTGTGGAAGTCAGTGTGGTGATTCTTCAAGGATCTAGAGCTGGAAATACCATTTGACCCAGCCATCCCATTACTGGGTATATACCCAAAGGATTATAAATCATGCTGCTATAAAGACACATGCACATGTATGTTTATTGCGGCGCTATTCACAATAGCAAAGACTTGGAACCAACCTAAATGTCCAACAATGATAGACTGGATTAAGAAAATGTGGCACATATACACCATGGAATACTATGCAGCCATAAAAAAGGATGAGTTCATGTCCTTTGTAGGGACATGGATGAAGCTGGAAACCATCATTCTCAGTAAACTATCGCAAGGACAAAAAACCAAACACAGCATGTTCTCACTCATAGGTGGGAATTGAACAATGAGAACACATGGACACAGGAAGGGGAGCATCACACACCGGGGCCTGTTGTGGGGTGGGGGGAGAGGGGAGGGATAGCATTAGGAAATATACCTAATGTTAAATGATGAGTTAATGGGTGCAGCACACCAACATGGCACATGTATACATATGTAACTAACCCGCACATTATGCACACGTTCCCTAAAACTTAAAGTATAATTAAAAAAAAAAAAAGAAAGTGTCTCAAAAAAGAAAAGAAAAGAAATTCATCCAGAATGAGAACTAAGCCTTCATATTTAAAAACACTGAGGTTCAGGGTTGTTAGTTACCACAGCATAATTTGGTCTATTTTTATAAATATAAAGAGACATTTTTTGTATCTAGACTACTAAAATATTGTTCAACATGTTCCTTTGTGTACTTTGTAAAAACTTTAAGAGACTTAATTTAACAGAGAACAAGAATAGTTATTAACAGTACTTAAAACATGACCTAAATTAGTACAATTATTAATATTAGCATCTGCTCATTTTTAATAGTGACAACAATGCTATTTTCATCTGTAAGGGGATTTCATTCTTTTATTAACACTTCTTTCTGATTTCAGAAGTAAAATATGTTTATTGATAAAAATATGAAAATGCACAGAAAGCAGCAATAGAATTTTAAATTACCCATAATACCTAAACTCAAGGATAACCACTATTAATTTTTTACATATAAACTCCCAGTCTTTAAAGTAGGGTTCACATTTTCAGTACAGCTTTACTTCTGCTTTACTTAACAATGTATTGTCAATATTTCTCTTTATCATTAAATATTCTTATTCATCATTTTAATGGATGAATGGTATTCCATCATATTGATGCATAATTATCTGGTAAATTAACTCCCTACCATTGAATACTTAATTGTTTCTACTTATTTTTTGCAAAATAATATTTCCCTACATCTATAATAATTTTCTCAAAACCAATTTTTAGAAATTCAACTGCCGCATCAAATAGAATGTAAAACTTACAGGTTTTTGACCTTGTTTGCCAAATCACACTTCAGTAATGTAAGTATATTTCATAGTCTATCCAGCATTATATGAGAATGTTTATTTCTTACATTCTACTAACATTGGAAATTCACTGGCATTGTATAAAAGATGAAAATCAGTTTCAAATTTGTGTTCAAATTGTATGCATTCAAATATATTCCTCTTTTCCTTTGTGTTTTCTTTCTTTGTTAAAAATGTCTTTCGAACTCCAAAAATATGTTTACCTACATTTTATTATAGATCTTTTATTGTTTTATTTGTTAATATTTCTTTAAATAAGCCATCTGGATTTTTTGTTTTCTGTTTGTGTAATATGAAAATATATTTAACTTAATTTGTTGTTTTACTAAGTAGTCATTTTTTTCCTAAGCCATCTAGTGGATAAACTATTCATTCTCTGCGTGTATTTGGGTCTGCTTCTTGGCTTGTATCAATTCCATAGTGTTTCAATTGTCGAGACTTTCTTAGTATTTTTCTTATCATCTAAACAAGCACACACAGGCAGGTAGGTGTGCATATATACACACACACACACATTGAGGACAGTCATTATTTTTCCTTTTTGAATTACCTTTCAATTCTTCAGAGTGTTTCAATGTCTAGAAATCTTGAGCATTTCATGTCAGGGGCAGCACCGGACCTGATGCAGGAAGATCTGTCTGGCAGTGGAGGAAGCTTCAGATGAATTCTGCAAGGCAGACTACAATATGATCAGGGCTGGCAGATGGAACTTCTTCTCAAGAAAGTTTCACTCTTTCTATCTAAAAAATATGTCTTTAGTTTCTTTTTTTTTTTTTCCTTTTTTTTTTTTTTTTTTTGAGATGGAGTTTTGCTCTTGTTGCCTAGGCTGGAGTGCAATGGTGCGATCTCAGCTCACTGCAACCTCCTCCGCCTCCCAGGTTCAAGCGATTCTCCTGCCTCAGTCTCCCGAGTAGCTGGGACTACAGGTGCAGGTTACCACGCCCAGCTAATTTTTGTATTTTTAGTAGAGACGGGGTTTGACCATGTTGGACAGGATGATCTTGAACTCCTGACCTCATGATCTGTCCACCTTGGGCTCCCAAAGTGCTGGGATTAGAGACGTGAGCTACCATGCCCGGCTGTCTTTAGTTTCTTAATATTTACATGTGCTGTGAACAAGACACTGTCCCTGTCACTCCCACTTTAGAAGGGAAGAAGCAAACAGAGGCAATTGTCATACATTGTGATGAACTGCTCCTTTAAAAGTGAGTTCAGGACTTCTGCCTAAGAACACGGACCTTTAACAAGCCTGGATTAGATAACTGCAAATATCCAGGTCACACTTTGGGATGCCACAGAGAAACTGTAGTGTAAACCTCTGTCCCTTCTCCAAAAAGGTCAGGATTTTTCAAACACCAAGTCCTATAGTAGGGCAGCAGGTCTAGATTCTGAAGGATGCCGGTTAATCATGCCCTGCAACCATTGATTTTATTAGGCATGCATCACTACAAAATATAAATACTAAATAATTTACTTAAAGCATTTTTGTTGGAAATAGCATGCATGATTAATTTTGTCCTTGATGTGAGATGAAAGCTGAATTGTTTCTATCTAATTGGCAGTTCCCTTCAACAGCTTATTTTCATTAGTAACCACTTGTCATTGCTTTTCTTGATGCAAAGTAAACATCATAATGATTCAGAATGTTTTTAGGCTTTGGATGAGATTTTCTGCTTCTGACTCCAAATAGGGACAATTTCATAGACAGCCCCGTAAGGAATATGAACTAGGACTGTGATATTCACAAAGCGGTCAACTGACTGGTTTCCCTCAAGAGCTTAGGAGAAATACAAAAACTCAGACCCCAACCCAGACCTACTATATTTGAATTTTCACTGTGACAGAAAAACCCCAATGATTGTGTGCACATAAAATATAAGAAGCTCTGACCTAGGAGACATGGGGGAAACTCAGAGCCCAAATACCTCTCTCCCCTCCTTATTCCATCATGATATATTTGGGGCTTAACCATTGCATGTTCGACACAGACAAAGGGTTGGATCTAAGAAACAGTTTTTTTTTTCTTTTTTTTTTTGAGACAGTCTCGCTCTGTCGCCCAGGCTGGAGTGCAGTGGCGCGATGCTCACTGCAAGCTCCGCCTCCCAGGTTCACGCCATTTTCCTGCTTCAGCCTCTCGAGTAGCTGGGACTACAGGCGCCCGCCACCACGCCCAGCTAATTTTTTGTATTTTTAGTAGAGACAGGGTTTCACCGTGTTAGCCAGGATGGTCTTGATCTCCTGACCTCGTGATCCGCCCGCCTCGGCCTCCCAAAGTGCTGGGATTACAGGTGTGAGCCACGGTGCCCGGCCAAGAAACAATATTTTTTTTAAAACCCACTCTTAGTTTCGCCTGAGCTTGTGTCTGCTCAAACACTGTTGCTAGGATGTCCCTTCAGGGCAGAAACCAACTAAGGTCAAATTCTGTTTTTAGTATGAAAAATTTAAAAGAAATGTCCAACATTGGGTATGTGCTTTAAAAAAAAGTTGGGGGGGGGGCTTGTTTGAGTCTTTCAGGTAATAGAATACTCTCCAGCTGTATGAAAAAAATGTTATAGGAGATGAATATTCAGTAAATGGCATTCACACTGTAGTGGGATGCTTTGTGAGAGACACTTTTGCTTCTCTCTCATGTTTATGGAATTCTAGAATTTCAAGATTGACAGAGTCTTCAAAGATCTTCTGGATCTCACCTCTACTTTCTACTCTGCTTGAACACCTCTGATGATGGGGGACTCATTACTTATAGAAAGGCAGTCCCTTCCATTTTATGGAAGTACAAATGGTTAGAGAGTTCTTTCCTCCTTTGACTTCAAAAATATGCTTCTCTGTCGTTTATTTCCTGTGATCTGGGATCTTGGCCTTTGTAATTCATGGAATAACTTCATCCTCCTCTTCATAAACTAGTCCCTCAAAATCTGAAGTCACTTACCATGCTTTCTCTTCTCCAAATTCAGCATCCCCATATACTATAGATTATAAGGAGTAAGAAAGGAAAATTAACTACAATTCGAAGTCAACAACAATTTCTTATGGTTTAGACTTCCCTGGCCTGACTACTTTCCCCTGGGTATACTTCAGTTTCTGTCCAACCACATCCGTGTATTAATACTTTCATTCATTTATTCAGCAAATATTTATTGAATCATTGATTGCTTATTGAAAGTGAGGCACTATTCTAACCACTGGAGATATAGTACTGAATATAATCAACAAAATTCAAGTACTTGTGGGGTTTACATTCTAGCTGTAGAAATAAATAATAAAAATTGCTATGGAGAAAAATGAAGCTGCGAAGAAGGAGTAAAGAATATTTCATGCAGAGTAACCATAAAAGCCAATATTTGAGCAGAGGCCTGAAGAAAGTAAGAAAGCAATCCATGTGGGTGTGGGAAAGAGCATTCCAGGGAGAGGAAACAGCAAGTGGAAAGGCTCGAAGGAGAGAATACACATGGTGTGGTCTTCGGACAGCAAAGAAGCCACCGGAGCTGGGGCTAAGTCACCTCAGAGGTGAGGAGGCAGGAGCTGATTATACAGAGACTTGTAAACCATTGAAAGGACCTTAGAGTATTTTCTCTGAGTGAGATGGAAAGCCACTGGTACATTATAAGCAAATGAACAACATAATCCGACTTAGTGCTAGATAGCCCCTCTGGCTACTGTGTAGAGAATAACTGGTCAGGGTAGAGAGGCAAAGAGGGATTGGGGGTTTGCAGGAAAAGCAAGGAGAACATTGAGGACACTACGGCAATAAGCTAGGAGGAAAATAGTGGCTTAGATGAGAGTGGTAATGCTGGAGAGTGCTAATACTGCTGTGAGCCAAAGCCATTCCACAAGCAATGTTTCTGTTCTCAGTACTGGTTTTCATGGGACTCTCATTCAATGTAACCTATAATCTTTGGAACTTAATGCAGGGAATACGTGAATCCATAATTCCACCAAGCTCTAGTGATTTCTCCAAAGAAATGCTTGAGCTCTCACTTCCAAAACTCTGTCTCTGCCTAACCTTCTAAAATTTCCTAGAATACTTCAAATTCTTCCTGGATACTGTTCTAGCATCTGGTGATATGGGATTACCGGATCCAAATGCATGCCGTTTGCAACAGCCAGCCCAGAAGAACAGACACTGGCAGGGTATTATCCGTGTTCCCTCTGAACTCACAATTCTTTGAACGTTGATTGCTGCCTAAGACAAGCACCTATGACTTTTCCCCTACTGGATTTAGAGGACTCAACCCAGGAGTGGTGTAGGCCAGAAGGACAAGGAATATGCCATTCCCAGGGACAGTGCTTTTAATGATGAAAGTTGGAGAATAATACCCGAGGCTACTTTACCCCTTGGGTGGAACCACACTGAGGCATATTCTGCACTATCTCTCAGAGGCGCTTGTCAGAAATTACCCATAGTTGCCCACAGGGGTAACCTGCTCATTAACACTCACTATGTTGATTCTTTTTCCTTTTCCACCTCATTTCCTCATTCCTCCTCTAGTGTTTCTTGGCACTATGTTCAAAATAAGTTATGTGATTCAAATCTCCATCTGCTTCTGGGGGAACCCAACCCAAGACAAGTAGTACAAAGAGAATAGTAGAGAGCCACTCCTCTTAGCAATGCAGTGGGCAGACTTTTCTGAAGACAATGAGCTATCTCAGTTAATTCAATCAGTTACAGATCAAACTCCGTGTTCTACTGTGTTCCCCATTCTCACTACTGCACTTGAATAGCACTTAAAGTTTTTTTAAAGAATATTATTAACAAAGGAGTAATTATTTGTCATTTTAAAGAGTGGAGAGGGAGATGACATAAGCAAGATAACAGAATAGAAAGTCCAGGATGTTCCCTTTCCCCACAGAGAAACCTATTCAACCACACATGGACCAATTCCCTTTGTAAGAAATCCAAAGAAACTGAGAGGTCCCTGCACCCCAGGTCAGGGCAAAACCAACTGCGTCAAAGTCAGTAAGAAAATTTGTGGCACCCACTTGCCACACCCCTCACTTGCCATTGAGCCCCATAGCTCGATGTAGTGCAATTGGAGGAAAACTGTCAATTTCTGGCTTCTCCTTGGAGAAAGCAAGAGAAAACTAAAATATCCATCCAATGTGCAGGATTTTTAGGTGTTGCCTGAAGGACTGGTTTCTGTCTCTCTTGTCTCAGAGTGCTGATGTGACCCAGCATACTCCAGATCACAGAAGATCACTGCAAATGAAAAAGAACCGGGTGGCTTGCTTAAAAGCCAGAGAACCTGAAATACCACAAAGAGAGACCAAAGATGCAAGAAATTAAGAGGTCCTGAAAAAAAGAAGAAAAGCTGGCAAATGTCTCTAATTGAGAATGTACTTGAACAAATCCAGAAAAGATGCATCCACAGAAAAAGTTTGAGAGGCCTCTGGAATCTTTAGCCAGGCTGAATAGGAAAGGTCTTTCCCTGTCTAAAGCCATTCTATAAAGACTGAGAGAAGCGACTTTTTTTTAATGTGCAAATCCCCCCACAAAGTTACAAGGCACACGAAGAAATAGGAAAGCATGGCCCAATCAAAGAATCAAAATAAATCTATAGAAACCAACCCTAAAGAAATGAAAGCCTGTAAGATACTTGACAAAGAATAAAAAAAAACAGCCATAAAGATGCTTAGTGAGCTCAGAAAAAATCAAAATTAGAATATCAGCAAAAAAAAAGGAAATATAGAAAAAAGTCAAATAGAAATTCTGGTGCTGAAAAATACAATAATTGAACAAAAACGTTTACTAGAGTGGTCCAACAGCAGACTTGATGAAGCAGAAGAAAAAAATCAGTGAACTTGAAGAAAAGTCATTTGAAATTACTCAGTAAGAGGAGCAAAAAGACAAAAGAATAAAAAGCATGAAGAAAGCCTAGGAGACTTACAGATAACCAAGAAGAAATGGATAAATTCCTAAAGACATACAAGTATCAAGAGTGAATCATGAAAAAAATAGAAAATCTGAATGTGCTAGTGATGAATAAGAAGATTGAATCCACATTCGAAAACCTCCCAGAAAGGAAAAGCTCAAGACTAAAGGGCTTTACTGGTGAATTCTACCAAACTTTTAAAGAAGAACTAATGTCAGTCTTTCTCAAACTCTTCCAAAAAGCTGAAAAGGAGGTAATACTTCCAAACTCATTTTATGCAGTCAGCATTATCCTAATATCAAAGCCAGACAAAGACACTATAAAAAAAGAAAGCTGTAAGCCAATATCTCTGATACATATAAATTTTTAAATCTTCAACAAAACACTACCAAACTTAATTGAACAACAAATTGAAACTATTATATATCACATTCAAGCAGGTTTTATCCCTGAGATGCAAGTATGGCTCAATGTATGAATCTATCTATACGATATGTCACATTAATAGAAGAATAAAAATCATACGATCATCTCAATAGACACCAAAAAAGCATTTGACAAAATTCAGCACCACTTTATAATAAAAACACTCAACAAACAAGGAGTAGAAGAAAATTACCTCAACATGATCAAGATCATATATGAAAAAGAAAAAATGGAGCTAGCACCAAACTCAAAGGTGAAAAACTGAAAGCTTTTCCTCTGAGATCAGAAACAAGCCAAGGATGTCCAGTCTCACCACTTTTACTCACCATGGAACTGGAAATCTTAGCTAGAGAAATTAGTCAAGAAAAATACATTAAACTTACCCAAATCAAGAAAAGAATAAGTAAAATTATCTCTGTTTGCAGATGTATATGTAGAAAATCCTAAAGTTCTTTTAGTTTCTGAAAAAAAAAATCCTGTTGAATAAACAAATTCAACAAGGTGGCAGGTTTCAAAATTAACATAAAAAGTTGGTTATGTTTCTATACCCTAAAAATTAACAATCCAAAAAAAAGAAGTTAAGGAAAATAATCCCATTTATAACAACACCAAAAAAATAGTTTGAAATAAATTTAACTAAGTTGGCCAGAAACTTGTACACTGAATGCTGCAAAACACTGGTGAATGAAATTAAAGAAGACACAAATAAATTTAAAGACATCTCATGTTCATAAATTGAAAGATTCAATACTGTAATGTGCACATTACCCAAAGTGATCTATAGATTCAATGAAATTCCCATCAAAATCCCAGACTTTTTCACATAAAGAGAAATAATAACCCTAACATCTATAGGGAACCACAAAGTACCCCCCAAAAGCCAAAACAACTGTGAGAAAGAGCAAAGCTGGAAGTCTCATACTTCCTGACTTCAAATTATATCACAAAGCCACAGTAATCAAAACAGTATAGTACTGGCATAGAGATGAACCTATAGATTAATGGAACAGGAAAAATACCCTAGAAATAAACCTATGCACATTCAGTCAACTTATCTTCAACAAGGATGCCAAGAATACATCATGGGGAAATATATCTCTCCAACAGATGGTGCAGGGAAAACTGCACATTTAGTTGTAAAAGAATAAAATTGAACCTTTATTTTACACCACACACAAAAGTCAACTCAAAATTCACTATAAAATTAAATGTAAAATCTGAAACTATACAACAACTACAAGAAAACATAAGAGAAGAGCACTATAACTATTTTTCCATGATTTCTTGAATATAACATCAAAAGCACAGGACACAAAAGCTAAAATAGACAGAAGGGATGACTTTGAAAACCTTAAAACCTTCTGCACAGCAAATAAAACAATCAACAGGATGAAAAGCAACCTATGAATTGGAAAAAAATATTTCCATATCATATAGCTGATAAGGGGTTAATTTCTAAAATATATAAGAAACTCCTACAACCAATTGCAAAATAAGTAACTCAATTTAAAAATGGGCAAACAGCTTAATTAAATAGACATTTCTTTGAAGAAGCCATGCAAATGGCCACTAGGTATAGGAAAAGATACTCAGCATCACTAACCATCAGGGAAATTCAAATCAAAACCACAATGTGGCCAGGCACTGTGGCTCACACCTGTAATCCCAGCACTTTGGGAGGCCGAGGCAGGTGGATCATTTGAGGTCAGGAGTTTGAAACCAGCCTGGCCAACATGATGAAACCCCATCTCTACTAAAAATTAGCCAGGCATGGTGGTGGGCGCCTGTAATCCCAGCTACTCAGGAGGCTGAGGCAGGAGAATCACTTGAACCTGGGAGGCAGAGATTACAGTGACCCAAGATCACACCACTGAACTCCAGCCTGTACAACAGAGTGAAACTCTGTCTCAAAAAAAAAAAAAAAAAGCAACACACAATGAGATATCACCATATCCCTCATATCTGTTAGGATGGTCATTATTTAAAAAAATAAAAACCCAAAAACCAGAAAATATCAAGTATCTGTGAGGTGGTGAGGATGTAGAGAGATTGGAACCCTTGCACACCATTGGGGAGCAAGATACAGGCACTCTATGGAAAATAGCACAGAAGTTCTTTGAAAAATCTGAAAATAAAAATACCATATGATCCATCTGTCTCATTTCTAGGTATGTATCCAAAATAATTTAAAGCAGGATCTCAAAGAGATATTTGAACTCCCATGTTCATTGTGGCATTATTCACACCAATCAAGAAGGGAAACAACCTAACTGTCTGTCAACAGATGAATGGATAAAGAAATATGTGATATATATACACAATGGAATATTATTTAGTCTTTTAAAAGAAAATCCCATGATTTGTTTCAGCATGGATAAACTTTGAGAACATTATGCTAAGTGAAATAAACCAGTCACAGAAGGACAAATACTTCAATTTTCCACTTACATGAAGTATCTAAAGTAGTCAAACTCATAGAAGCAGAAAGTAGAATGATGGCTGCCCTGCTATGGATGGGGAAATTGAGGTATTATTTATTAATACAGTTTCAGTCATGCAAGACAAAAAAGTTGTGGAGATCTGCTGTACAACAATGCATATATAGGCCTGGCATGGTGGCTCACGCCTGTAATCCCAGCACTTTGGGAGGCTGAGGCAGGCAGATCACTTGAGGTCAGGGGTTTGAGACTAGCCTGGCCACCATGGTGAAACCCCATCTCTACTAAAAATACAAAAATTAGCCAAGCATGGTGGCAGGTGCCTGTAATCCCAGCTACTCGGGAGGCTGAGGCAGGAGAATCACCTGAACCCGGGAGGCAGAGGTTGCAGTGAATAGAGATCATGCCACTGCACTCTACCCTGGGCCACAAGAGCGAAACTCCATCTCAAAAAAAAAAAAAATTAATGCACATATAGTAAATACCGTAATACTGTACAATCCACTTACAAATTTGTTAAGAGGGTAGATCCCATCTTATGTGTTTTTTACAATTAAAAAAAAGAAATTATGCCAGCAAGAGTCACATACCTATGCATCGAAATGTACAGTCAACAAATTACAATTGGATAAACCATTTTAGATAAGGCCTGCACCTGCAACCTAGAATGACTACCACTTTGTCTCAGTGTTATCACTGACCAGCTGTGTAACCATGGGCAACTTTCTTGCCTAGTCTGGGCTTCAGTTTCCTAAGTAAAATGACTAAAATAAATTAACTCTAAAGTTGATCCTAACAAAGTTTTATGACCCTGAGTTTCTGGTTTACTCAGCATAACCTTCATGATAAGAAGCAAAGTTAGCAACCAACTGTCTTTAGACAGACCTAATTTTACATTTTCATGTAGCTCATTGAGGCAATTTCTTCCCTAATCTATTCCTTTGTGCTGAACTTTTTTAAGTTTGACACTCTAGATATCCGTCTGCCTCAAGCAAAACAGTTGACAGAAACCCATGAACCCATCATGCCCTGATTCATAGGAAGTAATTACTAATAATCCTAATTCTGGTTCATAGTTTGCTTGTCAGTAATTACAGCTGCAGTTGAATGCTTTCAGCATTAACCATCAGCCCAGAGTTGCAGCTCCCTCCTCATCTCAGGGAAATGGAACTGTGAGTACCTTTCAAAGCAAGGTTTGCTGCTTTTTTGCCTGGAACACTTTTTAATTGGGTATCATTTGGAAACTTCTAAATCCCATTTTAGAGCTTCTGGTCACTGCGTTACTTATTGAAGCCCTAAAAGCTAGTTATGAGGCATGCCTGAACAGTGCGAATGTCAAAGCAAAAATTACGATCATCTCTGCTTTCTTCCGAGAATGAAAAAAGCCATCATCTTGACCTTTTTTTTTAATATACTAAAAGAAATCTAAGATAACAAAGCTGTATGAGAAAGTACTTATGAATTTGGGATTGAAATTGCACTTCTAATTTAAGAGTTTTCCATCTAGTTAGGAGGGTTTAAAATTGTTAGGTTGTTCAGAAACCCACAGACTATGTAAATGTACAGTTTTGGTATATCCACCCAAGTGCCTGACTAGAAACTTTAGTCATCTTTACCTTCGCCCTCTCTTCCCCACCCACATCTAATGAGTCAACAAACTCAACCCATTCTACTTTTCTAATGATTTTGGAATTTACTCCCCCACCTCCACCCCCATTACTGCTGAAAAGGCAATTAAAGATCTCATTACTTCTTAAGTGGGTGAGTGGTTGGCTTGATCCCAGCCCTTCTCCACCTCAGGACTCTCCTACACGGACACAAGAGATGGCTTTACTAAAGCACAAATTAGAGGCTGATTTTCTACTTATAAATACATGATGCCTCCCTGGGGCATAAATGAGTCAAAGCCTTAGTTTGGTACTTCCTACTTCTTTAGCTTATTCTCTTAGACTTCCACTTCATCACTTCCAGCTGTCTAAATCCCACCCACAAGACTTATTATTTGTCATCCCTTGAATTCCAAAATGCTCTGTGCACTTGCAAATATTTCTGTTAGCTCTTTTCTTTGCCAAGAATTCCCAACTTTATATACTGAAATCTTACTTATATTTGAATATGAAGCTCACCCATCAATTTCTATGAAACTTCCCACAACTCTTTTAGAACAGCTCAATTGTCTTTCCTACATGCTTCCCTAGAACATTTATTTATTCACCCATTCATTTTTTTTTTCATTCACCAAATCTTTAAGAAGCAACTAAATTCTGGAGATACGGACTCCTGCCCTTGGGAAGCCTACCTTCTTATAGACTATTTCTACCACATGGATGCTAGCTCATAGTCTTTTTACCCATATTTTAATCAGTGTCCTGTTTCCTTCATTGGACCACAAACTCCTTGAAGGAAAGAGATTATGTTTTATTCAGTGCCCAGAACAATGAGTGATTTTCAACTAATATCTATTGAATTTTACTTAAACTAGCTTATCTCTTGAGTATGTATGTACAAGTATGTATTTGTATTCAAACCAAGAAACTTACAATACCTAGTACTTTGGTAGCTGTGCACTGCCCTAGGCATCATCTATATATCACTATCTAGCTTAAAACCAAACAGATGCTGGTGCAAACATCTCACCAGCATTAGTGCAGGTAATGAATAAGAAGCACTTGTCACAGTGACTGGCATCTGAAATTGCTAAAAAACACAAATCCCTCTTCAGGTTAATTTGAGTAGCCTTACATTTTTTAAGATTCAAAATAAGCTGGTCTTTGTTTAAGTCTGATGGACTTTTCAAGTAAGAATGTCCAACAAAGCAAGAGTTTTCATCCAACCCATTTCCTCAAAGTGTTTACCATTCAATCAATAATAGTAGAGGCATTTGCAAAGAAGAGTAGAAAAAGGTGAATATTTGAATTTCTGTAAGAGATCTGGGTTTCAGGACCAGCTCTGACATGAATAACTTCTGGAAAATCACCTCATTTCTCCATTACTTAGTTTTCTTATCTGTCAGGGATGGGGACATTAATAACACTTTTACCTCCCTTGAAGAGTTTTGTGGATAAAAATATAATAACTGTAAGATTAGCCTGAAAAATAAAGGTAAAAGCTTATCAAATGTGAGGTAGTATTTGTAATAGTAAAAACTTATGAAATGCTCTCATGACTGAACCATCTCTGAGGGATGTCCCCAAGCACATATAAGGCTGTTTGGTAAATTGATACACATATGGTCAGGGATTTAGTGGCAAGAGATAATAAATCCTCGCCAGGTCCTCTTGGGGCAGATAAGAAACAAGTATAGCCAACCCTCAGTGACCTGTGATAACAAGGCCAGGGATGATACGGATAAACGGATTTCGCAGATTATCCAAAAATATAACTTTTCCCAATTAGGACCTCTAAACTTTTGCAGAAATTCCTTAAAAAGAGCCAAATTACTTTCACCTGGACTCATAACCTACATGAGTTTCACCACCAGTTCCTACCCCTTCCCATGCCTAGATACAGCTGCAAAAAAAAAAAGAAAACAAACAAAACAAGAACAAGTAAGTCTGCTGGGGCAGCTGCCATACCTAATGCTGAGCTACCCGGGAGAACTCAGTACATTTTATTTTCAGAGATGTGGTGCTGGCCCTGTCTATATTTTCCTGGCGCAAGGAAAAAGCAACCTAGGGCCTGCCAACCCAGAACATTCTGTAAGTGACCTCAAACTATGGTAATTTCCCCAAGCCGCCTGAAGGAGCTTGTCCCTTCAACTGATCCCTTGGCAGCAATGAAATCAGGTCTTGGATAATTCCTAATCCAGAACTTTTCTGCAGATTTCCAAAGCTGGGGCAGGAAATGGCTTAGAAATGAACAAATCTGTTATTTGAATTATTCAACAATTCTTTCCTTGACAACCCCATGAGGGAGTTGCTTTCCTGTCATTTCTCATTATGAAAGCTTTTCTTTCCCTTCTTTTTGCTGCTTTTCCTGAAATTTTGGCAAGATAATTCAAAAACACTGTGAAAAGCACCTTGGGAACGACCATCTGCAAAACAGCAGCTCCATAGGTTACATGCAGCTTAATCTTACCTAGGAACTCCAGAACAAAATGTAGGCAGGTTAAAAAGCAAGAAATCATTGGTACCCTCTCAATGGGAATTAGAGCAACATTGAGAAAAATGAACTAGCGATGACACCTACTTTAAGTGACTTGCATTCTCATTCACTCATTGATTCAATGAATGTTTGTTGAGTGTTTGCTCATGCCAGACACTCCAAAGAGTACATTTGGGTTCTGTCTGTCCAGTTTCTAGAATACTATCAGTAACTGCAGCATGCAATTCTCCTCCAAATCTGTCCATTTTGCATTTATGCCAGTGAAATAAATAAATAGAGCGCAAGGTAGGATGACAGCCATCCCAGTTTGCCCAGAACTAAGGGAGTCCCAGGGACATAGGACTTTCCAGGATTTTTTTGATTTTTGTTTTTTGTTTTTGCCCAGACCAGAATGCAGTGGCATGATCATGACTCACTGTAGTCTCAACCTTTTGACCTCCCAGGCTCACGTGATCCCCCTGCCTCAGTCTCCTAAGTAGCTGGGACCATAGGTGTGCACTGCCACACCCAGCCAATTTTTTAATTTTTTGTGAAGACAATGTCTTACTGTATTGTCCAGGCTGGTCTTGAACTCCACGGCTCAAGGGAACCTCCTGCCTCAGTCTCCCAAAGTGCTGGGATTATAGGCATGTGCCACCATGCCCTGCCTCAGTTTTCAAACTGAGAAAGTCCTGGGAAAATAGGGATAAGTTGTATTTGACCTTTGACAATCTTTTGTGTGATCTTTGATGATTTTTTTAAATCCTTAGGCCTCAGTTTCCACATCTGTAGAATAAAGGCACAAGAATAGATTATCTCTAAGAATTACCTTCAGCTTCGGTATTCTAAGAGTGAATTTAATGTTTTTAGAATTAGAATGGGTTCTGGAGAGGCTATAAAGATATCAGGAGCTCCTTAGAAATATCTATCCACAAATAAAAATAACATTGTGTTAAAATCCGGCTAGATTCCCAAGATTACAATGATCTAATCTAAAGTTAAGCCACTCCTTTTAATTAAACATCTGCGTTCTTTGCCTCCATGCCTGGATAAACTTAGCTCAGCACAGAAAAAGTTCTATTCAGAAACTGTGACAGAGAATCCCAGAGTCTGTTCCCATAATAAATAGCTTAAAATTATATTCAGCTGGGTTCCTTAAGCAATTAAGCAGGGTGATCATCTCATAGTATTTCAGGTTGAATAGACTTTTGTTGCCATTAGGTGCTTTTGCATTATGGGTAAGATTGTAGAGGGAATTAAGGAGCACAGACCACGTGAATAATCACATCTTTGAAAGAATCACAAGAAATCAGACGGGAAGATGGGGAGAGGAATGCAGCCTGATTCAAATTCTAACGCTAACTTAGACAAAGACTTTACTTTTCCTGGACTTTAATAGCTTCATCTATAAAATGAGAAAAAAACATATTTCCCAGTGTTGTGTGAGGGTAAACTTGTTCTTTTTTTTTTTTTTTTTTTCTGAGACGGAGTCTCTCTCTGTCGCCTAGGCTGGAGTTCAGTGGCGCGATCAAGGCTCACTGCAAGCTCCGCCTCCCGGGTTCACACCATTCTCCTGCCTCAGCCTCCTGAGTAGCTGGGACCACAGGCACCTGCCACCACGCCTAGCTAATTTTTTGTATTTTTAGTAGAGACGGGGTTTCACCGTGTTAGCCAGGATGGTCCCGATCTCCTGACCTCCTGATCCGCCCACCTCGGCCTCCCAAAGTGCTGGGATTACAGGTGTCAGCCACCACGCCCGGCCCTAAATAAATTTTATTTTATAAATTCATCCTTATATTTTATACATGTATTTTATACATATAGTGTGTGTATATATATATATACACTATATGTAATATATACACATACTTTATTATATATACTGTGTATATATGTATAAAAACTACTATATATACACTACTATTCATATAAAACATAAGGAAGGATTTATAAAATAAAATTTATTTGTATATAAACCTATATATAATATATAACTTGAAGGATTTACAAAATAAAATTCATTTATATATAAACCTATATAGAATTTGTATTATATATAATATATGCTATACATTATATATAATTTATATATACTATATAACTTATATATGTTATATAGTATATATAAATTAATTATGTATTTTTATATATATATAAAAATTACATAGGCAGTCAACCCTTGAACGACCCAGGGGTTAGGTGCACAAACCCCACACAGTCAAGAATCCACATACAATTTTTGAGTCCCCCAAAATTTAACTACTGATAGCCAATTGTTGACCTGAAGCCTCACTGATAACATAAAGCTGATTAACATATATTTTATGTGTTATATGTATTATATACTGTATTCTTATAATAGAGAAAATATTATTAAAATTATAAGGAAGAGAAAATATTTTTACCATTCATTAGGTGGAAGTGGATCATCATAAGTGGAGCATGGCCTTTAGGTTCATTATTTTCATGTTGAGTAGGTGCAGAGGAGGAGGAGGACGAGGAGGGGTTGGTCTTGCTCTCTTAGGGGTGGCAAAGGAGAAGAAAACGCATGTATAAGTGGACCCATGCAGTTAAAGGGTCAACGGTATAAAATGCTTCTAAAAACATGAATAGAGAATACGTACTGTCCAACTGCAACAGTCCTTGATATGAACAGCATTTCTAAATGCCGAAAAGGCCATGCAAATCTAGAGGGATATGTTGTACAAGATTAAGTAGCAGAACCACTATGTTTAGCTCCTTCAAGTCCCACCAGATCTGCTTTTTGGCTAACCCAAGAGTCTCCCAGATTAAAATAGGAAGTAAGGTGTCGCTGAGCTCCCCTCCATGTCTCTGAGAAGCATTTTCCCTTAAATTGTTGGAGACAAACAGCAACCTAAGAATATTTTGTGATCTATAGAATCTCATGCTAACAAAGGCCTCCAGATGCCCTACTCTGGTGATGCTTTCTCTGACTTGGAAAAATGCTCACCCAGACCCTGCTTAAGCAGAGTGGGGAACAGAGAACTAATGAGCACCTACGGTTTTTATCCTGCCATTTTGCCTTTATTTAATGCATCTTCCCAGATTCAGTTCATCATTGATCCATCTGATTGCATTCTTTGGGATTCCTGAGGCTAATATGTGCTAAACACCATGCCTACCACTCATGCAGTAGGTACTCAATAAAGCATTGTTCTCCCTTGCAATACTTTCTTCTTCCTACGTAATCACTGGCTCAAATTAGGGCACAGTTAGCATTCTTTAAAAAAAGCTTTTCCTGGCCAGGAACGGTGACTCATGCCTATAATCCCAGCACTTTGGGAGGCTGAGGCGGGCGGATCACCTGAGGTCAGAAGTTCAAGACCAACCTGGCCAACATGGTGAACCACCCACCCCCCCCACCCCGCCGCTCTCTACTAAAAATACAAAAATTAGCCGGGCATGATGGTGGGTGCCTGTAATCCCAGCTACTTGGGAGGCAGAGGCAGGACAATCGCTTGAACCTGGGAGGTGGGGTTTGCAGTGAGCCACGATCGCACCACTGCACTCCAACCTGGGCGACAGACCGAGACTCTGTCTTAAAAAAAATTTTCTTAAAAAGCTTTTCCTGATGTCCAGGAAGACCTGCCATAGGCTGACAACCAGGATATTCCTCTGGGAATTAACAGGGAAAATTCAAGAGGAAGATAGGAGAGCAAAGTGGCAATTTCGCACTGGGATCTGAATTCTATTTGCAAGGAAAAAAGGCTCCCTTGCCTTTAGATTGGCGAGTAGCCCATGAGCTGCTGAAATTTCAATTCAATGGTAAAAGTATATTGCTCCCCCAGTCCCTACACCCTTATACCCGTGGCATGGCAAGGCTGTCCCAAGTTTGATTTAACTTTCTTGCCAATACACAGGAACAGGTTGTTAGAAAACAATGATCTCAAGACCTCCCTCAAAACTGTGCTGTTTTTCAACCCCATTAGTGTTGAGATAGCGGTGTATGATTGCAGGATGATTTATCTCTCAATACTGATCTGTTCCTACATTACTGGACATTTCCTCCACAGCTGATTCCATCAATCATGCAATCATCTGAGCAGCTCTGCCGCCCTTGCTCCTCTGACAGAGCCACACTTTTGCTATTTATCTTCCATGCCGTCTCTCACTCTTGTCAGTTTTAATTCTGCTCCATTCTCATTTTCTTCTCCTGTCCCCTGAGGGCTCTGTCTGGAACATATTATTATTCAGTATTTACAGGGATGTCACTTGAAACATGTCACCATCGGAAATGACAAAAATTCAGGGATTTTCACAGAATCATCTGTGCCCCAACCACCATTTTGAATTTTTATACCATGATATAAATTCCACAACTACCCATGAATCTCTAAAATTATTGACTTGGTTCAAAGGAAGCCTTAGGGCAAGAGTGTGACATTTGCAAAAATCCTTCCAGTTTAATTGCAAAGGTTTCATTTTGGAGGAGACTTTATTCAACTTTCTATTTTTAGAAAAAAATGTAATTTAGAAATGCTCGCACCATTATTAATGTTGTCACACAAGTGAGGCCTCAAGATCTATCCCTAAACCTCTAAAATTTATCATTATGAATTGTCTATATTGTATTATCAAATGTATTTCTTTTTTAATAACGGAATTAAAATGCTTACCTAACTAACACCCACATAGCACTTTTGGTGTCCCAGGACCTGCTCTAAGCATGTATACACACATATTTTACTCCTCAAACCAAAATGTTATTGCTGTCAGAGAGGGTATTTGGGCAAACTGTTTAAATAGAAGGAGAAGTCCATTTATTCTACATATACTAGACCCTCAACTTTTTCACATTATCTTTCAGATGCTGACCACAGTTCTGAAAATAAATATGGTGATTTGCATGTTCATAAAAGAGAAAGATGAAGGATTAAAAAGTTAGCAGACTCACGCAGGTGGCTCAGCCAGTATCTTAGCCTGTACCTTTCTGATTCCAAATATTCTACTTCTCAATGTCCCACCATGCCAATCTCTGTCTTTTTGCCTTTGGAAAGGGATCTGATATGCCAGGTTATTGTAAAAGCTTCTTTCTTAAAGTTTTGGCTCAACCTTTGTCCTGGTGTAACGTCTTGTCAGTCGAAGCTCAGCCATCTTTTTGTATCAGCCTCAGTGCCAATTCACTGTGTCCACATTTATCATGAAGGAGGCGATGAGGTGGAAAGTGTACTTGCCTTTTCCCTAGATTGGACTAGAGTGACACAAAATTCTGGATCTGTCCTTGGGCCTGCACTGGTGCCAGGTCACATGAGCTGACTCCCCTTACGAAAATAAAAGCATCCTCCCCCTGGTACAGCCAGGCTCACTGGAGTTCTACACTTGGGTCTGGGGCCCAAGGTCCAGCTAGGGAAAACATTCATTTAACTTGCTTTGTTCAGTAAGCTATTTCCCCGTAAAGGGTTCTACATGGAGCAGTGACTGGACAATGGGCAATAAGTATTTCTTTGTCCCCTGGCCAGTCTCACATATCACAGACAACTTGGAGGAAGCTCAGCTGGACCAGAAGAGCCAGAAATCGGGAGCATGCAATGGCAGATCATCAGGGCAAGGCCACTCACCAGCAGGGAGGCCCAGTGAATGCAGAGCAGGTGGCAACAGGAAAGACTGGAGGCCAGTCTGATAGGAAGGCAAACACCAGCAAGAGGCAATTCCGGGATCATTTATGGGAAACCGAGGCATGGTCTGCAGAGGCAACCGCCCCCCCCACCGTCACTTCCAGAGAGATGAACGGAAACCTGATCTCTGAGAACCCAGTCTTCTCAACAAGTTGTCAACATGCTAATAAGCATAGTGTCTTACTCTGTAGCAGGTACTTTTACTTTATGTGTTATTAACTCTCCATCTTCTCAACAATCATATCAAGCAAGTGCTACTTCTATCCCCGATGTATGTATAAATTTGTCCAACCATGTAGCTCATAAGTAAATTAACTGTAATTTCCAAACCTAGATACACCGACCCTAGAAACTACACTCTCACTACTTTCCTACCCACCAACACCTCTTAAAGTTGAGGTGAGAACTAAGTAACAAGCACTTATGAGCTGCAAATTTCAGTGGAAAGCACTAGTCCAAGCATTTGTTTGAAACCCCCCACACAATTTGTACAACAACCCTATGAGATAGTGTGTCCGTCAGCATTTGGTCACAAAAACAAAAGGTATTTTGCATGTTCTAAGTATCCACAGTTCTAATGCAGGAAATTAGAGGTTTGCAGTCTTTTGGAAAGACTTAGCAATGAATTCAGGGAAGCCACCAGGACCTTTCTGCCTGCTGCTGTATCTATGCAAGTGGGAGTCGACACTCACCCAGAGGCCACTGAACACCTTAAGGGCCTCTGGGAGGGTCTCTCTGGCTTCTCAGCCAGCATTCCTGAGATAGGTGATTCTTAGGCTTACCTGAAAGCCATTATAAATCTGTTATCTACCTGCCCACACACTTGCCTGCAACCAACTCCCTTAAAACATAATGGCTGCTGCTTCTCTCATTTTAGGAAAATCTCACCCAAGTCCCTCTCCTTGGCAGACTCTACACAAAGCCATACACAAAAAGATGTTCTAAGAACCATAGTTATTGGCTTCTCCACAGTACAGGGGAGACTTAGAAGGCAGTAAAGATGCATCAAGTTGAGAACAAATGATCTGGTAGAATTAGGTAGAATTCATATACCCATTTTACAGTTGATGAAACTGAGGCAGAGGCACAAAGCAGTTAATCAATTTACGCCTAATCACATAACTTTAGTAAATGATAAAGCCATGATTCAAATGTAGAGGGACTGGCTCCATAATCTATGCTCTTGCCATTGCATGAGATTGTTTTCATGGAAGACTTAACTCAGCACAGCTTGGCACACCCGTTAGTGCTACACTCATTGTGGTGGCTGGGTTTTATTCTTATTGATACATTTCTTGTGTTACTATATTTGTTTTTCTCATAATTAGCACAACTGGGATTGCTCAGCCAATACCCATGGAATGTTGAATACCCCCACCCACAGTCTGCCCCATATCTCAAGGCAACCTAGACAGGTTTTCTTCCTCTAATGAATTATCATTATGACTTAGTCCAAGATTTCTAAATAATTACCAGTTCCAAAAAACCAGCATCCTGAGTATCCACAGATATGTGCATGAATACAAGCATACATGCACACACATATGCACGCACACACACACACTCAGTCTTTATGAGCAGCAACGTAACTGTATTTCAATGGATGCGATTGATGAGGGCGAGTTCCAGGAGCTTCACCCAGGCAATCCCGGCTGGCCAATTATTGCAGACAGCCTGCTCCCACCTATTCACCACACAGAACACATGTCAAAATGCACTCGGAAACAACACTAGGCTGCAGCACACTGAGAAGGTGAGGCTGAGCATTGGACTTGCTGACTTTGGGCTGCCCGGCATTGCCCGGAACACGTTTGTGGTCCCTGATTCCATCTCTAGATACTGCAGGGAAGGCTCTGTAATTGGAAAATGCTGCCCAAGCAGAAAGTCTGCCTTGCTTAATAAACAGGGCTCTCTGAAGAAGTTCAAAATTACCAGAGGAGAAACACAGCCTGGTGTTACCATCAGTGTTCTAGAACTGGCTGAAATTGATCAAAGGTTTTAGCTGCGATCTTTCTCCTACAGCTCATTTAACCATGCAATTAGGCAGTTAAGTAGATGCAAAATATTTAAAATTAAAGATGCTTCTCATCAAGCCAGTGGTCAGAACTTTTTAAAGTAAATGATCAATTTGCTCTTTCTTCATTGCTTTCTTCATCTCTCATTCCTATCTATCCCCAATCATGCTTAGGAGAAAAAAAAAAAAAGAAAGAAAGAAAGAAAGGGTGCTTATCTTAACTCAGCAATTTCATGATTTCTATCAAATGGTAGGAGCAAAAATAAGAATTTGGAAGATTTCAAATGAAAACGCTATAGAGCAGAGCAAGGGCACAAACACGTGGCTAATAATGTATTTTGTAAATGTAAGGGAGAAAATTATGCATGAATACCAAATTTCCATGATAAGAAGGTGAACAGCCTATTTCACGACTGCAAATTCAATGCTGGAAATCACATCACTCTGAACAGGTATATAGTATTATATTCCAATTGAGAAAGGAATGCCATGCAAATGCACTCAGCGAAAAGGTAGCAGAGGAATATTGCATCTTTAATAGGATTTTTTATTCAAATGTGCTGAGCTGAACCATTTAAAATTGCATTTGAATAGTAAACAGATAACATCATCGTTTTTAAAAACCTGCACACTTGTGCCAGATCAACAGAGAGCCTGCAAAATAAAGACAGAGAGAAGGAGGTATCAGCTCTGAATAGAAAATAAAATTAAATATGACTTCTCGGTCATGAGGCTTTCTTCAGGCCTCAAAAAGGTAAAGCAAGGTTAACTCCATCCTTCATCAGCACAACTCCAGGAAGGTTTCTGAGCCAGCAGGTTCTTCCTCATCAATGTACGTTTTACAAGCACAAATTTAATTTGAGTGGAGGTTTTTCTTGCCTCTTCCACCAAATTGCTTTCGTTTCATTCATCAATTTGCATTACTGGTGTTTAGTACAAGATATCAGGGAAAGGTGAAGGAGAAATGCAGTCAGACAATGGTCCCCACAGAATTAAAATGCCAGTGATTCAAATGCAGAGGACATCAAAGGATGCCCAAGAAACCATAGTAACCAGGCTTCCAGGAAAGCCTCAGTTTCCCGGAATCCTCCCAAATGAATTCTTATGTTAGACAAAGTTTCTGCATAACTAAAAGCTGGACCTTTATGTGAGCAGACTTTCCTATCAGCCTCAGTTTTCCAGAAATATTTTAAAAACATTTTTCCTACATAAAGTATACAGATCAGTGCTCTGTGGGGGAAGGGGGTCTTCTGTCTACTTTAATTAGCATTAGTCAGGAGAAATTCATATGGGAGAGGAAGAATTTCATGAGTCAGGGAAAGCATAGATGGCTGTAAGCTGAAGAATTCCTCAAATTTTGGAGAACTTCTAAGGCCAGGGTTTTGTGATCTGTCCATGAGGTGATGTCATTTTTCTCTTTTCTGTGTAGTTTATCTCACCAGGTTGCCATCCAGCCTTCTGTACATTCTGTTCTCCTTGAAGAAAGCATCTTGGTAAAGGAGTTGGAGATTTATACCCAGAAAGGCTGAACTGGAAGTTTCTGGTGTGTCCCATCCAGAGGAACCCTGTAATGGATCAGAAGCCAGTCTGAGGCTTGCCTATAAAGCAGGGAGAGGCACAACTGGAATCAGAAAACCAGCACAGCAGAGATGCTAGATTGTATTGTGCTTACATGATGACTTTAGGATATTTTATTTTTTTTGAGACAGAATCTTGCTATGTTGCCCAGGCTGGCCTCGAACCCTGGGCTCAAGTGATCCTCCTTCCTTTCAGCCTCACTGAAGCTGGGATTACAGGCATGTGTCATCATGCCCAGCTTTTGAAGAATTTTTTTTTTGTCATGGCCCAATAATTTTTTAAATTCTATTTACAAATTTCTAAATACATAATAGTGAAAACATCAAAAATATAAAAAGGTATTCAAACTGTCTCCCACTATTGTCCTCTAACTGCCCTGCTGTCATCTCTTTGAATAGGTGACCATCTGCTTTTTCGTTATTATTCATCTTTTATTTATTTATTTATTTAGAGACAGAGTCTTGCTCTTGTTGCCCAGAGAGGAGTGTAGTGGCACAATCTCCACTCACTGCAACCTCCATCTCCTAGGTTCAAGTGATTCTCCTGCCTCAGCCTCCCAAGTAGCTGGGATTACAGGTGTGGTCCACCATACCCGGCTAATTTTTGTATTTTTAATAAAGGCAAGGTTTCAAGGCTGGTCTTGAACTCTTGACCTCAAGTGATGCACATGTCTCGGCCTCCCAAAGTGCTGGGATTACAGGCATGAACCGCTACACCCAGCTGTTATTTTTCATCTTTCCAGAAAGTTTTGATGTGTTTGAGTCATGGCTTCTTGGCTTCCTCAAGTATCTTCTAGACCTTGACATGCTTGACATCTCAGGCCCTCATTTTTCTCTAAGGATCAGACTTCTCGGTTTTTATACTGATCATCTTTCAAGAAATGAAAGCGTGTCTTTTCATTCCAATTCAGAACCACCAACAAGATGTTAATAATATTTTCAGACACAAATACAGTTTCTTAGTAAGTTTGATCATTGTTTTGGAATATGAAAACTTTGTTTTTTCTCAGGTAAATCCATCATTCTGAAATGATCTTTCACTAATGACAATTTAAAAGGATTAAAACCAGTCTTACTCACCCATACATTAATTTGTTCTCTTTGAGTTTAAAGGCGGATTTTATTATCTCAGAAAATACTGTTGATGATATTTGCTATTATTTTATGGTATCTGCAGGTTTTGTTTGTCCAACAATCATTCCCCCTACTTTTGGTGACTGTACCCCATTCTTAGTTGGAGAACAATCCCTATTCTCAGCCCTTGTGTTTCAGATTGAGTTGATACAATGCTTTAACAACAAGAATAGACATGTGACCCTTTCCAGGCCAATCAAAGTCAGATTTCCCATGGCTATTGTGATTTGTTTTGGGATCATCACATGACCCAACCAGACCAGTGAAAACTTGCCCTGGTCCTTTTATTGTCTGTCTTGGGAAAGAGAAATTCTCTGTACTCTAGAGTTGCTAACCCAGGAGGTTTGTCAATCCAGAGCTGCTGGAGGCCATCCTGCCACCCACTGATGGACCTTACCCAAGAATGAAGGGATTTCATAGTGTCTGTAGTGGCAAATTACAAAGAAAAGCAGAACTGAAAAATAGAGAAAGACAGATCCTAATTGTTTAATATCTGAATCCAAAGTCTCCTTTTCAAAAATGTGAACTAACTAATCCCCTTTTGTTCAAACCATTTGAATTGATTTTTTGCCACTAGCAACTAAATGAGTCCTTTTATAGTATTTAATTGCAGTAGCAGTCGACCTACATTTATTCTATTTAAAACTGATCATTGGTTCACTCATACTGCCACCAACACTTCCATAAGATATAGTACTATACATAGACCAAAAAGCTCTCCAAATATTATTGCTTACCTCTTTACAGACACTAAGCATTAAAATATGCTGGTACCATGTATCAACTGGTATGAGATATTCGGCTAGTTCCAAAACCTGATGAATTTCCACCCGGATTGGTACTTAAGGTCCTAAAATATATTTTTTTGGAGGCTGACACTTGTAGTCTCAAGAGTTCATCTAGTCCAGTAATTTCCACATCAGTAAGTTCTGGCCCCACCTGACCTCAGAATCAGAACCTACAAGAGCAGGACCCAAGAATTGATACTGTTAATGTCTTAGCACCAATATCTGTCTTAGTCAATGCAGGCTGCTATAACAAAATGCCATAGACTGGATGGCTTATAAACAACAATAATTTATTTCTCACAGCTCTGAAGCCTGGGAATCCAAGATCAAGGTTTTGACAGATTCAGTGTCTGATGAGCGCTAACTTCCTGGTTCATAGATGGTGATATGGCTGTGTCTCCACCCAAATCTCACCTTGAATTGTAATAGTCCCCACATGTCAAGGGCAGGGCCAGGTTGAGTAATTGAATCCTGAGGGCGGTTTCCCCCATACTGTTCTTGTGGTAGTGAATAAGTCTCACGAGATCTGATGGTTCTGTAAGTGGGAGTTCCCCTGCACAAGCTCTCTTGCCTGCCACCACATAGGTAGTACCGTTGCTTGTCCTTCATCTTCTGCCATTACTGTGAGGCCTCTACAGCCATGTGGAACTGTGAGTCCCTTAAGCCTCTTTCCTTTATAAATTACTCAATCTCGGGTATTTCTTTATTAGCAGCATAAGAACAGACTAATACAGATGTCTGTCTTCTCAATGTGTCCTCCCATGGCAGAAGGGATGAGGGTGCTCTACAAGGACTTTTCTATAAGGGAACTAATCAACCTCCACTTCACAACCTAATTACCCTCCCAAAGGCCCCACCTCCTAATGCCATCACATTGGAAGTAAGAATTTCAATGTATAAAGTTTGGGGAGACACAAACATTTGGTCTCCAGCAATTACCAAAAGCCTCTTGATGGGAATTATGCATTCAGCCCAGAACTAGTCCTCAATCCAGCCTATCTCCTAATTATCAAATGAAACCCAACAGTTGAACCCTACCTTTGTTTTCATGAGATCAAAAGATACATCTTCCTGTATCAAAATTCCTACTGTCAGCCTCTTACAGCTTTGTATTTTCTTATTCTGTTTTAATACACATACAAGCTTCATTCATAAGGAAAACTATGTCACAGGCAAATTGCACTGACATACCAACCTGCATCAATGGTCAGGAAATCGGTAGATTCCTCCTACTTTTGCTCACACTTCCATTTTCAGTATTTAAAGATTGATTATTTAAAATCCCTCATTACTAACTTTTACCAAATACCCCAAACATGAGACTAGGAAATCAAAGGAATCTCATGATCAAAATCATCACTGTGTTCAGTTCATGATGCCTATGGAGTTCTACTGGTGTCAGTGACCTAGCACGGTGCTAGATATAAGAGTAAGTTTCAATAAATATTTCTTGAGCACAAACCATGATCAGATAAATGACGAATTCAGTCTATCAAGACCAGAGCACATTCTCAATCATCTCCTTTCTGAATTAAAAAGCACTCATCTTGCATTCACCTGAGGAAATCATTGAAGAAACGGTTCCTACAGCTCAGCACAGAAGGCTGTGGCCATCCAGGACAGAGTACTCACAGACAAGAGGCTCAACTTAGAATCCCTTAGAGGTCGTAAAGATGATTTCTCTCTATCCCATATGGATCAGAGACTGCAAACTTAAATGCCCACAGGGGGCAGGCATTTAAGGACTAAAATAAGGGAGGTATAAGATTTATAGTCCTCCAATTTTTTCATACTTTATTTTTAGTTCCACAAAACACACTCAGTCTCAGTGTTGCCGAACCACAAGGTTTAGAGCAGCATGCATTCTCCATAGGGGTGATATCATTCACAAGGGGGCAAAAATTTTTTACTGAGAAGTGCAAAATCCTTAGGTAGTACAATGGCTTGTGGTCTTCCAAATGGCCACCATAGATAAACCGATACACAGTGTGTTTACGTTATTAAAATATTCTGGGAATGGATAGGCAATTAGGAGGGGAAAAATATCCTCAAAAGAAACTTTCTTAGGTTAATGATAATGATAAAAATGTTGAGAAACATCAAGAAACTGGAGAACTTTGGAATCTAAAGGGGCAGATGTTCTCAGCTGCAACTGATTTGTGGCTATGTGAAAATATGGCAGAGACATATTTTTAAAAGAAACCATAAATGTAGATATTTAGATAAAATTTCCCAATTATTAAATGTTTATTTTAAAAGAAAATCAACAATAATTCTTTATGGACCAAACAAATTATATCTCCAGGGCCATGTGGCCAGCCAGTGGCCAATGTATAATTAGCCTCCTCACTGGAAATTTGAAGGAATTGTTATGTCCTTAGAGCATTTGGTGATTGCTAATCAGTTGCATTAGACAAAGAGCAAAGGCATTATTTATGCTGCACCTTTTTAGGAAAAGCTTTCATCATTTAATCTGAAAGTGAGCCATTTGCCCATTGGCAAATTTGAGAAACTTTTTTTTTTTTGGGCTAGCAAATATTAACTAAGGTGTCAATAATATTTGAAAAGGGGCCTTAGTCATTCCAAAGCTATTTTTAAAATGAACAGAACAATTATTCCGTGGAAAGAGTGCTTGTGATACATGCAGGCTTTAAAGTTCTGCTTTTCAAACTCTGAAGCCTAGTTCCTGCATAAGTAGATATTTGTTTATTCTGCTTATCTCAAGCCATAGCGAATACTGTCCCTGTCTCTAAACGGTCAGATTTCTGCCTACCATATCTTAATTCTGCCTTAAAGCGATAATTCCAAAAAGTTAGAGACTGTGTTTACTGAACTTGTTATACTCACACAAAAGGATGCTAAATATTTGATGATAATTTTCCCTTTCTTTGAATTAATATGAGTGCCAATCTAAACAGCACATGTTGAACAAAAATTTTATTTTAATTGCATTTCCCACATTCCCTTCCCTTCACATAAATTCTAAGAATAAAATTAAAGTCAGCTCTAAAAAGTGTGTCTTTCCTCCTCTAAATGACATGCAGACATTAGTTTTGCCTTAATCACTTTTCATTTGAGCAGCTTAGGAAGGCTCAGCATGAATTTTTTACGTGTCAGATATACTCCTCCACCGACTCAATCCCTTCCTGCTGTTTCCTGCATTTTTCCCCCATCATGCTTTTACTTTGGAAAATCTATTTCCTCCAAGATATTCAGTGTTTTTTTTTTTAAGTAATTTTACCCCTGGTTTGCTGGAACAATGCTGAGTGTACAGGAATATTGGTAAACTCAGCAATTCAACAGGCAAAAATGGAAAGGAAGTGTCAAAGTCATTGGGGAATGTGGGGGACACCCATTAGGCATATCCCCCTGGGCTTGAGGAAGCCGTGAAATGCCTGGAAAGCATTTTCCTTTCCAAGATGGGTGAGGACTTTGTTATTTCCTATCTGTGTTCACCTAGAGGAGCTAAGTTCAGGAATTAAAATTTAATGAAGAATCAAGTTTGAAATTCTGCACCAGTGCACAATGCTTATAAATATACCACAGTGATACTATCCGGGTATTATAAATAATACATGTAATGTTGATTAAAATTTTGATGTAAATTTCTAAAAACTTTATTAAAGTTGTAAAATAACTGACATGGGTTTTTTATAGTTAGGTGACAACTTAATTAATCAACTTCTGTCTCCACTGCAATAAAGACTAGAAGAGCATATTCTCCACTTTACTTTTATCCCTGAAGAATGAGCCAGAAAACACAAAATTATCTCCCTTTCAAAACACCAAATTATCTTTCTTTCAAAACAGTCTGAGTATTAATTGTGAAGCATAACAGCACATAGTCATTTCCTAGACTAATAATCAGGAAAATACACAACTCTGACATTCAACTGGTGAAGAACTAAAGTGATAACCAGGGAACATTTATTCACACTCAGTCCGGAAATGATCATTTTTGTCTTGGTACAGGGAAAATTTTCAATTTTCAGGTCACTAAACAATTTAATTCTTTATTAGAGATAAAAAATTAAACACACAAATCATCACTACATGAAAGAAAATGCATATATACTCATATATATTGCACGCTGGTTGTCTCAGGATTCTTGTTTAATGAGACTTATCCCTTTTTAAATGAGAAATCCCAGGCTGATATTGAAAATGAATAAGATGATGGCTAGAGTAATGTTTTAGATAGCCAGTCTTTTATGACTTTATTATTGTCCTTTTGCAAGAGTTTTATTACAAATGAAATACTTTAGGAATTATAAAAAAAAGGTGTCTGTAATTATTGATGCAGGCTGTATTCATTCACTCATTTACTCAATAAACTTATTGCCTGCCGTGCCCTATGGTGGCATCAGGAGGGTTGCCAGGGTCAACTAGATGCACATGGTCTACTGAGTTTATACTGCAGCAAGAAAGACATATTATGGACATAAATATCTTTGTGGAATGGAGATAGAGCCAAACCCACCTGGATTCAAATCCCAATTCCATTTGACTCTTTGAATCTCGATTTTCTCATATGCAAAGTATGTCTAGCAATATTACTTATATCATAAATGTTAACATGACTCAATGGCATAATTCATAATAAATTCTTAGCACGGTGTCAAATATATAGTAAGTCTTCTATTTAAAGAGTTAATTTATCCTCCTTCTATAGTTGTAGTGTTGTTGTGTTGGCGGTGGTGGTCATTGTCCTCCAAAGGAGTAACTGTCAGGATGTGAGCTCTTAGCATACAAGAGGGGAATATGATTTATCATTACCCAGATCTGCACTCTTTCAAATTACCCCCACACCATGATTATTCTGACTCTCCCTCTAGGCTCAACCGTGTGTAATAACTGTTCCTTAAACCATGCTTCAAATCTGAATCATGTTGCTATTTACCAGCTGGCATTGCTAACACGAGCCCTGGATTAGCCATTAAGCAAAGTAAGTCTGTGCTTAGGACAGGAAGGGAAGGGAGGGGACACCTGGTAGTTTTCTCCCTAGTTAGGAGAAAAAGCTAGTTAGGTGCATGCTTTTAACTCTTTTACTGTCACATTCAACTTCATTGGAATTTTTTTTTTTTTTTTTGGAGACAGAGTCTCACTCTGTCGCCCAGGCTGAAGTGCAGTGGCGTGATCTCAGCACACTGCAAGCTCTGCCTCCAGGGTTCTTGCCATTCTCCTGCCTCAGCCTCCCGAGTAGCTGGAACTACAGGCACCCGCCATCATGCCTGGCTAACTTTTGGTATTTTTAGTAGAGACGGGGTTTCACCATGTTAGCCAGGATGGTCTCGATCTCCTGACCTCGTGATCCGCCCGCCTCAGCCTCCCAAAGTGCTAGGATTACATGTGTGAGCCACCACGCCCAGCCAGAATTTTTTATTATTATCTCCTTGGAGTGTTTGACTTTAATTTCCATTGCTTAGGAAATGTTTTCTTGGCCATGATGAGTAACTAAAGTTTAAAACTTCGGTTTGAAGGTGTCATCAGATATCACATTTGTTTTTAATCTCATGGAGTGAGAGTGTCTGGTTCCCTTCCAGTGCAACACAACTGACTGGATCTGGCTAGCACTTAACTCATCAGCTGATTTGTGTAACAGACCCTTAAGCTCTTGATTTTAAGCAGTGGCAGGGCCCAGGAGGAGCCACTGTTGGACAGTGCTTAGGGCATCAATTGGCCATATGCTAGCCCTGTTAAATATCCATAGGAGTTTACAACCTCTCTATCTCCGGTATCATGATAACCACTTTCCCATAGATATGTGAGCCTGACTCCTCATGCCTGGAGATAGAATTGCATTGATGATTTTCATAGGGTCAAGTTTGCATGACCTCTCAGCATTACCCAGCCTAACCTCCTATTGGAGGTCTAAATCCTATTTCTTCTTTTGGTGGCCCTATAAGTCTTTCTGCTGCCCTTTTTGCTGTGTTCTGCTACTTACTGTGACTACAGCACTTTTTAAAAATATTTTGTTTTATTTTATTTTAAGTTCCTGTATACATGTGCAGGTTTGCTACATAGGTAAATGTGTGCTATGGTGGTTTGCTGCACCTATCAACCCGTCACCTAGGTATTAATCCCTGCATGCATTAGCTATTTTTCCTGATGCTCTCCCTCCCCTCACCTCACCCTCCTGACAGGCCCCAGTGTGTGTTATTCCCCTCCCTGTGTCCATGTGCTCTCATTGTTCAGCTCCCACATATGGTGTTGGGTTTTCTGTTCCTGCATTAGTTTGCTGAGGATAATGTCTTCTAACTCCATCCATGTACCTGCAAAGGACATGATCTTGTTCCTTTTTATGGATGCATAGTATTCTATGGTATATATGTACCTTGAAATACTATGGTGTTCCAGAATCTACAAGGAATAGATTTTCTTTATCCAGTCTATCATTGATGGGCATTTGGGTTGATTCCAAGTTTTTGCTATTGTGAATAGTGCTGCATTGAACATACACATGCATGTGCCTTTATAATAGAACGATTTATATTCCTCTGGGTATATACCCAGTAATGGGACAGTTGGGTCAAATGGTATTTCTAGTTCTAGGTCTTTGAGGAATCGTCTCACTGTCTTCCATAGTGGTTGAACTAATTTACATTCCCACCAACAGTGTAAAAGTGTTCCTATTTCTCCACAGCCTCTCCAGCATCTGTTGTTTCTTGACTTTTTAATAATTGCCATTCTGACAAGCATGAGATGGTATCTCATTGTGGTTTTGGTTTGCATTTCTCTAACAATCAATGATGTTGAGCTTTTTTTCATAGGTTTCTTGGTCACATGTATGTCTTTTTTTTTTTTTTTTTTGAGAAGTGTCTGTTCATATTCTTTGCCCCCTTTTTAATGGGGTTGTTTTCTTGTAAATTTGTTTAAGTTCCTTGTAAATTCTGGATGTTAAACCTTTGTCAGATGGATAGATTGCAAAAATTTTCTCCCATTCTGTAGGTTGTCTGTTCACTCTGATGATAGTTTCTTTTGCTGTGCAGAAGCTCTTAAGTTTAATTAGATCCCATTTGTCCATTTTTGCCTTTGTTGTAATTGCTTTTGATATTATCCTCATGATATCTTTGTCCATGCCTATGTCCTGAATGGTATTGTCTAGATTTTCTTCTAAGGTTTTTATAGTTTTGGGTTTTGCTTTAAGTCTTTAATCTATCTTGAGTTAATTTTTGTATAAGGTATGAGGAAGGGGCCCAGTTTCTGTTTTCTGCAGATGGCTAGCCAGTTTTCCCAGCACCATTTATTAAACAGGGAATCCTTTCTTCATTGCTTGTTTTTGTCAGGTTTGTCAAAGATCAAATGGTTGTACATGTGTGGTCTTGTTTCCGAGATCTCTATTCTGTTCCATTGGTCTGTGTCAACTACAGCACTTTGAATGTATTTCCAGTATAGCCTAAATTGATTTGTGCTGTCATTACTTGTTTACATGTTTACCCTTTCAGGATAACACCTCACCCACCTTTCAGTTCATAGCAACTGACTCACACATACATAGTAGGTGTTCAATAAATATTTTAAGCAAGTAAATTTATAATTTAATGAAAATATGTCAGTAGAAATAGCTGAAATGTATGTAATACTTCTTATCAGAGTCCTAATTAGATTGAGCTCTAAGTAATCTAATTAAGCATAGAAATGTTCTCTTAGATTCTTTTGTCACAAAAGTTCCTAGACCTGAAAACCCAAAGTTTATAATCAGTGACTCTCAGATGGTTAATACAGAATGTGTATAGGATATTCAGTCTTCTCAGAAAATATGAAAGGGAGTTGAGATGTTCTGGGTCACTTGTATTTCCACCTTCCACTACAGTTCATTATGAGATAATTAGTTAAATATCAATTTATCTTGAATTATTATCTTCTTCCAGCAACTAGCCTACTTTTCTGAACCTCTTCCCTGCAACACACCTCAATACAATTGTCTGTTCTTGCCATCTCCATCCACTCCCTATATTAATTGTCCAATAACAGTTCTCAGTACTTATCTCAATGGACTTAATAGCAGCATGTGGCATACTTTATTGCTCTCTTCTTCTTGAAACACTCTCTTCTTCATTCAGCCAATTCTCAGTCTTCTTGCCTGGTTTCTCTTCATCTCCCTAACCTGCAAACATAAGTGCGTCCACACAGTCCTTGAACTTTCTTTCCTTCCCACTCATCAGTCACTTCTTTAGAAATCTTATCTAGTCTCCTAGCTTTAAATACCAACTATACACAGAAGGCTTCCAAATTATTAGCTTTAATCCAAACTCACCCATCAATTAAAGTTACAAATACAACTGCATAGATAACATCTCCACCTGGACACTTAACAGGCATCTGTTTGCCAGACACCTGTTAGCTACAACAGTCATGACACCAGGTTCAAAGCCTTGAAGAAGCTACTCGGAGCTGGAAAATATAACATAGTGTTTACTGAAGGGAACTTACATACAGAGCAGTCCAGTGGTGGCTTCCTGGCCAGGAGAACCAACACAGCCTACAGATAACATGCAGTTTATGTAGCATTTTTCACTTAGCACCCTCTTCCTAACAACCTCCACCTGAAAACCGTTAGTTAACCCAAAACAAAGGACCTCCATCCCATGTACAGGATGGTATTGGAGCTCAGATGTTCATCATAGATAAAGAATGAATCTCTAGGTTGAACACTTTGGGATTCCTTAGCTCAGAGTTTGGCACACACATTTTGGTGGGTCTGCCATACAAGGTAGTTCTTGGGTAATGCTTAAGTTATTACTGCCAGGTGCATCTGCCATATAGCATCTCTAACCCAACATGTCTAAAACTGAACTTTTAGTATTCCTACCTCACATCATAATAACTATTTCCTTTTTTGTGGTTACTCAGACCAAACTCCTAGAAATTATCCCTGACTCCTCATACCTCACTGCCACTCTACTTGCAAATTCTATTGATTCTGTCTTCCAGATACATCCAGAATCTGACCACTTCTCACCAACTCCACCCTGGTCCAAGGTCCATTATTTTTTGCTGAGACTATTACAAACGTTTCCTAATTATCTTTCTGTTTCTACTTCTGTTCTCTCTACAGTCTATTCTCAGTACACTAACAGAGCGATCCTGTAAGTGGGATGATGTCATTCCTCTGCTCAAACTCTCTGATAGCTTCCATTTTATCAGAGCAAAAGCTGACATTTTGCAATGGCCTGTAGGATGTTGTTATCTCTCATTTCTCCATCTCTCTGGTTTCATCTACCATCTCCCCTTCACCCACTCTGCTCCAGATATGGTGGCTTCCTTGTTTTTCTTCAAACATACCAGAGCCTAGAACAGGTTTGACAGAGGGTAGGTATTTAATGACTGTTTGTGGAAGGAGAATTGAAAGAAGGAAAGAAGAAGAAAGGAAGCAGGGAAGGAAGGAAGGAAGCAGGGAAGGAAGGAAGGAAGGAAGGAAGGAAGGAGGGAAGGAGGGAGGGAGGGAGGGAGGGAGGGAGGGAGGAAGGGAAGGAAGGAAGGGAAGGAAGGAGACAAAGGCTCAAATACAGCATTCAAAAGTAAAGTGGCTGTTTTTAAAATAATATGCTTTGTTATTTTAACAGTCAATATAAATACTCTTTAAAATACATCTGAGCAGAATTTGGATTTTGATGCCAGCTTTAAAGCTAAATTGTAGGGGTTTGTAACCATTCTTACCATTCTGTGTTTTCAGAAAATTATCTTAGTGTCCATAGACAAATGGAACGAGCACATTATAGAGTCTCAGAATGGTTTCAGAAACAAAGCATTTTATACCAAAAAAAGAATCATATTCTGAAGTATTACTTAGGAGCACAGGCATTCATTCCATGGACAAATCAAAAATGCAATCTGAAGAAATTGATGTTATGCCAGAAAAAAGTATACAACTTAAGGGAAAAATTGGGTTGAGAGAACAGAAGTGACCAACCAATGATATCAGATAGAAAAATCAGAATAAGTCTCCATAAACTTAGACACAGTTTTTTAATCCTTCACAGATCAATTTCAAAGGCATTCTCATTGTCCTGCAGAAATCACAGATCTGGATCTATAAACCATCATTTACAAAAATTTTGATATCCTTGATATTGTTTTAAGAAAAAGCATCATGACCTTAAAGTCCACAAACTGTGGAAACACAGTAAGTTTTGGATCCAAACCATGAACTGGAGGCTCTGCACCGAAACAGGAACAAGGGAATGGATGTCTACCAAGAGAGAAGCAAAAAGCTGATGTCTCTGCCTGCCCTACAAAACTAAAAGTCCTGATATGATAAAGCATTTCAATGTTTCCTTTCTTCTATCTGTTTACTCCACCTAAGTGGTTTATTCAGATACCTAAGGCTTGATTGTTAGCTTTTTGTTTTCCTAAAGGATATTGCCTGCTTGCCTACATTATCAAGCAGAGTTCATTGAATGTAATTTCACTTATTTCTGATGGCTCAGCTGCTTCCAGAGACATAGCATGATATAGCGATAGAGAATTGGACTTTAGCAACGAGCAAGGCCCTGTCTCAAAAGAATAAAAAATTAAAGAACTGGAGTTTAAAGACAGACTGACATGAGGAACTACTCCTTCTTCCACTCACAAGACATTTGACCTTAAACAAAGTTATTTAAGCTCCCTAACCCTCAGTGTCTTCATCTGGAAAATACGTACATTAACAATATTTCTGCAAGGATCCAGTGGGATACGCACAAGAGCAGCACTCAAAGATGTTTCTGACTCGTCACCTTGCTTCCACACCCATCACCAGCACAGCCATTCGGGACCACACTAACTACCAAGCACGTGCTGGATGAGAAAATTGAGATTGGCCTTTCCACACTGCATAGATCCTAGCACATTTTTCTGTTACCCCAAACCCTCTTGGTCCCAATTTCTCCTTTCCAGGTTGTCAGCCATTGTGGTCCCAACATGCTTTGCAGCCAAAACTATGGTCTCAGCTATCACAGTTCTCACACCAAATTGCTAGACATTTTTCTGGCTCCTCCCTCCTCTAGGATCTTGCTGGTGTCATTTGGCCGATCCTTTGCTGCCCTCCTGGTTTACAGCTTCTATTCTACTGTGACTGGCACCAACTCACTGTGGTACTTAGAATTAGAGAAGTTTAAAAACACTTCAGATCTCTTATGTAAGTCAGTATCATGAACTTTAACGCATGGACTTGGGAACGGCAATTCAATCGCCCAAGATCTTTTTGTGGGGGACAGAGGGCAAAGGCAGGATTTCAACCTCTATCAGAGTCTGAATAACAGCTGTAGTCCAAGACAGTGTTAACCACTGACAGGAAGATGGGTAATTAATAATAACTGATATTTGCTAAGTGGTCTCTACCATTTTAACTACATGATCTCTTTTAGAACTGTTATTTTTCCATTGCACAGGTAATTTGCCCAAGTTCACCAAGCTAATAAGCGGCAGACCTGAGATTTAAGTTTCAGGTAGTGTGACTCAAAATCTTTGGCTGCTTCCACTGGGCCACACCACCCTCCCATGCAGCCCTCCAAGAGCTCCCACGTGAGCAGAGTGGGCTGGAAGAGAGACTGAGAGAATGCACTCCTAATGGAAGCTAGTGGAAATGGACTAGGATGTGGTGGACAGGTGGAGAGGAGTTGAGAACTGGGAATTAAAGAAGCAAAAGAAAGAAGAATGAACTAAGCAAGATGCATTCAGAAAAAGCAGGCAGTAGTGACTAAAAAAGGGAGAGGCCACCACAGCCCAAACCTGTAAACATTCAATGGGAAAATTGTTAGGTGCCTTGGGCCACAGTCTTCAAATAAGTCAAATATTACCCATGATAAGGTAGTTCACAACTTCCTAACCAGTATGAAATGTAGCATGACGTTAATCCCTTTAGTTCTCAAGGATGGGGCCAGGAGACCAGAACCTCTAGGTAAATTCGTTTATTTTTTCCAGCATATCTGGACAGTGCAAACAGTATCATGATATAAACGAGGTTAGGAAGCCTGGGATAACTATTCCCATTCCTTGTCATTCTCCCCATGATGCCAGTGGGCTCTGGTACCTTCGGAATATGGAAACTTCTGCAAACCTAAACCCTTGAATTGACAAGAAAGCCTATTTTGGAGTGTCAAGAACTTAGAAAATTACATGAAATAAGATTGTCCCAGCAGTTTACAATATCTGAAGGGATCTAACAGAGCATCAAGTAACAAAAGCAAATGCTTCCACTGAAAATAACACTGAGGGTTCCAGCAGGTTCCTGGTAATCCATCAATTCACAGGACATACAGCAAGAGAGATAAGCAACCACGGTCCCTCAGAGGGATTGAGGCAGGGCTCATTCTTGTTGCTTGTGACTCTGTATCCATAGCAGCAAGGCTTCTTCCAGACCCCCTCATGCAGGGGAGCTGAGGTTGCTGACACATTTTCTACCCAGTTCAGGATCAGCTCAGAATTTGCCAGGATCTGAGGGTGGGTATCTTGATCTATTTGTGCTGCTACAATGAAAAGTACTGTAAACTGGGTATGCAACAAACATTTCTTTCTCATCGTCCTGGAGTCTAGAAAGTCCAACCTCCAGGCACTGGCAGATTCCATGTGTGGAAAGCCCATTCCTCGTAGATAGCACTGTCTCTCGAAACAGCTCTCTGGGGTCTCTGCTCTAAGGCACTAATCTCATTCATAAGAGCTCTGCTCTCATAACCTAATTACCTCCCAAACACCCCACCTCCTAAAACCTTCACATTGCGCATTAGGGCTTCAACATACGAATTTTAGGGGAACATAAACACTCAGACCATAGCAGTGAAAGAGGAAGATCACCAACTCAGTCTAGTAGACTCTCAGGAAGGCACAGGCAAACCTCATACATTTCCCCATGGCCTAGCATCTTGAAAATTGTTGACCTGCTGAAAGAAGGTGGCGTCCCCTTGGAAAGGACTGTTAAAAGAAAAACTTCAGCCAAATTAAATTTAAAGGAGTTTAATTGAACAATGAACGATTCGCGAATGGGGCAGCCCCCGGAATCACAGCAGATTCACAGAGGCTCCAGCACAGCCACATAGTGGAAGAAGAATGATGGGCAAAAAAAAAAGGGAAGTGACATACAGAAATCAGAAGTGAGGTACAGAAACTACTAGATTGGTTACAGCTCAGCATTTGCCTTATTTGAACACAGTTTGAACACTCGGCAGTGTATGAGTGGTCGATGTATGGCTGCTGGGATTGGCCAAGCCCCAGCCACTGTTACTGGCACACACTCCCAACTGAAGTTTTCAACCTTATCTACGTATTAAGTTAGGTTACAGTTTGTCCACAAGGACTCAGATAATAGAAGTATGGAGTCCCTCTCAGGTCATATTTAGTTCGCTTTTACAGGACACAATTAGTACATGCAAACAGGGGACCATGCCCCTATTCATCCCGTTCCATAATCAGAGAAGAGGACAGGAGCATAGCATTTACCACTCTCTCCCTCAACACAAAGCCCAAACTTGTCGCTTGGTGTAAAGACCCCTTCACGGGCCTTCAGGACTTTCGGTGGCTTCAGGCATCCTCCCTCTCCATTGCAGTGATTTCCATTGCCTCCAATTTACATTAATCCATCCCTGCCCCAGTACAAGTCCTGAAGTCATGAACCCTAGGGTTTTTCACCACACTTTCAACCATCCAACCGCTGAGGGTAATTCCATGCTTCCGAACCCTCATCTGTGCCATTGACGCAGCCTTTTGGAGGAAGCTGCGCCTCATTTGGTTCTCATTACTGGCAAATATAAGACCAGGAAAATGTGTTGGCAAGTCTTGTGAATTTCTGGCTCCCTGCAAAATCATTCATTCCCACAGTGCTGATGTCCCATCCCCAGGTGACAACCACGCTTTTTCTACAAAACCCACCAAGGACTCTATGTCTAGGGGGAAAAATGGCCAGGAACGAAGGCAGCAGCCAGTAGCCCAATATCTATTCAGCCCCATCTGAGTTATTTTCTGCTTGCTATTTCCTCCCATTCCAGGATTTGGTTTATTCTTGAAAGAAGCTTCTCGTCCTCTCTTTCTTATTCATCATAGCTGAGAATGTCACCTCTAAAACCTTTTACTCGCCCCTGCTTTGACCAAATAATGTGGCCTCCCAAGATCCTCCCTTGGCACTCAATATTATATCAAATTCAAATAAATCACAGTTGACTTTAAAACCCTCAAGCAATTCGTGTCTGCCTACATCAACTCCCACGCTCCTCAGCTGCTCTTGTCACATGAACCTCCTCGCAGCCCTCTTGCCTCCACAACTTGCAATTCTTCCTGCCTTTCTTGCTCTCTCACCCACCTGAATGAACCTCCCATCCCTAACTATCAAATTACCGGTTTGAGGAGAAACAGGAAAGGTTGAGTCAGGTATCCCAATGCATATTCTTTCCCAGCTAATTTCTGGCGCTGTGACCTTGGGAAATAGCAGTTATCATAATGATAACAAAGGTGGCATTTATCAAGCACTTTTATGTTTTTAACCCATTTAATTCTCACAACAGCCCTATAAGACATGAACTACCATTATCTTCATTGTAAGGATGTGGAAAATCACCCAACCTCACTAAGCCCAAGTTTTCTGATTTAAAAACTGGAAATAATAATATCTGCTTCTCAAGGATAAAAATTAAAAAATATATATGCTAACACAGTGAAACCGTCTCTACTAAAAAATACAAAAAAATTAGCCAGGCGTGCTGGTGGGCGCCTGTAGTCCCAGCTACTCGGGAGGCTGAGGCAGGAGAATGGCATGAACCCGGGAGGTGGAGCTTGCAGTGAGCCGAGATCATGCCACTGCACTCCAGCCTGGGCAACAGAGCGAGACTCCATCTCAAAAAAAAAAAAAAAAAAAAAATTATATATCTATATATATATATATATATATATGTGCAATACACAGCATATAATTTATGTCAGTTTCCTACCTTTCTAGCCCCATTGTCAAGTCCACCTTATTCACTATTTCGTACAATGTTTGTCCCTCTCAGAATTCTCCATTCAGCTAAATAAAAGAAAGGCTAGTGCTCTTCTTCAGCAGTTAAATATTGTTTCTTCCTCCTGTCCTCCAAAATACATAAGAACTACACACTATGTTTTTCTTAAAGGAAACAGAGGTCATGTCTGCTGTGTCCCAGAAACGTAATGACCTTCAGCTCAGCACCACTGCTTCATGACACTTTGTTTATGTTTGAAATAGAAGTGTGACTTTACCTTTAGAAGGGGGAGCAATTGCCTATTAAATATGTGAACCGAGGCCTTTTCCCTCTGCAGAGATCTTTCCTCTTTCCCACCTGTTTACTGAAATGCCTTCACCAGAGGACAAAGCTTGTCATTCCACAAAGCCAGACTTATAATACAAATCTCACCGAATGAGTTAATTCTTGGATGTGACTACAAGTCACTGGTTTCAAATCTTCTCTTGCCAGCAGGGATTGGCAGAGATGAAGAGAAACAAGAAGCAGAAATACAGGCAACACAGAGGTGGTTGTGTCCACTTAGCTATTTATCCCAGAAATAACACCATGCTTTGCCATGCCTAGTATAGACATGGCTACAGTGACAATCCAGGTGAAAGATACAGGTTTTCATGTGATTCCTTAACAAAGAGAAGATTGTTAACTATGATTGCCATCTACCTATAGCCAACCTAGAAGACTTACCTCAGTTTACAAGGTAAGCCCCCTTTGTTACTCTACTTATAACCTTAACATTATTTGATAATTAATATTCATTCATCCACCATCCCCTAAAGTCAATAAAATTACCAATATTTCACATACTTCAAGGTAGGACTAGAATTTGCCATCCTTAAATAAATGGCATCTCATGTAAAGATTATTTTTTCCATGTTAGTAAAAGACACTGAATAAATATTAATACCTATAATTATTTTCCTGAAATAAATAAGGTGAAAAACTAGTTAGTGTTATTGCAGACAGCCTCTAAGATGTCCACAGAGATACCTGCCCCCTAGTCCCCTTTTCTCGAGGATGAGTTGGACTCACTGACTTGATTCTAATTAATAGAATATTGTCAAGATGTCAGAGGATTCAAACCAGAGTGACTCTATCTTGAATGAGGCTAGGAAAAAGGAGGCTGGGATTTGCCAAGCTGCATTCCCAGGAGATTAGGTATTCCTAGCCTCAAGATGTTTATGGCTAAGGGAACAGGTGAATAATGTTTACTAAGCAGATCCAGGCCCAGGAATGTCCTGATATCTTGAGAACAAAAGCATACCTAATTTTCCTTTAAAGATAATAATATCGATTCTTGCAAAATATAGTAATTAAGAAAATTAATCCTTTATCACAACCCTTGTAATAGAGTACATTTCTCCATGATTTTTGTTGCTGTTGTTATCCTATCTATAAACAAGCATCATACTTAGGGTGGGGGCGTTCCTCCTCTTACTTTTGGGAACATCCTGCTCTGTCTATGGAGTAGCTCTTCTTTCACCCCTTAATTCTTAATAAGCTTGTTTTCGGGTTGCACTGTAGGCTCGCCCCGAATTCTTTCTTGTGCGAGAACCAAGAACCCTCTCTTGGGGTCTCGATCGGGACCCCTTTCCAGTAACAAAAGTAACGGAATGTCACTTCCGGGATCAGGGTCTAGACAGATTGTGGCTTGTGCCTTTGGTAGTCACTATCTTTTTTTTTTTTTTTTTTTTTTTTTTTTTTTTTTTTTCAGGCAGAGCTTTCATTCTTGTTGCCCAGGCTGGAGTGCAATGGCGCAATCTCGGCTCACTGCAATCTCTGCCTCTTGGATTCAAGCGATTCTCCTGCCTCAGTCTCCCAAGTAGCTGGGATTACAGGCATGTGGCCCAGCTAATTTTTTATATTTAGTAGAGACAGGGTTTCACCATGTTGTTCAGGCTGGACTCGAACTCCTGACCTCAAGCGATCCACCTAACTTGGCATCCCAAAGTGCTGGGATTACAGGCATGAGCCACTGTGCCAGCCCAACCTCTTTCACTCTCTTACTTGCCCAGGGGAAGTCAGCTGCCATGTTTCATCCTGCCCTATGACGTCCACATAGCAAAGAATTGAGACAAGCCTCCAACCAACAGCCAGAAATTAACTAAGGCCTTCATTCCAACAGGCTGCAAGAAACTAAATCCTTCCAACAACTACATAAGTGAGCCTGGAAATGAATCCTCCCCTAGTCAAGCCTTCAGATGAGACTGTTGCTCTAGGTGATGTGGTGCCTGTAATCACGTGACGTTGAACAAGAAAAATACCCAGATAAACCATGCCCGGATTCCTAACCCAAAGAATTTGTGAAAAAAATCAATATTTGTATTTTAAGCCATCAACTTCTCAGGTGATTTGATACACACCAATACATAACTAAGACAAGTGCCTTTTGAACTCCTTTTCCCTTAAAATCCCAGAGGATTTAACATGACTTTCAAAATTATAAAAAATAAATTTTTATTTCAATATTTTATTTAAATTTGGGGGGTGGTAGGGATAGAGTCTCACTGTCACCTAGGCTGGCGTGCAGCGGCACTATCTCAGCACACTGCAACATTTGTCTCCCAAGTTCAAGCAATTCTCCTGCCTCAGCCTCCTGAGTAGCTGGGATTACAAGCCTGAGGCACCAGGCCTGGCTAATTTTTGTATTTTTAGTAGAGACGAGGTTTCACCATGTTGGGCAGGCTGGTCTTGAACTCCTGACCTCAAGTGATCCACCCACCTCAGCCTCCCAAAGTGCTGGGATTACAGGCGTGAGCCACCGCACCCAGCCTTTTATTTAATTGTTAATGGAATTCAAAACATCAGACAAGCTACAGCCTCCTTGTTTTCTGTTACTTATTCTAATGCTAAAATAAAAACAAGCATTAAGACATTCTGGATTTTGTAACTCAGAAGCTTCTGGGGTTTTTTAAAATTAATATTATAATTTAAGGATTACGTGATATAGTGGGATTTTTAAATACCACATTAACAATATATCTCTCTGGTAAGCACCCATAAGGTTTCTTTGAGGACTGCAGCATTTTAGAGTCTCTAGATAACATCTAAAACATCAGTTTGAATTAAGCAAGCTGAGACTTAGAGGGGTTAAAAGATTCTCCTGTGGTCCTATTATAGAATTAGCACGTGGCAGAGCTCAGACAGAAACCTACACTTTCTGATTCCAGAGCATTGCTCATTCTATCTCACTACTTTGAGAAACCAAGAAAGCATGGCCAGCTGTAATAATCTTGTCCATTTTACCCAAATAAAGATGGAACATTATTGGAGAAAAATTAAAATGCCCTACAGCAGCACAACGATCCCTGGTTTGTTGTCATCATTTTCAACTTGCAGTCTGCATCTCAACAGCAAATGGCTAACTGACTGACCAGTTTATAAACACTCTTGATTTCACAAGTAGATTTTATGGGGCAAGAGCTCTCTTTGGAGTTAACTTGCTCTTTGCATAGGTTAATTTAAATAGCAGTGAAAATTTAGCTTGAAAGGATAATTACAATATTTCACCTCCTTTTATCTCAGGTTATGTAAATGAGGCTTTAATCTTCTCACGGTTCATATTATATTAATACCGGGAATAAAAAGATCTCAATATATTGTGTGCTGTCAATCACGTTAGAACATGCTCACACAATCGTAGTGGGTACAAATTGAACTAATTCCCATAATCATGGGCTGTGCATATTATCAACAAGTAAACAGATGGACTTGTAGCTTGGCAGAGTTCTCACTTGGGCAATGTAAGTTGTCATTTTGATTTGATTGCAAAATTTGGGGGGTTTTTTTTTGACATTTCTGCAATATCAAGTGTATTTATTGAAAAATTAGGGGTAGCCCCAAAGAAGCAAATTCAACTTCTATCCCCTTTTAACCTACGGTTTTCACATCCTGCCAAAGGTGATGCAAGCACTAACCCTGAGTGACAGGACCTCGATGTAGCCTTATCCTGTGCTTTGCACCACAGCTCTTGTGGGAGACTCTGTCATTCACAGTATTGAATAGTGAAAGGTGATGGTTAGAGAAATTTAGCATTGTCTGGTTTAATAAATATCAGGAGGAAGCTGGCAGATAAGTTTTAACCCCAGGACATTTAAAAAAACAATCAAAATACTGTTCTCCATCCATATAGTGTTCACACAACACAGTATGTTTATACTAGAGTTTAGAGACAGAGTAAAGTTGTTCTATTATACCTCAAGGGCAAGCTTAAGGTCTAATTCCTCCAGGAAGACTTCTATGATTGTCCCAACTCTAAATAATTACTCCTTCAACTACGTGACCACAAGACCTCGTTAGCACCAATGAAAGGCAGTATATGATAGTGGTTAAGAGTATAAGTTCTGAGAATAGACTGGCTTCAAATTCCACTACCACTACTCACTAGCTACAGATTTCGAGCAAACAAAGTAACCTAATAAATGTCAATTTTATCTATAAACGAGGACAGTATCTGCCTTGTAGATTGTTTGGCATGATCATATAGAGAGACTAGAACTGTAAGGGACACCCTATAAACCTTAGTCCCTGAGTATTTACTATGCGCCAACCGGGAATATTCACTTATTTTATCTCTTTTAATTTCCATACTAACCCTCTGAGTTAGATATGATTTACCCCACTTTACAAATGGGAAGCCAAGGCTCGGGGATTGTAATCAACCAGCTCCATGACACACTGTTAATAAGCTGCAGAGCTAGTCTCTGAACCATGGCGTTCTGGGTTCAAAACTTACATAGCCCGTCTCTATAAAATGTCGCCACACATCACCACTCTTGCACTTCTGGAAAGCACTGGCTTCAGTCTTCAACAGTTCTAATATACCTGAATTGCATACATATCTATCTCCCTCACTGCATTAGGTTTCCCTGGGGTAGGAATTGTTTCTTATTCTCCCTGGGATTTCCAATGCTTACATAACATTTAACTTATAATAGATGTCTATTACGTTTCCTTGAAATAAAATGAGCTAGTTGCAGCTTCCCTACAGAAACTATTACCCTTTATTAAGGAAAAATTTCTAACAATAAAGAAAGGCCACAAATTTCCTTGAGCGAAGAAAAGTATTGAAAGATGAGCAGACACAGTCGTGGTCCCTGAGCTGTCAAAAACTCAGAATGGAACTGAGAGGCTGCCAGAGGCATCTCTCCTCAAGCCCACCAATCAGTGTACACTTATTGATTATCTTCTGGATGCTGAACTAACCTTATGATATCAGTAGCTTCCAAACAGCTAGGCCAAGCTGATTTCTGACATCCCGAAAAAACTATACAGGTGACTCTCTAACTCTAAAGAACACTGAAGAACCTCTATTTTAAGTTGTTCATAAAAGTTTATATTCCATAACAGGCTGTCTGTCACATGTAAGTCCCCTCAGAGAAGGAAGTTGCACTGTTCAGTTCCTACTGAGGAAAAGAAATTTGCAGATGCTGCTCCTCTCTAGAATAGATAAATGTCAGAAATGTAGTCCCCTTAACATGTGGGGTGATGAAAGGTTTATGTTGTCACATTTTTCTGTGTTGGTAAAAGTGAGTTCTTAAAGTTTTAAAGACATAGACAAAAAAAAGATATTTGTGAGAATAAAGGATTGATGAATAGGAACAACTAGATTTTCGCAAGCAAAAGAATGAAATTGGACCTCTATTTTATACCATATACAAAAATTAACTCAAAATGGATTAATGACCTAAATAGAGAAGCTAAGATTATAAAACTTTTGGAAGACAACATAGGGGTAAATCTCCGTAACCTTGGATTTAGCAATGGATTCTTCAATATGAAAACAAAAGCATGGGTGACAAAAGGAAAAAGAAGATAAATTAGATTTCATAAAACTAAAAAACTTATATCATTAAAGGACATTATCAAGAAAGTGAAAAGAAAACACAGAAAGAAAATATTTGCAAATCATAGATCTCATAAATGTTTGATTTCCAGAATGTATAAAGAACTCCTACGATTCAACAAGAAGACGAGCAACACAATTTTTTAAATGGGCAAGGCACCTGAATGGACATTTCTGAAAGAAAATATACAAATGACCAATAAGCACTTGAAAAGATGCTCAGCACCAGACATTTGAGAAATGCAAATTAAAACTACAGTGAGATAGCATTTCACACCTCCTAGAATGGTTATAATTAAAAAAAAAAAAAACAGAAAGCAACAAATATTGGAGAGAATATGGAGAAATTGGACCCCTCAGTACATTGTTGAAGGAAAGTAAAATGGTGAAGGCGCTGTAGGAACCGTTCAACCGTTCCTCAAAAAGCTAAACATAGAATTACCATGTGACCTAGAAATTCTGCTTCTAGTTATATATGCCAAAGCATTGAAAATAAGGATTTGAAAAGCTAGTTTATTCCAGCGTTATTCATAACAGCCAAAAGGTGAAAACAACAAAAGTGTCTATCAACAGATGAACAGGTAAACAAAATGTGCTAATTGCATGCAATGGAATATTACTCAGCTATAAAAAGGAATGAAGTTCTCATAGATGATACAACATGCATGAACCTTGAAAACATGCTACGTGAAATATGCCAGACACAAAAGAACAAATATTGTATGATTCTATTTATACGACATATCCAGAATAGCCAAATTCATAGAGATAGAAAGAAGATTAGTGGTTACCAGGGGCCAGGGAGGGGGGAAAATGGGGACCTGTTGCTTAATGGTTATAGAGTTTCTGATTGCACTGGCAGGATGATGAAAAAGCTTAGGAAACAGTAGCATGGTTGCACAACATTGTGGATGTAATTAATGCCTAGAACTTAAAGTATAATAATAAAAAAAAAAAATTGCAGGTAACAGAAGAGCATCTATAAAAAAAAAAATTCTCCATGATGAGAGAGTATACAACTCAGTTTGAGTGAGACTATCTCATGAAATGACAAAAACCAACTTATGCTGAATATAGTCTAAATTCATTCAGGAACCTAGAGGGTAAAAGCAACACCAGAAGAATTACACTTCAGGGTTTGCAGTGAAAATGGTTTACAGAAAAATGTTATTTTCCTCTTGGGGATCAATCTGCTGTTTTTCTTTAAATATCTTACATAAACTTCTCCCAAGCAATAAAGTGGCAATTGTAGTAAGAAAGAGCATATATTTAGACTCTTAAATGTCTTCTCGAAATGACAAAACATTGAGTTTTACTTAGAAAAAGATAGTGATTACAAACGGGCCAGTAATTTATGACAGGACTTTAAACCCAACGTTTTTCCCTGAACACCATGTGACAGAGAACAAGAAATGGCTATAAAGTAAAACCGTGAAAGCCACAGTCCTACATGAATGTTAGTAAGCATTTGCAGAACATGTTGAAGGAAGCAATAACTTTGATTCTGCTGTCCCAGACTGGATGAGAGGCACCCCTTAGCAAAGAGGTATTAGTAAGACTTACTTGGGACAAGTACACTTTACACACAGATTTCAAAATCCATATTTTTAAAACAAGCCAAGATTTACAACAGGCAAGTCAAACTAATATTTATGCATGTAGTTTTTACAAAGGAGCATTTTTAGAATATTCTGAACCTCACTTTTTTATTTATCCTTGACAATGATATTCAAAGCCTCGCATGAGAAAAAAATGTGAAGTGTTAATGTCACCATTATGTAGGCACCATACTTTCAATGGAATTGGGAAGTCGTTCAATAATAAGCTTTGTTATGAGGTGCATTTTTGGAAAGGAACCAATTCTGAAAAAAATTTATTTGTTTATTCAACAAAGAATATTCGAATGTCTCCTATGTGAGGCAGTTTGATTTCGAATCCAAGAGTGGATTTTTGGTGTCTCTATCTTTTCCCTAATATCTGCCCTTTCTCTCCCAGCACATTGGGAGGCTGAGGTGGGCAGATCATTTGAGCCCAGGAGTTCGAGACCAGCCTGGCCAACATGGTGAAACCCTGTCTCTACTAAAATTACAAAAAATTAACTGGGCGTGGTGGAGTATGCCTGTAATCCCAGCTACTCGGGAGGCTGAGGCAGGAGAATCGCTTGAACCCAGGAGGTGGAGATTGCAGTGAGCCAAGATTGTGCCACTGCCCTCCAGCTTGGGGGATAGAGTGAAACTTTGTCTCAAAAAAATAAAAATAAAAATATCTGCCCTTTCTCTAAGGCACCATTCCCCTTCTCCATGCCACCCCTAACCTCAGCATGGAACCTATTCTCTCCTCCCTTAAAACTTAATTTCCAGAAAAATTCTAACACCCACTCATTTTTATCTCTCTTTCTCCAGTGCCTAAAGGCAGGCTCAGCTCATAAAGTTTGTAGGTTATTTATTCAAATAAAGTGATCACATATTTGCTGATGAATGAATGTATAAATGAATGGATGAACTTTACCATGTCTATTTGAATAAAAAAGTAAATAAATCTATGTTCTCAAAATCACTAGCTAGAATAAAGGTCCTTCCTCTTGACAAAAGATTTATACATTTGGATAGAAGAACCCTGAGAAAGTGAGGCAAGAAAATCTAAGGCCAAACAAAATTCAGTTTCTTCAATCATTTTTTGGTTTAGCGTGGTTTGTTTTACTTTACTTTGGTCATTTTAAATCTCTACTACTAAAAGATGGAAGATGTGCATTTGAAGAGGTGTTTACTCTATAACACTTTGTAATGGATGATAGCATCAAACACTCACTGGACAGGGAAGAATTCAGCACAGCCTTTTATTCTTGGTTTTTATAGTTGTACTTACAGAGAAGAGCTTATACTAGTTACTTTATAAACTAAGGCTTGAATAGATTATAATTTTTGACCCTCATTGTAATTAAGACAATTTATGTTTCCAACAGTTAGCTAATGTATGTGCTGCTTTCTAAATAAACAGTAAATTTTATCTCATACAATGCAGTCCTCACCAGAAAGAAGAAAGCTGAGCCACAAGACAGGTTGGCTCCCACCGATCACGGGATGCCTGCTCCCTGAATGCAGGCAAAATTCCTTAGAGGAACTGCCACGCAATTTCAGAACCCTCTTGGTAATCAATGTTTCAGCGAACTGAAGTTAATGGATAATTGCTACTAATGTGTTAGACGGAAGGCTCACATGCTTTGGAGTCAGACATATTTTTGAATTTCAGTTCTATTTCTAACAATAAGAAGGAATAATAATTTTCCTAGGCAAGTTATTTAACCTCCCTAAGCTTTGATGTCCACAGTTCCTCAAAGCTTGTGTGAGGAGATAAGAGTAAAGTGTCTGGTGAAGAGTAAACACTCAATATATGTTAGCAACTAGGAAAATGACATTGGATGTGGTAGTCATTAAATTCATGTGAAGTTTTATGTAATTTCTCAAAAGTCACTCTGGTAGAAAAGAAGAATTGGAATTCGAACCTACTACATCTGTGTGACCCCAAAGTCCAGGGTCATTTCAGTAGCATAGCTTAGTTTATTGACCATCACGTCTTTTAACACAGCCCAAAATACCATCATTGTAGTGAACCATTCAGCTGGGTTTCACCAGACAAAATGATAGAAGTACAATAAATTCCATATAATAGCCAATCAATCATGGTAGCTTTCTGGGGCCATATTATCAACATCTTTAATGTTGCACTCATATGTTTAGACTTCCCCTCAGCATTATCTAGCAGCAGAAAATCATTCCCTTATGATAACATTCAGCTCTACTGACGTTATCAGTTAACCAGCGACATTCAATTAGTGAAATGCCAGGTTCTCCTATTGAAAACACTTCAGGAAAGATTTCTAGATCTCGAAAACTGACCACAAACCTGAGTGGTGTTTAGAAATAGGAAACTTGTGTTGAACTGCATGGAGCTTTGGGCTTTCAAAATGCCAGTCACTTTGTACTTCTGTCTTTTTCATCTCAAATGAAAGGGTTTCATCAAACCATTGTTCATGTCTTGCCATGCTGATAATGTGAACAGGTTCACAGAGAAGTACTTGAGGCAAGACTTGTTCTCAGGAACATGACTTGCCATTGCCCACAAGAACAAATATAACACAATAAATTAGACAAATGGAAACTAAATTAAATGATGGCAAGGGAAAATATAGACATGTCAGGCAGGTAAGATCAGGGGATAAAATTAAGCGAAGATATAAAAGTGATATGATTTAGAGGAAATAATGCTGAGCTGAAAATAGAGCTGTGAGGTTCTGATGGCCAAGGATTTACCTATTTGTATAAATTAATTTGATTACAACATTCATGTTGTCTATGAGAAGAGGAAAAAATGCATACTAATTTCTTAGAAGAAATGATGTTTCTTCCTGGAACTTTATACCAGAGCTGTTCAATAGAAATACAATTTGAGTCACCTATGAAATTTTAAATTTTCTAACAGCCACATTTAAAAATGTTAAAAAAAGATGACATTGGTTTTAACATTTTATTTAACCCAATATATCCAAAATATTATCATTTCAACATAGTCAATATATAAGACTACTAAGATTTTTTATTCTTTTTTTACATACTGTCTTCAAAATATGATGTATATTTTATACTCATAGTGCATCTCAATGGAGATGTACTAAATTTTTATCAGAAACACTTGATCTATATTTGGATTTCACAAATGGACTGTTGAAAAAGTAGATTCACATACCCACACTGTTCTAACATCCTTAAATGTTCTCTCATGGCTGTGTTCACTTTTACATTTGATTTAATTAAAAATTAAATGAAATCCAATTCCTCATTTGCACTAGCCATATTTCATTTGCTCAGAAGTCACATACAGACAGCATAGGTCTAAATGAAAAGTTGTGTCCAGGCCTTTACATAGAGGTTACTGAGTAAAACAGAATACAGTATCTTCAGCAGTACCCCTGCAAAACCTCCGTTTCTTCAGAGAATTTCTCGATGTAAGCTGAGGGCATAATGCCAAGGCCCAGCTCAGAGCTAAGCAGAAGGGCAAGGCCATTATGTCTACTCATCCTGCTCTCTGATGTTTTGGAATGGAAGGATCTCTCCAAATGCTCTTCAATCCACTCTCTGTCTGTATATTTCCCTTGGCTGAGTTTTTTATTTGCACACTAAAGAAGATAATATTCACAGGCAAAAGTCTAAAGTTCAAGTAAAATTTTTATTGATTAAGAACAATGCACATGTTTTGGAAATCACTTTTTGTGGGAAACTGATAAGTACCTCCAAAAGCTAGGTATTTAGGGAAAAAAAACTGTATATATGTATATATAAAGTTCTCTTCAGAATTAAAGAATTAATTTTAAAAAGTTCAGGAATCATGTAAAAATAATACATAATTCTAATACTATTTAAATACTATTTAAACTGAAAATGAAAGAATAGAGAAGGCATTCTAATTTATTTTTATCAAGCCACCATAAACTTCATATAAGAGCCTAAAAAATATTTCACAGATAAAAGATAATACAAATGAAATTAAATTTAAAATGTCAAATTTCATTTATAAATAGATGCAGTGGTTCATCAATGAAATTTGAAAAGACTTTGCACTATTTTACTCTTCTCCATTTCCTGATCTCCGTAATTCTGTTATGAAAATAAATGAACTTAAGCATATTTATGTCAAAGAATACATGAGAGAGAGGAATAATCACAATACAAAAAAAAAGGAGGGCTTCATCAGAACTCCTGAAGTGAAAATCTAAAGAAAAAAATGTCCCATTTTTCTCATTTGCTGTTAATTAAAAATGCCAATTCTGTCTACAAATCAGATTGGTGAGGAACTTTCCATTGAAATGAACATATCCATCTCTAGAGGAGATTCCCAGCGGGAAGCGGTCCTCCAGCTCCGCACTGTCTCCAGTGGAGCTCCTGAGGCAGCCAGGGACGATTATCTACACCGTAGGGCGTGCAGAATAAATAAAGGTTAAATGATTATCAAAATGTGACCAACATCTGAGCAAACAGCATGTACCTTGGCAGGAGGGATATCCATTCCAGGGCAAATCACAGCCAACTATGGAAATAAACTTATCAGATGCAGGCTGCTGCGGCATTCCTAGCTGCAGACCTTCTCCCAGGCTGCTGGTTCATAAGAAGGATTCCAAAGTGGCTCAACAGCCCCTGGCCCAGCCGCCCCCAGCTTCCTGAGCTTCCTAAGGCTGGTTGTAGCTACACTGTCTTCACCTCCCATTATCACTTTCATGGCTGTGAATGTCAGAGATCATAGTCTTTGAACTTACCCACAAGAGAGAGCAAGATAAGAAAACAACAATATTTGTGTAAATGTGAGGCCTCAGGAGGGAAGAATTTTAGACCTCTTGGTCCTTACAGTTAAGCAGGATGAGAAGTATTTTGGGCAGACTATACTACAAGCAATGAGATCTCTTTTAAGGGGAGTTGGTGAAGTAGACTTACTGTGGGCCAAACACTATTTGAACAGCGTGAATGATTTCATTTCATAAAACAGAATAAAGTAGATTCTATTGTTATCTTGATTTTTTCAGATAAAGAAACTAAGATACAGAGAAAGTAAGTAACTTGCCCAAGGTCTCACAGCTAGGAAACGGGGGAACTGAGATGTTAGCCTTAGGTAGTGATGCTAGAGACTCTACTCTTAACAGCAGTGCTACAGTGCCACCCTATGGGCCTGCTGGAAAAATCCACTTGCCAATGAATCCAGTTGTTATGGACTGAATGATCGTGCACCCCTAATATTCATAGATTGAAACCTAATTCCCAGTGGGAGGGCATTTGGAGGTTTGGGCCTTTGGGAGGTGATTAGGTCAGGAAGGTAGAGCATGAATGGGATTAGTGTTCTTATAAAAGAAGCCCCAGAGAGCTGCCTTGCCCTTTTTGCTACATGAGGTTACAACCACCTGTGAACCAGTAAGCCACCCCTTACCAGACCCTGAATCTGCCAGTACCTTGGTCTTGGACTTCCAGAACTATGGAAAATAAATACACATTGTTTAAGCCACCCAGTCTATGGTGCAGCAGCCAGAACAGACTAAGAAACCAGTCAAATAAAAATCTAATCAAGATTTAAACCTAAGGAATAGAGGAGCACATTAGAAAGAACTGACGGAGCCTGAATGCAGTGGCTCACACCTGTAATCCCAGCACTTTGGGAGGCCAAGGTGAGCAGATTGCTTGAGCCCAGGAGTTTGAGACCAGCTTGGTCAACATGGCGAAACCTTGCCTCTACAAAAAATACAAAAAAATTAGCTGGGCATGGTGTTGCATGCCTGTAGTCCCAGCCATTTGGGAAGCTGAGGCAGGAGGATCACCCGAGCCTGGGAGGTCAAGAATAGAGTAAGCCGTGATTGTACCACTGCACTCCAGGCTGGGTGATAGAGTGAGACCCTGTTTTGAAAGAAAGAAAGAAAAAGGAAGAAAGGAAGAAAAAGGAGGGAAGGAAGGAAGGAAGAAAAGAAGGAAGGAAGGAGGGAAGGAAGGAAGGAAGGAAGGAAGGAAGGAAGGAAGGAAGGAAGGAAAGAAGGAAGGGAGGGAGGGAGGGAGAACTGATGGTAGGCAGTGACTCTATTTAAATATAAATACTTGACAGTTGTGTGAATTATATACCAAACAGAAAGTAAACCTCGAGCATTATGCAAGGTGTAATCAACAAAAATTGGGAGGTAGAGGGTGAGCAGATAGGTCAAAATATTAACTTTTTATGGCAGCAACTCAAATCCCAAATGTAGTTTTTTAAAAAAAATGATACTGATGTCAACTTCTTAATGTTTTCTTCTTAATAATCTCTTTAGCGGTATCTTTGAAAAAATATCTCTTGCTGTAAAAAAAGAAAATCCATTTAAAATTTTACCTTTCCTTCATTTTCATTTCTTCAGTTTGAATGAAAATAAAGTTAAATTTTTTTTAAAATTTTGAATTTTAAATAGTTGTATTTTTAACAACTATTTTATATTTACATTTTACTTTACATATTCAATAGAACCAACAGCTTTGTATCTTTTTCTTGTAGAAGTGGATATAGAATCATATCTGGAATGATGAGTTGTCAATATGAATGTTGTTCATTTCCGTAAGCTTGTATTTGGGAAGTTTTTATTATTATTCTTTCCATTGCTGTTATTAGAATTTCATTTATTCAATTGTCACATATTTACTGAGCAGTTACAATATAACAAGAATTGTTCTCAGCTCTAAGGATATACAGCAATGAGCAAAACAAACTCAGGCCTTGGCTTTGGAGCTTCTGCTCCAGGGAGACCAACTGTGTTAGTCCGTTCTCATGCTGCTATAAAGAACTGTCCAATGCAGTGGCTCACGCTTGTAATCCCAGCACTTTGGGAAGCCAAGGTGGACAGATCACAAGGTCAGGAGATCGAGACCATCCTGGCTAACACGGTGAAACCCCGTCTCTACTAAAAATACAAAAAATTAGCCGGGCTTGGTGGCGGGTGCCTGTAGTCCCAGCTACTTGGGAGGCTGAGGTGGGAGAACTGCTTGAACCCAGGAGGCAGAGGTTGCAATGGGCTGAGACCATGCCATTGCACTCCAGCCTGGGTGACAGAGTGAGACTCTGTCTAAAAAACTAATAATAAAATAAAAAATAAAAAAAAAAGAACTTCCCAAGACTGGGTAATTTATAAAGAAAAGAGGTTTAATTAACTCACAGTTCTGCATGGCTGGGGAGGCCTTGGGAAACTTACAATCATGGCAGAAGGTAAAGCAAACATGTCCTTCTTCACATGGCAGCAGGAAGGAGGAGTGCAGAGCAAAGCAGGGAGAAAAGCCCCTTATAAAACCATCAGATCTCAGTGAGAACTCATTCACTATCACGAGAACAACGTGGTGGTAACCACTCCCATGATTCAATTACCTCCCACCAGGTCCCTCTCCTGACAAATGGAGATTATGGGAACTACAATTCAAGATGAGATTTAGGTGGGGTCAGAGCCAAACCATATCACCGGCAATAAACAAATAAACACACACCATCATGTAAGCTATTGAAGAACAAGAAGAGGTAGACAGTGATAACGGGCAGAGTAATTTTTACTAAAGTGATGAAGTAACCTCTCCAAGATGGTAACATTTCAGTGGAAAACTGAAAAAAGTTCAAGAGGGAGCCATGCAAGATCCTGAGGGAAAACATCAATGAAGAAAGAAAAACCAGTGCAAATATCCCAAGGCAGGAAAGATGTAACAGGGTAATAAAGGACCTCAGTGAAATTCAGCACTGAAGCTTTCAAACTTGAGCCTTGAGCCAAGTACTTAGTAAGCCTGTATGGCATGCTCAAATTCAGGCTATCTACTGCCTGGGTAATGTTCAAATTTGAGCTAGCTTTTACTCATTTTCATTTTTCTATTGCCTCTTCGACAGCTCCCAGCCTCACACAGCAACCTCCTTAGACTTACATCAAAGTTCTTATTGTGTATGAAATATTGAAATTAGCAGATAACCTGTCTATTTTCCCAAAGCAACGAAGGCCAAGTGGAGCATGTTAAATGCTTACATAAGTAAGCTAATGGCAACGTTGAAAGTTTTATTGGCATTAAACCCTTTCAAAAGTATCTGACAACCTGGATAAAAGCATGTATACTGTGTGAATCTCCTTTATTAATGAGGCAATTAATCGCGAGAATTACCAAACTTCACTGAGAACCCAGCAGGCTGCTGTGAAAATGGAGTTCTGGGCTTCTGCAGAAATCCTCAATCAAGAAAAGTAGCACCTCGGAGCTGAGAAGGCCTGGTGTGATTGACAGCCGTGTTTATTGATTTTGGATTTTGAGAACAACTCCCAGGGGGCTGGTATCAGCGAGTCAGAGGCAGAATTTGATGAGGTAGATGGGACCCTGAGGGAAAAGCTCATAAGGCAGAATAGTGGAGTGCCCCTTCCCTGACCCTCGCAGGCACGATAAGAGATGGTCTCTTTCTCATTTTAACAGGGATTCATTCCCACCAGGCTGCATCTGAAGAAGATGACAGCCCCAAAGAGCAAGACTCTTTGGGGGAAAAAAATTAAGCTTCTTAAGTGCAAACTTTCAAACTGCCACAAACAGGCCTGTGCTTCAGGAAAGAAAGAAGGAGCAAAACATCTGGTACCCAGGCTTCCACCACATCCACAGTCGGGATTCTGTTATGGATATGAAAAGGCCATAGTGTAGACAATATCTAATTATGATTTAATGACTGGGAAATGAAGAGACAGGCTTGAAATCCTCTTCCAAGTGATATCTACTTTGCATTTTTTAGGCTTTCATTTATTGCTTTGTAAAGTAGAATGTATTAATTTAATGTCTATTATTAATTAATTAATTAAATGTCTCTGTGTATTTGTGTGTGTGTGTGTGTGTGTGTGTGTGTCCTATCCTCTGCATGTGAACAGATTCTAGCAGTATTTCCAAGAAGACATTTTGGTAAGGGAGTCTCGTCTAGCACATCCACCACATCACCTGCCAGGAGGGACAGATGATGGGATGATTAAAAGCAAATGAAACAGCAGATCATCCCTGTCTCCTAAACCCACAATTCCAGACACTCTCAGGTGAAGGAGCACCAGGGTGTCCTGAGGGTTTTGTCACCTGTGCAAAATAATGATGTTCTTACTTCTGTCATACACAATAGGAAGTAACTTCTGTGGCAGAAAATGTGACTTCATGATACGTATGCGAAGTCAAATCACAACCAGAAACACAAAGTTCCCTGGAATAAAAAATATAAACTGTCAACCTAGGAGGGCTGTGTGCCTCTGAAGAAGATTCTTACATCAAAATCCTCCGGATATGTGGTCACTTACCTTCTCATCTCTTCACATTGTGCTGTGTTTAAGCATTAACGGGGGCCAAGGTTTTTATTAAAAATTATGGGAGGACAATCTAGACCATCCTGGCTAACACGGTGAAACCTCGTCTCTACTAAAAATACAAAAAATTAGCCGGGCATGGTGGCGGGTGCCTGTAGTCCCAGCTACTCAGGAGGCTGAGGCAGGAGAATGGCGTGAACCCGGGAGGCAGAGCTTGCACTGACCCGAGATCGTGCCACTGCACTCTAGCCTGGGCAAAAGAGCAAGACTCCATTTCAAACACAAACAAAAAAAAAAATTATGGGAGGGCAAATTTAAGTTGTAAACATTCTAATCTAATTGCTAACTTAATTGATGTCTGCAAATTAGAAAATGTCCTGTTGTTTGATCCTAGAAGTACAACACTCTGTCCAGTGTGGTCGGTGGGAATGTAGTGTGAGGCTTATACCACGGCTCTGGGTGCTGGTCCAGGACTTTCCCTCCTCTTTCCTACCACCCACTCCTCCCTGCCCTCAACAACCTCGCTGTCATGCCTAATAAACTCCCAAAGGAGTGGAGGAAGTCATTGGGAATGCAGCAGAGACTGCAGGTTGTCCATTGTGTTAGTTCGCTCTCATGCTGCTAATAAAGACATACCTGAGACAGGGTAATTTATAAAAGAAAGAGGTTCATTGGACTCACAGTTCCACATGGCTAGGGAGGTCTCACAATCATGGTAGAAGGCAAAGTGAGAGCAAAGGCACACCCTACATGGTGGCAGGCAAGACAACCTACGCAGGGGAACTTCCCTTTATAAAACCATCAGATATCGTGAGACTCATTCACTATCATAAGAACAACATGGGAAGAACCCACCCCCATGATTCAATTACCTCCCACCAGGTCTCTCCCACGACACATGGGGATTACTACAATTCAGGGTGAGATTTGGGTGGGGATACAGAGCCAAACCATATCATTCATCCGCCAAACTCATTCTCTCAATCTTCTAAGTTGAATTGAATGGACTTGAAGGTTAATGCAGGCTGCTTAGCTAGACTACATTTCCCAGCCTCATTTTGTTCCTGTGGGTCTGGGTTGCAGGGAATGGGATGTACCTCCTCTGCGTGCCCTCACCCCTCTGGAACCTGGATGGGACATCAATCCAGCTTCAACCATGCAGAAAATGGCAACACTCTAGAGGATGGCCAACCAATAACTCGGAAAGTAGCTGCCCTGACAACTTGAATTGTTCACACCAATGCTGTCTCATAAGAAAGAAATAAAATTCTTCATTCTTTGAACCATTGTATTTTCAGATCTGTGTAGCAGCTACTTAGTTTTACCCTAGCTAACACAAGAATTAATGACAAAACCTACTATAATGGCCAATTTCTTGTGTCAACTTGACTAGATGAAGAGATATCCAGATAGCTGGTCAAACATTATTTCTGAGTGTGCCTGTGAGAGGGTTTCTGGAAAAGATTGGCATTTAAATCAGTAGACCGAGGAAAGATCTGCCCTCACCCATGTGGGCAGGCATCATCCAATCTGGTGAATCTGGTGAGGGCCTGGATTGAATAAAAAGTTAAAGGAAGGGTGAGTTATTTTTCTCTCTCCTTGACCTGGGACATCCATCTTCCCCTGCCCTTGGACTCATACCAAATTACACTGCCAGCTTTCCTGGTTTTCCAGCCTGCAGATGGCATATGATGGGACTTCTTGGCCTCCATAATCCCTTGAGCCAACTCTCATAATACATTTCCTCTACTATATCTGTGTCTATATATATCATATCGGTTCTGTTCCTTTGGAGAACCCTGACTAATATTGTTCCATGAAAGGGCCGTATATGCAAAGTAGCCCACAAATGCTGAAGGAGCCAAGAAACCAAAGAACAAAGCAGACAAATGCAGTTTGTCAGTAAAGAGTGGAACTTGCAGATGAAAATGGAATTGGGGGGCCATAAGACAGGTAGAGCTCCACAACAATATACTCCCCAGACCCGGGGCTTATGTACCATAGGGAAAGGTACACGTACTCTATAGAAACAGTTAAACGCAACCCTTCAGAAAGCTATGTAGGTCAAAACCTATAATTTGTGTGATAACATCAAGATTGCTTTGATCTAAAGGTGGAATTTATAGTGAGTACATGTTCCTACACTAGGGATGGCAAATAAAGTAGAAATCAGGAGACATTCATGGGACTGCAGTTAATCATAAGTCAACATGGCAAATTAGCATCCAAGATGGAGCCACTCTTGCATCCACAAAAAAACACCTATGCTGTGAATATACAAGAAATCCAGCCATTAATTGCTATCTGGCTCGTTGCTCCTTGATTAACATGTTTCCTGCTTTGCTAACCTCTCCTTTCACCTATAAATCCTCCTCCTTCCAGATTTATCTCCAATGCCACTCCTCTACAATGATAGCCAGCCACACTGGCGATCTGTTCCACAGAATCTCATGGTTATGTCACTCAAATGCCTCATCCAAAGTCTGGCCCATAGAGGGTACACAACTATTTTCCTTTCTGCCAATTGCTTACTGTCTTCTTGCGGATTTGAGGACTGTGGCTTGGATAAGCACTTGGATGGTACACCAGTTAAGATGAGGAACTGAACAACCATGAAGGGAAAAGAAGGTGGGCTGCGGAGAGTTCAGTCACCTGAGCAGTTGTCTAGAAAACTAGTTCTAGGAGAGAAATTGAAATATGATCTAACAGAAAAAATCAGTATAAAAGAATTAAAACAGCCTATCATAATAACCAGAATTGTTTGGGTCAGTGAGAACCAGAACTGGAAGGAAGAGAGAGAGAGACAGAGAGACAGAGAGAGGAGAGAGACTTCCTTTATTTCTTTTTTTCTTTTTTTTTTTTTTTTTTTGAGACAGAGTCTCATTCTGTCACCCAGGCTGGAGTGCAGTGGCAGGATCTCAGATCACTGCAACCTCCGCCTCCTGGATTCAAGCAATTCTTGTGCCTCAGCCTCCTGAGTAGCTGGGATTACAGGCATTACAGGCATGTGCCTTTACACCTGGCTAATTTTTGTATTTTTAGTAGAGACAGGGTTTTGCCATGTTGGACACACTGGTCTCTAACTCCTGGCCTCAAATGATCCACCCACCTTAGCCACCCAAAATGCTGGGATTACAGGCTTGAGCCACTGCACCTGGCCTAAGTTGGTGTCAGATTTTGATAGAAGTCAGAAAAATAGGTCAGGAATACATTGTGCATAAGTTACATGTCAGGTAATGGAACTTGAAATTTATCCTCCAGGTTAGGGTCACTCAAAAATTGTAAATGGGCCACACCCAAAGTTCAGGTTGAGCTCTAGGTTGCAAGCAACAGAAACCCAACTTTCTGACTCAACCCTTCTCCCAATCCCCACACATCAAAAAAAAATTAAAAGGAATTTACTGGCTCCTGTGTTAGGGAGATTCAAGAAGAGCTAAACTTCAAGGGAACAGCTGTATCCCCAGCCTTAAAATTGCATCATCAAGATGCTTATCTATTCCAACTTTTATATCTATTTTCTTCTGCTTTGCTTTTCTTCTCCAGTTGCTTCTCACTACATTGTAACCAGACAATGTTCACTAGAAAATCCAAATGTATACGCTACCAATTTAGCAGGCCCCACAGAAAGAAGAGTTCCAATGCAAACATGGGGCTGAGTTAGTACACAAGCCTAAGGTCATGTGCCCATCTGTGAATGGGTCATTCTGACTCTGGCTATGCCCAAGGGAAAGTTGCTTGCATCAGAAGAGACAAGATCACAGAACAAGCAAAACCAACATATACCTGCACATTTTATCAGTTCAGTCAGCCCCTTCTCTGGTGCCATACACTCTCAGGAGATACCTGGGTTTTAACCAAAGAATAAATAAATAATGTTAGGGGCTGAATTGTGTCTCCACTCCCAAAATGTGTATATTGAAGTCCTAACCCCCAAAACCTCAGAACATGACTGTGTTTGCAGACAAAGCCTTTAAACAGGGGATTAAAGTTAAAATGAGGTTGTTGGAGTGAGCTCTAATCCAACCTGACTGGTGTCCTCATAAGAAGAGAAAACTGGACACACAGAGAGACACCAGGGATGTGCATGCGCAGAGAAAAGACAATGCACAGAGATGGAGAGAAGGCGGCCATCTGCAAGCTGAAGGGAGAGCCCTCCAGAGAAACTCAACCTGCCAACACCTTGATCTTGAACTTCCAGCCTCCAGAACTGTGATAACATATATTTCTGTCGCTTAAGCCACCGTCTGTTTTCTTGTGTTATGGCAGCCCTAACAAACTAATACAAACAAAATACTGGAAAATTAAATTTCTACCTGTGGTAGATTAAATATCACCACAAGTTATTTGCAATTTCTCCCATAAAAAGGAGCCCATGTCCCCACCTCTTGAGGCTGGGCTGGCCTTAGTACTTGGTCTGTCCCCTTGTAATGAAGTAGGAGTGACACTGTGACCCTTGGAGCTCAGCCCTCCAGGGGACTTGCAGTTTCTGTCACTGGAACCCAGACACTACATGAGAAAACCAGACCAGTCTCCTCGAGGATGAGAGACTGTGAGGATGATGTGCAGAGACACAGTCATCCCAGCTCTTCCAGCCAGACCTTCTGAAGCCAAACATGTAAGTGAAGTGAGACCATCCTGGAACAGCCAGCCCCCAGCAGACCCACCAGCTAAAAGCAGCCTCAGCAGGCAAGGCCAGCAGGAGAACCGCCAGCGAACCCATCAAACCATAAGAAATAAGAAACTGTTACTGCTTTAAACCACTAAGTTTTGCTGGTTTGCTATATAACAATAGAAACGGAAAAATTCGTAACACAAACGGAGCTGCAGAATTTTGTTTGTTTCTCGCTTTGTGGATGTGGTATGTACAAAAGCATGTCACAACCAAATTGTACTGCTTAATATTGCCTCAAAATTTAAGTAGATATAAAAATAAAACTATTTTATTAAGCATATTCGAAGAAGCTACTTTAACACAGGATCAACATATGTGTGATTTTATCAATTAAAATAGCAACAATTTTCAGATTTTTCATTTTGCTAGGAATAAGTCTATTACAAATATCCCTTTCCTGTTGCTCTGATTATCTAACTGATGGATGGTTGGAAAGCAGGCATTTTCACTCATCTGTAATGACTGTAGGTACTGTGTGATTGTGTGATTCAGTTTTTCTTCAGTCATTCTTAGTTGTATTCTTCATTTAAATGTGTATCCAGGAGCAAAATGTGTAACAGTAAAATTAACAATAAAGTTACAAATTATCAATGGCACCACAATGCATTATATATTTACTTGAATTAGACCACCATTTTAAGTTTTTACTTAATTAGCTTTTATTTATTTGCAGAAATGTAATTAACATGTTGCTGAAGACTGGTTCACTGAGCACTGTTTGCAAAATGGAGCCCCAGTGACACCTCATCACCACAGCTGGTGATGCTCCCTCAGTGGTGGCCATGTACTGCTGGCTGGGCATAGAAAATTAGCTGGCTGTGAACAGTTTATGTGCTCCCCAGGCCTCCAACACTTTCTTCTCTACCCCATGAGGATGTCAGAATACAAGTGAATGAGAATGGCTTCATCATCATAGAAAATTGTGACCATCTCTTAATACATTTTGAAGTCTAAAACTAATAAAAATCCCAAATTCATGTTCCTTACGTCTTTATTATTATTTTAAAGACGGGGTCTTGCTCTGTCACCTAGTCTGGAATGAAGTGACATAATCCTAGCTCACTGCAGCCTTGAACTCCTGGGCTCAAGCAATCCTTAGTCTCCTAAATAGTGGAGATTACAGGTGCGCACCACCACACCCAGCTTTTTAAACTCTTATTAGGGAAAAATTGTGTACAACACACAGATTTTGCCTTCTAGTAGTGGGTCATGAGGATGGGATTGCAAATTCCACTCTAGATCATGCAGGGTCTGAAGGATGGGAAGGTTTTGAGTTCTGTGGTCACTGTCATGCATTTAAAAGACCAATCCAGATACAAAGTGAAGAACTGATGAGTATTATTATGTAAATGTCCACAAATGGTTAGGAAATGGTTAGGAACTAATTACAAAGGTCCAGTCAAGATATACACAGTACCTGATATCAAAGATGGCCCCCAATGGACCACCCCTCCCAGTATTCATGCCCCGTGGAATCGCCTCCCTTTCATCTGAACCAGACTGTGATTCACTGTTGAGCGGCGGATTGCAGCAGAAGGGGTTTCCATGGCTAGGTTGAAAGAACCCTCATAGCTTCTACCTTGGTCTTTTGGAACACTCATTTTGGGGAAAGCCAGATGCCTGTTAAGAAGTTACCTGAGACCACCCAGACATGAGGAAGCACTATGGAGAAGCTACATAGAGAGGTCACGTGGAAAGAGATGTTCAGCCTCCAGTTCTTCCAGCCATAAAAGCTCAGGCACCAGACACAGGAATGAAGACACTATCTTGGACATAGAACTCAGATGGCTCTGGAGATAACTGCAGTTCTCATTGACATCTGCCTGTAACTTTGGTAGACATCTGAAGAAAGAACTGTCCAAATGAGCCCCGTTGATGCACACAAAAGAGAGAGGGCGAGAGAAACAATAAATGTTTAAGTGAATAAGTCTTGAAGTGGTTTCCTATGCACTTATACTAACCAAAATTATCTATAGGAGATATTACCTGGTAACATAATAGAACATTGTTCTAAATCATGTCTGTTTTCCTCTACGATAATATTAAACTAAACATCTATTTAAAGTAGAGTGTGTTAGTTTGCTAGGGCTACCATAACAAAATATCACAGACTGGGTGCCTTAAACCATACAAATTTGTTTTCTCAAAGTCCTGGGGGCCAGAAGTTCAAGATCAAAATGTCAACAGGTTTGGTTTTTCCTGAAGCCTCTCTCCTTGGCTTGCAGATGGCCACCTGCTCACTGTGTCCTCACGCGGCTTCTTCTCTCTGGACACACACGCCCCTGATGTCTCTCTTTGTGTCCTAATCTCCTCTTCTTATAAGAAAACCAGTCATATTGAATTAGTGCCTACCCTAATAGCCTTGTTTCAACCTAATTTCCAAGTACAGTCACACTCTGAGGCCATGAGAGTTGGAACCTCAACATACGAAATTCAGGGGAGACACAATTCAGTCCATAACACTTACTGACCACGGCAATGCTGCCGCAAGGTTGTTTCTATTGTGAAATAGCATCTGTTATTTATAAATGAACCCAGACTCAATAAATGACCAAACAAGGAAGGGCTAAAGGATTTACCTGAATTTGAAGGGGATTTCCATGGATGACTAAGTAGCATATATGCTGAGTTAAATACCCATCTCCCTCTATAACTCTCTATACTTACATCCATCTATCCTAGAGATATACTTGCTGTTTCTTGTCACTATCACCTGAATGCCTAAATAGGGAAGAGATTAAAAGGCCATTTGTAACTCTGTATGCCTGGCTAGTACACACTCAGTGCTTGGCACTATGAGTCTTATAAAGAAAAGCAGGAATTTGCTTTTCTTGCTCCTGGGGTACTCACAGTCCAGTAAAGGGCATGGTGGGGTGATAAACACAAAAAGTGCCCTGGAAACCAGGGGAAGGCTGAAAAGACAGCACTTGTACAGTCTGTGTCTGTGCACATGAGCACATACACACACACACACACGCACATGCATGCACACATCACGCTCCACTTGGGAAATCTCGAAGGTTCTCAAGATAATATTTGAGACATGACTACAAGTCAGCCGAATTATGTGATTCAGTTGCCATCATCAGTATTGATTTACTTGCTGCCCTAAGAGAAGCTCTATAACCTCCCAGCGACATAATCTCCCATTTTCACTGAAGGCAAGGCCCTTTTTGACAGCAGCATGTGGAGAGTCTATTAGCTCACTGTCAAAGCCAGGGCTTCAGACCAAGCCCAGACAGCTTAATTTTTAGGCTTTATTTCCCAACTAATGAGTCCACAGCCGCAACCTCAGGCTTAAGCTCTTCACCCCTGGTTTAACTTTACCCAGTCCCTGAGCCTTTCCTTGTGTGTTCTAAGATGACATGCTGCTCAGACCCCTTGAGGCTTAGTTAAACCTCATTTCTGTGAGTTTCTGTGTTGCTTTCCTATTGAGTCAGCAAAATATAGTCCTCTATTATACATCCCTTTTCTTGTTCCAGAAGGAAACTCTACTTTAGATCAATAGATACACCTACTCTTGGATATTATCTATTACAAAACTCAAAACTCTTTCCCCACTCTCACTTCTCTCATAGCATTTATTTCGTATCTAAATCAAAGTCCTTTCCACATTCTGCTTTCGACTGAGGTTGTTGGGAATTACCTGCCTCCTCCCCTAGATCCTCATTCCCATAAGGAGCAGGGCCCAACAGAGGCTCTGGAATTCCACTTGGGGGAAGATTCGGGCGTGATAATCTGATTGGAAAGAGGCTGGAAACTTACTTTGGCATTTGTTTTTATAGCAGGTACACTGATTTTACTTTGATTTTATCTATTTATTTGGAATTGCTTGAAACTACTTGCATTGCAGGTTTCCTGTTTTTTAACTTCCACTTTTGTTTATTTTGGATGGTGTTATGGATTTGCATCCCCCCCAGAATTCTTATGTTGAAGCCTATCTTTGGGAGATAATTAGGAATAGATGAGGTCATATAAGGAAAGCCCTTATGAATGGGATTAGTGTCTTTATAAGAATCTGGAGATAGCATGCTTTCTTCTTCTATCATGTGAGAATAAGTGAAAAGAATGCCATCTGTGGATCATGAATCAGGCCCTCACCATGACATGATCTTGGATTTCCCAGCCTCCAGAACTGTGAGAAATAAATGTTTGTTGTTTAAGCCACCCAGCTTATGATATTTTGTGATAGTAGTCCAAGCTTACTAAGAAAAATTAGTACCAAGAGTAGACATTATTATAACAAATACCTAAAATGGTGGAAGCAGTTTTGGAACTGAGTAAGGGGTAGAGGCCCAAAGAGTTTTGAGAGGCATGCTAGAAAAGTCTGGATTATCATGGAGAGACTTGTAAAGGTGATTCTAATGAGGACTCAAAAAGGAAACAGGAGAACTATAGAGAAAACTTCTGTCTTCCTAGAGAATTCACAAGTTATCATGAACAGAATGTTGGTAGAAATATGGATAGTAGGGAGGAGCAGTGGCTTATGCCTGTAATCCCAGCAGTTTGGGAGGCCAAGGTGGGGGAATCACTTCAGGTCAGGGGTTCAAGACCAGCCTGACCAACATAGTGAAAGCCTGCCTCTACTAAAAATACAAAAATTAGCCAGGTGAGATGGCACATGCCTGTACTCCAGCTGCTTGGGAGGCTGAGGCAGGAGAATCACTTGAACCCAGGAGACAGAGGTTACAGTGAACTGAGATCATGCCACTGCACTCCAGCCTGGGCAACAGAGCAAGATTCTGTGTCAAAAAAAAGAAAAAAAAAAAAACTATGGACAGTAAAGGCCATTCTGATGAGGTCTCAGATGGGAATGAGGAACAGGTTATAAGATAATGGAAAGAAGATAATCCTTGTGTTTATAAGGTGGCAAAGAATTTAGCTGAAATGTGTTCATTTCTAGTATTTTGTGGAAGGTGGAACTTGTGAGCAAGGAAATTGGTTTTAGCTGATAAGATTTCTAAGCAAAGTGTTGAAGGAGCACCTTGGTTCCTCTTGACCATTTATAGTGAAATGTGAGAAGAGTGCTCTTGAAGATGAAATTGTTAAGCAAAAAGGAACTAGAATGTAAAGATTTGGAAAACGCTCCACCTATCCAAATCACAAAAAATGAGAAAACATGTTCGGAAGAGAACACTAAGGATGTGACTGAGCAATTCTTTAATAAGGAGATTAGTGTGGGCTTGAACCATGAACTCAACCAGCCACCCCAGCAGGAAAACTGCCAGTTTGAAGTGATGGAAAAGAATGAAGGAAGACTGTCAGACTTCTTACATTTTATAGGACAAGATTATAATGCTGTTCAACTCAGAACACGTGCTATTCTTTAAGGCAAGGGAAGAGGGACCCCAAAGGCAATTCAGAGCTCATCACTACCTCTTCAATTTCAAAGGGTGAGGAGGCATCACCTGGATTTTAACAGCATAGATGGTCTCCACCCACAGCTCCATGCCTAGCAGAGCTTTGGGAAAGTGGTGGAAATTATGGGTACAATAAAGGCTCCCCTCAGATTTACCCTTGGAGTTGCTGGTGGCTGTCATATGTCTTATCCATAGTAATATTTCACAAAACACCTGGCATAGTACATACAGAGAATGCAACATTTGGCTATAGAATGACACACTGAGATGAATGTATGATCCAGAAAAGGACAGACCAAAACAAAGCTTGAGAAGGCAGAAGACCACAAAGCCAGTTCTACTGCAGGTTCAGTTCATACAATTACAATTAGGCAGTGTCCAAGATGACCACATGGAGGCCTGAGAAATATTTTAAAATAAAATAAAAATCAGACCAGTACTAACAATAATTTCACTGATCCCAGGAAACATAACAGTGGGTCACCTTGAAGGAAGCACTGTAAAAATTTAGAGAGAAATATCAGCTACCAAGTGGTGGCCAGACATTACAGCAAAATTAAGTTCCTCTAACTCTTGAGTGCCAAGCTCTCTCCATAGGCATCTTGCCCATTAGCCTGCTGGTGTCTTGATCCAATACCCTTGAGGGCTGTAAGTAGCAGCTTTACAAGGGTAATTGAAAGAGTATTACTGGCTGTCTATTTATCATCTCTTTATCACCTAACACCATGGTACCTATTAGGATGAAAGAGTAGACACTGTGCAAAACGTTGCCTCGGCTCGAAGATTTTCAGCTGCTTATTTAACAGGAGACAAGCAAAGCAAGATTCTCCTCAAATCCTCTCATTTTGGACCAATATTATGTGTTAATTAATCTTGATTACTCTATACAGTAAGCATATTTGAGGAAATTAATCGGCACTAGCCTCGGGTAGTGTCCTAATTAACAATATGCTGAAACAGCGTTCTCCTTGTAAGTGTAAATACAGTGTTGATGTCATTTGCAAGACAACAGTATGACTGTGTACTAGGCATACATGCTAAAGAATGCTTACTGAATATTCAAGAACTTTCTGTCCTTCGACCTTTCTGACTTACTGTCTTAGCTGGGTGGTCATGTATAGTCAACTACTGGCAGAATATGTGTCTCAGCTTCTTAGGATATTTTAATCCAAAAAAAAATAGAACATGAACAGGAAAAATATCATAGAGGTAGGAAACCTTAAAGATCAATTATTCACTTTATTCCACCAGGCCCTACAAGCTGAAACAGAGTTGAGCGAGATGTGGTGGAGAATGCAGATAATACATTTCTCATCTACTTTGAGTGTTTGTTAATGGAGAAATGAAATACAGTCATCGATAAGAATGGATGATGACCCCCTCCATGTCCACTGAAGCTGCATGTGACCTTGGCCTTCCTTTAGCACCCTTTCCCACTCCCAAATCTCCCTTACATTTCACTTTCTCTATGCCCCACCAGTTTCACATTGGATGTAGGACTCCCACAACATGGAGAAAGAAGAGAGAATCACAGAGAGTAGAAAATCAATGTAATCTCTTTATAAACCTATCTCGGATTTGGCTCAATTTTTCCATAGATGCGACCGTAATTCCATGAAAGGAAGAGCCCCTTTGCAAAGACTGAGCTGGAATGAGGAAATGGAGTTGACAGTGACTTGGGACTGTTATTTGTAGGTAGAGGCCAGAAAGCTGATATTGGAATAAAGCATCTGCCTACTCATTTACTCCAACAAAAATGAACAGAATAAATGTGGAATAAAGGTTTAAATTGGCCCAGAGAAGCCAATGACTGTGGAAGGAAAGAGAAGGATCCAGTGTTAGGCAGAGGGAGAAGTTGGTTTGTAATGTAGTCTCAACCAAGGTCTCGGCCAACCCCACAGGGAGTTCTGGAACTGAGATGATCCTTCAGACCAACAAGATGCAGAAAAAAATCCATTATTGCATTTTTATATTTTTGAAGACAGGTTCTCAATGTATGTGTGTGTAATCTATTTCAGGACAGGTTCTCAAGACAGCAAACTGAGATGGAAACTAGCATGCAGGAAATTTACTGACTACTGTTCTCAGGAACAGCACGGGTGAAAGAGAAAGGAAGAAAACTTTTTTTTCTAAGTCAATATTATAGATTCATCCATAGGAAAAAATTATCAAGAGCCTATTATATGCTAGGCACTAGCCATTAAGGATATAGCAATGAATAAATCTTCTAGTCCCTGCCCTCATGGAGCTTTTGTTCTAGTAGGAGACTCCAGCAATCCACCGGCAAACACATATCTGTAATGTAACATCAGGTATTTGTAAGTATTATTCAGAAAAATAAAGCAAGGGTAGGGGATAGAGTGGTACAGGTGGTGATTTCAGATAAGGTGGTCAAGAAAGGCCACTGTGACAGGGTAACATTTAAGGAAAGACTTGAAGGAAGTGAAGAAATGACCCATGCATGTATCTGGCTAAAGAGTATTCTAAGAACTGTTCACAAAATACACTCAAGAAACACATCATCATTTTTAATAACTCACTGAGTTTCCGTAATATGGATGCCCCATAATTCACTCATCTACTCCTTAGTAAATGAGCATTCAGGAAGCTTCCAACTTTTTTCCACTGCAATAAACATCTTTGTACACATATATCTTTAGTTACTGTTTACTTTTATTTTTGTGGAATAAATTACCTGAAGGGAGATTTCTGGGTCAAAGAAAATATATATATACTATATATAAATATATATATTTATATATTATATATATAAACATTATATATAAAACATTATATATATAAAACGTTATATACATATATATATATGTATATAATTTTTTTTTTCAGACACTGTCTTGCTCTGTCGCCCATGCTAGAATGCAGTGGCACGATCTCAGCTCATGCAACCTCTGCCTCCTGGGCTCAAGCCATCATCCCACCTCAGCCTCCCAAGTAGCTGGAACTACAGGAACATGCCACCATCCCTGGCTAATTTTTGTATTTTTTGTAGAGATGGGGTTTCCCCATGTCACCCAGGCTAGTCTCAAACTCCTGAGCTCAAGCGATGAACCCACCTCAGCCTCCCAAAGTGCTGGGATTACAGGTGTGAGCCACCATGCCCAGGCCCATTTTTAAATACTTTTTCAACATTATATAGCAATTCATAACCCCACTGATAATGGATGAAAGGTCTCATGTCCCCTCATTCTCACCAGTTCTTATCAACTTGTCTTAGTTACTTCAGGCTGCTCTACAAAGTACCATAGAACGGATGGTTTATAAATAACAGAAATTTATTTCTCATGGTTCTGGAGGCTGGAAGTCTGAGATCAGGGTGCCAGCGTGGTCTGATTCTGCTGAGGGCTCTTTTCCCCGTTGCTGATGGCCAACTTCTTGCTATATCCTTACATGGTGGAGGGAGGGAGTGCTGGTCTCTTCATCCTCTAATATAAGAGCACCATTTCCATTTGTGAGGGCTCCACCCTCATGACTTATTACTCCTCAAAGGCCCCACCTCCTAATACTTTCACGTTGAATATTTAGGCCTCAACATGCAAATTTGGGGTTAGACACAAACATTCCATTTATAGCACAACTTTTTAACCTCTTGCCTTTGCTGACCAGTATGAGGGTCTCATTTTTTTTTATTATTCGAATTTTCATGATTACTAGAGAAGCTGAGCAGCGTGTCCTGTTTTCTGGCTTTTCTTGCTTACATCCTTGCTGAGCGGCCCATTCATGCCCTTTACCTCATTTTCACTTAAGTCATATGTCTTTTCCTTGATAACGTGAAAGAACTTTTTGAAAATTAGGGATATTAGCCCTTGCCATTCATATGTGTTGCAGATATTCTTAACATTCTGCCAATCTATTGTTTGATTTTCTACTCTGTATGATGCATTTTTTTCTATGCAGAAGTTTGTTAATTTCAAGTAACCAAATCAATCAATCTGTCTTTTATGAACTCTAATAAGATTTAGCAGAGATAAATGCAAATTTTTTTTTTTTTTTTTTTTTTTTTTTTAGACACAGTCTCGCTCTGTCACCCAGTCACCCAGGCTGGAGTGCAATGGCGCCATGTTGGCTCACTGCAACCTCTGCCTTCCGGGTTCAAGTGATTCTCCTGCCTCAGCCTCCCGAGTATCTGGGATTACAGGCGCCTGTACAACCACGACTGGTTAATTTTTGTATTTTTAGTAGAGATGGGGTTTCACCCTGTTGGCCAGGCTGATCTCGAACTCCTGACCTCAGATGATCCACCCACCTCAGCCTCCCAAAGTGCTGGGATTACAGGTGTGAGCCACTGCACCTGCCTGATAAATGTAAATATTATCCCTTATCAAACTCAGAATTAAAGTTCAGAAAATCCTGTTGCCAGAGATTTTGAGGTTGGGAAATTAAGATCATTTTAAAAAAATAGAATTTGAGAAACTGAAATCAGATCTATGAAAGTCCTTTGAAATATATTTTGCATTCATAAAATAAAAGAATAAAGACATTATAAGTGTAAATTAGTAACACAGATACTATAATATTAATTGCCATTTACCATTCTTGCTTGAAACTTTTGAGCCTTTCTTAAAATTTTGGTGTGGTGCTTGTAAATTCTACTTATTTTCTTCTTTGCCTGGTTCCTCTTTCAAATGATCAATGCCTTCTTGATTGCATGACTCAGAAGATGCTTCTGTCCCCTCCCCAGATCACATGTCTATCAAATCCTCTCTCTCATATCTCGACTCCCGGCTCCTCGACTCCTCCTCACAGATGTCACCTGAATACCCTTATGAGTTTACTGTGCTTTATCTTCCTTTGTCTCCCCAAGGATTCACTGTGAAAATCTCCATCCTTCCTCTGCCATCTGCTTGATCTCCCCTTTTCACTCCCAACTCCCAATTTCCTCTCTTTCTAATTATCCCCAGCAGAAGTGACTCACAATCCACACAATTCTGTTTTTCTGGAACTGAAATTCCAACAGTTACCAAACAGGTGTACAGAAATAAATTTCACTTCTTGTACTATATTTTGAAGTTGGAGAAAGATTATCAACCCTGAATTTTGTTCAGAAAATCACAGACAGTGCTACAGAAGACAGTTAACCTGGTTTAATAACCCTTCATGTAAAATTGATCCAGGGGTATTAGTTTTATACAAGTTTGACATGAGCTAACAAAAGTATAATAGTGTTATGGAGATTGAAAACATTTATAGATATTAATAGAAAAATACATTCAAATCCAAAGAAGGACCTAATCTTCTCAGTGGCTGTGGAGAGTGGGGGGATTATCTTCATCAACCCACATCTTCCTCAGCCAATCACAGCTAACTAGAATAGCATCAACATGATTGGCTTAGATCAAACTGATTCGCCACTGTGGTCTAGGAATGGGGCTGGGATTGGCGTCTCCTGAAGCACATGGTCAGGGAGGAGTACAGACACCTAAAAAATAAAATTACATTAGAAAATGTAAGGAGAAATATTTGTTTCCCACTCCTCACGTTTCCTTCCATGTTGTAGGGAACTCTATTAATATAGAACTCTGGGCCCCCTTTATTCCCAAGTTGATTCAATTCAGGTCAGTGGGAAGGGGAATGGAATTGTATATTTGATTCATAAATTTGGAAGGATAATTGGCCAGGCTGACCCCAACACCTCACCCCCACCCCCTTCCCTGTGATTTAACATTTTGAAAAGCATGCAGTACCCCTATGCATATCTGACTGGGACAGGACTCCAGGCAGGAAGGGCCTATAGCTTGCTGGGTGGCGAAGGTATGTGCAAATTCAGGGGGACAGTTAGCACTTCCAATGCATGGAAGGAACACCAGAAAATCAACAAGGTGTAAAAATAGGGAAACAAATTCTTTATAGATTTCTTGAAGCTTCTGGTGTACAAGAGCCCCTAGTTTGGGGCCTGAAATGTGAGGACAGGGTGTTATGATCTTTGTGGTTGCTAAATGTTTATTTTGATCCATACAACCCTGTTACAGATATACAGAGAGCTTTAACTGCCAGAGCCAGATCAAGACATAGTAAATATAACATCTTCCCAGAGTGGATCATTATTGCTCAGAGCACCTACATCCGTATGGCAGGATCCACATGGAAGGTCTAAAGAAAAGGTATCTGGGTCTCATCAAAGGACTAGGACTCAGCAAAGGCAAAGGCCATAGGGCCCCAGCCAGGAAGGGGCCTCCGCAGCACGGGCCATACAAAGTTTAGCAAAAGCAAGCCTTGCTCTTCTCTCCTCAGCAAATGCATGTGCCTTCATCAGGCATAGAGACTGTCTAAGGATGCAGATTATGCTTGCTTGGCCTTGAACTTTGCTCATCTTTTCCTAAGTAGGCATTGTCTTTGGTCAGGTTTACCAGAAGCAAACCCTAACACAAGGATTCATATGTGAGCAATTTATTTAAAAACTGTCCCGGGAGAAAATGAATTAAGGAATTAAAGGATGAGGGGAGAAGCCAAAAAAGGAAGCAATTTCTGGTCAAGGCACAGCCTCAGTCTGAACCATCAGGGGTGTCCTGGAGTATAAATTACATCACAGAATTTGTCCTGACTCAAGGCAAGCATGCTGGGTGATTAGACTCGCCAGCACAAGTATGGAAGTTAGCAGTCTGAGAGCCTGTGGGGGTGATTTTTGTCTTATTGAGGATCTGGTCTTGATTCTATAACTTCTGAGGCCCAGAAGGAATTTCATGGAGCAATGGCCCAGGTTGAAAACTCTGTTCCACCCAGGTATTGACAACTCTTCTAGCTGAAATGCAGCAGAATTAGACGTTGACAAGATGAATTTTGGCCTTGATGCAGATCTACAAGCCAGATCTCAGAAACAACACACTAAGAATGGATTGGAACAGAAAGAAAGAGTCTGTATTCCTAGCAATTTTGTGAAAAAAACAAACATAGAAACAAAATCTCTACCTGGTGTAGACTCCCTAACTTTGGACTTTATTTTGCAAGAGAAAATTAACACCCAATTTATTTAAGTTCCTGTGTTGTCTCTCTGATGCTAGCAGTCAAACAAAATTTCTACCTAATATAATTGGTGAACTACCTTCAGGAATTTTTAAATCCTAATTTTTATCAGTGTTAGAAGTCAAAATCCTGTTTTGCATTTGATTTGGGGTTTTTTTTTTTTTTGACAGTGCAGGGATTGTTGCATTTTTAATTTCTAGATTATGTTCAACATGTGTCATATATATTACTTCTCTCATTCATGCATTTATTCATTCATTCCTCCAGCAAATATTTATTGAGCACCCGCAGCCTGCAAAGTCGTATGCTAGGCTCTGGGGATGTTAGACAAACAAGACAGAGTTCCTTCCTCTAAAAAGTGCAGATTTAGTAGGAGAGACAAAGCAGGGAAACAAATACTACAGTGCAAAGTGTCAAACACTATGATAAATGTTCGACAGAGGGGTTGTGGTATCCTGGAGGACATGAGTTATTTCAGTGGTAGCTGGAGGCAAATGTGCAAATCGCAGCATACTCTGCAAAGAACCACAAAGGAAAACACTGTGCATGTCCTCTCTCTGCTCTGAGAGGCCTTTGAGTCATCAGCTGGGTGTTGCAGCTGTCCCTTCTGTTAGAAAAGAAACTCCTAGAGCAATCACATCTGTACGCACACAGTAAATAAACTGAAGTCTAGAGGTGGGAATGCAATGTGATGAAGCTGCCAGCCACATACACAATTCTTTCTCTTACTCTCAGCTCAAAGTCCATTGAAGGAAATGCAGACAAAACCTGTCCTTGAAAAATCTTTGTTGTCTCCTTTTTCTTTGTCTTGTTTTACTGCATCGTTGTGGTTTGGTCTTTGTATTTTTTCTCATGAAGATGCCCTTGTGAAATTTACCCAAGATTTAATCTTATCTTCTAGTCACATTTAATATTTTCATAACTGCAGTGAGTTTGTATCAAGTGGCAGCACAGTTATGCCCTGAGATGAAAGAGCGTTGTTTTTTGTTTTTTGTTTTTTGTTTTCTGAATTACTTTAAGGGAGTTATTCTCTTGCAAAGTTTTCTCTTTGCCTTCTGGGTTAAAAGAAGCAATTATGGATGGTGAAACCTGGAGAATAGACTCTTGGAATAGACTTACTCAATATATAAAAAGGAAGGGAAGAGAAGGAATGAGCCGTGCTGTCTTTTCAACCAGATCCTCTCCCCAGGTGGGTTATCTCACCCACGATTAAGTGGGAGATGAGCTGTTGGGAGTGTGGATCACACCATCTTTGTCACCAATTACTGTCTTGACCACTGCCTCCAAGGAGTGACCATAAACAAAGCTCAAGCAGCTTTTTACTAAAACATTTCAAAAATAAAATCATAATTCTCAGAGTACAAAGGAATAGCTGTGATCATCTAAATCTATCTTTTGTATGATTAAAAAGAGAAAGAACATGGGGGTCTCCCATTCATTTTTCATAAAGCCCACACTTGGTCACTCCCTACACCAGCTGAGTGCTGAACCCTTCTTGATCTGATATTTTCTTTTCCTTTATCCTAATTCCTTCACAGTTTTAATTCTTTCTATTCTATTGAAGTCTCCCACCTACATCCATGTGGCATTGATAGGATCAAGAAGAAAAAAAAAGAAACAGCTGCAAGAAATGAGATGTAAGCAACAGAGACTTCAGCAGAAACATGAAATGAGAACAAGAAATGACAAGAAAGAAGGATAAGTTTCCCAAGACTGTGTTGGGCTATTTCGGGGAAACCTTGGTCTCCCACCATCTAAGCTACTGGAATTCCAACTAATTTAACCTAATGGTAAAGGGCTGTGTAAACCCAGCAGACTGGGAAGTTTGGGAATGTGCAGGCAATTGACATTTTGTCATACTTATGCATAAAACTCATTGGAATGTCCGCTGCTTCTTGTTATGGAGTAGAAAGTTCCAACAGGGTATCCTGCCAATATGCAACAAAAAGAACAGGTCAGATAAGCTACAAAATCATAGTTTAAAAAGACCTAAGAGCTGAAGATGAAAAAACACCTAAATAAACTAAATTTCATAAAATGCCAAGCCCTAGAAGACACCACAGCTGCCTTCATCCCTGGGGGAACAATGAGAAGGGGAGGAATTGGCAAAAGACGAAAATAAGGAGACTAGCTGAACTTTCTATGAACTATTAATGGTTATAGATGGGCCAATATTGTGGATTAAAATACTAAAGTTCCCAGTGATACAATGAGTCTGCACCCACATGCCAAAACTTTCTCAAGGGCCTTCTCTGAGTGCATGGAGGTAGTGCACCAAAGGCTCAGAGCAGAGCAAGAGACATGAGAGAAATCTCTCATTGGTACAATAAGCCTCCATGAAATGCAACGAAAAAGCTTCAGACAGGGTCCCAGGCCTTCCCCATGTGTACTGCAACTGTCCGGTAAAGGTTGGGTACAGAACAGCAAGGTAGAGAGATATTTATATTTTTCCGGATGCATAAAGCCAGAGGGCAGTGCTGGAAAGCAAAGAGAACTCCAAGTGACCCAAAAAGTTGGCAGCCAAGTCGTAAAACAAAGAGAAGCTCCCCACAATTCAGAAAGCAGTAGCTAAGCAAGCTAAGCTATAAAGCATAGAAAAGATTCCCAGAGTCCTGCTCTGTGGAAAGGAAAGTCTTGATATTATGCTCAAAATATTTGAAACCAGAATGGAGTGGATCTAACTAAAACTGCAACAAGCCCAGACAGCTCAACTGAAGATTAAATCAACTCAGTCTCACGCACTATTGACCTGATAGAAGGAGGTGTGGTCTTTTCCGGAGGGAATTATCATTTACTTCAATATATACTATTGTTTACACACATGATGAGCAGACAATCAAAAACTGTGAGACTTATGATGATGTAAGGAAATATGACCCATACTCAAAAGAATAGTAGTTGGAACCATAGCCACAGATGCCCCAGATCTCAGAATTAACAAAAAAGATTATAAAATAACTCTGATAAAAGATTAATAAATCCATGAGCAGATGAGGCATATCAGCCCAAAAATGAAAGCTATAAAAAAAAAACAAATAGAGATGCTAGAAATGAAAACTACAATATCAGAAATAAATAATTTATTTTAGGTCTTAACAGCCAAGTATACACAACAGAAAAAAATAATGAATAAGTCTGAAATTATTCAATAAAAATTATTCAAGTTGAAATAAAAAGACATAAAAAGGATGAAAAGTGGAAAAAAGTACCCGAGATCTGTGAGACACATTCAAATGGTCTAATAACAAGTAAATGGGGTCCCAGAATGTAAGAAGAAAGAAATGGAAAAGATAAGGGCAGAAGAAATATTTGAAAATATAATGACTACAAGTTTTCCAAACATGATTAAAGATATATTCCAGAGGTTCAAGAAAATCCAACAGATTTGCATCAAAGAAATGCTAAAAGAAGTTCTTTAGGATTATAGATAAAGATAAAAGATGGAAGTGTGGATTTGCAAGAAATGATGAATATCAGAAAAAGTGTTATAAATATGTGTATAAATACAAAATACCGTGTGTGTGTGTGTGTGTTTCCATTTTTTTAAACTATTAATTTTGTAAACCAAAATCAGTAACTTTGTTTCATGGAATTTTTTAAATATATAGAAGTCAAATATATGATTCAAGATAGACAAGAAAAGATTCAGAGGCTATAAATGGAATTATAACATTGTAAGATTTTTACATTGTTCATTAAATGGGATACTATCATTTGAAGGTAGCCTGTGATAAATTAAAGCTGCATGTTGTAATCAAGAGCAACCACCAAAAAAAAAAAAAAATTACAAAAAGTCGATAGGGAAGATAAAATGGAAAATTTAAAAATACCTGTTTAACCCAAAAGATGGCAGGAAAGGAGAACAGAAGAACCAAAAATAGATGTGATAAATAGAATTGTATCAAAGACTGTATTAAATGTAAGTGTATTAAACACTCCATGTAAAGTATAAAAATTGTACAGCTGGACACAAAAGTAAATTCAATTATATGCTGTTGACAAGAAACATACTTCAAATACAAAGGCAGGTATAGGCAAAAAGTAAGAGTGTGAGAAAAAATATGCCATCCAAACACAAAGAACAAGAGAGGTAACGTGGCTCTATTAATATAAAACAAAGAATATTCAAGACAAAAAAAATACCAGAAATAGAGACCTTTAGTAATCATAAAAAAACTCTTTCAAAAATGTATATATAATAACCCTAAATGTGTATTTACCTAATGACAGACTTCAGAATACGTTGAACAAAATTTGACAAAACTAAAAGAAGAAATAGACAAATCTATAATCATAGCTGGAGGTTTTAATACCTGGTAAAGAGAAAAAGAAAAGAATAAGATAAGGGGAAATGCCTCAAGGAAAACAGGGGTTCAATGACATTCTACATGGGATTATGATTTGTTTCCCAAAGGTACTTCGTTTATTAATACATTGAAAATAAGTGACTTGTTTCTCTCCATTTCTTTCTTCACTTCTTGTGGAAGTTTTCCATTCTATGTTTTCCCTTCTTACAACTCCTTGTTTTCCAGAAATCACTTGCAAGGAAGATTCAGTTACCCACTGCTACACTAGAAAGTTAGGCTTCTCTTGCGGCATTCCACAGTGAATCCCTTCATCAACATCTGGATCTTACAAAATGAAGTACCTCAGCAAGCTATGAAGAGAAAGGATGTTCTACCCCCTTCTACTTTCTGCCACCTCACCACAATAACCAATCCTATCATCATCATCACAACTGGCTCCTTCATACCTTTAAGGTCCCTTCAAAGAGGACATCCTTGACCACTTCCCCTAAAATATATATCCCCTTCCATGAGTGTGCTCTCTCAGCAACCTTTCTCTCAGCAATAAAATTAATGTATCATTAATGAATTATTGGTGGGTTCTTTTTTCCTCTTTCTCACCTAGACAGTAGTGTAGGATCTAGGACTATAACTGTCTTGTTCACTCCATTGAATTCTAGGAACGGGAATCCAAGACTAAGGGAGGCTATGCTCTTTGGCCAACGTCACACATCTAGAAAGTGACAAAACCAGGATTCAGACACTGATCAGCCCAGTAGTTCTCCTTCCCCAACATCCAACGTGCTGCATGAACTCCTGCATGCTGATATGATCAATCAGTTATTCAAGATTTAACAGAACTAAGAGAAGAAATAGAAAAACCTATCATCACGATTATATGTTTTAACGTTTTAATTTTCCTCAATAGAGGGGAAAAGAAGAAAGTACAATGAGTAAATTCTAAGTAACTGGCTTAAAATGCAACCCACAACAGTGTTCCTTAAAAGTAATTCACTCAAGTTTCCTGAATGAGTCATTTTCCCACTCACCATTTTAATAGAGCAACACAAGCTACTCTAAAAAAAAAAAAAAAGGCCTGTAATCTCAGTGACTTTACACAAGATATGTTTATTTTTCATTCTTGTGAAGTATAAAATAGTGTTCCTAATTGATGAGCAACTCTTCTGCGAGTGGCCATGTAGCAATCCATCAGCCTCAAGCCAAGAGAGGGGAAAGAACCTTAAATATCACATGTGGGAAATATCTTTAAGGGGGAGGTCTGGAGACAGTATATATCAGTGCTTCTCAAACTGTGACATGCATTAGAATGACCAGGGAAGCAAGCATGCAGATTCCTCAACCCAACCCCCAGAAATGTCTGTTCTCTAGGCCTGGGCCAGGACTCAAGAGTCTGCATTTCTAACAAGCTCCTGGGTGATGCTGAGCCTACTATCTGGGAACCACAGATTGAATAGCACTAGTGTATACCACTTCTACTGACATTTTGTTGGCTAGCACTCAGTAATATAGCCACGCTCAACTAAACAGGGTCTAACTGTATGCTAACAAAGAAGAGGAACTGGGTTTGATGAACAGCTGGACAGTCTCCCCTATATATGATTTTTTTTTTTTTAGATGGAATCTCACTCTGTCGCCCAGGCTGGAGTGCAGTGGTGCGATCTTGGCTCACCACAACCTCTGATTCCTGGGTTCAAGTGATTCCCCTGCCTCAGCCTCCTGAGTAGCTGGGACTACAGGCATGAGCCACCACACTCTGCTAAATTTTTTTGTATTCTTAGTAGAGACTGGGTTTCACCATGTTGGCCAGGCTGGTCTCAAACTCCTGACCTCAAGTGATCCACCTGCCTCAGCCTCCCAAAGTGCTGGGATTACAGGCGTGAGCTACTGCACCTGGCCACTATATGATTTTTTAAAAATTACTAACATATCCAGGCAATCAAGGAACCAGGAAATCAAATGAGAGATTAATAAACTAAAATTACAATTCCTTCTTCCAGTCAATCTTTGACCTTTAATAAGATTTCTCACTTAAGGAATCACAGTCAATTAAGAAAAGATCAGTGGCTATATTTTGACAAATGATTCTAATAAATTGAGGCTAAGAATGAGAAAGGAAAATAAAAGACCAATAAATGTGCATGCACGCACACACACAGAAACACATGATTTTAGCCAAGGAGAACCACATTTGTGTACCAGGATCTAGGCAAACCTACTCTTGCAAATAGAAATGCTAATGGGTCCTTAATTCTTGATAAAATATTAGCAGTGCTGTAAGTACACTCACCCATCTCCAGGAGACCACATTTAATGCATATAACTCCCTGACCTTTAAGATTTTACTTATATTTATCAAGATGCCCCTGAGAGTCCTTACTCTGTTGCCATTTAGCCATTGGTCATGGGATAACAATGCCCTATGGTGTAAGTAATTGCTCAGAACAGTCATTGCCCTCCAGGGTTTCTTGCTTTCCCAGAAAGATTGTGTCTCCAGGATTGGTGGGACTTAGAGAGGTTGTTTAGTCTCTTCTGGCCTTCTGGCTAGAATATACTTAAAAATTGTTTCAAAAAATAGAAATCTGAACTTCACTCAGTAACCCTTTCCAGTTTTCATCCACTCTCCCTAACAAGGAATTCTGACTTAGTTTAACTTAAGTACCTCTCATTGCAGTGAATTCATTTTCTTCTCATTTTGCCCTCAGGGGAAACAAGATATTTGGCTACCAGTATCATAAGTTCAAGAGCTGGTCAAAGACTTAGTGATCCAACACATAAATGATCTTTACAGACCACCATAATATATGACTCATCTTCAGCTTAGCACTTGGGACAAAAAGTAGACAAGTCCATTATCTCGGCAGTAGGAAGTTACTGTTAGTAATAACAAAGTGCCAATAGTTTCAAATAATATTTCTTTTCTTTTCTTTTCTTTTTGTTTTTGAGATAGAGTCTTGCTCTGTCACCCAGGCTGGAATGCAGTGGTGCCATCTTGGCTCACTGCAACCTCTGCCTCCCAGGTTCAAGCAATTCTCCTGCCTCAGCCTCCCAAGCAGCTGGGATTAGAGGCACCCACCATCATGCCCGGTTAATTTTTGTATTTTTAGTAGAGACAGGGTTTTGTCATTTTGGCCAGGCTGGTCTCGAACTCCTGGCCTCAGGTGATCGGCTGGCCTCAGATGATCGGCTCGCCTCAGCCTCCCAAAGTGTTGGGATTATAGGTGTGAGCCACCGCGCCCAGTATTCCATAGTTTCTCTGTAACTGTGAACCTCAGAGTAGTATAGTATAGACACGATGGGCAACGGTAAAGTCCCTTTTCCAAAATTAGATTCTCAGGATCGGGGGGACAGTCTCACAGTCATCTGGGAGCTGGTTGCAATTGTCTTGAGCAAGCAACAAGAAAGTCATCCTCAGAATCCCCCCTGAGTTCAGTGCCATTCATGATTAATTGAGTGCCATGTCAGGGCAAATGCTGAGATATGCTCTATGACTGATTCGGTTTGGCTGTGTTCCCACCCAAATCTCATCTTAAATTGTTGCTTCCATAATTCCCACATGTTATGGGAGGAGACTGGTGGGAGATAATTGAATCATGGGAGTGGTTTCCCCCATACTGTTCTCATGGTAATGAATAAGTCTCAGAAGATCTGATGGTTTTATAAGGGGTTTCCCCTTTTGCTTGGCTCTCATTCTCTCTTGCCTGCCACCATGTAAGATGTGCCTTTCGCCTTACACCATGATTGTGAGGCCTCCCCATCCACATGGAACCATGGGTCCATTAAACTTCTTTTTCTTTATAAATTACACCATCTCAGGTATGTCTTTATCAGCAGCATGAGAATGGACTAATACAATGACAGACAAAAATCAGGGCAAGATCTGGTTGCTGTCCTTATGGAAACTAAGAGAGAAGCAGTCTGTTTCAGGAATGGAATTACATTTCCCCCAAATATCAAATCTCATTGGTTGATGGTGGCTGTGCTAAGTGCTATGATAAGAATTATGAAGCTTGGTCTAAGGTCAGTGAGAAAGTACCAAGGACTAATTAGCAGTGCCTACTCAGGACACAGAATATCAAGGTGGCAGCATGTTTTCCAGGTGTTTTCTATCTCCATCTAGTATTTCAGACTGAGACTCCACCCAGATAGGAGAAGATTGTTTACCCTACCTACCACTTTCCACCATTGAAGTTTCCTGCAGACAAAGATAAGGTCCCAAGAAGAGGCCACTGGGCCTCAGAGACTTGGTTGGTTAGCGGTTGTCTTCCCACTATTACCCCCCGGGAAGGAAGCAAGCCTTTGTTACTTTCCTTTCTTCTCCCAAAAAGAACACTTGAATCGCACAAAATCTGATCTTCCCCCATATATGTTTGGTGTGATAATTCCTGAAACAAAAAGCAAGTACAAGGTGAAATTACAAAAACAAACTTTCTCAATATCCAAGACAGGATTTATTTTTCTTTTTCCTTGAAGTTTTCTCACTTTTGCTCTACTCCCACAGAAGAGGGCTCTGTTGCTCTCCCTTTAAAAGTGTGACCTGAGAATGAACAAACACTTCTTTCCTGAGACAGCCTGACATTTTTATAAAGTGCTTTATTAACATCTGAAAGAAAAAGGAAATAATTACAGAAATGCAATGGTGTAAAAATAGTTTGGTTTCCAAAGCACAGGTCTGTGATCCTAAGCATATCAGTAAATCACAACTAAAAATGACCCCCCAAATTCCTCATCCTCAGGCTACTGCACCCAAGTCCTCTAGCAAGGACCATTGCCTGGATCCCTTCCTATCTCTCAAAAGTGACCTTCGGGTACCTTCTTGTCATCCTGACCCTAGGAAGTAGTACAAGAACAAGTTCCAACCTCTTTCACAGTTCCCACCTCTCATCTAGGGTCTTCCTCCTCAATTTCAGATCCAAGTCACATAGCCAGTTGCTGCAATGTGTTCATGGCAGTGGTAACTGGCATTCCCTGAGAGCTCATGAAGGATAACTACTCCTGCTTTTACCTGCTTTCACTGAATTCTGTAAAGACCTATTTGGTTGAGTCATCCCTCCATCTCCCCACCTATACACATAAATTGTCTTACAAAAGTCTACCCACTAGAATTTTAATATACCTTAACTCATTGACCATGGCTTGGCAAGTGAAGCTGTGAGGGAAAAAGAGACTGAGGCTGGTCCAGGCTCAGTGGGAAAGAATGCAATGATCAATTAGCAATCTCTGTCATGAGTGTGGGAAGTCCACTGGCATGATCCACAGATGTATTTAGCAGCCCCAATTTGAATTGCATAATAATCATAACGACAATCCAGAGTGAGCAAATAAGAAACAGGCCATTCTTTCCTGTCAGCTGGGCCAAGAAGCATTCATTTGGTCTGTGTGAGAATGCAGCTACAGCAATCATGGAGGAGAATAATGCCAACTTTGCAGACTAATGATTAATCCACTGTTCTAAGTAGCTCTAGGCCTTTTCCATCACTCCTATTCTACTTTCAGCCAAAACGTTGGTCATCTTTAAGAAAACTTACACTTGTTCACATGATATCTATATTCATCCTCTGTTGTGACATGGATATGTTGGGAATGCCGTGGTGATAACTTTCTTTTTTTTTTTTCTTTTTTTTGAGACAGAGTTTTACTCTGTCACCCAGGCTGGAGTGCAGTGGCGCAATCTTGGCTCACTGCAAGCTCTGCCTCCCGGGTTCACGCTATTCTCCTGCCTCAGCCTCCCGAGTAGCTAAGACTACAGGCACCTGCCACGACGCCCGGCTAATTTTTTGTATTTTTTTTTTTTAGTAGAGACAGGGTTTCACCGCATTAGCCAGGATGGTCTCGATCTCCTGACCTCATGATCCGCCTGCCTCAGCCTCCCAAAGTGCTGGGATGACAGGCATGAGCCACCGCGCCCAGCCAATGTGATCACTTTCTTCAACATAATCAGGCCATAACTGCTGACACCAGGCAGCTACCTGAGCCACCTCACTCTCCAGCTTCTGAGGAAAATTGAGAAAGGCTATTGGGCTGCAAAACCAAATAGAATCCATTACAAGTTTATCTTCTTCTGGCTAAGTTATATGTCCAATATAGAAATTAATCATAATTTCATAGATTAAGAAAAAGGACACGTGGTTTCACTCTACGAACAAATATCCAGGAGTTAAAATGCAAGCACTCTCATAATGAATATAAAATACAAGACAAGAGTTCCATTATCTAGTCCACACTTCTGCTCTTAACTTTTGCTCTCACATTGCATGAAGTAGGAAAAAACAATTGGCATGTTTATACATCAGAGGCAACCATATCAAAAAGACTGTAGGGGCCAGGCGTGGTGGCTCAAGATTGTAATCCCAGCACTTTGGGGGCCAAGGCAAGCAGATCATTTGAGCTCAGGAGTTTGAAACCAACCTGGGCAAACATGGCAAAACCTTGTCTCTACAAAAAATACAAAAATTAGTCAGGTTTGATGGTACATACCTGTCCTCCCAGCTACTTGGGAGGCTGAGGCGGGAGGATGGCTTTAGCCCAGGGAGCAGAGGTTGCAATGAGCTGAGATCAAGCCACTGTACTCTAGCCTAGGTGACAGAGGAAGACTCTGTCTCATAAAAAAAAGAAAGAAGGAAAGAAAGAAAGAAACCATAGGAAATAAGGAAGAAATCATCATAGCAATAAAGAGAAAAAGGCAAAAAGTTATCTTACAAATTGTTAAAACTCTCAGGTAACAACAGATAATATGCAAATAAGAAATAAGGGAGGTGTTCTACAGTGTTTCTCGCATATATTAATACCTTATTAACACCTTATTAAGATTCTTCTAAGAATTGCAAGCTTTTCAGGATAGGAAAAAATGTTCCCATTCAATCTACACAGTAGAAAATGGCTAGGCACAAAAGGAAGCAGGTGTAAGGTTAAAGTAGTTTGCCTCACTATTGAGGCAAATTCTTGGTATTACTGGTGCCTGGGTTCCTGGTGAGACATTATCAGATAATTTAGAAATAAGGAAAATAAGATTGGAGTTAGAACCTTAACACCAATAAAAAAGAAATCAGAAAAGAGATAGGCAAATTTATCTTAAGGAAATAGAATAATTCGGCCAGGTGCAGTGGCTCAAGCCTGTAATCCTAGCACTTTGGGAGGCTGAGGCGGGCAGATCACAAGGTCAGGAGATCGAGACCATCCTAGCGAATACGGTGAAACCCCATCTCTACTAAAAATACAAAAAAATTAGCTGGGCGTGGTGGCGGGCGCCTGTAGTCCCAGCTACTTGGAGGCTGGGCGGGGGGAATGGTGTGAACCCAGGAGGCGGAGCTTGCATTGAGCCAATATCACGCCACTGCACTCTAGCCTGGATGACAGAGCAAGACTCTGTCTCAAAAAAAAAAAAAAAAAAAAAAAGAATAGAATAATTCATGTAATTAACTCCCTTAATTCAGATTCCATGCCGAATGGTCTTTTTATTGTGATTTCTTTCCCATGTCATCTGTAGTGAGTTGAGTTGTATCTCCCAAGGAGATATTTGCAAATTCTAACACCTGGTACCTGTGGACATGACCTTATTTGGAAATAGGGTCTTTGTAGATGTAAATAAAGGCCAGGCACGATGGCTCACACCTATAATCCCATCACTTTGGGAGGCCAACACAGGTGGATCACCTGAGGTCAGGAGTTTGAGACCAGCTTGGCCAACATGGTGAAATCTTATCTCTACTAAAAATACAAAAATTATCCAGGCATGTTGGTGGGTGCCTGTAATCCCAACAACTTGGGAGGCTCAGGCAGCAGAATCACCTGAACCTGGGAGGCGAAGGTTGCAGTGAGCCAAGATCATGCCACTGCACTCCAGCCTGGGGGACACAGCAAGACTCGGTCTCAAAAAATAAAAAATAAAAATAAATAAATTACAAATCTCGAGGTGAGATAATCCTTGATTTAGGATGGTCCCTAACTCCAATGACTGATATCTTTATAATATAATAGGATGGAGTGGAAAATTTGAGACAGAGAGACGCAGAAAAAAAAAGGCCATGTAAAGACAGAGGCAGAGGTTGGAGTTATGCTGTGATAAACCAAGAAATTTCAGAGCCAACAGAAGCTGGAAGAGAAAAAGAAGGATCTCCCTTAGGGCCTTTGGAAGGAGTGTGATCCTGCCAACATCTTCAGTTTGGAGTTCTGGCCTCCAAAATTATGAGATAAAAAATGCTGTTGATCCAAGCCAAAATTTCTATGGCAATTTATTGTAGGAAACTAATGCATGGTCTCCTTTAAGGAAAAGATTGCACTGACCTAAGGACTCAAGTGTCTAGCCCTTAATTAGATATGTTACCATTGTACGTTTTTAAGTTGACATTCTATTTCTTTAAAGCCATTCATACACTTGGTGTATTAGCAAACTAGATTAAGTTATACCACAGTGATAACCCCAAATCTAAGTGTCTGGACATGCTACATGCCCGCAAGGGTTGCTAGTAGATTGTGATCCACACAGTCACTCAAGAACTGAAATTATACCATGTTGTAGATGTGTTATGTGGAACACACAGCATGTTTGGTGGCAGCAGCAAAAGAGTGTGTGGAGTCCTAATAAAACAAGTAAGCAACGACAATGAAGGGGCCCCAGGTAGGGGAGAACAATTGTTCTGAGGCTAATCACAGACAACCCGCTGGCACAACATCCTGTTCCCAAATACCTCTTTCTGCACATAGTCCTAATGGCACGAACTTACCTGCACATAGCCCCTCCAATACTACCCTATAAAACTTCCCTCCAGCCCCTGTCTCTTGGCAAACAGCCCCTTCTCTGCCATGCACCCTTGCAACATATCTTTGTATTTTCTCTAACAAATCTGCTTTTCCTTACCTACAACTGTACTGGTAAATTCTTTGACCATCTGCAATGGTGGGCCCAGCCAGTCACACCCACGCAGAAAGCACATAGAAATCTCACACCAATTCTTCTATCCCTTAACCCAGAAGAGAAACACAAAACTTCTATTCAGAGTCCGCCAGCAAAAACTAGTCACATGGCCCTGCCTTATTGCAAGAGCAATGGTAAATACATGGGAGTAAATAAAATATTTTGTAAGCAAGACTTTTGTTATCACACTTATGAATCCACATGGGTAAAAAGAATGACTCTTTTCTCTGTAGTCTCAAAAGGGAAGCTACTAAGATTGTAAGTTTGAAGTTTAGTCCTTGAACTGTGGCAAACTTCTTTTGTGCTTCTTATAGGTACACCAGGTGACTTTATCTGGGCCACATACCATCCTTCTATGTCAGCACTACGTGCAAAGAAAACATTTTAAAACTATTTTTAATGTCTACAGTACACGAATACTGAAGAAGCTCTCCAAGGTCCAGCCTAAGTCTAGCATTCTGTGACTTTAATTCCAGACCGACTGCAACTTCCGGCATCATGGTACAAAGGTGCAAGCCATCCCACCCCCACCCTCCTTTCAGGTACTATAAAATTTTGAGGCCAGGTGAGGTGGCTCATGCCTATAATCCCGACTCTTCGGGAGGCCTAGGTTGAGGGATTGCTTGAGGCAAGGAATTCAAGGCTAGTCTGGGCAAAATAACAAGACACTGTCTCTACAAAAAAAAAAAAAAAATAGATAAAAAAAAAGTAGCCAAGTGTGGTGATGTGCACCTGTAGTCCCAGCTACTTGAGAGGCTGAGGCAGGAGATTGCTTGAGTCCAGAAGTTCAAGGCTGCAGTAAGCCATGATCCCACCACTGTACTGCAGCCTGGGTGACAGAGCAAAACTCTGTCTCAACAAAGAAAAGGATTCCCTGGAATTCTCAGGAAAGATGGTATCCTGGGACACTGAAATATTTTTTCAGTTGCAGGACCAAGACAAAGGCCAAAAAACAGAAATTTTTCACCAAACCTTTTACAAATTCTCCCTGAAATATCTATAGACCATTGTAACTTACTAAGTGGAGCCATATAAACATAAAAAAAAAACTTTGATATTCTGAATCATGTGGCACCTGAGGGTCATCATTCTTTTTTTTTTTTTTTTTGAGATGGAGTCTCGCTCTGTCCCCCAGGCTGGAGTGCAGTGGCACAATCTCAGCTCACTGCAAGCTCCACCTCCCGGGTTCACGCCATTCTCCTACCTCAGCCTCCCTAGTAGCTGGGACTACAGGCTCCCGCCACCACGCCCAGCTAATTTTTTGTATTTTTAGTAGAGACAGGGTTTCACCGTGTTCGCCAGGATGGTCTCAATCTCCTGACCTCGTGATCTGCCCGCCTCAGCCGGGTCATCATTCTTAACAAGACACTGTACTTGGAGTAGGAGTAGCCCTCCCAAAGCAGGAGGAAAATACTTCACCCTGAGGGACTCAAATCATGGAACTGTTCCAGGTGAGTTCTCGCCTTCCAAAAATTATTTGGAATCACACCTATCCTATTTAATCCAGGTCTCAGAAGCCTGAATCCAATCCAAGTTTCCTTCTCACCATTTTCAAACAACAACAGCAAAATCTGGATCCCAATAATTACACTGAGTATGATTTAGGGGAAAAAAAGTAAACAGTCTTCAAATTGCGATCTGCTGCAATTTCCAGCTGAGGTAAACAAGCTTCACAAACACAGACGTTTGCAGAAAATTCTTCCTGTGCTGGTAAAAAATGTTTTCAAATGGATGCAGGTGGTCCTGGTGAGATTCCAGCACAGCATTGGGTATTCCCTTAAGGGCATGTTCCCTTCCTGCTACTTAACTGTTATTTTTGTCTACAAATTAATAGGTGCAGTTAACCCAGAGTTGGGATTTAACCAGTGAATGGGAAATTGGAACCTCAGAGATTGCTGCACAAAGGAGAGAAGCTAGGTTGTTCCCACAAGCCCTGTCAGCTCCGGGTAATGACGCCTTAAGGTCAGAAATAAATGTCTTTCTTTCCAAGGCAATTGGCCTGAAGGAAGAGCAAAGGAGAGCTCATTTACCCTACAGCAAACTATCAAAAATGGTGGAACTTATTAGAAGAAATGTCATGTCCTGTCCCCAGCCTTGCACTGTGCTGCTTGCTACCCATTTAAAGCAGGGAATCTAGAGACCTCTACTTTCTATCTTCATTCAATGGCATGGTTGGACACCACAATGAACAAGGTCCCGAAGGCTGCTGCACAAAGAAGAGTAAACCAGATTCTGCCCCAAAAGACTAGCTAAAGAGGTAACACTTATCTAGATAATTGATTAAAGAGAAACAAGAGGCCGGGCGCCATATATGATCTTAATTTCCCAACCTTAAAATCTCTGGCAACAGGATTTTCTGAACTTTAATTCTAAGTTTGATAAGGGATAATATTTACATTTATCAGGCCAGGAGCAGTGGCTCACGCCTGTAATCCAGAACTTTGGAAGGCTGAGGTGAGTGGATCATGTGAGGTCAGGAGTTAGAGACCAGCCTGGCCAACATGGTGAAACTCCATCTCTACTAAAAATGCAAATATTAGCTGGGCATGGTGGTGTGTACCTGTAATCCCAGCTACTCGGGAGGCTGAGGCAGGAGAATCACTTGAACCCTGGAGGAGGAGGGTGCAGTGAACTGAGATGACACCATTGCACTCCAGCCTGGGTGACAGAGCAAGACTCCATCTCAGGAAAAAAAAAAAAAAAAAGAGAAAACAAGAGTGCTGCATGTGTCCATGGGTAACTTTCTTACGGTTAGTTTAGACTTGAAAACAAGGCGTTAATACTAAAGCTTCTGAACAGACCTGCTTTCTCAGGCATTCTTAGTCCATATTGACTGAATGAAGGTGAATGTGATGCTTTATCTTCTCAACAGATTCTGCTGAGGGTTTGATAAATCCAAATGATAGCCCAAATTTAAACGATCCAGATTAATCTATCAATAAATGATTACCTACTACCTATTGTGATAGACTAGCCAGAATCCTTCACTCTTTCATGGAAACAACATCCCAACTTTGTTCAGTGAAATACTCCTTCCTTCAATCTCATTTGACAAGTTTACATCAGTGGTCCCCAACCCTTTTGCCACCAGGGGCCAGTTTCATGGAAGACAATTTTTCCACGGACCAGGGCAGTGGGGATGGTTTTGGGATGATTTAAGTGCACTACATTTTTTATGCACTTTATTTCTATTATTATTACATTGTAATATATAATGAAATAATTATACAACTCACCATAATGTAGAATCAGTAGAAGCCTTGCACTTGTTTTCCTGCAACTACATGGTTCCATCTGGGGGTGATGGGAGACAATGACAGATCATCAGGCATTAGATTTTCATAAGAAGCACATGACCTAGATCCCTTGCATGCCCAGTTCACAGTAGGGCTCACACTCCTATAAGAATCTAATGCCACCACTGATCTGACAGGAGGCGGAGCTCAGGCAGTAATGTGAGCAATGGGGAGCAGCTGTAAATACAGATGAAGCTTCACTTGCTCACCTGCCACTCACCTCCTGCTGTGCAGCCCAGTTCCTACCAGGCCATGGACCGGTACTGGTCCATGGCCCTGGGGGTTGGGGAGCCCTGGTTTAGATGATATTAAACCCACACCTGGCCTGGCTGATGAGAACATTACATCCTTCAGCTGCCAGGATGGACCAACATAAGTGATCCAACTAAAACCAATGACTTTTGCTGGGAAGACAGGTGAAGAGACAGAGAGAAAAAAACAGAGAGAAACTGTTTTGTCTTCTCATTTTCTTGTCATCCAGAAGCCTGGATTAATCGGAACCAGGTTGCCACCCAGAGGGAGAGGCATGAACTGAGTGATCATAGAGATAAAACAAGGGAAGTAGAACTGAAGGATGGAGAGAAACCAGGACCTGACAATTACTGGTGACATCATTTGAGCCCAAATCCAGCCATGTCTACAGGTGAGCTCCCCAAAACTTTTCAGTTAAGTCAATAAATTTCCTTTTTTTGAAGCTGTTTAAACATATTCAGATAGGAGATTTTTGTTACTCCACACTGAATTAGTAAAACTTTGCATAAGTATGAGTTTAACACTGGGAAAGTAATTTTAAAATATGAAATACATAGACTCTTCCAAAAAGAAATTTACATGCTAGTTAATAGAACACATATTATGGTACACAGGAGTAGACACTCATTGTTATGGTTTAAACAACCTGGCACTCTGATAAGTTTTCAGAAAAATAGAGCCTGACAAGTTATTATAGTTCCATGGGAAAAGGAAGTGGGGTTACCCAAGGTCCTGTTTTTAATTCTAGCTATTGAGTACAAAAAGGACCCATTACAATGATGATTTGAGAGTCTTTTTAGAGCAGATTTAGAGACCTTGAAACCTCCACCCACCACCATAATTTCTTGCTTTATTGTTCAGAGTGCCTGAAGCTTTAGATTCTGAATTCTAAGTTCTTCAGGGTAAAGACCTGACATTGGAATCTCAGCTACACAAAGCACAAAGAATGTCAGAGATGCTATATAAATTATACACAGCAGCAGTGATGAGAGAAAAGGAGTTACAAAGAAATTGTACTCCTCAGAGTTTTATGAAAATAATATTTCACATTGAAACAAGAAAATCTGGGAAACAGTTTGTACTGCATAGAAGTGGAAAATTGGGAAGTTAAGATCTGTGTTTTTAACATGTCATGATTAACTTAGGAATGGAAATTGGAAATTTATGATCTGGATCACTCTCCCTCAGTGAAATAATGCCTTGTGCTTATTTTTGTAAACTATATAGAAGTGAATCTTTAGGTTAAAAGCCCAAATCCTTTCATGCAGCCATTTCTTCCTTTAGTGATCTATGCATTTAGAAAATTGGTATATAAAGTAATATATTAAGATGAAAACTATAAAACATTTTGAAAAGTATTCAGAGTTTTGATGTATTTCAGAAAAAAATATAAAATTACAAAGTTTTACAGGCATAGGAAATGATACAAGCAAAAATAGAAGATCCTAAGAGATATTTACAAATGATAAACAAATGTGAGGTATAGACAAAAACTAATTGACATTGGCATCCTCTGAAGTTTTCCTATTTTCTCTTTCACCTATCCTCCCCTTCCGCCTATCCTCGCCACCAAAAAACAGATAAAAATGCCCCATAATACAGATACCCAAAGGGCAACTACATGTATCCTATAAAATGTTCAAGCTACCACTAGCTCTTTGTGACATTCAATAAATCAAGAAGGAAAAATTGATCATCAGACTTTTTTTAAAATAACAGTTTCATTGAGATGTAATTCACATGCAACTAAAGTTTACCCTTTTAAAGTTTACAACTCATTGGTTTATCATATATTCACAAACTACTGAAATTGCCTCAGGAAAGTCTGTAAAGAGATTAGTATTTGTCCAATTCATTTAGGTTATCTAATTTGTTGCCATGCAATTATTCATAATATTCCATTATAAACCTTTTTCTGTAAATCAGTAGTGATTTCCTTTTACTGTCCCTAATTCAAATAAGTTTAATCTTTTCTCTTTTATTCTTGGCCAGTTTAAAGTTTGTCAATTTAAGTGACCTTTACAAATAACCAATTTTTGGTTTCAATTATTTTCTCTATTATTTTTCTGTTCTTTCTTAATTTCTGCCCTGGTCTTTATTATTTGCTTCCTTCTGTTTGCTTTGGGTTTAGTTTGCTTTTCTTTTTATAGTTGCTTAAGTTAGAAGGTTAGGATATTGATTTGAAATCGTCATTTTTAATATAGGTAGTTAAAGCTACAAATTTTCTTATAAGCACTGTTTAAGTTGCATCCCATAAGTTTTGGTACGTGTGTTTTTGTTTTCATTCATTTCAAATTATTTTCTAATTCTCCTGATTTCTTCTTTGACCCATTAGTTATTTAGGAGTGTTTTGTTTAATTCCCATTTATGTGTAAGCTTCCCAAATTTCCTTCTATTACTGATTTCATTTTTGTCCTTTTAATCCTTTTGTCATTTTAATCCTTTAAAATTTATTGAGGCTTATTTTATGGCCTAACATATAGTCTGTTCTGGAGATAGTTCCATGTGTGCTTCAGACAAATATGCATGTTGCTGTTGTTGAGTGTGGTGCTCTATATAAATGTCTGTTGAGTCTAGTTGTAGTCTTGTTCAGGTCTTTCATTTTCTTATGGATCTTAAGTCTGGTTGTTCTATCCATTATTAAGAATGGGTTATGAAATCCTCCAACTATTATTGTTAGATTGTCTATTTCTCCCTTTGATCCTATCAGTTTTTGCTTCATGTATTTTTGGTGCTCTGTTGTTAGGTGCATATATGTTTATAATTAGTATATCTTTCCAATGAATTCACCCTTTTATTATTATAAAATGTCTTTCTTTATCTCTAGTAACAATTTTTATCTTAAAGTCCATTTTGTCTCATAATGTAGCCACTCTAGCACTCTTTTAAGGATTGTATGCATGGTATATATTTTCCATCCTTTTACTTTCAACCTATTTGTGTCTTTGATCCTAAAGTATGTCTCTTATAGAAGCATACGTGTGGATCACAGAGGGTTTGTCCAGTCTGCCAATGTCCGCCTTTAATTGGAGAATTTAATCCATTTACATTTAATTAATTACTGATAATGTAGGATTTATGTCTGCCATTTGCTGAGGCAGGGGAGTTCTGTGTATCTTATGTCTGTTTTTTGTTCCTCTATTCCTCTAATACTGCCTTTTTGTGTTAAATAGATATTTTCTTGTGTATCATTTTAATTCACTTGTTGTTTCTTTTACTATATCTTAGAAGTTATTTCCTTAGTAGTTTTCATGAGGAATACAATTAACATCTAAAAACAATCTAATCACATTAATACCAATTTAACTTTAATAGTATAGAAAAACTTTGCTTCAATACAGTCCCATTTCCTCCACCCTCCTTTGTAGGACAGGTCTGCTGGTGATACATTCTCTCAGATTTTGTTTTGGTTTTCTAGAAATACCTTAATACCCCCTTTATTTGTGAAATATAGTTTTGCTTGATGTAGAATTATTGATTGACAGGTATTTTTCTTTCAGCAGTTTGGATATGTCATTCCACTGCCTTCTGACCTCCACAATAGGAGGTGAGTTGTTAATCTCCTTGAAGATCTCTTGAACATGATGAGTCACTTCTGTCTTGATATTTGCAAGATTCCTTGTCTTTGTCTTTCTTTTTTTTTTTTTTTTTTTTTTTTTTTTTGAGACAGAGGACAGAGTCTCGCTCTGTCACCCAGGCTGGAGTACAGTGGCATAATCTCAGGTCACCGCAACCTCCACTTCCTGGGTTCAAGTGATTCTCATGTCTCAATCTCTCAAGTAGCTGGGACTACAGGCATGCACCACCATGCCCAGATATTTTTTTTGTATTTTTAGTAGAGACGGGGTTTCACCATGTTGACCGGGCTGGCCTTGAGCTCCTGGCCTCAAGTGATCCACCCACCTCAGCCTCCCAAAATGCTGGGATTACAGGTGTGAGCCACCACATCCGGCCTCCTTGTCTTTGTCTTTAGATAGTTTGGTTATCATGTGTTTGTTGTGGATCTCTTTGGGTTTATGTTCTTGAAGTTTAATGAGCTTCTTGAATGTATAGATTAAATTTTTATCAGATTTGGAAAGTTTTGGATATTATTTCTTCAAACACTTTGTGCCCCTTTCTCTCTCTGCCTCTCCTTCTAGATCTCCTACTATGCATGCATTAATACATTTGATGATGTCCCTCAGGTCTCTAAGGCTCTATTCACCTTTTTATCTTATTGTTTCTCAGACCGGATAGTCTCAGTTTACCTGTCTTCAAGTTCACTTATCCTTTCCTTGTTTGGTTCAAGTCTAGTACTTCTCATAAATTTTTCATTTTAATTATTGTTCTCAACTCCAGAATTTCTATTTGGTTCTTTTTTTTTTTCTTTTGGTAATTTCTATCACTTTATTGATATTCTCTATTTGGTGAAGTATCATTCTCATACTTTCTTTTTGGTTCTTTAGACACTGATAGCAGCAAGGGGCAGACAAATGCCTGTGCAAATGGGGCACATCCCTGGTGAAATACACCTTCAAGCTAAAAAACAACCTGAAGGCTGAAAGGCTGGACTCCTGGTCCTGGATGAAACCCAGACCCAGAGTGAGAACTTCTGTTTGTGTTTGCCTGCCCTTTCCTGATTGATTCTTTCTGAATAATGCCTTTTAACCAATCAAATGTTGCCTTTCCATTACTACCTATGGCCTGCCCCTCCCCTATTCTAAGCCCATAAAAGCCCAAGACTCAGCCACATTGGGGGTACTTTCCTGCCTTTTAGAGGGACCACCCCCATGTTCCCTCTCCCTGGAAAGCTGTTTTGTCACTGAATAAAACTCTCCACTTTGCCCACTCTTTGACTGTCAGTGTATCTTCATTCTTCTTGGACACTGGACAAGAACTCAGGAACTAGTGCACAAACCGGAGTCAGCCCGGGTAGGATGATTTGACAGAGCACCTCCTACAGCAGGTAGCATGCCTCTAGCATTGCTGACTGGAGGTCCCTGACTGGCAAAGGGACAAAGAAATATCCTGTATCACTGTCAATTAACAAGAAAGATTTTGTTACAATAGTATGATAAAAATAAAGTCTCAATGGCTTAATCTTCATATTGTATATCTTATTCCTACTACACATATAGAAGTAGGGTGAGGGGAGATCTACGGCCATCACAAAGAGACCCAGGCTAATGGAGGCTTCATTTCTGCAGGTGATTTCAACATTAACACTACATGGTAAAGTGAATCTCCCACTGGTTCTTTTTTTAAAATTTTTTCCACAAAGTGAAAGTAAGTTTATTAAGAAGATAAAGGAATAAAGAATGGCTATACCATAGGCAGAGCAGCCCCCACAATGGTTCTTAAAGAGCTTGGATTTCATTGGCCCAAACAAATCACTTGACCATACCTAACTCTGAGTGGATCAGAGGTGTGTAATTCTATCATATAACAGGAAGAAGAGAAAAGCCAGTTTATGAACACTTAAAATGTCTATGACCATGAGTCTTATCATTTTATTCTTTATCATTCTTAATTTAACAAGGACTATTTAGTGCTAAGTATAGATGTCAGTTTTCAGAAGCCTGCTTAACCAGTAAACACAGAGAAAAACTGCCTAGTAATATATTAAATTTTGGTCACCACTCAGTTTATTTCCCTAGAGAAATCTGGTATAATAAATTCCACTAGCAGAATTCTGGATTCTCCTGTTAGAGTTGGCAATGATGATAACTCTGGGGATATTGTGCCCCCAAATGATACCATTTAGTGGGGAAAAAAAAGGGAGGCAGAGTTTCAGTGTCATTCTTAATATCTATTCCTTCATTTAACAGACAATGATTGGCCGGCACACACTAGTCTATTTCACTCATTTAAAAAGCATTCCATAGCAGTCTATTATTTGGCAGATTCTGTTCTACAAATATGCATTAGCACCTGCAATGTACTAGAAACAAGCAATGCCAAGATGAATTCAATCCAACTCTACCCTGAAAAAAGTACACAGACCAATGGAAGATAGTGGTCATGTGATTAATAGACTACAATGCCAGGGTAGTGTTTGACAGCCAAGTTTTACTCTCTCAGTAAAACTGACCTTCCAGACCCATGGAAAGCCTCAGAATGTCTGCCCTCCTACCAAAACTACAGTAGAGAAAATAGGTAATTGGGTAGGATAAAGTAATGGCCCCACTTCTAGGTCATTGATTTTCAAATTTTCATACATAACAGAAGTACCTAGAAAAACTGATATCAATGTAGATTCTCAGGGCCCATCTCAAATGTTCAGATTCAGTTGATAGAGTCTTTGCTGTCAGACCCATGGGTGACAGTTATGGATTTTACTGTGTCTTCCAAAAACTTCATATGCTGATGTTCTATCCTTTGGTATTCCAATATGTGAGCTTATTTGGAAGTGAGGTTGCTGCAAATATAATTAGCTAAGATGAGTTCATATTAGGGGTGGGCCCTAGTCCAGTACGACTGTTACCTTTACGTATTACTCTGCTTGGGCCCCCATAACAAAATAGCACAGACTGAGTAGCTCAAACAACAGAAATGTGCTTCCTCACTGTCTTGATGCTGATGGTCCAAGATCAAGGTTAGTTTACCATCAGCAGGCCTAGTTTCCTCTGAAGCTTCTTTCAGTGGCACCTCCTTCTCACGTGGACCTCTTTCGGGTCCTCACGTGGCCATCTCTCTGTGTGCCCACATCCCTGGTGTCTTTCCGTGTGTCCAAATTTTCTCTCCACATAAGGACACCCATCAGATTGGACTAGGGCCCATCCTAACCTCATTTTAACTTAATCATCTCTTTAAAGGCCCTACCTCCAAATATAGTCACATTCTAAGGTACCAAGGTTAGAGTTTCAACATATAGATTGGGCAGAGGGAAGGCAAACATAATAGAGCCTATACACCTTATAAAAAGGGAAAATGTAGACATAAATGCACACAGGGAGAATGCCATGTGAAGATGAAGGCAGAGATCTGGTGACATAGCTGAGGCCAAGGACACCAAACACTGCCAGCAACCCATCAGAAGCTAGGGGAGAGACCTGAAACAGATTCTCCCTCATGCACGCAGAGGGAGCCAACCCTGCCGACGCCTGGATCTCAGACTTCTAGTTTCAGAATTGTGAGACGATCCACTTGTGTGTAGTCCACCGTTTGTGGTCCTTTGTCACAGCAGCCCTAGCCAACTGATCCACTCTCCTTTCCCACCACAGTCAATGCCACCAGACGTCCTGGTTAATAGTCCTGAATTTCTTTGCCTGAGACCTTTCCCTGGCTGCCAGAGTTTACAGGCTGGGGTATTAATGCTCCAGAAGCCGCCTTCAAATAAGAAGTGATGGAAGTTGATGTGTAAATACCCCAGATCCCTGCCCCTCAGAAGTAATAAATGTTCTGTAGCACAGAGTTCCTCTAGAGTATTAACCTTCAGTTGCCCCAGCCATAGGGGGCTTGATAACATACCTAAAATCAACTGACTCATCTTCTCTGCCCTCTTCCCCACTCCCCTACTGGGGTTTCCTTCACTGCCCCCACTTTACTCAATGCTTGCCTCAGGCTCTGTCCCTAGGGGTTGCAAATTAAGATATTGTTCCAGGGTAGGGCCTTGAGATTTTCATTTTTTTAAAATTATACTTTAAGTTCTAGGGTACATGTGCACAAAGTGCAGATTTGTTACATAGGTATACATGTGCCATGTTGGTTTGCTGCACCCATCAACTCGTCATTTTAACAAGCTCCCCTGTCACTGGAATGCAGGTAGTTTGTGGATCACCACTGGAGGCATGCTGTTTTGGGGAATCCAAGTTCTATCCCTGAGGCCAGTGAGAGAAACCCAAGGCTACATAATTAACTCCTATTGGTTCCTATCTGGCACAACCGTTGTGCTGAACTGAGCTTTTATGTGACATCCTTGATCATTATAAGTGAAATAGGAATTAAACATAAGTCCTAAATTCATCATAAAACTCTATTTCTAAATTCATTATAAAACTCTCACCATATATATAAAATTTCTCCCAAGATTTTTTTTTCTCTAAGAATTTTATGCCAGAAAATATTAAATTTCCTCTAAGGACCCAGAATGCTTCTCTGTAATAATGAGAGGTGTGGATTTGCTCTTTTTCCCTTTTTGGCCTAGTGACCAGGAAGCTCTAAGGCAAATCAGATGCTCAGTCACTATAATTATGGAGGCCACATTCATATTTGCTTCCCATCTCTTTCATGCTCTTACATTTCAATTCTACCTATATTTCGTTTTTGAAAGAGTCAAGGGAAAGGGAATAAAACAAACATTAGAGTGTGAATGAAGAATAATAAATTTTCTAAGGTTACCGAGGCACCAAGCCAAACAGCTTTTCCTCTACATTTTCTATGATGGAGTTTCTCCCAAGGAAATTTGATGTGGAGCACTTCATTGGCAAAGAATACCTAGGTGAAAGGGACTCTGAGTAAAAATGATTAATGGCATTTGACCTGAGCCAGTTCCCCAGTTACGCCTATTTGGCCTCTAAATCTGAATACATTCTGTGCTAAAAAAAAATGCGTCCGGGAAAAGAAAAAGATTGACTCAGTCAATAGGATCCCCAAAGGGAAATTTTACCATTGCTGCAGAACCGTGGTTGGGAAAGAAAGTACCCATGCACATTTCCTCTTGGGAAACCCCTGTTGAGAAGACAAGAGTTCTATTTTCCTTTCAGTTCAACTCCAGAGTGGCCCACTTCAGACAACTGCAGTTTTCTCTACTGAGTCACACTCCCCAAGCCCAAATTCCTGCCAGCCCCATGGGGGCTTCGAAGAAAGCGTAGAGGCTTTACTGTGCAGAGAACATGCTCAATGGTACCCTGAAAGTGATAGCTTCTCTTCATAAGGAGAGACACAGAGAAAAGACACAGGGACTGATACTCAAATAGAGACAGAGTGTGCAAAGCACAGCTTCATCTTCTCTAGCAGTTGTCTTTGCAGAATGTTCAGCATATTGTAGGCATTCAACATTTTGAGTTTGAGACATAATTTATTGATTCAACAACACATTATTTAATTCTTTCAATGACATCCTCACAAGACAGCTAAGAGAGAAAACCATTTGTATCTCAGAGGTGGGCAAAAAGAGCACAGAAAGATTGTGACTTATTTGAAGTCATATATGGCAAATGACTTAGGACTATTTATTCCCAGTCATTCCCTAGCAACCTGCACCTCCTCTTGGGTTTGATATCTCAGTTGATATCATCGCCACCCACACAACCTCTTTGGCTGAAATTCTCAGAGTCAAGCACAGCCCCTCCTGCTCCTTCCCCTCCTATATGAATTGCCACTAATTGCTTCTGTCTACCCCGGAGTCTAGCCCCTCCTCTCTGTCTTCATGGCCATGACCTGGCTCCCTCTTTGTCTCTCATCAGGACATTCAGCCAGTCAGGTGGTTTCCAGTCCATTCCATTTTGAGACCATGTTTGCAGAATCTGAACTAAGGGACTAAGCAATTGTGTTAAAGGAAGGAGAGGAGTGTTCCCTGCTCCAAAGGAACTTACAGTTGCGAGAAGACAGACAGAAAATTCCAATGTGTGAAAGTGCTAAAATGGGGCCATGGGGCCACAAGGCACAGGCATCCATTAATTAATTCATTGAACAAATACTTACACAAACATTGAACAAACTCTATGCCAGACACTAGGCGAGGTGCTGGAGATCATCTGTGAGTAAGACCATCCAAAGACCCCGTACCCATGGAGCTTGTACTTTCATGGAGGAGACAAACAAAAATACTCCATTGATGATAGATGAGATAAATGACAGATGAATAGAAAGAGGGTAATATAAATTACTGTAAATAAAAAGGAAGCCAGAGGGGTATCAGTGTAGGTTCTAATATAAACAGGGTGATCGAAGAAAGCCTCTCTGAAGATGCCGTGGGAGCTGAGACTGGAAGAAGTGAAGCAGTGCACCGAACACCAGTGCAAAAGCTTCCAGGCAGAGTGAATGGTAAGTATGCAAACTGTGCAACAGGAATGTGCATTTCCCTCCAGCCAGAGCCATAGCCCAGGAAATCCTCACGGAGAAGACAAATGTGTGCTGACTGAAAGAATGAATGAGGCAGCCAGGGATGGTGGCTCATGCCTATGATTCCAGCACTTTGGGAGGTCAAGGAGGGTGGATCACCTGAGGTCAGGCATTTGAGACCAGCCTGGCCAACATGGGGAAACCCTGTCTCTACTAAACATACAAAAATTAGGCAAGCGTGGTGGCATGAGCCTGTAGTCCCAGCTACTCCAGAGGCTGAGGCAGGAGAATCGCTTGCACCCGGGAGGCAGAGGTTGCAGGGAGCCAAGATACCACTGCATTCTAGCCTAGCGACAGAGCGAGACTCCGTCTCAAAAAACAAAAAAAAAGGAATGATGCCGGGCGCTATGGCTCACGCCTGTAATCCCAACACTTTGGGAGGCCAAGGTGGGTGGATTGCCTGAGCTCAGGGGTTCGAGACCAGCCTGGGCAACATGGCAAAACCCCCTCTCTACTAAAAATACAGAAAATTAGTCAGGCGTGGTGGTGCGTGCCTGTAATCCCAGCTACTTGGGAGGCTGAGGCACAAGAATCGTTTGAACCCCAAGAGGGGGAGGTTGCAGTGAGCCGAGATCGTGCCACTGCACTCCAGCCTAAAAGGACACAACGAGACTGTCTCAAAAAATAAATACATAAATAAAAGAATGAGTTGCTGCCAGATGGAAAAGGACAAAGAGCGACCAGCTGAGGGCAGACACAGGCAGAGCACAAAGCCAGGAAAAAGGAGTGCTTTCTCCTGGGATCTCCACATAGAAATATCTGGCCACCAAACGGCTTTGAACTGTGCCACCAGTTTCCTATCCCATGAACTCTCCAGGCTTTTTGCCTCATCTTTGTTCAATTTGAGCCATCTTTTTACACAGGCATTTCACCAAGAGAAGCTCTTTGAGATCGGAAGCTCCTATTAAAAGCTGGCCCACTCGCACCACAGTGAGGGATTTGGCCCATTTCCACACGCTGGACTGGCCTGAGGGTCCTGATGAGAAGAAACGGGGTGGGGAAACCACAACCCTGGCCCACAGGTTCCCGGGGAGGTGCGCTGCAGCTTTCAGGGGTGCTCGCCCTCCATTCTGGGCATTAGCTCAGGATATGGGCTTGGACATCGCTTTGCTTCACTGACTTTTTTGCAACGCTAAGCACTGCCTCAGTGTCTCCATCTGTTACACTAGGACCAAAAGTCTGTGCCCTCCCCTTGCTTTTCAGAGCCCTGTAAGATTATTTATGCATAGCCTATAAAGCCTGGTAAACTCCTCCAAGCACAGCTTTATGCAAATACAAGATTAAGCCTTCATCGGCAAGCAGAAGGTCGGTTTTCATTTCTACATCAGCTCTCTTTATTTTTTTGCTGTAGAAGGAAATCTATCACTCCAGTATTCACAACTGGAGGGGGAAAAAATTCCTGATTTTACTTCCATATAATCCAGAAGCCTATGGCTCCCAGAACTATTGCGGAAGAAGCCAGAAGAGGCCAGATGAGGCCTCACCGGGCAGAAGGAGCACAGCAGGGGCAAGCACTAGGACAAACAGCAGTAAAAGAAAGAAGTAATGGCCAGGTGCAATGACTCATGCCTCTAATCCCAGCACTTTGGGAGGCAGAGGCGGGTGAATCACCTGAGGTCAGGAGTCCAAGACCAGCCTGGCCAACATAGTGAAACCCTGTCTCTAATAAAAATAACAAAAAATTAGCCAAGCGTGGTAGCAGGTGCCTGTAATCCCAGCTACTCAGGAGGCTGAGGCAGGAGAATCACTTGAACCTGGGAGGCAGAGATTGCAGTGAGCTGAGATCGTGCCATTGTACTCCAGCCTGGGCAACAAGAGCAAAATTCCATCTCAAAAAAAAAAAAAAGAAGAAGAAAAAGAAGAAAAAGAAGTAATTAGGCCAGGCTGCAAGAGGAGAAGGGAAAGAAAGTAGGACACACAGCAGAGGTGGACAACCAGCGCTTACCATGCATACATCCCCAGGATCAGGAGGCTTAGAGGAGGCACCAGGAGAAAAACCAGCAGCTCATTGCCTTATCTCATAAACCAACTACTTCTGCGTGACCCCCTGCAATCCACGGAACCACCTGAGTCTCAATCATCTTGCTGAGAACTTGGGTATCATTTTTGGGTCTCCCTGTCATCTCACAGTCTAGTTAAGGAAGCTTGTGAGGCACAAAGTAGGGCTTTAAAGACAACCCTTAAATACAAAGGTTAGCCAGAGTGGTGGTGGGTGCCTGTAATCCCAGCTACTTGGGAAGCTGAGGCAGGAGAATTGCTTGAACCTGGGAGGCAGAGGGTGCAGTGAGCTGAGATCATGCCATTGCACTCCAGCCTGGGTAACAGAGTGAGACCTTGTCTCAAGAATTAAAAATAAATAAAAAGTTAGAGACAACCCTTAACTGGAAAACAAGACTATTCTACCCATGAAGTACCCAGAGCCAGACCACACCTATCTCCTGGAATGAGTTCTCCCATCAAGAAGTGACTCCTGTCTCCAGTCACCTCATCTGTTTCCCAGACCCACTCTCCGCTCCCACCTCCCCATCTGAGGTTTATACCTGCCCTACGGGACCCTTGACTTCTCAGCCAAGAATCAAGCCCCATCCATGCATGTCTGGCACTGACGCTCTATATTCAGGCTTGTTATGTCTCATGTGGAGGGAGGCATGCCAAATTCTACCTCTGCAGTAACTACTGAGTCTTTTATCCACTTATTCTCATGCATTTAACAAATAGGCACACCACTCCTACCATGTGTCACACACAATCGTGAACACTAGGACTCAGATGCACAAGCAGAAGATTCCTGCTCTCAGTTTAGCACTGGAGACAGAAGAAATGCCAATAGGACAGGGGTAGTTGATGGGTGTCTGGACCACTAAACACAGGTGGTCAAGGAAGGCCTCTCAGAAGAGGTGATATGTGACAGATGAGAGAGAGCCCGCCATGCAGAGATGTGGGGGGAGAGAGGTGGGGCATGAAGGAGGACAGCCAGTTCAAAGGCCCTGGGGCAGAATCAAGCTACATTCAGAAACCAGAAGGAGCTATGTGGCTGGAGCAGAGGGAAAGGGGGGAATTGGTAAGAGATGAGAGCAGAGAAGTTCCTCAGGCACCAGATATTCTAGGGCCCTGTTGGCTATGGTAAGGATTGAGGGTTTCGTAAGCGAAACTGGAAGGCATTCAAAGGTTTAAAACAAAGGAGTGATTTGTTCTGATCTGGGTATATATTTAAAGATCACCGTGGCTGCCGTTTGGAGGGAACAAAAGGAAGAAGAGAGGCCTATAGGGGCAGTTGCGGGGTCCAGGTGGGGGAGATGATGGCTCTGGAGAGGGGGCAGCCATGGAGATGGTGGTCCTTCCTGCTGTTCACCTGCCTTCATGCAGACCCTCCTCACTTCTTGCCCAGACTAATACAGTAGCTTCTGAATTCTTTATCCTTCTTCCCCAATCTCTCCCACATCAAATCAGCTCTAACACCACTACCTGGTAATGCATCCTAATGATAGCTGTGGAGCCACTGCTGGATGCCTGTGGAATCCGATTCACCTCCTCCTTATTTGCACATCACCATCACCCAGTTTAGGTTAATGAGAGGCACATGAGAGCCTACAGGGTGGCGCCTCCCAGAAACCTATTGCTTTCCTGAGATAAACAATAACAGACTTGGCTGATATGAGATCTTGGCCCTGTTTTTGCCTATGGTACAGTCACCATGCCCGGAGGTGGCATGACCACCTCTTAAGGATGGTGAAGCTCAAAGCTAGAAGAGACCTAGTTCCCAAGAGCATCTTTGAGCCCCTGGAGCATCCCCTGGATAGTCTGCCTCTGAATTCTTTTTTTAGCTGAGGAAAATGAACCTCTATTTGTTTAAGCCACTGTAGTTGAATTTCTATTAAGAGCAGCTGAACACATTTTCTCACCAAAGCAAGAAGCTCAGGGAATGAATTCACCTACAGCAATAGAAGATGTTAGCCCCAAGCATGTGGCTCATAAAACAGAGGGAGAATCGGGTTCTGATGAAAGCTAAGTCACTATCACATAAGGATTTTCAATAATACAAACTCTTAGTTTCTGTGGGGTAGTTGCTAGAATTCCATGATCTCCATATGGGCAGATGTGCTAATAGAAGAACATTGGGCCAAGGCCCAATGGCTCAGCTCCCCAGGGGAGTTTGTTCTGGATGCCCAGGTTCACTCCCCTAAACTCTGTGCATCGTGGGAGCATCCAGAGAGGCCTCAGAATGTGAGCTCCAAAGCAGTCACCTGAAAACAAATCACGGCCAGGCACAGTAGCTCACACCTATAATCTCAGCACTTTGGGAGGCAGAGGCAGGTGGATCACTTGAGCCAAGGAGTTCAAGACCAGCCTGGGTAACATGGCAAAACCTCATCTCTACTAAAAAATAAAAAATTAGCCAGATATGGTGGTGCATGCCTGTATAGTACCAGCTACTCGGGAGGCTGAGGCAGGGGGATCGCTTGAGTCTGGGGAGGTCAAGGCTGCAGTGAGACAAGATTATGCCACTGGACTCTGCCTGGGCAACAGAGTGAGACCTTGTCTCAAAAAAAAAAAAAATAACTTCCATTAACTGTTGGGTGTCAGAAGGCTAGATAGGGTCTGGAACAGAGACAACTCCTTCTCCTATAATTGTAATAGGTAAATTGTAACCATAATAGGTTCATTGCCTGAAGCACATGGCAAGTCAGTGCACCAAGGCATTGAGTAGTAGCAGAGAAAGAGGTTTAATCACAGGGTCACCAAACAAGGAGACAGCAGGAAACCTCAAGTCTGTCTCCTTGAGGAGTTTGGGGCCAAAGTTTTTAAGGGTTTTGGAGTGGGCCAAAGTGTGGAGATCATTGATTGGTCTGAGAGTGAAGGATTTAAGTCACGGGTCAAGGAGGTAAAGAAGCTGTATTCTCATGCTGATTTGGTTCCTCTGTGAAGGTCTTTTAACTGGTTGGCATCAGCTGTTTTGCTGGAATTCAGGATCTGCTTAAGCAATTCTGAAACAAAAGGCTTAGGATTCTAACATCAGAAATCCTAGCTACAGAAACAATGGGGATGCAAATAGCCAGTGTCTAGCATTGAGTGCCTTTCAGTTACACGGAAGTGGGTCAAAGTGCAGCCTGGTTAATGCTTATAACTATATTTCTGTCCAGAATTCTTGTTAACCATGTGAGAACAGCTCCACTCCAAGGTCCAAAAGAAACTCAGAGATGGGGCCAGGGGCATCCATGGAGGCCACCAGTCAGGCTGAAGCATAACATTACAGGCTCTGGGGGTCAGTCCAGACACAGGCAGGCAGCATCTCAAGGCCCTGTGTTGGAAAAAGGAAGGTTTCCCAGCAGGGAGAGGGCAGAGTATATGAGTCACCAGGGAACTCGTTAAAATACAGATTCCAAGTCAGTTGGTCTGGAGTGAAACCTGAGAGTTGCTAACAAGCTCAGAGGATGCTGAGGCTGCTCAACAGGTGACCACACTTTGAATAATGAGGAGTAAGAACACAGAATAGGGAGTGTGCCCTATGGGTATAACCAGGAAGCTACTGGGAGGTATGTGTGTGTGTTGTGCAGATGTGTGTGCTCATATTTTCACAATTGGGATGAGCAGGGACTCAGTAGCAATCAGATGAGTGAGAAATGGCGTTTAACACTGGGCAGGTTACCTATTGTTGACAAGAATTAAATCCTGTAAAAATATGTAAAGAGGTTTATTCTGAGCTGAATATGAGTGACCATGGCCCTATTTACAGTCCCAAGAGGTCCTGAGAACATGTGTCCAAGGTGGTTGGTTTACAGCTTGGTTTTATTCATTTTTGGGAGACATAAGGCATCAATCAATACATGTGAGGTATACACTGGTTTGGTCCAGAGAGGCAGGCTCACCTTTCCAGACTGAACCAACGTATACCTCACATGGTTTGGTGGGGGTGGGTAGGGAGGAAGCTTACAGATCACAGGTGGATTCACAGATTTTTCTGATTGGCTGTTGGTTGAAAGAGTTATTGAAAAACCTGGAATCAATAGAAAGGACTGTCTAGGGTAAGTTAAGAAGTTGTGGAGACTGAGATTCTTGTTATATAGATGAAGTCTCAATAGGTGGCCACCCTCAGAAGCAATAGATGGCAAATGTTTCCTATTCAGACCACTAAAAGGTGCTAGACTCTAAGTCAATCTCTTCAGGATTGGGAGGCCCTGGAAGGGGAAAGATCTAGTTACCTTAACAGAGATTCTTTACAGATGCAAATTTTCTCCCACAAAAGATGGTTCTGGAGGGTCATTTCAAAATATATCAAAAAAAATCTGGGGATAAAGAAGTTTGATTTTCTTTTTTATCTGTCACATGATGTTATGCCAGAGTCAGGTTGGAAAGTAAGTCATGTCATAAAGGGTTAAATAAAACCCATCTGATGAGATTTTATGGTTTGTAGGGCATGACAAACCTTGGTCTCTCAGATAGGAATTTGGGCAAGAGACGAAAAGGTCAGAGTTTAGTCCTCACTATGCAGAAAAGACATCGCTGAAGAATGTCCCAGGACAAGAGACATCCTTAGGAGCCCTGCCCGGCTGCCATCACTGCAGCTGTGAGCACTGCAGCACATGACTGGGGCCAGCATCCTCTTCAGATCCTCAATCTGTGTGGCTGCAATACACAAACTAGAGAAGCTGTCAAGTTTCTTCCTATGCAGTTCAGGTCTTCCTATGCAGCTGCCAGTTTCTTCTTGTGCACTCGGTTCCGACTGTGGTAACTGAAACTGAGTGCTAGGACTGAGTAAGGTCCTTGGAGTTCTTGGACTTGACACAGAAAAAAATAAAATAACCCAGAAAGGTCAATACATTCCTGCAGAGCAAGCTGGTGCTCAAGCCATGTGATCTAAATATAAGAAGGGATTTGACCTCAGATTGAATTCTAAGCCAGTAAAGCCAGACAGATTGCTTACCTCTATAATCAGTGAAAACAATAAAGCTATTTTCATTTGAAAGAAAGTAAAAATGCATAAAGGGCCTGGCCTTCTGAAAATTGCTCTAGATTGACTGCAAACCCAAGCATGCCCACGCTTTGCCAAAACTTAACCTGTACCGGCAGCTCAAATACTTAAAAGTCACAAGAATGTTCTTCTTTGCTCTTAAATGTGGACATGGGGGGAAAATGAGGAAGAAAAGGAGGCTGGATCTAGAGGAAATATAAAAGCTGGAGTGGATTTTTCCTCTCCTCTTTCAAGTTTGTTTGGAACTTTGTGAAGAAAATGTCCTGGTCTGTTCCATCACCCTCGGTTCTCATTTAAGCTGCACTGAGACTGTGTTTTGAATAAACAGAGCACAAGGGCAGTGCTTCAGAAAGAGCTTCATAGAGATTGAATGGATAGCAGAGAAAAGAGCCTAAAGCATGAAGATCTTGGGGCTCAGAATCAAACCTGAGTGTCCTAGGAAGCCTGTGTTTTCTTTCTCAAAAGTTTCATTTTTCTTCTCATCTCAAATTCTGATATCATCAGTTTGGGGTGGAAAGAGTAAATCTGGGAAGGATTGAGCCCCAGGAAGGAGCCCATTCGATCTGGTGCTGTCCCCAACCTACCCCACATGCATACAAACCTCCAGCTCAGCCTGCAACAGCCCTGACTCTATCTTGCTGGCTGCCAGGAAGTCAACCCAATGAGGCTGGAGGCCACACCTGCTATCTCCCTCCATATTTGTTCAATAACTTTGTTCTGGGATTCTCCGTTGAGGCCTTCGAATCTTTTTTCTCAGGAGATCCATGTAAAAGTGTCCTTAGGCTGGGCACACTGGCTCACACCTAAAAAAAGTGTCTTCATGAGCAAAAGAAATTCCCTTTTATCCTTCTGATATGGTTTGGCTGTGTCTCCATGCAAATCTCATCTTGATTTGTAGCTCCCATAATTCCCCCATGATGTGGGAGGGACCCAGTGGGAGATAATTGAATCATAGGGGCGGTTTCCCCCATATTGTTCTCTTGGTAGTGAATAAGTCTCACGAGATCTGATGGTTTTCTAAGGAGAAACCTCATTTTCTTGGTTCTCTCATTTCTCTCTTGCCTGCCACCATGTAACACATGCCTTTCACCTTGCGCCATGATTGTGAGGCCTCCCCAGCCACATGGAACTGTTTAAACCTCTTTTTCTTTATAAATCATCCAGTATTGGGTATGTCTTTATCAGCAGCGTGAAAATGGACTAATACACCTTCCTTCTTCTCATTGACATAAACCTACCTGCAGAAAGCTAAGACAGACCAGAGCATGTCAATCACCATAAAGAAGGAAAAAAATTTAACACTGATATCATATAGATAAGGAAGGTTGAAAGATTTCTGGAAGTTTTTTAAGCAATATAGCAAAAATGTAAACTTTATAAAAATTAAACTTGTGGACATAGAATTGCTGTGAATCACAGATTCTTTCTTTTTTTTTTTTTTTTTTTTTGGTGGGGGAGGCAGTTAAGGAAATAAAAACTGGCAAAGCATTAAGCTGTTCAATCAGTTTGCTCTTGTGTTGCTTTCAAGTAGTGACCACAGCCTTGCACGTTGCTGCTTGGGGTTCTGGGCTTTCAATTGCAGCTCTTGTTAAATGCATGTTTCATGGTCAATTAGAGCTTGAAAAAAATTGAAGTAGGAGAGAGGGGCCGTCCAAGTGAGTAAGTTCAATTGATAAAAGCCAAAGGAAAAGATCTACTTTCATATTCCAAAGCATGTAGAAAAGTGTCTTATGTTCAGCCCCTCTGATAATAATTAACCCAAGAAGCCGCTCAAAAGATGTACCCCAAAACGTGAGTTGTAAAGCAAAAGTAAAACGTAAAGAAGCAGAAGATGAAACTAGAAAGAATAACTCAAGGGATGAGGCTAACTAGATCAAAAAGATTCATAGTGTGGAAGATGACAGACCTAACAGGATTGAGGAGAGCCCCGAGTCTAGCTCATAGCTGACACAGTTTCTCCAAATCCCTCTGGGAGAGGCTGGAGGGGGCTGTGGGTAGACCTGTGGTGTGCTGTAGTGAAAAGAAAACCAGAATTGGTGATTTCAGGGCCAGTCTTAGATGGTGGTAGTTAAACGTCTCACCCAGTATCCATTCTAGAAATACCTACTAAGGATCTGCTAGGAGCCAAGCTCTGAGATGGACATTATGGTTCTGTCATGAACAGTATAGACAGGCCTAGAAGAATGCATATATATATATTTGCATGTGTAAATGTGTGTATGTGCATATTTATGCCCCTGTGCATACAAATACGCACATACACGTACAATCACAGAGAAAGTCATGGAATGGAATGGACAGCTCTAGAGAAATGCTTATTGAGGAGCGCTGACCTGACCTAAGGTTAAGGAAGCCTCCCTGAGGACGTGATGTTTAAACTGAGCCCCAAACCTTATAGGAGGAGGAGGAGGAGAAGGAGGAGGAGAAAAAGAGTCAGTTGTTGGGTACTTACAATGCATACAGCACTGTCGTAAACATTTAGCATGTATGAACTCATTTAATTCTTGCAACTTTACAAAGCATGTACTATTATTATCCCCATTGGGTAGATAGGGAAACTGAGGCACAGGGATGTAAGTAGCTTGGCTAAAGTATCCTCTCTGATGTATCAGTGATGTTCCTAGTCACCTGCACTGACTTTAAAAAATCTCCAAAGAATAACTAAAGTAAACATGATGTGATGGACAAACTCAAATGCCACTTTGCGTTTTTAATCTCTTCAACCCCCAAATCATTCTCTGCAATAGGAAGAGGCAACAGCCATGTGGCTGTGAGGGCTGGGCTGTGGGGGCTGCCCAGGAGCTGTGCAGCCTATGATGGGATGCTCTCCTGTGCCCTTCAGTCACAGTCAATACATGAGTGGACTCTGGGGCCAGCCTGCCTGGGCTCCAATCCCAACTCCAGGACTTAGCTGAGAGGAGTGGGTGACTTATTTCTCTCTGTGTGCCTCTGTTTTGTCATCTGTAAAATGGGAATAAGTATAGCACCTTATTATTATAAGGTACTTACTATAAGGCATTACTATAAGGAAGCCTTGCCTTTGAACTGGGGTGGAAAATCATTCAACACTAATTTATGTAGTTTTGTCCAAAAATTCAATGCTTTTCCAAAAGGGGTCATATGTGTAAGCCAGAGGTAAAGTCAGGCAAGGCTTCATGGAGGAGACAGAACATCATGCATTCATTCAGCAAAGATTTCCTGAGCAGCTGCTAAGTGCAGGCCATTCAATATTCTAACAGGAAGAGAACAGATAACAGCTAGTGAATTGCTGTTGCTCCAAGCCTCCAGGCCACCCCTGCCCGAGGGCTTCTCCTTCAGGATCCTGGGACTTACCCCCAGTCCACCGACCAAAGAGGTAGAAAGAGACTTCCAGAACCTCAGGACCTGCTCTGAGGCTCCCATACCCATGCTCTTTAGCAGGAGAACACAGTCTAGTGGAGAAGATAAAGAAGTAAACAGCTTCATCCCTGTCCCTACAAAGGACATGAACTCATTTTTTATGGCTGCATAGTATTCCATGGTGTATATGTGCCACATTTTCTTAATCCAGTCTATCATTGTTGGTCATTTGGGTTGGTTCCAAGTCTTTGCTATTGTGAATAGTGCTGCAATAAACATACGTGTGCATGTGTCTTTATAGCAGCATGATTTATAATCCTTTGGGTATATACTCAGTTGTGGGGTGGGGAGAGGAGGGAGGGATAGCATTAGGAGATATACCTAATGTTAAATGACGAGTTAATGGGTGCAGCACACCAACATGGCACATGTATACATATGTAACAAACCTGCACGTTGTGCACATGTACCCTAAAACTTAAAGTATAATAAAAAAAAAAAAAGAAGTAAACAACAAGTTACCAAACAGTGTGGCAAGATCAGAAATAGAACTGCTCAGAGAAGGGAGCACCGGGCAACAGCCTCATGGGTGGGGCATGATAACTGGCTTTACCAAGGAGGCAATTACTGACACCAGGCATAACTAGGAGCCACAGAGAATCAGCACCCCAGGCCAAGGGGACAGCAGCAGAAGAGTCCCAGAGGTGAGAAGGAGCAGACTCTGACATGTTAAGAGGTCCAAGAAGCAAGATTATGGGGCATCTGTTAAGAGTATTTTGAGGCAAGGAGAATAGGAAGGTGGGTGGGGGCTAAACACTGGCCAGCCTGGGATGCAATGAGAAGTCATTCAGGGACAGGAAGCTGGGGAGTGGGTTTTGATAAAATCGCCCTTGCAGTGGAGTGGAAAATGGACCAGAGGTACAAGAGGATGGAGGCAGAGAAGCTGGTAAAGGAATCGGGATAAGAAATGACAAGGTTCCCAATCTAAGTAGGGACAGAGTGGGTGAAAGCTGACAGGGGAATTGCAAAAGAAACAGAAAGGATGGGTGCAGCTGCTGAATGGAGAGTATAAGTGAGGTCGGGCAGTTCAAGGAAGGTGTCCAGATTTCTACCTGATCACACAGTACATGGGATGCCACCTCCCAAGTCAGGGTACCCCAATGGGAAAGACGATGGCCAATGATATATATACGGAGGGGACAAGAGATCATGCAGCCACTGCCATTGTGAGATGGCAGCCAGAGGGATTTTTAACAAATGTGCAAAAGATGACATCACTCCTGTGTAAAATTCCTACAATGTCCCTCTCTCCCTCAGAATAAGATCTAAGTCCTTTGTTCACTTAATCACATAATCAGGCCCCGGCATCTCCCTAACCTCATTACCTATCCTCGGCTTACTGTTCTTCAGGGACACTGGTCTCTTTCTTTTCTTTTTTATTTTTATTTTTATTTTTATTTTTTGAGATGGAGTTTTGCTCTTGTCGCCCAGGCTGGAGTACAATGGCACGATCTCAGCTCACTGCAACCTCCGCCTCCCAGGTTCAAGTGATTCTCCTGCCTCAGCCTCCCAAGGAGCTGGGATTACAGGCACGTGCCAACATGCCTGGCTAATTTTTGTATTTTTATTAGAGACGGGGTTTCACCATGTTGGCCAGGCTAGTCTCGAACTGCTGACCTCAGGTGATCCACCCACCTCGGCCTCCCAAAGTGCTGGAATTACAGGCATGAGCCACCATGCCCAGCCCTCTTTCTTTTCTTTATATCAAACTCATTCTTTCTCCTAGATACTTGTCCTTTGCTGTCCCTTTCATGTAATTTGTGTTTCTCCCTATTTTTCTTGTCATCCAGAACTCCTCCTAATGGTCGTCTTCCCAGAACCACTCTCTCTGACCACATGACCTGAGGTTGCCGACCCACCTACACCCACCCAGCTATTCGCTGTCACCTTTCTTTCTTTGTTTTCTTTATAGTCTGAACAACCATCTGAGATGATCTCAAGGGTGCGCGATTGATTAGTCTTTTTCTAGTCTACCCCACTGAGATGTAAGTGCCATGAGGGTAAAGGCGGGGTCTGCCATTTTGCCCCTGTCCTCCTCAATGCTTAGAACAGTCCTGGCTTACAGTAAATAGTCGGTAAATATCTCTGAATGAATGAAGGGACCCACGTGGGGCATGGGACCATCCACAGTGTTTGGTTTTGACTTTGGGGGAATACTGAGGGGGGAATGGGGTATACAGTATTATCAATCAAGTTGATAATAAGAAACAGACATCACACTCATGGGATGTTTGAGGTGAGCTTAGTAAAGAGACTCTTTACAAACAGGTGTGCAGAATGGAGGAAATTTACAAGGGATGAGGAAGAACCCCAAGGTTAAGAACAGCCAGAAGCTGTTACTTCTCCTGGTGAAAGGTATAAGGGAGACAGTTCCTAGAACCCAGAGGCAGTTGCAGGCACCTGCATGAGCTGTGAGCAACCCAGAGAGAAAGAGCCTGAGAAATAACCTCATCCTCCCAGCACTGGTCTCCTGTCGGTGCCTCTCATTGGATGAATCCAACCAGAAGCCAGGGAGAAGGGAGCCCAGGTGATGAGATTCCTATAGCTCAGCCTCTCAGGCAAAGAATGTGGAAAAAAAAAAAAAAAGAAAAAGTAGAATGTGGCCCTGAAGGACAAAAGGAAGTAACCTGTGCATGGTTTTATCAGCACCGTCAGAACACATACAATAGAGAAGAAGTGATTCAACAAAATGAGGCTGGACGAACAACAAAAGCAACATATTTCCACCATGCGTACAGAGTGACAAAAAAGAGCCTCATTTTTCATCACCTCTTTCTTGTCCCTTTGGAGTCCAGCCTTCTCTTTCTTCCTGGAGCCCCACCCCCAACCCCCTACAGCTTTGCACTGCCCTTTGCTTGTCAGACATGGGAGCAGCACAGTGCTGCAATCTGTAGAATCATCCTTTACATGTTGGCATTGCCTTGGGTTGTGGTGCAGAATAAACTGGAGGCATAAAAACAGATCGCTGCTCTGAAATTCTCACTGAGCTCAAAAGCAGCAGGAGACAGTAGAATAAGAGATTTGAATTTCATGCCCTCATCACCTGGGCCACGAGTTTTGAAAATGCAGAATTTTTAAAATGCTTACCTTGGAAATGACAGGACTCAAGCTTGGAATCCTCAGGAGGATTTGGGCTGCCCTGTGTGTTCCCCCACAGATCTAGGCATCTGCTTTTTCAGCACAGAGTTAAAGCCTGCAGACGTGGGTACACATATTCCATGATTTCGTTGAAGTATTTCATGTCATTTGATTCTTAGGCATCTAATTCTGTGTTTTGTCACAGTCTCTACATCATAGGCATAATCAAGAATTACCTATTAAAATCTTTAAATGTAGTAGTGTTTAAAGTCCCTTTGTTTCATATAATAGAAACTATGTGGAGGGGAGAAGAGAGGGAAAAGTTTAAATTCCATCTTCCTCTTGTCTAAGGAGGCATACGCCCTGTGGGGATGGACATCTTCTACCTTAGGAAGAGCTGGTGCATGAAAATATTCCTGCTTTCAGGACTTGCACTTCAGTGAATGGCAGTGCCAAGCAAGCCTGACCCCCAGAGCTCCAGGCCCTCAGGGGTTACCATTTGCTCCTGGGATCCCCCATCACTGTGAAGATACCTCCCTAATGGGGCCCCCACCATTGAAGGATATCTGTTTTCTTCCCTTTACATCATTAAAATCAAAGATCGATGCTGTGCTCTGGGAGGGATTTTGCAGGGCCAATTGGTGCCCCTGATAGATTAAGCAGCAGTGCCTGATAATCAAAAAATTTTCTCTTTGCAGAGTCACCCTCAGGCTTTAGAAATAGCCTGGAGTTGGACTGGGAGAGCTGTACGCAGGCCCTGGGCAAACGCTGGGCCCTGTGATGGCCCCGCTAGAGGCTGCGTGTGAATAGTTAAGAAGCAAAAGTGGAAAGAGAGAAAATGAGAAAATCGGGGTGGTGGGGGAGAAAAGGAAGCAGAAAAGAGAAGGGAATAAAATAAAGATTAACATAATGTGTCCATGGTCACTCATCTAGAAAGTAGGACAGGCAGGACTTAGATTCAAACCTGGGTCTAGTTGACTCCAAAGTCTATCTTCCTTCCTCTGTAACAGGAGAGGAGCCACAGGCTATTCCCAGCATATGAAGGGTACTCTTGCAAGGAGAATTCCCAGTTGATCTGTCTAGTTCTCCTGACTTCCACAAAAGCATTTTCAGTGTGAGCCGGACAATGGGCTGGTGTTTGAGGCCCAAACATAAACAAGACATAGTTCCTACCCTTGAGGAATCCACAGTTGCACAGAGAGGTAAATGTGCCAACAAATAACTACATCCAAAAAATGTAGTAAAAATAAGAACATAAACAAGTATAAAATGCCAACAGATCACAGATGGAGGAATAACAATTGATCTAGAGAATACGACAATGATATATAAAGATGGGGTTATTTGATATGGGTTTCAAGAAATAATTAGGTATTTCAACAACAGATGATGGCAAGAAAAGATATTACCAGCAAAGGAAGAGTTATTCCAAAAGGGAAATATGGGAACAATATGTAGACATGATGAAGTGACAGATTTGGTTCCATAAAAGCATGAACGGCCCCAAAATGGAGAAACTGTCCTAGAAAATAAGAAATTCCCCATTGCTGCAAAGGTCCAAGCAAAGTGTAGACCAATCGTGTGTCAATAAAAGGGCATCATGGGGAATTCTGCTTAGATTCCTTGATGCTCTTTGCAGTGTTCCTGATTCCCTCTGTCTGTGATTGAACCTTGGCTCACTCTGGAATTGGAATATGGTGCCCTGATGAAGGGCACAGTCTTGAAATCAGACAGTCCTGAATTGGAACCCCAGCTCTTCACTTGCCCAGGGTCATGTGACTGAACCTCTCTGAGCCTCAGATTCTGCACCTATGGACACTATTGCCTACCTCACCTGTTAGAATTAAATGAATTTGTGGTGTAGAGAACTCAGTAGTGTCTGGAGTGGAATATGAGTCCACAATATATAACCACGAACAAAGACATTATGATTACAGCAAAAGGTGGTGATATGATTAGGCTTTGTGTCCCCACCAAAACCTCATCTTGAATTGTAATCCCCATAATCCCCACGTATCAAGAGATGAGGTGAAGGTAGTTGAATCATGGGAGTGGTTTCCCCCATGCTGGTCTCGTGATAATGAGTGAGTTCTCATGAGATCTGCTGGTTTTATAAGGCGTTCTTCCCTTCCTGCCCTGCCAGCTTGTAAAGAAGGTGCCTTGCTTCCCCTTCACCTTCTGCCATGATTGTAAGTCTCTTGAGGCCTCCCCAGCCATGCTGAACTGTGAGTCAATTTAGCCTCTTTCTTTATAAACTACCCAGTCTTGGGCAGCTCTTTATAGCAATATGGAAATGGACTGATACAGGTGGGAACACCACCGAGGAAGAGTAGAAGATAGCTTTGACCTGCTTTATCACCTACGACACTCTTAGGTGCTGGGGTGGCAGTCACTGATAAGTAGGCACCATGGACAGGGCAGGGAAGGGTAGAGGAGGGTGACTTGTCTGAGTGCAGGGGTTGATCCTATCTTTATTTAAAATATTATATTTTGTTTCTTATAGATTATTTTTGCATTCATTTTGATTTTTTAAATATTGCGTTAATATATTATTTATATTGATTCTTGGTGTTTTTTAGTGCTGTCTTAAATTTAGGCAAATGCCTCACTCTCCAAGACTAAATGAAAACAGCTTTTAAGTTTGTGTTAATACCTGACTTCACTTGCTTCATCTTTTTCTTCTTTCTTTCTTTTTTTGCCTGCCCTATTATGAATTTTATAAAATAAAATTAAAAAACTTCAGAATTGGAAGGTAAGAGCTTTCCACTCAAAAATCAGCCTGAATTGTGTCATTACCTTGAGAAACCAAAGGAGTGAATTGAAACTAATACATACAATTCACATAACCTCCAAATGAGTAGTCTTCATGCAATTTTTGCCAAGAGCCTATGCTCAGAGGGCTTGTCAGGTGTAAAGTGCAGCAGGCTTCTACTAAGCGATGGCCAGGCATGTTTTGCAAAGTATAGAAGCCTTAATAAGTCTCCACGTTAGCAACTTCCTTAAGTCCTGGTCCTGCTGACCCTCTGCACCAGCCCTAAACGATGTTGTTAAGTAATTCAGTTTGAAGAACTCTTATGGAGATCAATTTTACTAATGTACACACAGCATAATAGAGACTCAGCTAGTGTAAAGAGAGGAATCACTTTTTTTTTTTTTAAATCAGAGAACAAGAACAAGAATTACCGATCAGGTTGGAGCCGTGGCCTAGGGATGGCTTCCCTATGGATTAACATTTCCTGACTTTGCACTTGGCAGAAAGGTTACAACTATTTATGTTATGTGCAAGCTATGCATAGTAATTAGAACTTCTGCACAGCTTTAACCATGACAGTTTGTGGGATTTCAATGCAGACATCAAAGGGCCTGAATTTCTGATGACAGTTGTCACTCAGAATTGGCAGCAAGAGCCTAGAAGAAGCCTACACTTCTCTCCCTCTCTGCATCACTCTCTCTTTATATATATAAAGCAGTACATATTTTATATACTGCATATATATGTATGTATGATAGCTTCTATCATTCCAACGTAGTCTTGATTCTTTTCTCAATTAACCCTTCTGTTATACATTTTTATTTTCCGAATGTAAACAGTTGCATTGTGAAGTCTGCAACTTAGCGACTATTTGCAAGATAGAGATCTAGTTCAAAGCCAAACCTTGGTCAGTGTAATGACTTATTCAAAACGTGCTGTGTTAATAGAAGGCAGGCATCAACAAATGGCAAACCATATAGAAACAAAGCATTTTAAAAGATGTGGCCTTAAATGCTTTTAAAAAAGCATTTAAAAGATATTCTAGAAACGACTCACAGAATCATTTTGGACAAAGACCAAGTGACTGCCTTGGTCTATTTGGGCTGCTATAACTGAAAGATTCTACCTGGGGGCTGAAAGCTTAAGGGAATGAATAATTCCTCCCTTCTCAGGCCCAGTCGCAAGGCGCAAAACTACTTGCACCAGCAGCGTGCACCAGCAAGATAGCAGAAGCTGGAAGAGAGCCGGCTGGAAGACATATACCCTGGCTGGAAGACACCTACCCTTGAAGATCGAGAAACAGGCCATCTGGGTACCACATAGCAGTTATGTCAGGCTAGGACACTTCCTGTTTACAGGAGACTATGAAACCCCTGCCCCGTCCTCACTTGGGGCTGACACCATTTTAGGCCTCAGCCCGCCTCCACCCAGGCGCTCATTAAAACAGCATGTTGCTCCACACCGCCTCGTGTTGTCTGTTGGCGCGCTCTTGGGGTTCGAACCAATACAAGAAACTTTCAATAACAAAATGCCATAAACTGGGTAGCTTATAAACAACAAAATGTTGTTTCTTACAGTTCTGGAGGCTTGAAAATCCAAGATCAGGTTACCAGGAGATTCAGTGTTTGGTGAGAGACCATCTTCTGCTTCATAGATGGCACCTTCTGGCTGCACCCTCAGATAGTATAAGGGACAAGGGTCTCTCTGGGAATCCCACTCAGGAGGGTGGGACCCTCATGACCTAATCACCTCCCAAAGGCTCCACCTCCTAATACCATCCATTTGGAGGTTTGGGTTTCAGCATATTAGTTTTGGGGAGACACAAACATTCAGACCATAGCAGTGACCTGTGAAGTTTATGCACATTAAGCCGAGCAGTTTCTGATTATGTGAGCAATCAGACTAAGACCCTGTGTATCTTCTGGTGTGCCCAAGTGTTCTATAGAAAATCTATTCTCTTAAAAGCCATGATTTTCCAGTAACAGAGCTCCCCATTTATATGCCTCCGTGACTCAGATTTTCCCAATATAATTTTGGCTATATGTTAAGTGCATTTGCAGCTTGAGCCCACGAAAAAGTAGGACATCAGAGAAGCATTAGATCACCCGGGCTACTTCATACCACTTAGAAGATTAGTAATCTACAAGGACACAAGGACACACAAAACTTGTTTTAAAATGCCTTTTGCTTTCCAGCATCTAACTTGAAATAGATTTCCAGGAAGAGAAGATAAGGGGATGAGAGGACAGGATGAAAACTAACATGGATGGGGCTCTGTTAAGCATCACACACTTTACTAGGCACTCACAGGCCTTCTCACATACTCTAGGTTGTAATGATTTGGAATAATCCATCTTTTTGCCTTTTTCTTTATTTTCAGAGAAACCCATTTACTCAAAGTACCTTGTGTATCTCATTTTAACGAATGCTTTGTATTAGTTTGGTTGCAAGTGACAGAATCTCAATTCAAACCAGTTTTGGCAAAAATGGAAATTTATTGGCTTTACTGCAAATAAAAATTGAGAAAGCAGATACGGGGGAAGAGCAGGCATGCAGCCCAGCTTGATGAAAACTGGAAAAGCCTGGAGACTGAATCTCATCAGGACTTTTCCCCTAAATCTTCTTTGTTCCTTTCGCTGTTGGTTTATTCCTCTTCAATGCACACTGCTTTTATCCTCACGTTGGAGGTTGGGGGAGAGGGGACGTGCCCTCCGCACCCCCACCCCAAGCACTCGAGCGTAACATCATACAGCCTCCACTTCAGGAGGGGGACTAACCAATGTCTCTTAAGACCAAAAATCCCAGAGAGAAGATCCATTGACCTAGCCTGGGTCAGGTGCTCAAAGTGAGGGTTCAAGATGGACATGACTGTGTTGGTGGTCACCATGGTGATGGGACGTAAGCACTTTCCCAGGAGAAAGGGGACAGTCTGCATGAGGCCCCTTTGAGTTCCCTCGACCCATCCAGAAAATCTCTCTCTCCTTGGTAAATGCCTAGTTTTATTCCTAACACATGAAAGGCTTCAGTAAGTATTTGTTGAATGTCAAGGGTTAAAAAACTGGAAGTAGAAGAAAGGGAAATGAGCAGAATAGACAAAATCCAGGGCTGACGATGATGCCAGTTCAAAGTAACATCTCTTTCCTGCAGGGGAGCTCACTACCTACAAAAGTGCCACTGAAAGCCCCAGGGGAAGTCACTCAAGGGTGTTCAGAAGAAGTGAGGATGCCTCTCCCCTCTGCTGGCTCTCAGCTGGAGCAGACCCTCGGTCCATACGGATAAGATGCTCCAGCTGCCAATGTTCCCAGGCTTATTTTATCTTCCCCCGCAACAATATTATTTTTCTTCCTTTTAGCAGCTGGTATGAGAATCCTTCCCCCAGGGAGAGACCCAGTTTTGTCAGGCAAGTGCTTTGATCAACGCACGCAGGGGCTTGGGTCAGCTGGTGCTGGGATCAGAGGAGCAGGTGGGGCTGCTTTCCTCCTGAGAGGAGGGAGAGGTTGAGGAGCAGAGGGAGGAGACAACAAGTCATTGGCACTTCCAAGGAAGCCCCAGAAGAAAAAAGGCTCTAATGGTGTGAGGTGCCTGGGCTCCACTATGTGAGCTCTCCCCATGACTCCCTGCATCCTTTACAAAACATCAGCAAGCCTCATTCACTCAGGAGGGTGGACTTCTTGAGGAAGCCTGAGAAGGGAATAGATTTTGTGGCAAAGTCTGAGTGGGGCACATGAAGAGTCTGACTGCATGGGCAAAGGAGGCAGCACTTGGCTTAGGTTCCCAACGCACAGATGTGAAAATGATCTGCATGCCATGCCATACTGTGCACCTGCTGGGGCCCACGCAGGGCAACACTGCAAGTGTCCAAGGTGAGGACAGCTGGCCTGTCCTTTCTGTTCTGTAAGGGAACAAGTCCAAGTTCTAACAAGTCCATCTGTTATGTCTAGTCCTTGTAAACAGGTCCCAATTTCCTGTTACTTTGCTGGGTGTTATGACCTGAGGTCTTTGACCCTCTCCTCTTCTCTATTATCTCTCTCTCTCCCTCTCTCTCTCTCTCTCTCCCTCTCTCCTCCAATCCACTGTGCTGTGCCTCCCTGTTTGCTGTTTATCCCACTGTTGTCTGGAAAACTCTTCTTTCTCTTTCAGATCTCTCTCTCTGTCTCTCTCTCTCTCTCTGTATGTATATATATATATATATATATATATATATATATATATATATATATATATACTTTAAATTCTAGGGTACATGTGCACAACGTGCAGCTTTGTTACATAAGTATGCATGTGCCATGTTGGTTTGCTGCACCCATTAACTTGTCATTTACATTTGGTATTTCTCCTAATGCCCCCACCCCACGACAGGCCCCAGTGTGTGATACTCCCCGCCCTGTGTCCAAGTGTTCTCATTGTTCAATTCCCACCTGAGTGAGAACATGCAGTGTTTGATTTTCTGTCCTTGTGATAGTTTGCTCAGAATGATGGTTTCCAGCTTCATCCATGTCCCAACAAAGGATATGAACTCATCCATTTTTATGGCTGTGTAGTATTCCATTGTGTACATGTGCCACATTTTCTTAATCCAGTCTATCACTGATGGACATTTGGGTTGGTTCCAAGTTTTTGCTATTGTGAATAGTGCCGCAATAAATATATGTGTGCATGTGTCTTTATAGTAGCATGATTTATAATCCTTTGGGTATATACCCAGTAATGGGATCACTGGGTCAAATGGTATTTCTAGTTCTAGATCTTTGAGGAATCTCCACACTGTCTTCCACAATGGTTGAACTAGTTTACACTCCCACCAACAGTGTAAAAGCATTCCTATTTCTCCGCATCCTCTCCAGCATCTGCTGTTTCCTGGCTTTTTAATGACTGCCATTCTAACTAGTGTGAGATGGTGTAGTTTTGATTTGCATTTCTCTGATGGCCAGTGATGATGAGCATTTTTTCATGTGTCTGTTGGCTGCATAAATGTCTTCTTTTGAGAAGTGTCTGTTCATATCTTTTCCACACTTTTGATGGGGTTGTTTGCTTTTATCTTGTAAATTTGTATAAGTTCTTTGTAGATTCTGGATATTAGCCCTTTGTCAGATGGGTAGATTGCAAAAATTTCCTCCCATTCTGTAGGTTGCCTGCTCACTCTGATGGTAGTTTCTTTTGCTGTGTAGAACCTCTTTAGTTTAATTAGATCCCATTTGTCAATTTCGGCTTTTGTTGCCATTGCTTTTTGGTTTTAGACATGAATTCCTTGCCCATGCCTATGTCCTGAATGGTATTGCCTAGGTTTTCTTCTAGGGTTTTTATGGTTTTAGGTCTAACATTTAAGTCTTTAATCCATCTTGAATTAATTTTTGTATAAGGTGTAAGGAAGGGATCCAGTTTCAGCTTTCCACATATGGCTAGCCAGTTTTCCCAGCACCATTTCTTAAATAGGGAATCCTTTTCCCATTTCTTGTTTTTGTCAGGTTTGTCAAAGATCAAATGGTTGTAGATGTGTGGTGTTATTTCTGAGGCCTCTGTTCTGTTCCATTAGTCTATATCTCTGTTTTGGTACCAGTACCATGCTGTTTTGGTTACTGTAGCCTTCTAATATAGTTTGAAGTCAGGCAGTGTGATGCCTCCAGCTTTGTTCTTTTTGCTTAGGATTGCCTTGGCAATGAGGGCTCTTTTTAGTTCCATATGAACTTTAAAGTAGTTTTTTTCCAATTCTGTGAAGAAAGTCATTGGTAGCTTGATGGGGATGGCATTGAATCTATAAATTACCTTGGGCAGTATGGCCATTTTCACGATATTGATTCTTCCTATCCATGAGCGTGGAATGTTCTTCCATTGTTTGTGTCCTCTTTTATTTCCTTGAGCAGTGGTTTGTAGTTCTCCTTGAAGAGGTCCTTCACATCCCTTGTAAGTTGGATTCCTAGGTATCTTATTATCTTTGAATCAATTGTGAATGGGAGTTCACTCATGATTTGGCTCTCTGTTTGTCTGTTAATGGTGTACAGGAATGCTTGTGATTTTTGCACATTGATTTGTATCCTGAAACTTTGCTGAAGTTGCTTATCAACTTAAGGAGATTTTGGGCTGACAAGATGGGGTTTTCTAAACATACAATCATGTCATCTGCAAACAGGGACAATTTGACTTCCTCTTTTCCTAATTGAATACCCTTTATTTCTTTCTCTTGCCTGATTGCCCTGGCCAGCCCTTCCAACACTATGTTGAATAGGGGTGGTGAGAGAGGGCATCCCTACATTATGCCACTTTTCAAAGGGAATGCTTCCAGTTTTTGCCCATTCAGTATGATATTGGCTGTGGGTTTGTCATAAATAGCTCTTATTATTTTGAGATACATTCCATCAATACCTAGTTTATTTAGAGTTTTTAGCATAAAGAGCTGTTGAATTTTGTCAAAGGCCTTTTCTGCATCTATTGAGATAGTCATGTGGTTTTTGTCTTGGTTCTGTTTATGTGAATGGATTACGTTTATTGATTTGCATATGTTGAACCAGCCTTGCATCCCAGGGATGAAGCCAACTTGGTCATGGTGGATAAGTTTTTGATGTGCTGCTGGATTCGGTTTGCAAGTATTTTATTGAGGATTTTTCCATCGATGTTCATCAGGGATATTGGTATAAAATTCTCTTTTTTGTTGTGTCTCTGCCAGGCTTTGGTATCAGGATGATGCTGGCCTCATAAAATGAGTTAGGGAGGACTCCCTCTTTTTCTATTTATTGGAATAATTTCAGAAGGAATGGTATCAGCTCCTCTTTGTACGTCTGGTAGAATTCAGCTGTGAATCCATCTGGTCCTGGACTTTTTTTGGTTGGTAGACTATTAATTATTGCCTCAATTTCAGAGCCTGTTATTGGTCTATTTAGAGATTCAACTTCTTCTTTTTTTTTTTTTTTTTTGTGAGACAGAGTCTTGCTCTGTCATCCAGGCTGGAAGCATGATCTCCGCTCACTGCAACCTCTGCACTCTGGGTTCAAGCAATTCTCTTGCCTCAACTTCCTGAATAGCTGGGATTACATGTGTGTGCAACCATGCCTGACTAATTTTTGTATTTCTAGTAGAGACGGGGTTTCACCGTGTTGGCCAGGCTGGTCTCGAACTCCTGATCTTAAGTGAACCACTCACCACGGCCTCCCAAAGTGCTGGGATTAGAGGCACAAGCCACTGCGTCCTGCCCAGATCTCATCTTTAAGGATCCTTTTTCTAGGGAAGCTTTCCCTATCTCCCCAAAGCTAAGTCCATGTTCCTTTTATGTGATCAGAGTCTCCTGGCTCATCTCAAACATCACCTTGACCATGTTGAGTTATGATGGTTTACTTGGAAGTTATCTACCTGTCTCTCCTACTAGACTATAAATGCAAGGAGGACAAGAGCTAGGTGTCTGCTTTGTTCGCTATGCCATCCCTAGCCCTCTCCAAAGTACAGTGCCTGCCACATAGCAGGTGCTCCATAAATATTTGTTGAATTTATTGAAGAAACCTACTGATCTGCTAACTCTTATGATCCACCTGGCCACTGTGACAACTTCCAGGAAACAAATACATGAGCCCTGATGGCATCAAATATGTGCTTTCTCTAGGGCAGCTGTGTGAAACCATAGAAGCAATGGCAGAACCTTCTAGAAGCCTCTTCATTGTCCTTGCTCTCTAAGCACATGAAACAGACACAGTACGGTCCTTATTCTCAAACGAGCCTGAATTCCCACGAAGGATAATGGACACACAGAAAGCCAAGGTGCACCCACAAAAGACAACAGCAGAGAGAAGGCAGTGAGCAGTTAAAGCCCACAGAAGAGAGGTCTCTTCCAAGAAGAGGCAGGGACCATCCCCAGAGGACTTGGCAAACAGATAGCATCTGAAAAGGTGGATTAAATTGGCAAAGTGTTGAAAACATGCAGACTCTACTCTTCAAGTCTCTGCAAAAAGGTAGCCATGGGAAAACCAGAGCCGCCCTGAGGTGGGGGGAAACCCTTGTAGCTAGAACCGATGATTCACAAAGGAAGAGGAGAAGAACCGAAAGCCTAGAAACAGCTCAGATAGATCATGGAAGTCTGAACTCCAGGTTATAGAGTTTGCACCCTGATCTCTAGGTAATAGAGAGCCTTGGAGAGTTTTAGGGGCATGTTTCCCTCAAAGTAGAGGTTGGGGACAATTAATCTGGCAAGATGAAGGAAGTGTCAGAAGAAGGAGGCTCCAGCAGCAGAGGGGTAGGCTAGGAGGCTGCAGTAGTGGTAGTGAGGTCAGAAGGGACTCATCTCTTCCAGATCAATCTGGACCACGGAGGCAAAGTGAGGAAGAAATGAGGTGAAGGGAAAGGAGGGCCAGGCTTGGGGGTGCATTGTGAGTAAAGAAGGATTTGATTTTTTTTTTTTTGAGACGGAGTTTCACTCTTGTTGCCCAAGCTGGAGTGCAAGGCATGATCTTGGCTCACTGCAACCTCTGACTCCCCAGTTCAAGCAATTCTCTTGCCTCAGCCTCCTGAGTACCTGGGATTACAGGTGTGCACCACCACGCCCAGCTAATTTTTTGTATTTTTAGTAGAAACAGGGTTTCACCATGTTAGCCAGCCTAGTCTCAAATTCCAGACCTCAGGTGATCTGCCTGCCTCGGCCTCCCAAAGTGCTGGGATCACAGGCGTGAGCCACCACACCTGGCCAAGAAGGATTTGATTTTACCTGAAGTATTTTAATTATTTACAATAAAAATGTATTTATGTGAAACTTAAGTGATTAAAAAGTATTAAAATTTTTTGAAGGAACAAGCAAGGGAAATAATAAGAAAGAAAGAACTAAAGGAAGTTGAAAGAAAAAGAAAGATTGAGGTAGAGCAGGAAGAAAGGAAGACAGGGAAGAAAGAAAATAAGAAAGTATAATTCAGTAGATTCAGGAGGATTACTCATTGAGAAATATTTACTGGGTGCCTTCGATGTGCCAAGTGCTCTTATAGGCACTAGGGTAAAATAATAGATAGGATAGAAAAAATTTCTTCCCTCGTGGAACTTATATTTAATGGAAAAGACAGATAATAAACAAGCTGATGCATAATTCCAAATAGTGATATGAAAATTTTTTAAAAAGCTAGCAGTATAAAAGGAGAGAGAATGTTCCTGCTATCTATTATTATATAAATATCAACCACCAAAGAGTGGGTTTTAATAATCATCATCCTTTGTTTTTTGTCTCGATTCTGCAGGTTGGGCGGGGCTGAGTGGGGACAGCCCATCTCAGCTCTACTCAGCATCTCTGGAGCAGCTCTGAGGTTAGAGGCTGGAACCATCTGGAGCCTTTTTCTCTCACCTGTCTGGAGTTGATGCTGGCTGGCAGCTGGCATCTGACACGGTACTGTTGGCTGGAACATCACATGGCCTCTCCATGTAGTATAGGCTTCCTCACAATATGGTGGGTAAATCCCAAGCGCAAACATCCTAAGATAGATGAGAGACAGGGACAGAAAGGGGGCATGAGTGGCAGGCTGGCACTACCTTGCATCTTCTAATCTAGACTCAGGGGTCCTCCAGCACCACTTCCATTGCATTCTCTTCCTAGAGGTGAGTCACTAAAGCCAGTCCATATTCAAGAAGTGGAAAATTGGATTCCACCTTTTTATAGGAGGCGTGCTAAATAATTTGTAGATGTCACAGACAACAATGTGAGAGAATGGTATGTATACCAGATGGTTAGTAAAGGGGACTCCAAATTCCATATCAGTCAGGATTCTCCAGAAAAACAGAACCAATAGGAAATTAGATAGATAAATAGATAGACAGATAGACTGATAGATTGATAGATATGATACACACATACATATATGCACAGATCTATGTAGATACACATGTACAGTACATATATAAGCCTATATACATATGTATATGTATATGCAGGCATATGTGTATGCATGTGTGTGTGCATGTATATGTAGATATAAAGAGTTATATTTTAAGGAGTTGGCACATACAATTGTGGGAGCTGGCAAGTCTGAAATTCACAGGTCAGGCCAATAGACTGGAAACCTGGGCAGAAGTTAGAGGATTGGGAACCACTGGAAGATTCTGGGCAGGGGAGTAGTATGATCCACTTCACTCCATTTAAAGACAGCACTGGCTGCCGGGGAGGAGGTATGCTGGAAGGATTGCCAAGTGTGAGCAGCTCCCAGGTCCAGGAGTGGGGAAGGATGAGTCGAAGAGGCACTGTGCAGGACAGCCCTGAGCTTCCCATGCCCACTGATGGAGCACAGTCGCCATGAGACAGAAACCAAGAAATCATCCTGGGGAGTGGCTTAGGGATTCTGTTAGAGAAAAATTAGTTTTGAAACAAAAACTGTACAACCCTCTAGAATAAAAGCAGTGGGAATTCAGGCCTAGAGCTGGCCTGCTGGCTCAGGGCTGCAGGTACGCTTCTCAAAGGCAGGGCTTAGAGGTGGTGTCTGAAACCATGGGCCTGAGGGGCTCAGGAAGGGCGAGAGAGGGAAGAGGGCACAAGACCTCCCAGCCACCAGCTCCTTAGGATTATCTATTCATGGCCACAGACAGAGGTTTCACGTGTTGAGGCAAGAAAAAGAAAACAGTTTGAAGAGAACACTCCTCTGTTCTCAGCCTCCTGAAAAGGTCACGCGTGTGATGAGGTATTAAAGGCAGTCCGGGAGACAGTTGAGGGCCAGCAGTATGCAGGCATGCATTACTTATGAGACTCCACTGAAATGTAAATTGGGGTGAGTTTATTGGTTCCCTTGGTCTTAAATGGAATCATAAAGTATTCACTGGGTCCAGCGAAGGCCTTTGAGATCTGGAGCTCTGCAAGAAATATGCGGCATACTAAGGTTACATTAATAAAAAATAAATAAATCCGTGTCCAAGAAACTCTTGCTTGTGCACTATAAAACTGCCCATTCTGTAGATATTAATGTTTAATGTGTTTGTAAAAAGCAGTCGGCTTTGCCGAGCACAGCAACAAAAACATCCCTCACCCCTCAGTACTTAACATCTCAGCACGTCTCCTAAGTGCTCTGGTGGAGAACACGCCAGCCTGGGTGGGAAAAGAGAGTTCTGGACAGTGCCTACTGGAGCCACATTAAAACACTGTTTCCCTAAGAGAAAACGTGCTCGTTTCCTCACCCATCAGCCGCTGCTACTGATGTAAGGGCGAGTCAGACTTGCATGCCCCCCCTCCACATACGACTGGCCTGCCGTGCTCAGGAGAAATGGTAAGAGAAATTGCCGTTCTCAACTGAATACGTAATGACTAGAAATCTGTTTAGAGAAAGGCACTCAAAAGATAACTGCTTCAAAACAAACAAGGTTTGTTTTATGGAAAAGATCTGATAAACACCTGACTCAGAGGAGCACAAATATTTCGCTTCAGACCACAGACGCAACCCCACCTGTTTCCTAGACGTTTCTAGAAAGTTCACACCAATCGATGGGCATCATCGCTTTCCTAGGCACGTCTGATCGGCTGCACTTGGTAGCTGTGATGTTCTGCTTTTGGTCCTGACTCAGTGCAGAGAAATTTCTGCTTCCCCTAAGCTGATCTGCAGTTGGGAAACAGGCTGCCACACCTAGACCTGCTGACCAAGCCTTACCGTGTTACCTTACACCTTGAGGAGCCACTGGGAACTAAATGGTAAAATAAGAACGGACTGTTACACAGAACAGAGCTAAACACTCAGGAATGGGAATAGATCGTTAAACCCAGCATCAGGTGCCCCACCCCACTCACCAGCAAACTGTAGCAAGGATCTGCAAAAAAGGAGTGGGAACAATAGCTAGAGACAGTCTCTCTCTCTCTCTGTCTCTCTCTGTCTCTCTCTCTCTCTCTGTATCTCTGTCTGTCTCTCTCTGTCTCTCTGTCTCTCTCTCTCTGTCTCTCTGTCTCTCTCTCTTTCTCTCTGTGTCTTTCTCCACATTCTGGAATTCAGCAGATCCATTTTCATTTCTGTCTAGACTTCAGCACCCACTGACTGTCTACCTGATGTCATGGACCAAGCTCTCCCTGACAGAACAAGCCTTCTAGCTTTAGAAGTGCTGGGAGAAACTTGGGGCCCTGCTTCTTATATGATAAGTGGAAGTCAGGCTTAACATGCTCCAAAGGAAAAGCTTTGCTTCTCACATCCAGTATTGTGGAGTCAATCGTATTCCCCAAAATATGTGCTGAAGTCTGAATCCCTGGTACTTGTGAATGTGACCTTATTTGGAAACAGGGTCTTTAGAGATGTAATCAAATTAAGATAAACCCCTCCTGGCTTAGAATGGGCCTTAAATCCAATGACTGGTATCCTTGCAAGGAGAGGGAATGGGAGACACACAGACATACAGGGGGAAAGACCGTGTGAAGACGGCAGCAGAGACTGGAGGGACGCTGCCACAACCAACAAATGCCAAGGACTGCCTGCAACCACAAGAAGCTAGAAGAGCCAAGGAAGGATTCTCCCCTAGAGACTTCAGAGAAATGATGGCTCTGCCAACATCTAGATTTCAGACTTTAGTCCTGTAAAACTGTAAGACAATACATGTCTGTCGCTATAAGCCACCCAGCTTGCAGCAGTGTGTTATGGAAGTCCTACAACACGAATGCACCCAGGGATACATGTGGGGAAGCTCAGGAATAAAAAAAGAGAAATGCCTGAGCTCAGTGGCACCAATGAGATCACGGTGAACACGAAGATATTCAGAACTGGCCCCAAAGAGGCCTCCCATTAGGGCCACACTGAGGTTACCAATAAAGCCCAACCAGGCAGGATGTGCTCAGGACGTATCTGTCCTCCTGAAGTTTCCAGGCAGTGTCAGCCACGAGAAAGGTGTCTCCAAGAGCCTTACCAAGGCAACAGAAGAACTGAGATGAGAGAAGTTGAACGCCCAGAGAGGTTGGGAACAGGGAGGAGGCTCAAACAGCTGTGTGCCCAGACAGCCACGTCGCATCATAGTCTGCTCCAAGGAGGGGGGCTGACTATCCCCAAATAGTTCCCCTCCAGCCTGCCACTAAATTGTTGTTTATTTCTAAAATGCCTTAGCTAAGAAGCACATAAACCACTCTCCACTGGTGCCATGACTCTTCCCCACTGGGACCCAGGAGCTGGAGCAGGACCTAGTAGAGACTAGACACTCCATAGCAATGAGCTGAATGACTGCACTGTGAAGGAATGCATGATTTGGTAAAAGCAGAGAGAAGAGAGGAGCCCCCTTTAGATCCCAGAAAGTTAAGCGGAGGAGAGTCGAGGGCTGCAGGAAGCACAGCAGAGAGGGGCTTCTGGAAATGGTGAGCAGAATGGGTGCCTTGGAGGGCGGCTCTGAAATGCCAGGGTCACTTAGTGACCCGGAATTTGCTAACCCTCCAGCCTTCTCTCACTCCCTTCTCTTACGTTTTATGCCCAATTCCTAATTGTTTCCAGTTGTCTGCACTTGCCTTGCTATTTTGGGCATCAGGCCTTTGCGCATGCTGTTCCCTGAGCCTGGAAGGTTGTCCTGTTGCATTCTCCAATACCATTGCTTGTCATCCCCTCCTCTAGGAAGCCCTCCTGGATAACCCCATCCAGTGCCTACTTGCACATCCCATGGTATTGCAACAACCTGGGGCCTTCCAGGGCTCCCTCTTTAGCTCACCTCTATAACTTCAGAAACTGAGACAAACTCCAGGTGAATGTCTCACTTAACTGGGGTGGGATGGGATGGGATGGACAGGATGGGACAGGATGGGATGGGAGTAGGGGGATGTGGAGAGGCAAGAATGACAAGGATGAGGATGGGGCTGGCCCAAAGAGGGGAAATACCAAATGAGGAATGGGCCAATAACCAAGACAGATTTGGGGTCTGAAGGGATTCTGCCTGGAATAAACCTGGTTTTGAGTCGTCCGTGAATGCCCTTTAAAACAGAGTGTGGACATATTTATTTAGGGAAGAAACTAAAGTAACGTGATTTGCCCCGTTTTTTGCTCCAAGTCCTCCTGGTTTGGCTTCTGGGATCTGCTTTCCCTAGACAGCCTCACGCTGGCATCCAGCAGCAAACAATCTTGTGGACAATTAATGTCAGCTGTTCTAGAAAGTCAAACCATGACTTCTTGGAATCAAGTCTGCCATCAGCTCATTGAAATGGACCTGCCTCCTTCCCCTTTTCTCTCTTGAATGATGAGGAAGTGAATGAATGAGTGAATGAATGAATGAATGAATGTGGTTTATCATGGCAGGATAAATAATACTTGGCCCTAACAACAAGCATAGCAGTGTGGAAACAGCACAGGTTTTGGAGTCAGATGGGCCCAGTTTAATGTCACTTCCTAGCTCCATGACCTTCTGCAAATGGCTGTCCCTCTGAGGGGCCCCAGTCTCTCAGCAACAATATGGTTGTTACTGAGAATTAAAGATCAATATATAAAGTTTCCAGCACCTAACAGGTGCTTCGTATCAAGAGTTTCCTTCCTCATTCCTCCATCCTCTCCTTCCTCTCTCCTTTGTTCCTTCCTTACAATCATTAACATTTGATAAACACCTACCAGATGGCAAGCCTTGCATGCAAGGGGCTTTCCTGTACATCTTCTCATTTAATCATTGCTCACATCCTTATAGGGTGAAGGCTAAGGTTAAATACTCTCCTGCATTCGTTTTCTAGGGCTGTTGTAACAAAGTACCACACACCAGGTGCTGAAAATCACAGAAATTTATTATTTGACAGTCTGGAAGCTGCAAGTCCAAGATCAAGATGTTGGCAGGGTTGCCTCCTTCTGAGTGCTGTGAGGGAGAATCTGTTCCACGCTCTCCCGTCGCCTCTGGTGGCTGCTGGCATTCCTTCGCTTGTCGATACATCACCCCAGTCCCTGCCTTCACCTTCACATGATGTTCCCATTGTCTGTGTCTATCTCTGCATATAAATTTCCCTTTTATAAAGAACACCGTCATATTGGCTTAGGGCCCATCCTCATGATGTCGTCTTAACTTGATCATCTGCACCACCCCTATCACCAAATAAGGCTACATTCACCGGTCCTGAGACTTCAACATCTTTTGGGGGACACGATTAGACCCATAACACCTCCCAAAGGGGAGAACCAAGACTCATGCCCGTATCCTTCTGTCTCTCTGCCTTTCTCCCAGAATTGCCTTGAGTTTAGCTTTTCATGCAACAGTTCAGGAAAAATGCAGTGTGAGCGCTCTCACCACAGGGAGACTGCTTGGGGGACAGCAGGTCAGACTGGAAAGAGATCTTAAGTGTCTTCCAGTACGATACTATCATTTTACAAATAAGGATATTGAGGTCCGAAGAGGGACAGCAACTTGTCCAAGGTCACACTGCTGGATAGAAATGAGCCAGGGCTAGAACTCAGGTCCCAGATTCCCCCTGCAGACCTTCTCTCTGCTGCAGAAAATTCCTCCACTAATCCCGCACCAAAAAGCTGCTAGCTCTTACATTCACACTCCCCATTAATGTTGAGAAAGAAAACATTTCTCAAACATAAATTTCTGAATAAAAGTCTTAAACGCTCAGTTGCATCAAATGACTGCAGTAAGCAAAGTGTCTGTTTTAACCAGAGGAAGAGACTATTATTATTATTATCATTATTATTACAATTCTAATACTCAGGTCAAAATTGTCAGCAAGACCAAGAATGCCACTTCTGTCCAGTTTGAAGAAAACAGGTGTAGAAAATGACTCGCAGAAATCGAGTCACAGTTTCAGCTAAATACATTTTTAATTCCTTATGTATTTTTTATATTTTGTTTTGTACAGGACTGTTTACCCAGTTAATGGTGAAGTGGAATGTATTGTCACCAAGTTGCTGGGGGTTTTTTCTTACTCAGTCTTGAAGTGCCCCCTAGTGAAATGTTTTTACATTTAAAAAGTTGAGAATTAAGCCAAAAATAAGATTTTCAAAAAGCAGAAGAACATTTTAGAAAAAAATGGGGACAAATTGGAGGTGGAGGGATGGCTTTGTTTTAAGGCGATTCGAACGTGATTATTTTACAATCCATTCCTGAGCCCTTTTCTATATGCACCCTCACGCCGGTTGCCTTGTAGACTCATCCCTGAGAAAGGAGGGTTTTACCTACAGAGCGCACAGCAGAGAAATCTTGCAAGCTGACTTGCAGCCAGTCAGAGGGGAGTAGCCAGCCCACCACAGACACACTGTGGCCACAAAAAGGCCAGGGATTCCGCCATTTTTCCAAAGAGGTATTGTGAAACCTATGCCAACACTAGGTTTGTGCTTAGGCAGTTTTAGGGAGCATCTTGTGATGTGAGGAAATCTGAGAGTCATTCCTTGGTCACTGCAAACCATGCAATGCTGATTGTATGGAAAACAGCATTTGAAAGGGGAGCTTGCGGAAGGAAAGGGAGAAGGGAGGAGGGTATATTGGAATTCTCTCTAATTTCTGCTCATTTTTGCTATAAACCTAAAATTGCTCTTAAAAAAGTGTGTTAATTTTTAAACAACATTTGACAGAGCAAACAAAACCCAAAGAAAGTGGTCTTAAAAGGCAACTAAACATCAGCTCCACCTAATTGACAGTTTGCAACCTTGACTATAAAAAATGTGCATTTCTAGTACGCACCTTCAGAGGTTCACATTTAATTGGTTTAGGGTGGAGCAGGCATTAGTCTTTCAAAAGCTCCCTCAAGCAACCTGATATGCAGCCTTGGTTGAGAAACGTGGACCAAAATGAGGCCCCCTGCCCAGACACCAAGCTCTCACCAAGTTTCTTCTGGAATGTGCTTTGGGTTCCCTTGGGGTCCTCCTCCTGCAGGCAGGAGGACAGAAGCCACTGGCCATTCAGAAGGGAAGGACATGCGGTATGCCCTATCCCCTGAGCCCCTGTGGCAAGTCACTAAAGTGGCTTCCCAGGTAAGCAGCTCACAAGAGGATTCAGCTGTCCACGTCAACTCAAATAATCTGGGTAATTTGATAAATGGGGACGGGCCACAAAGTAGTGCTGCAGTATGGGTTCCTCCCCAACCAGAATGCAATGCTCAGGAGGGCAGTGTGCCTCCCAGGGAATGCACCTCATACTGATGAGGCTGCTGGGAACAGCCCAGGGGCCACAGGCGCACCACACAGGCTGAGGTCCTAGCCATGCATCTGTCCTCAGCATTTCCTGGCCTCCGTCTGTTCCATCACCACAGGTCTCAGGCCTGGACACTCCCCTTGTTCTTTGCAGGATGGAGAAGGAGAGGCTGGTGGGAAACCCTCCTGATGACTTCATATAAAAACAAGAGCTTCTCAACAGTTATCTCTTTTTCTCCCTTTTAAGAGAAATTGCCATAGGATTCAGCTGTAGGTTGGATATGGCAACAAGCCAAGGGAATGTCCAAGGTCAAACCAGAAAAATGGTGGCAACTACCAGTTTCAGTGGTTCCCAAATGCTAATGCTCTTAAGAATCACCTGCAGCTCTTCAGAAAGATTCCCAGATTCCTAGCCCCATGTAGAGACGCTAATTCAGTAGGCCTGGGCTGGTTTCCAAGATTCCATTCAATCGTTCAGCAAATATTTAATAAGTTCCTACTACATGCCAAGCTCTGTTTCTGGGCCTAGGGACATGGTATTGAACAAATAGCCCTTTGCTGTTGTGGAGCTTACATTCTAGTGAATGCAATCTGCATTTTTAACAAGCTGTGTATGTGTTTTAGGTGCAGGAAGTTCCAGATCATGCTCTAAGAAGTGCTAATCATTCAACGTACTCACATTACAGACATGGAAGTTAAGGACCAGACAGGGAGGTAACTCACCATGAATTCCTCTGTCCTGTCTGTGGGCCGGTTCTGCCAACACCAGCCCCTCTTCTTGGCCACACTGTCTAGAGCCATCTAAACATTCTGCAGATGAGACTTTTGTTTTGGTCGCTCCTTTCCATATCAGAATCGAATAAAGGAAACACCTGCATTAGCTGCTAATCTTATATGTCTGAAAATCAAACGACCAATGGTATGGTTGTCTGATCAGCAGTCACACAGCAAATCAATGTCAGAGGTGCCAAGAATGTGAAGGGTTGTACTTCCCACCCTCTCTCAGGAGCACGGTCCCTGCCCAGGGCAACTGCAGCCTTCCTCTGGCCTTAGGATCGCCACACTCATTGCACTGTGCCGTGGGGCAGCAGTTCCTGTTACTGAAAGGCTTCTGCAAAATGCTGATTCCCAGGCCTGCCCCAGCCATCTCTGGGGATGAGACTTAAGAATCTATATTTTATAAATGCTCCCTGGGTAGTTCAGATGTTATTTCCAGGTGTGGAAACAATCAATATAGGAGGAAAAGCACAAGATTGTATTATGTCAGAAAGATCCGGGGTCAAGCCCCAGCTCTGCCACCTATTAGCTGCGTGGCCAGGGATAAGTTGTTTGACTTCTCTGAGATTCAATTCCTTTATCTGTTAAACTGGAGTAAATATACCTTCCCTCACAGAGTTGAGGGTGAGGATGAAATTTAAGAGTGTTTGCAGGTGTCTGGCTGGGGGGTCCCCCATGTGCAGTGGGGCGCAGTCAACAGATACATTTACTGATAAATTGCAGCCCTGACCAGGTCTGGGAGTAGCTCAGAGTAAGGTTCTAGACCCACTCAACTTTGGGCAAGTTATTTCACTTATCTGAAACTCAGCTTTCTCACATTAAAATGAAGATGATGCTAGTCATCATAATAAATTATTGAGTTGTTTTGAGGATTAGATGAAGGGTGAAGCAAATGTTGGCTGTTTTTATCACATACTCCTTCTGTACCATTGCTCATTCAATTATCTCTTTTTTTGTATTTTTTTAATATTTATTTTAAGTTCCAGGATACATGTGCAGAATGTGCAGGTTTGTTACATAGGTATACTTGTGCCATGGTGGTTTGCTGCAACTATTGACCCGTTCTCTAAGCTCCCTCCCCTCACCCCCCACCCTGCAACAGGCCCCAGTGTGTGTTGCTCCCCTCCCTGTGTCCATGCGTTCTCATTGTTCAACTCCTACTTATGAGCAACAACATGCAGTGTTTGGTTTTCTCTTCCTGTGTTAGTTTGCTGAGGAGGATGGATGAAGCTGGAAGCCATTAACTCTTTTTAAAGCCTAACAATCATTCTACCGCCTCTGTTTATCCCAGCCAGCTGCAAGAAGCCATCAAGATGTAATGGGAAAACCAGAGGCTAAGGAAGCCAAAAGTTCTGGGTTTGAATCTCAGCACATGGTCTTTGCAGTATGTGTCTTTGATTGTTTGCATAACATCTCTGAACCTCAGTTTAAATGCCATCAGTGAAACAGGCATACAACGTTCCCCAGACTTCAGGAATAACATTTCGATACTCATCTAATGCAGTCTGACCCCTCTGCTATGACTTTTATGAGCTTCCTCTCTCATTGTATTCCTGAGAGCCTGTAGGGAACCTTTCCATGTTACAAAAAGCAGCCCCTGCTGCTGCTTGGCAGCCCTCACTTCAGACCCCTGAGCCAGCACCTCTGCTGCTCCCCTCTTGCTGTCATGCTATAATTGCCTCTTCAAGCCAATATGCTCTACATTCTTCTGTATCCCCAGCATGGGACATCCCCTTTCTATTTTTCCTGCAAGCACCAGTAGCATAAGTTGTGGTGTTTTTGTCTTGACCAAAGGCCTGAGCAACGCATCAAGAAGTCTCAATATTAAAAAAGACTCTCAGTTTCTATCAGCTCTGTCAACTGCCCCTGCCCCCAAAATCCATCAGCTTTGTCCCTTCTTGGGGACTCCACTGAGAAAGAAAAAGGGACTAGAACTTCTTGGAGGATGGAGGGACAATGTCTAAAGAGGCCTCGGTGGTGGAGCAACAGCCTAGAACATACACGCTTTGACAACTGATTTGAGATTGTCACCCAAGAAAAAAGAGGAGTCTCTACCCAAGAAAAGCTGAGTAAGGGGATCCAGAGAATGACCACTGCAGAGGCTTTGCAGAGGAGGCCCAGTGGCCACATGGAAACCGAGAACTCACTGCTGTCGATGACCACTGGCTCCACAGGCCCTACGGCTCTTGTCAATGCAGGAGAGGCCAGATCCCTAGCCACTGACTGTCCAGCCAGAGTGACACCTGTCCATGCCACAGCACTGCCTGGCATCATCCAAGACCCCATGTGAATACACAAGAATACCCCAAGACACCTGGGAACACAAAGGTTGATGGACAGGGACATTTCACTGGGTGATGAGAGGACAGAAAGCCTCCCTACTTGTTTCATAGGGAATTCCACACCTCTCCTAGTGACATCTCTCAGGGGTTAGTGACAGCACTCTTTGTGTCTGAGGCCAGCTCTGCTCTTTCCCCACCCCACAGAGAGAAGCGTCATTGTTCTCTGACACTTGGCACCCAGCAGACAAGGGCTCCAGCCAGAACCAATGTGCTGCTTGGCGGAGGTGCTCAGCTCCCTGCTCTCAGGAGGTCCCTCGTTTCTGTATGGAATGCTGGATAAAAGACATCACACATTTGATAAGAACTATGGAACTGTACAACACACAGAGTGAACTCTAACATAATTTTAGTTACTACTACTGTACTAATATGGGTTCATCAACTGTAACAAACATCCCACACCAAGGCAAGATATTAACAGTAGGAGTGCCAGCTGCAGTGGCTCACATCGCTAATCCCAGCACTTCTGGAGACTGAAAGTGAGGATTGCTTGACCCCAGGAGTTCAAGACCAGCCTGGGCAACACAGTGAGACCCCATATCTACAAAAAAAAAAGCAGGAGGATCACTTGAGCCCAGGAGTTCAAGACCAGCCTGGCCAGCATAGTGAGACCCCATCTCTACAAAAAATCAAAAAATTAGCCAGGCATGGTGGCACACACCTGTGGTCCCAGCTACTCAGGAGGCTGAGGTGGGAGGATACCTTGAGCACAGAAGGTCGAGGCTGCAGTGAGCCGTGATCCTGCCACTGCACTCCAGCCTATGCGACAGAGTGAGATCCTTCTCAAAAACAAAACAAAAATAATAGGGGAAACTGGAGAGAAGAGGCCACGGAGAATATGCTGCAATCTCTGTATTTTCTGCTGAATTTCTATAAGACTAAAACTGTTAAATTGTAAAAAGTGGGGGAGCATTGGCCAGGTGAGCTTCCCTTGCAATGGAACGTATGGTCTCACCCATCAGAGTAAGAATCAGTTTAAATGTCAGCCAGGCAAATATATACTCATCCCTGTGCAGAAAAATGAAGCCCACCTGAGCAAATACACACATGTGTATGCCCACCCACTCCAGCCCTTCTGGGACCCCAGCACAGTGGCCCCACAACGAGACCACTAAGTTCGGGGGGCGTGGGGCCACCCTTCATGCACTCCACCCCTGAGGTCAGAGAGGCCCCGGCACCTCCTTAATCGTAATGAGCAGTAAAATCAGTGTAAATGAACCAGCCCACAGGAGACCACCAGTGGGGGCTTTGTATTATATCCCAGCCGCTCTCAGGGCTGGGAATTATTTACTCACAAAGGTGAATACTTTCTCTGGGGCTGCTTCCTGCCAGCAACATTTCCCCGCGTCTGCCTCCTGATAAATGTGTACAGAAGATCGCAGCCAGAAAGTCTGCATGCCCCAGTGGGTGAGCCCCCGTTAAATCTATCCAGGGCTGGTGAAAGCCACGTCTGCCACCCTGACTTAGTCAATTTGTCGGCTCTAAGGGGGAAAAAATTACATGAAAAAGAATGGCCAATTTTAAGACAGAGGTTGCTTTTTCATTATTGTAAAACGTTTAGTGTAAAGGGGTATTTATCACCCTTTGCTTACCGCATTCGGCTCTGCTTGCTAAAAATAAGGAGCACAACATTCCCATTATCCTGCAGGTGGTTACGTTTGCTTTAGCAAAGCTACCAGGGAGTTGAGTAGCATCCCCTCTTTGCCAGGAACACAGCTGAGGGAAGTTTCTGTGCAGCCACCCCACCAGGTGCCTTAACAAATGCAAAATGACACCACATGATGACAATAATCAAGTAGGAGGAAAGCCTTTGGTGGTTTTAAAAAGATGAAAGCATCCCTAATGCAAAATTTTCTCTCTGTGCAGAACGCCAACAGAAATATTTCCAGGAGATGCCTGTCCTCTCGGTGCCTCCAGATTACCCGCTTGCTCACCACTCTCCCAAACGCCCCTCACACATTCCAGGTGGGTATAGGATTCGCCACTCTCTGCTCACATATGTGCCCTTTTAAAAGAAATCATTAGGCATTTACTACAACTTCCTCTCCCCACCCATGTCCAGGAAGAGCACTGCACCTCACAGAAGGCCTGGCCCATAGACAATGCTCAATAGATATTTGTTGCCAGAGCAGAGAAGGGAGGAACAGTAGCAGAGAAAGGTGGGCAACTCGGGCTCCATATACAGGTAGGGAGAAAGCAACTCTCTCCCTAAGCAATCTGGCCATGGTGACAGCCTGGGAAAAGTGATGGTGTTAGAGTAGGTGGCTAGGCTGACATGAGCAGGGCAGAAGAGGCACCCTGCCCTGCCCCCATGCCAGCCCCTGGCCACCAGGAATGTCAGCCAACCATCAAGAGCTTATGGCCAGTTGGTTGTTAAACTGTCTCTGTAAAATAATTGGTTGCTGCCACTGCCAGGGAAAGGCAGTCTCCTAGTAGACAGAAAACACCTGAAGCTGGTGATCAGCCGCTTCCCAAAAAGATCTCAGGAGCTGGGCAAGTGTGCCCAGGCATGTGCACTAAGAGGCAAAATGGCAGAGTTTAACTGGTACATGACCTTCCTCTAGGAACACTAAACTGGTAAGGGAAGAACGCCTCAAGTGAGCACGTGCACAATTTCTGTAAACACACTGCGTGTGGCCCCTCCCAAGCACTGGCAGGGCACCACGCCTGCAGACAGCCTGCTCCAAGGGAAGAATCAGGGGAGAAGAAACACAAACCCCAAAACCATGCCAATGTATGAAACCCCAAGTCAAGGGTAGGATGGGGCACTGGGAGCTCTCAACATCACCCACGTCGTCCTCTCCCAAGCGTACTTCACTTCCTTTGGTTCTTGTTCTAAAACTTGTTAATAAACTCTCCCCCCTGCTCTAAAACCTGCCTTGGTCTCAACCTGCCTTATGCCCCTTGGCCAAATTCTTTCCTCTCAGGAGACAAGGATCAAGTTGCTGCAGACCAGTCCAGATTCACCACTGGTAACAATGGAAGGAGACAGATACAACCAAGAAGACTGATCTGGCCCATGATCTCATGCAACATGGCTCTACCTGTGGACTACTGCTGGCTTTATAATGAGATAAAGCAGCTACGAGCTGCAGTAATCAGTGCAGACCGGCAGACTACCTCTAATGGTGAGCTTAAGAGGCCTTCGGCTCTGATAGATTTTTCTCAGGTGAATATATTAAAGGCAATGTCTCAAATTTGCAAGGTATCCAGAACTGCAGTGGTAGATACCAAGATCAATAATGACAAAAATAATAATTTTTATTAGTAGTCAAAGACCATCAAGGAACACACTTGTGATTGGGTCTGTCGAGTCATTGCAAAGAGAAAGACAACACACCACAGAGAACCATGCCCCATCTCAGCAAGACAGTGATAGAAAGGCCTGGTTTTAAGATTGGGGTTTGTACTGGGGGATGGTGAAAAGGTTTCAAGGAAGCCAGGCTTTGCTCTGGAGACAGCTGGAGGGAGCACTTGTGGAGCTCACAGCCCAGGGACACGGGATCACTGGAAGACTCAGATCTAATCACAGGAGTATAGAACGCTGCCCCTCCCCCAACACCTTGCCATGTCAATCGGAGCTGGAACCACTCAGAAGAGTGACAGGAAGTGGGAGTAATTCTGTGATTGATTGTCCTCATCTAGAAGGCAGGAAGAGCAGGGTTCCCTAAAGACACAGCAATCACTCGCATTGGCCAGGAATGAGGAAGGATTGGTTGTTGGTTGTGGTTTGGACAATGTCCTCACTTTGTCTGCTCTCAGTCTCGTCTTGGTCATGATTTCTCAGGGTCACAGCATGGCTGTGTTGTCTGCTGTTGATGTTCTGTGAAATTGTCTGTGTTTACAGAGAACACTGTGGCCCTGTTTGAGTGTCAGGCCAGCTTCCGGCTGTCAGGAGCTGCATTTTTCTTTCTCAGCACCACTAATGACTACCATTGAGTTATTCATTCAACAAATATTTATTGAGAACCCACTATGTGCCAGGCACTGTTCTAGGCACTAGGAATACAAGACCAAGAAGACTAACAAGGTCCCTGCCCTGTGGAGTCTGTAATCTGGTAGGGAAGAGATACAGTTCTAACAATGAGCAAATAAACATAGGTCAGTATCATGTAAAACTAAGTAGTCTAGAGGAAAATAAAGCAGGATGGGGCTAGAGAGAGACATATAATATTGTTGTGATCAGAGGAAGTCCCCAAAAGGATGACATTAGGCAGAGCCTAAATGAAGTATAAAGCAGTCAACCATGAGAATACTGGGAAAAGCCATCTCAACAGCAGAACAAACAAGAGCAGAGGACCTGAGCATGGAGCGAGTGTGGCATGTTTGGAGAAAAGCAGTCACCAGTATGAGTAGAGGATGGTGAGAGGGGCAGGGTGTAAGAGGTGAGGACTGGGGACATAGGGGTAGGCAGGGGCTAGGTCAAGGCCTCAGCCAGAATTCTGACACTGCACTCAGGGTCCTGCTCAGCCGAGCCTTTAGTGACTTGCATTGTCACTCCCTGTTCTCAACATCTAAAGATTTCCATCACAAATAAAGTTTGAATGGGGCAGGAAGTGGGGAAGCCTGGATTAACCAAAATGCAAATTTTCAAAAGGAACGAGGAGCAGCTCCAGATGAAGTTTGTTGGGTTCAACTCTGAGCCCCACATTTAAGAAGGACAATGATAAACCAGAACACAATCAGGGAAGATTACTGGGTTGTCAGGGAATAGTCTGACAAATCAGATCATGTGAGAAACTTGTCCAAATGTTAGAGGCGTGTGAACCAGAGCAACTCCATCTTGAATAGGGGCTAGGTAAAATAAGACTAAGACCTGCTGGGCTGCATTCCCAGACGGTTAAGGCATTTTTAGTCACAGGATGAGACAGGAGGTCAGCACAAGATACAGGTCATAAAAACCTTGCCAATAAAACAGGTGGCAGTAAAGAAGCAGGCTGAAACCCACCAAAACCAAGATGGCGATGAGAGTGACCTCTGGTCATCCTCACTGCTACACTCCCACCAGCACGCGACAGTTTACAGATGTGATGGCAACGTCAGAGAGTTACCCTATATGGTCTAAAAACAGAAGGCATGAATAATCCACCCCTAGTTTAGCATATCATCAAGAAATAACCATTAAAATGGGTAACCAGCAGCCCTTGGGGCTGCTCTGCTTTTGGAGCAGCCATTCTTTTATTCATCTACTCTCTTAATAAACTTGCTTTCACTTTACTGTATGGATTCACCCTAAATTCTTTCTTGTGCAAGATCCAAGAACCCTCTCTCAGGGTCTGGATCTGGACTCCTTTCTGGTAACTCAAATACCTGAGGCTACTTATTTTAAACAGCAGAATGGGTGGTAAAAAATGGAAATAATCCCTGATCCTGTGCAAGCAGCGAAGTCAGTGGACAGGAGACCTTCTCTTGCCTTTGCCTTAAACTCTTGCCAAAAGACACCTACACCTGTTGGGTATCAATGGGACAACCAGCTTGCAAATCCTATCTTATTCAGTCTCAACCAGCTATTACAATCTCATCATCCAGATATCAGAGAAACTACTTGAAGAAGTTCATATTACTGTAACAACAAACATTGATTAAGCACTTACGCTAGGTCAAACATGTTCTAAGCACCAGTCAAAAATCATTTGCTCTTACCACTTTATGAGGTGAGTTCTTTTGCTGTCCCCATTTTAGAGACAAGAAAACTGAGGCTTAGAGGAGTGGTAACTTAGAAATAAGATATGGTTCCAGGATTTGAACCAAGGCTGTTGGATTCTGGGATCCTTATTCACAGCCACTAAGCAATACCGCTGCCCATAAGTGGAGGAAGAATGCTAAATTTGGAGCCCTAGAGTAGCTAGCCATGGTCCCTTCACTCCTCCCCACTGCCTTCATGCCAAGTGACTAGCTAGTCAAGAATTCTAGAAAGGTTAATAGTCAAGGAAAATAGGAATGGGAGACAGAAGAAGGACAAGAATTTTAAAAAGGAAAATAGCCCCATGTGGTTAGAGGTTGCCCAGGGCTGAAAGGAGAGTGGTGCTCCATGAACATGGGGTTTCCTCTGGAGATGATGGAAATGTTCTAGAACTAAACAGTGGTGATGACTGCACAACATTGTGAAGGTGTAAAATACTACTGAATTGCACACTTTAAAATCGTTAAAATGATCAATGTTCTGTTGTGTGTATTTTATCATAATTTTTTAAAGCATGGCATGCACTCATTACTAAGCACCTTTGAATTCCTGCCAAGTCCCTTCTTGCCCTGTAAGTCTTTTCCAGTTCCCTCCTTAGACTGCAAAAGAGAAGCAGTTGACTCTTCATCAGGTTGGCTTCCACACTATTTTAGGAGTAGTCATCAAGATCCTAGGATAGTGGGCCAATGTGGCCTGGACAAATGCACAGAACGGGAGCCCTGGCTTTCCTTTAAAAATGTTTGGAATTTGCTTCTTAGCTTAATATATCATGAACAGTTTCTCCTATTAATATCTGCATAATATTCCATTTTTGGTTATATCTTATTATGCCTTAATGTTCTGGTTGGTTCACTTTTACAAATGCACTGCAGTGAACATCATCATGTATACATCTTTGTGCCCTCCTCTGGATATTTTTAGGCTCTTTTTCGTGTCTACAGAAAGAGCCAATCTCCTTGGACCCTGCCATCTGTCTTCCCCCGTTCCCACCCAACGAGGATCCCAGGAGCTCACTTCGGCTTCAGCACACAGCAGAAGACCCTGAGAGATTTGCGCAGAATTTCCTCTCAGCCCTAGATCTTCATTGAGAAATATACTCATTCTTTTAGAGGGCATTCATTGATCTTCATTTGCAATTCGAATCATTCATTTAGAAAGCATTTGCAGACATTGTTCTGGGACATTAAACCAGGGCACGGGCAGCAAGGAAGGTAAACCCACTATTTAATCAAAGGAATTTAATCAAAGGGGAAAAAAGGAAAAACATTTTACTGGGGGCTCCCTAAGCTCACTGGATAGTTTCTTTCTTTGTAATAAATTCATCTGAGAATTGTACTTAGCCACGGTCATTTCTGAAGCTCTTTTTCTTTTAAAAAGAAAAAGGGAAGGGGATGTGCGTTTTATGCAATGAGATCGCTGCAAAAGGTTTGTATTCGTTTTGCTCAGTGCTAATCCCCACATTCAACCTCCACGCTGCTGTCGCTGAGTCAGCGCCGTTCCTTTAAGTGACCTGATTCTGTAATTCCATTATTAATATTATGAAAATGGCTTTCCTCTACAATATTTTGTGCTATCAATGGAAAAACCACAGTTCCAAAATGCATTAGCCGTTGCAGGCTCCGGCAGGATTATTTGCATCAATATAAACCGAGTTAATCATCGGTCCATTTGAATAATCAGTCACGTGGTGGCGCCCGCCCCTCGCCGGTGGCTCTGCGGCACCCGCCGCGGGGAGACGCGGAATTTCATTTGGGTCCCGCATTCTCCTAAGCACTGCAGATTTTCCTGCTCGCTATCGCGGCAACATCTTGCCGTTTACTTTGCAATTTTTCCTCTCCTGCCCTGACAGTGATGTAAGCCCGTTTCCAGCCCCCTAATCAGCGGGTGGGAGGTGGTAAATGGCATGTGTTAAAACCGATAAGCGTAAGGAGAGAAAGAAACGTTCATTAGGAAAAATAACGAGTCCGGGAATAATAAATGTCAGAACAGCGAAGATGCCTCTTATTTTTTCATAGTATTAAATTGTCCTTGCTATCTGAGGCCTTGAGCTAATACTAACTGATTTACAATTTTCAAAACCAAAATTAAGGCAGAAGGGGATCTGGGGCAAGGTGGAGGTGCAAATTAGATGCTGAGAGGGAGGCTTTTGATGAGCTCCGACCTAGGCATCTCTCCTTGCTTAAGCCTCCCTGTATCGCCAGGGATTTCCCACCGACAATATTGTTGGCAATTATTACAAAATTAAGGAGTTGAAGGCTGGGGAGAAAAAAAAAAACAGGAGCCAAAGAAATCTTTTTAAAATGCAAAGCAGATCACTTTACTCCACTTAAAACCATACTACAAAGTCCCATCGCTGCCGCAGTGGAATCCAAAGCTCTGCACAAAGCCACATGGGCTGGAAGATCAGAACCCACCTGTCTCTCTGTATTGCTCCACTCTCTGCCCCTCCACGGCCTCCACACAGCCTCTGTGTTCCAGCCACGCTGAGCTGCAAGATCAGAACCCACCTGTCTCTCTGTATTGCTCCACTCTCTGCCCCTCCACGGACTCCACACAGCCTCTGTGTTCCAGCCACGCTGGGCTTGCCTCTTACCCTGGGAGCTGTTTGCTCTCTTGGGCCTCTGTCTTTCTTTGAGCCTATCTGCCTGCCTACAGTTTAGCAGGGGCTTACTCTGCCTTCTGCTTCCAGATGATACCACTTCCTCTGATGCCTAAAGAAGAGGTTGTCCCACCAATTTTTCGAACACCCTACGAGTCCCCTTTGTAACACTCTCCACACTAACAAGTGTTCACCCTCTGTAGTGGGTGGAATGGTGGCTCCTACAAAGATTTGTCCATGTCCTTACCTCTGGAAACTGATAATGTGACTTTATTTGGAAGAAGGGTCTTTGCAGATGTTTCTCTTAAGGAACTCAAGATGAGATCATCCTGGATTATTGTGGTGAGCCCTAAACTCAATAAAGTGTCCTTATAGGAGACACACAGAGAGAAAAAGGAAAACACCATGTGAAGTCAGAGGCAGAGACTGGAGTGATGCAGCCACAGCCAAGGAATGTCTGGAGCCACCAGAAGCTGGAAGAGGTAAGAAAGGATTCTCCCCTAGAGACTTCAGAAGGAGGATGGCCCTGCTGACACCTTGACATCAGACTTCTGACTTCCAGAACTGTAAGTGAATACATTTCTGCTGCTTTAAGCCTCCAAGTTTGTAGTAACTAACTTGCCAGCTGCAGACAACAAATCTACTATCTCTCTTCCGCAGACTGTAAGCTTCTTGAGGCCAGGTTATGTCTACACTGGTCACCAGTCCCTCCAAAGAGATTAGCACAATTCCCAGCACATAGTACAGCTCAATATATCTCTGTTAAATCGATGGATGGATGGATGGATGGATGGATGCATGCATGAATGAATGAACAGTGGTAAAGTGCACAGTAGTATAGGAAGAAATAATTTTCTTCAGCATACGTCTCCAGCCTATACGTATCTAAGTAGAATAATTGAGTACCCTAATGGAAAGAGCTATTTTGTTTGCTAGTGAGAGAAACTAACCCAAGCTATGGGACAGTGTCTTGAGAACAGAAATGGATCCAGACCTCGGAGGACCCAGGAAGAGGAACTGGGAGCAGTGTTATTGCTCTATCTCTCATCTCAGCAACCCCCACCCCAAAAAACACACACATAGCTGCTTCCTTCTTCTCTCTTGCAACATAAGTTTTTTCTGCTTCTGCCTGGGAGAATCCGCCAAGCAAACCTTGTCTTTGGGGCAATCCAACTACCCAGAAAGAGTGACTCTCTTTCTCCATCCCAATCTAAATTCTCAGGGAAAAAATCTCTGATTGGTTAAACTTGGGTCAAGTGTCCACCTTTTGTTAATCGGGGGCAAAGAAGCAAACATGGCTATAAGGAGTAGCCTACCTTTGCAGTTCTTAAAACAGAGGGACTGAGCAGGTAATGCAGTAGACGCCCTCTCCAGCTACTCTGAGCTTGTCCTATATGGCAAATATCTGGGTGGCCTAATGTCTCTGGAGGCACCACAGCCTTCACAAGCTAGCAGCCTTGTGAACAGGTGGACATTCAGTACTTGAGAGTAGACTTTGATAGTCAGGTTGCACTCAGTCCTAATACACCCAGACTTATGCATGTTACCTTTGAATAACTGCAAACCACAGCTGCACATGCAGTGCAGACATGTTTCCTGGGAAATCTCAAGGAAGCTACACCCAGAGCTGCACCAGCCTGAGCAGGAACTGGAGGCCAGCCCTAAAGCTGGAAGATGATTTCCTCATGCACGGCACGCTCACTGCTAACTGGCCAGTGCAGAGTGCAAGAAACACGACCCACAAGAGGACATGCTGGAATTGATGCCTCCCTGAGAAATGAAACCCCCAGAAGCCTTTGCAAAGGACTAAGAGTGAGGTTAGTTTCTGTCTGTACAAGCCAGAGACTCAGGCTTTTGCAGATATGATTATACCATAGGGAAAAGCCACATTAAAAAAAAAAATCCAGAATAAGAGAAAACTACTTAGAGGCACTTATCATAATGAAGCTACATTAAATTACAACAAATAGATGTCCTCTTGAAAGAACTTGCACAGATAAAATGCCTTAACTGGCTGAGGGGGACTAAGAGTGTCAGAACCAGAAATGTCAAAACCAAAAGGGAAACTAACAGGAATCTAATTCAGGGGCCTCGCTTGACAGATGGTGGATTTCCAAGGGGATGAAGGGACTTGCCCTCTCTCATAATAGCTAGTGAGAAAGCCCTGGTTAGAAGTTAACTCTGCCAGGTCCCTAGTGGGTCCTATTATTGCCTCTCTTTCCCCGTACAGCAGTGAGTAAAACCAAGAGAGAGGGTAATTAAAGAGTGTTAAAGCAAAGGAAGAAGAAAAACCAAGAGAAAGCAAACAAACTCATCCAAACAAACCAGAATGCAGTAGTCAAGAAATAACATAGTCGTTCCCTCTGAAACCAGCCTGGGATATGGTAAGTGTGAAGTGAAGAGCATTTCATCAATTGCTAATTGCTGATACAGGGTAGGGCTCATCGTATACACATGACAAAGTCTCTTTTGAAAGGACAACAGTCAGTTTACAAGAATATTCCGTAAGGTCATTTTCTCTTTGCTTCTTTCACAAAACAACTGTGTTCTTTTTTGCATGAAGACAAAGGCTAACAAACACTTACTAGAGGGAGGAGTGGCCAGTGGAGGGGGCTCTTTGAGGGAGTGCCCAAGCCATCCTCCCAGGATGCTGACTCTTGATGACCTTCCCTAAGAAGCTAGGGCAGGTCTACAGGGTGGACAGCTGTTCTACATTTGCTGAATTAAAATAGGAGCACCCCTAACCCAAGCCTGTTCCAGCCGGTCATTGCCACTGGAATCGTGGGTCAAGTTGAGCTAGCTAATGAGCTGCATGAGCCAGGCCTATACATGAACTAGGAAATGTGTCCATAGAAATTAATATATCCGTTTTTGCCAATGAAAATTTTAAACGGTTAACTCCAGTCATCAAATCCATTTGGTGCACACTGATCCTATTGCCTTCCAAACCAAACTTCCCTCACTTCTCTTCCGATTAACTTCCCAGAGGGCAGCTGTGGTTTGGGTAGAACTTCAGAGAATCAGCTCCTCTCCAAAACCTAAAGAGAACACAAGCTGAGCTCTTGTGCCAAGTTACTACATTATGCCTGTCTGGGGGTGAAGGCTTCACACACAGAGATGAGAAGGAGAAGCCGCCACCGGGCCCTGTTCTGTCTCATGTTGCACACTCAGGATAGTTGGGTGTCATGTGTACAGAATAGGAAGGTGCCAGCCATGTTGTGTTCGGTGCTCTGGAAATAGCCACCTTGCTCCCATATCTTGCTCCTAAATTTCTGGGTCCCATTCTCTTGGCACCTTCTTTTTAATTAAAGAACTAAAACTTAATGAAGGTCCTCAACATGGAAAGAGACAGGACCCCAAGGAAACAGAGAAAAAGCAGATGCATTGGGATGAGCAAGGAGTAGGGCCAGAGGATGGGAGGTCAGCAGGCACAAGAGGGTGTGCTCACAAGAGAGTGGGAACAGATAGAGCTAATGGGGTTGAAGTTGTGAGTCTACCCTGAGGCAGACTGAAGAGTCTGGCTGTCAGGAATCCTCTTCTGTGCTGTGCAGAATGGAGGTGATAACCTGTGAGGTCCAATGGGGCCATGGAAGACAACACATAGGCAAAAAGATTCATAGGAAAAATGTATCTTACGTTCTTGCCATCTGCAATAGGAAGGCAGAAGATGCTGTTAAGTCCCATACAAGTTCCAGGCCAGGTTCCAGCAACCATGACATCTCAGATCCAGGACGACCATGCCTGATTCTTCCTTCCTGATCTTGGCCAGCCCACTGATCCCAACTCTCCAGCCTGATAGTAAAATTTTTCAAGGACTCTGTTGCCCTTCACTGTCCCTGGGCCTTGGTTGGAATCGCCCTCCCCGAATGTCAACTTTTGGGCAGCAGAGGTTGAGGTATGGGTGCTTTAATGCCCAGAAGGCAGCTGGACTCCTTGTCTGTGCAGGCACCTTCCCTCCTAGAACTCTGAAGGGGGAGGCAACATTTGCCAAAAGCACAAAGCAATAGTTATAACCAGTTCTCAGGAAAATGGGAGTGTCTTCCCATTACTGGTTCTATGATCCCTGGATCTATCAAAGAAAACAACCTACTGAGTCTGTTTTCTTTTTTGCCAAATGAAAATAAAAATAGATAGTTATTTTGTAAATTTAGATGAGATAATCCATGTAATGCACTGTGCATACACATGCTCCATGAATGCTGGGTATTATATAAAATGCTGCATCAGGCCAAGCACAGTGGCTCACGCCTATAATCCCAGCACTTAGGGAGGCCAAGGCAGGTAGATCACTTGAGGTCAGGAGTTCGAGACCAGCCTGGCCAACATGGCAAAACCCCGTCTCTACTAAAAATACAAAAAAATTAGCCAGACGTGGTGGTGCACTTCTGTAATCCTAGCTACTCAGGAGACTGTGGTGGGAGGATCAAGTGAAACTGGGAGGCAGAGGTTGCAGTGAGCTGAGATCACACCACTGCACTCCAGCCTGGGTGACAGAGTGAGACTCAGTCTCAAAAATAAAATAAAATAAAATAGAATGCTATATCATTATCATTCACCTACAGTTGCGTAAATAAGGATTTTCAAAAGACCCTCTGGGAATGAAGAACTGCTTCAAACTGGCTTTATGCCTCAGCCTATTCCTTTTGCAATTGGAATCTTCTCTTAGCTAATGCCTGTCCTCTTCAACACTTGTGCCAATTAATGGCCCCAGCACCCTGGCTACATCAAGAGTTAATGCAGACGTTTCACTAGATTGCTGTCTGGAGGTTATTCTGCATATCTATGCACTTCGCCATTCATTCATCTCTGACCCCCTTCCACACTCACAAGCACAGCAGCTACTTAAAAAAGAAAATACATAAAAGGCTTTCAGGAGACAGAAAAAATGTCTCATGTAATCCCTGTTCTAGTCTCATGATGCACTGACACAGAGGAGTGTACTAGAGCCCATGTTTAAGTCCATTTGAATTAAATCGTGCCTTTGCTGTGTCTCTGTATTACCCAGCACACAAGGGTCTCTGTCCAATAGTAAAGGTTGCCCACACTTTCGTAGTTCAAACCTGGGGACAGCAACCACTTTGTAAGCATCCAGGATCACCTATGCATTCATTTATCTCCTTACAAAATAGGTCCTTTGCAATTGTCACTTAAATCTGATTAGGATGAGGAAATAAAAGGAAGCCAGGATTTAAACAGGCTAGTGAGCTTAAATGAGATTCTATCGAACACACAAAATCATTAGCAAATGTGAATGTGATTGATGTAATATTGCATTAAGAGCTGTTTTAAAAAGCGTTCCTTTTGCAGTGTTTATTTATGGGAAGGCCGTTGGTCTCTTTCCCTATACATTTCCTCCTCACCACCCACTTCAGTGTTTGAATTGTTTTCCCTCTAAGATGTTGATACAAGAGAATCATTTATTCTAACTGGCTTCCGTTAGGCCCCTGTGATGTTCCCTGAACTGTGCCAACATTGAGACCCAGAAATGAAAACGTCACAGGCCCTGCCTCACCGGGACAGTGGTGGAGTGTGCAGCTGTGCAGGCTAAGGGCTAGAATGCAGACACAGGGAAAATGTCTAGGGTTGCAGACAAGGAAGAGAGTTGCTCATTTCAGAACCCTAAGAAGACATCACCGAGAACACATTTCGGAAGAGCTTTTAGGAGTGAGGATTTCACCAGGAAGAGAAGAGACCTTGTATGTGGAGGAAATAGTAGAGATTGGAAGGAGAGAAAGGGCTTAATGTTTTCATAGACGGCAATCCCAACAATAAGCCTAAAAGGAAAGTGATTCGCATTATGTATCAGGTAAGTTATTGACCACAAGTAATGGAAAGCAATACCACCAGTAAGTTGCCTGAACCATTAAGACAATTATAGTTTCTTTAAGAAACAATCTAGGAGTCTGTGGTTTCTACCTGGTTCCAGGGTCCACTCTGTGCCTCAGCTGTCATCAGATACCAAGGCTCTGACTATTCTTTTCTTCTACCATCCTCAGCGTGTTGGCTCTCTGCCCTCTTGCTTTGAATTTGCATTTGCCTTGCTTGTCACCTCATGACTGCAAGATGGCTGCCACAGCTGCAGACATCACATCCTCATGTTAGTGTCCCAAGAAGGAAGGAAGAGGTGGAGCCAATAGGATTTTTTTAAATCTGAAAGTAAAAGCTTTCCAGAACCATGCCCTCCTCCTCCAACTGACTTCTTCTTAGGTCTAAAAATAGATAATTTTCCACTCCTTATATATAAAGGGAGAAGGGATAAATGAGTATGTGGCAAAGGGAAATGGAATACTGTGACTGGATTGAATCAATCCTGATTTGTCCCTGAGGAAGGATACATGTTTGGGTTGATAACCAACAGTGCTGTTGAATTTATTATGGAATATCTAAGACATACAAAACAGCTTAAAGGATAACGTAATAAATAACCCAGTATTCATCATCCAACTTCAAAACTAATTCATAGCCAACATAGTTAAATCCCCCATATAGGACCCTTCTAGATTCCTCCCCTGTTTCTTTCCTCCCAGGAAGAACCCCGTCCTGATTTTAGAGATTTATCATTTATTTGCATTTATTTTTTTCTTCTTTCTCTCTCATTCGATAGCTCTCTCTCTCTTTCCATCTATCTACCTATTGAGAGAGAGAGAGAAAGATCTCTACTCAACTTACAGAATTTTTGAATACATTGAACATTCGTGTAGATATTATTACTACAAATATTTATTTGCAAATTGCTTTCTTTAATCAACATTATGTCTGTGGAGTTAGTCAATATTGATTCATGTAAGCTCTAGTTCATTCTTTTTCACCGCGATATAAAATTCCATCATAGAGCTTAATTTATTTCTCCCCGAATGGACACTAGGAAGTTTCCAATATTTTACTATTGTAAATCATACTTTTATGATTATTTTTAATGTTTCCTGACATATGTGTGTGTGTGTATATATATATATATATATGTCTATATGTAGATATATGTATGGATATGCACATATATCTATATGAATGTGTGTATATGTATGTATGCACATTATATATATGAATTCATATCAGGTATGTATCTAGAAGTGTAATTCTTGGTAATAGTGTATGAATATCTTCAACTTTACTGGATGTTGCCAAATTTTTCTCCAAAGTGGCTGTAACAATTTTCATTTCTACCAGCAATGGATAAGAGGTCCCATTACCCCACATCCTAACCAAAACTTGGTACCATCATACTTTTTAGTTTGAGTTTTTGTCAACCTGATGGTGTGAAATAATGCCTAATTTTAGCTTGCTTCCTTTATTTATATATTTATTTATTATTATTATTTTTTTTGAGACGGAGTCTCGCTCTGTTGCCCAGGCTGGAGTGCAGTGTTGCAATCTTGGCTCAGCGCAACCTCCACCTCCTGGGTTCAAGTGATTCTCCTGCCCCAGCCTTCTGAGTAGCTGGGATTACAGGTGCACGTCACCATGCTAGGCTAATTTTTTTGTGTTTTTAGTAGAGAAGGGGTTTCACCATGTTGGTCAAGCTGGTCTCAAACTCCTGACTTCGGATAATCCACCCCCCTTGGCCTCCCAAAGTGCTGGGATTACAGGCAAGAGCCACCGTGCCTGGCTTAATGTTAACTTTAATTTGCATTTTCCTTATTACTTGTAAGGTTAGCCATCTTTACATGTGTTTATTAGCAATTGATGTTTCCACTTCAGTAAATTATCTCTTAACCATTTTGCCCATTTTAACTAACTGTTTGTTTTTCACTTTTTGAATTTAAGAAGTTGTTTATGGGGGGAGGAGCCAAGATGGCCGAATAGGAACAGCTCCGGTCTACAGCTCCCAGCGTGAGCGAGGCAGAGGACCGGTGATTTCTGCATTTCCACCTGAGGTACCGGGTTCATCTCACTAGAGAGTGCCAGACAGTGGGCGCAGGCCAGTGGGTGCGTGCACCGTGCACGAGCCGAAGCAGGGCGAGGCATTGCCTCACTTGGGAAGCGCAAGGGGTCAGGGAGTTCCCTTTCCGAGTCAAAGAAAGGGGTGACGGACGCACCTGGAAAATCGGGTCACTCCCACCCGAATATTGCGCTTTTCGGACCGGCTTAAAAAACAGCGCACCACGAGATTATATGCCGCACCTGGCTCAGAGGGCCCTACGCCCACGGAGTCTCGCTGACTGCTAGCACAGCAGTCTGAGATCAAACTGCAAGGCGGCAGCAAGGCTGGGGGAGGGGCGCCCGCCATTGCCCAGGCTTGCTTAGGTAAACAAGCAGCCAGGAAGCTCGAACTGGGTGGAGCCCACCACAGCTCAAGGAGGCCTGTCTGCCTCTGTAGGCTCCACCTCTGGGGGCAGGGCACAGACAAACAAAAAGACAGCAGTAACCTCTGCAGACTTAAATGTCCCTGTCTGACAGCTTTGAAGAGAGTAGTGGTTCTCCCAGCATGCAGCTGGAGATCTGAGAACGGGCAGACTGCCTCCTCAAGTGGGTCCCTGACCCCTGACCCCCGAGCAGCCTAACTGGGAGGCACCCCCCAGCAGGGGCACAGTGACACCTCACACGGCAGGGTATTCCAACAGACCTGCAGCTGAGGGTCCTGTCTGTTAGAAGGAAAACTAACAAACAGAAAGGACATCCACACCAAAAACCCATCTGTACATCACCATCATCAAAGGCCAAAAGTAGATAAAACCGCAAAGATGGGGAAAAAACAGAACAGAAAAACTGGAAACTCTAAAACGCAGAGTGCCTCTCCTCCTCCAAAGGAATGCAGTTCCTCACCAGTGACGGAACAAAGCTGGATGGAGAATGACTTTGACGAGCTGAGAGAAGAAGGCTTCAGACGATCAAATTACTCTGAGCTATGGGAGGACATTCAAACCAAAGGCAAAGAAGTTGAAAACTTTGAAAAAAATTTAGAAGAATGTATAACTAGAATAACCAATACAGAGAAGTGCTTAAAGGAGCTGATGGAGCTGAAAACCAAGGCTCGAGAACTACGTGAAGAATGCAGAAGCCTCAGGAGCCGATGAGATCAACTGGAAGAAAGGGTATCAGCAATGGAAGATGAAATGAATGAAATGAAGCGAGAAGGGAAGTTTAGAGAAAAAAGAATAAAAAGAAATGAGCAAAGCCTCCAAGAAATGTGGGACTATGTGAAAAGACCAAACCTACGTCTGATTGGTGTACCTGAAAGTGATGGGGAGAATGGAACCAAGTTGGAAAACAGTCTGCAGGATATTATCCAGGAGAACTTCCCCAACCTAGCAAGGCAGGCCAACGTTCAGATTCAGGAAATACAGAGAACGCCACAAAGGTACTCCTCGAGAAGAGCAACTCCAAGACACACAATTGTCAGATTCACCAAAGTTGAAATGAAGGAAAAAATGTTAAGGGCAGCCAGAGAGAAAGGTCGGGTTACCCTCAAAGGGAAGCCCATCAGACTAACAGCGGATCTCTCGGCAGAAACCCTACAAGCCAGAAGGGAGTGGGGGCCAATATTCAACATTCTTAAAGAAAAGAATTTTCAACCCAGAATTTCATATTCAGCCAAACTAAGCTTCATAAGTGAAGGAGAAATAAAATACTTTACAGACAAGCAAATGCTGAGAGATTTTGTCACCACCAGGCCTGCCCTAAAAGAGCTCCTGAAGGAAGCGCTAAACATGGAAAGGAACAACCAGTACCAGGCACTGCAAAATCATGCCAAAATGTAAAGACCATCGAGACTAGGAAGAAACTGCATCAACTAACAAGCAAAATCACCAGCTAACACCATAATAACAGGATCAAATTCACACATAACAATATTAACTTTAAATGTAAATGGACTAAATGCTCCAATTAAAAGACACAGACTGGCAAATTGGATAAAGAGTCAAGACCCATCAGTGTGCTGTATTCAAGAAACCCATCTCACGTGCAGAGACAAACATAGGCTCAAAATAAAAGGATGGAGGAAGATCTACCAAGCAAATGGAAAACAAAAAAAGGCAGGGGTTGCAATCCTAGTCTCTGATAAAACAGACTTTAAACCAACAAAGATCAAAAGAGACAAAGAAGGCCATTACATAATGGTAAAGGGATCAATCCAACAAGAAGAGCTAACTATCCTAAATATATATGCACCCAATACAGGAGCACCCAGATTCATAAAGCAAGTCCTGAGTGACCTACAAAGAGACTTAGACTCCCACACATTAATAATGGGAGACTTTAACACCCCACTGTCAACATTAGACAGATCAACGAGACAGAAAGTCAACAAGGATACCCAGGAATTGAACTCAGCTCTGCACCAAGCAGACCTAATAGACATCTACAGAACTCTCCACCCCAAATCAACAGAATACACATTTTTTTCAGCACCACACCACACCTATTCCAAAATTGACCACATACACGGAAGTAAAGCTCTCCTCAGCAAATGTAAAAGAACAGAGATTATAACAAACTATCTCTCAGACCACAGTGCAATCAAACTAGAACTCAGGATTAAGAATCTCACTCAAAACCTCTCAACTACATGGAAACTGAACAACCTGCTCCTGAATGACTACTGGATACATAACGAAATGAAGGCAGAAATAAAGATGTTCTTTGAAACCGACGAGAACAAAGACATAACATACCAGAATCTCTGGGATGCATTCAAAGCAGTGTGTAGAGGGAAATTTATAGCACTAAATGCCCACAAGAGAAAGCAGGAAAGATCCAAAATTGACACCCTAACATCACAATTAAAAGAACTAGAAAAGCAAGAGCAAACACATTCAAAAGCTAGCAGAAGGCAAGAAATAACTAAAATCAGAGCAGAACTGAAGGAAATAGAGACACAAAAAACCCTTCAAAAAATTAATGAATCCAGGAGCTGGTTTTTTGAAAGGATCAACAAAATTGATAGACTGCTAGCAAGACTAATAAAGAAAAAAAGACAGAAGAATCAAATAGACACAATAAAAAATGATAAAGGGGATATCACCACTGATCCCACAGAAATACAAACTACCATCAGAGAATACTACAAACACCTCCATGCAAATAAACTAGAAAATCTAGAAGAAATGGATAAATTCCTCGACACATACACTCTCCCAAGACTAAACCAGGAAGAAGTTGGATCTCTGAATAGACCAATAACAGGAGCTGAAATTATGGCAATAATCAATAGTTTACCAACCAAAAAGAGTCCAGGACCAGATGGATTCACAGCCGAATTCTACCAGAGGTACAAGGAGGAACTGGTACCATTCCTTCTGAAACTATTCCAATCAATAGAAAAAGAGGGAATCCTCCCTAACTCATTTCATGAGGCCAGCATCATTCTGATACCAAAGCTGGGCAGAGACACAACCAAAAAAGAGAATTTTAGACCAATATCCTTGATGAACATTGATGCAAAAATCCTCAATAAAATACTGGCAAAACGAATCCAGCAGCACATCAAAAAGCTTATCCACCATGATCAAGTGGGCTTCATCCCTGGGATGCAAGGCTGGTTCAATATACGCAAATCAATAAATGTAATCCAGCGCATAAACAGAGCCAAAGACAAAAACCACATGATTATCTCAATAGATGCAGAAAAAGCCTTTGACAAAATTCAACAACCATTCATGCTAAAAACTCTCAATAAATTAGGTATTGATGGGACGTATTTCAAAATAATAAGAGCTATCTATGACAAACCCACAGCCAATATCATACTGAATGGGCAGAAACTAGAAGCATTCCCTTTGAAAACTGGCACAAGACAGGGATGCCCTCTCTCACCACTCCTATTCAACATAGTGTTGGAAGTTCTGGCCAGGGCAATGAGGCAGGAGAAGGAAATAAAGGGTATTCAATTAGGAAAAGAGGAAGTCAAATTGTCCCTGTTTGCAGACGACATGATTGTATATCTAGAAAACCCCATTGTCTCAGCCCAAAATCTCCTTAAGCTGATAAGCAACTTCAGCAAAGTCTCAGGATACAAAATCAATGTACAAAAATCACAAGCATTCTTATACACCAACAACAGACAAACAGAGAGCCAAATCATGAGTGAACTCCCATTCACAATTGCTTCAAAGAGAATAAAATACCTAGGAATCCAACTTACAAGGGATGTGAAGGACCTCTTCAAGGAGAACTACAAACCACTGCTCAAGGAAATAAAAGAGGACACAAACAAATGGAAGAACATTCCATGCTCATGGGTAGGAAGAATCAATATCGTGAAAATGGCCATACTGCCCAAGGTAATTTATAGATTCAATGCCACCCCCATCAAGCTACCAATGACTTTCTTCACAGAATTGGAAAAAACTACTTTAAAGTTCATATGGAACCAAAAAAGAGCCTGCATCGCCAAAGCAATCCTAAGCCAAAAGAACAAAGCTGGAGGCATCACGCTACCTGACTTCAAACTATACTTCAAGGCTACAGTAATCAAAACAGCATGGTACTGGTACCAAAACAGAGATATAGATCGATGGAACAGAACAGAGCCCTCAGAAATAATGCCGCATATCTACAACTATCTGATCTTTGACAAACCTGAGAAAAACAAGCAATGGGGAAAGGATTCCCTATTTAATAAATGGTACTGGGAAAACTGGCTAGCCATATGTAGAAAGCTGAAAATGGATCCCTTCCTTACACCTTATACAAAAATCAATTCAAGATGGATTAAAGACTTAAACGTTAGACCTAAAACCATAAAAACCCTAGAAGAAAACCTAGGCATTACCATTCAGGACATAGGCGTGGGCAAGGACTTCATGTCCAAAACACCAAAAGCAATGGCAACAAAAGCCAAAATTGACAAATGGGATCTAATTAAACTAAAGAGCTTCTGCACAGCAAAAGAAACTACCGTCAGAGTGGACAGGCAACCTACAAAATGGGAGAAAATTTTCGCAACCTACTCATCTGACAAAGGGCTAATATCCAGAATCTACAATGAACTCAAACAAATTTACAAGAAAAAAAACAAACAACCCCATTAAAAAGTGGGCGAAGGACATGAACAGACACTTCTCAAAAGAAGACATTTATGCAGCCAAAAAACACATGAAAAAATGCTCATCATCACTGGCCATCAGAGAAATGCAAATCAAAACCACAATGAGATACCATCTCACACCAGTTAGAGTGGCAATCATTAAAAAGTCAGGAAACAACAGGTGCTGGAGAGGATGTGGAGAAATAGGAACACTTTTACACTGTTGGTGGGACTGTAAACTAGTTCAACCATTGTGGAAGTCAGTGTGGCGATTCCTCAGGGATCTAGAACTAGAAATACCATTTGACCCAGCCATCCCATTACTGGGTATATACTCAAAGGACTATAAATCATGCTGCTATAAAGACACATGCACATGTATGTTTATTGCGGCATTATTCACAATAGCAAAGACTTGGAACCAACCCAAATGTCCAACAATGATAGACTGGATTAAGAAAATGTGGCACATATACACCATGGAATACTATGCAGCCATGAAAAATGATGAGTTCATGTCCTTTGTAGGGACATGGATGAAATTGGAAATCATTATTCTCAGTAAACTATCGCAAGAACAAAAAACCAAACACTGCATATTCTCACTCATAGGTGGGAATTGAACAATGAGATCACATGGACACAGGAAGGGGAATATCACACGCTGGGGACTGTGGTGGGGTGGGGGGAGGGGGGAGGGGTAGCATTGGGAGATATACCTAATGCTAGATGACGAGTTAGTGGGTGCAGCGCACCAGCATGGCACATGTATACATATGTAACTAACCTGCACAATGTGCACATGTACCCTAAAACTTAAAGTATAATAAAAAAATAAAATAAAATAAAATAAATAAATAAATAAATAAAAGAAGTTGTTTATGTATTCTAGATATTAATTCTTTATTTCTTCCTGTGAGTTATCTTTTTATTTTCTTAAAGGTAACTTTTGACAACCACGTTTTGTTTTAATGCAAATCAAATTTTTCCATTTTCGCTGTGGTTTGCAAGTTTGGAATACTATGAAATTCTTTTCAACATTATGTTTACAAAGATGTTCTATTTTCTTATAACTGTATTTAAAGTTTCATATTTAAGTCTTTCCATAATTAGGTCTTTAGGCCACATGTTAGGAATCTCATTTGATTATTCTCCATATTAATAACCAATTGCCAAGAAATAAAAACATATTATTGATAAATGCCCAGTTTCCCACCGCTCTGTAATGCTCACCACGCGTGCATGGAATTGTGTCTGGCCTCTCCCTCCTGTGCCAGTGACCTAGTTACCTGCGCCAACACTCTTCATCTGTACTCCAGCTTCACCTCGGTCTTGCTATCTGGTAGAAAAACTCCCCACCCCACGCCTTGTCCTTCCCCTTCACAGTTGTCTTGTCCAGGCATGGCCTTTGGCACAGACTAGAATGTGGAGGCACCCCTGTTCCCATTCAGCCTCTTCCAGCAAGTCTCCACCACTCTGGCTTCTTTACTGTTTAACCCATTAAGAGCATCCCTCACCTTTTCATTTGCACAGTAAGCAAAGAGTAGGTCATTTTGTACTTCTTCAAGTTGAAAGATTCGTTTCCCATTTGAAGCCCCATCTGAAAACCTACCCCATAAATAAGCAGAATTGCATTCACCAGTACAACGCCAGCGTAGCAGTGAAACATGCCCTGAGCTCACTAGTGAGAATTCAGGAGGGGAGTCTGAATTCTCTCATGCTTAACTGCAGCATCCCCCAACAAAAGCCAAGCAAAGCCACCATATAGGGGGACTTCAGGGAATCTCAGAGTCAGATGAATAGCAGGAAAGAATGGGGATTGGAGGGGAGGAGTTTTATTGTGACTCCATGTTTCCCCTCTGTCATCATGGGCTAGCCCAAGCCCCACCGGCACCCTCAATTCACTCTCTTCCCATTTTTTCTTTAACCTGATTGGGCAAGAAAGAACTTTCGGGTCCACCTCTTCCAGGCCTTCCCAGGATGTCCAAGGTCTCAGGATCTAATTTAATGTACAGATTTTCTAATCCAGTTCCCTGCCATTAATCTCTGTTCAATTCTCCTAAGAAACTCCTCATTTCTGTTTATATATTTCTAACTTCTACTTGACAAGTACTCAAATTATAAGCATCTTCCAAAATGTTTTAGGGGAAGGTATAATCTGGATATATGTTCCATTTCACAGAGAAGGAGCTGAGTGTCAGGGACATGAAGCAACTCGCTCCAAGATTTGTGACATATCCAGGGCTGGAATGTCCAGGCCAAGCTCTTTTCTCTTCTTACACATCCCTCCTCTCTCGTTGGCCTTCTGGCCCAGGGAACAAAAACTCCTGTGCCCAGTCTGGATGACAAGGACCTGCCATGCCCTTCTTTGCTAAGAGCTTTCCAGGAAACCACAGTGAAGTGGAACTTGGCTTCAAAGAACAAGGAACTTGTTGCCCCAGCTGTGCGGGGTGTGTATGTGCATGTCGTGTGTATGCACTTTAATAATTAAGTGTGTGCCTGAAACTCTGCAGCAATGGTGACCCCTCACGCCAATTCCCTTTTAATTCCTATGCCCTTAGCACTCCACCTAAGGCAAGGAGTTTTTTAAGCTTTTCACGCAAGGAGGAAAAATCTTGACACCAACTTAAAAGCTCTATTCACCCAGCAGGAACCATCATTTTGCTATTGGCGCGGAGACCTTGACTGATAAGCAGGGCCAGCTGCCCTGTCCAGAGTTCAGAAGCAAGAATTGTGGAGTGTGTTAGCGCAGGTGACAAGGGTCGCAGGGCAGCCTTGCTCAAAGATCTCAGCGGCCACAGGTAGACTCTCCCAAAGGGCAAGCAGGTTGAGCTGGTTGGAACATGTTCATTCCAGCAAGGGCGGGGTGGTCCCTTCGCGTTTGTGTGTGTGCAAATGGTTATCAGGTTCCCCAGCCCTGAGTTCCCCCTCCCATGTGCATCTCATGTCTAATCCAAAGGGCTTGGGGTGAGGTCCAATAATTTGCATTTCTAGCTTGTTCCCAGGAAAGCAGATGCTACTGGAACATGAGCCACCCTGTGAGGACCACAGCTCCAATTAATTCATGGTAAGCACCTCAAATCTGATGATAGCTCTCCGGCTCCGTGGGAACAGAGAAATAAATAGAACACGGTCCGTTCCTCCAGGAGCCTCAAGAATCAAACACCTCCCCTGTCTGCTTGTGGGGTTGCTTCTTATACTTTCGAGATAAGCCTGTGTTTCCAAATCCCAGCTAATCAAAAGAGCCATCCAGGAAGTGAGTCCATGAGCAATTATAAGGGTGACTGCACCTGTAAACTTCAAGGGGTCTGAATAAGGATAGGCATCATCCTTACAAACTAACACAGGAAGCTGATGGCCTGATGGCCAGGAAGCTTGAAAATACACAGAAGCCCAGGCTTCTTCCAGAAAATACAGAATTAGTACATCTGTGATGGAATCTGGGAATCTATATTTTCAACAAGCTCCCAAGATAATTTTCATGATAGTGAGAATTTAAGACAGACTTGATGACTGGGTGTGGTAATCCCAGCACTTTGGGAAGCCGACGTGGGCAGATTGATTTGAGTTCAGGAGTTCAAGACCAGCCTGGGCAATATGGCAAAACCCCATCTCTACAAAAGAAAATTAGCCGGGCACGGTGGCCCATGCCTGTTGTCCCAGCTACTCGGGAGGCTGAGGGAGGAGAATCTCTTGAGCCTGGGAAGCAGAGGTTGCAGTGAGCCAAGATAGTGCCATTGTACTCCAGCCTGGGTGACAGATCAAGACCCAGTCTCAAAAAAAAAAAAAAAAAAAAAAAAAAAGACAGACTTGAATTAAGTCACAGAGTTTTTAAAAGCCCAGAACTTCTACTACCAGGAATGTCTTAAAGTAACCCTTTAGTACTCTCACTTCTATTATCTATTACCTGGCACGAATTATTTCTAAAATAAGCTGGATCTCTCCCATAAAAAAAAATCCTGAATAAAGAGCCCTGGAATAACAGGGAGAAGACAAAAAAAAATGGGTGAGACCAAGGACAGGTACTCTTAGTAGGCCTGGGTGGAAGGCACTGGTAGATTGCAGATGGCCACAATGCTTCAGAGCCCCTCCCAAAAAGAAGTGAAGTCTACCCACCCCTTGAATCTGAGATGTCCTTGTGACCTGCTTTGAGCAATTGAGTATGACAGAAGGGACACTGGACAAGTTCCAATCCTAGGTCCCAACAGGTCTGACAGCTTCCCTTTTTGCAGGGCTTGAAACCCTGCTATCACCCTGGGAACAAGGCCAGGCTAGCCGCTGGAAGTTGAGTAAGACCTCATGGGGAAACTGCAGTCAAAAACCACCCTGATCCTTCCTAAGCCAGCAAGCCCCAGCCTCTAGCCACAAATGCTTGAACAAGATGGACCAGACACGCTGGAGCACAGTCCAAATTACCCGCAGAGTCAGGAGCTAAATGGATGGCCCTTGTTTTAAGCCACCAAGTTCTGGGGTGGTTGTTACATAGCATAAGTTGACTGATACAGGAAGGACACCAGGGAATGTCAGAGCAATCCTAAAAACCAATTCCATCACTGGACCATTTGCCTTGGGCCAGATCTAAGCATTGTGCCCCTGCTATGTGATAAAGCCACCCTCTGGGTCCCCGACGCCTTGCTTCCCCAAAAGTTCAAAGCTTTTCTCTGAGTAGTAAACTGGAAAACTCATCCTTCTAATAACCCAGCTTTGCTCATTGCCTCATTGCCCTAAACCCAGCCATAAGATTCATGAGAGAAGGGAAACAGCAGCCATTACATCACTTGCTTCAATTTCCATATAAGAAAACAGAGCAGGTCTGTCCTCAGCGTACACACATCTGAGTGTCCTGCAGCATCAAAGATTCTCCATGCAGTGGGGCATTCATGCTGAGCTAACTCTTAGCAAATGGGGTTGCTGCCTAAGCAGGTGGCAAAGTGATACGGTACAGTAAGCAGTGGGCCACGGATCTGGAAACCTGGATTCCAGTCCTGCCTGTCATCTTGGGCTCTCTGGATGGGCACTTACCCTCCCTGAATTCCAGGTCTTCAATGGTTGGATTTGATCACCAACACATTTCTAGGGTACCATAGAACAAGACATGAAGCTCAGGTAAGAGATCTGAGCCCCAGTTCTTGACAGAGCTGGCTTTGTGTATATGCGACTGTCATGCCAGACCCCTGTTGATGCCAGCAGGGATGGCACCGTGTCCAAGAGGCCAAGGAAGAGACCTGGAGCTGGCAAACGAGATATAGGGTATAAACAGTGCAGTCCAGGACCAGCGAGCTGGACAGGAAAACTGCTCTTGTTTGTAAAAAACATACAAGTTATGTGGCATTTTCACTTAGGAACCTCCACCTGGCAACTTCTATTTAACCCAGAACAAAGAGCCTCAATCCCCTGTCCAGCATGTGTTCCAAGGGATGGGCCCTAGGGGTTCAGATGGCCTTATAAATAAGGAGTGAGTTTCTGGGTTGGCCACTCCTGGATTCCTTAGCTGAGAGCTCTGAATACACATTCTTCCGAGACCATAGGGTCATTCTCAGGGTATGATTGAGTTATTGCTGTCAGGTGTATCTGCCATACAGCCACCCAGGCAAGTTGCACAGGGCTCCAGGCTCAGAAGATCCCCATACTTGGTTTAATACTCAATTATTGCTATCTTACAATCTTCATAATTTTATCTTTGAACTTGGTGTTTTTTATTGTGTTTTGGTTTTGGATTTTGGAGTTTTGTTTGTTTGTTTTTTGTTTTTTGTTTTGAGACAGAGTTTCGCTCTTGTTGCCCAGGCTGGAGTGCAATGGTACAGTCTTGGCTCACTGCAACTTCCACCTCCCGGGTTCAAGCGATTCTCCTGCCACAGGCACCTGCCACCATGCCTGGCTAATTTTTGTGTTTTTAGTTGAGACAGGGTTTCACCATGTTGGCCAGGCTGGTCTTGAACTCCTGACCTCAGGGGATCCACCCGCCTCGGCCTCCCAAAGTGCTGGCATTACAGGTGTGAGCCACTGCGCCTGGCCTGAACTTGGGTTTTATAAGTGAAGTCCAAAGAGACAGTAGAGCATGCACAAGAGCCCAGGAAACACATGAAATATGCGTATCTGCCTCTGTTCCTTGGTAGTACGTTTGCATACAATGTTCATGGTTCCCAATGAGCACAGAATTCCAGTGCATCCAAGGTGTGTGGGACTTCAGCAAAACTCAGGTCTATGACTGAATACGGGAGACACTGACAGCCCTGAGAAGTCATGCTTTCTGTTCAAACCACAACTTGCTTCAAGAGCAGAAGGAAAGCAATAGCGTTTTATGGCATCCAAACAACCAAAGAGCTTGCTGTGGGTTCAATTGTGTCCCTTGCTCCCCCAAAAATCATATGTTAAAGCCCTAACCTTGAGCACCTCTCAATGAAACCGTATTTGGAAATAGGGTTTTTGCAGATGGTAATTAGGATCAATTAAATCAGGATGAGGTCATACCGGGATAGGAGGCCCTACTGCAATATGGCTGATGGCCTTAGAAAAAGGGGCAGTGTGGGCACAGCACACAGACGGGGAGAATGCTATGTGAAGATTAGAGTTATGCTGCCACAAACCAACCAACTGCCAGGAGCTAGGAGGGAGACCTGGAAGATCATTCCCTATCCCTTTCAGAGGGAGCAAAATCTTGCAATCACCTTGATCTCCGATTTCCAGCTTCCAGAATTGTTAGACAGTAAATTTCGGTTGTATAAGCCACACAGTTGATACTTTGTTATGGCAGCCCCAGCAAACAGATACAGAACATACTATTTTTTCTTCCTCACATTACCTCCCTGTTAGTCAACCACTAATGCAGAAAATGATGACACAGAAGGAAAGGGAAAGACATGCGACCTATAAATCCTTTTCCTTTCTGTCTGTCCTTCCTTATGCATCAGTAAGCAAAATGTGGAGACTGTTGGTAGAATGTGTGCATATCAAACAGTGAAATAGCCAGGCACAGTGGCTCACACCTGTAATCCTAGTACTATGGGAGGCCGAGGTGGGTAGATCACTTGAGCCCAGGATTTCAAGACCAACCTGGGCAACACAGCGAGACCCCGCCTCTACAAAAAATCAAAAAACTAGGCAGGCATGGTGGCATGTGCCTGTGGTCACAGCTATTCAGGAGGCTGAGGCAGGAGGATCACTTGAGCCCAGAGGGTCAAGGCTGCAGTGAGCCATGATCCCACTGCTGCTCTCCAGCCTGGGCAACCAAGCAAAACCTTATCTCAAAAAAAAGTAAAAAAATAAAAAAAGTAAAATAAAAACAATTGAGTTAGTTTTGTGCAGCATTTCTACTGTACTGTTGAGAACAAAATATATATGCATTTACAAACTATGAACGAGTTATATAATTTTGATGATTCTACATTCAAGTTAAATGCTATTATGTTTGCATTTCAAAGTGGCATTGTACAATATAAAGATGAACAGTGAAATTCATGTAAATAATGCAAATTTTAATTTTTCTTTCCTTAGAACAACATTAAAGAGCAAATATGAAACACCGTGGCAAGTTCAAAAAGAGATCAGGGAAAACAGGAAACAGCTTTTTCTATTTCACTACTTTTAACAGCATGTTTGCCCCTGCTTTTAAAAAGGGGGACCTGCATTCCATTTGCATTGGGCCTTCAAATTATGTAGTCAAGAGCTATAGGAGGGCCGGGTGCAGTGGCTCATGTCTGTAATCCCAGCACTTTGGGAGGCCGAGGTAGGCAGATCACCTGAGGTCAGGAGTTTGAGACCAGCCTGGCCACCATGGCAAAACTCTATCTCTACTATTAAAAATACAAAAGTTAGCCAGGCATACTGGCAGGCACCTGTAATCCCAGCTACTCAGGAGGCTGAGGCAGGAGAATCGCTTAAACCTGGAAGGCAGAGGTTGCAGTGAGCCAAGATCACACCACTGCACTCCAGCCTGGGCAACAGAGTGAGACTCCATCTCAAAAAAAAAAAAAAAAAAAAAACAACTCTAGGAAATGCTGTTTCTACTCAGGTGCTCTAAACTTTGCTCTTCTCCAACTCCTAAGTCTGGATCTTTCTGATTTTACCTCTTAATAACTTTACATTCATATAGAAAACAAATGTTGTATAATCACAATGCTCAGGTATGCAAAAATTCACATTTTTTATTTCTCCATGACTGATACTTAGTTCTTGAGACTCCGCTTACCATTTAATGATAGAGGAAAAAAATTTTGAAAACTCAAAGAAACTCAGTGATGTGGAGATTTGAGTTCGGTTAATTCAGGATACTCTCTCTTTCGCTATTTACATGAATTTCACTATTCGTCTTTGTATTGTAAAATGCCACTTTTAAATGCAAATATAAGAGCATTTAACTTGGATGCAGAATTACCAAAGTTATATAAATTGTTCCCAAGGGAGAGATTAAAATCTAAGATGAAATCCTTGACCTCCCACGTTTATCCATGCTGATTTATGTCGAAATCTACAATTCCAGTTAGCCTTTGGTCATCAGTCCTCCTGCCACTGCAGATGTGGCGAAATGCTCACATCCTGGTCTGCGCTCCAGTCCACCCAGGTTCTCTGCATCCTTTGCTCGCTCACTGAGAGGTCAGGTCCAGCAGTTTGTCTCAGCTTCTTCCCGCTTCTCTTGGGTCTGTTAGAGATTCAGGGGTTTGACTTAAGTCTTCCTACCTTGGACCAGGGGTTGGCAAACTATTGCCCAGGAGCCAAATCTGGCCCATTCCCTGTGTTTATAAATAAAGTTTTACTAGAACACAGTCATGCCCATTCATTTACATTTTGTCCATGGCTGCCCGCACTCTACAACTAGAGTTGCAACCGAGACTATATGGCCCACAGCCTAAAATACATATCATCTGGCTCTTTATAGAAGAAGTTTGCCAGCCCGTGACTTAGATACACTGGCTGTTATCTTACCTACTGTCATTTCAATGAAGTAGCTACTATTTTCTTTAGGAAGCTTTCTGCTTCCTTGAGAAGCAAGACTTAAGTCTTTTTTACTTTGCAGAATCCTACAGACTTGCCAGGATTTTCCATCGACTCCAGGGACATTTGCCTATGTCCCAAGATGAAGAACCATCATTGCCTTAACCCGAGTGACATTCTCTCTGCCTGTCGTCTATCACCAACAAGTCTTCAGGTCTTTCTCACCACTTTGGACAAGAAAACTGGCTTTACATCATTGTGCATTGGGCACTTGTATTAGTTATCTATCGACATATAATACATTTACCCCAAAACATAGCAGCTCAGAAAAACAAACACTTAGGATCTCATGCTTTCTCTGGGTGAGGAATTTTGCATGACTTCGCCGGAGGCCTCTGGGGCTCATTGTCTCTCATGAGAGTGTGTCAATCTGTTTTTGACTCTGCCACCATCATCTCAAGGCTCCACTGGGTGAGCATCTGCTTTCAGGACTACCAGCAAGTCTCAAAAGGTCTGCTTCCAAACTCACTCACATCTTCTCTCCACAGGGCTGCCTCGTGACACAGAAGCTGGCTTCCCCCAGAGAGAGAAACAGCTCCCAAGACAAAAGCCACAGTCTTTTAATACTCTGCTTTTGATGTGATGTCCTGTCCCTTCTGCCATGTTCTCTTTGTTACAAGAAAGTCGGAAGTCCAGTCCACACTCAAAGGAAGGGGAATCGAGCTCCACTTCTAAAAGGGAGGAGTATCAAAGAATGTGTGGACATGGTCTTAAAACCACCACATCCCAGCACTCTTAGGCTCATGACAAACTCTGGCCTCAAAACACCTTTTCCAAAAAACCCTAGGCTATCAAGACAATTGTGTCTACCATGATCTCTAAAACTCCATTCAGAAACCTGTTTGAAAACCATTTGGGAGCATCTTTTTTTTTTCTTTTTTTTTTTGAGTCAAAGTCTGTCTCTATCACCCTGGCTGGAGTCCTGTGGCGTGATGTCAGATTGCTGCAGCCTCTACCTCCCAGGCTCAAACCATCCTCTCACCTCAGCCTCCCAAGTAGCTGGGACTACAGGCGAGCATTACCATGCTGGCTAATTTTTTTTTTTTTTTTTTATAGAGACGGGGCTTCACCATGTTGCCCAGGTTGGTCTCGAACTCAGGAGCTCAAGCAATTGGCCAGCCTCAGCCTCCCAAAATGTTGAGATTACAGGCAGGAACCACTGCGCATAGCCCATTCTGGTGACATCTTAATGCTCCCTTCATCTCACTCTTCCCATAGAAACAATGAATAGTTTGGGGGCCAAAAAAAAAAAAAAAAAAGCCAGCAAGAAAAACCTTGGTTATTATCTTCTAATTTTATCCTATGGTATTTACTTGAAAAAGCGTTTTGGATGTCTAAAATCTATCTGCTCAGACAAATAAATCAAGCTGATAAGATGAAATAAATGAATACAGGTAGCCATAGCAATGCACAATAAATCCTCCGCAGTTCTAAGCACATGATTATTTGAGTAAACATTTAGATCCACATAAAAATATTAGCAAGCCAGTCTTTCAGAATCAGATCACTGGAAAGAATTAACTGAAGAAAATCAAAGCCACTGCTCAAATAGAGTCCATTCTTTACAAATATATATATTTTCTTCTCTCTTCCAGGGTCCTTGCTCAACCCCACAACAACGACCCTGGAATTGTAGAAGTTTCATAATGTCCAATTTTAAGATCTCAGCCATGATTAAGACTAGAGTAATCAAGAAGATTAAAAATATTTCTTCACTTTCCTCCTTCTAAGAATAAGTAAGCATAAAAGTAATAGCCGCTAATTCTTATGTGCATGTTACCAGTTACTTTGTTAGGCACTTTACATACATTATCTCAAGTAATTCTCATCTTCACAACACCCATGCCAGAGAAATATTGCTATCTTGTTGGGTTTTTTTTTTCAGATGAGAAAACAGGCTCAGATAAATTAATTTATTTTCCCCAGGTCACATGCTATAAAATAATGAAGCCAGATTTCTAACCCATGTCCATCTGAGTCCTGAGTCTATTCTCTTAACAGTATTACCACACAAGGAATAAACCTGATACACACATCTTCCCGGAACATCAGTAATGTATGAAGATGAAGGCAGAAATACTGTTTCCATATTAAAATAAATATGACTATATTATGTATAGGAAAAATTAATATGCATTAAGATCAAATCAATGTCATGCTTTCAGCCTGTGGATTCGGACCACACATCAACATCTCTGAAAAGATTGGTTTCTCTGGGTTGCAGTCGAGGTTTCCTGCCAGAAAAGAAAGTTCAAGAAGCCCAGCACCCCACACCTCTCCCAAGTGAGTAAATAGCAAACTGAGAAGAATATCAAGATACTACATAAAATTTTTTGATTTTTCATTTTAAATACTGTCTTGATTCCTCATGGGACTTTCCCAACGCGGAAACAGCGATGACTGTACAAGGGAAAACAGATGATTATTTTGCTCGTTCCTGTCCCACCCTGCCCTCCTTGCCTTTGAGTTCTCATGCAATCCTATTGGGATCTTTGCAGGTGAATGAAACATTTTGATTTGCTTGTTGATTTCAAAGACAGCTCCCTGGGAAATACCACAGCGATTGTGTTCAAATTCACCTGAGTAAAATGTTTTTGCTTATTAGAAAACAATCTTTGCAACAGGAGCAAGCCATACATGAGATGCAGAGATCAGAAATGAGAGTCTTTCAGAAGGTTACTGATATTTCCTGAGATGTGCTAATGTGTCATATTTGACAGGAAGGTGAAGAGAGCAAAGTGGGGCCACCTGAAAGAGCACAACTCAATCACTTAGACCCCATTCACTGAAAATTCAGACGTGCCTGAGCTAATAGACAACTGCCTGCTATTTAGAGAGTGAGGATGTGTTACAAACACTGCAGACATGGACCTCATCTATTCCTCATGACAACCACTGTGGGGAAAGAATTGCCATCCCCATTTCACACGTGAGGAAAATCATATGTAAAAATGATGCAAGAGATCTGGGAATTTCCATAGGTCACTGAGCTAAAAAGTAGCAAGGCTGAGCCCCCAACTGGTTCTGCAGGGCCATCAATCACAGAGGCCCGCTAGACCCCAGAAGGTCCTGTATTATAACAGTCATGGCATTCTAATTTCTGATGTAATTGGAAGTCTTTTCTACCAGAGGCTTTCACACCCTTTGGAAGGCCTGGGGAAGCAGAGGCCAGCGAAGCAACTGCTTGAGTTCCTGAACCCATGAAGTGCCAGAGCCGTGGAGAAGCAGTAGGCAGTCCCTGGTGTCACCACCAGGGAGGTGTATTTTCACAGCAACATCCAATTAGAAGATAAATGCAGATTTGCTTTTCTAAACAGAATGCACTTAAACCAACACTCAGCTCTCCTTCCCTGAACAAATTCTCAGGGAAAGCTACTGGCTACAGATGAGCCTTTGCGATCACTTTCAGGTATTGTTCGGTGAGTGATTCCTGCAGGCTCACCCAGAAGCTGCTGCAAACCCCATGATGATCCCACACTTCTGCTGACAGTAACCCTGAAGGATGATATAGCTTCACCTGTTCTTCCACTTTCCAGACCTCATTCCAGTGCCTCTGATTGGCTGAATATAACCCAAAACCAAGCTGGAAACCATCATTCTCAGCAAACTATCGCAAGGACAAAAAAACAAACACCACATGTTCTCACTCATAGGTGGGAATTGAACAATGAGAACACATGGACACAGGAAGGGGAACATCACACACCGGGGCCTGTTGTGGGGTGGGGGGAGGGGGGAGGGATAGCATTAAATGACGAGTTAATGGGTGCAGCACACCAACATGGCACATGTATACATATGTAACAAACCTGCACATTGTGCACATGTACCCTAAAATTTAAAGTATAATAAAAAAAAGAACTGGGGGGCATTTAAGTAGTCCCTGATTCTTCCTTGCAATGCAGAAGAGAGTGGACAAAGACGCAGTAATGGTATTGAGCTGACCACAGCCAATGGTATTAGTAAATAATATATGCATCACCAATTTATTATCCCAATGTATAGATCTGGGACTATTAAAGGGAATTTTTAAAATGGCCGCCACCATTGTATCATTAATCTATGGCTGCGTAAGAAACCACTCAAAAATTAGTGCCTAAAGCAACAACTGTTTACTTGGCTCACAGTTCTCAAGGTCAGCAATTTGGGCTGTGCTCAGCTGGTCCTTCTTGTGTGTCTGTGGTCGGCTTCCAATAAGTCAGGTGGCTCCATTTCTCAGGGTGCACGTCTGGTGGCCGGGACAGTGGGGATACTGGGCCACATTTCTCTCATCTTCCAGAAGATTACCCAGGCTTGCTCCCATAGAAGCTGGCAGAGTTCCAAGGGTGTAAACAAAAGCTGCCAAATCTTTTGAGGGCCGGGCTCAGAATTGCTATCATGTCATTTTTGCCATATTCTACTGCACAAAGTGAGTCACAGGGCCCACTCCACTTCAGAGGACAGAGAAACAGACTCTGCTCCTGAAGAGAGAAGCCACAAACCCACATTCCAATGGGGCGGCATTCACAGAGTGGAATCATGGCGACTTTCGCAAACATTTTGGGAAAGAGTAAGGCAAATAAAGTTCAACATGTTTTTCAAGCCCCTTGCAGGACTTTAATACAAGGAAGTAGATGATCAGTCTCCAAGAAGAAGGCGTAATGTGTAGGGTCCCCACAACTTAGGTAGCCACAAAGCCCTTTTGGTTTGGGGCATCTTGTGGGCCAGTTGCTCTGGGAATCATCTCTGTGAAATACCACTCAGCCCCATTGTGAATTTCCAGTCTGAATCAAGGAAGAGGTCTATTTTAATCACTGAGAGGATGGAATGTCATCAGCGGGGTAGACGTTGTGTGGGGGAGAATGCCTTGTTTTATAGCGGGGCGGAGCGGGAAATAAAGTGCCCTATAGTACCTTAACCTTTGGTTTCCAGCCTGGAAAGACCACAGCATGTGTTCAACAGCCTCCCTAAAGTCATTATTGCTTCCGAGCTAGCTGAATTGCTCGATAATAACAATTCTTTGCACTTATGGAATGCGTTTCCTCCGAGGAGAGCCAAGTAATTTAGAATCACTTATTAATTAATCCTCAGCCCCCACATGAGATGAGGATGGGTTATTACGCATCTTTAACGGATGTGTGAAGTGGGTAAATGAAAACAAAATGACATTAACCGTCTGCCCAAGGTCACTGTGTTGTCAAACTCACTGGACACCCTCCCAGCTCCGTAGACCTCACTCGTCATTTTGGGTGCCTCTCTCACAGTGGCAGCGGAATTCCTCGGAGCTGGGTTCCGGCCATTTCAGGAAAGTCTGTGTTTACTGAATCAACCATGAGGATTTTGCTGTTTCATTTCATGGGGGGGCCGGGGGTGGGGTGGGGGCTTCATTTTTACTATTCCGCTTTTGGGTTTAGTGTTGATTTGAAAATTTAGTGTTCGGGTGTCCAAGAAGAGCTGGTTCTAATTGCACTTATCTTGCATTTTGTTCACAGAGACGTCACTTACTCGGGGAGAATATGCACTCACCAAGCTGAAACAGGGTGCCGCTGCCCACCGCACGCGAAAGCAGGACTCAGAAAGGAGGAGGGAAGCATGTGTTGTCCCCACCAGGGCCGCGTATTTTCACAGCAAAATCCAGTTAGGAGATACATGCAGACTGTCTTTTCTGAACAGAATGCACTTACCCCAGCACGCAGCTCTCCCGGGGTCCACTTCCCTTAGCAGCTGAACAAATTCTCAGGGAAAGCCCCTGACCACGGAGGAGCCTGCGCGATCACTTTCAGTCACCGTTTCCAATCTGTTTCCGAAAGGAGTTCTTCCCTAAATGTGTGTTTTTCCACACATACAAACCAAACCAATCTTAGTGGGTTTATTTTTGTAAAGGGAAGGGAGAACCTGTCACGTCGAAATAGCTACAAAGCCCATCGAAAACTTAGACACTGTGGGGTCTAGTTAAAACCTGTGTTTTAACTAATATCCCCATGGTCAGGTAATGAGAGCCAGGGCCAGCCTTCTGAGTTGCACAAAACCAGCTGCAGCTACCCCTGGTGAATGAGAATAGGCACTTCAGAGGACACAAAAATCCAGGAGCTGGTAAGGAGCTCTTCTTGCACATGGTCACTTTCAGGGTCAACTCGAGGGAAGAAAATTCTGCAACGTTTAGAACTTGGAGAAACACTCTTGATTCGATGCGGTTCGGGTTGTGCAGACTGACGGAACTTCATCTGTCCTTCATTCATTCCCTCTTTCATCAAATGTTTATTGAGCACATACTTTGCTGAAGGCCTGGTTCTGGGGCTCTTGGAGGATGGATCCAAAGCCTGCGGCCTGGAATGAAACATTCAATGAATTCCTTTTCTCTCTCTCTCTTCAGGTCTGTGTGCCAGGCCCAGTGTCAGGCTCTGCCTGGGTACCTTATGATTCCCACTCCCAGAAGCTTAGGGTGCAAATCAGAACTGTCTAGGAAGCAATCTAATTAAGGCTTCCTGGTAGACCCAAATGCCCCAGGTCTCAAAGGAAGAAGACAATGATGGTGGAACAGGAGTTAGAAGAGTAGAGTCCACCATGGGTCCAGATCATGGCGTGTTGTAAAAGGGGATCTCAGGCAGACAGGGGCACTAGAGGGCCAGGGGACAAGTGTATCATTGTGCCTGAGGACTGGCCTGCAGCTGGCAGCTGTTGGCTCACATGGTGAGATTCCCACGGGACTACACCAGCATCTTTTCTTACTTTCCCTCACTGTGAGCCACAACACTGCTTTTTTTGTTCCTGGGTCCTGAGATTAATCTTGCATGTCTGTGTGTGAGAGGTGGAAGTATGTCCTTACACGTGTTTTAACTAATGGCTCATTACTGGCTCAAATTTATCATCTTCAGCCCATCCTTGTCCCTCCCATCTGCCTTCACCTGCTAAATCCTCTCGATCATATTCCAAAGCTATATTTTACTGGTTTGAATCTCGTCTCTGCGACCACACAGCCCTCGGTAAAAGACTTAACTTCTGAGTTTCACCGCTTGCATCTGATAACATTGTGAACAAGAAATGAAACAACCTACATAAAGCACTTGGAACAGAGTTGGTAGCCAGTAAATGTTAATTCTGTTTTATCCCCCTTGCAACTTCTTCCTCTGTGTTCCCACCGCAGGTTGCTTATCCAGCTATATTTGACTAAGGTTAGAGGCTGCTTTGTATAAAAGTTAGTGACAACTGGTCCTTTACATTGATGATGAATAATTTAAAGGGAAGAAGAATCTATATTGACTATAAGGTAACAGAGATAGAAATAAAAGCACAGCCTTGGAGTGGGGGCAGGGCGGGAATCATAGCTGATTTGCATATGCACATTCACCAGGGAGTTAGAACCAGTCATTTGTTTATAACCCAATCCTATAATTTCAAATATTTACAAAGCATTCATCAAATCATACACAACCCTATTTTAGAAGAAAATCTTCCAGACATTGGCCACATAAGAAACTTACTCTATGTTCCAAGGGACAAAAGTAATTGATGGATGATGATAAAACAAATTGCTACCAAAAGGGGACATAAATGTGGAACCAAAGAACCCATGAGAGGATGAACATGTGACACTGCCGAAGGATTTGCTGGCTTTGGCTGGATCCCCGGGTGACCGCCAACGTTAGTGTATATGTAAGTTTCTAAAATATGTACCACATAGAGTGCAAAGTTTGGCAGACACCTGAGAAACAGCAACTAGTGGATAATGAATTAACACATATACCTTTTGGAGACGACTCCATTTTTTTCTGACCCATTTGGAAATGAAGCATTAAAAAGGAGATCCTGTAAGAAGCAAACAGAAATGCCAGCTCTCTACCAATGTTCTCTTTCAAGAATTCTTCCCAAATTTGGTGTGTTAATGACTTGTTAAGAATTAAGTGACCCAATATAAGACAGCAGTTATCTACTGAGTCTGATTTTTCAAAGACCACCCATTTCATGAACCAAGTTGAAAAACATCTTCCCTTATGAGCAAATAAGACTATTTGGGGAAAACAATAAGAGAGTAATAAATTTAACATCTTTTTCGACTCCACTTCTTACACCATGAAGAATGTTTTTGCATCTTCAGCAGGGAGGTTCTTGGTCTAAGTCACCAACCAGGTGCCTAAGCCACAAAAGTACCAGAGAAGGACTAGCCAGCACCTAAATTATCCACCAGCCCTTCCCTGTAACTGGCTGGAGAAAAACCAGAAGCAAATCTTCAAATATCTACCCATTCTGAGCCCTGCTCAGCACAACAGTATTGCTATAATTCCCTGCTCTTAGGGGAAGAAATGTACCTTCACCTGAATTTTATTTTGAATCAAATACACTTTGGGCAATCAAAAAGAGATGATTATTAATTGCCCCCACGTGGCAATGTCTTGGGGCTTAATTCAGAACAGTAATGGCTCCGGGGATAGAAAACATGTTCGAACTCTAAGTCAGCCCTAGCTTAACACATTCCCTCACCAAGCAGGAATCAGGAAAAGTGGTGAGATAGCAAGACAAAGCACAAGGTCACTAGAAGGCGACCTTCCAGTTGGAGGAAGGTGACCACATTTCAGTGGTGAGGGAGAGGTGTCCACCTTCCAGTGGTGGGGTGGGGAGGTGACCACCTTCCAGTTCTAAAGAGAGCAGCAGAAAAAGCAAGAATCAGCAGCTGTTCATCCACAGAGCTGTACTTATATATGACCAGGGAGACACAGACACACAAATTACAGATATACTCACATGTGCAATACACACGCTCAGCAGTGTGAACCACAATAAGGATAGCCCTGTTGGTAAGATGAGTGGGCTTCACACACACACATACACACACACAGAATGCATGCTTTCTGATACACGCACATGTGCACAGATCAGAAACATTTTCTTTAAAGATATTCATAAATGAAGAAATACGCTTTTTCTCTGCAAATTTGGACCTCTGTGACCTTCTGCATTGAAGGCATGGTATGACTAATCTGAGCTAACACAAGCCTGGTCACATTAAGGGTGTGTGCCCACCTCAGTTCGGCGACCTCCACATTTTCCATAATAATAAGAGATCCTTACATCGTTGCAGCTCTACTTAGCATTTGGGGTGTCAAAATCCCCTGGGACCCCAAAAGCCCCCTTTCTGTCACGTATCACAGTGTAGTAGGGCAAACATAATAGATTTCATCCAACCCAACTGCACAATTGGGAGATAGTTTTTAAATTTTATTCAGTAACGAGAGTGGTTTTATTGTTGTAGATACTGGAGGAATACAAATCGGCCAGATTTCTCGTCCATAAAAAAAGCCGGCATTAGAGTTGGGAGGAACGTGAAGTTGAAAAAGAAGAATTCTTCTCAAGATTTATGTGTAAATAAAGTTAAAGCACAAAACGGGGAAACCGGACTCTTTAATATGGCTCTCCTTTAGAAATATTTATACAAGCCTTTGAACCGAGCCCAACAATTCAGAGTTGACGCCATGCGGTGTTCTCAACATCTTATCAAATATTAAAAACCCCATTCTGCAGAACAACGACACTTTACATGCCGAAAAGGCAAAATAATATTTGAGCAAACTCCCCTTTGTTTCCACCAAGAGAAACTTGAGCACTTTTTTTCACCTTTTACATTTTCAGAAGAAACATCTTTTCCTTTGCTGCAGAATCTATAAGAAGCTGGCAACCTGGAAATGCTTATTGCACTCATCCTGGATTCCCCCCACAGGACCTCAGGATCTCAGGCTCTGAGCAGTGCTTAAGCACAATCCCAGGGCCTGGGCCAGATATGGAGGAGGCAACCAGTCTCCACGGCCCTCCTGTCTCCTATCCTGTGTCTCACTCGGTAAGAATGAGACAAGTAGGCTGGGCGCGGTGGCTCAGCCTGTGATCCCAGGACTTTGAGAGGCAAGGCAGGAGGATCACTTGAGGTCAGGAGTTCGAGACCAGGCTAGCTAAATGGTGAAACCTCATCTCTACTAAAAACACAAAAAGTAGCCGTCCATGGTGGTGCACATTTGTAATCCCAGCTACTTGGGAGGCTGAGACAGGAGAATCACGTGAACCTGGGAGGCAGAGGTTGCAGTGAGCCGAGATCGCACCACTGCACTCCAGCCTGGGTGACAGAGCGACTCTGTCTCAAAATAAAAGAACAAGACAGTTAACAACAGTGAAAGTCACTGTGGCCTGAGATGATCTGGGAAAGCTTTCTGAAAAAGGCAGGAACGTAGCTGAGCCTAGAAGCAAAGGGTGTACCTAGACAGCTGTTTCAAATTCCACGTCTTACGTATACTATTCCCTCTAACTGAATGGCCTCTTTTATCTTCTCAGAAAATACCTATGTAAGTCTAAACACAGGACGTCTCTCCACTGACCTACCTCTCAGCCCAGTTCTTCCCGTCCTGCTCCCTCCAGCCATTCAACTTTTGCAAATTCTGCCGATTACACAGCGAGCACTTTGACAAGAGAGCTTGATTTCACATGGGGCCTCCAGACCTGAGGTGAGAGGAGATTGTCCCCAGGTGGAAATAAAGATCTGGTGCTTCCCATAACAAGTTCTCATTAGCCAAAGGCTATAGTGTTGAAAATACATGCTATGTATAAAAGGTGACTTGTCTTCAAATTTTTCTTGTAACTAGAAAGATTGTCAGAATTTTAAATGCTCCACCACCCTAGCCAACATGGTGAAACACCATCTCTACTAAAAATACAAAAATCAGCCAGGCGTGGTGGCACGTGCCTATAGTCCCAGCTACTTGGGAGGCTGAGGCATAAGAATCACTTGAACCCAAGAGGCGGAGGTTGCACTGAGCTGAGATCCCGCCACTGCACACCAGCCTGGGCAATAAAGTGAGACTGTGTCTCAAAAAAAAAAAAAAAAAAAGAGAAGAATGTGGATATTTATTTGCTTGAATTCAGAATCCATTTACCTGGAGCTGAGGCCTATGAAAACCTGGACAAAAAGATCACCAGGCCCCATGCCTATCAGGGAAATCTTTGGAATGATTGCTAATGGGGTGGAGCTGGGCACTGGAGGCACTGAGTGGGAGGAGAAATTCTGTCATGGAGACAGAGGTGTGTCCAGGTAGGCTTGGTGAGAGACACACAGATTCGACATGGGTCCTGAAGGATGCAGAAGGGGGAGGGTGGTGGGGAGGAGGTGAGAAGGGCGTCTGGAAGGGCCAGGAACAGTGTGGATGGGTCAGCATGATCCCTGGTCAGGGGTGAGGGAGGAGACTCTGTGACAAGATTGGGCTGCTTCTCCATGTTGGGCTGCTCTTGCTAACAGGGGAGATGACTGAGAGCAAAGGTTACTTAATGAGATTTTTCTAGACATCTAATATGAGTGTCGCCCAACTGGAACCACAGGCCAGAGTCCATATAGGCTGTGGGAAGTGGGGTATGGCCATAGTGGAACAATGGGAAAACCATCTAAGATTCAGGGCATTTAACTTAGGGGTAGAGAGGAGTGTCGCACTGAAACCCTATTGACTCTAGTGGGGAAGGTACCAGATTCAAGAGGCTGGAGAGGAGACCCAGCGCCAGCAAACAAAACATGAGATTTTGGGGGGGTTTTTTGAGACAGAATCTCCCTCTGTTGCCCAGGCTGGAGCAAGTGGTGCCCTCTCGGCTCACTGAAGCCTCCACCTCCTAGGTTCAAGCAATTCTCCTGCTGCAGCCTCCTGAGTAGCTGGGATTACAAGCGTGCACCACCATGCCCAGCTAATTTTTGTATTTTTGTAGAGATGGAGTTTTACCATGTTAGCAAGGCTGGTCTCGAACTCCTGACCTCAAGTGATCTGCCTGCCTCTGCCTCCCAAAGTGCTGGGATTACATGCGTGAGCCACCGCACCCAGCCCATGAGATTTTACTGGAGGCTTACATACAGGGGAGAGGGCCCAGTGGCCGTGGGCTGGGCAAGATATCGGCCTTCCCTACAGTAAAGTGGTGGCGGCTAGGCAGGAAAACCACAGCTCCTTGCAAAAAGCCCGCAGTTCACGTAGCATTTCTACTTAACACCTTCTCCCTAACAACCTCCACCTGGCAATCCTCACTCAACCCAAAACTCAGGGCCTGAATCCCCGTGTTCCATGGCGTGGGCCAGGGGCTCAGATGTTCCTGATAGACATGGAACAAATCTCCGAGTTCGCCACTCCTGGATTCCCTAGCCCAGAACTCACATTCAGGTGCATCTGCCATACAGAGTCCTTCTCAGGGTACACTTAAATTATTGCTATCATGTGCACTTACCTACAAGGAGTCAGGGTTCAGTAGAAGTAAGGCTGTCTTTCTCATAATAGAAGGGCCAGGTCATGGCAGACTTTGCACCTGGGTTAAGTCGAGGCAGAGAGGTTTCCTCTCATGTGCCATTTCTGAGGAAATCATAGCACCTGCCTGGAGGGCTGTGCTGAGAAGGACATCAGCTCCTCAGAATTTCCCACAGACCTCTGCGTGAACAGCCCTGTTCCCCTCCCTGACTGCATTTCCCACCGCTGCGCTGAGCTGGGCTCACCATGGGGAAAAATGGCCCAACGGTTAGCCCTACCCCTCAGTGGGGCCATCTTTACGTTGACACAATGCCAACCACAACATTCCCATCCCTGAGCAAGTTTATGCAGCAACTGTAACACTTGAACCCTGGCTGGGAGAGGTCCTTGTGGAGCTTTTCCAACTCTAACGTTTTAGGATGGAACCAAGGTGATAAAAACACAAAACTTAACTCCTACTTAGATGGGGCCAAGATGAAATTGACCAGGCTTTCATAACAGAGAACTGCAGAGTCCCTGTTCACCTTCGGCTGTCAAGTGGATTAACCAGTACTCAAAAGGTGTTTCAAAACCCAAAGCACCACAGCAAAGAATTCAACCAGTGAAATATTAATGGGTTGTGCTGGAAGATAAAATTAAATACTTAGTATTTGTCGAGTACCAAAGAAAATTACACCAAATAACTCAAAACGAAATATTTAATTAGCTGCTCTGAAACGGATTTGTTCTGAAACCATTAATCTCATTAACACACACAACTTCCCTTTCACAGTACCTGCTTTGTTTTTGTATGAGGCCGACACGCAGCTCACATTTGTCTACTTGTGTATGTGGATATCTCTAAGAGCCTCCTCGTAATACAAACTGTGTTTCTGCTTCCTTGCTTCCCATATTTGTGGGTAACATTCATTATCCACAAAACAAAATAAAGAAATTGCTCCAAATGAGAAACAGTCGATGTTTCCAACTGCACAGAGAAGGGGCTATTTTTCCAACGTGCACTGCAGATGTGGCAGCTGAATGCATGTGCACACGAAAACGCTAAATGAACAGCCCGCATAATCGTGACAATTATACGTTGCAATATGTTCTGTTTCTACTCATTAACTCGGGAAGTTCCAAGGAGGGGTAAAAAGTCGGTCGTTCTGTTCTCTTAAAACTGCAGCTTTGTGGACTCTACCTGCTTACTGATAAATTTGACATTATTGAAAAAATACTGTAATAAATTTAGAAACAAAGATTATTCCCACTGAAAAATTATATAATTAACATTTTGAAAGCAGCTGGGATCGGGAGTATTGGAAATAATACCAATACAATACTGCCATCTAGAGGAAACTGGGAGAAACCACAGCCCTTTTTTATTTTTCTGATTGCCGTCTTCCCAGTTGTAAAATCAGCAGCGTAATAAAAGGGTTTGCTGGCTGGTATATGTGATAACGATGGGGAAGGGAGACTCACAGTTCCAAATAATGCAATCTTTAGATGAGAGATCTCAAAATTTTTCTTCACATCCCTGAACTCTGAGGCGTCGGAGACGTTGAGGAGGGGCATGTTAACCAGAAAAAGAGGGGCAAACTCAGATCTCCACGAGGCCCGCCAAGAGCCTGAATGCATGTGCAGCCCAGTCTTAGTATTGCCCTTCCTTTTTTTGCGTGTTTTTGGTTGTTTGTTTGTTTAAGGAAAGCTGAAAATGTGTACATGTGTGTGAAATCTCCAGATATTTTAATTTGGCAACTTCTAAAAAATTTAGCTGTGCGGTCTGAATAAAACATGTCTGAGGACCAGCTTTGGCTCAAAGACAGCCAGTTTGTGACAGCCAGTTTGTGATCTTTGGGATAGAAGAAAAAATATTGCCAGTGAATACTGACCAAATGAGAAAGGAAGAGAGAACCCAGGGGGCTGTTACCAGCTTAGAAATGTGTCAAGTGCTTATGTGCCACACTGAAATGCCAGTCTAGACAAGATTCGAACACAGCATTGGATTTAGCTGTCCTGCCCTCTGTAATTTATACAGCTGTGCAGTGTAAGGCTTAATGAAACCGTGCACCGTCTTTTATTATTATTATTATTATTATTATTATTATTATTATTATTACTTATTTAGTTATTTATTTTGAGATGGAGTTTCACTCTTGTCACCCAGGCTGGAGTCCAAGGGTGCGATCTTGGCTCACTGCAACCTCTGCCTCCCAGGTTCAAGTGATTCTCCTGACTCAATCTCCCGAGCAGTTGGGATTACAGGCGCGTGCCAGCACACCTGGCTAATTTTTGTATTTTTAGTAGAGACGGGGTTTCATCACATTGGCCAGGCTGGTCTCGAACTCCTGACCTCAGGTGATGCGCCCACCTCGGCCTCCCAAAGTGCTGGGATTACAGGCGTGAGCCACCATGCCCGGCCTGTGCACCATCTATCTGCAAATGCAGTAAGTGGTTTCCCCACTCACACGCTGATTCATCAGTAGGTTAGGCCAGTCCTTTCTCTACCCTGGTTACACCTGAGAAATCTCCCCCAGGAGTTCATCACCAGTTAATGGAAGACACAATGGGAGAGAAAGAAAGGAGAAGAAAGCACTAAAATAAAGTCAAAGACAGAAATTGCCAAAGAAGACAGGGGCTGTTGTTCTGATGTTTTCAAATAATCACATCATTGAACCAGGAAAAAAAATCATAACTAATAGTGGCCACAATGTCAAATAACCAAAAGAGACTTAGAGAAAAAAATGTGTACAAAGTGATGCCAGGCTCTGTATGTGCCTCTATTGAGTAAATAAATTTTTGCAGGTAGGGAACACAGTGCCAAGCAAGTTGAGAGGTTGCCATTGATTTGCACTCTCAGCTAATTTGCACTGAGGTGCTCCAGCTCGTTTTCCCTCTTGGTTAAATAATTGAGGGGTTATAACTGTCACAGAACAAAGAAAACCATGACATGAGTATCACAACTTTTGTATCTGATTCCACATACTTCTGATAAACAGATTAAGGAAGGACATTTCAAATACGTGTATGGGAGAGATCGGGAGGGAAAGGTTCACGGGCATGAGCAGTCAGAGAGGTGAGGCAGGTGCAGCTTCCCAACTCGCCCTTCTCTTCCTTGTTCCATTGTTTCAATGTATGAAAAAGGAGTGTTGAAATGTACTCTTGCAATTGTGGATTTGTCTGGTTCTTGCCTTAATTGCATGAGCTTTTGTTTCATGCATTTTGAAGCTCTGTTATCATGTACTTCTTATATAAACATATTTAGGATGTGTGTGCTTTGTTGGTAAATTAACCCTTTCCTCAATATGAAATGTCCCTCTTTATATGTAGTAACAATCTTTGTCTTGAAGGCTACTTTGTGTGAAATTGATATAAGCATACCAGCTTTCTTATGCCTACTATTTTGTAATACATAATTTCCCCCTCCTTTTTGACATGTGTATTTATACTTACATTTCATCATTTATGGGCAACACACTGTGGGTCTTACATTTTTATTCGGTCAGAAGTTCTCTGCCTCTTGAATAAAGAGTTTAGGCAGTTCACTTTAAGTAATTATTAATATGACTGGGTTTAATTGTATTATCTTGCTATTTGTTTTGTGTTTTTCCAGTTGTTTTTTTTTTTCTTTTTTCTGAGATGGAGTCTTGTTCGGTCACCCAGGCTGGAGTGCAGTGGCGTAATCTCAGCTCACTGCAACCTCCGCCCCCCAGGTTTAAGCAATTCTCCTGCCTTAGCTTCCGAAGTCGCTGGGATTACAGGCACGTGCCACCACACCTGGCTAGTTTTTGTATTTTTAGTAGAGGCAGGGTTTCACCATGTTGGCCAGGCTGGTCTCGAACTCCCAGCCTCCCAAAGTGCTGGGATTACAGACATGAGCCACCGCGCACAGCCTTTCCATTCTTTTTTGTTTGTTCTTGTTCCTCCATCTCTCCTTGCTTGTTTTCTTTTGAATTAACCAGATTTTTAATATTCTGTGTCTTCCATTGAGGTTTTAGCTATGTCTTATTTTTTATAGCAGCTACTCTAGTGAGTAGAACATTCACCCTTACCTTATTACACACTACAGAGTAATATTCCACTTCATGTGAAGTGCAAGGTGCTTTCAAGAGTATAGTTTCATTTTTGTCCCCTGAGCTATTGTCATATTTTGTTCAACATATATTGTAAATTTCGAAATGCAATATTACCTTTGCTTCAAAGTGTTACATGTTTCTTAAAGAAGTTGAGAAGTAAGGTTGGACACAGTGGCTCATTCCTTTAATCCCAGCACTTTGGGAGGCCAAGGCAGGAGGATCACTTGAGGCCAGAAGTTCAAGACCAGCCTGGCCAACATAACAAGACCCTGGATAAAATAACTTTTCATCTTCCAATTGATCTCAATTTTTAAAAAGATAAAGAAAAAAAGAAATTGAGAACAAAACAGTATTTTTTATATTTATCCATGTATTTAAAATTTCTGGTCTTTGCTTTACTTCCGTAGGTCTGAGTTTTCATCTAATGTCATTTATTTGGAGGCTAAAGAACTTCCGTTAGCATTTCTCATAGTGTAGATCTGCTGGCAACATATCTTTTCAGCTTTTTAAAAATGGATCTGAAAATCTATTTTATTCTAATTTTTGAAGGATATTCATGCTGGATAAAGTTAGCATGAAAACACCTGTCTTTGCTGACAGTTTTCCTTCTTCTTTCAATGAGTTTAAGAAGTTCTTATATGTCTTCTGGCCCTCATTACTTCCCAGTAGAAGGCATTTGTCATATGCATCTTTGTTCTCCTGTGTTGGGTCTTTTTTTCTTTGGCTTCTTTTAAGATTTTCTAAGTGGAGTTCTCTTTGTACTTATCTTGTTTGGGATTTACTGAGCGTCTTGGATGAATATTAATTTTTTACTACCCAATTTTGGGAATTTTCAGGTATTATTTTCTCAAATATTTTTTCTGCCCATTCCCTCCCTTCTCCTTTTCTTGAATCCCAATTATGTGGATGTTAGACAACTTAATAATCTCACATGATCACTAAGTCTCTGTTCATTGTTTTCATCTTTCCACTTTTTTCTCTTTCTTCTTCAGATGGGATAATTTTTATTGATTTCTCTTCAAGTTCACTGTACCTTTTCTTGTGAAGTCTCCAATCTGCTGTCAAACCCCTCCAGTAAAGTCTTCATTTCTAACAGCATACCTTTCGGTTATAGAATTTTCATTTGTTTCTTTTTATAAGGCTCATTGCTCTATTGAGGTTTTCCATTTGAGGTTTTCCACCTGTTCACTTATTGTGGCCATGTTTTCCTTTTTACCTCTGAACATATTTGTAATGGCAATCTTAAAATTTTAGTCTTTACAACATCTGAACTCTATAGTTCAGTTTAGTCTTTACAACATATAAAACTCTATTCCCATTAACTGGGTTTTGTTCCCTTGATCATGAGTAACATAATTCTAACTTCTTATATGTCTAGAAATTTTTTATTGTATGCTGGGCATTAGGTGTGATACATTATGAAGAGTCTAGATTATGTTGTCTTCTTTAAAGAATGTTAGTTTTGTTCTGCAAAGCAGTCAGTTGGTGCCAAGTTCCCCTACTCTGGCTTGGTTTTATTCCTTTTTCAGGGTGGTTCTGTTTTACATTTATTCCTAGTCCAGGACATTATTGCAGGAGTTGGCAAATATTGTGTGCATAGGACCAGGTAGTAAATATTTTGGCCTTTGTGAGTCAAATATGGTCTCTGTCTCATTTTCCTTCTTCCTCTCCTTTCCCCACTCCTCCTCTTCCTTCACCTTCTCCTGATGCTGCTGCTTCTAAAATGCAGAATTATTCTTGGATTGTGGGGTGCACAAATCAAGCCCAGAAGCCAGATTTGGCCACAGTTTTCTGACCTGTGCCCTAGAACATGATCCTACTCCTAGCACGTGGCCTTTATGAGGTTTGAAGCATTCACTGAAAACATTCCATCTGGTTTGTCCAAAACTCCAATGTCTCACAGTACCATACAACCCCTAGCCAATCAAAAGCCACTCTCTGCTAAGCCTCATGAAGCCTCACTCGGTGTATCTGCCTCCTAGCCCTGAGTGAAGGACCCGTAAGAAACCCATATCCTCCTTACCTGCACTAAAGTCCATAAACTGCACCAGACAGAAAGCTGCAGTGACTGTGTGGTTCACTTCTCTCAAGGAATATGGTCTCACGTTACTTGTTTTTCAGTGCGTGAAACTAACTTCCTCATATTTATTGACCTGTTTTATATTTGCTTGTGGCAGATCAGTTACGCTTATCAGAGCCAGAAATGGAAGTCCCTATATGTTATGCTTTGAACAGGTTGTGTTTTAGTGACTCTGAAACCTACGAGTGGAGCTGTATAGGGGGCAGATTATAAGGAATGGGTGGGATGTATAAAAATACAAACTGTTAGTACAGGACACTTGATATTGCATCAAGGGGTAAAAGTTCACAGGGAAAACACACAGTTGATAAGAGAAAAGGGTGAAGGACTGGATCAGGGTAAACACAAAGATGAGAGCTACCTGAGAGCTAAATGGGGAGAGTTGTCCAGTGGAAGAGAGCTCAGCCTTCTCTGGCTTAATTTTTTTCTCTGAGGTTTTACATTTTAGGAATGTCCCAAAGAGTTGTCAGTGTTCTCACTGTCTGTAGTATGTCCTTACCCTCAGGGGACATAGTGATTCAAATCTTATAAAATGGTTATTCATTGCATCTTTGTAAATGATTTTGCTCTCTTCCATTCCAGTATGATCAATTACTGTAATAAAAAAGAGTCCCCCCACCATTGAGTCCTGTCATCAACTTCTGGCTTTTCTCTCATACTTCCCTGAAGGTTCTGCTACAAGCTACAAGCTAAAAAGTAGTCTTTGAACAGACAGACATCCTCAGAACCTCAATGAAAAGGACGAGGTACTTTTACCCACCAATACTTTAATAGACTCATTACTTAAATGAGTACAGACTTCCAAGCAGATACCACTTAAACAACTACAGATTGTAGCAAGGGAGTCAGGATTTTTAGGGCTCTGTTTGAGTACGGAAGCAGCAACTTTGTAAAAGCAGAATGTAGTCTCTAGAGCCAGTGCAAATAATAATTACATGAGACTGAATGAACTGATAAAATGAATATAATTGTGGTTGTGATATTTTTAATTTACTTATTGTGTATTAACATTATTTTTAATATTCTAGTTTATTATAGGCATACAGTGAAGCCCTTTTTCTTTCTTCTTGACCTATCCCTAGCCTTTAAACTAAGGGTCATTGAACTATGGTCCATGGGCTAAATCCAGCTCACTACAGGTCAAATGCAGCCTATGACAGGCAAAATCCAGATATGCCCCCTTTTGATATACTGTCTATGGCTGCTTTCACGTTACAATGGCGGATTTGAGCATAAATCTTACATCAGACACTCATGGCCTGCAAAACTGAAAACATTGTGGTGGCACATGCCAGTAGTCCCAGCTACTCAGGAGGCTGAGGCAGGAGAATCGCTTGAACCCAGGAGGCTGAGGCAGGAGAATCGCTTGAACACAGGAGGCAGAGGTTGCAGTGAGCCAAGATTGCACCACTGCACTCCAGCCTGGAGACAGAGCAAGACTCCGTCTCAAAAAAAAAAAAAACAAAAAACTGAAAACTTTTATTATCTGGCCCTAACAATGAGATCACATGGACACAGGAAGGGGAACATCACACTCTGGGGACTGTTGTGGGGTGGGGGGAGGGGGGAGGGATAGCATTGGGAGATATACCTAATGCTAGATGACAAGTTAGTGGGTGCAGCGCACCAGCGTGGCACATGTATACATATGTAACTAACCTGCAAATTGTGCACATGTACCCTAAAACTTAAAGTATAATAATAAAAGAAAAAAAAAAGTTTGCTGACCCCTGTTTTAGACTATGCTTTCCCATGCTAAAATGAAATATTATTAAAATTGTGTTTTATTCTCACTGACACCTCAAAATTCAGGGACAAATAGTTTTAAGTTTCTTTTCCTTTAAGAACAGGGTAGCATTTGCAAGGAGCCAATAAGAAGCTCTTGTTGTTGTTGTCGTTAATCAAGATAAAGTCAGGAAAAAAATCAATTGTATAACCAAAGCCTTGAAGTGTTATATTAGAATAAATCTTATTTAAGCAGGTATGGCAAGTCCCCATTGATAAAAGGAGTTGTGTTTCATATGTGGAACCAAGGCTCACAAAGCCCTCCCGGGAGATTGGTCTATTCTATGGCTTTTGGAGTTCTGGATATTTAATTAGAGGAGAGAATGACTTCCTAGCAGACTAAGTACCTTAGCAGATTGGAAGTGGGAGGAGGAAGAGGTCGAGAAAATAAATTCATCAATATTTACAGGCACTCTAAGCAACACTGGTAGAAATTAATTTCTTGGGGTTGGTTTCCTAGCTTCAGGACATGAGCACAAATGAGTGATACAAAGTTCTCTGGAATAATATAGCCTGTTGAAAACACAACACTAGATTCCCTGTTAGTTCTTATGACAGAGGTTAATTTTTTGGCCTTATTAGTTGCTTAACACTATATGGCACTATGATCATAGTTCAAGGAAATTTACATATACTAATTAACACGTCTTGCTGCATTGTTAACTAACAGGACAAAATAAAATAAAAACAGCTTTTGAGATCAAGGATAATATTCAGGGATTATTTATGATCACAGAGGATGGCTGTTAGAAAAAGTATCCAACAAAGGAGAAAAACTGCAGCTAGGAGGCAGGACTATCAGCCCCCACTTGGACAGATGGAACAGTGTGTGGAGACTCACATTGTGAACTTTTACTCCAAGAACTACTGCAGGAACATACCAGGAAAACCAAAATAATTCACAGACCCTTTGAAGGAAGCGGCTTGCTGCTGCAAGCTCCCTAAGATAGACATAAAACTGTGAGTGCCCAAAGTGTGAAAAGGGGAAGGCTGCCTCCAAACACACATCTTCACTAGAGGACCTGAAAATCCAGATCACCAGAGAAGGATTTAACCTTACCTAGAGCTGAAATAAACTTAGAGAGCCCAGTGAAATATAAAGGTAGAAGAAGCAGTGAGAAGAGCCCTGTGGGCACTCCCAGTCCCCAGGGAAGCCATTTCTGACTTTGTCTCACAGGGGTCCTTGGGGAGGGCTGCCAGTAGAACTGAGGAAGGGCCATAGGCGGAAGGAAACTTCCAGATGAATTTTGTAATAATTTCATGAGCATGAACCTTCCTGGGCAGAACCTTCCAGGGCAGCAAACAGGAAGTACAGATATGAGCACAGAAACAAGTGGGGAAGGGTGGGGCCTGAAAGCCCTGCCTGCATTCTCAGTGGGGAGGCTTGTAGGTTGGTGCAAGATCTCAGCCCTGCTCGGCCGCTGCCTGGATATAAATTTGGTGCTGGTGGCGAGAGTGAGACTAGCCTTACTGGCTGTGTGGGAACTGGGTGAGGCCTATCACTGCTGGTTTTCCCCCACTTCCCTGGCGACCTGTATGACCCAGCAAAGGCAGCCGTAATCCTTCTGGGAATATAATTCCGTTGGCCTGAGAACCATTCCCCCATCTCCCATAGTGGCCACAGCAAGCCCCACCCAAGGGAAGTTGAAGCTCAGGCTCGCTTATCCCTGCTCCCACTTGATGGTTTTTCTCTACCTGCTGTAGTAGCTGAAGACAAAAGACATAATCTTTTGTGATTTCTATGGCCCCGCCCATTACCTGAGAAACCTGAATACCTATCCAGGTGAACTTAGGGCAAGCCTGTATCAGCTGATGCTCTCTTGAAAGCAAAACCTGGCTGGGCACGGTGGCTCACGCCTGTAATCCCAGAACTTTGGGAGGCCGAGGCAGGCGGATCACGAGGTCAGGAGATCGAGACCATCCTGGCTAACACGGTGAAACCCCGTCTCTACTAAAATAACAAAAAATTAGCCGGGCGTGGTGGTGGGCACCTGTGGTCCCAGGTACTTGGGAGGCTGAGGCAGGAGAATGGCATGAACCCAGGAGGCGGAGCTTGCAGTGAGCCAAGATCACGCCACTGCACTCCAGCCTGGGCAACAGAGCGAGACTCCATTTCAAGAAAAAAGAAAAAGACAGCAAAACCTCCTGGCTGGAGGCCAACCAAATGCTACCACAACCAGCATTTGAGAAAACCAGTGCACGAAACAAAACTACAACCAAGGACCCTCAGAGAGTCCACTTCACTCCCCTGCTACCTCCACCAGAGCAAATGCTAATATCCACCGCTGAAAAACTTGAAGATGAATCACATTACAGAACTCTTTACAGACACTGTCCAGTACCAACCCAGAGCCCTATAGCTCTGCTGTGTGGTAGACCCAGAAAAGCAATAACAATCACTGTAGTCTGGTTCTCAGGAAGCCCCAGCCCTAGTGGAAGGGGGAGAGGGCCACATCAAGGGACCACCCAATGGGACAAAAGAATCTGAACAGCAGCCCTTGAACACCAGATCTTTCCTCTGACATAGTCTACCCAAATAAGAAGGAAGCAGAAAAACAAATCTGGTAATATGATGAAGAAAGGTTTTTAACACCCCTAAAAGATCAGACTAGCTCATGAGCAATGGATCCAAATCAAGAAATTTCTGAGTTGCAAGAAAAAGAATTCCTAAGTTCGATTATTAAGCTATTCAAAGAGGAATCAGAGAAAGGTGAAAACCAATTTAAATAAATTTTTTAAATAATACAGAATATGGACCAGGACAATCTCCAGAGAAATAAATAGCACCAATAGAAAACAATCACAATTTCTGGAAACAAAGAAACACAGAAAAATGCAAAATACACCGCAAAGTTTCAACAATAGAATTGAACAAGTAGAAGAAAGAACTTCAGAGCTCAAAGACAAGTCTTTCAAATTAACCAATCTGACAAAGACAAAGAGAAAAGAATCAAAAGAAACGAACAAAGCCTCCAAGAAGTTTGGGATTATGTTAAATAACCAAATCTAAGAATAATTGGTGTTCCTGACAAAGACGAAAAATCTAAAAGTCTAGAAAACTTATTTGAGGGAATGGTTGAGGAAAACTTCCCTGGCCTTACTAGACAGCTAGACATCCAAATAGAATAAGCTCAAAGAACCTCTGGGTAATTCATTGCAAAAAGATCATCACCTAGACATATAGTCATCAGATTATCTAAAGTCAAGACAAAGGAAAGAATCTTAAGAGCTGTGAGGCAAAAGCATCAGGTAATCTATAAAGGATTATCAGATTAACGGCAGATTTCTCAGCAGAAACCCTACAAGCTAGGAGAGAGTAGGGTCCTATCTTTAGCATCTTTAAACAAAACCATTGTCACCGAATCATCCTGTATCCAGTGAAACTAAGTTTCATAAATAAGGGAAAGATAAAGTCTTTTTCAGACAAACAAGTGCTGAGAGAATTCACCACTACCAAGCTAGCACTACAAGAACTGCTAAAAGGAGCTCTAAGTCTTGAAACAAAGTCTCAAAATATACCAAAATAGAACTTCCATAAGGCATAAATCCCACAGGGCCTATAAAACAATAGCTCAATGGAAAAAAAAAAACCAAGGTATTTGGGCAACAACTAGTAATATGAACAGAATAGCATCTCACATCTCAATACTGATGTAGAATGGCAGAATGGATAAGAATTCACAGAAATTCACAAGTATCTGCTGTCTTCCAGAAACTCACCTAACACACAAGGACTCACATAAACTTAAGGTAAATATAACCTTCAGGGTAAAGGTGGAAAAAGATATTCCATGCAAATGGACACCAAAAGCAAGCAAGAGTAGCTATTCTCATAACAGACAAAAACAGACTTTAAAGCAACAACAGCTAAAAAAACTCAAAGAGGGACATTATATAATGATAAAAGGACTAGTCCAACAGGCAAAGATCACAATCCTAAATATATATGCACCAAATACTGGAGCTCCCAAATTTATAAAACATTTACTACTAGACCTAAGAAATGAGATAGATTGACACACAATAATAGTGGGGAATTTCAATACTCCACTGACAGCACTAGGCAGGTCATCAAGACAGAAAGTCAACAAAGAAACAATGGATTTAAACTATACCCTGCCACAAATGGACTTAAGAGATTTTTACAGCATTCCACCTAACAACTGCAGAATATACATTCTATTCATCAGCACATAGAACATCAGCATATGGTCTACAAGATAGACCATATGATAGGCCACAAAACAAGTCTCAACAAATTTAAGAAAATCAAAATTATATCAAGTACTCTATCAGACCACAGTAGAATAAAACTGAAAATCAACTCCAAAAGGTACCCTCAAAACCATGCAAATATATGGAAATTAAATAATCCTCTCCTCAATGATCATTGGGTCAATGATCTTAAAATCAAAAAGGAAATTTAAAAAACTCCTTGAACTGAATAATAGTGACACAATCCATCATAACCTCTGGGATATAGCAAAAGCAGGGCTAAGAGGAAAGTTCATAGCATTAAATGCCTATATCACAAAGTCTGAAAGAGCACAAACAGACAATCTAAGGTCACACCTCAAGGAACTAGAGAAACAAGAACAAACCAAACCTAAACCCAGCAGAAAAATAGAAATAGCCAACATCAGAGCAGAACTGAATGAAATTGAAACAAAAAAATACAAAAGATAAATGAAATAAAAAGCTGGTTATTTGAAAAGATAAATAAAATTGATAGACCATTAGTGAGATTAACCAAGAAAAGAAGACACAAGATCCAAATAAGCTCATGTAGAAATGAAACGGGAGATATTACAACTGATAACACAGAAATACAAAAGATCATTCAAGGCTACTATGAATACCTTCACAAGCACAAACTAGAAAACCTAGAGAAGATGGATAAATTCCTGGAAATATACCACCCTCCTAGATTAAACCAGGAAGAAATAGAAACTCTGAACAGATCAATAACAAGCAGTGAGATTGAAATGGTAATAAAAAATTGTCAACAAAACATAGTCCAGGACCAAATGGATTCACAGCTGAATTCTATCAGACATTCAAGGAAGAATTGGTACTAATTCCATTGAAACTATTCCAAAATATAGAGAAAGAGGAATCATCCCTAAATCATTCTATGAAGCCAGTATCACACTAATACCAACATCAGGAAAGGACATAACAAAAAAGAGAAAACTACATACCAATATCTCAGATGAACATAGATGCACAAGTCCTCAACAAAATACTAGCTGAGTCCAACAGCATATCAAAAAGATAATCCACCATGATCAAGTGGGTTTCATACCAAGAATGCAGGGATGGTTTAACATATGCAAGTGAATAAATGTGATACCCCACATAAACAGAATCAAAAACAAAAATCACATGATCATCTCAATAGACACAGAAAAAGCATTTGACAAAATCTAGCATCACTTTATGATTAAAACCTTCAACAAAATCAACATAGAAAGGACAAACCTTAAGGTAATAAAAGCTATCGATGACAAACCCACAGCCAACATTATACTGAATGGGGAAAAGTTGAAACTATTCCGCTGGAGAACTGGAACAAGACAAGGATGACCACTTTCACCACTTCTATTCAACATAGCTCCGGAAGTCCTAGCCAGAGCAATCAGACAAGAGAAAGAAATAAAGAGCATTCAAATAGGTAAAGAGGAAGTCAAACTCTCGCTGTTTGCCAATGATATGATCATATACCTAGAAAACCCCAAACACACATCCAAAAAGCTTCTAGAACTGATAAATGAATTCAGCAAAGTTTCAGGATACAAAATCAAGGTATGCAAATCAGTAGCACTGCTATACACCAACAGCAACCAAGCTGAGAATCAAATCAAGAAATCAATTCCTTTTACAATGGCTGCAAAATAAAATAAAATACTTAAGAATATAAGTAACCAAGGAGGTGAAAGACCTCTACAAGGAAAACTACAAAACACTGTTGAAAGAAATCATAGATTATACAAACAAATGAAAACACACCCCATACTCACGGATGGGTAGAATCAATATTGTGAAAATGACCATACTGCCAAAAGCAATCTACAAATTCAATGCAGTTCCCATCAAAATACCATCATCATTCTTCATAGAACTAGAAAAAACAACCCTAAAATACATATGGAACTAAAAATGAGGCCACATAGCCAAAGCAAGACTAAGCAAAAAGAAAAAAGCTGGAGCCATCACATTACCCAACTTCAAACTATACTATAAGGCAATAGTCACCAAAACAGCATGGTACTGGTATAAAAATAGGCACATATGGCTGAGTGCAGCGGCTCACTCCTGTAATCCCAGCACTTTGGGAAGCCAAGGAGGGAGGATCACCTGAGGGTGCGAGTTCAAGACTAGCCTGGCCAACATGTTGAAACCCCATCTCTACTAAAAATACAAAAAATAGCCTGGCGTGGTGGTGGGCACCTGCATCCCAGCTACTCAGGAGGCTGAGGCATGAGAATCTCTTGAATCCGGGAGGCGGAGTTTGCACTGAGCTGAGATGGCACCAATGCCCTCCAACCTGGGCAACAGAGACTCTGTCTCAAAAATAAATAAATAAATAAATAAATAAATAAATAAATAAATAAATAAATAAAAATTTAGAAATAATAATAATAATAGGCACATAAACCAATGGAACAGAATAGAGAACCCAGAAATAAAGCCAAATACTTACAGCCAACTGATCTTCAAAAAGCAAACAAAAACATAATAAAATAGGGAAAAGACAACCTATTCAACAAATGGTTCTGGGATAATTGGTAAGCCACATCTACAAGAATGAAACTGGATCCTCATTTCTCACTTTATACAAGAATCAACTCAAGATGGATCAAAGACTTAAATCTAAGACCTGAAACCAAAAATAGTCTAGAAGATAACAGAAAAATCCTCTAGATATCAGCTTAGGCAAAGACTTCATGATCAAAAACCCAAAGGCAAATGCAACATAAACAAAGATAAATAGATGGCACTTAATTAAACTAAAAAGCTTCTGCACAGCAAAAGAAATAATCAGCAGAGTTAACAGGCAACCCACAGAGTGGGAGGAAATCTTCGCAAATTGTGCATCTGACAAAGGACTAATATCCAGAATCTACAAGGAACTCAAGCAAGTCTCCAAGAAAAAAAACAAATAATCCCATCAAAAAGTGGGCTAAGGACATGAATAGACAATTCTCAAAAGAAGATATACAAATGGCCAACAAACATAAAAAATGCTTGACATCACTAATGATCAGGGAAATGCAAATCAAAACCACAATGTGATACCACCTTACTGATGCAAGAATGGCCATGATTAAAAAACCAAAAGAATAATATATGTTGGCATGGATATGGTTAAAAGGGAACACTTTTACACTGCTGGTGGGAATGTAAACTAGTACAACCATTATGGAAAACAGTGTGGAGATTCCTTAAAGAACTAAAAGTAGAACTACCATTTGATCCAGCAATCCCACTACTGGGTGTCTACCTAGAGGAAAAGAAGTCATTATATGAAAAAGACACACGCACACATGTTTATAGCAGCACAATTCACAACTGCAAAAATATGGAACCAGCTCACAATGAGTGAATAAAGAAAAATGTGGTATATATATACCATGGAATATATACCAGCCATAAAAAGGAACGAAACAATGGCATTTGCAGCAACCTAGATGGAGAGGGAGACCATTATTCTAAGTGAAGTAATTAGGAATGGAAAACCAAACAGCCTATGTTCTCACTTTTAAGTAGGAGCTAAGCTATGAGGATGCAAAGGCATGAGGATGCAAAGGCACAAGAATGATTTAATGGACTACAGGGACTCAGAGGGAAGTGTGGCGGTGGAGGAGGATAAAAGACTGCAAATTGGGTACAGTGTACACGGCTCGGGGGGTGGGTGCACCAAAATTTCTGAAATCACCACTAAAGAACTTATACATGTAACCAAACACCACCTGTTCTCCCAAAACCCACTGAAATAAAAAATATATTTCAAAAAGAAATTGACATAGAAGCCTAACACCTGCCCCCTCCAAATTTGGAGTATGGACAGACATGGATGTCAGGTGGGGAAACGGTTTTCTCTAAGTGGCTGTGTTGGTCTGAATTCAGATTTCCTTTATTGAGCAGTGGACTTTGGCTGGCTGCTAGGATTCATGGAGTGGCTCCTCAACTCTACATTTCAGTCATAAAACAACTTGCAAGTTGCTTCATCTCAGAGAATTTTGAACTGGAAAGAAGCTTATGAGGCCATCCTTCTCCCTTACCTCATGTCATCTTTTCATCTTTTGGAAGAATTTCCATTTAGTGGTCTCTGACCTAGAGTCGCCTGTACTTTCTTCTAAGATCTTCCTGGAAACTGACGTGCAAAATCAGCAGCAGTGGCAGCAACTCACCTTTCTCCTGTCCACATTGGTACACATTTGAACATTTTACTGAGTAGCTCCATAGCTATCTTTTATCTAGATTAAATAAACTTTTTATTTTCCTAAAAAAAAAAAACAGTGTCCAAAACCTGGAATTAAGCAAAAGAGATTTTTACATGTCCTTTTAGTGTTGTGTTGAACATTGCATAGTAGGCCTGCCCAGAGTTCTGATTCTCTAGGAGTGTATGCCTTTATTTGACTTGCTATTTACTATTTAGGATATTTTTCAACTTTGTAAGGGTGGATATTGATTGGAAAGAAAGCTGATAGAAATATAAGTTATTCTTGTTCAATAGGAAGGAAAATGAAACTCATCCCTGGAGAGATGCAAACAAAAATATTATAAGGTTATGGTTTATTTTGTATGTAATTAAACTATCTTATTCCAATGACTTTATATGCCCAGTCCTTTAGGTTTTCTTTAATTCAGCTTTACCACGCTGCTGGCCCTTTCATTAATGAGTTTAATGATTCTTTGACATCACTTCCCTTAAAAAAAAAACAACTTAGATATATAATCATTGGCTATCTTCCTAGATGCTTGGATGAGATATGAAAGCAAGAGAGTAAAGAATTTTTTTCTTTTAAGATAAAGATTTGAGCTTATTTCATAATGTGAAAAAAAGCCATGGAAAGAGAGATGTTAGAGAAACAGTAAAGATGAGACAATTAATGAATCAAATCCCAGAAAGAGCAGGAGGGCAAAAAATTCAAAACATGAATGTCTGGATGACTCTTGGTTACAAAAATAACTTTTCCTCTGATAGTGAAGAAAGGAAGAAAGGCTGGCTGTATGTGTATACACACACACACACACACAATTTTGTAAGTTAAGGGCAAGAATTTGAAGACGTTCATACCAAATGAGCAGTCTTACTGAGAGTCAGGATTGGGCGGTGCAGCACCCGATGTGAAGAGATCATATGGATTTGAATATTCACTGATGGAAACAGGAAAGGGATCTTATTGGAAAAACCGGGGAGTACGGGTAAAAAGAGAGTTGGCTGTACTCATCTGTGACGGGAAATCAGGGATGTGTGGGAAAAGTTGGGATGATTGCAGTGATGTGCTGTGGGATTGAGGTAGGTCAACATAGGAAGGAAAGCCAGTGTATGGAAAATGGACACAGAAAACGTGGGTAGGATCCATGAGGCCGGGCGCAGTGGCTCACGCCTGTAATCACGAGGCAGATCACGAGGTCAGGAGATCGAGACCATCCTGGCTAACACGGTGAAACCCCGTCTCTATTAAAAATTACAAAAAATTAGCCAGGCATGGTGGCAGGCGCCTGTAGTCCCAGCTACTTGGGAGGCTGAGGCAGGAGAATGGTGTGAACCTGGGAGGCGGAGCTTGCAGTGAGCCGAGATCCGGCCACTGCACTCCGGCCTGGGCAACAGAGAGAGAATCTGTCTCAAAAAAAAAAAAAAAAAAAAAAAGGTAGGATCCATGACAAGGCTGAAAAGAAGTGGAAGCAAAGGAGTGGCCCCCTGGAAGAGTAGGCAGTTTTGGCCAAAAAGGCACAGGAAGAGGTTGGGTATAATGAGTCCACAGGTAGACAGTTCCAGAAGATGACAAGATTTCCATGTGAGCATCATTGGTGTCTGTCACTCAAGTAATACAAAGGTCTTATCTCAACCTCTGAAAAGACTTTGGGATGGGATGCCGGAACAGGCTGGGAAATACGACTTCATTGAAGAACATCAGTGTGACATGGAGCTCTCACACACTGGTAAGGAGTTAAGAGGTGCTTTTTTCATAGAATCAGCATTTGACCTACCCCCAAGACACTCCATGTGACACAGGGCTGAAGATCACAGGGAGGGGGAGAAGGGTTCAGTGGACTTACTTGCAAAGGACACACTTGAGAGGGACCCAGCACTGTGGTAAGCCTTTCTCAGGCATCATCTCATGTAATACCCACAGCAATAGTGAAGCAGCATTATTAGCATCCCTACTTCATCCATAAGAAAACAGGCTCTGAGAGGTAAGTTATTTGTCCCATGTCATAGGTAAGAAACGCCAGGGGTCTCATGCTGAGAACTATCAGACTCCGAAGTCTATTTTCATAATTACTACAGCACATAATCCCCCCAAAATAAGGAAACAGGATTCAGGAGAGGGAGAGAAGTGGGAAAAGGCACTTAACGATTTATCAAGATGAGCATTCAGACACTTTGTTTTTTCCAAAGGGGGAGGAAAGCCCTAGGTACCACTACAGAGGTTCCCTTCTACACGTAGTAAAACTGTACCCATGTCCACAGGAAGACATAATGTTTTTAAAAATTGAGAATCCATTAAACAAACATACACCAGGAATACAAAGGAAACCCAAAGCCTTTGTACCTGTTGCTCCTGACTGTTCCATCTCTGCCTGGGATGTTCTTTTCTAGCTATTTCCATGACTGTCACTCACTTCCTTCATCTCATTACTCAGATGCCACCATCTACTTAACACAGGTCTTCTCTGACCACCCAAGTTAAAACTGAGACCCACCATCTCCACCATCACTACCTGGGCACTCCCTATTACCTTCGTCTAACATATTGCATATTTTGTTTGATTACTGTCTGCACCACTAGCATGTAAGCCCCAAGGGTGAGGGGCTTTTTTCTGTTTTGTTTACTGCTATACTCCTGGCATCTAGAAAGATTTCTGGCCCATGATAGAAACGCAAATATTTTAAAATTTATCTCAAGGCCAAGCAAGTGTCCATTGACACCCCTGCATTCACACACATGCACACGCACGTGCATACATGCACACGCACACACACTTGTCCTGAAGAGCAGAGTTCCCAGGTAAAGCTAAACATGAGAACTCGGCTTGTGCCTGTGGCATACATTTCTAACTCTACTCAAAACCCACTCCCTCCTTCTTTCTTATCAGTAGAACCCCAATTGTGTTTGAGGGCAGAAGCATACAATCAGTCAAGCAATGAATCAGTGCTAACCTGCTATATTTATCAGCTTCTGTAGCTGACGATGACTACATGGCATCTCAGTTCTGGCCAACAAGCTGAAAAGTGAGGCTGTCGGGTGAGGCTTCGCAAAAAGCTCTTTACAAGGGAGTAGCATCACTGGCACACACCATCCTGCCTTTGCCCTTCTTCTTCCTGCCATATGAATGTGATGTCAGCGGTTACCTTGGGCCATCAGGCAATTCAGGATGGGTAAGTCTGCTTAGTTTTCTGTGACTTGCAGCTGAATGCGATACTGTCAAAAACCCTGAGGTCAAAGTTGTGCTTTCCACTCTTCTCTCTTTAGCAAAAAAGCCACTTCTTCAGCAAAGCCTGTCCCTGCCTTCAAGTTAAGTTAGGCCCCCTTTAAGTAGTCTCACAGCCCTGTGAACCCTTTTTTCATAGCACTAATAACAAGCATGGTAATTTAATTACTTGTGAATTTGTTCAACAAAGTAGGAAAGGGCTGTGCTTCTTGTATTGTTTGCCCTGCACACAGCACATTGTATTCTCTCACTATTCAATAATTATTAAAATAAGATTGAATAATGTAAGAAATCACATTAATTATCAGATATGTAGTATAGCCATTAAATGCTGAGTGCAGGAGAGGTGGTAGAGACCAAGAGTGGATAGGCTAAATCTCTTTACTAAGCAAAAACCTGAAAGAATGTGTTCCTCCTATTGAGTCTATTCAGATATCACTCATCCTTCAGTGTTCAGCTCTAAAAATATATTTCTCCAAGAAAACATACTGGACATACTGGTCACTTTATGCCACTTTGATCTCCTCTTTTCTTGGAATCCTCCTGTAAGACAATGAAAATAGAGTATATACAAGTGAAAATAACACTCACTTGTATTGGATAATACTCTTGAACTGTTTTCTGGTCATTCCATTTGCAATGGCCTTTACCAACCTGGAGGTGGAAGGCAGCAATACTGTCTGTTGTTCATTTATTCACTCATCAGGCATGCAATGTATTCAGTGCCTAAAGTGCCAGTTCTTGGGAGTTCGAAGCTACACAAAGCAAAGTCTCTGCTCTTATGTAATTCAGTCTGTTGGGCAAACAAGTAAACAGGTCATTGCAATACGATGTGTCAAGTGCCGCAATAAATACAGAAAATTCTGCATATCTAATGGCTTCAGCACAGGAATTCAAGACTAGCCTGGACAGCATGGAGAAACATCTCTACAAAAAAGAAATACAAAAGAAGCCGGGGGACTGGGTGCGGTGGCTCACGCCTGTAATCCCAGCACTTTGGGAGGCCGAGGTGGGCGGATCGCCTGAGTTCAGGAGTTCGAGACCACCTTGGGCAACAGGGTGAACCCCGTCTCTACTAAAATACAAAAAAAAAAAAATAAATAAAAATAGCTGGGCATGGTGGTGCGTGCCTGTCGTCCCAGCTACTTGGGAGGCTGAGGCACGAGAATCGCTTGAGCCTTGGAGGCGGAGGTTGCAGTGAGCCAAGATCGCGCCACTGCACTCCAGCTTGGGGGAAAGAGAATCTGTCTCAGAAAAAAAAAAAAAAAAAAAAAAAAACCAATAATAATAATAAAAGAAGCCTGGTGTGATGGTGCACACCTGAAGTCCCAGCTACTCGGAGACCAAGGTGTGAGGATCTCCTGAGCACCCAGGGAAGTTGAGGGGACAGTGTTTCATGATTGCACCATTGCACTCCAGCCTAGGCAAGAGTAAGACCCTGTCTCAAAAAAAAAAAAAAAAAAAAAAAAAAAAGAGGGGGGGCGTGGAAAGAAAAATTCTGCACATCACAGAAATGGTATCTCACCCAGGTTGGGGGCATGCATGGAAGGCTTCCTAGAGATATCAGAGTTAAAGGTTTAGCGTTAGTTGCCTAAGATGGAAGGGGACGTTCCAGGCAAAAGCAGCAGCTTGCCTTACTTCAGAAATTGCATGAAGTTCTGTGTGACTGATTAGGTTATGTCCACAAAAGCCATGAGGCCAGAGGAGTAAGCAGGGTACAGAACATCAAGGGCCTTTGCTAGTCTTGGTTAAGTTTATATTTTATCCCACAGGCAACAAAAGGCATAGAAAAATTGTATCCAGAGAAAATCCACTGTGCAACTTAGAGAGCTCACCAATGAAAGGATGAAGCGGGTGGTGAGGCTGGGTTCAGTTTGCTTTTTGAAGTGAATAATATGAGAAATGGAGAAACAAAGCCCCAGGGCAGTAGAGAAGCGGGGAATTCACTGAGATATTCGGGGAACGAAATGGACAAGATTTGGTGAGTTGACAACAAATGTACCCTTCCCCTCCTCTCTCCTTCCCAAGGTCTCATGCCCAGGCCTATTTACAGGTTCATTTTCTTACCTTTAAGTCAAAGGCAACCTCTAGTAGAGCAGTTCACTGTTGCACCCAGGCTCCGTTTTACACCCCACACACCCAACACCCCTTTTTAATTTGTCATTGTACTTTTTGCTACAGATACACATCTTAAGTAACAGAAAGCTTTTTTTGTGGAGAACAATCAAGCAAAAAAGCCACATTTCTTATTCTGTAAACGTTTTCCAGTACCTCAGAGCTGGTGACCTTAAATTTCCCTAAAATCTGATGCCACCACACCCTAAGAAGCCAGAGGTCTGTAGAAATAATTCAGCAGTTGATGTTTTCACACATGGGAAAATTAGCTTATGTAGATATTTTAGAGCTAAGATGCCTCCATTAAAGAGGTGGTGCTTTAAGGAGTACACAGAGGATGTTTTTAAGAATGAGAACTGCAACACTGGATGGCTGCTAGCAATAAAAGCCATATCAAACTGAGCAAATCTGAAGCAAGAGATGAACTATTTTGACCCACATAAGATTTCTTAGAGTTCTACTTTTATAGGGAACTAGAACCTGGCAGGGCAAAACAGCACCATGTGGGAAGCGGATGCTTGGCTGTTGCTTCAAGGTCTGGTGATTGAGAATGGCTGAGCCACTGTGACTTCCTGGGGCAGAGCAGCTCTCACCAGCAGAAGGTGAATCGCCCTCCTTCCCTTTAGCTGGCTGCTCTCCCTTACTTTTGGAGGTTAATGAAGATACTGCAACATATCTAGTAAAAATTGTATTGCTTCACTGCTGGAGACTCTGGCCATCAAAATGCTGCAACTCATGAAAGACTGTAAGGCGTTTGTCTCAATCCCATCACACTAACAGGAAATCAAGATGTGGACTGAGGCTTCTCCATGATCTCCTATCTGGGCCTATATGGAACACTGCCCTAGAGAGGACCCTTTGAGAGCCACTTCAGAGACTTTGTAGATACCCAGAAAAGCCCAATCACGGGACTGAGGTCAAATCCTGAAATTTGGCCGGAAGCTCACTTGACATCAGCTGATTGAAGATAGCATCAGGGCTACCCTGACAAATCTGAAGGACAGTGTCTTTCAACAAAGACACTGTTTGAGAGGGGATGAACTGTCTTTAATCTGTACTATCCAGGCTTACATGAGATTGCTCAAATGCGGTGTTTCTGGCAAACACTTTGCTCCAAAATAAGCACCCCCACAGCTAGCAGCAGGTGTTTCCCTGGAGCTCAGTAACTACAAGCTCATTTGGCAGAACCAGGCCACTAGTGAGTAGAAACCCTAAAACTAACTTGCCCTTGGTCCTATACGTTTCTGTCACAGCCAATCTCTCCATGTCCTCAACAAAACAGCACCATTAAATTATCCTTGATTTAATAAATACTTTTGAACTATACAATCCCTCTCCCCACTGGGCCCCACCTCCCCAATATTCGCTTTTCATTTCTATCACTCCACTCATTACAAGGACTTTTGACTGATCTGTCTCCTCTATTAGATAGCAAGTTCCTTTAAAGAAGGCACCTGTCATCTTAGTCGTTATACCTTCAGAGTTTATCATGGTGCTTGGTATGTGGTAGACTATTAAACATTTGTTGAATGAGTTAAGCAGATCCTATATTGTCTCTTGCCTGTAATTTTTTGGGGAAAATCCACCTTGACCATATAAACAATGTGAAACTCTCCCATTCAAGACCCCAAATCAGGAGATCAATAAGACTAAAACTTAAATCTAGGTTTTCTTTCATTTACTTTTAAAATCACTATGAAAAATACATGTATCATTTTTTGAAATCACTGAATAGTTAGTAAATGAAGAATACAAGAATAGCTATATTTCAAAGACTAGCTAACTGTGCCAAAGATTTAGAAAAACAGTAGGACCCCAAGAACTTAATGGGCACAAAAACAAACAATTCACTAAAATAAAAAATACACAAGGCTAAGAAAACACGAAAAAAACCTTCCAACCTTATTAGACATTATATTTACCTATTAAATTAACAAAGTTTTAACCAAATGGTAATTCGGAAAAGGTAGTGTGAAGTCAAAGGGCACTCATACACATTCAAACATTGAATGGAGGGTGGTTATCAACATGGTTATATGAATAAGAAACCTTAAAAAGTTATGTCCAAGGCTTGTGAGACTACATGTGTGTATATATACATACACAGGTACATATATATTAAAATGTAAACTAAAAATCCTTATATTTTTCTGTAAACTTCTAAAACTATATGCCCTAGGAAACCAAAGTGTTGATTAGACTTTATGCAGTATGACTTAGAAATTAAGAACATGGCTCTATCACTAACTAGCTATATGACCATCAGCAAGTTGACTTTTTGGGCTTAGTTTCATCAGTAAAATGGTAATAATAATAAAAGTACCTACCTGACAGAGTTGGTGTAAAGATTAAATGAGAATATAAATTAAGAGTGTAGAACAGTGCCTGGCATATAGAGTGCTCAATAAATGTGAAATGCTCTTACTCCACATATCAGAAATTTAGAAACAGCCAAATGTTTAATGACAGAATACTTCAAAAGATTATGGTAAATTTATACAACAGCATATTATTATACAGTCATTAAAATGTTGCTCATGAAGTTTTAATGATGTTGGGATAATGCTTATATTAAGTGAAAAAGCATGATATAAAATTGAATATATAGTATGATTTCAATTATGTAAAATATACTTCAATATGTAGAAAAAGATCTAGCAGAAAGCATACTAAAATATTAAAAGTGATCATTTTGGATAGTAGTATTTGACCTGCTTGCTATTTTCTTCTTTATACTTTTCTATCATCGATCTTTTTTTTTTTTTTTTTACAGTAAGGAAAATATTGCTTTTAAAATCAGGAAAACACCATAATTTTAAAATGTTAAAGTAACAAATGGATAATTTTAAAAACTTACAGAAATGTCCAACTTTTCACATATAAATGATGTAATACAGAAATTACTGTAGCTTTCCAAAACTCAATAATTTCCTGTTGAATTTACAAATGTGTATACTGTATTAATGCAAAATAATTATCATAAGCAACATAAAGCAGTAAATATCCCTTGGTTGAATTTGTTTATAAATGAGTGTCTGAAATTGAGCACAAACAATGCACATGCTCCCTGACTGAAAACAGCCCACAGTCTCTTTGGCCAGCCTCCTCCACTCTAAGCAGCAGTGCCGGCCCCCAGCTGGTCCTGCTCCAGAGCTCCCTTCTCACCCAGGAGCAGCAGTGGGCCTTGCTAACAGCTCCTCCCATCTTCACTCCGTGCTCCAGCAACTTTTCCCTTCTCTATTCATCCAACTGCAAAGTTCTCATTCCTTTTGCAATTTTCAAAGGGAAGAACTCCTCCTGTCTGGTTATAAGAAATAGAAGGATAAAGTTTTCCCTTCACTCTGAATGAACACTCCAGAACCCTTTTCAGTTCTTTATGCACAACTTTTCCCCTCTCCAACAGCTTTCAACCCTGTGTTCCTCAACCCTACCTCTCAGGTTATCTTATCATTAGTGCAAAACGCTATGTTCATTTCAATCCGTTTTTGCCCTTACAGAACTCAATCTATTAAGTATATAAATATCAGCCAATATAAATACCATTCAAGTTTTTAACAATAGTAATAGAATAAACAATCACAATTTATAGGAGACATCAGGAAATTGTTCATATTCTTACTAAAGCATTTCTTTAAAGCAAATCTCAAAAGAAACTTCTGGTTTATCAATTAGCATTTTCACCTAAATAGCACTGGGTTAGACATATATTTTAGCCATAATGCTGAAAAAGCATTCTAACTAAAATGTATCAGTTGTTCATCCAAACATCCATCTGCATTGCAGTAACCAAATCACTTATGATTGCATATTTTTAAAGTGGTATAAGCAGAAACTCCCTAGATGTTAACATACTTTGTTGCTATATGGAACTTAACTCTCTACTGTTTTTTTAACAACAAAAGCTACCCTTATACAACCCACCAATTTAATGAACACCATACTTTATAAATTAATACAACGCAATCTAAATGCACCATAAATTTATATTTGTTAATCTTGATATTAGAACATTTTTACATTTCAAACTACATAAAAATATAACAATATAAAATAGAAATTTGTTGACAACTTACGTCCAAAACATCACTATTTCTTATATTGCAACTAAGCAACAAGACAGCTTACACAGCTCTCCAGAAAACATAGTGTTTTTTGTGTTATCAACAAAAATCAGCACAATCCCACACAATAATGTCTTCAATTTATTATCTTTTCCACAGTACACATTTTTCACAAACCGTAAATCCTTTGCAGTTATTCAAAGTGTGTAAACAATTGCCTGAATCCCCATATCCCCCCACCTCGGCTTAAGGTTGTGAATGTTTTAAGTCCTTCAATCAAGTTTCAACTCTTCCACTTGCATAAGGAATCAAGAGCCTTCTCTCTTTAAATTATGTGTGTTTTATCATACAGCCTGCAATGCAGTAAATCACAGTGAAAGCCCTGGGGAAAACAAAACAACATGATCTTTACAGCGGGACTTGAAACTTCACAATAGTAAATGCAGTTCAAGAAGCTTCCCATAATAAAAGCGCGGGTTTTCATTTCCAGAAATCAAGTCAATTAGAAACCCTAGGTTCTACTTAAAAACCCATTTTGATCTAAAAGTGAAAACAGTCCCCTATCCATAGTCATTTTATAAACTCTATACAGTTTCACTTGCAGAGATTTTTTTTTTTTCCAGTCTGGAAAACAGTAGTGCAATTACGTTTTACTTCTTTTAAGTTATATAGTCCAGGATGTAAATAGCTCTGTGGAAAGATAAGAAGATGCTCTGGTAAACAAGAAATTTTTGCAAGCCCATGCTGGCTTACGAGTCCATTAAAGCTTGTAAGTCCATCGTGGCTTTCAACAAAATGTTGCATATACATCACTGAGAACAAAGCAGAAATAAATAGGCAGAAATGACTGTAAACTGTCTCATTTCAATGATTTTTCAGTAATAACTGGCTTGATGAATTGATTATATATAGTCACTTAAATAAGCAGACAGTAGACAGTTGCCCTTCTGGATGTTCCACTATGGCATCCGGCCTGGAAAGCCCCAATGGAGTTACATTCCTAAAATTAAACCAAAAAAAAGGTGGGGAGTGGAGGGTGGGGGATAATAGTTTACAGATGCCACTTGAACATGATTCCATCAAGTCAGCCAGTTCACTTAGATTTCTTCTTAAAAAGGCTTTTGATTTTTGATGGCTTTTTGCTTTTCTCTCCATTATGACAAAGGTCATGTGGGATGCTGCTTATTCTGGCAACACTTGGGGCTTCCTGAACTGGTTTACTGTCGTTGCCAGCTGAGGAACATGATGTGTGGCGAGGTTTAGGCACCGGGATGCCACTGGAAAGCTGGTTCATGCTACAGGATTTCTCCAAAATGCCATTGTACACTTTGCTTGCAGGACTGAAGATCATACTCTTAGTTTCTGTCAGACCTACACAGTCGGGAGAACCCCAAGACACATCCACAGTTACAGGCGAATCCCCTCGGGAGGAATCCTCTAGGGACACCTCATCTCTTGATATCTTTCGCGGAGATAATGTTTGGTATATCTCGAGGCTTAAAGGAGGAGACTGTTTCCTTCCAATGGAAGAATTTAAGGAGTCACATTCTGAAGCTGTGTCTGGCACTTCCCTGAATGAAACACAAACAAAGGTACAAATTTTAAATCAGTATGTTCTTAAGAGTACTAGCAGACATTCTAACTAAAACAACTTTCATTGCTTTTTGAAATTTAAAAGAGGGAAATGATATGATTCTATATACATTTCAGCAAAATTAGAACATTACTTCTTTAAATAATATGGCTTCTCAAAACTCAATGCTGGATTTTTAACATAAACCATAATAAAGAAATCTTACAAACTACAGACAATATAAGGTACACCTCCTTTTTGTCAAATAAATTAAAATGTTAAATTTTACGGGTGATTCAGCTATCATCTCAGCTACTTTTATGTTTTGTTTCAATACTATTTTTCTTTCTAAATCAGAGTTAACGCTATTTTAAAAGATGAATTTTAGTCACTGCCTCTCCCTTTGTCATTAACTTGATGAACTATAGCTTTGTTAGGAAGGAAGAAATATACATGAAAGGAATTACACTAAAATGTAAGTTCTACCAAATTTAAAAGGGGGGCAGGGAATCGAGGCACATCAGAGTATGGCAGTGGAGGGGAGGGGCAAACATATGATGCTATTTTTAAAAAAAACAGACATTCAGTAAATTCTCACAGCATTCTTACTTTTGAATGTTTTCCTCCTTTTCTCCACAGTGGAAAAATAAATTTTGTAACCCCAAAACCAACATATAGTAAATGCCATCACCCATTCCTTCAAATCTCTCTCAAATCCACCATTCCTTATTATGTCCCCTGCTCCCATCCTTCCTCTGCAACAGCCAGGAACTCAACTAAATGATTGCAACGGCTTCCTAATTGGTCTTCCTGCTTTCATTCTCATTCTTCCCTCCCAGCTACTTCTCTACACAGCCATTAAAGTGATTTTTAAAAACTCAAGCAAAACATATCATTCACTTACTTGAAACTTCCCAGTGCTTTCTCTCATACTCAGAGTAAGATCCAAAGTCCTTGTCAAAGCGTACCAGGCCGTGTACATGTGGTCCCTGGCTGTCTCCAACTGCACACTCCCTTGTGTTCCTGTAACATGCCAACCTCGAGACCCCTCAGGGCCCTGCATTTGCTGTTCCCTCTGCTTGGTGTTATCTACTCTCCATCTCCACGTGGCTTACTTCTCCAGGGTACGCAGGTTACTGCTGCCTGCCCTAACCACCTTGTCTGAAACAGCATTCTCTTTCCTTTTACCTGTCTTTGTTTGCAACCCCAAAACTTACCAAAACCTAAAATGATATTTTATATTAACTTGTTTATAGGCAGAATCCCAGAAAAAAAGAAATAAATAAGGACAAGGAGCCTTATTAACTTCTGTCTTCTCTGCACTAGAAGAGTGGCAAGTTTACGGTAGGTACTTCATAAAAATGTGTTGGATGAATGAATGGAAGGGTGGGTGAATGAATGAATGAACAGAGTGAGATATTAAAGAACAGGGATCACATCTTACTCACTTTTTTTTTTTGAGAGCTTTACTACTTAGTCTCATTCACTTTTGCACGCACCGAGCCCAAGGTGAATACTGTTCACTCCATGAAAGGAAATGATTGAGAAATGAAAGGGAGAGTCAAGGTAAAAAGTGGCAAAAGAAATACAGTGTGAGAAGGGAACAGAGCTGAAGGCAGAACAGAAAGGCAAGAGCACATATGATTATAACCCAGCAGCTGGAACTAGGCCAGGTCCTTGTCTCACTTGTCTTGGCAGCTCATGTTATAGGCAAATGCACCTCTCATAGCAAGGACTAAATTCATATTTACAAAATGAATAAACTAAATGATCTCTTACCTTAGATGGCCTATGATTAATATCATTTTCATGTTACTGATGTACACATTTACTGGAGGTCTGGCACTTAATTTTGATGAATATTCTATGTTAATACCACATTTTAGATACATATTCAGATTGCTGAATTTAGTCATTTCTATGTACTTTACTCACATATGTCTATGAAGATCGTCTTTACTGCACTACAAGCTCTCGAAAGGTACAAAATCCCCTAAATAACGACCTAATGGTTTCACATAATACACCTACGTGTGCTGCATAATTCTCAAATGCTTTTATAATTCAATAATGGGTAGTGCTAACAGAAAGCAAGAAGCAGTTCAGATATGAGGAAATGATCAGACTCAGAAATCAATCATTGATAGAGGCATTTCTGCAAAGCCTTTTTTGGAATGGCTGTCCATTAATTGAACAGAATATATCACTGTTCCCTGAAGCTGTTCAGCTTCCAAAGTCAGAAGCTGATTCAGTTATAATTTTATGAATATTTTCTCTTCTGTTATGTGGCTTTGCTGCATTGTGTGTGAAATTCTAAGCTAGGCTAAAAGTATTTTAAAAACTAGCCTCTAAACTCTAAACAATGTGTGAAAAGAATACTGATTTAAGTCAGGAGACTTGGGTTCCTAAGATGGTCCTACCATTAATCAGTTGTAAAAGCCTCAGTAAATCACTTGATCTCTTGAGGTCTCAATTTTCCTATCTGTTAAAGTAAGAAAATTTGATTAATCACTAATGTTACCTTCTAGTTCTAACATTTGAATTGCGTAATGACAATAATCCAAAGTGTTGCTTCTTCTGCATAACTAATCTGACTTGGATAATAAGACATAATACAAGTTCAAATTTTATTTTCTTGCAGAGTACATACTCTTTGGAATGTTGAACTATCTGTACCACTTATGCTATTTTTTTCTATTTCTTTTTTTCCCCAGAGTGACATGGAGTTGAATTCACATGTAAGAAAACTCAAAATGAGGTTTAAATGAGCATATATGTGCATAAGGCATAGAACATTCCAACAGAGCGAGACTCCGTCTCATAAAAAAAAAAAATCAGTAAATATTCAACATTATTATTTTGTAAGGATTCTGGTGGTTCAATAGAGGAGAGACTGAAAATGAAGAGGAAGAAAAGTTTTCCAAATTCAAATCATTCTCTTATTTATGAGAGCTAGCTATGAAACTTTGACATTGCTATTGAAATGAGAACTGAACGTTCCATCAATGCAGGAAGTTTTATTAGACAGTGCAGCTCTCGAGTTTTCCTTCTGATTTCCAGAAACCACACAAGACCAGTTCTGTCAGTAAAGGCATCTTGCTGGTGACTATGATCATACTGCAAAGACAGACGAAAAGCTAGTCATAAAGTGTTAACCAAGCAAAGTCGCATCAGATTCTCCAACTGCAATGAAGATATAAAGCCTGCATTATCTCCTTAGGAATATGCTGCACTGATCACTTGCAAATCATAAAATTTTCTTTTACTACTAGATAATTATGAATGAAAAATGATTATTGATGATAATGTCACCTAAAGAGTCACATGATAAAGAGTGTAGACCACTCCCTTTTGCTTCTCATAGAAGAGGGTAAAGCCTTTGGGGACACATAGCTACTCAGTGGCAATACCTGAAACTACCACTCAATACCATACTGCTTTTAAAGAGTAATGTGGTTTAAGAACAGAGCTCCTCAAATTAAGAGTTTCATGGAGCACTGATGTCATTAAGTTGGACTGAAATACGCTGCTGCTATGCCCATTTTGTTAAGTTACTAATTTACTTTTCTAAGTTCCTGACATTTTCTTAAACCTTTGGCATATGATACTGCTTATGTGTTAGCAAGTACCAGCACATAACAGAATAAATCATTAAGTGACAACAAATATTTTTAAGTCAGTCATATCCGATATTTCTTCGTGTTCAAGTATATTCAAGCTCATGCTTTTCCATTTTACATATAAAATTGTTCATGACAAGTTTATGCTCTGAGATCTGAGTCAACCGTGTCCAGTGACCTCTAAGCAGTTACATCTCAAAATATCTACCTACATGTCTGTGGTAGGCAGAATTCTAAGATGGCTCCCAAATTCCCAGCCCCTGGTGTACACACACCTTCTTCCAGTTTTCCAATCAAACATAAAAATAGATGCTGCTGTAAAGGGATTCTGAAGATAAAATTAAGGCCCCAAACTAGTTGATGTTAATATAGAGAGATTATTATTATCCAGGGGAGCCTTTTACATTTTAGTCTAGAGATCAGAGAGACGGAAGTTGGAGACTCAAAGCAAAGGAGGAATCTACAGCAGAGAAATTCTCTATTGCTGGCTTTGAAGATGGGAGATCCTGTGGCAAGGAACAGTGGACAGCCTCCAGGACCTGAGAGCAGCCGCCATGCAGCTGACAGAAAGCACAGACACGGGGACCTCCGTCCTGGAGCCACAGGAAATGAAGTTCGCCACAACCACATGAACTTTGAGAACTGCAAGCTCCAGATGAGAATGCAGCCTGGCCAACACCATGATTTTAGCCTTGTAAGGCCCTGAGCAAAAACCCCAGTCACACCAGGCTTGGAATTCTGATGTACAGAACTAAGAGCTAAAAAATGGGTGATGTCTGAGGCTGCAAAGTCTGTGGTACCTTGATATGTAGCAACAGAAAATGGAAACATGCACCACTCCTCCCGCCCCCTCCTCACACCTTACCCCCAACCCAGCCCCAACATGCCCTGTAGATTATTCACTGCCAATACCATTGCTTTTCAGCAGAGAAGTAAATGGCCTCTTCCTCCTCTTCATTTCGATAAAGCGCAGGGCAACTTGACACTGAGAGGATATCTGGATCAGGGGAAGGCAAGGAGTGTGGTGTGTGTTGCGGGTGGTGAGGGTGCCGAGGGTGTGACGGGTGGGGGGCGTGTGGAGCAAGCTGAGCTCGCTGAGGCTGAGGCGAGGACGGCACAATGCTGCGGCGTGAACGGCACAGGCTGCTGCTTCTGGCTAATGATCCAGGAGGTTTAGCCATGGTCCCTGAAAAACACCAAGAAAGAAACATGCTCATGAAGTCCAGGGTTCCCTTTACAGTCACCACAAATACATACACACAAGAGAACTGATGTCACTAATATGTCACTGTTTCATCTCCCTTTACTGAAGTTACTGTACAGTTATTACCATTCTCTACTACCTACACTAGGAAAGTTAAGAAATAGAAACAAAAAAAAAACAGGTTTAAAAAACAAACAGAAGTGAACATAAACATGAGGCTTTAACAGAAAATCTAAATGTACTAACCAAAAAGGCTTAAAAATTTACCTAAGACAACAAATCTTTAAATTTAAAAACCTGTATTGTATCACAAATTTTTTATGACTGTTAACATAAAGAAAGGACAACAGAATAAAGTAGGCTGCAATGGTATCTCTTGAAATATCACAAGTTCTTTGAACTCAATCAGTTTTAAATCAAGGAAATCACTTAACTACTGTATGCACAGTCTCACAGCTGGTTAGGCAGAGTTCAGAGCAAAACTTGTTTCTTGAACACCCACTACTGTGGAACTAAACAGAAGTCTTAGATCCAACTATTTCTGCTACCAGTCTCAGTTGAGACTCATGCAGGTGGGTAAACAAACTTCCCCTACATCTTCAATATCCTCACTAAATGGGCATTCCATTTCTTACTCTTAACTGAACGAACATAACTCACCTAATAACAACCTTCTCAAGCTGAAGCTGTTCGCTCCTGCATGGTTCAGATGCTATAGCATCAGAACAAAAAGTGGGTGGCTTCGCTCCCCAGTACTGTCTGCACACCCTTACTTCTACAACCTTTTATACAAATGCATTCCTGCTGAAGCGAACACTATTAAGGGACATGACTGAATCTTCCACCTCCACTTCACTAGTCACTTCCTGGACATTCTCTCTCTTACTGGCCCTTACAACCCATCATCAGCATGGGCAACTTCACTTGTAAGGTTAGGCTTTGGGCCCACGTTAGGTATTGGAATAATGAGTCAGTGCTCTGGATAAAAGCCTGGACCTAGAAGGGCTACATTCCTCAGTGAAAGGGTAAAATTCTAACCAATTAGCAAGCAAATTTATTTTATTTCAAGATCTCTAAATATAGCCATTTTAAAGGGCTTCTGTGAAAAACTCAATACTCTGAGCCTACATCTCATATTAGATTGGAGTGCAAGTTCATACTACCAGAGGGTCTATGAAACTGTATTCCAAAGAGTTAATATAAAAAACTGCTCCCAACTTGGTGATATCCTTGAAACTACTGCCAGAAGCAAAGAAAGGCATTTTGAGGGGCACTTTACCACTCACACAGTATTTTCCAGGGTGGAATAATGCCAATCTCCTTAACAATAGCTAAGTAAAACATTATAAAACAGGAGAGAGAAAGCAATCCGCTATGCAAACACAAGAAACTGCTGTAACAATTGACCAAGAATATCAAATAAGAGGATTATCAAATGAAAACTAAAAAATAGGGATTTTTTTACATCATGAAACTATATAACAATAAATTGAAAATATGAGAAAAGAAAGCATTAAAACATAGAGTTGATGAAGAATCAAAGATAACTAATAGAAATGAAAAACAGTAATTAGAGTTAAAAATTCAAAGGATGAGTTAAAACTAGAACTGAAGAAATAATTAGTAAGCTAGAAGGCAGATCTGAGGAAATGTCTCTAAATGCAGCATAGATAGATCAAAAGACTATAAAAAGAAAGGTTAAGAAATGTGGAAGATAAGATGCAATATATAACTAATAAACTAATATTAGCACTAATATTTCTACATAACTAATATTCCAGAAGGCATGAAGAAAAAACAATATTCAAAGAGATAATGGCTAGTGTTTTTTTTTCAGAACTGATAAAAGACACATCCTTCAGATTCAAGAAACACACCAAATATTAGCAAAAAAAAAAAAAAACTGTTTAAATCCACACCCAATCATATTATAGGGAAACCATATGACAACAAAGACAATGAGAATATTTTTCAAGCAATCAGAGAAATGGCAGCTTATCTAAAAAGAACCCGAACCAAGTTGACTGACTACAAACTTCTCAACAGCAACAATGACAACCTCAAAATAACTGAGAAATAATTATTGAAAACTAATTGTTAATCTGGAATTTTATATCTAGTTACATTATTACTTTCAAGTGAGACTGAAAATAAAGTATTTTCAGGCAAAGACTAAGAGAATTTATCATTCCCAGTTGCTCACTGAAGTAGCTTTTACTGAAGAACATATTTTTAAGAAAGAAAAAAAAGAAATGAATAACAAGCAAAATGCAATGATAAACAGAGAAATAAACACATAAGTATATCTAAATTATGACTGAAAGAAACAACAAAAACAGTGACTGTTTTGAGAGACATTTGAAACAAAACAAAATACCAGACAACGTTAACACATAATTTAAGATGCGAGAGCAGTGGCTAAAATTAAAGCCTCTGAAGATCCTGAATTGTTCAAGAGAATGAGAGAAGATAAAAGGTGTGAAAAACAGAAACCACAAAACAAGATTCCAGAGATAAATTCAAACAGATCAGCAAGGAGAGTAAATATATTTGGATTAAATTTAACTTAGCCAGAAACATATTCTCAAATAGGATACAAAATAAAACCAGTTACTGCTATTTTCTTATAGAGATATATCTAGTGTCTAATAATGGAAAAATTTTGAAGAACGTGAAAAAGATACACTAGGCAAATATTAATCAAAAGAAAGCTATTATAGGTATTTCAATATCAGGTAGTATAAACTTAAAGGCAAAAAGCATAGCCATAAAGCAGTGTCCACATAACTATAAAAGGAACAGTTAAATCTGTAAAGAAGGTATTATACCTGAACTTGTATTCACCAATATAACTTAGTACAAATTATATAAAACAGAAATGGGCAGAATTGTAAGGAGAAACTGACCACCATGGGAGATTTTAACAAACATCTCTCTGCAACTCATAGAAGAACAGACAAAAATGTATACGTATACAGAAGATTTTATCCTAACACCTGATTTAACAGACTGTATAGTACCCTGTAACTAACAATTAAGAAAATGTAATTTCCAGATATAGACAGAACCATTAAAATATATGACCAATAAATACTAAGTCACAAGGCAAGTATCAGGAAATACAAAAAAAGTCATATTAACCTATTCTCTAATCACGCACAAGTAGAAATCAATAGGCAAAGATGTTTTTAAAACCCAACAGACAACAAAAAAAAAAACATACATACATATTTGGAAATTAAAACATATGCTTCTAGATAATTCATATTTCAAGGAAGTGACATATTAGTAATTAAAAACCTTTTAATATTTGATGATCATAATCAAATTAATATATCAAAACTTGTGGAGGTGGCTAAGGTGGTTCTTAAAGAGAAAATTCATAGCCTTAAAATAATATGAGAGAAAACAAAGACTTAAAATTCATGTGGGAGGTGTATAAATATTAAAACAATAAGTAAAAAAGTAAATTCCAAGAAAGGAAATAAAAGAGCAGAAATAAACAGACAATATTAACAAAACAAACAGGATTTCGACAAGAGTGAAATAAAATAGACAAACTGTCAGCCTGATAAAGGACACAAAAGAAGATACAGATAAGTAATTATTAGGAACAAAAAAATTTAAAGATGTAACTGAGATTTTTTACATCATATAAAACAGTATAAACAACTTAAAGCCAATAAATTTTAAAACTCAGATAAAACACAATATTCTAGAAACATGTAACTTCACAAATCTACACTTTTAATCATTAAAGAAGTTAAATTAATACTATAGTTTAAAACTCTGTTCCTTGCCAAAACATATATACATCAAGGTCAATCCATAGGCAATGTATTTAAAATCCTCAAAGAACAAATAATCCATACCTTAGACTATTTCAAGGTACAGAATAAAATCATACCATTTAATGGGTGATTATTGTAGCCCACCCAGGGGCTGGTTCCAAGTGTTTTACAGGTATTACTTAATTTAAATTTTGACATATCTCCACAAGGTAGGCTACATTTCACAGAAAAGGAAGCTGAAACTCAGGAGAGTGCCTCCCACTCAGTGTCCTGAGTAAAAGGTAATAGAATTACTACAAGGTGAACAAAGAATCAAACCCAAGCAATCTTGTTCCAGAATTCCACATCTTAACCCTACTTTATATTGCTGCCTCTCTAAAAGTAGAAAAGAATGGAATGAAAGAATAAGGAGTATAGTATTCCCCCTTATCCTTGGCAGATAGATTCTAAGACCCCAGTGGATGCCTGAAACCATGGATAGTCCCAAACTCTATACACACTATGTTTTTCCTATGCATACATACCTATAATAAAGTTTAATTTATAAATTAAGCACAGCAAGAGATTAATAACAGATAATAAAAAAGAACAATTATAATAATATACTGTAATAAAAGTTATGTAAATGCGGTTTCCCCCCACCCCCACCTCGAAATACCTTATTGTACTCTACTCACTATTTTCAGACCACAGTTGACCACAGGTAACTAGAAACCATGAAAAGCAAAACCACATATATGGGCAGAGGGGGACTACTCTTTCATTTATTTTATGATGTTAATATAATCTTGATACCAAAATCTAAGATAGTGTCAGGAAGAAAAATTACTGGCTAATCCAATGTGTGATTAAAGATGCAAAAATCCTAAATAACGAACCAAACGCAACTCATTCTAAAAATTGTACATTGTGACAAATATAGTTTCACTGACACTTAAAGGATTTATTTAAACAGATTAAAATTCAGCAGAATAAAAAACGAATGATCACTTCAAATTACGCAGAAAAATAATTTGGTAAAATTTAATATCCACTGATTAACCAAAAAAAACCATTCTTAGCAAGACAGAAATAGAAATGACTTTCCTTAACTTAAAAGTAATCTACCAAAAACATTAAAAAAAATACTTCCTGGTGAAATTCTGGCAGCATTCTCTTTAAAGTCAGAAATGGCAATCCCTATTGCCTGCAGTCACCATTTTCATTCAATATTTTACTGGAGGTCTTAGCTTGGGCAATAAAGAGGAAAAAATCTACTAGTATTAACATGAAAAATCCAAGACTACCATAAAATACTTAAATATATGTTTCTGTATTTGGTATTCTGTATTCAGCACACCAAATCCAACGGCATTTCCTCATCAGCAACAAGCAATCTGAAATACAGTTTTATAAGAAAGGTAACATATATACCTACCAAAAATTTATTAAGGTACCTAAAATTAATCTTTTTTTAAAAAAAGCAAGACCTGCACAGAGAAAATAAATTATCAATTTTACTTAAAGATAGAAAAGATCTCGATAAATGGAATTGATTAATAATTCTCCACAAATAAATTCACAAATTCAAAAAAAAATTTTTTAAACCCAATGGAACCTTTCATGGAATTTCATAAGCTGATCTTAAAATTCAGAAGATTAGTTAAGGGTAGAAATTCTGAATTTGAACAATAAAGGAAGACTTGGTCTTATCAAATATCAAAACTTTTTATAAAACTCTAGAAACTAAAGCAGAATAGGGCCAGTGAAACAAAATGGGAGAGCTGGGAGCACTTATGTATCTATGGAGAGAAGTGGTATTATAAGTCAGCAAGGATAGAACAGGAATGAAGCTGAGACAACTGTTTACCCGTATATCAAGAGATATATTTAGATTCCAACTTCACACTATGAACAAAAATAACTTCTAGGTGGATTAAAGGGCTAATGGATTAAAGAAAAACTTAAAAACTCTAAGGAGAGCAAACAACAACCTATCATCTGTTGAAAAAGACATAAAAAACACAAATCAGATTCACAATTTGCCATTCAAAAAGCCAAAGTTTAGAAGATATTTGCAACTCTCAAATAACCAGAAAATAGAAAGAACACTTCCACATCAGTATGGAATCTTGCAGGGATTCCACAGCAAGAACAAGCAACTCAGGAAGAAATCTGAACAACAAATGCCAATAAAGGAAATGGTACTCAACCTCAACAGTCATCAAGGAAATAAAAATTTTCATAATTGTGAGGTATCATTTCATACGCATTCGAGTTGCAAAACAAGTAAATCAGGTTATTCCAAGTACTGATGAGGATACAGGCACACAGGCACCCTTATAAAACAGTGGGTATGTAAACTATTTTGAGAGCAACTTGACAATGACTAGTAAAAGGTGCCTTCCCAATGACCCAGCAGTCCGTTTCTAGGTGTCCACACAGAGAAACTCTCAAAGTTATGCACAAGGAAATACAGGTAAAGATGCTTGTTGCACATTGTTTGTAAGGGCCAAGAAAGTAGAAAGTAGAAAAACGGATAAACTATGGATTTTTAAATACAATAAATAAACATATAAGTTATGGTTAACTCATTAAGCAGTGACTTTAATTCATCTCTACATAAACATGAAAAAATTTTGAAACATAACTTTTGAGCAAAAAGAGTTGTAAAATATCACCTAGTTTGATAACATTTATATACACTTCTAAACACGCAACCATTGTATATAATGTTATGGATATATATGTATGTAATAAAAGTACAACAGGCTTTAGCATAAGTCACAACTTTAAAACAGTGGGGAAGGGTAGGCAATGTGGTTTAAGTGTATTTGTAATAGTTTATTTCAGAGAAAAAGATAAAGAAAAATGTTAAAACCTGTTTATCTTTTTGGTAGGTGGGCATATTATTTTCAGTCACTTTAAGTGTGTGTGGATGGCTTTATAGGAAAGTTTAAATAAATTGTTATCACATTCTCACCAAGGAAAGCATTTAGCAGATATTTAAGAATAGGAAAAGACATTTTAAAAAGTAATAGGAAAACAACACCCATTCCCCTATCTACACAGAGCTAACCATTGATATTTTCTGTGTTTTTTCTTTCCATATAATTACACATAGACAATATTATTCTGTGTATATTGTTACAACCTTTTACTTTGTTCTTAACATACTACAGGCATGTTTCCTTGTCATTATTTCAAACTTGTAAAATTTACACATATCCATGGTAAAAAAAAAATTTTAACTGCTCAGGAGGGTATAGAAATGAAGAGCCTTCGTCCTTCCCTAGACTTCTATTGCCGAGAGTTTCCCATTTATCAGGTCCAGAAATTAGGCTTTTGTAACTAAGCAGAGTGGAGTACCTCTGTGGTGCCACTGGGTGGAGGCAGAGCTCTCAAATTGTAATCTTTGACATGAGTTATTTTTTAGAGATAATAAATCTGATCACAGCATTTCTTTCTTTTTCTTTTTTGAGACTGAGTCTTGCTCTGTCGCTCAGGCTGGAGTGCAGTGGCACAATCTCGGCTCACTGCAGCCTCTGCCTCCAGGGTTCAAGCGTTTCTCCTGCCTCAGCCTCCCGAGTAGCTGAGATTACAGGCGCACACCACCACGCCCAGCTAATTTTTGTATTTTTACTAGAGACAGGATTTCATCATGTTGGCCAGGCTGGTCTTGAACTCCTGACCTAGTGACCTGCCTGCCTCAGCCTCCCAAAGTGCCGGGATTACAGGCCACCGTGCCTGGCCTGATCACAACATTTCTAAAACATTAAATTTAAAATCAACTCTTGTACTTTTTTCTGATTTAAAAGTTTAAATTTGCCTGTATTCCACAATCACTTAAAACTAGAATAATTATTCACATTTAGTACAATTGTTTCCTTTTAACGGACATATGGATATCCAATACCTCTGCCCCCAACCCAAAAAGTGTTTTTTAAAAAGCAAAGAAAAAAACTAGTTAATCTAGATAATGCACTTTCATGCACAATTCAGATATTAAACACGGATTTTAAGGAGGAAATTCAACTTTTAAAAGCTATAGTTTTCAAACAAAAGCGTGTACTTATGAATCAGTGTTGCATTTGGCAAGCTTAAGTGCATATAATTCAAATAAACAAATACAAACTGAGAATATTCTAACTGCAGAGCTGGCCCAGATCTAGACATAACTTTGCAACCGTCATGACCTTGCAGTGTGGAGCAAGTGAAATGAATGCAGTCACACACTTCTAGTTTTGCTGTATTTACAATCTGTCCACTCTTCCTGCCTCTTTTAAGAGTTGAGTGCCGCCTCACTCTCCTTGCATTAACTGTCTGCTGTCAAACCAGAGAAGTAAAACCAGCAAAATAATACAAGTACATACCTGGAGTTAGTTAGTGGTAGAGCTAGGATTCAAATCCCTGTTTCCAAGATCTTCCCCTAATTTTTATTCCTACTATACATTAAGCGGCCATTTGAAAGGATATTTTCCCTGAATGCTCAGCACTTCATTCCCACACTGATTTGGCATTTATAGTGTGCTATCTTTACTGTCAATTATGTTTTTATATGACTCCTCATTTCAATTTAATTACAAGCAATGTTTTAAAAAAAGTCTTATATTCAACAATATAATGTTATATATAACAGTTGCTCAAATAAACACTTAATAATCAAATTTATAAAGCATTCAGATTTCTTTAAAGTGTGTGTATAAATATATAATATAAATATACACAAAGTATTGATATATGCATTGCATATGGTATTCTCAAATAGTAAATATTTAAATTACTAACAAAAAGAAAGAGAAAATGAAGGATAAACCCAATTTTTTCTCACAGATTTCGAAGTACATGATTCCTAAAAGGACATAGGAGAAAATTACTTTAAAACCTGTACCAACAATTTTTGTTGAAATTGCCACTTACCGGGAAATTGTGACACTATTGGGGGTGTGTCTTCATCTAAGTCATCAACTCCTCCAGCAATTGGATAGGGTGGAATGGAGACTCTGGGCATCACCACCCAGCTGTGATCAGAATAAAGGGAAGAGGTCAGGCTGGGGAGTCCTGAGTTATGGGCTATCTGAAAGCCACAGATCTTCTCAATTTGTTGCCAGCGAAAAAGTCGTTCTCGTAAACAAGTTGTCAACTCAGAGAGAGCTTTCCTGGAAAAGCCAATAAAGAAATTACTTACTGCATCAAAAGGTCTTTAATATGGCACTGAAAAAAGGCAATACATGAACAGACCATGGCAATTAACTAATTTCAAGAAGAAATAACCCACTCTTAAAACTAATGTAAATTATGTAATTATATAAATGATAAATATAAATTGTTCACAAATTACTCATTTTAACACAATAAACATAAATCAAATAAAAGTGAAAACAACATTCTTACTTTGCTTCCAGAATTTTGTGGTCTACCTCATCTAGGGAGGAGCTGTGTGCAACGTGCAGAGTCCCAAAGACTGTGCTTCTCTTCTTTTTAATTTTTTCTGCCTAGAAACCGAAAAGGACTAAATAAGGCTAGGTTTGAAAAAAATACAGACATTTTTGTATATATAACATAATAAAGTTTGTTTTGGTTTTGAATATATTAGCAATCATAAAACCAGTAGAGAATTACTAGCCAAGATATCCCTGCATTCCAAAAAAGAAAACAGATGAGGGAGAAAACGTGCTTTCCTAAGCCAATCGATGTAATTCAAAACTTTATTCTGGAGAATTTTTCTCTTATTTCTATGGTTCAGGAAGACCCGAATCTTGTACTAAAAGTAACAGAAGAACATTAGCTATATTATACTACAATGGTGCTAGTGAGTGAACTAAGCTTTTAAATTTTTTGGCTAGAATTCAGATTAAGACTTATTCTCATTCCACACAATTTAAGTGTCAAAGTTAATTTCCAGTAACTACTAACCTGAATCAGATATGAAGCAGCAACCTAGAGGAAAAAAGCTCTGTATAAAACTTTTATGATAATGATAAAAAAGAATAATGTTTAAATCACTAAGGTCACTTTGAAAAGTATACACTTCTCCAAATGCAGTAATTTTAATTTAAAGCTTATGATTACTAGAGTCTATTTACACAATAAGTTCCAGTTTGAAAAAAGAATCTGTAATAATAAAACTTTTATTCAGATCTGTGTATCCCAGCTGAGTAATCCCTCTAAGAATGCAGCCTAAGAAACAAATTTAGTAAATTTTGAAATACAAGAGAGTACCTCATCTTTAGCAATAGCTAGCTGCATTTCAGCGTTTTGTCTTTTAATATTGTAGTATTGCACTTCTACTTCATGTGTTAACTGAAGCCATTTCTGAAGTGCATCTGGAACAGACCAACTGCTTCTCAGTTCAAATTCTTTTTCGGCCTTTTTCAGAGCCATGCGAACCTAGAAGAAGGAAAGGAAGGAGGCAAGAAAGGAGAGAGGGAGGAAGGAAGGATTAAAATATTTTTTAGAACCCAAACTAAAAAAAAAAAAAAGCTATTTTAATTATGCTCTTTGTAAACATCGTTTTAAACTGCAAAGTCTAAATACAGTAGATTTCTAGCATTAAAATTAAGGCTGACAACAGAGCGAGACTCCGTCTCAAAAAAAAAAAAAAAATGAAGGCTGAGCTTCAAGTGCATCTTAAATCCACTAAGCAAAGTTGTGAAGGAGGGTAGAGAGGGCTTATTTATATCTTAAGTTGCAATATTTAGTTTTGTATGTTATGAAAACCAGACTCACTGAGGGGGAAAAAAAAGTCAAGGGTATATACAAATTAAAACTGATCATATTTTTCCCATAATGCATATTTCATTTATGAAGTATTATATAAAGAAATGTCCAAAATTGGGTGGATACACGTTCTACTCCTCCTCCTAATGTTTCCAGAAGAGCCTACTGTAGCTCCTTCACTATATACTCACTTTTTAAAAATTGTATTTTTCTGTAGTTTTTCATGACATCCTCTTTATGGCCAGTTATTTCTTACTGTTTCCAAGTATATCTGCCTATTATTGTCTGTTTTACCACTTCCGCTACATAATTCACTGCTTTGAATACACCAGAAACTAGCTAAGTGAACATCTGCAGAGCATGTACAGATTTTGAGAAAACAGATTCTGAGAGTCTACTTGATTTTTCTCATGAGAAACTATGCATAGTCTTCAGTATAACGATGTCATAGTATTTCTTCCACCTGCCCTTTAATGGAGCCAGACAATAAGCAGAGAAAAAACAAAAATGCTTGGTGGTTAGGTGATAAGTGCTAAGAAAAAGTATCATAAGGAAAGCCTCACTAAGGAAAGACACAAAAGGAATAGATAATTCATTCTTGGAATGATTTACTTAAAAACTAGCAAGAGCTTTCAAACTAAAGATATATAAAGACACAGGATGTAATTATGAAATTGTGCACATACACTCACACTCAAGACCTTGAGGCAAAGCTACGAGCGACTACGGAGCATCCTGCGTGTCGAGCACCACCCCGCAGATTAATTTTCCCCAAAGCTAACTAAGGACACTGAAGAGCAAAGGAATGTTTGATCTGAACAAACCCAACTTATTTGAATAAACTTTATAGTGTGCCAGAATAAACCAACAAGAGTACTATACACAAACTTCTGATAAAGAAATAGAACAGCTGTCAGTTAGTGTGAAAACAAAGAATTACGTAGAAAAATATATTTTAAGATTCCAAAATTAAAAACAAAATTCACAATGCAACACTAGGTGACAGTTCAAAAAGACACATTAAAGTAAGGGGAAGAGCACTAACTCACTGCAAACAAATCCCGAGCAACATCTGCCTACATAACTAACTGCAATGGCTTGGGACAATACTGTGTTTAATAAGTCAGTTGGGTAAGCTGTGTGGCGTCCCTGCTAATCTCTCAGGGAGATAAAATTTAAGCTCAGGTTCATGCAGACCTGCATAACACCACAAAATGTAAGTCCGCAAGCCCTTCTTCTCAGAAGATTTTAAAGCTAAAATTTCTATACAATTTTCACTTCCAAGGAATTATACAGAGAATCTCAACAAAATTCATTCAAGTTACTCTCTTTAATCATAGATTTTTCTTAATATTTCCATAAATGTATTTCCCCTAAAAGAGCTCAAAGGAAACACATTTAACATAAAAACTACTTACATATTTTTAGCATAAATTGAAGCTGAACAATGTTCAGATTGATTGCCAAATAATGACTCAAACCTGTGGAAAGTCTGACCTTCCAATAGTGGCAACTATTTAACTGTTTTCTCTGCTATTACTCATGAATGTTTCATTTGATCTAAATCCCAACCCTTAGTTTAAATCACATTGTTGTTTACAGGGGAATGAACACAGAAAAAATTGAGTAATAAACAGCTTTTGCAAACAATAAATAACTGTTTAAAATGTAATAATTATTTACATGATTTTTGTATCTTTGGAATAAAACAACAGTAAGTAAAAACATGATGTCACAAAAACAGCCTAAACATCTGAAAACTTCTTTTCTAGACCCAACTGTATTATTTTTCATCTCTGTAACCTTCAGTAAGTTCCTAAGGCTTATTGTCTCACGTATAATAGGGGTATTATCACTTGCCCTGATTAAAGGCTTCCTGAGACTTTTTCTAAGAAATTAATTTGTGAAAACTACTTAAATCACACAAAACATAAAGCAGTACTATTAGTCACCCAAAGTCTCTGTTCTAGGAAAAATAACACTATATAAAAAACATACCAGATTTTCCTGACTTCTAAATTTATGTTGATTATTCTCCAGACAAAATACAGTAATTCCTTGAACTACGTGGAATTGTGGGTTATGTCATATTATACATCATTTCTCAGTTAAACTTATTTCTACAAGCAAAGCTTTTAATAGCAGTATAAGAAGACACAGACTTTGGAATATGACACGCAAAACCTTGCCTTTACCAGTTAATAGCTGTGTAACCCAAGGCAAGTAAGTTATCTAGCCTCTCTACACAGCTCATTTGTAAATGAAGATAATACCTATGTGTTGTGAGGATTAAAATTTATGAGCAAACCACTGGCAATGTGTGTAGCATACACTTCTGGCACACAGTAAGCCCTCAGAAAATTGTGTTTCTTATTAATACGATCATGCCAGACAGTGTTCTTTTTAAAATACCAATTTCCTTCCTTTAAACCGCCTTTTATTGACCAAGGATCTAATGAGATTATTCATACCAATAATACCAATACATCACATTTTGGTAACTTCGGGGTCTACTGAGGTGTGCATGGTCTCTCTCCCAAAGCTTCAAGTTAGAATGTCCACAATTCTTGGGCCCTTTTTTTATATTGTCTCTTCTCCCTCACTGTGAGGCAGGCACCTGTGAAGTACTACCATCAGTTTATATCTCTGTAGAAGAATTCCAAACTACTGTTTTCTGATTCGCTCTTTTTTATATACAAAGTTTAGAAAGACAGAAATATACCAGAACAAACCGAGAGTTGGATGTCTTGGTGGAAAAAGGCAGGGAGTTCTTACAGGAGTGCAAAGGGCATAGTACCCACTTCTCGGATACCGTATGATTTCGACTAGGCCTTTTTTGTCAACTCCCTGATTCTTTGCTACATTCTGTGCTGATATGGTTTGTTAGTTGAATGAGGCATGACTGTAAAATACATCTAAGAGTCCTTAGAGGGAAGAGCTCCAAAAAACAGACATCTGGGGGTGTGAGAGAAGGAGTGGTTAACAGTTATAAAAAAGATGGCTGTGTTCAGTCAGACATATTCTCATAAAATGACAATCTTGAAGGAAACAGTAATGTATTCTCATGAGTTGACCTTATGTCATTCATCACTTAATTTGCATTTCTTATTTAGCACTCTATTAAGAAGGCAGCAACAGCGCATAAAACAAAGTGGAGGCAGAACACCTAAGTTCTTGCCCCTGCTTTATAACTGAGTCACCTCTAATTTTGAGCAAGTTTTATAATCCTCATTTTGTTCTTCAGTTTCATTATCAGTAAAGAAAGCATCAAAGTCAGAAGGAGGAGATGAGACCACAGAAGTAGAGGCTGGAATGATGGGCTTTCAAGACAGACGAAGGGGCATGAGCTGAGAAATGTGGGTGGCCTTTACCAGTGGAGAAGGCAAGGAAACACGTCCTCCCCTACAGCCTGCAGAGGGAACACAGTCCTGCAGGCTCGCCTCAACTCACTCTGACCTCCAGAACTTTACGATGATAAATTTCTGTTTATTTAAACCACTAAGTTTGTGGCTTTTTTTTTTCTTTTTACAGCAGGAACAGGAAACTAATGCATCTGTCTATAATTAAATTCTGCCAGCACCTCACCTTCTCCAAAGGACTCCGTGCAATGCCTAAATGCCTATATTCTATCTTAAGTAACTGAACAGGAGAAGCAGGTATTGGAAAGGAGCTTCAGAACTTTTAGCAGATTATGTTCTAAAACTATTTAACAGGATTCAAATGGATGTTTAATAGAGATCCTTTACCTTTGCAGAGAAGTTCAAAATTAGATATACTTTATATCTTACTACATTATAGTCAGAAACTTAAACATATTACAGATGTTAAACAAACACCTTAAATTTACTCAAGACAGTGAAGATGGCAAGGTAAGATTTCATGAATGAGTGAACATGATGGTAACTATCTTTCAGTTACTACTGTGTTATTTTGCTATATGAACTTTGATCAATGCTAACAACATAAACAAATGAGTCTTTTATCAACTGAGGAACTACAGTGGAACTAAATGTAGGAAACTGAAGAAAAACAGGACCTGGCTCCTCAGAGTGGCAATGTTAACATCTTTACAAGTGATTTTTTTTTTAATGTAAATACCTGTTCCAATTCCTGTTCTGCATACTGACGTCTACTCAATTCACATTCAGCTCCCTCCCTTAGCTCTCTCAGCCGACAAGCCTCCTCCTTTGCATAATTGATTTCATCCATCATTTTGCGCTCTAAATTTTGCTTTTCTACAGCAACATTTCTGTTTTCTTCCTGTGCCTTTTCAAGCCTTATAGAACAATAAAAATAAAAATTCCTCACAAAAATTTCCAGTTTTATTTTTTTTTACAAAATAATGAATACTGGGTCAAGCGATTAAATACATATTTCAATCAGAAATCATAGCATTTTTCATTAGCCTTAAGTTTGGTTAATACAAATATCAGGCAACTTACTATACAGCTATTTTGGTTATCCTGGGTTCAAATGACAGGGAAAGCAGGGAAATACTCTTCCGCAAAAAGCTTTTCAAAAATTCCTAATTATTTAAATCAAGTTAAAAATAAAATTTAACTACACATCTAATTCCACTATATTTGACTTACCTCCACTGTTCTTCTACTCATTTATTCTCAAGTATACACATTTATAATAAATCTGTAATTATAAAAGTATACTTTTCTAAAAATGTGAAATCAAATATGCATCTATTCCTGATGTGTATAATAACCTAAATGTAAGTATTTAAGCACATGCCCATATCACTTTTTTTACAAATTGTATTTGCCTACATAAATGAGTTATGATTTTTCTGAACTTACCTCTCCTGTAAGTCCATTAGACTTTGCTCTGCAGTTTGTAAGCTCTCTAAATCTTTCATCATTTTTGCAACATGTTCTTTTGATGTCTTATTCTGCGTATAAGCAAACCAGCAGCCTCCAACACCAATTACTATAGAAACTGTGAGGATAAAATCTTTCATCCAGTTATGAGGTGGGCCTATTAAAAGAATTACAGATGATTAAATTAATCTTTGAGTATGACAGGACCTCAATACAAAAAGACATTTTTTAAGTAGTATCTAAAACAAAACCAAAAATTGGAGATCTCTTTCCCATGCACAAGCTCTAGCCTTTTAAAATTCTTTCTTCAAATAATGACTGTGCTTCTTGTAACTCTTTGATATACTAGACTTATAGAAGGGCAGAGGTAAACCCATATAGACACACCACGCCCCTGCTGGTGGGAGAAGGAGTGGTCAAAGTCATGGGGACCCTTGAAAAAGCAACAGCACCTCCAATCATATGCTGCCAGAATGGTCCTCTGTGGGGTGAAGGGAGTCATCAAAAGTATCACCACCATCATCCCAACTCCCTTCCTTCAGTCAAGCTAGGCAGCTGTCACGTTTCTCTCACACTTATAAACCTGATCACTCACCAAAATGTATTTTCCCCAAGGAGGCAGCTATATAACTAATTAGGTTAGGTTAATCAGTGGTTCTCAAGGCTGGTGATAATTCCTCACCCACCCCTAGCAGACATTTGACAATTTTGGGTTGTCTCAACTTGGGGGAGTGGTTACTGGCACCTAGTGGGCAGACATCAGAAGTATTGCTGAACACCCTACAGTGCGCAAGACAACCTCCTCCCTGTGTCCCCTCTGCGGATGACAAAGACTTAACCAGAAACTATCCAGCCCAAAGAGTGACTAGTGCTAAGGCTGATAAAGCCTGGGTTAAATAGTAATAACAATTATTCAGTTTTAGGTGTCTATATGCCAGAGATATGGGGGTTACTGGTATGATGTTAACCCCCAGCCTTATGTCTAAAACAAAGAGTGAGGAGCCAGGGCCTACTGCCTTCAGTGATACAAAACACAGAAATCACTATTCAGATTTCCTGATTTAGCCCAGTCAGTACACACTAATTTTCACGGGGCTCTCTCGAACAGAGACACAATGATAGCTAATATATTATTTTAATGCTCCAAAGAGATACAGCTCACAGTGAAAAACTGCCTAAATGCCCAGGCCTCCGGCAGAAACATATTTTGAAGTTTGGTGACATAAAAGAGTTCTACAGAAGTTCCTAGGCTGACAAGTCTGGGGTTTGGCTATGTTTGTGTAGTGTGATATGTAGCATGCTCTATGTCAGAGACTCTCAGTTCTCCACATTGCCAGAGTGTACACCTTCACCCTTCCACCTGTAGGGGAAGAAATGTACTGCTGAAAGCTACAATCTCAAAAGCATTTTTTATTTCTGCCTCACACTGAGATGTTCAATTCAGGTTCTCCTTCAACTGTGAGCCCTATTCTCTGACCATAAATAACAATAAATAGATAAATAAGGTCCTACACTCAATAATAAGCACCACAGACTGGAAAAGATTAAAAAAAAAAAAACTTTAAAATGTATCTCTGTTCATTTGACAATGCTGGTTTTTAAAATAAATCTAACATAAGTGTTCTGACTATGGGGCACATTCACTCAACCATTCTAAGACAAACATATTTAAAATCATTAACTTTTTAATTGGTTTATTTAAATATTTGTTTACAATCTTTTTTGAGACTAGTTTGATTTCTTTTCAAATGACTTGGTAATATAATTTTTGGGGCTTAGAAAGGGGTTAGTTCCAAGATTAATAAAATATGAGTATTCCTGATCAAGTTGTAAATAGAAACAAATTCTATACTTTAATTCCTATTTTTACCAACCACTCACATGAGAAAAATTGGACAGAATCCCACAGAAGACAATCCCCCAATGGATTCAGTCTGGAAGTGAGGACAAGGAAAAGGTTGGAAAGGGCATCATCTCTATGGAACGCTCGGCATTTCAGTAGTGTTCTATTTCCTAGGGTTTGTAATTTCCACCAACAGTGCATTTCCACCAGCTCTCATATGGGGAGTTCCAGCTGTTTCACCAGCTGCTCTTTTAGCCCAAGCCAAAAAAGAACCACCAGTAAAGTCATAAAATCTATTCAACCAATTCTAGTTACCCTTTTTTAGAAGGGCCATTCCCAAGATGGTATCATAGAAACCTGAAAATCTCCTAACTCCAAGAATTCAGGGAGAATAAACATTAGTTTCCTACTTTATAACTTGTGGAAGGCATTTTTCTTGTATTAATTTTGTTATACTTTTTTGACTAAAAAAAAAAAACATAATTCCTTTAAAAGGTGTACTTTTCAAACACTTTCTCCCAAAGCTTTCTGAAAAAATTGAAATTAAATAAAACAAACATATTAAATTTCTCTTCTGGGGAAAAAATATTCCTGTCAAAGTAAATAAATACAAGGTTTATTTTCTTTACAGATATTGCATAACACTTTCTCAAATGTTTCTCTTCAAAACAATCAAATAACATTTTCTACTTCTTGCTCCTGCCAGTAGAGTTTGTTAATTTATAAAGCTTCAAGTGAGTCTTTGCTTTCCATCTATACCTAAAAATCCATTTTCTTGGTGTTTAGTGAAAACTGTTAGGCTCTATTGCTTCATGCCATCAAGATGGTTAGACTATATTATTTTTTAAGAGATTCCTCAGTGAATATCCAATTATAGTAACATCAACATTAAAACTCCTCCAAAGATCCAAAGTTTTAAATCTAAAAATTCTAAATTAACAGCTAAATATAGTTTTTTATATAACTTCTTACATTAGTAACCAGCTTTGAAAATTTCACACTCATGTTTCAATGACAGAAAATCCTATCTTATAAATCTTTTAAGGTAGTATTACACTTCTTTCACAGGTAATAGATGATTCTTCTTAGAGGCCTACTATCTTATTTTTCTCTTTCCTTAAATAACACAGAGATGATCAGGATATTCTTTTACATCATCCTCTGAGTGAGAGAGAATACTAACGTGTTAGAGGTCCAAACAAAACCACATCCAATGCCTTGAGCTGAAGTTTTTGTCTGTGACTCCGGTCACTGATTTTCAACTGGGAGATCATAAATGAAGGTTCGTGCACTGCTATCCTGTTTATTTGAAAAACACACACACATATATATATATATTAAATGAAAATATTTCTAGTATACAAATTTAAATATTTGAGCAACACATTTAACACTTTACATATTATTGATGATCACTGTTGGAGCTCATCCATGTGTGATTTAATAATTTGTTACATGTTTCAAAAACCTCTTCAGTGCAAACTTAGCTGTAGAAAGACTCCTGTATGTTAATAATTTAGTAGCTACATTGAAAAAGTTTTGGTTTTCTAAGGTTACTTTCTGTTATGACTTACTATGATTTAGAAATTTATAAAGTTGAAAAAAAAATTTTTTTTTTTGAGACAGAGTCTCATTCTGTCACCCAGGCTGGAGTGCAGTGGTTCGATCTCGGCTCTCTGCAACCTCCGCCTCCCGGGTTCAAGCAATTCTCCTGCCTCAGCCTCCCAAGTAGCTGGGACTACAGGCACGTGCCACCACGCCTGGGTAATTTTTTGTATTTTTAGTAGAGATGGGGTTTCACCATGTTGGCCAGGATGGTCTCGATCTCCTGACCTCGTGATCCGCCCGCCTCAGCCTCCCAAAGTGCTGAGATTACAGGCATGAACCACCGCTCCCAGCCTAAAGTTGAAAATATTTTATAGTCATTAATTACTTCTGTCACTTATTATCCTTTCACAAAGGATAATAAAACCATAAGTAACTTAATTTAACATCTATAGCAGACTTTAAAAAACAATTAAGTTTTCAATTTAGATCATATTGATTTTCTTTAAAAGTATCAAAAAATCTATACTTTTAACATTCTAATGTTTAACTGTTTAAAAATTGAACAAAGTACATTGAAGTCACAAGTGGGAAATAAAAAGCCTTCATGGATTGAGGTAGGTAGGTAGAGGAATTTATATAATAATAAGTACTAAACCATTTTATTAGCTATGAAGAAAGCACGTAGGAGGCACAGGTAAAATAAGGAAATAAAATCACTTTATTATGGACTGTAAATACAAGCAACCCAGTACTCAACTAAGATTTCTTAACAACCAAGTATGATGCTAGTAAAGATTTCATTACACAAAGTCTAATAATAATAACAATGACAATAAACACAGGCATATAATATATGCTGGGTCCTGTACCAATGGCTTAATACTCAAGAAAACCTTATAATAGTATTTCCATTTTATAGGTGAAGATACTTGTGAGAGGTTGAGTAACTTGCCTAAGGTTACATAATTAGTAATAGGTAAGGCAAGGATTCAAACCCAAATATGTACGATTCCAAAGACTACTTTGAAACACTACATTTTGTATAGAAAGATATCAGTACTCTCTAAGTATGGAAAAATTACAGGAACTCCTATGAGGCTTCTATAAAACCTTAAAGAGCAAAGAACTGTAACATTCCCTCTCTGAAATGCCTTCCTTTATCTTCTCCACAGGTACTTTCGTATAATGCTTCCCTTACACCTTTAACATGACACTTATCAAATTGCATGAAGGCAAAGACTATGTCGTATCTCTGTATCCCCAAAGCCTAATGTAGTACTTGCCAAAAGTAGAAGCTTGATAAATGTTTGTATAATAGCTGAATGAATGTATGTAGGTATGGATGCATGAATTAATAGCAAACTATCAATAGACTAAGAAAGACAATGAGATGTAGTAAAAAAGAAAATACATAACAAAATTTTATGCGAGATTCAATATGAGTCCAGAGGTAAAAATGATTCCACCTGAGTGGGTGAGGGTGTCAGGGAAGGCCACATAGGCCTGAAAGAAATGAGGTGGTATGTGTCAGGTGAAGACAGCCTTAGTATAATGTTTGGCAGTAAGAATTACAGAGTATAGAAAACACAGCGAAAGGTTTAAGATAACCACTACAGCCAACATAAAACATAGTTTTGGCTACCTTTAGCAAATGTAAAGGGTTTTAATGTCACAGAAAAGAAACATCATAATGGACTGTTGTAGGCCAACTATCTATAGAATATGTAATACATTTTCTTATACATTCTTGTAACTAGTTCTTATGTCTACAGATACCATACAAAGAGCTCTGGAACTTACATAATAATTGAAATTAATTGATATTGCCCCTTTAAGTTGACTCATCTAATTTCCATTACTATATAATAGGGGCTTAAGGAAGAGTTTACTGTTCTCCTTTCTCCTCCACTAAAAAAGGTTCCAATGGGCTGACCTGAAAACTGAAGTTATAATGTTTTTCTATAGTAACATGTTCACTATTTAAGGAGTTGATCTTGACAAGTGTGTGATGTCACAATTTTACCAGAATTGGAAGCATCTCTGATCATCTTTACTTAACCAAAGGAAATGAGTAGCTATAACACTGACTGTCAAAACTCAGATTAGCCTATTTTATTTCATGTTGTTGTTAAACAAACAAGTTTCTCAAAAGGCAACAAGAAAATTCCTATTGTTCCTCATACCCAGGGCAACATATATAAATAAATAAATTCTAATCTCATTTTAATGTTTGACTCTGTTTTAATTTAAGAACTTGTTTTAATTAAAATAACTATATTTTATTTGATTTTTGTCTTCTTTCAAGCATCTAGTTGTACCATGAACATAAAAGATATTCAGTAAGTACTTATCAAATTGACTCTTATCCCTATAATTTCATCATTCTAGTCATGTGTATAATAAAATCAGAAATACTAATGTTGATGTTCAGAATACATTTAAAACAGATTTGAAAACTTTCAACTTGATCAAAATACAAACCTCAAAGCAACAAAGGATACTTATCTAAATAGGGCATGTAAGGAAGTTGACTAGGGACACAATGTATATATTTCATTACATATAATGATTAGATTGTAATAACTGATTAGAGTCTTTTTGGATGTAGGAAATCATCCAGGGAAAAATAAAACTTAAGAAGCAATCTTGTAAGGGTAAAAAATTCTGGTAGAATCATTGCAAATTTTGACATTTAAATCCTTCAAGATTATTAAGTTAATTAAATTAATTAAAAATTATAATTTCTAAATTATATCATTTGGTACTTGCAAATGATACAATTTAGATATAATTTAGAAAATAAAATTTAGAGAACAACTGGATTCAGACACCTAAGGGATAAACTGGCAACCTGGACTTTGCTATCAAATCTATCTGGGTTTAAATGCTGCCTTGGGCAAAATGTTTAACTTGTCTCTGACTTGGTTTTTTTAACCTGTAAAATGGGAAGGACAATATATACCTCATTTTAATCATGAGGGTTAAATGAGATAATATAAAGTACTTCTATGTAGCATACATTTTAAAATGGTTGCTATTTTTTATTAATTTCATTTTTAAAATTCAGGTATAACGTATAGACGCCATAATTCGATGGTTATTGTCATTTAAAATGTCACAAGAAAGAGACGCACATTAATTCATTCAAGTAGATGTGTTCATAAAAATGAATCAGTATCAAATAAAAAAGTTTTTCTTAGATTGGCCAAAAGTTGACCCTTGATGTTATTTACAAATGATATAGTTGACCCATCTTCTGAAACTCAAAATCATGTTCCTTGGAAATAATTTTTCCAAGAGCCTGATTATTTAGACAAGAAAAATTGATTAAAACTTGAAAATGCATAATTTAGAAAGATTAAAGAATGGATATATTTATATTTCCTTTGTGCCCTCAGCCACGGAAGTAACTTGTAGATTCAGTATGGGGAAATGACATCTAGCATATAATTCTCCCTGAGTGGAAAATACATTTGCATAACAAAGACTCACCTGGGAAGTGTCGTTCCTTTGACATTGTTGTCTCTAAAATTCTTCTCATATTGGGGTAGTTCAACAAACTCTATCAACCACTGAAGAGTGTCTTCAAGGGTCCAATTATGAACTGCAGGAGATAAAAGGGGAATGCATATTTTAAACACACCTGCTTTCAGAAATACATATTCTATAATTTCAGAGAATATAAAGATATTAGATTGCATTTTCAATTTAATCAACATTAAGTACCAAAACTGTATCTAGCACTCTATGAGAAGAAGAAAGCCTTACAATCAAAAACAGAAGTGATAGTAAAAGCAATTAGGACAAAGATTAGCATGATTAATTCGAAAATAAACACCTATACAAGTTTGTAAGAATGAAATAATCTATCATTTTTCTGGTTGTAGAAAATTACCAGATACATACTTGTTCATTCTTTCATCTAGCCATCCACCCATATAGTATTGTAATACCGAAAACATTCTGAATACCAGATTTCATTCTAAGCACTGGGCATATGGCAGTGAATAAAACGGATAAAGTCCTTGTATGGAACTTAAATTCCTTTGGGTTTGGGGAGGGGCACTTTATGAAAGAAGGAAGAAGAGGAAGGGAAATTTCAGATAGTGATTAACTTAAGAAAAGCAGGAAAGATGTCAGGGTAAGCCTCTCTAAGGAGCTGACATCTGAGACCTAAAAATTGCAAGGAGTCCCATTGTGAAGACATGGGTGAAAAATATCCCAAAGAGAGGAAAAGGCTGTAAAAAAAAGCCTTCAGATGGAATGAACTAGCAGTGTTTGAGAGACTGGCAGAAAGTCAGAGAGGAGCTAGGTCATGAAAGGCTTTCAAGAACTCTGGACAGTTTTCTAATTTCAATAAAAAGAAGGGGAATAATCTTTTTTTAGAATGTTGTTCTTCAATGTGGAGAATAGATTGTTCATGATAAGACTAAAAATGGTCCAGTCTTATCATGAAATACGGAGAAATAAGAAGACCATTCCTTATATAATTGCCTAGACAGGAAAGGGTCATCATCTTAGACTATGATAGTAGTAGATAAGATGACAACAAGGAGTCAGATTCAGGATATATTCTGGGGATAATGCTATTAAGATGCGCTGATGAAATGGACAGGGGCTGGTAGCTAAACAAAAGCCAAAAGTACAGAGGGTGCTACCATTAACTGAGATAGAAAAGAATGGGGAGGAAAAGATTGGGGAAACGAGCAGGGGCCGGTGACAGAGATCAAAAGTTGTTTTAAGACACGTTATGTTTGAAGTATGCATTTGACATTTAAGTGTAGATAATAGAGCAGCAGTCAGATCTGCAAGTCTGGAGCTTAGGAAAAAGTGAGGTTAGGAACAGAGGTATTGGTGGGAAGTCACCAACATACAGATGATCTTTAGACTAAATGACATCAACCAGAAAAGACAGCTATTAATAGATTCTAGAAGACTGGACCTAAATCAAGAATAAAATAACTAGCATCTCTTCTCCTGGATATTTATTTTAAATTAAGTCCTTTGTATGCATTTTCTTAAGTCTTAAAAAAAACTTACGAGGTTCTAACATAATTATCTTTATTTTGGAAGTTAAAAACTAAAAAGCTAATGGAACCAACAAAGTAAGCAGCAGGACTGGATTTGAACTCAGGCAAACTGTTCACAGAACAAAACTTTATACTACTCTGAAAGTAGTAATACTAAATAACAGTAAAGATATAAACAAGCAGTTAAGCGCTGGACGCAGTTCAGAGGTTTCTGCTTATGAAGAGTAATGATGAGTTTATGCAAAGGGAAGGATGTAAGTGTGCTTACAAATGAATAGTTCTATACTGTCTGCATTTAATTTGAGGGTTAATGCTTATAGACTACAGAAGAGATCAAGGGAGAGTGAAGAAAACGTGAGCAATAAAAGCAGATCTGGGAATCCATCTGTATATAAATAAATCTGAAAAAAATCTTTCTGATAAGCTACATAAAAATATGAATTCATACTTGCAAGCAAAGCTAGGTTTCCATCAATCTGCCTTTTTTATTAAGTGTTCTTTAGAGAAAAAGCTTAAATAAACCACAAACAAAAACCAAAAACATTTAAAACTAGATGTGGTAACTGATAGTTTTATATTGAAACAAAGCCTTGACTGTTCTCCCCTTCATGTGTTCCTACCATAAAACCTGGACATGGGCCTGAGGCTGCTGTATCCATTTAACCAAGTAACAGGATGTCAGCTGAAGGTTCAGGCCCTGGGTGTTTTCCACTGAATTTAGTGCATTCAAAGTAGACTTTTTACTCTTAAGTTTCTTCCTATTCAAGATGAACTGCATTGAGAATTGCCCTGTCCTCACTGCCAAAAAACTCATGGTGCAGCTGTACCTCACACGCCCACACAAAATCCCCAGCCAAGAAAACAAGATAAGATTCTCTCTATGACTGTTCAACAGTGAAAATTCCTGATCTAAACACTTCAGCACATCAAAGTCATCCCACAATTTCCAGTAAGTCAGTACAGAAAGGAAGAAAAATCAAATGAAAAAGAACATATTAAAACTGCCCAAATCTTAGTAATACTCTGCTTAGCAAATTGAAAATTGTAGTGGTCTTGACAACGAATCTTTAAAACAACAGATCTAACAGAACCATTTATTTTGGGGGGAGATTCACTTCTCCTTTTGCTGTGGTTTCCTTGGTGATACTTAGTAAACACCTTCACTTCTCTTCTCATGACCAGGACTTGCATTTTTTATTAGCATTCTCTGTTCCAAATACTCTAGTTGTCTTTCATTTCTTAGGACAGATCATACTATGTCCTTCTTCAGGGCCTCTGTACGTGCTGTTTGCTGAGTATAAGCTCCTTTTTGCTATCCCTCCACCTTTTTGTTTCATTAAACCTTCATATCTCAGCTAAAACTTTAATTCTTCAAGTGAACCTTTCTGAACATTACTATATAACCTTTTTTTTCCTTTTTTTGTAGAGATAGGGTCTTGCTATGTTGCATAGGCTGATCTCTTGAACTCCTCTGCCTCTCAAAGTGCTGAGATTACAGGTATGAGACACCACACCCAGCCCCTGATTATTAATCCCTTAGTAGCTTTTATGCATAGCATTTAAATAACTATAACTACTTATCTGTATGATTGTTACTTCAACAACTGTTTATTTCAGTAAAGTATAAGTCTTCTGCTCATCACTCTAACCCTAGCACTTGGTATAAAGGCACTCAACAAATTATTTGTTGGATGCTGTTGAATGACGTAGAACATGTTTAATTAATAAGTCTTATGAAAATCTAATTTTACATTTTAATGGTGAGACAAGGATTTGTATGTATAAGAAATTCTTTTTTAACATTTTCTAAATTTCAATAGCTTTTGGGGTACAAGCGATTTTTCATTACATAAGAAATTCTTGATGGTAAAAGAATTACTCATTTAAGAATTATCTGGTTCCTTATTACCTGCCTCTCACTGATCTTTTATAGATGCTGTTGCTAAACAACACTTCCATCAGAGGGCAAGCAGAGAGAGATACACCATTCCTTTTAAAGGTATCTTTCCCAATCTGCAGAGCTACAGAAATGCCAGCTTCTAAAATGTTAACTTATATTGTTTCTGCTTGAAGTTGTGGCCAGTGCTACAGGTCAGTGTCTCAAAGGGATTTTTGGCAATTTATTCTAAGACTAATGAAAAGAACTCTGGAATGGAAACAGACCTGATTTTACTCCCAGCTGTGCCACTGATTCAGGATAATATCATAGCCACATTATTTAACTACAGCTCAGATTCTCTTTTTTAAATTGATGTTATACATATGTTGGGAGTACATATGGTATTTTGATACACGTATACAATGTGTGATGATCAAATCAGGGTAACTGAGATATCCATCACCTCAAACATTTATCTTTTCTCCATGTTGGAACCATTATAATTATCTTCCAGCTATTTGGAAACACACAATAAATTACTGTTAACTTTAATTTCCCTACTTTAGTATCAAATACTAGAACTTATTACTTCTACCTAACTGCATTTTTGTACCCATTAACCAACTTCTCTTCATTCCCCTCTTCGCTTCCCAGCCTCTGGTAACCACCATTCTACTCTCTACTTCCATAAAATCCACTTTTTTAGCTCCTATATCTGAGGAAGAACGTGTGATATTTGTCTTTCTGTGCCTGGTTTATTTCACTTAACATAATGATCTTCAGTTCCATTTTGCTGTAAATAACGGGATTTTATTCTTTTTTATGGCTGAATAATATTCCATTGTGTATACATACCACATTTTCTTTATCCATCCACCTGATGATGGACACTTAGGTTGATTCCACATCTTGCCTATTGTGAATAGTGCTGCAGTAAACATGAGAGTGCAGGTATCATTTGGAACAATGATTTCCTTTCTTTTAGACATATATTCAGCAGTGAATCTGCTGAATCATATGCTAGCTCTATTTTTAGTTTTTTTGAGAAACCTCCATACTGTTTTCCTTAATAACTGTACTACTTTACATTCCCACAAATAGTATGTAAGAGTTCCCCTTTCTCCACACCTTCAACAGCATTTGTAATTTTTTGTCTTTTTGATAACAGCCATTCAAACTGGAGTGTGATAATATCTCATTGTAGTTTGGATTTGCATTTCCCTGATGATTAGTGATGCTGAACATTTTTTCGTATACCTGTGGGCCACTGGTATGTCTTTATGCCTACTCAGGTCTTTTGCCCATTTTTTACTCAGATTATTTGTTTTTCTGCTATTGAGCTGTTTGAGTTCCTTATATATTCTGGTTATTAATCTCTTGTCAGAAGGATAGTTTGCAAATTTTCTCCCACCCCATAGGTTGTCTCTTCACTTTGTTCATTGTTTCCTTTGCCATGCAGAAGCTTTTTAGCTTGATACAATCCCATTTGTCTGTTTTTGCTTTTGTTGCCTATGCTTTTCAGGTCTTAACCCAAAAAGCTTCTTGTCCAGCCTAATGTCCTGAAGCCTTTCCTCAATGTTTTCTAATAGTTTCAGATCTTACATTTAAGTCTTTAATCAATTTTGAGTTGATTTTTGCATATGGTAGAGATCTAGATTCATTCTTCTGCATAGAGATATCCAGTTTTCCTAGCACCATTTATTAAACAGACCATTCCTTCCCCAATGCACATTTTGGGTGCCTTTGTTGAAAATGAGTTGGCTAAAAGTGTATGGATTTATTTCTGGGTTCTCTATTCTGTTTCGTTGGTATATGTGTCTGTTTTTATGCCGGTACCATGATGCTTTGGTTATTATAGCTTTGTAATATAATTTGAATTCAGGTAGTGTGATATCTCCAGCAGTGTTCTTTTTGCTCAAGAATTGCTATAGATATTCATGGTCTTTTGTGGTTTCATACAAATTTTAGGATTTTTTTTTCTATTTCTGTGAAGGATATAATTGGTATTTTGATAGGGATTGTATTAAATCTGTAGATCACTTTAGGTAGTAAAGACATTTTAACAAGATGAATTCTTCCAATCCATAAGCATATCTTTCCTTTTTTGTGAATCCTCTTCAATTTCTTTAATCAGTGTTTTATAATTTTCTTTGTAGAGATTTTTCACTTCCTTGGTTAAATTCGTTTCTAGGTATATTTTTTGGTACCTATTGTAAAGAAGATTGCTTTCTTGATTTCTTTTTCAGAGTGATCTCTGCTAATGTATAGAGATGCTACTGCCTTTTGTAGGTTGATTTTGTATCCTGTAACTTTACTAAATTCATTTATCAGTTCTAAGAGTTTTCTGGTGAAGTCTAGGTTTTTCTAAATATAAGATCATGTCCCCTTCAACCAAGGATAATTTGACGTCTTCCCTTTCAATTTGAATGCCTTTTATTTATTTCTTTTGCTTAATTATTCTGGCTAGTATTTCTGGTATTACACTGAATAAAAGTGGTGAAAGTGGGCATCCTTGTCTTGTTTCAGATCTTAGTGGAAAGGCTTTCAATTTTTCCCCATTCGGCACGAAACACACAGCTTTTGGGCTTGTCATATATGGCCTTTATTGTGTTGAGGTATGCTCCTTATATACCCAATTTGTTGAAGGTTTTTATCATGAAGGGATGCTGAATTTATTAAATGCTTTTTAGCATCTATTGAAAAGATCATATAGTTTTTGACCTTGATTCTATTGATGTGAGGTAGCACATTTATTGATTTGTGTGTTGAACAGTCCTTGCATCTTAACATGCAAAATAATAAAATTGATCTAGACCACCTTTAAAATTCATTTAAACTGGGCCGTGTGTGGTGGCTCATGTCTGTAATCCTACCACTTTGGGAGACCAGGGTGGGTGGATCACCTGAGGACAGGAGTTCGAGACCAGCCTGGCCAACATGGCAAAACCCTGTCTCTACTATAAATACAAAAATTAGCCAGGCATAGTGGTAAATACCTGTAATCCCAGCTATTCCGGAGGCTGAGGCAGGAGAATCTCTTGAACCCAGGAGACAGAGGCTGCAGTGAGCCAAGACTGCGCTACTGTACCCCAGCCTGGGAGACAGAGTGAGACTCCGTCCCCCACTCCAAAGAAAAATTTCATTTAAACTGTTTCTATGATTCCATTATAATAAACAAGAGTTGGTATTTATTAATAAAACATTGCTAAAGTGTTAGCCTAGAACAGTAGATTACAGAATACTGAGAGGGAAAGAATGGCCCTAAGAACTTTCAGGATAGCGATGAAAACTGCTAACATTTATTAAGTGTTCATTAAATACCAGGAGATTTGCAAACATTATTTCAAATGATCATTGTAATAAGCCTTTTAAGTAGACACTTTTATCATCATATTGAATCTAAAAGTGTATGGAGTCGAGGTTCTTAATTAGGTATAAAAGATTCGTAAATGGTCAAACCAAGTTTCAGACCAAACCTGTTTCTAGAGTTGTTAAACATTGTGCAGGAACACCGCCTCTTCAAAATAAGCTAAGTGGTCCTAATAATCAGATAAGGTACCACAGATAGTTTATGGTCTAGTCATACTTGCAGCCATACTTGGAGCTTTCTGTACAATGTTCCCCCAGGCCCCACTGTCTCTCCTTCAATATGGAATGTTTTTCCTTTCTTCCTTCTTTGCCAGGCTCGCTCTTCTTTAAGACTTAGATAAGAAGCTCCCTCCTTCATGAAGTTTTCTCTATCCATTCATTTCCAGATTAGAGCTGCTCTTCTTTGTGCTCCTTGGTCACCTATACTTATATCTGCCATAGGATTTATCATATACCATAACGTAATTGTCCATGTTCATCTTATCCTCTGGATGATGAGTTCTTAGAGGGCAGGAACTTGTTATTTTACCTAACACAGTCATGATTAACACACAAAAAAATGCCACATTCCTTTAGGACTATGGGGCTTTATATTTTACTATACATCTTTACATACATTCTCATTTAACCCCCAACAACTATCTTTGAAAGAAATCTATTATCTCTACATTCTATACAAACAACCTAGGCCAAGAGAGGCCAAGTGATCACACACATGGTCACACAGAATAACTGAGAGAGCTAGAATTGAACTCTAACCTTCTGACTGTAAGTCCACTACTAATATAGATGGCTGATTTAGAACAGCTCACTGTTTAAAACTTGAAACATATTTTCTCTTAGAAACAAACCTTTCAGACATATAGTACTAACAGTAATGCCAAAGTTAAACATTATATATGAGCAATCTGCCACAGGCAATTACATTAATGGACTCAGGATTCTCCTAGAGACATCAAGTATACATTGGGGCCTACTAAAGGCCTGGAGGGAGTAACAGAAAAGCTCAATGGAGCTACGTCAGTTCTTCATCATGGAGGTGATTCCTACAACTTGGAAGAGGGGCTCTAACAGCTCGAAAGGCAACATTTCAAACAGCCAGGAGATTCAGAACTGCAGCATGGCTCTGGAACAAAGGAGATGGTGGGGGATGGGAAAGTGGGGACAGGATGATGTATGGAATCGAAATTCCAGGAGATGAGAGAGTATGGGGAGGTAAAATATGGGGAAGGGCGGGACTATACATTTGTGGATTTTCACAGGAACAGAGGGTTCTCCTTTTCATTACTCCTCACCCATGCTGCTATCAAAAGGGCAATTTCTACAACAGAGAATGAGGTTCCTGATTCTGCACCCAGTTTCCCTTTCTTCTCCCCATCTGTCTGCTACTTTCGGTCCCACCACCATGTCACTATTTTGGATCAGCACTTAAAAAGGGATGAAAACTGTGCCTAAGAGCAGAAAGCTTTTTGACAGCAGTGGGGTCCTAATCACAGGGAGAATGAAGAGATTGTAAGGGGTGAAAATAGCCACCAATAGAGAAGAAAAGCAACTGGCTGTGGCCACCCAGCTGAAGCAGCCTTCCAAAAAAGACACGAGTCATGCATAGGTACATCCCAGCTGTACAACTAGGTTTAAGTGAATGAAATACTCTAGCTGAAAGCAATCTCTTTCTCCCATGAATTTCTATACTGCTTAACTATTTCTACAAAATGGCACATCATATGGGCTGCCTTACTTTGTAACTGTTTGCTTATATCTTATGTTCCTGCTATACTGCAAGCTGCTATAAGACAAGGACTGTAGAAAACACACCAAGTTGCCATTTAAGTATTAGCTGAATGTATAACTGACTTTTAGTCTTCCTTAAATAAAAGAACTTGTTTTGTTTTGTTTTTAATTATCAATTTGCTATCCCATAATTGTGTGAAAGATAAATAATACTGTCTGCCTGATATCTCACTTTAAAGCAGCACTGGTGAATCCTTGGCTCCAGAACAGAACCAAAGAGGCTTATAAATAACATAGTGGAGGTAGCAATTTAAAGTTGTGTGGTCGACAGTGGTATCGGAAGAGAATTTGTGTGCCTTGCTTTAAGCAAACCTGATATAAACAAATCAGTATAAAAGATAAACTTTAAAAGATTAAAATATATGTATTTACTTGTTCCTTTCATGTGTAAAAGGCAATCTTACAAAACCAATGCACCCAAAGCACTTAGCCATATGCCTGTATTAAGTTACAAGCCTAAAAATACAAAACAGCCTAGTGAAGTACTACCATATAACTTTTCATTTGTTATATTTAATATAAGTATATACTATCCAAAATATCTTAAAGATGATCTGTGAAATCACCTAAATACTGTGGGGGAAAACCTAACTTCTAATAATAAAGCATTTTTGTGTATGTAGAGACATGTTAATAATAGTAGTACCAAACATTTTGTGAGCACTTGGCAATTTCCAGAAACTCTGCTACATGCTTTACATGAATCCTCTCATAAAACTCAAAAACCCTATGAAGTAGGTATCAGATGTAATATTATAATCCTTGGTTTATAGATTAGGAAGCTGAAGCTCAGAGTTTAAGCCACTTGCTCAAATTCACAGACCAAGTAAGTAGTGGAAACAGGATTTAGAACTACGCCCACTGAGTTCAAAGGCCAACTCTTAACCATCTCCTGCGTTCTGAGGAAACCTCAAACCTCAAGATACAGCCGAATTCACCATCAGCTGTGGCAGACCTTGGATATAACAAGCATACACATTACATGTATTCTGCTTTTCATTTTTTAATAGCTTTCATACTACTTTTTTAAAACTGCTATGTCCTAAATTTATGATTTTAAAAACATTAGTAATGTCATTCTTAATGTTAAGAAAGCAACTGGCTTGTTAATAATTTTTTTAATTAAAAGCAACTGGCATAAAAGTTTCTTTGGGAAAATTAATGCATTTTAGGGAAATCAACTTCTGATATCCTGAGACAGGAGAGTAGAGTTAAAAACAGTACAGACTGTTACAAACAGTATGTGTTACAAACATATACTGCCTTCTCTTAAAGCATGAAAACATCTTTATATCTACCAAAAGGTTTGGCAAGGGGGTCAGGAAGAAGAAAGACTAAACATTATTAATAAAAGTAAATATATTTAAAGTTGGCTATATGAAATGTTGATAGAAGCTAAAAACTTATTAGCAGTTTGAAAAATATTTGTGTTATTGGAATGTTTATATAAAATACCATATTCTAAAACAACACAGGTGTACACCAGTATTGACTACTTTTAAATCCAATTTCAATTGAGTGTTACAAGTTACAAAAAATCTCAGTTTCTCTTTACACTGATACACATAATTTATCACAGGAAAACTGAATTAACCTAAGGTTCAGTATTGCAGGGATTTAAAAATAAGAATTTTTAAACTAATATAAAAGAAAGAAAATAATAACTTTTCAAATCTAAAAGTTGAGTAAGTTTCGGGCCTTTCACATTTCATCCTAACTCAGTTGATTTTATAGACTTCCTGGGGTCACTTCTGAACGAGACTTTAGATGCTCAGCTGCTCAGCACAGTCAAGACAGGTTTATGTTTAGAACAGTGCCAGAATGTGAGCTCCTCATTTGCACAGTGGTCAGCAGGGCATGTCTTTGTAACATGGAGTAAATTCCTGCAACATGCTATATTTGGATACCTAAAGCAACACCCTGAACTTGAGTTCGGATATTAGTAATTGTACCAAAGAGAAATATACACTTTTGCTCATGAGCTCCTTCTCTTTAATTATGCAAGAATTACATGTAATTTTTAGAGACACTAGGTAAATGCTGGCAAATGTTTGAACATTCAGAACTTAAAAATTACCAAGGTGTTTTGTTCCCAACAGTGGTACAGGGGACACTGAGGGAAGGCTTTATTACCTTTCCTATTAGAAACTCCAATCTTATTATCAATGAAACTAAGTGTACTATCAATACCTAGTTCCATGAAGATGGTGAGAAATAACAAAGATATATCTTAAAATTAGAAATTGAAGGCTGGGTGCAAGTGGCTCACGCCTGTAATCCCAGCACTTTGGGAGCCAGAGGCGGGCAGATCATTTGAGGCCAGGAGTTCGACACCAGCCTGGCCAACATGGCGAAACCCCATCTCTACTAAAAATACAAAACAAAATTAGCCAGGTGTGGTGGCATGCACCTGTAATCCCAGCTACTCAGGAGGCTGAAGCAGGAGAATCACTTGAGCCTGGGACACGGAGGTTGCAGTGAGCCGAGATCACGCTACTGCATTCCAGCCTGGGCAACAGAGTGAGTGAGACTCCATCTCCAAAAACAAAAAAAATTGGAGAAATAGTGGGTCTCAAAATCATATGGTTGTTCTGCAGATAGTGTTTCTTATTCATTCTATATTCCCAACATGTTATACAATGCCAAAAATACAGCAAGCACTTAACAAACATGGAATGGCAGGTACATAGTTAGTTGGAACTCAATTAGTATTTATTGGACGAGTGAATGGATGACAAAATGATTCTGTTAACCAAGACTGCCAAGGAAAATGTCACTTTCATTGATTCTTTTTAGAACCATTTCTAGATAAAACAACAAACTTTCAAAAGTGTGACTAAGCTTCATAAAATGAAGAGGGTGCTATTTTCCAAAGTATAACAATAAAGAAACATTTCAATTATAGCTTTTCAATTATAGCTTTACAACTGTTTGCTTTAATTTTCTGCTATTAACACTTTTTTCTCTTAGAATTTGAAAGTTTCTTCAAAAGATTTTCTGTAGGCAACTTGGAATTCCTTCATGCAGCAAATATTTACTGACTGCACAGTAATTACTTTGGGCACTGGATTAAATAAATAAAACATCAGAATCAAGGAGTTATTACCAAGACTACCAGAAAGCATGATGTAAGAAATGCATTAACTTTTAGAGGGAGTTCAACAAAAAATGAATACAAAAGCCTAGTTAATAAATACCTTCTTTATTATATCAAAGGCCAGCTAAAAATTGAGTTTTCACTCTAGTTGCCAAACAACTTCCAGGTAAGAAGACACAATACATTCAGAACTTGTAAACCTTGATTTCTTCAATAATAGAAAAATTAGCCAATTCCAATGGTAGAAATATTTTCAAGGCAACTGTACTCAGAAATTTGTTTGATCTTCAATTATATATGATTTTTCTTAGTGCATTTAGCATTTAAAAATCTAATAATTCACAAATATTATTAAGCTACATTTACCTGGTATATAACATTTTCCAACTTGGCCTTCAGCTGGTATACATAGCAGTGGTTTAACTAATATTATCAGTGGCAAAAATAACTTTTAGGAAAAGTTTGTTTAATTGTAGTACTGACACAATGGTTAAAGGATTAAATTACTAAATAGGCTCCCCATTCATAGGGGACCTTTGTCAACAGCCAGAGAATCATATGAGAAAGGCAAAATGTGAATAAAGTGCTTCAGTCATCAAACTCAAAAAGACTGATTCATTTCCACCAAGTTACTGGATAGTGTGCATTCCGATTTTTCTCCCAAGTTTTTTTTCAATTTTCATATTCATTTCAGTGTCTTTCAATTACCCAGAAGTAATCTGGTCCCACATGGGGATGAGACAGGTTAACAGCAGCTAGTATCTCTATAATGCGGACAACAGGGTGGCAGCCTTGTGAAGGCCGAGGCCCACATAAGGCAGGCCCCTGAAAGAGGTAGCAGCCCGTGGGGTCAGGACCCTGGCTACCTACAGAGGGACTGAGCAACTACGTAAACATATTAAGATAACAGAGTCAAGTTTTCACTGTCAGTGAAGTACAAATAGAAAAAGGAGTTAAGCTAGAATTAACCCAAAGTGTTGGACTGAAATTGGAGTTTATCAGGTATCAGTGTGAATTCATGATTTTCAGTATAAAAAAAAAGAAATATAAGGTGTGCATGTTTCTTAACTCTGTCCACTGAGGTCTGGGAACAACAATATCTCAGTAGCAATGAACATACCTAGTGCCCAAATCTTGGTTTCTAAACAGCAATTCAGCTAAAAATAACCAGGGTTCCTTGGAGAAATGGCTGTTTCCAGGATTGAGGTTAAGACATAACACAATGAGCCTGGATACTTTTTGTGCCAATAAGTAGGGAAGAGCTCAAAAAATGATGGATATAGAAGGATATATAAAAGAATAAAGAATATCCTTAATCCTTAAAAGAGGATACAGAAGGATATAGAAGCCAGTTAGAAAAGGATATTTTAAAGAATATAGAAGCCAGTTAGAAAGGATATAAAAAGATATAGAAGCCAGTTAGAAAGGCCTCCCATTAACTAAATTTGGGACAATTTGAGCATCAAAATCATAATAGTAACAAACTCAAAACTGACTGAATAAAATAGGATATAAATGAATAAATGCAGAAGATCAATCTTCAAAGCATTCATAAGTTTTTGAGAATCAGTCTTTCTCAAATTCCTAGTTTCAAAATATGTCTTTGTTATCTCCCAGCATCTTCACGGACAAGATGTTGATATACACTCTGTTTAATTCTCTTCCTTATAGTAGAACGCCAACTAGTAAGTAGAAGGAATGATGGAATTCAAAAAGTTACCATTTAGCAACCATGTGAGCAATAATTAAGTCAGGCAAAAAAAATTTATAGATGCTAGAACTAAAAAGTGAAATGAGGAATGTGATTTTAAATAGTCTTCAAGTATCTCTCCACCAAAAAAAAAAAAGAATTACACATTTGTTCGGTGTGGGGTAAATACCTTTATAGTTATGGAAACACAGCAGACACTATATTCATCAAATGACAAAGATAACACCATTTGTAATAAGGCAAATGATACCAAGTGCCACCCAAAATGATATAATAAAAAGAATCACTCCTGTGATAGTCCAGCCCAAAATGCATAACCTGGGTCTAACAATGTAAAAATATCAAACAAATCCTAATTTAGTTATTTACTACAAAAGTGATGTTTTTGAAGATTACTGGCCAACGTCGTAAAAGTCCAGGCAGTATTATGGAATTTTTCCATACTGAAGACAACTAGAGAGATAGGACAACCGGGTACAATGCATCACCCTGCATCCTTTGGCTATAAAAGGCCATTATTAGGGCAAATGGTGGCACTGGAAGGGGAGCGGAGGGTATCTAGACACAGTGTATATGGGAGTTATTTGCTCTGGTCCTGCAACTTTTCTCTAAATTTGAAATCACTTTCAATTAAGAAATTAAAATTTAAAAAAGAAATCTTTCAGTTCTTCTTCAATTATGCAGGTAGAGAATTCTACTAATTGCGAGCTTCTCCATTACTTTGTAGCTTGTGATTTTCTCCAAGAAAGTATGGTAGCCTTTTAACAATATTAATAACAGCAAACATTAGGCTTTATTAGCTATCAAATACTGTTCTAAACTCTATATACTTGTTGACTCATTTAATCCTCAGCACAACCCTCTAAGGTGGGGGGTGGGTACTTATTAGCGAGATTTCACAAATAGGGAAAGTTAGGGACAGAGAGATCAAGTTATTTGTCCTGTCCGATGTCACAAATCTAGTAAGTGTTATGTAGAGACTTGAATACAGGCAGTCAAGCTCTGCATTCTTACTCACTTTTGGATTTTGTCTATCTGGGAAAGAATAGCTGTACCTTGGGGTTTCTGTAGGTATTAGTATTTAAGAAGCCTCAGAATACCTAAGTTTACTTGTTGCTGGATATTCATTTAGTTCAAACATCTTTTCGTGCCAGAAAGTAAGGAAGGGCTCCTTATCCACAATATTAGAAGTAAAGCTTCTAATATGTAATCTCGTCAACCCACAATATTGAAAAAGCTTCTAATATGGATTTAAGATGTTTATCTAGCAAAAAAATTAATAAAGCACTATAAAAATACTTATGATACCTTTTGAAAACTAGCCTTTAAAGGAAAACTGATTCCTTTCTTGACTCTGTTTGCATTTGGAAATAATCTGAAATTTTAGCAGTCTTTTTAGAAACACAGTGATTACATTAGTTTAAATTCCTAAAACACTTAAACTTTTCCATTTCTCAACTTTTATGGGCTAGAATTTACAACAATCTTCCCTCAACCTGTTTCAGATTATTTTTCTTTTTCTAATTGCCTATTCAATAATTCCCATTTATATTCCTTGGTAATTCTTTGTTCTCTGGCAACTGATTGATTTCCCAGATCCAGAGGCACGAACTGGTTTTAACTTTTTCCTTTTTTTTTTTTCCAGGCTCCTAGTTATGCCAATGAGGAAGAAAGTATTCTACTTACTCTGGTCTAACAGTGTTGGAGACAAACCAACAAGTTATTAACAAATAATTAAATTCAGAGTCCTTTTTAAATTATAAATTGCCCTTTCTTATACTTGATGTGATATGCAAACAAAATCTTTATTATCTAGGAAGTAATGATTATTTGTTTTAACGGAAGTGTTGACAAACTATAAATGATCTCTAAATCCTGCCTAAACAATTTACTTTCAAAATAAGCAAATTCTTATATTCTATAAGACAAATATAAGACCTATTTGTAATTTATACATGCCTTTAGTCTACACTAAACACTGAACCCATTTGCCATTTTAGATAATTATGATCCTTGCATTCTATTAATTTAAAGAAAAGTGGGGCTGGGCCCAGTGGCTCACGCCTGTAATCCTGGCACTTTGGGAGGCCAAGATGGGAGGATCGCTTGAGGCCAGTAGTTCGAGAACAGTCTAGTCAACACAGTGAGACCCCCATCTCTATAAAAAGAAAATAAAAAAGAAAAATAGAAAATGTTCATAATAACATCAAATGAATTTTCAAAAACATACTACCAAATCTTTCATTAACAAATATAGAAAATGAAGACAGCACAATAAACTATAAAACTACCATTTCTCATAGCAGGTGAAGTCATATAAAAGTACTGCTTTTCCTATATTTGATAACACCAAATTATTACCAATAACTACTTAAAATTTAATAAAACTCTTTGTAATTCCATAAAGGCATGCTCTCCTAGATAATTATCTGGATGCCTTTATATGTTTTAATTATATTTGCTTTAAATGAGTATATTTAAATATTCTCACTTAAATATACCCTCTAAATTTTATAGTTGTTCCTTTTCCTCTTCAGAAGGCTTCATTTGGCAAAAATTCACCAGTAACCCAAACGACAAGAGCTCTAGTACAGTATGAAGACATGGCACTGCAAAAACCTTCCACGTTCTTAAGCTTCAGTACAAAGTGTAACAGTAGTTGGTATTCTTAGATATTACTGAAGTGTGACAATTACTATTTCTCTTTTGAGAGTGGTTAGCTCATGAAGAACCATCTACTCAAATTTACCAGTATTCAGAAAGCATCTCTTTCTCAAGATTTTCAAACTAACTCAGCACAGACAGCGCCTACTTTTTGCTGCCTCAAATTCACTTTTCTCCTCCTCCATTGATGCTTTTAAAAATACCTATGTTTCATCTTTAACAATACAGACATGTTTGGAGATTCTAGGTAAACTCACCTAGGGTTTCAAAGTAAAAAGTACCAGGCAATAGTAAAAATCTGTAATAGCCAGGAAGATTTTGGAAGTTTTCAGTGGTGAGAGTTACATTAGCTCATTTCATTAAAATACCAAAATGGGATTTAATAAAATGTCTCTATTTAGGAAGTGATACACTCAATTACCGTAAAATTCAGAGTGGGACCAAAAGAGGCCTTTCAGAAAATCCATTTATGGTCCAAAAGTTTTGAACTGCAAGTTTCAGGAACTTAGAGATGTTCTGAAAGAGTAGCTATATTTTATATCACATGACCCATGCTGCCAGACACCACCCACCCAACCCTGCATCCTTTCAAGGTTTTCTTCTACCTGCTCTTCTCAAAGTCTAGTGATTCTTGGTCATTAATCTGTAATGGCTGGCTGGCTGCTAGGTTACTCCTTCTCTCTCTTCCTTCTTTGGAGACAAGACTCCAAATCACCCGGAGTAGGCAGATGGGGAAAGAAGTAATCACAGGACCCCATTCTGGAGGTCACAGCAGCAGATCTAGATTTGGCCACAAGACCTAAGCCAGTTACTTTCTGGCATTTCTCTAACTAGAACAGGCAGGCAAGACTCCTAGTTCTCTTTGGCCATGATCCTAGGAAAACATAAGCCTGCAACTGCCACCAGCCACAGAACTAGCCTCTAGGAAACACAGGAGGAGAAAATAACACCAAAATCCAGAAAGAAACAGAGAAAGACAGGACCTGGGCCAGGGTGGATTAAGCCCCTGACTATACACCAGCACTCTCCTATTAAATAGGGATAGTTTTTAAATTAAGATAGTTTGATCTTCTCCTGTATCAATTATTTCTTAACTGGGTCATTCCATATATATATAATATATATTCATATATATAGATTTATATTTTCATATATATGAAAATATATATATGATTTAAATATATATGTATATATGTGTATATATGTATATATGATTAAAATCTCCTATCATTTAAAAAAAATTATTCACAACATTATCTCCCTTCATGTATCAGAGTCCCATTTCTTGGCTCTTCCTTTTTAAAGTCAACAATATTTATTGTCCTTACTTCCTGTTTAATCCATTCCAATCAAAGACTTTTACTTCTACTCCTACAGTGAATCTGTCTCTGTTAAGATCAATAACCTTAACTTCGACTTTGCCAATCCAATTGTCAAGTCTGTGTTGTCATCTTATTCAGATTTCTGGAACATGTGACATTGCTTTTTCTTAAAATGCTTTCTTCACTAAGCGTCTAGGTCCCCACATTCTCCTGGCTCTCCTCCTATCTCACCGGCCATTTCTTCCCCACCTTCTCTCCAGGGTCCTCCTCTACTTCTTGACCTCACAGCACTCAGTCCTTCCCTCTTTGCGCCATGATCTCAACCAGTATTTTTCAATGTTTTCCCCCATTATTAACAACCTCCCCCATGAGACTTCAGATTTCTGGGTTTTTTCCTAATTACTCCTATTCCCAAGAAATTTCAATGCCACATAAAACCTAAGAATGAACTTTTATTCCTGTCCCTGTCCCCCACTAGTAACCTGAATTCAATTCCACAGCAAATCCTGCCAGCTATTTCCTCAAAATATATCATGAAATCAGACTTTCCAGCCATTTCCTTCTCACCAGATTACCATCACCTCTCACCAGTTCACGCGAAGCCTCAACAGGTCTTCTACTTCTACTCCTGACCCCTTCTCCTCAAGAGTCTAATATTCACACAGTAATTACAATAATCATTTTGAAAGATAAGTCACATCACTACTTTGCTCAAAACTCCTAAATGGAGTTATACTTGCAATATACTTACATTATCCATATAGTAAATCTCAAATTCCTTATTGGCCCTACCAGGTCCTATGAGATCTGTCCCTGTCTGTCTCCCTGATCAATTTGTCTCCCACCACTCTTCCCATTCCTTACTACTTTCTAGCTACTTGAGCCTTCCAACAGTTTCCTAAACACTTTAAGGTTGTGTCAGCCGTAAGCCTTGGTGTGGCTGGTCCCTAAACCTGGAATATACTTCACCCAGATTGTCCCCTGACTCACCCTCTAGCGCCACTCTGATCTATAACCAAAAACCTCTTCTTGGGGGACTTCTTCCTTGACCACATTATCTAACTAGCCCTTGTTCCATCTGCTCACTAACTATACTGTTACCCTGCTTTATTTTTTCACATAAATAACCTGTACCAGCAGTTGTGTGAGTGTATATGTAGCTACACACATACATACATGCAAACTTGTTCACTGTCTCTCTAAAAGAGCGTTAACTCCATCAGGGAAGAATATCTATTTTGTTCAATGCTCTATCCCCAAAGCCTAGAATAATGCCTGTCCTGTCTCACAGGAAAAATAATTTTTTTTGTTTTTTTGAGACAGAGTCCCACTCTGTCACCCAGGCTGGAGTGCAGTGTTATGATCTCGGCTCACTGCAACCTATGCATCCCAGGTTGAAACAATCCTCGTGCCTCAGCCTCTCGAGTAGCTGGAATTACAGGTGCGCACCACACCCAGCTAATTTTTGTATTTTTAGTAGGACAGGGTTTCATCATGTTGGCCAGGCTGGTCTCAAACTCCTGACCTCAAGTGATCCACCTGCCTAGACCTCCCAAACTGCTGGGATTACAGCATAAAGTTTTGATTATATATAAATAAAGAAAGCAGGTGAGTCTGATTTTTGTAACTTGCAATCAATCAAATCATTGGTGATGAAGCATCTTTACAATCAACTTCTCATTACTTGAGGTAATTTGAGTCTCCATCTCTTGCCACTAAAAAAAAAAAAAAAAAAAAGACTCCCAAGATGGCCGAATAGGAACAGCTCCGATCTGCAGCTCCCAGCGTGATCCATGCAGAAGACAGGTGATTTCTGCATTTCCAATAGGTACCTGGTTCATCTCATTGGGACTGGCTGGGCAACGTGTGCAGCCAACGGAGGGCGAGCTGAAGCAGGGCAGGGCATCGCATCACCCGAGAAGTGCAAGGGGTCGGGGGATTTCCCTTTCCTAGCCAAGGGAAGCCATGACAGACTACCTGGAAAATCGGAACACTCCCGCCCAAATACTGCGCTTTCCCCAAGGTCTTAGCAACCAGCAGACAAGGAGATTCTCTCCTGTGCCTGGTTCGGCGGTCCCACACCCACGAAGCCTTGCTCACTGCTAGCGCAGCAGTCTGAGATTGAACTGTAAGGTGGCAGCCTGGCTTGGGGAGGGGTGTGTGCCATTGCTGAGGCTTGAATAGGTAAACAAAGCAGCCTGGTAGCTGGAACTGGGCGGAGCCACCACAGCTCAACAAGGCCTACTGCCTCTAGACTCCACCTCTGTGGGCAGGGCATAGCTGAACAAAAGGCAGCAGACAACTTCTGCAGACTTAAATGTCCCTGTCTGACAGCTCTGCAGAGAGCAGTGGTTCTCCCAGCACAGCGTCTGAGCTCTGAGAATGGACAGACTGCCTCAAGTGGGTCCCTGATCCCTGTGTAGCCTAACTGGGAGACATCACCCAGTAGGGGCCAACAGACACCTCATATACGCGGCTGCTCCTGTGGGACGAAGCTTCCAGAGAAAGGATCAGGCAGCAATATTTGCTGTTCTGCAATATTTGCTGTTCTGCAGCCTCCACTGGTGATACCCAGGCAAACAGGGTCTGGAATGGAACTGCAGCAAACTCCAACAGACCTGCACCTGACTGTTAGAAAGAAAACTAACAAACAGAAAGGAATAGCATCAACATCAACAAAAAGGTCATCTACACCAAAACCCCATCTGTAGGTCACGAACATCAAAGACCAAAAGTAGATAAAACCACAAAGATGGGGAAAAACCAGAGCAGAAAAGCTGAAAATTCTAAAAACCAGAGTGCCCCTTCTCCTCCAAAGGATTGCAGCTCCTCGCCAGCAATGGAACAAAGCAGGACAGAGAATGACTGTGACAAGTTGACAGAAGTAGGCTTCAGAAGGTCGGTAATAACAAACTTCTCCGAGCTAATGCAGGATGTTCGAACCCATCGCAAGGAAGCTAAAAACCTTGAAAAAAAGATTAGACGAATGGCTAACTAGAATAAACAGTGTAGGGAAGACCTTAAATGACCTGATGGAGCTGAAAACTATGGCACGAGAACTTCATGACACATGCACAAGCTTCAATAGCCAATTTGATCAAGTAGAAGAAAGGAGATCAGTGATTGAAGATCAAAGTAATGAAATAAAGTGAGAAGACAAGGTCAGAGAAAAAAGAGTAAAAAGAAACGAACAAAGCCTCCAAGAAATATGGAACTATGTGAAAAGACCAAATCTACATTTGATTGGTGTACCTGAAAGTGATGGGGGGAATGGACCCAAGTTGGAAAACACTCTTCAGTATATTATCCAGGAGAACACCCCCAACCTAGCAAGGCAGGCCAACATTCAAATTCAGGAAATACAGAGACCACCACAAAGATACTCCTTGAGAAGAGCAACACCAAGACGCATAATTGTCAGATTCACCAAGGTTGAAATGAAGGAAAAAATGTTAAGGCAGCCAGAGAGAAAGGTCGGGTTACCCACAAAGGGAAGCCCATCAGACTAACAGCGAATCTCTTGGCAGAAACCCTACAAGCCACAAGAGAGTGGAGGTCGATATTCAACATTCTTAAAGAAAAGAATTTTGAACCCAGAATTTCATATCCAGCCAAACTAAGCTTCATAACTGAAGGAGAAATAAAATCCTTTACAGACAAGCAAATGCTGAGAGATTCTGTCACCACCAGGCCTGCCTGCCTTACAAGAGCTCCTGAAGGAAGCACTAAACATGGAAAGAAAAAACCGGTACTAGCCACTGCAAAAACATGCCAAATTGTAAAGACCATCAAGGCTAGGAAGAAACTGCATTAATTAACGGGAAAAATAACCAGCAAACATCATAATGAAAGGATCATATCACACATAACAATATTAACCTTAAATATAAAAGGGCTAAATGCCCTAATTAAATGACACAGACTGGCAAATTGGATAAAGAGTCAAGACCCATCAGTGTGCTGTATTTAGGAGACCCACAGCACGCGCAAAGACTTACATAGGCTCAAAATAAAGGGATGGAGGAAGATCCACTGAGCAAATGGAAAGCAAAAAAAAGCAGCAGTTGCAATCCTAGTCTCTGATAAAACAGACTTTAAACCAAGAAAAATCAAAAGAAACAAGGCTGTTACATAATGGTAAAGGGATCAATTCAACAAGAAGTGCTAACTATCCTAAATATATATGCACCCAATACAGGAGCAACCAGATTCATAAAGCAAGTCCTTAAAGAGCTACAAAGAGACTTAGACTCCCACACAATAATAATGGAAGACTTTAACAACCCACTGTCAATATCAGACAGATCAACAAGACAGAAGGTTAACAAGGATATCCAGGACTTGAACTCAGCTCTGCACCAAGCGGACCTAATAGACATCTACAGAACTCTCCAGCCCTAATCAACAGAACATACATTCTTCTCAGCACCACATCGCACTTATTCTAAAATTGACCACATAATCGGAAGTAAAGCACTCCTCAGCAAATCTAAAGAACAGAAATCACAAAAAACTGCCTCTCAGACCACAGTGCGATCAAATTAGAACTCAGGATTAAGAAATTCACTCAAAACCGCACAACTACATGGAAACTGAACAACTTGCCCCTGAATGACTACTGGGAAAATAACGAAATGAAGGCAGAAATAAAGATGTTCTTTGAAACCAATGAGAACAAAGATACAACATACTAGGATGTCTGGGACATATTTAAAGTAGTGTGTAGAGGGAAATTTATAGCACTAAATGCCCACAAGAGAAAGCAGGAAAGATCTAAAATCAACACCCTAACATCACAATTAAAAGAACTAGAGAAGCAAGAGCAAACACATTCAAAAGCTAGCAGAAGGCAAGAAATAACTAAGATCAGAGCAGAACTGAAAAAGATAGACACAAAAAACCCTTCAAAAAATCAATCAATCCAGGAGCGGGTTTTTTGAAAAGATCAACAAAATTGATAGACTGCTAGCAAGATTAATAAAGAAGAAAAGAGAGAAGAATCAAATAGACACAATAAAAAATGATAAAGGGGATATCACTACCGATCCCACAGAAACGCAAACTACCATCAGAGAATACTATAAACACCTCTACGCAAATAAACTAGAAAATCTAGAAGAAATGGATAAATTCCTGGATGCATACACCCTCCCAAGACTAAACCAGGAAGAAGTTGAATCTCTGAATGGAACAATAACAGGCTCTGAAATTGAGGCAATAATTAATAGCCTACCAACCAAAAGAAGTCCAGGAACAGAGGGATTCACAGCTGAATTCTACCAGAGGTACAAAGAGGAGCTGGGACCATTCCTTCTGAAACTATTCCAATCAACAGGAAAAGAGGGAATCCTCCCTAACGCATTTTATGAGGCCAGCATCAACCTGATACCAAAGCCTGGCAGAGACACAACAAAAAAAGAGAATTTTAGACCAATATCCCTGATCAACAACGATGTAAAAATCCTCAATAAAATACTGGCAAACCGAATCCAGCAGCACATCAAAAAGCTTATCCACCACAATCAAGTCAGCTTCATCCCTCAGATGTAAGGCTGGTTCAACATACGCAAATCAATGAACGTAATCCAGCATATAAACAGAACCAAAGATAAAAACCACATGATTATCTCAACAGATGAAGAAAAGGGCTTCAAAAAACTCAACAGCCCTTCATGCCAAAAACTCTCAACAAACTAGGTATTAATGGAATGTATCTCAAAATAATAAGAGCTATTTATGACAAACCCACAGCCAGTATCATACTGAATGGGCAAAAACTGGAATCATCCCCTTTGAAAACCAGCACAAGACAAGGACGCCCTCTCTCACCACTCCTATTCAACATAGTGTTGGGAGTTGTGGCCAGGGTAATCAGGCAAGAGAAAGAAATAAAGGGTATTCAATTAGGAAAGGAGGAAGTCAAATTGTCCCTGTTTGTAGATGACATGATTGTATATTTAGAAAATCCCATGATCTCAGCCCCAAATCTCCTTAAGCTGATAAGCAACTTCAGTAAAGTGTCAGGATACAAAATCAATGTGCAAAAATCACAAGCATTCTTATACACCAGTAACAGACAAACAGAGAGCCAAATCATGAGTGAACTCCCATTCACAACTGCTTCAAAGAGAATAAAATACCTAGGAATCCAATTTACAAGGGATGGGAAGGACCTCTTCAAGGAGAACTACAAATCACTGCTCAAGGAAATAAAAGAGGACACAAACAAATGGAAGAATATTCCATGCTCATGGATAGGAAGAATTAATATCATGAAAATGGCCATACTGCCCAAGGTAATTTATAGATTCAATGCTATCCCCATCAAGCTACCAATGACTTTCTTCACAGAATTGGAAAAAAACTACTGTTCATATGGAACCAAAAAAGAGCCCACATTGCCAAGACAATCCTAAGCAAAAAGAACAAAGCTGGAGGCATCACACTACCTGACTTCAAACTATACTACAAGGCTACAGTAGCCAAAACAGAAGGGTACTGGTACCAAAGCAGATATATAGACCAATGGAACAGAACAGAGGCCTCAGAAATAACACCACACATCTACAACCATCTGATCTTTGACAAACCTGACAAAAACAAGAAATGGAGAAAGGCTTCCCTATTTAATACATGGTGCTGGGAAAACTGGCTAGCTATATGTAGAAAGCTGAAACTGGATCCCTTCCTTACACCTTATACAAAAATTAATTCAAGATGAATTAAAGAATTAAATGTTAGACCTAAAACCATAAAAACGCTAGAAGAAAACCTAGGCAATACCATTCAGGACATAGGCACGGGCAAGGACTTCATGACCAAAACACCAAAAGCAATGGCCACAAAAGCCAAAATAGACAAATGGGATCTAATTAAACAAAAGAGCTTCTGCAGGGCAAAAGAAACTACCATCACAGTGAACAGGTAACCTACAAAATGAGAGAAAATTTTTGCAATCTAGCCATGTGACAAAAGGCTAATATCCAGAATCTACAAAGAACTCAAACAAATTTACAAGAAAAAAGCAAACAACCCCATCAAAAAGTGGGCAAAGGATATGAACAGACACTTCTCAAAAGAAGATATCTATGCAGCCAACAGACACATGAAAAAATGTTCATCATCACTGGTCATCAGAGAAATGCAAATTAAAACCACAATGAGATACCATCTCATGCCAATCAGAACGGCAATCATTAAAAAGTCAGGAAACAACAGATGCTGGAGAGGATGTGGAGAAATAGGAACACTTTTACACTGTTGGTGGGAGTGTAAGTTAGTTCAACCATTGTGGAAGACAGTGTGGTGATTCCTCAAGGATCTAGAACTAGAATTACCATTTGACCCAGCCATCCCATTACTGGGTATATACCCAAAGGATTATAAATCATGCTACTATAAAGACACATGCACACGTGTTTATTGCGGCACTATTCACAATAGCAAAGACTTGGAACCAACCCAAATGTTCAACAATGATAGACTGAATTAAGAAAATGTGGCACATATACACCATGGAATACTATGTAGCCATAAAAAAGGATGAGTTCATGTCCTTTGCAGGGACATGGATGCAGCTGGGAACCATCATTCTCAGTAAACTATCACAAGGACAGAAAACCAAACACCACATGTTCTCACTCATAGGTGGGAACTGAACAATGAGATCACTTGGACACAGGGCAGGGAACATCACACACAGGGGCCTGTGAGGGGGTAGGGGGCTAGGGGAGGGATAGCATTAGGAGAAATACCTAATGTAAATAAGTTAATGGGTGCAGCAAACCAACATGGCACACGTATACCTAGGTATCAAAACTGCACGTTGTGCACGTGTACCCTAGAACTTAAAGTATAATAAAAAAATACATACATATATATATATATATATATATACATATATATATATATATATATATACACACACACTAAAACCGAAACAATATCCTAAAACAGATTGGATACAGAAGCAGCTATGAGAATCTAACTACACTCCAGTAAGTCAGACATTGAAGAGGTTTGCAAAAATGCAAGACAATGTTAGCCTTCTCATTTTTTTTATTTTGGAAAATATAATCTATTTTAAATAAAAAGATTACTTTTATATTTAAAAAAGACTTAGACAAACTGCTCAAATTTTAAAATGAAACTTTGTACTAAAAGAGAAGATACACTATACTGTAATTTCAAGCCACTCAACAAAGCATGTTGAACAATCAGTTATGCAGAGGAATTTATTAAGCGTTTAGTTTTGTCATAAATTCAGCCTCCCATACTTAATATACTGCAGTTCCACTAGAATCTAGAGTGATTACTCTTTGGGGCATCCTTGAAAACCACTCACAGAATCCAGACACAGTCCTAAAGCATATATTCACTAACTTAAAACTTCACCTTCCCTCATTCAAAAGCTTCCAATTTACACATCTAAAAGATAATGCAGTCTAAGGTCATCAACAGATTCATGCAGTTGAGCATGCTCATTAAAAACAGATGAGAGAAATTTAGACAACTAACAAAGCAGATCAATCTTCAACTATCTCACATTGCAATCTGGGATATGCTTACCTTTGCTAAGGTCACAGGCTCGGGATCAGTGGGAATGTAGCTAGCACACAGAAACCTATTATTATTCATTGCAGTAGAGCTGTAGCACTATCATTAAAAGTCTCCCATAAAATATTTGGTACTGGTCAAAACAGGGAAAATAATGATGTTAGAATTCTATATGCTTACAATATATAATTCAGAAACCAAACAAATGCATAAGCCAATTTAAAAGTTAAGGAATCTCTTGGGCCTCCCTTCTCTAATTACTTGCCCCTCCACTGCCACTTTCCCCAACCCGCCTCCATCCCCTTCCACAAAGTTCAAGACATTGTTCAACAAGGATTGTCACTCAAATTCATCACAGAAAATGAATTCTAAGAAGGATTTAAAAATTGTTAGTGATATGCCTGTGAGTCACTGCCATCCAGCAATGGAGAATTATTCTGTCAGCAAGTTTCTTGCCTTTCTGAGCTTACATTATTTTCTTATTAGCCTAACAAAATCTTTTCAATCCATAAACTGACACAATTATCCATGAAGAAAAAGAAAGCTGACATGAAACAAAATATGTAATAAGGCTGACATAAAACAAAATATATAATAAGACTACCACTAACACATAGTAGGTGTTCAAAAAGTAATTGCTGAATTATTTTTTAATGTTCAACTTTAAAAATATCAGTCCAGTGCTTCCCTTTTGTCTTTTAAGCAGCCCAGATCTACCAGTTCTTAAGAAAACCTTCTACCTCATCAGACTACCCATTTAAAATTACCATTACATTTCTCTCCATTTTCTTGCCTATTCCTTAAATAGGAGGTCACCCACTGTTTCTACTTTGTACATACTCATTCTCTTAAATCCTTCATTGTGGTGAAATATCCATAACATAAAATTTACCATCCTAACCAATTTTAAGTATACAATTCAGTGGTATGAAGTATATTCATATTGTTGTGCAACCATCATCACAATCCATCTCCAGAACTCTTTTCATCTTATTACACAAAACTGAAATTCTGTATCCATTCAACAACTCCCTGTTCTCTCCTCCCCACAGACCCTGGCAACCAAACATTCTACTTTCTGTCTCTATGATTCTGACTACTCTAAGTACCTCACGGAAGTAGAATCCCGCAATATTTTTTACGTGACTGGCTTTTTTCACTTAGCATAATGTTCTCAAGGTTTATCCATGTTGTGCGTATGTCAGAATTTTCTTACTATTCCATTGTATGCATATTCCACATTTTGCTTATCCATTCATTCATCAATGGACACTTGGGTTGCTTCCACTTAAATCTTGCTCAAGATTTGAGTGTGTGTGTGTGAGTGTGCATGTATGTCACTCCGTTCCCCATACCAATATTTAAATTTCCTGAAGGTTAATGATTTTTTTTGGATACAGGGTCTCAGTCTGTCATCCAGGCTGTAGTGCAGTGGCACAAACATGGCTCACTGCAGCCTTGACCTCCTGAGTACACGTGATCCTCCTGCCTCAGCCTCCTGTGTAGCAGGGACCACAGGTGCATACTACCAAGACTGGCGAATTTTTTTCATTTTTTGTTGAGATGGAGTCTCACTTTGTTGGCCAGGCTAGTCTCAAACTACTGATCTTCCTGCCTGTTAATAATGATTTTATTCTTGCCAAATCTAATGGGTTTTTTCACGTATATCATATTTCTCGTGTCAAGCTACTAGCCACTTTTCATCTTTCCTCTCTCTAACCCCCACTGTTGGAGGAGGGGGGAGGGGGAAGAGGAAAGTGGAGGGAAGAAATCACTTACGAAGATGCATACAATGCAAAGAGAATAAAAGATGAAAGATGTCGCTGGACCAGGAAGATAAAATGAAGCTGAGGTAAAGACACTTACAAAATATATGAGATCCTTAATAACAGTTAAAAAAGGCAGACAAAGAAGGAAGCAAAATCAGTCACAGGATTCACAATATAAACACAAAATGTCTGCTCAGCAGTACATCTATTCTTATTACTGAGACCTAAATGAAGAATTATTCAGGAGGACTCTTGGCAGACACTTTGCAATATGGCAAGTCTATGCGCCCTACTATATTACCGTCTATCCCTTCCTGAAAACACTCCCCTCTCTAGATGCTCATGACACTGTGCCTTCCTGATTCTCCCTCCATGTCTCTGATGGCCATTACTGATTTCATTCATCAGTTCTTTGCCTTTGCCTTAATGCCAGTCTTCCCCAAGGCTACTCTCTCCCTTTCCTTCTTTTAGTGAACTCTGAATTTATATGACTTCAATTATTATACCTTTACATGAGTGAATCACAAATCTCTTTGTTTGCTTTTAGAACATTGCCCTTATGCAACTATAATCTCCCAGTGATAAACACCTGTTTTGCATTTTTTTAGCTGATTACTTGGTAAGAAAAGTTGCTGGAAATAAAAACGATAAATTTCCCTCTATGAAAAGTGCCATTCTGTTTCATTTTGTCAGACTGATATAGATTCTTAATTTCAAACTATTAAGTAATTATCTGATTAAAACACTGAAATCAAAAGTATCTAAATGGTCTATTATTTTCAACATCCTGAAAGAATTAATGTCGATGCAAAGAGAGGGAGAAACAGAAGATTATCCAAGGGTTAGAAGAATGCTTACTGAGGACCTTTTATTGAAGAGGTTCTTATCTTTAAAATATAAAACCAGATGAGATGAGAAAGATAGAAAGATATAAGCTTTATTTGTTCTATTCTATGCAGAGTAACCATCCAGAGATTGAAACGGTTTTTAATTATAAGATATAAAAACATGCTAAGTGATTTATTCTATTTTTATCATTCATTTCCTCTGAGCTATACATTTATATATGTAATATATACATAAATATACATATCAGAATCATAGAAATGTTTAGAATTTTTAGAAAGAGCAAAGGTCATATTCAAATTCAAAAGGCTGGCTAATACCTTGGAAAGTTTTAGTTTTCATTGTATTAATATTTGTAATTTACATTATTTCTATTACAGTCGCTATTAAAATGCTAAGTAACATTCAGTTAAATGGGGGGAAAAAGACTTAAGTAAGCATAAGACTTGTCTGAGAAAGAAACAAAAGTTAACTGACCATCTTTGAAGACAATGTCATTCTCAACAAACAAGTCCTTTATTCAAAAGCAGCAAATAAAATATTTGTTCTACATAAAGTAGAATATAATATAGTGACTCTCCTGCAATAACATACATTTCAAAATCTAAAACTATTTCCTGAGTCACTCCTTCCCACCTCTTTCCCAAAACAAAGATGGATAAAGGAAAATGTAACACACATTCATATGCAACTGATTTCCAACTACTAGGAAAAGGGTAGAAAGGACAATATGATGTCCAAAAAAGGCTACTGTTTCCTAGATAGTCCATCACAGTGAAAAGTGGACAGCCCTCATTTTTACCTTCTGCAGAAGGTTCTTTTACTGTACTCCAACCTTGAGGTATCCCTTGAGTCTGTGAACATAGCAGAGGAGAAATGTAGAATTCAGGTGTATAGAAAACCATAATAAGGCAAACTCACAAACAATCTTAGAATAGTACCTCCTTAAATCATAAGAAAAGCTTCACATGTTGAATTATATACTGGAAAACCTGTTATGTGAGAAAAAACAAGGCTCAAAACATTTATTTCACGTGTTCCTACAGAATAGAATTGTCAAGTTTTCTACAGGACAGAGAGATGTAATAGGTAGTGGTCTCTGCATCTTCTTCTGAGAGGGGGTCTCTATTTCAGAATAAAACCAAGAACAATCTATGTAAAGAAGGCAGGATTGTCTCAAAGTATCTTCCACAAACTAAAAAGACAGAATTAATCCCAGCAAATCAGCATATGCAATGATCCAAAATCTCCAAAACACAAGTGTACTTAAGTGAAAGAGGAAGAACTGAGAATAATAAAACAAAAAGAGAAAGAGAAAAAGAAGAAAATTAATAAAACCAAAACAGCCCTGATGGGTAGATTTGAAGTGAAGGGAATAGAGACACTAAAATGCTAACATAAGATCATGATTAAGAGCAATCAGCAACTTACTGTGAGTGCTCTGAACTCATTTGGATAATTTTATAAAAGAAAGTTATTTGATAATAAAGGGAAAAGGGAGCAAACTCTGTATGAAGTACAAAAATCAATTATAACTAATGATTAATACAAAACAATGTTTGCCAAATTTGTAAATTAATCAAGAGAGACACTATTTTTCTAGCAAACCCATGTTAAACTCCCTTAAATGTTGGTTGACAGAGTGAATGAGCAACATACTGGTGTCACCTATTCTCTTCACAGAAGAAACCCGGACTATTAAAGACCTTTTGTTAGTGGTAGAAATGATGACATCTGTTACTCTGAAACTACACTCTACCTCAAGAATGGACCTTCCCTTGCATAAGGTGCTTTCTGTGAACAATTAAAACTCAATCCCTCCACTGTGGCTATAATAAGAGCTTCCCCTAAAGCTAAAAGCACTGTAGGAAAGTGGAAAAGTGTTAAAACCTGATTTACTAAAACAGCACAGGTATTTGTAGCATATTAACAGCCTTGTGTTTTTTCAATGCTCTACATTAAGTACAAATATCCTCCTAGCTATTAATCTAGCACAGCGTCTCTCACTGAAGGAGTGACAAAAGATGAAAGTAAATGTTCCTTAATGCAGCTCGTCTGGCTTTACTTAACTTCTGTAGGTGGATGGACATGCTTTTCCTTTTATTATCCCACAGTGCCTTCTACATAATCTCAGTTACAGATCACAGCACATCCCTTAATTACTTGTTAAAAGATCTTTCTCCAACACACTGTAGATGGGTGGAGGACAGAGAACACATTCTTCATCTGTGTATCTTTTGTACCTAGGACAAGGGCTTTCTCATAATAAGCATTTACTAGAAAATTTTTCCTGTATGAATCAGTTAAATAAACCCCCCCTCCAAGCCCAGTGGATCCAAAAATCACAGGGAGAAAAAAACTGGAATTCATTCTAAACACAGGGGAAAAGTTAACCCAAATCTTCCTTTAAAACACTGCTCAGAATTCAAGTTTCATTCTTCCCACTCAAAGCCACATTATATTCAACTCAATGCTAATGTTCCTGCCAATAGTGAATTTGTCTTTTTATAACTCTTCTACATTACCAGGCCTTCTAAAGCAAGAAGCTATAGTAGCTCTTAATACTTAGTGCAATGATGATAAAATGCTAAAATACACTATCACCTCCCACACAGTAAATATTGCTAATAGATAATTGCTAAAATAATACCCTTTTTTGCTATCAAGACAGATACAGACCAAGCTTCCTTAATACAGTGCTCCAGCGAATCACTATGGATTGGTAAGCACTGGAATATGAGTGGAATCATACTTGCCACTCTTGGAGCTGCCCATCAGATTTACACAGAGACTCACTACAGTCTGGTCTCCTTCTCTGACCCAATCTCCCAGTATTCTCCAACTCAGCTGCCTCTTCCAGCAATATGAGTTTGCAATATCCCATAAATGTGCCATGGTCAGATTTACCTTCCAAAAACAGTAGTAATAGATATCTGTTCATCACTTACTATGTGGTAGACAACTTTTACTCCCATTTAACAGATGACAGAACTAAGACATGAGATGGTTATGCACTACATGGTAAGAGCAAAAGACAAAATTTTTAAAGTGTTTATTATTATCTCACATACACTAAAAATGTATTATCTCTTGTGTAAATTATGCTTATTTGAAGGATTTCGCATTTACATCTGGACTCATTTTAATGTGCTAACTTGTATATCCCTCTCTTATTTCTATGAAAATTTTATCTTTCAAAGTCTTGTTGAAGAGCCATCTCCCTAATGAAGACTTCCCTGTAATAAATCTGTCCATTCTCTTAGATTCCTGCAATCGTGTCATTTATATAGTATTTAATCAAACCTTCTTGAATTGCTATTTAACATTTCATCTGCATACATGCAAAACACTGTTAAACTCCTGGAGGAGAAAGGTTGTCTCTCATACTTCCTTATTTTCTACTAATGAGTGTGATGCATATTGTAAATATACAAATAAATATTTTGTTGATGGATGCCACAAAGATAACACTACCTTATTAGATCTGCAAGGCTTACGTTTTAAGTTCCTCTTCTGATAATGCTAAACAATACACACTTTTCTATTTACAGTTTTTTTATTCTAGTCTCATTGCAACCAACATCATACACTTTAAAGAGCTGGTGGATTTTATCAACATTTAGAAATCCCTTTATACTTTCATACCCAGAAGAAAAATCTTATGGATATAAAGGTTCTAGATATTTTTAAAATATTTATAACTTCCCTTACTTTTAGGAATTTTGTATCAATGGCCAGAAATTTTTTTCTTTATATTTCCTTTTATAAAATACTTATATTTTCGCTGTCCTAAACAAAAAGAAAATACTCTTGGTCATTTAGTCTCTGGCTAGCCTTTAGGTACACTTGAAAATAACCATTATTAAGTGCCTGTATCTTTCTTCTCTCAGACTATTTCAGTTGCTTTAAATTTTTAACCCTTAAATAAATAAACATTATCTTAAATTTCCAAATGTCTATTCAATTTGTAAAGCCCAAAATTAAACAGTGACCTTAGGTAGGTTAAGACTTGTGCTGAACAGGATGGAAAGATTACCTCATGGTTGTCACATGTTATAATAACTAACCCAGTGAGTTTTCATTTTAAAAACAGTGTCTTACTTAATCAGTTTTTTATCTACTATAGTCTCTAAATCTTGTATATAACAAATATTTTCTATGTACAATTTCCTGCATTAGGTATCTGGCTACTATTTAAATACATTCAGTAATTCTCACAATGTATCCAGTTTATCAAAATCTATCTGAAATCTAACACTAGTTTTTAAATGGCTTTCATTTGCATTAGACAGCTGCCATGTGCAACTTGACCAAGCATTCTCTCTACACACAGACACAGACACACATACACACACACACACACACACACACACACACACACACACACACTGCATTAAAGTCATTGCTGAAATTCTATTTGAGGTCAGGATCAACTTCTGCATAAAACAATTTTACTTTCCCACAGTTGACAACATTCCAGAAAGATCTTGGGTACATTTCACTGTCCAGAGTTTGCACACAATGCTGGTAAATATATAGCTTAGTCTGTTCATTTTATCAATAAATATTGTGAGACTAAGTCAAAAACAGTACAAAACTTTGAATATGGCCGAACTTTTTAGTTTATTTCGCATTATTACTGAATGAGAGAATCAACCTTTACTAAGCGCCTAACAGGTGTTGCCATAAATTATGTCAAGTACTTTCACTACATTACTGATTTATGTCACACAAGAATTACATTTTATAAGTGAATTTTCAAAATCTGTCCAATGCCTCACTATTCATAAATAGAAGAGCCAGAATTTAAAGCTGTATAGTTTGAAAGCCTACATACTTTCTATAGCATGCCGCCTCCACTTTCACTTCTAGCAAATTTTCAGGTAACTAAAGAAGGAGGCTGGGTGTGGTGACTCCCACCTGTAATCCTAGCACTTTAGGAAGCCAAGACAGGAGGACTGCTTGAGGCCAGGAGCTGGAGACAAGACTTGGCAACATAGTAAGATCCCGTCCCAACAAAAAATAAAAAATAAGCCAGTCGTGGTGGTATACGCCCGTAGCCTCAACTACTCTAGTGGCTCACTTGAGCCCAGGAATTTGAGGCTGCAGTGAGGTATGATCACACCACTGCACTCCGGCCTGGGTCACAGAGCAAAACCTTGTCTATTTCAAGAAAAAAAAAAGATGCCATGGGGGAGCTACCATTTATGTTCTACTTCTTGTCTCCTTCTAGAACTCCTGGGTCAACCCGAACACCACCTTCTGTGTATAATAGTGAGCTAATCACTCCCTCCAGTGAGCTACCTCCATACCCTAAACTTACTGCTATTATTGTACATATCACCTTATAGTGTAATTATTTGTTTTCTTTGTCTTTCCTACCCAGCAATTTGCTCTGTATACACCAGATTCATGTTTAACTCATCATTAATCCCCAGGATCCAATGCAGTGCTTGTTTACCACCTAATAGATACAGTCTATTTTGCTGCACGTGCTGCTGTAACATGAATTACTTTATGTGCCACTAGTAATTAGGGGTCACATCAACGCAAAAGTCACATCATTTCACATGTGACTTTTCCAAACATGGTATCATTTCACATTGCCAAGTAATTATCAAATGGATGCAAGGTGTACTAACTGCCAATACAGCAAGCTACAAACAGGAGCTTCTACTTACCCTCCTTCTTTATCTTTGCTCAATTTGGCCAGAGCCTCTGTCTTGGAAATGCTTGTTGCTCGGTTCTCATCTTCATGCACTTTGCCCTTGTCTTCATTTTTTAGCAACCTCAACTCTACTAGAACCCCCCATCCATCCTTCTATAAAGTTATCTTCATTATTTTTTAATGTAAATTCCTATATCTACTATATAGTATGTATTGATTAGGAATTTGAAATTCTTTTTAGCGGTACAAGTATTTTTTTTTTTTTTGAGACGGAGTGCAGTAGCGCACTCCCAGGTTCAAGTGATTCTGCTGCCTAAGCCTCCCTAGTAGCTGGGATGACGGGAGCGCACCAACAAGCCTAGTTAATTTTTGTATTTTTAGTAGAGACAGGGTTTTGCCATGTTGGCCAGGCTGGTCTTGAACTCCTGACCTCAGGTGCTCTGCTCGCCTAGGCCTCCCAGAGTGCTGGATTACAGGCATGAGCCACTGCGCCTGGCCTGTACTAGTATTTTTATTAATACTGTTAATGCCATGGCTAATAAGTTGTACAGGTTTTGAGTAATCTCCTTCAGTCCCATTTTTCCCATAAACTGTCATTTTTAAGTCCAAAATTTTAAAAAACGTTAAGTTTTTAAGAAATGCACATAATGTCTAATAACAGAAATGCCTGTACTCAAAACATTTGACCAACTAAATTACTAAGCATCCAATACTTATCAGGCATTACTCTTTCATTCATTCAACAATTATTTACTGAATATCAAAGTGAATATTTACTACTGAATACAAAGTGAATGCACTGTGCTAGGCATGGGAGACACAACAATGATAAGCAAAGAATGAATGCATATATTTGCATGTGTATGTATGTGTGTGTGTGTTTTATATATACATATATATACATACACACATACACACAAACATACACACTTTCTGTATAAATACATATATACACACATACACACACTTTTGTATATATTCAAGTAAACAACCTTGAATTACATGTTATTGTTAGGGGTACATTCTAATCTCTACTTCAGCAGTTTTCAAACTTTTTCAGAAGAACTACTTTTCGTTTCTCCAGAGAAATTTTCAACAGAAACAAAATATAACAGATAAAAGCAGAGCCCGGCACACTCAACATGCCCTGTCCCTGGGACTCCTCCTGGAGCCTGAATGTTTTAAAAACCAGTGCTCTGGCAACAATACCCCACCCTTACATGACCCCTTTAATAAACAGAGTCTGACATGGGTTGAGAAAAATCAATTAGGTCATTATAAAGCTTCTAGTGAAAGTTTATTATCACTTGACTCCTCTCTCTTTCATCCCATACAGCTGCATTACTAGGAATACTGAGACTACTTCTGCCAGACTCTGTAAGGTTATATAGCCAACTGGGGCTTAGAGAAAAGGAAGCAGAGAGGAGATAACTTAGGCCAACTGTTTGAACTGAGGAAATCCCTCATTATCATAATGGTTAGATCTCAGATTAAGGTGAAAGCCTAGGGAAAAAGAGGTTTAAGACGTCATTCAACTTGAAAAGGCCTTAGCTTAAAAAAAAAAAAAATCAAGTAAACAAACATTCTCATAGATCACAAAAGATCTCACCAAAGTCACTAGGGTGGGAAAACAAAAAGGAGTTTAAGAATAGAGTCCTCTTTATTTAGGATACATTAATAAACAAAACATACAACATTCCCCTGCTCTATAACACTTACATTCTTGGGGGTGAGGCAAAGGGAGATATATATAATGAGCAAGTCAATTATATAGTATCTTAGAAGGTGATACACGATGGGGAAAAGGAAAGTGTGAAGCTGAGTAAGAAAGATCAAGAGTACCAGAAAAAAAAATGAGTAAAAGGGGAGGTTAGCAATGTTAAACAGGGTGGCCAGAGTGGTTTCACTGAGACCATAACCCTTGATAAAGACTTTAACAAAGGAGGTGATGGAGTTAGCCATGAGGATGTGTGCATTCCTGCATTTGTTGAATAGCCACAGGTCCAGAATGAATGGAGCACAGTGAGCGAGAGAGATGCATGGAATAGAAGAGGTAAGAGATGAGAGAGAGGTGGAAACAGAAGGCAGAACATGTAGAGGCTTACGGGTCTTTGTAAAGATTTGGACTATTACTCTGAGTCACTACAGAGTAATGAGCAGATCTAATTTACATTTTAGAGTACTCTGCTAGGTGAAGAAGAGACTACAGCAGAGCACAAACACAGGGAGATGAATTAGGCTGTCACAATTATCCAGGCAAGAGACGATGGTGGCTGAACAAAGGTAGTACAAGACCTAAGTGGTCAAATATTTTTTTCTTCATTCAAACACAGTCAAGTGGGTTCCAATCAATGTATTACATATTTTAATCCTTAAAAAAATACTAATAGCAATAGACTCTGTAATGGATCTCCACCTCCCTTCTTAGTATCTATGGATTGCTGAGCTATGTCGTGTCAATAAAATAAGTTTGTTGCTGAGTTCCCCACCATTTTCACTTTTCCTCATGAAACTGATATTTGTTTATTTCTATTCCTATCCGAGCTCATGTTATTTTAAAATGGTGTAGGGAAGAGAAATGGAGAGGTTTTTTTAAAAGTCTATATATTTTTCTTTTAAGTGCATAATTGTTTTCTTCTTTCTTCCCCAACCCAAGTGTATTTCAACAGAAACACATGTAAGCAAGCTATCTACCATCTTCTACACTAAGAAAAATACTGAGCATTGGTGGGACAGTTTTATTTATTTTCCCACTTCTAAATGTTATCATAATGACTCAAGTAAACTTTATTATTTCTTTACACTCTTAATTGGTAATCTGTCCCTTTAATTTCGTTTAATTTTTCAGAGAAAAATATATGCTTACAATATAATTGCTGACTTTTATGAAAGAACAGAAGCATTAGAAAGAAGGAATTTTAGTTGAGTTACTGAAAACAAAATGTAAGTTTAGGGGACTTGTAAAATTTTTTTAATTTTAGTAACTTCCTAGTATATGGAACCAAGTTGAGATTTTTAGATCACAGACTTTTCCTGTACTAAACAATTACTGTCCATAATACACCTTGAGAACTTAACAGTAGAAAGGGAATAAAATACCAATTATCCAATTTTATCATACACCTATTACGAGACATCATAAAGGATTTACTTAAGAAAAAGCTTAACAGTAATAGCCTCCTAAAAACATTAGGAACTATTCTCCACAACTAAAAGGAAAACTTTGTGTTTCCATATGTTTATTTGCTAAACCTTTTATAATAATGTCACGTAATAGCTGAAATAATGCTTTACAACTTTAGGCTCTCAGACATGCATTATCTTATTTATTCTACTATAATTATATGAGAACAGCCTGATGCTTAATGACTCTCAGAAAGATAAAAATCATCTATCAAAAACAAGAAGGGAAAATTATTTACTAAAATATAAATATCCTCACAGAAATGTTATTTTGATTTTTTTGGTAAAAGCATACTATAAGTGAGTTGAGAACAACTAAGCAGGCTAGATGTGCAGAAGGGGAGGGGGCCAGATCACAAAGGCAGTCTTACCTTCTGATGTTTTCCATCGTTTCCATAAATCCTCAATCGTTATATGTTTATCTTCTCTGTGCAGATGGCTGTGTTTATTAGTAGCATCTTTATATTTCATATCTTCTCTGATGAACTATAGAAGAGAAAACATTAAGTTAAATATAAATTCATTACCTTAGTCTTGACAACTAGAGAAAAAGATGAAATCTGATATCCAGTGGGTGACTATTTTCAAACAGTAACTGGCAAATTTTTGGTATTGTAGTCACATTATTCTTACATGTTTGTAAAATGTATTTAATGAAATGTCTTCTGCTACTAATCGTAACGCCACCACCACCAGCAACAGCAGTAGAAGTACTTAGTCAATGTTTATTATTTACCGGGTATTATTCTAAGTTATATAACAAATAGGTGTATACAGTCACCCCCTCCTTATCTGTGGGTTCAGTATTCGTGGGATTGAAAATATTTGGGGGAAAATGGATGGCTGTGTCTGTACTGAACAGGTACAGAGTTTTAAAAATCATTATTCCCTAAACAATATATTACAACAACTATTTACATAGCATTTACACTGTATTAAGTACTGTAAGTAATCTAGAAACAATTTATATGGGAGGATGTCTGTAGGTTATATCCAAATGCTATATCATTTTTATATAAGGGATTTGAGTATCCATGAATTTTGGTATCCGCAGGGGAAGAGGGAGTCCTGAAACTAATCCCCCACAGACACCAAGGGACCACTGTATATCTGTCCATACAGAGAAAGTCATTTACCTTTACGACAGTCCTATAAGGAAAGCATTATTTATCTTCATTCAATAGATGAGAAACCAAGGCCCAAAGAGGCTAAGTAATTTGCCCAAGGTTGAAAAAATAATGAATATCGAGCTGAAATTCCAACGCAAGCCATTTGGTTATATTCAACAGCATAATATACTGCCTCAATATCACTGCATTCATTTTTACCAAATACTTGGTGACAGCGATGTTTCAAAACATAATAAATAATAATCTTCTCAATTACTGCATCATATTTCTATGTTCTTCTGCCTTTTTTAAGCTACTACTTTTAATTCAAAGACATTTGATTATGGTGTTTAGAGCTAAAGTATACTTTACAAAACTGAAGTATACCTTCTATTAATCTTACTTTGAAATATAGAGAGAGATAGGCTGAGGCAGGAGAATTGCTTGAGCCCAGGAGTTTGAGGCTGCAGTGAGCTATGATTGCACCACTGCACTCCAACCTGGGCAACAAGGCAAGAACCTGTCTCTTAAAAAAAAAAAAAAAAGGCATTGAAATCATCTTTGCTAAAAACTAACCTGTTCTATATTACTTTTTAAACCATTTCCCATTGTCTAACAATAAAAAGCAAACTCCATTTTATGGCTTAATACCACTTATTAATCTTATCTCTGAGAATCTTTTAGGCCTTATCTCTTGATACTTTGCTCATATATGTACCCATTACTCTAATTATGTGAAACTAATAGTTTTTAAATTGTTTATGCTTTTTCTACCTCAATATTTTTTATTTTTCTTGTCTCGTTATTTTATATGGTATCTTTTTTTTCTATTGTTCCAAAACTATAAGATCACATAAAAGATTTCAGAAGTCCACAATGCAGAAACTGAAAATTCCCCCACAGCTACAAATGCCAGAGGCATATTTTTCTGACTTTTACACTGGCAATGAACATCACCTTCAGACAAAACACCAAATTCTGCCTGAGTAGAGTTGCTGTCTACTGAAACTAAAAAAGAAAATTTTAACAATTGTATAATATTGAGCAAATCATTTAACTTTTCTGAGGCTCAACAACCTTGGGAGCAAAATAAAGAAACAATGTTCTAGGATCAACAACACTGTTGAACATGTGGTCATTCAGCAGAGTAGTGTCAGCATTATGGCAATTAGAAAACACTTCCACAGCAACTGGGCCGAGCATATGATAAATATGCTCACCTTGTCCACCCTGTACATATATACTGGAAATTAAACATCTGGTCTTTCGTCATCAAAAGTTTGAAAAGTACTAAACTAAAAAAATCTATGTAATCTGTTGTCTGCTCTAAATAGTGCCTTACTCCTTTTTACTAAATGCTGCCTTAAGTTATATTTAAGGGGGCCTGCCTGAATGCTACAAGTCCTCCTGTCATCCAACTCTTCTTGACTGACACCTTCAAAATTCAGTAGAGACTACCAAAGAGATGCTCAGAAGTTGTCTCTATCTTGGAAAAAGTCCAAGAGCTGGAAAGAAATTCTAGACTGAAAATCATAATAATGGACATAGCAGGGAGGAAATCTGCCTTGGAAATGGTCCAATCAGTTGGAACAAATGGCAACTGTTTCATTTACGTAATATATATTAAAGACAATGTCCTAAAAAATTATCTTTACTACATGAACTCAAACAATCTAAACGTGCAGTTCTGTGATTTCAGGATCAATATATTACAGAAAATAAGCAAATTTCCACATGACTAGATGTGGTATTCTAGCCACTTAACTATTTTAGAAAAGCCAGAATGAGCTTATGGATATATGCCAAACATACTTAACAAAATAAAAGATTTTTTTAATTTTTTAAAACTTTTGAAGATACCTATAGCTCATATGGTATAAAAGAACTCCTAAGAATTCCTAAGAATTCTTAGAAATAAAATTTCTAAGAAATTTTATTTCTAAGGAATTTAATTTCTAAGAAATTTCTAAGAAAAAATAATAAAGAATTCCTAAGAAATAAAATTCCTAATAAAGTTGGGTGAAAATTGAATAAACACAATGAATTGTATTTTCCCTGGAATTACCATCTAAAAATACTTCTGTTTTAAAACAGAAGTATGTCTCCAGGATATCACAATAACTCGTAACAAACCACATGAAATAAAAGTATATTCTGTATCTTACAGATCTTCAACATGCTGATCACGGAATGTGACTAGAAACCAGTATAATTAGAAATATTTTTGTTTAGAAAATGTTTAAATGAACCAAACACATTAAAAATCATCAGGTTCTATGGAACCTTTTCCCAGTATCCTAAAGAAAAAAGCATATAATTCTGATTGTTCAGACTTTTCAAAAACTTTATTAAAAACCCCTCCTCATTTTAGCAATGAAGTAGGGTAACTACAGAAATTTTAAAACAGTCACCAATAACTGAAAATGCATACACAAAAGACAAATACTTCTTCTTTGTATTCATTTGTCAAAAGACAAATACTTCTTATTTGGAATTCATGAATTGAGAAATCTGAAAATAGGATCTGAAATTCAATGAAGTGAGTCTTCAAATAATGTACGGCAAATAATGTAGAGTTCCCTGGTAAATACACCCAATTATATGCAAACCTACTATAGGGAATCCTAAATTGACAAGGTACATAAGGGAGTGCTCAGCAAATAAATGACTACTGAATATTCTTTTTAAAAGATTCGCTCAGACGATTCTTTTAAATAAACTCTTCTAGTACCACTGAAAGTTAATGCTTTACATATCCAGTTTGGGGAAGTTAGTTTTCATATAATAAACTGATTTCAGTTTCTCATACCTGTAACTTAAATGTTGTATTTGTGCTGTTATTTTTATGACACCACTTTAATAAAATCTGATATATGTTATTATAGACACATTCTGGGGCTGTATTCAGGCCATACCCTTTTCCCAGACAAATACTCACCAACATTAGTGTAGATCCCTGTGTGTGTCTAGTCACCCCCTCTCAATCTATCATCCATAACCACAGCTATCTGATCAAAGGACTGACAGACACCTCACCTAGAGGAGAACAACCCTGAGCCTGTGCCAGGATGGCAGGATTCTTCTCACAGTAAATTATAACTGAGATCATGAAAAACTGGACCACTTGGCCATGGCTCTGGACTTTTAGGGTGATAAACACACTGATGTTGAATGTACCATTTTATGAGTAGTCGAGACAGTCTAGGTGGTAAGGCAAACAGAGGAAGCCAATAAATATGCAGAAAGAGAAAATAATGAAAGAGAACAGAGGTGACCACAGGGAAAGACATAGCACCAGGAACAGCCTCCATTCTTGGTGACTTTCTACTTTTAGTTCCTCGGGAGGCCTGTTTTGCACAATTTTTATCCTGATTTCCATAAGTCTGTTTCCCCTTCTATTTTTAGATACATAATTTTAAGACGTCAATACTCAGGAGAGGTGATTTATCATCATAGGCATGCAGACTCAAGTCTGACATATACTCAAAACCTGACTCCACTACTTACTATAAGACATTTGCAAGCATTTAAGTGCTCATTAGCCCCATTTTTCTCTTCTGTAGAATGAGGAAAATAAAATTGTCTACTACATAAGGTTACAAAGATTAAATTAAAAGGCATACATAGTATATGCAAAAGTGTTAGACAAAATATTTTGAGTGGTTTTTATATGTCCATGTTGAATCAATGTCAAAGTTTAAAACATGAATAAATGAGCATCACTCTGATTATATTGGAAGGTTTAATACATGTTTTGGGGAATATCAGACATTTATGTAAGGTTTCCCAATACACCCATTTCAGATATCCTGAAACAAAATACATAACAGGGATGGAGCGGAAAACCACCACAGTTTCTTTACTGACAATGTAAGCAGAGACTTTCCCAAACGACACCTGTCATCAAAACAACACAATGTCCAAGGTCTGATATGTGAGTCAGTAAAACAGATGGGTTCTTCATAAACAATTGCAAGGTCTTGAAAATACTACTAAAATAGCTTAGTATAATGTCTCAGAGGAAAAAATCCACAAGAAAAGTACTACTATTATTCCCACTTTTAAAGATGAAAAAACTAAGGCTAAGAGAGAGTCAGTAATGTATTCTATTTCATATAGCTATTTAAAAGGAGACCCAATTCTGGAAGTAAGTTTTAAAGAATTCTAAAGTCTAAGTTCTTCACCACCATGCTCACCTGGATGTTCTGTATAAATGCATGGATCCTAAACTCTTAGATGTGATAACATGTTAATAAAGCATGAACTGCCCATGTTTCTCTCTTCATCTTAAAACTGTTCTATCAAACAGATAGCACAGTGTTTGAGAGCACAGAATTGGTCTAGACTACACAGATATCTCAAATCTCCTACTTGTTTTATGACTGTAGTAAGTTACTTGACTCTCTGTGCTTCAGTTTTCTCCCCTGCAAAATGGTCACCTTCAAAGGGTTATGAGGATTAAGTTCTTTATTTCACATGAAGTGCAAAAAAAAAGTGCTTGGTACATAGTCGACACTCAATGTCAACTATTTTATTGTAAATCATTTATTTTTCAAAATAATGAGCTGAATTTTTACCTTGATTTACATATTCTGTATGATTTCTTGGACACGAATGAAGACAGTGTGAGGTACTACAAACACCAGCTGATAATCACTGATCTAAGAATTAAATCTACAAACAACAGCAATACCAAATCTTAACTGAAACTCACAACCCAAGACACCGTAATTTGTATAGAGATAGAGGTTACTATTAAGACATTCTTTGTTTTAATAACCTTGATCTCATCCTCTGATATGGTTTGGATGTGTCCCCACCCAAATCTCATCTTGAATTGTACTCCCATAATTCCCACCTGTTGTGGGAGGGACCCGGTGGGAGATAATTTGAATCATGGGGGCAGTTTCCCCCATACTGTTCTCGTGGTAGTAAGTCTCACAAGATCTGATGGTCTTGGTCTTATCAGGGGTTTCTGCTTTTGAATCTTCCTCATTTTCTCTTGCTGCCGCCATGTAAGAAGTCCTTTTGCCTCCCACCATGATCCAGCCAAAATCTACCATTAGGCTTTGGCCTCTGATGCCAGAACTCTGCATACCTAAATACCCACTTGAGTGTTTCTTGCCATCCATTACTTAGACATGATCAATACTCACACAATCACATAAGTTAACATTATATCCAATCACCATTACATCAAAAATATATATAGCAAGTCATTTGGAATTAACATTAATATTCATGTTAATATTCACTTTAAGTAGAGGTAAGCATTTCAGATTTAACAAATGAAAAAAATCTCCTTCTGTGTTTTATTTGCTAAACTTTAGTAAGTCAGAATTTGCATTACCAGCAAAGATGAGGTTACAGGGACCGGATTTACCATACTCACAGGCCCTCAAAAAACAACTAAAAAACAGACACAATATACAAACAACAGTTTTCAAGATACTGAACACAAGGCATGAACACAAGGCACTGAACACAAAGAACAGTGATCCCTGAGATGACCAGAAACAAACAACTGTGCCGTATGACTGCCCTAAATGAGTTCCTGGAGAGAATTTCTAGGAAAAGGTGCAAGAAGAGGGAACCCAACAGTGCCACGCAGTTTCCCTGAGTTGAAAAGACGGGACTTTGTGTGGGAAATGGCACATTCGTACATCTGTGGGAGTACAAACTAGTGTAACCTTTGCAGGGGGAAAATTCTAGCAATATCAATTAAAATGTTAAATGCTCATTACCTTTAACCAAGAATTTCTACTTTTCAGAATTTATTCTATAGTAACGCTCAGATAACTGTATAAAAAGTTCAAGAGTTTTCATTGCAATATTATGAATAAAAATTTTATGACTATCCAAACTGCCCACCAGTAATAAACATTTGACAAATTATGACACCATCAGGGCAAAATGTAAAAGCAGGTATATCCGTTTACCCTTAATAAAAAAGAAAAGCTTACAATATAGCTATCTGATATTTAATAAAATTACATCAGTTGAGTTTGATCACTCTGGAATTTGTTTCATGCTGATTAGAAGCTTTGATGGCTGATCTGATACATTTAAAAAAAAAAGAACAACAAACCTATGAAAGCTTCTAATGTACATTTTCATACTCTCTCTTAACTTCTAGCCTAATGTTACTTGGGTCCACCAAGGCACTGCTTGCTAACTCCCAAGAACAACACAGCATTCCCAGAGTCATAGGGTCACATGAAAGGAGGCATTCTATCAAAAAACACCTTTGTCTTAGTCCATTTTGTGCTGCTATAACAGAATAACTGAGACTGTGTGATTATTTATAAAGAACATAAGTTTATTTTTCTCACAGTTCTGGAGGCTGGGAAGTCCAAATCAAGGCACCAGCATCATCTGGTGAGTGCCTTGTTACTACATCCTAATATAGCAGAAGGCTAAAGGGCATAAAAGAGCACCCACTCCCACAGGCCCTTTTTATTGTGGCACTAATCCCCTCATAGTCTAAGCACCTCCCATGAGGCCCCACCACCCACCACTGTTACATTGTGGATTAAGCTTCCAACACATAAATTTTGGGGAACACATTCAAGCCATAATGCTTCTTCCAATCTGAATTTATGGTTCAAGAGAGAATCAAAATTTCTATCTAAAACAGGAGTGTGTAGATTGTACCATAGGTATGCAGTTTTTGTACATAAGATAATACCAATAAGACAAAAATTATATATTGAAGAAGCTTTTAATTTCAACAGAGTCAACTGAAAGCTGTTTTGTGTCATAAAAACATAAAGACTACAATTAGTCTGAATGCTTAAAACATGAAATAGCTGTCACTGGTTCTTTTTGATACTAGAGCTCTAATTAAGTTGTAGAGCACTAACAGTGGAAATATATTGCAGATAAGATTATGTGTTATATGGAAGGCCAGGTAATTATTTCTAGTATCCATCACTGAGAATACCGTGTGTTACACTTACTTTCACGTTAAGTGAGTACCTGTAAGCACTTAAAAGAAAGCTATATTGTATTTATAAAATACAATTTAGAAATATTCTTCATTAAAATATTTTAAGTATTCAATTTGATTAATATTTTTATAAAGCAAAAACGTAAAAACTTATGTATATATTTGCATATGATTTTATGAACATAAAGAATGTTACAGGAGAAAAATCACAAGCAGTAACACTGATAATGAATGGGGGATGGGATGGGCCATCAGGAAGATAAGAGGAGGAGCCAAGGAGGAAATACAATATTTACACATTAAACTGTGAGCACCTGCTTAAGTTAATACACACACATACGCAAATTCAACCATAAAGACCCTGAAGTAAGATGGAGGCATTTCAGAGTGAGACACAGGAAGCAGACCTAAAACTGTATCAGAACTGTTCCTCAAGCACACTGATTAGAGGTTATTACCACTTTCTTTGGAAAGAGAAGCTGGATACCAATTTCATAACCACTATAGGGCCTTTATTTCACTATACATATATATAATAAACCACACATAGTTCTCATTGAAAAAGAAACTTTACATTAGTACTTATAATTTTAATGATGAGTTATATAGTTCATCTAGTCACCAATAAAAGAATTTTACTACTTAACTATGTTAAAATACATAGAGGACTGTGAGATAAAATAAAGGTCAATAATTTAGACCATAAGACAGATCATACCAAAGTAAATTCTGGAGTTGCTACTTTTAGAAATATTTTGAATGAATACAGACATTGATAATTATGAGAAAGCTTTGTGGCACTCAGCATTCAGAGAATAACTCTGGCTATAAATATGGATAATATTAATAAAACCCAAAATATAATGTATCAAAATTAATTTGTCAAGATTTACTATGTAATAGGATAAGGAAAAATAAGAGACTATCTAAACAAAAAGAAAAGCAATTCTATTCTAAGTCCGTAAAAAGTGATATTGGAAGATTAAGACTGAAGAAAAAATAATATTCTACAAAGAAACAAAATGAATACACTGTATGTACTGTGTCAATTCACTAGGGTGTGCCTTACCTATCATCACCACTTAATAGTCATTATTCTGTAGTTCTCCTCATTTTTACTTCTCAAGGAAGCTAACAAGAATCTTCTAACAACCAAAGACTTGGTTTCTGAGAAGTCACTAGCCCTTTGTTACCCAATAATCCCAAGACTACTAATGGTCACTGCAATATTAATTACAATTTCCTTTAAAAAAAAAAACTAAAGAATTAGTAATACATAATTTATCCCACAATGTCAGAAAATGAAGGCATTTCCAGAATACTGAAGGCTGCCTCTTTTAGCACCAAAACATTCTAATTTTAAGCAATTTTAGTGGAAAACATTCTAAAATAAACTGCCTTATCATATGAAGTTTTGGGGAGGGGTTAAGATTTTCTTTTTATAGAGACAATGTCTCACTATGTTGCCTAGGCTGGTCTCGAACTCCTGGGCTCAAGCAATCCTTCCAACTTGCCTCCCGAAATACTAGGATTTCAGGCGTACGCCACTGTGCCTGATCAAATACAAGGCCATCATTTTGAACACTACTTCTTTTTGCAAACATGTCACGGTCTGCCAGTTCGTCCCCTCTGTGGAGATGCATGTTTGAATTGAGGAAGCCTAGCCAATAAGACTATCCCTATTCCACAGGGAGGGGCTGGAGGTAGGCATATGACCATGTCAGAACTATTAGAACCAATATGAATCCCACTCAGCACTTTCGTTGGAACACCTGGAAAAAATAAGCTCTCTCTGCTGTGGCCACAGAAAACTAGCAGGATTTGACCTAGAGCTGTTGAGAGATATACAGGGAGAATGAACCTGAGAATAATACGGCCAGCAAAGAAAGCAAAGCTGAGAGAGAGTGGCAGAGTTCTGATGACAGGTGTTCGAGCACAAGAATCCAATCATACCTGAACAATTCTAGATTGTTCAGCTATATGACCCAATACATTTCCTTTTTGCTTTTGTAAATTAGAATGGAATTTTCACCTGCAATATCCCTATTATGGAATGTTTACAGCATGTAAAAATTTTCCTGATTATAAAGAAAGATCCCTGTATATATATTTTTGCCAACTTCTGATGATTTCCTTTGGATAGGTTCTTAGAAAAAGATAGACATACGATTATAAGGCTTTTGATACACAGAGTCAAGTTGCCTCTGGAACAACTTTTATTATTTTTTTTTCATGTGTGCAAAGTACAGTTGTTAAAAACAAAACAACAGAAACAGAATGAAGAGGCCGTGGCTTCCGTGGGGCAGTGCCAAAGCAGAGCCCCACACACTCAGACCTGGGGAGGAAGCGCTTTATGCTCCAACAGGTCTAGGGCTGGCGAGCAGGAAGATGGGGTCTCACGTGTTGGCCCTCGTGGCAAAGAATGGAGATCTGGTGAGGCTGATGGAGGGCTGGAGAAAGCCTGATCAAGATGCGGCTGTGGCCTCAGCCCCCTCCTCCAAGTCCCACACTTCTGACTGCAGATAATCTGCAAAGAGAGCCCTGGCCCGGCCAATTTCCCCCACTCCCCACCCACACTGGTATTATGAGTACCTGAATCAAGACATTTTCACAAGCTTTATCATTTTATATATATATTTGTACCATTTGAAAAATAAAATGTAATACGTTTCGATATGAATTTATTATAATTTTAAGATTATAAATTCTCAAACTTTTATTAACTATTTGTATTTCGTATGTAAAATGTTTATTCCATACTTATTTTAATATGGGAATCTGTCAGTGTTCTCTCTAATAAAACAGAGAAAGAGAGACAGAGATGAAAGAAGAACAGCATCCCTCCAACCTCCTAAGTTCTGATGTTATCATGGGAGAATACAACACTTGGAGCTACTGCAGCCATGTCCAACCATGAGTAGAAAGCCAATGAAAGAAAAGCTAACGCAGAGACCTACACATCACTGAGCCTCTGTACTAACCTTAAAACCATTTAGCTCCTCACTTATGATAATGCATTTTCAAATATTAAACTCCTATTGTTCAAGCCACTTGAATTCAGGTATTCTATTACTTGCAGCCAAAATCATCCTAAAATATAGTCAAATAAAACTCTAGCTTGCTAGTCCCCATATCTTAGGTCTAGTATACAGGGTCTGGAATCATTTAATGACCAGTAGTAAGCAAAGATGGTTTTTGACACAGGGAAATAACACAAGAGACCGCGAATTATAAGAAACCACAAAACCAAACTGGTAAACTGATGTAATAAACCAGATTATCCAACTGCATATTTTTATGTCTATGCATCCTTTTTCTAAAGATTAAGGGATATAAAGCCATTCAAAATTTGTTTCAGCTTTGTAGGAAGCAAAAGGAAAGGGATATGCCATCGGAAAGTCAGAAAAAAAGAGTGCACAGAAGTGCAAGCATACAGGAGCATGTGGACATACATGTGTGCACGCATGCGTGCGCACACACACACACAAACTAGTCAGGTGACTACAGCAGCAAATAGTGAGGCCCCTCACACAGAGAAGAAAGATATCTGGAAGTAAGAGTCAAAGCTATGACTTGAGCAGTTCCACTCATCAGATTCTTCCTCCATTACTAATCTTAAAGAATCAGGTTTGATCAGACTACATTAAGGGAACGGACAGGTTCTTATCACAGGTTCCAATAAGTTCTGTTAAGTAATCACCTATATTTTCTTCTAATTTTGGTATAGTTTCACATTTGTCAATTTTTTAATATATCTGGTTTATTTTTGATATAAGGTGAAAGGTCAGAATTGAGTTTCATTCTCTAAATCTTAACTCATTACTCAAGCATTACTTATTGAAATAACTTTAATATTCCCAATAATCTGCAACACTATCTTTATACAACTGAAACATGGTAGGACATCAATGTTTGCCTATGGTTCAACTTAACCATAAACATACACAGTTCTGTTTCTGGGATATTCCATTTACTTTTTTCACTTTAATACTAATAGAAGAAAAATAATGATTTTTGCATGTCCAACTAACATTAATGACATCATATACAAATGCAACAATTTTACATATAAGACACATAGCACAAATCTAACTGACATCACTATAATGTTGTAAACATGCCATGGATTCCGAGACTTTATTTTCTAGAGCAGTTTTAGGTTCACAGGCTTGTTAAGTTCACAGCAACACTGAGTGAAAAGTACGAAAAGTTCCCAAATACAACTTAAATTTATGAGAAAAAAAAACCCCATTAAAAAGTGGGCAAAGGACATGAACAGACACTTCTCAAAATACGACATACATACAGCCAACAAGCATATGAAAAAAGCTCAACATCACTGATCATAAGAGAAATGCAAATCAAAACCACAATGAGATACCACTGCACACCAGTCAGAATGGCTATTATTAAAAGTCAAAAAATAACAGATGCTGGAGAGGTTGTAGAGAAAAAGGAACACTTTTACACTGTTGGTGGGAGTGTAAATTAGTTCAACCATTGTGGAAGACAGTGTGGCCATTCCTCAAAGACCTAGAGGCAGAAATACCATTCAAACTAGTGTATCTCATTACTGGGTATACACCCAAAGGAATATAAATCATATCTATCATTATAAAGACACATGCATATGTATGTTCACTGCAGTACAATTCACAATAGTAAAGACATGGAATCAACCTAAACGCCCATCAATGACAGACTGGATAAAGAAAATGCAGTACATTTACACCATGGAATACTACACAGCCATAAAAAGAACAAGATCATGTCTTTTGCAGGGACACAAATGAAACTGGAGGCCACTATCCTTAGCAAACTAACACAGGAACAGAAAACCAAATACTGCATGTTCTCATTTGTAAGTGGGAGCTAAATGATGAGAACACATGGACACATGGAGGGGAACAACACACACTGGAGACTCCCAGAGGGTGGGGGGTAAAAAGAGGGAGAGGATCAGGAAAAGTAACTAGTGGATACTAGGCTTAATACCTGGGTGATGAAATAATCTGTACAACAAACCCCCATGACACACATTTAATGATGTAACAAATCTGCACATCCTGCACATGTACTCCTGAACTTAAAAGTTACAAACAAAAAAGTTCCCAAATACTCTCTATTCCCACAACATACACTTTATTCATTTAAACATTCACCATGCACTATTAGATTTGAAAATCTTTATTGAACCACCTTCACAAATCCATGTACATAAGAATACATACGCATAGAGTTAACAGATAGTGTTGGGGAAAATACTATTCACGTGATTGACGAGAAAAACAGATATTCATTTATTGTTAATTGACAAACAACATTTTGTAACTTTGTGTGAGAAGCTTCTCACAAGTTACTAGAAAAGATTATTACACAATAGAAAAAAATAAACTTTTACAATACTAGTGTGAGCTCCTTGGTATCTTGTCACTCTTAATTGGAGTATTTAGTAATGGCTTCTATTTTAACAAATTTTAATTTGCATTGAGATAAAACACCATGAATGCACAATGCAATTATTTACAAAAATATTTACTGAGTATCTATTATGGACCAATGGTGGGAATAGAGCAAGACAAAAGAAACAAAAATCCCTACCCTCAGAGAGCATACTTCCTAGCATGTGAGACCCAGAAACTAAGAAAACAAGTCAAATCAAAAGTATATTGTTACTCGAAGCAAGTAAGGTTAATCTGCTAAGGAAATAGGGAATAAAAATACTTAAATATTTTGCTTGTATTTTAAAAATTAAAGAACAAGTAAACCATAAAATAAGAGGGGGAAAGGTTATCTTTAAAGGGATGGAGAAAATACGGTATATGAGACAAAGACAGAAGTGATACTTTTTGCATATACTTTGTTTCCTAGATTAGACTGTGGAACCATGTATATATTTGTATAAAACAATAATTATAAAAACAAAATTAATTTTAAAAGGTAATCCTTAAAAATCACAAGTAAAATAAAACAATTCAACCTAACCACATTATCTAGATAGTGGTATAACCATACAGTTAGGAACTATCCTCACTGATTTTAATCATATTTGCCTAGAGGGATATGTCTATAAACAAAAAAAAGAACTCCAAGATAATTAAACTGTTTTTGGTAATTACACCACTGGTTTTAACATTAGTATTCTTATCCTGACTAGTTATGCTGGTATTGTTAAGAATCAAAATTTTCAGTGTGACTACAGGAAAATACAGGGGTAAGACCAATAAAGTTAAATTAAAACCCTGTAGTACTAAATCTGAATCATAAATATCAGACTGAATTCATAGTGTATATTATCTTTGAAAAAAAAGTAACAACAAAATATTTCTTAGCCCCATCCACTGAGAAGACATAGAAACAATGACTAACGGAGCGCTGCTAGCACTTGGATTGGGGTCTATCAGATACTGTTTCTGACTAAACAAAATTAAAGCTCCTTGAAGAAACAGCTGAAGAAAGCAGAACTCTGGGGCCAGAAATGTACAAGCTGGACATGGAACATTTTGTCACTGCGGAAAGCAAGAAACCTATCAAAGGCGAGGTTGTGCCTAAAGGATCCAGGTGCGAGCCTAAGTAAGTTTCCACTGGCCAAAACTGGGGCAATTTAAACAACAACAAAAAAGATAACATAGCCTGAAGCTCATTTAAAATCATGAGTTCATGATACTAAACATACACACAAGCCTGCCTCTCATTGCCTTTAGAGGATCCTTGGAAACTACCTAATTATTTTGAATATGTGTAAATAAGGGGATTCAATCAATCATTTTTCTTGCCTTTCCTATACAAACAGGAAACCAAATAATTGATGTGTTAAAATGTTTCTTTAAAGAGTATTCCAATTAATGAAAAAAAAGGATAGAATTAAAATACTGGCATTTTTTCAACCATTAATAAATTAATGAATCCCAGCAACGATCAACAATGGCAGATGAGATCACAAAACATCAAGGATGATGCCAAATTTTTGGGCCCACTCAAAGATTGTTATAATGCAGCTGTTTAAACAGCAACTCCATTGTAAAAAACAAAGACAAGAGAGAAGAGATTTGAGTCAAGCAAGAAATCAGGACTCAATTTTAAACCTTAAATTTAAGATGACTAATAGATATCTAAGTAGAGATGTTGATGCAGTTGGATATATGAAGCCAGAGCTCAGGACTCGGTTACAGGGTATGTAAAAGCCTTGAAATTAGGTAAGATAACCAAGAGGGTCAGTAAAAATAAGCAAAGCAATGTACAGACTAATACGTGTAGTCCAAGGAGATAAAGGGGAAACCAGCAAAAAAACTGAAAAGCAGCAACCAATATAGTAGAAATAAAATAAGGATGGCATGGTTTCTCTAAGATCAAGTTTTTTAAAAAATTGCTTTAAAAAGGAAAATATATTAAACCATATCATGACACTAGTGAGTGATATGAAGACTGAGAACTGAACACTGCATAGCCACATGGACATCACTAATAAGCACAATAAGAATAATTTTGGTGGTGTAATGAAGTCAAAAGCCTAAGTGAGCTCAAGAAAAAACAAGAGGAGAGAAACAGTACAGAAGTCCTTTTGAGAGTTTTTGTTTTCTAATCAAAGGAGGGAAGAATGAGGCAATAACCAAAGGGAGAAGGAGAGTCAAGAAGTTCTTCTGTTGTGTGTAAAGGTAAGAAAAATAATGCCAGGTTTGAACACATGAGCAAATTACAGTAGAAAAGGGAAAATATGGTTGCTGAGGAGAGAAAAATTGCAAAAGGACTGCCTTAGAGTAGGGATAGGGGATGAGATCAAGTACACAGGTAAAGAAATTCACTTTGCAAGAACACAGACAGTGAATCCACAGTAGTAGGAGAGAAGATAAAGCTTATGGACACAAATGCAGATGGTGAGCCCCCAGTGGTTATCTGACACAGACAGTGAGAGAAAAAAACTTCCCAACCCCAATCGTAACATCTACAGTTAGTTGTTAGATTGCTGGGATAAGATTTTAAACATATCACCAAGTATGGGAAATAAACTAGCAATGGAATTTATTTTTAAATTAGTGACCAAACAATACACAACAGGTTTTACAGTAATACAAAGATTTCTCTTCATTGTCTTCTACAAAAGAAAGTGAAAGTTTTAAAATTTGAGAATCAAATCTCAATTAATACAATTGAGTGTGTAGTTTTCAAAATTCATCAAACTATACACCTAAAATCTCTACATTGAATTGTATATAAAATATAACTCAAAAAACTTTAAGCCATTAAGAATTTGAAGGAATTCATTATGTTATATAGGCACAATTTTATTCATTAAAAAGATACTTACCTTTAAAAGGTACTGCTCATCTCTTAGGATCTTTAAGAAAGCCAATAATTAGGAGATCCCATTAATTTGCTACATAGTATAATTTTTAAATGTCCTTTTTTAAGGGGAGAAAGTAAGAATTTAAATCTCGCTGCCATCAGTGAGATTCAGGGTAATAACTATAACCCATTTCTTTGAACATGAAAATCCTCTATCAATATTCAGGGAATACTGGCTTATTAGGCCTTCTGCTTATAATCTACAGAAAATTTCATTTCCCCCATCACCAAACATATGCTCTGTAACTAATGTTGGACAGGTAAAACACAAAGAGTGAACTGGATAAGGGATGGAAAATGGAAATACGGGTCAAGCTAAACTACAAACCAACAAATACCATAAAGGAATAGTGCAATGCAAGAGATTACTTTGGCTTGGAAGAAGGATGATAGAAGAAAATACAAAAAACAAGAAACAGAGAAAAGATTCCACTTGAACTAAATCTTTAAATTAATCTTAAAAGATGGTTTGACAAGCAAGATGAAACAAGAGACTGAACGAAATCCTAAGGGAAATGCCTGTATACTCATGAGAATACAGGATGTGTACAAAAAGCTGTCTGTCAGTAGGTCACTTTGGTTAAAGTAAAGAGCACACAAAGAAGCTTCACAGTAAGTGATCATGGCTACAAAGGCAGAATATGACCAGACTGTAAAAGATCATGAATGTCAAACTAAGAAGCCCAAACCATATTTGGAAGACTATGGCAGCAGTTCTCAGAGCATGGTCCCTGGACCAGCAGTATCAGCACTGCCTGGGAATCTATTAGAAATGCAAATTCTTGGGTCTCATCCCAGACCTACAGAATCACAAACTCTGAGGGTGGGCCCAGCCATCTGTGTTTTAACAAGTCTTCCTGGCAATTTTAATGCATACTAAAATTTGAGACCACTGGACTATGGGGCTCTAATATAAATTTTTGAGTAGGGGAGAGAATAGCAAAATATTATGTTCTAAAATGTTTAAACTAAGTAATAATTGTCAAAATGGATTTACAAAAAGGAAAAGATAAGCAATGGCAAGACTAGTTAGAAATCAAATAATAATAATAAAACTCAACTCAGAGAGGCAGACAAAGCAGCAAACAAAGATAAGGCTGGAGCACTAAGCCTCCGTTGTAGGTAAAACAGTGATACCACTAATAAAAACAACACCACATTTAAAGAGAAATAAGAATCAGTGTTTTTAAGGAAGGCAGTGATGGGTCCAGCATGAGACTTTCTAAAAAGAAAAGCACAGACAGAAAGCAATGTATTTCATTAGCACTTAGGACACTGAGTTGGAGATCTGCACAGGCCAAACATGAGAATGAAATTGTGGACAGAAGAAAGAACTGAATATTTGCAGAAGTGATCATTAAAACCATGGGCCTGAATAAAATGTCCTAGGAAGTGAAAGAAAGAGGCCCAAAGATAAAAATCTTACCGAAAACATACACACTTATGGTGGAGGAAAGGCAAGAGCAGGAAGAAGGAAAACCAAGCAGGTTCTTTTCAATCCTATCCTCAACAACATTAAGACTCCAGTCAGACCGCATGATTTGCTACTGAGTAAACCAGCACTCAAGGGGCTTGCTTTAGTACTTCCCTGTTCTGCACCTACATCACGGCATGTGCTTCCTATCATCTAAACCCATGAAAACTATTCCCATTTCACAAAGTTCGTCTTAACGACTCTACGCAGAGCTTTGTTTGATGCTCCCCTAACAGATGTGCATCACAAGAGCATGCCACGATTCATGTGTATTACTAGGACATCGTTTGCCGTAACATGCCTTGTGGTATATACATACATGACATTATATGCCCTACTAGACAGTTAACTCATGGGGCCTATATTCAGTTTTTCAATCTGCCCCATATTTAGTACAGTGCTAAATATATAAACGAGAACTTCAAAATCTTACATGTGTTTTGTTTTTAACCAAGTGGTCAACAATGCCCTTAGACCTGTTTGCCAAGCCCTTCAGGAGGCCAAAGAAAAGAAAACAAAGGGAAAATGAGAACAAAACAAAAACCACGCATAAAAATTTTCAAACATCCCCAATTAACACTTAAAAGACATTTCAGGTACTTGTATGATATTAAAAAATAATAAAGGTCAGTTAGCAAGGACTGACAATTAAAGTAAAAGGCTCTTAAATATTCATTATCAATTGTTTGTAACATTTTCAGGATCCCGGCAAAATATTCTTTAATTTTAAAAAGTTATCTTTATCCGATTCAGCCCTTTAGATCCAGTAAGATTATTAAAAGGCCAGTGGGGTGGTACAAAGCATGTCATCAATATTTGGTAGTACCAATGCTAAGTCAAGAACAATATCAGGCCAGACCCAGAAAGGCCAAGATAGAAAGTCTAATACAGATTTAGTAAGCAGGGGAAAGAGGCAAGGTGAATCCTCCAGCCAAGCTCAAGATAAGACTCAAGATAACTCTTGGTAGAGTCCTTAAGATGGACCGTGTCAAATAGGAATAGTTCTCACGAGTTTAGATGATAGGAAGCACATGCCAAGATGTAGGGGCAGGACAGGGAAAAAGTACTAAAGCAAGCCCCTAGAGTGCTAATTTACTCAGTATGGTAAGATTCAAACCAAAATACAGGGAACAAGCAGGGTATGAGGTCCTAGTAAATGAACTAAATACCCAGAAGTTTCCAATATTAACATTAACAGACCATCCAATATTAACAGAAACCCAGTTCAAGAATGTATGCAGAGAGCCTCTTTCAGCTTCCACGGCTCAAAACTGAATACAAGTTAAAAATTTTAAAATTTAAAAAAAAACAAACTGGAAATTATGCCTAAACATGTTATGAAGAATGAACAGTAGTTGGAACAGTTGGACTCTAATCCTAGTGCTCCTTACACACACTATGTAACTTAAATAACTTAATCTCTCTTAAGCCTCTGTCTCCTTATCTATAAGAGAGAACACTTCTGTCCATCTCAAAAAAGTACTGCTGAAGATAACGTGAGACAGCATTAAATGTGAGGTTATCTGAGGATAAGAACTATTTACCTTACACCTCCCTGATATAGCTTAGCACTTTACCTTACGACAATCCAAACAGCTTTCTAGAGCAGAACTCTCTCCTGAGACTATGTGATCAGTGACTGCAGCAGTCAGTGCTTGGAGAACTTCCTGCAGGCTAAATGCTGGATAGGTTCATAGGAAAACTTAAGACTATTATATAAAATTCTTCAGTTATGAAAACTTGGTTACCTTTGTTTTTGTGGTAAAAACACAAAAGATCTACTCTCCTAGCAAAGTTCAAATATATGATACAGTATTATTAACTATAGTAACTAGCTACACATTAGATCCCCAGAGTTTTTCATCTTATAACTGAAAGTTTGTACCCTTTGACATGTGAGGTGATAAGACTGCGATAATAATCATTTCACAATGTATAAAGATATCAAATCACCATATCATATACCTTACATATACACAATCTTTATTTGTTAAATATACCTCAATAAAGCTGGGGACATTTTTTTGTTTTAAAAAAAAAAAGAAAATTTGGGAAAACCAAGAAATGTGCTACTGAAAAAAAAATTCTAAAAGTCAATGAAAGAGTCAACATTATTTTAATATAAGAAAAAGCTATTTTTCTTTTAAAATTTATTTAAAAATTTTAAAAGCTATTTAAATTTAAGCTATTTAAATTATTAAGCTATTTAAATTTATTTCCAGAGGAAAAAAAGACAAAAAATCACTTATCTGCAAAAAAGAAAAAGGAATGGAAAGTTGCTGAGTGTTTCCGTCATGTTAGTAGAAAACAAGCTATACAATACAAAAAGACTCAGACTGATAAACCAAACTGAGGTAGAGCCAGTGTTTAGCAGTAGCAGAAATCTTGGCACAAAACTTAGATCAATTTAATAACAACTTAGTGAGGGAGCAAGACAAAGATAAAGGTAAGTACAACTGAAGCAGGCTGATAAGCCATATGGCGAAGGTGATTATATGGCCCATTTGCTTAGGACAGTCCTCGTTTACACCCTTTGTCTGGATGTAATTATTAATAACACTCTCTTTCACTCAGAAAAAATGCCAGTTGGGATAATAAATTATATGGCCATCCTATCTATAATAATAATAATACAAGGCTAATAATGTTAATGTTACAGTAAAGGCACAATTCAATTCATTTGTGAAATGGGAATAAACAGGTCTGTACTCATCAAAACATCTTTAAGGTGAGATACTATGTGAAGTGTCCTAAACTCGCAAAAAAGTATATTAGATCAATGCAATGCTGTGCTGTGATGCTGAAAAGGCTGAGGGAAGGAGTGGGGAGATGGCAGCACTGGCAGTACCATCAGGCTGGAACTGAAAAAGGGAAGTGCAGACACACTGTCCTGTCCTAATTCACAACCCTACTCCCACTGCTCTGCCCCCTTCCGGTCTGTAACAATGTTTAATAGGAAATTCTTGTTGCAGTAAACTAAAAATTAATGAAACAGAAATTAGAAATAATTTTTAATAAAAAATACATAATTACCATATGGTCTGACTAATGAAAGCAAAAATAATTTGGGAAAGGGGCTAAAACAGTCATTAGTTGAAGCAGGGGTTGTGGCAACTCCCAGAAAAAAGCAAAAGGCACCAGGCACAGTGGCTCATGCCTGTAATTCTAACACTTTGAGAGGTTGAGGCAGGTAAATCGCTTGAGCCCAGAAGTTCCAGACCAGCCTGGCAACACGCTGGAACCCCATCTCTACAAAAAATATAAAAATTAGCCAGGCATGGTGGCTCATGACTGTATCCCAGCTACTTGGAAGGCTGAGGTGGGAGGATGCCTGGAGTCCAGGAGGTCAAGGCTGTGGTGAGTCATGTTCACGCCACTGAACTCCAGCCTGGGTGACAGAGCGACATGCTGTCTCAAACAAAAAAGGCAAAAGGCACTGGGTTGAATGTTTCGATGCTCCATACTATGAAATGATTTCAGAAGTTTTTGGTTCTTCATACACAGATCTCATACTACAGTCAGTTATTCTCAGTTTATAAGTAGGTTGCATTTAAGAGTATGTATCCACTAAGTGAAGCATATCTTTCCACAGAAACTATGTTATGGTGTTTAACTTCCTAGTTCACAAAATCCTATTTAATCTGTATATAACTGAACTATATACAACCAATGGTGTTTCTCAAATGGCCTATGACTAAGACAGCCTCAGCAAGAGGGAACCCCCAATAATAAATCAGAACTCAAGCATAGAGATTAGATAGTCTGGATGATAAGAAACAGTAGAATAAGAGAAAGCTGTTTTCTATTGTGGTTGCTTTGAGGGACAAGCAGATACATGACCACAAATGCTCTGGGAGGATCAGCTCTTATCAAATGTCATAAACAAAAAGATAACTCAACAGCAGTTGGTAAATGAACTGGAAAAGCAAGAGACAGAGAAGAAACTCCAGTAAATAGGTTACTATAATTGTCAGGACATAAGGACATAAGTACTAAACTAAATAAATGCTGGGACCAGGTAGAAGTTTCACAATTTAAGTAAGAAATATTCTAATATAAAATCATCAGATGTTTTCTTAAAATCTGTCTCAATAACTTGCACAATGATTCTTAACCATCTAGGTTACAGAACCATCTTACTTTAAAAACCAAAAGATCCTCCCCCACATAAAAAAGACAAATACAACCCTGCTTTATAGTAACTGAATGTCAATGACTTCCTATAAAACATACAAAGAAATTTTTAAGGTTGAACTTGGCAAAAGTAAAGTCACAAAATACAGGAGCAGAAAACAAGGTATCTTGCAAGAGCATCACAGTAGTATTTATATTTATAAATATTGTGCCTGAGATTAAAAGAACTGTAAAAATATAATGCAAAACTTTAAGATTTATCAAGGTACAAAGAGTAAGTCATGAACCATATTTTCAAAGACCTAATCATAAAAAAAGTAAGATTTGTAACTATACTGTCTACTCATAAAAGGTCAAGATAAAGAGCTTCTGGCTACTATCAGAGTCCTGAAAGTCTAGTGGTTCTCAAACTTCATCAGAATCACCCAGAGGATTTGTTAAAACGGATTGCTAGGTCCCATCCCCAAGCTGCTGATTCAGTAGGGTTGGGGTGGGGCTCAAGAATTTGCATTTCTAACAAGTTTTCATGTTAAGTTAATACTGCTTGTCAAGGGAGCATCAATTTATTTACTCCTTAGAGCAATTTCTTGGAACTACACCAACTCCATTTTCATCTACTTCTTTCCCTCCTTTCTCACTCTGTAAGCTAAATGAGAAGTATTAGGGTGGCCCTAACCTTTTTCTATTTAATATCTTGCTTCTAAAAGATGTATAGAGTGCCTATCTCATTTTGAATAATTTAAACTATAGTTACATATACGTAAACAAAGAAGAGGTAACCAAAATGACAAACAAGTATGTAATGCTCAGCACGCTTTGGTGAGTTGCTGAAGACCAAAATACCTTACACATACCCTATAAGATGACTTCCACCTACATAAGAATCTTTCTTCCAGATTCCTAATCAATGGCGTCCAAAATCATTACTTCCTGGGTCTCTTCAGATCAACAGACATCCACAATCCAGATATAAATTAAATTTTAAAATAGAATTTGCAGCTAAAATATAAAGACATAGTGGCAAATTTATAGGAAAAGATATTTTAAAAAGTTTAATCATGTCTTCCCTTATCAAAATGATATCTACACTTTCTGCCTCACTCATTCTCTGCTTTTTTTCCCTAAACTAGTATAAATAAGTGAACTTTGTTCTTTTTTTTTTTTTTTTTTTTTTTGAGATGGAGTTTCGCTCTTATTGCCCAGGCTGTAGTTCAATGGCGCGATCTCGGCTCACTACAACCTCCACCTCCCGGGTTCAAGTGATTCTCCTGCCTCAGCCTCCTGAGTAGCTGGGATTGCAGGCATGTGCCAATATGCCCATCTAATTTTGTATTTTGTGTAGAGACAGGGTTTCTCCATGTTGGTCAGGCTGGTCTCAAACTCCTGACCTCAGGAGATTCACCCACCTCGGCCTCCCGAAGTGCTGGGACTGCAGGCATGAGCCACCGCGCCTAGCCTTGTTCTATTCTTATATTACCACTTCTTACAGGTATCACAAGTATCAGAACTAATTTTAATCATAAAATGCACAGTGGACATCATTAAAAGGTCAGCAACTAATGTGCTATATGATGAAGAAACCTGCAAACAGTGGCCATGAAAATTAGAGAAGAACAAATATTAACATTAGCAAGTGTCTCTAGAACTTGCTTTCTTGAGAAATTCTCACAATTGTCTGTTCTTATGAAAATGGAATGAAATCTGTGTGACTTATAATATGACATTGCTTTACAATTCATTAGCACAGTGGTCTCCAAATTTGGGTTGCCGACACCCAAAAAGGATGTATAATCTAATCCACTTGAAATTTTGAGAAAATATTAGAATTTACATTTACATTTAATTTTATCTCATTTTTTTAATCTATATTTTTGTGGGTATTTTTTTTTCTTTTTTTGAGATAGTCTCGCTCTTTTGCCCAGGCCAGAGGGCAGGGGCACGATCTCGGCTCACTGCAAACTCCGCCTCCTGGGTTCAAGTGATTCTTCTGCCTCAGCCTCCCAAGTAGCTGGGATTACAGGCGCGTGCCACCACGCCCGGCTAATTTTTGTATTTTTAGTAGAGACGAGGTTTCAGCAAGTTGGCCAGGGTGGTCTCAAATGCCTGAATTCAAGTGATCCTCTCCCCTCAGCCTCCCAAAGTGCTGGGATTACAGGCGTGAGCCAATGCACCCAGCCGTATTTTTGCGGGTATTTTAAAAACATGTAACATTAGTACAATAGTTTGAATGTGTTTATATATGTTATATATGTATCCATACACACTACTTATATACAGCTATTTATTTTAAAATTATATCAGGAAGCACATACTCAAAAACCTTTTTTTTCTTGTTTTTTTTTTTTTTTTTTTTTTGAGATCAGGTCTCGTTATACTGCCCAGGCTAGTCTCCAACTCCTTAGCTCAAGTGATCTTCCTACCTTAGCCTCCTGAGTTGGCTGAGATTACAAGTGTGTGCTACCACCCTCTGCAAAACCCAAAGCATATGATAAAAAACAGTCTGGAAAAATATGAGGATGATAATATAAAAACAGTTTGGAAAAATATGACAGTAGAGCCACTTTTGACCTATAGAAAGTCATTTTCCTTTTTGCTGCTATCAGAAATGCTAATTGATTCAACAATGCCATTTGAAGGACTGTATTTGAACCACAGGTTTCTCCACATTTGCATCAAATCTACTAGGTATCTTTCACCTTTTCCTCAACTTGTAAATCTGTTCAGCAGAAGACTCACTTCTATATCTAAAAATCCATAATTTTCTTCAACATATAATAACTTTTCTGTTAACTTTCCAACTTCCCCTTAATATTTACCTTTAAGTACGATAAAATGTTTTCATAAGAACAGATATGAAAAAATGAAGAATTCCAGACACTAACTTTTTTTTTTTTTTTTGAGCTCTCAATAGCAGTTCTGCAGACTAGAAGTGCTGGCCTATGACTTGCGTGCCCTCTGCATTAAGCGCTAATATATCCGGGGTACAGAGACCTCTTACCTCAGATTCACTCTCCCACAAGCTCTTTTATGTTTTCCACTGTTGCCTTACTTTCTTGATATCCACAGATCATACCAGCATTAATCTGCTGCTTTCTCATGTCTTTTCTCACTTCTAGTCTCTCATGTACACATTGATTCTTTATTACTTCTCAGTTCTTTCAGGACAAGTCGTTATGTGTTTTTTCCATGAAATGACCAGATGCCTTTGTTTATCTTTGCAAAGCCAACATCTAGCACACTGTCTGGCAGACAATAGGTGCTCAATAAAAGACTGCTGAACCGAAGTTAGTTTCTTCAGCTCTTAATTATTTTTCTGTTGTTGACAAGTACTAAGCAGTTGCTGCTGCTGCTTAGCTCCAGAGAGTGCTCCTAACCCATGATCACCATGGGCTCTCCATGGTCACTTACAGGCCCAGGCCATTCCAAAAGTTTGATTTTCCAATATTCATTCGTTAAACAAACATTTATTAGATGCTTATTAAGTACTATTTAGACATTTATAGCCAAGATATACTACCATGAAAAATTTAATAAATGCAAAACAAAAGCATCAAATTTAGCAAACGATGTTCAATTTATCAATTGCTAAAATGACTTTATCTTTGATCAGATGCTACAGTAAGTTTAGTGTCAGTACTAACGAGTTATGTTAAAGTCACTGAAAAATCTGTGTGGTGTTATTTTGGTAGCAATTATCAATTTTCAGGAAAAAAAACTCAAACAAAAACCGACTGACCACTTACATTATGCCAAACTTAAGAGACAGTTTGTATTACAAAAGTTCCTTGTCAAACAGACGTTAAGATTCACCATCCTTTGAAGATTAATAATCTACATTAACACAGAGAAACAAGAAACACTAGAAGTCAAGAACATGGGTTCTGGAGTTGGCCTGGCTTCAAAACCTCAACTCTATCATTTACAAGCTTGTAACTATGGGCATATTGCCTAATCCACCAAACTGTTTCCTCATCTGCATATAAGATAATAAGAGTAGATTCTTAGCTAATACAGTTGTTATAAGGAGTCCATACCATAGTACATACAAAAGTGCTTATACGATGGAACAAATAGTAAATGCTCAATAAATGTTATCTTAGTATATAAATCTATAAATTTAAGTTTAAGAAGTCCTACAAAACTAATCCAGCATTTCCCAATTTTGACCACGTAATCCATTTTCCCATAAAACACTTACTAACATTCTCTGCTACTTTAATTGTGTGCTGATTGCCATTATTTTCCAGAAAGAATTAAAGTCTCTATTTTTATGGTATCGTTATATTAACTAAACAAATCATGAAATTATGAAAATTTCAGTATATAGGAAAGTACCTCAGTAACTGTAAGTTAATAGACAGCAAGACTTCTCTAGCACCTATGCCCTTCCCTTCCCTTTGCCCTGCTTGTTCTTTCAGAAGAATGTCAAGTGATCCTTCAGTCAAACAAATTACACTGGTACATTTGTGCATGTAATTAGAGTCACCATTCACTGCAAAGCTCTACTCAATAGATAACTTTTAATCAGGCTTTAAAATTCTACACATATCCTATTACAAAGATGAACACAATGGGTTTTATTGTGGGACATTTCCAAAACAAAGCCTTTTAAAGGAAATTTTATAACTTTACTGCTTTTATACTCTATATTTCTATGGCTTGAGAATCTCCCATCAAATATTTCTAGTTAGTAAATTATCAAAATAAACTGTGGTAAGCAGTCTCTGAAATGGCTCCCAATGATACCCACATCCTTGTATTTGTCTCCCCGTGATGGTTGGCTGGACCTAGTAACTCACTTCCCATGAGTAGAATACAGCAAAAGTGATGGGACGTCACTTCCAGCATTAGTCACAAAAAGATTATGACGTCCACATTACTGCCCCTTCTCTTTCTCTCAGAGCTCCCTCTCACTCTGAGAGAGTGAAACAGTGGGCTGAGGGAACCCCATTGTCATGTTATAAACTGCCTACAGAGAGACTTATACGGCAGAAAACTGGTATCTCCAACAGCCATTGAGGACCTCTGAGACTAACAGCTATATGAGTAGGTTTTTAAGTGGATCCTCCCCTAATCAGGCCTTGAGATGACACAACCCCAGCTGATATCTTAATTGCAGCCCTGTGAAAGACCCAGAGCCAGAAGACCCACCTAAGCTGCACTAAGATTTCTGACCCACAGAAACCATGAAATGAGAAATGTGTGTTGCTTTAAGCCACTAAGTTTTGGGGTCATTTGTTACATAGCAATAAACTAACACATAAGTTAAAAGTTAACCTTAGAAAACTTCAGCAAAAAATATATGTATTTAATCTTTTGGACACAATACCCCACATAATTCAAAACACACTGTTCAATTTTAAAATGCATTGCCTTCTTTTTTGTCTAATCCTAATTTTGCCTATTTTCTTAAGTGACTCTCCACAGACACATCTGTGTTGTTAACTAAGCTTTCCAACAGGTATAAAAATCATGGCAAAGAATGTATTGTGAAGGCAGCATATGTAACATAAGGAATACTGAAATACTAGGTACAATGGACTTTTCAGATAAGTAGGTCTTAAAGTTGATTTTGTTTTATATATGTATATCAAACAAACTGATAAAAAAAAACCTCTAAAACTACCTATTCCAGGTGGTAAAATGAAAAAGAATAAATAAAAACAAAGAAAAACTAGAACAAGGAAAGGAATGAAAAAAATGTTCATTCAAAGAAAAAGAGGGAAAGGTAAGAACAGAAAACAAAATTCATATACACTAGAATCTATGATAAAACTTTTCAGTCACAAAATGAGCAATAACAATGTGAACTCCACTGCTGTGCTCAGGGCAACAAAACCATTAATTTCTCTTATTTAAATTATTTGTTGACCAAATACCTACACTTTCCAAAATTTCACTAAAATTGACAGACCGTGCAGCCTTGAATGCAATCAACAATTCAATCTTAACAGATCACAGATTCTGCACACATTGACATCTAACCTTTTTTATGTTGGTCCAGAAGATGATGACCTAGACAGCAAAAGCTTTATATCCTATTCCTGATCTGAAGCACCCAAAGTACTCCAAATTCAGTTTTAACATAGCCCTGGAAAGTTATCAGACATTTATTCTCTTATTTGTCCAAGTACTGTACACATGATACACTTTAAGTGTTACCCTCACTTTGCCTGCCACCCTATAGAACATTACAGCCCCCATCATCTCTAACTGATAATGATCCCCCTGCCCCTGCTTACTTATTTTGTTTAGTCTCCTTCCCACAAGCCCTACCTGAATGTTCACTTAAAGGCACAGATTTTGTCTATCTTGTTCCTAATCTATTCCAAGCAACTATTTGAGTATCTGGTATAAAATAGGCCATCAGATATTAGCTCAATATTAAATAAATTATAAAAATAAAGAATTTTTCATATGACCAAATACAAAACAGAGGATACTAAAGAGAAAAAAAAATAAGTTTTTAAACAGAATTTTCAAATGCTAAATACTTTTCTGAATTTTTTTTAGAAAAGCAACATTTCAAAACAAAACAAAAATCACAAGAAATTAAGTACTTTAAAATTTGGGCTAAAATCACAAGAAATTAAGTACTTTAAAATTTGGGCTAAGGTTTCCTATCAAACGTATAAAGTCTCCTAGTGAAGGCCAGTAAAGGTCCATAAAATAATTATTGCTTATTTCTTTCAAAAAGACACCTTAACAAGAAATACAAACCAAAATGCACCTATATTGAACTGAAGGACTATAGTACAAGAACTGCAGAATTAATAATTCATCCTTTAAAGCATACAAACACATCACACAGAGCCTAGATCAGTGCTAATAGAAATAAAATGTGAGCTACATACATAATTTTGTTTTCTAGAAGTTACACTGAGTAAAAACAAAGGAAGTAAATTTTAATATTATATTTCATGTAACCCAATATGTCTAAAATATCTCCAACAGGTAATCAATATTTTCAAATTAGATATTTAATATTATTCTTCTCATATAAGCCTTCAAAATTTCAAGTGTGTTTTATACTTTATAGCACACCTCAACTTCGAATGCTCAATAGCCAAATATGGCTAGTGGCTACCACACTGGACAGTGGATTTCTACATTCTTTTAGGTAGTAGTAAAATATAAAGGCATGTTGTGTTTGCATTTAAATAGTAAGAGAAATACAGAAAGATATCATCTTCTGTTTTTAAATATTAAAATTCACCTCTCATATCAAAGAATTCTAAGCTCTACTTTTTAAGCCTAAGTTTTATTTAGTTCTAACTTTTATTACAACATGCCTAAAATTCCACTGAAATTTAAAAGACTCAATAAGATTTCCACTGAAATATAAATTACACAGCCATGTATGCTTAATTTGTTTTGCAGAGTGGTGATAACACTTTGCACATGTGCATTTAATATCTGATAAACGCTGGTGCATGCCTGTCATCCAAGCACTTTGGGAGGCCGAGGCAGGAATATTGCTAGAGACCAGGCTTTTGAAACCAGCATGAGCCACACAGCAAGACTCTCATCTCTATAAAAGTAAAAAAAATTAAAAATTAAAAAAGTATATCTGATGAGGTAAAAAAGATTAAAATAACTTGTACTTCTAAGAATTATAATGCAATCAATTACAAATAGGCTGTCAAATATCTGCAAAAGCTTCCTTGATACTTTCTCTGTGTATATATCATGCACAATTTTAACTGCTCTTTCCTTTGAAGGTATTTTTAATGATTCAGGAAATGTGGATTTCTGCTATTTTTCATATTTAAATATTTTTGTAATTGTGGTGTGCTATGATTTGAATGTTTGTCCCCTCCAAAACTCATATTGAAATTTGCCATTGTGGCAGTGTTAGGAAGTAAGAGGTAACAGGGAGGTTCTGGGAGGTAATAGGACCATAAGGGCCCAACCCTCAGGAGAGGAATTAATGCCCTTATAAAAGGGCAAGTTACACACCTTTTGCCTCTTGGGCCTTCTACTTCCACCCCATAAAAAGAAAACAGTCCTCCCTCCAGGCAACGCAGCATTCAAGGAGCCATCTTGAAATCAGAATCACCAAACCTGCCAGCACCTTGATGTTGGACTTCCCAACTTCCACAACTGTGAGTCAATAAATTTCTGTTCATTATAGATTACCCAGTCTATAGTACCCTGCTATAGCAGCACCAGACTAAGAAATATATTAATATATATTTATATTATATATTAATATATAATTTATATAATAATTATATATTAATATATAATTTATATAATTACATATTTTTAATAGATTTTATAATTACATTATATTTATATATTTTATTATATTAATAATATTTTTTTTTTTAAGGGTTTAGCAGTTGGCTAAGTTCAGTCAGTTTTTTTTTTTATTCAAGTTTTTTTTTTTTTTTTTTTTTTTTTTTATTATACTCTAAGTTTTAGGGTACATGTGCACATTGTGCAGGTTAGTTACATATGTATACATGTGCCATGCTGGTGCGCTGCACCCACTAATGTGTCATCTAGCATTAGGTATATCTCCCAATGCTATCCCTCCCCCCTCCCCCGACCCCACCACAGTCCCCAGAGTGTGATATTCCCCTTCCTGTGTCCATGTGATCTCATTGTTCAATTCCCACCTATGAGTGAGAATATGCGGTGTTTGGTTTTTTGTTCTTGCGATAGTTTACTGAGAATGATGGTTTCCAATTTCATCCATGTCCCTACAAAGGATATGAACTCATCATTTTTTATGGCTGCATAGTATTCCATGGTGTATATGTGCCACATTTTCTTAATCCAGTCTATCATTGTTGGACATTTGGGTTGGTTCCAAGTCTTTGCTATTGTGAATAGTGCCGCAATAAACATACGTGTGCATGTGTCTTTATAGCAGCATGATTTATAGTCCTTTGGGTATATACCCAGTAATGGGATGGCTGGGTCAAATGGTATTTCTAGTTCTAGATCCCTGAGGAATCGCCACACTGACTTCCACAATGGTTGAACTAGTTTACAGTCCCACCAACAGTGTAAAAGTATTCCTATTTCTCCACATCCTCTCCAGCACCTGTTGTTTCCTGACTTTTTAATGATTGCCATTCTAACTGGTGTGAGATGATATCTCATAGTGGTTTTGATTTGCATTTCTCTGATGGCCAGTGATGATGAGCATTTCTTCATGTGTTTTTTGGCTGCATAAATGTCTTCTTTTGAGAAGTGTCTGTTCATGTCCTTCGCCCACTTTTTGATGGGGTTGTTTGTTTTTTTCTTGTAAATTTGTTTGAGTTCATTGTAGATTCTGGATATTAGCCCTTTGTCAGATGAGTAGGTTGCGAAAATTTTCTCCCATGTTGTAGGTTGCCTGTTCACTCTGATGGTAGTTTCTTTTGCTGTGCAGAAGCTCTTTAGTTTAATTAGATCCCATTTGTCAATTTTGGCTTTTGTTGCCATTGCTTTTGGTGTTTTGGACATGAAGTCCTTGCCCACGCCTATGTCCTGAATGGTAATGCCTAGGTTTTCTTCTAGGGTTTTTATGGTTTTAGGTCTAACGTTTAAATCTTTAATCCATCTTGAATTGATTTTTGTATAAGGTGTAAGGAAGGGATCCAGTTTCAGCTTTCTACATATGGCTAGCCAGTTTTCCCAGCACCATTTATTAAATAGGGAATCCTTTCCCCATTGCTTGTTTTTCTCAGGTTTGTCAAAGATCAGATAGTTGTAGATATGCGGCATTATTTCTGAGGGCTCTGTTCTGTTCCATTGATCTATATCTCTGTTTTGGTACCAGTACCATGCTGTTTTGGTTACTGTAGCCTTGTAGTATAGTTTGAAGTCAGGTAGTATGATGCCTCCAGCTTTGTTCTTTTGGCTTAGGATTGACTTGGCGATGCGGGCTCTTTTTTGGTTCCATATGAACTTTAAAGTAGTTTTTTCCAATTCTGTGAAGAAAGTCATTGGTAGCTTGATGGGGATGGCATTGAATCTGTAAATTACCTTGGGCAGTATGGCCATTTTCACGATATTGATTCTTCCTACCCATGAGCATGGAATGTTCTTCCATTTGTTTGTGTCCTCTTTTATTTCCTTGAGCAGTGGTTTGTAGTTCTCCTTGAAGAGGTCCTTCACATCCCTTGTAAGTTGGATTCCTAGGTATTTTATTCTCTTTGAAGCAATTGTGAATGGGAGTTCACCCATGATTTGGCTCTCTGTTTGTCTGTTGTTGGTGTATAAGAATGCTTGTGATTTTGGTACATTGATTTTGTATCCTGAGACTTTGCTGAAGTTGCTTATCAGCTTAAGGAGATTTTGGGCTGAGACGATGGGGTTTTCTAGATAAACAATCATGTCGTCTGCAAACAGGGACAATTTGACTTCCTCTTTTCCTAACTGAATACCCTTTTTTTCCTTCTCCTGCCTGATTGCCCTGGCCAGAACTTCCAACACTATGTTGAATAGGAGCGGTGAGAGAGGGCATCCCTGTCTTGTGCCAGTTTTCAAAGGGAATGCTTCCAGTTTTGCCCATTCAGTATGATATTGGCTGTGGGTTTTTCATAGATAGCTCTTATTATTTTGAAATACGTCCCATCAATACCTAATTTATTGAGAGTTTTTAGCATGAAGGGTTGTTGAATTTTGTCAAAGGCTTTTTCTGCATCTATTGAGATAATCATGTGGTTTTTGTCTTTGGCTCTGTTTATATGCTGGATTACATTTATTGATTTGCGTATATTGAACCAGCCTTGCATCCCAGGGATGAAGCCCACTTGATCATGGTGGATAAGCTTTTTGATGTGCTGCTGGATTCGGTTTGCCAGTATTTTATTGAGGATTTTTGCATCAATGTTCATCAAGGATATTGGTCTAAAATTCTCTTTTTTGGTTGTGTCTCTGCCCGGCTTTGGTATCAGAATGATGCTGGCCTCATAAAATGAGTTAGGGAGGATTCCCTCTTTTTCTATTGATTGGAATAGTTTCAGAAGGAATGGTACCAGTTCCTCCTTGTACCTCTGGTAGAGTTCGGCTGTGAATCCATCTGGTCCTGGACTCTTTTTGGTTGGTAAACTATTGATTATTGCCACAATTTCAGAGCCTGTTATTGGTCTATTCAGAGATTCAACTTCTTCCTGGTTTAGTCTTGGGAGAGTGTATGTGTCGAGGAATGTATCCATTTCTTCTAGATTTTCTAGTTTATTTGCGTAGAGGTGTTTGTAGTATTCTCTGATGGTAGTTTGTATTTCTGTGGGATCGGTGGTGATATCCCCTTTATCATTTTTTATTGTGTCTATTTGATTCTTCTCTCTTTTTTTCTTTATTAGTCTTGCTAGCGGTCTATCAATTTTGTTGATCCTTTCAAAAAACCAGCTCCTGGATTCATTGATTTTTTGAAGGGTTTTTTGTGTCTCTATTTCCTTCAGTTCTGCTCTGATTTTAGTTATTTCTTGCCTTCTGCTAGCTTTTGAATGTGTTTGCTCTTGCTTTTCTAGTTCTTTTAATTGTGATGTTAGGGTGTCAATTTTGGATCTTTCCTGCTTTCTCTTGTAGGCATTTAGTGCTATAAATTTCCCTCTACACACTGCTTTGAATGTGTCCCAGAGATTCTGGTATGTGGTGTCTTTGTTCTCGTTGGTTTCAAAGAACATCTTTATTTCTGCCTTCATTTCGTTATGTACCCAGTAGTCATTCAGGAGCAGGTTGTTCAGTTTCCATGTAGTTGAGTGGCTTTGAGTGAGATTCTTAATCCTGAGTTCTAGTTTGATTGCACTGTGGTCTGAGAGATAGTTTGTTATAATTTCTGTTGTTTTACATTTGCTGAGGAGAGCTTTACTTCCAACTATGTGGTCAATTTTGGAATAGGTGTGGTGTGGTGCTGAAAAAAATGTATATTCTGTTGATTTGGGGTGGAGAGTTCTGTAGATGTCTATTAGGTCTGCTTGGTGCAGAGCTGAGTTCAATTCCTGGGTATCCTTGTTGACTTTCTGTCTCGTTGATCTGTCTAATGTTGACAGTGAGGTGTTAAAGTCTCCCATTATTAATGTGTGGGAGTCTAAGTCTCTTTGTAGGTCACTCAGGACTTGCTTTATGAATCTGGGTGCTCCTGTATTGGGTGCATAAATATTTAGGATAGTTAGCTCCTCTTGTTGAATTGATCCCTTTACCATTATGTAATGGCCTTCTTTGTCTCTTTTGATCTTTGTTGGTTTAAAGTCTGTTTTATCAGAGACTAGGATTGCAACCCCTGCCTTTTTTTGTTTTCCATTGGCTTGGTAGATCTTCCTCCATCCTTTTATTTTGAGCCTATGTGTGTCTCTGCACGTGAGATGGGTTTCCTGAATACAGCACACTGATGGGTCTTGACTCTTTATCCAACTTGCCAGTCTGTGTCTTTTAATTGCAGAATTTAGTCCATTTATATTTAAAGTTAATATTGTTATGTGTGAATTTGATCCTGTCATTATGATGTTAGCTGGTGATTTTGCTCATTAGTTGATGCAGTTTCTTCCTAGTCTCGATGGTCTTTACATTTTGGCATGATTTTGCAGCGGCTGGTACCGGTTGTTCCTTTCCATGTTTAGCGCTTCCTTCAGGAGCTCTTTTAGGGCAGGCCTGGTGGTGACAAAATCTCTCAGCATTTGCTTGTCTATAAAGTATTTTATTTCTCCTTCACTTACGAAGCTTAGTTTGGCTGGATATGAAATTCTTCTTCTCTCAGCTCGTCAAAATCATTCTCCATCCAGCTTTGTTCTGTTGCTGGTGAGGAACTGCGTTCCTTTGGAGGAGGAGAGGCGCTCTGCGTTTTAGAGTTTCCAGTTTTTCTGTTCTGTTTTTTCCCCATCTTTGTGGTTTTATCTACTTTTGGTCTTTGATGATGGTGATGTACAGATGGGTTTTCGGTGTAGATGTCCTTTCTGGTTGTTAGTTTTCCTTCTAACAGACAGGACCCTCAGCTGCAGGTCTGTTGGAATACCCTGCCGTGTGACGTGTCAGTGTGCCCCTGCTGGGGGGTGCCTCCCAGTTAGGCTGCTCGGGGGTCAGGGGTCAGGGACCCACTTGAGGAGGCAGTCTGCCCGTTCTCAGATCTCCAGCTGCATGCTGGGAGAACCACTGCTCTCTTCAAAGCTGTCAGACAGGGACATTTAAGTCTGCAGAGGTTACTGTTAATATATAATATATATAATGAGAAATATATTTGGTCTTTGTCCTAGGTTCCAGGCACAGAGATCCTAAAACCCTGGAAATTTCCTGATAGGTGAGTCTTTTGTTATTCACTATTGCCCCCATCCACCAACCTGAGTTTATGCTAACAAAGTGATTTAGGATAGGGCCCTAAATAGTTTCAGGATAAAGCTGGTTACTAGAAAGACCAAGTAATTAGAGGGTTGTAACTTTAAGTCCCACCCACTGACCTCCAGGAAAACTGAGCTCTACAAAAACTCTGTTACAAGGTTCAAGATTCAAAGAGCTTCCAGGCTGGTGGGCATATCAAGGTGCTGGGAGGGTGGAATGAAGAAGACATGGAAGCTCTGAGCACACCGCCCCCATACCTTGCCCTATGCATTTCTTCTATTTGGATGTTCCTGAGTTGTATACTTTAAAATAAACCAGTAAAGTGTTTTCCTGAGTTCTGTGAGCCATTTTAGCAAGTCATTGAAACTGCAGAAGCTCAGTTTTTGGGTTAAAATCTAAAACTGCACAGAGCATTCATCTACTTAACACTGTATACTCTCAGAGTTGACATGGAATTTGTTTGACAAAGCTAATCCTGTCATATTGTAAATGACTAAGAAAATGTACAATAATAATTTTAGAAAATCTCTTTGGTTTAGAGAATAAATTACCTCTATAAATTACCTCTATTTTATAAAAATATAAATATAAAAATATAATACAAACAGAGAAAAGGAGTAATGATAATGATGTTGAGAGAATGAATTATCCACTCATTTTAATAAAACGGCCCACAATAAATGACAACTAGTTTACGTTGTTTTCCAATAACAATAAAACTCTTAATAATCCATCAGTTTTACCTCACTCTTCCTTATGACCAACAGAATATACAGTTCAAATACTTTTTAAGTTGGAAGCTATGTAAGATAGAATTATCATATAGTCGGTGGTTCTAGAAATAAATAAATTGATCTACTTTGAATCGAAAGTAATGATTTTGGTATCGCTGGTACTGACTGAGCTCTAATCGAATGATTTTAATCATGATAAATAGCAGAAATCAACTGATGCAGAGATATTATAAGACTGAAGATTTAATATCTGACCTAATAAGCAATTAGAAATCACTAAGTCTCTTAGCTATCACACTCTCAAAGTGATAATCATGATGGATTAGAAAGGAAAAACTTAGAGACAGTAATCTAGACACAAGATTATAAATACCTAGATTAGAACAGAACAAGCAAATAACTAGAATGGATAAAAGGTAGTGGGGAAAGGAAGAAAAAGGAACATATTTTAAGAACACAGGAGCTTAATTTACAGCAGGGGTTGGCAAACTACAGCATGCAGGCCAAATATGGCTGGCTGCTTGTTTTTGCAAATAAAGTTTTATTGGAAAACAGCCATGCCCGTTAGTTCTTGTACTGTCTATGGCCGCTTCACACTATAGTGGCGGAGTTGAATAGTTACAACAGCAACTGCATGGCCCACTAAAGCTAAATAATTTGCCAACTGGCCTGTATTCGTTTCCATTCATTATAGTACTGCCATAATAAAGTACCATAAATTGGATGGCTTACCACGATAGAAATTTATTCTCTTACAGATCTGAAGGCTAGAAAGAAGTTCAAAATCAATGTGTCCACAGAATCATGCTCTCTCAAAGGCTCTAGGGGAGAATCTGTTCCATGCCTTTCTCTTAGCTTCTGGTATTGGCAGCAATCCTTAGCATTCCTTGATTTGCAGTTATATAAAACTAATCTCTGCCTCCACTGTCACAGAGTCATCTTCTCTCCTGTTCTGTGACTCCACATGGCGTTCTCCTCTCTTAGCAGAACACTAGTCATATTGAATTACAGGCCCACCCAACTCCAGTATGACTTTATCTTAACTACATCCGCAATGACCTTATTTCTAAATAAGGTCACATTCTGAGGTGCTGGGGTTTAGGACTTCAACATGTTTTTAGAGAACACATTTCAACCCATATCTTGGCCCTTTGCAGAAAAAGTCTGCCAACATCTACTTTAGAAGAAGAAGAATCGAGAAATAGGTCCAGAGGTGCAACTGAACAACAAGAGATTTAAAATAGCAAAACTGAGATTTTGTTTTACACATACTAAATTTAAAGCAACAGTAAGAGCCCTCTAAAAACATCAGGCAGAAAGCAAAAGGTCAGGGATCTAGACTGGCCTAGAGATAGAGGAATCAGGGCAATCTGAAAACAGATGGGCATTCTCAAATAAACGTTTTGTATAGCAAGCCAAGAAGTGATCTTCAGAGAATGTCTCCGTTAGATAACAATGTTACTAGACACTGTCACTGTTACATCACGAGATAATAATGTAGAAAATAATGTAATTTACTATAATATAATCTGAAAGAGAAGCAATTCAACAGTGACAAATCCAACAAAGGGACTGAAGAGGCCTGAAAAATGACCAGGGGATTTGGTTAGAATGAGACAACACTCAAAGAAGCCAACTTTTAGGGAGAAACTAAGACAGAAACCAGACCGGTAGGGTAAATGGGAATGCTTAAAAACTAAAGACAGTGGGTACAGTAAATTACCATGCTGGTGGTCTCCAAGGAATCACATTTCCTGGTTATCTATATCTTTGTAGAATCTTCTTCCACACAGATTCTGAGCTTAGCCAAATGACTTGTCTTGGCCAATAAATTAGCAACCACTGGCAAGCAGAGGCATGATAAACACTTGCACATGGGAACTTACCCTCTTGGAACACTAGCTGCCGTGCTGTAATAAAGTTTGAGCTAGGCTCCTGAATGATGAGAGGTAACATAGAAAGACATTATGCAGAATAAGAGGCTGTCTTAGATACTCCAGCCCCAACAGAGCTCCCAAGAGAATGCAACTTCCATAGTGACCTCGGCCCATATCTAAGGGTACAGAAAAACTGCTCAGCTGGGGCCAGTGATCCCACAGAATCAGGAGAAATAATAAACTGTTGTCATTTTAAACCACTACATTTGGAGTGGTTTGTAAAGCAACAATAGATAAAATACAGTCAGAATAGGATACATGTTTGAGAAATACAGGAACATGAGATGGAAAATTTTTATACAACTGGGAAGACTTATATCCAAATGGGGGGAAAAACAGAAAAACCATGTAAATGTTTATTAAGGGTAAAATTAACATGTAAAAAGAAAAATTAAAGATGTTGAAGATGAAGGCAATGAGCCACATGAGGAAAGAGAAAATTGAAGACCAGAAACAGAAATGCAGTCATTCTGTTCTAAGACAATAGCAAGGAAAACATTTTTCCACCTACTTCATCACTTTCCTCTACTTCAATTCCACCATCTTTGTCATCATCCATTTGTTTATGTATTGTTTGAAGAGCTTCCAGACTAAATCTGTCTTCTTCTGTAAAGCATGGTGGACTCAGTGACATGCAGGGATCTGAAAGAGAACAAAGGGCAATTACTAACTTGCCATACCAAAACAAAGGCTATAGTTAGAGAGTATAATTTAAAAGAAAACCAACAGAATTAAACTTCAGACTAAGTTAAACTAAGAGACTTTAAAACGTCTAACAGAATATTCTTCACATCAAAAGTATAATATATGAACACAACTGACTAAAAAGAAATAATCCAATTTAATTAACATCAGGCAACTACAACCAGGAGTTATGTCAGTACTAACTTCAGGTTATCTAAAATCTCTACATCTTTAACCATTTCTTCTTATCCAACCTGAATATTTACTAATCATGATTTACTAATCATTCCCCCTACCAAAAAAACAAATGATCTCCTTCCATTAAAAAAAAAAAACACTAAAAAATCACAGAATACAAAGTGCTATTTTTGCACAATCCAGTTTAATCAAAATGAGTCCTAGAAAATATCACCAAAAAAAGGGAAAGGAAATGTAAAATAGTCACATGACCCTTTTGTTTCCATTTTTCTATTTAAGATAATCCAAGAGTCTACCCATATAGCTTTTTTCAAAATACGTAAGTTCTTAGGTTCAACTATGACAACAACAAACAAAAGAAAAAGACTAACCAGATGTTTTTAAATCTTGTTCTTCATGTTATCTTTAATACACATTTACTGGTCAACCCTTTCCCTATGGAATATATGTGAATCCTCACATTCAGGTTGTCAAAAACTAAGTTAGAAAGCATGAAACATTTTTCAATGGCTTAACATGACTGATGGAAATTACTTCCTGTGCACATAACTAGCTAACAACCTATATACCAAAATGGGAAAGTACTGCCGCAGCTTCACTTATACCCAGTCTGGCTGACTGGCGGACTGACAAAATTCTAGGAACTTACTTCTCTTCTATCAAGTCACTACAATAACATTTCTTTAAAATGCCATCAGAACCACATATATTTCCAGAAATAGTATGGCCTTAAAGTTGAAAGTGGTTAGCATAAGACAGAGGTTAGCCACAGCTTAGTTATCTCATCGATAGTCTATCATCTGGCCCTACTATCAATTAGCTGTCATTAGTTAATTGTGGACAAATCACTTGTCCTTGCATCTTAGTTGCCTCATCCCTAAAATAAAGCAAGTAGAGATACTTACTAAGATCTATTGCAGCTATAAGGGCCTAAGAATATCTAATTCTGTGCTTAGGAGAAAAAAAGCTGGGAGAAGAGAAGCCAATATTTGAGGCCCACAGATAATTTTATTTTCTAAAAAAAAAAAAAAAAAAGTCAAACTGATATTACCTAACATGTTCCAATTACAGCTGAAAAAATATTTTGGTGTTTTAACATTTTTAATAGTTTTAATTCAAAATCTAATTTTAATTTCTTTAGTCTTAGAAGGGAAGTAATCAGAAAAGAAAGGAAACTATAAAAGTAGGAAATGCAATTATAAGTTCTGTGTGATATATAAATACGTGTACATACAAATATTTGGAACGCCAGTCAAGATTTGCTAAAATCCAAGAACTCGGAGGCATAATGGTCAATCATGATCCCTAATTCACAGAACAATCAAGACCCTGATGTGCCCGTAAGTTTGGATTTATTTGCAATTATTTAAAAGATGCAAAATAGAAGATAAGAGCTCAGGTACCAAAACAACATATAGTGTAAAGATCTGTATATAATACGTAGTTGCCTCCAGCAGACCTATTTTTTACACATAGTTTAATCTGCTAAAGAACAAAGTGAAGGTGTTCATTCCAACTGGTATATAAGGAAAGGGCCAGCATCTCTCACTCTGGTTAAATAGGCCTTGTTGTGAAAGTCTCTAAGAGGAGTCAACAGTGAGGACCATATAACCACAGGAAGCTTTAAGAGAAATTAGGAGCAACATGACTTGAAAAAGTCATAGGAAAATAAAATTGGTAATTATTTATTTAAATAGGCGTATTTCATAAACACTAGCTAATCTAATAAAATACTCTCTCTCAAGTCTACTTCAAGATGTTAATACTTCTCCATGAAGTCTTTCATAAACACTATTTCCTAGTGATCACTTCCTTCTCTGCACTCCATTCAATCCACTCAACAACTATCTAATGAGCACCTACCAAATGTCAGGCACCAGAAATACCATGGTGAACAAAACAGACAAAAATCCTCATAAAACTTATATTTTACTGGGGACTATGAACCTAACAAGATAAATAAGTAAACGGTATAGGCATGTTAGTAGTGGTAAACATTTAAGGGGAAAGTGAAAAGCAGATATGAAATGTCAAGGGATTTGAAATTTTCGATTTTATCTTCATTTTCTAATCATTCTACCTAAGTCCTCACTTAATGCTGTACTCGATTAAGCTTTAATTGCTTATGTGTCATTTTTGTCCACACAACTAAGATTATGAACAGGGCAGGGACCATGTTTCTCCACTTCTCACATAATACCCATTTTAGCTGAACATATTTTAAGCCTCTGATAAATTCTGTTACTTCATATATTAACTAAATTACAAACTTCTAGGCTTCTATCCTGTGCAAGGCAGTGACAGGCATTAGGAATTAAAGAGATAAGAGAGTATCCATACTCAAAAAAGCTCACAGTTTTGTGAGAAGGAAGACATGTAGACTCCTACAATGTATCATGTTAGGTAAAAGTTTTCTAGAGGTAAACTTAAAGAATTTTAAATCATCTGTAGCTGACAACCTTGAGAAGAGAGAACAGCATGCCTAGAAGCAGCATCATACGTTCAGTGACATAAAAAAAAAAACATAAAACATTAAGAAAAATGCAAGTGGTTTAATATGTCTGTAGTACAAAGATACCAACATACAGAAAAAAGAAGATCAGGTAGAGACTGCTAAAAGGCCAGATCTCTAAAAGCTCTGTTTCTCATACCAGGATATTTGGATTTTTATCCTAAAAACACTGAGAAGCTATTAATGGATTTCAAGGAGGGGAATAACACAATCAGATTCATTTAAAATCTGATAACTCTGGTGACAATGGAATGGGATGATGGCAATTCACCAGATCCCTCTGGTGACAGTGGAATAGGATGGTGACAAGACTGAGAGACACAGCTGACAGTCAGCCTGGCAGCACTCAACAGACCATGCCTCCAAGGAACAGAAACGGTAGATGATGAGACTGCTCTAGGGTTTGGTGTTTTGCCAAGTTTGAGCAGCAGAGGAAAGACAGGAGTTGAAGTTATGGCAACAGTGATCCATTTCTTCACATGAAATTTTATTTCCTTTAAAGTAAGACTCAAGGCTTTTACAAATCTAATTTAGAATAGCTGTGAATTCTGAACTCTATTACCTGTTCTAATGTCTCTTTTCGTTTTTAGTTGTTTACCTTCTAGTTAATTCAGCACATGTGATCATTTTAACTCAAATTAGCTGGCCTATACTTATTTTAAAATATACAACCTGCTAAAAAAGGTCTGTGCCTATAATTATAATGGTTTGAAAGGCAACTGCTACCAATATTGTTCTCCTTTGCTTATATTTTATAGACACTTTCTTTAGCTACCCAAAATGCCCCAGTGGACATCAGGTACTCCATACTAGTACATCTTCCTCATCTAAACAGAATTCACTCGCTAATTTAAACACGATATGCAGTGCCTATAATACGTCAGGCTCTGTGCTTGGTGCTGGGCACACAAGGCAACAACTAAGACAAATGTCCTCCCCTCAGTGCCCTCACCTTGTGTTAAATGCAACATAGTGTGATACAGCTTTTGAGTATTATATGCTAAGCATTCTTTTCTCTGGATTAACAGCAGCACTTTGCGCTGAGGGAAAAGAAACCAGCTGCAACAGAATGAGACCTAACCCAAGTCAGCTATCAACACCATTATTAAATTCCACCTTGTTTTCCTGTAATTAGAGCCAAATGCTCAGTATGGTTCTACAGAAATAAAGTAAAATGAATTAAAATTATTTCACCCACCAAGAAATATCTACTACAGGCTGGGCACAGTGGCTCAACGCCTGTAATCCCAGCACTTTGGGAAGCTGAGGCAGGCGGATCACCTGAGGTCAGGAGTCCGTGACCAGCCTGGACAACATGGCAAAACCCTATCCCTACGAAAAATACAAAAATTAGCCGGGCATAGTGGCATGCTCCTGTAGTCCCAGCTACTTGGGAGGCTGAGACAGGAGAATCGCTTGACCTTGGGAGGCGAAGGTTGCAGTCAGTCAAGATCATGCCACTACACTCCACCCTGGGTAACAGAGTGAGACTCTGTCTCAAAAAATATATATAAATAAAAAATAAAAAAGGAAGAAATATTATCCACTACATTCTAGAAACCAATACTATTTTATCTTCATAATTTATTCCCTGCAACCCTGTATGGGGCAGATAATATCTCTATTTTCCAGATGAGGAAGTAAGACTCATGAGTAACTTGCTTAAGATCACACTCCTAGAAATGACAACTGGGATTCTAAGTATTCACAACTCCAAATCTATGCTCAAGTGTCAGTATAACGAACATAAATGGGTCAGTGTCACCAGCATCAGAGAATTAAGTACCGCTATCACAGATATTGCCAGGACCTGGCTGAGAAGCTGACTGCACCAAGAAGCATAAATGTGCCCCGTGGAAGGAGATCATCAGACACCTGTGGAATGATATTCACAATCTAGAATACATATCTATACTTCCTGCCTTACTTTTCCTTTAGATAATCTATCTCCACTTTAATTTACACTCCCCTTGAACAAACCATTATATTAAGTATATTATATTGTATCGTAACTTTACCCTAAACTTGATTGGGAACATGCATTGTATTAATTTTTTATTCTCAGTATCTACCACAGTGACATATTTGTTGAATGGTTTAAGTATATGTAAATATTAGAAGCCAAATGAATTAGCTTCTAAATACAATTCATTTATGTAGCAAATATCTAAATGCCAGAGTCTAGGTTAGAAGCTGGGTACACAAAAGGTAAAAACAAATAAATAAAGATGGCAGATACAATGACAGATATACAAATAAACAATGGTGACAAAACTAAGGGAATAGTCATGTCTACATGCACAGCAAGAAAGGCTTCAAAGAGAAAGTGACATTTACACTGATTCTTGAAAGATGAGCAAGTGCTCTCTAGGAAGACAGGGATAGGCAAGAACATAAGCTAATGATTATTATATAACAAAAGGGTGATAATAACTATGAATATGGAGCATCCTTGTATTTATATTGCATAAAATATACTTATATAAAAATTAAGTGTTACACATTTCACTTTGCCCACAAAGTAGGCATTATTCCCACTTAATTAGATAATTAACAGAAAAAGTATAAGCGAAGGCCAGATCATGGAGGGATCTACAGATTATCCTAAAGTGACAATCAAGGAGAAAAAAACATTAATAAATTATTCACTGAAAGCCCTAACTTGCAGTTTCCTCCATTGGCAAAGCTCTTTCTTCCAAATATATCCATGGTTGGTTAACTCCTTTCATTCCAACTTAAATGATCCTCCTCAGAGGCTGTCTTATTTCCCTATGTAAGATAGCCTTCTCCTTCACTCTTTCTACTTGTTTAATTTTTCTTCACAGCACTTTATCACAGGGCAGTATATGAGTTGATTCGTTTGCTTACTAACTCTCCCGCCATAATGCAACCGTGAGATCACAGGCTTTGTTTTGATCATTCCTCTTTGCCCAGTGCCTAAACCAGTATCTGGCACACAGTAAGTGCTCAAAATATATTTGTTTACTAAATTACTTATCTAACAGGACTTTCAATATAAATATAGTTGTTTACTAAATTACTTACCTAATTGGATTTCCAAAATGTTTGAAAGAAAAAAGCTTTTCAAGAAATAATTTGGCTGATTAGAAAAGCAGGATGGAGAAATTAACAAAACTCACCTTTTAACACTGAATTTAAACCTAAGTAGTTAGTAGAAATCTAATAACATTACTCTTCTGCTTAAAACTATTCAGTATTCCCCAGGCCTAAAGTATAAATTCTATTCACTGTCATATATTATTGTTTAAATACTTATTGAACAAAATATGCAACATACCATACAAAAATAACCAAGGGGAACTTTAAAATATTTAAGACAGTGCTTAAGGCTCTCATACTCTCGTGATAGAGTGAAAACTCCATGAAGTCGAAAATAAAGTCTGTTTTATTGATTACTATACAATATTACTATGTATAGTTACTATACATAGTATAATACTATATTACTATATATAATTACTACTGTTATACATCTTATATGTAAATTATTATTGTATGTTACCAAATCTAATACATACTTTGCCTGACTTTTACATGTAAGCAATTGCATTTTCAGTGACCTTATGAAAGTGAAACTGGATTTTGGTAATTGGGAGTAGAAAAAGGGAAAACAAGAATAAACATAAACAGGAAATAAGATGAGCTCTGGAACCCACAATAAGCACAGACTGGCTAGCAGGCTAGTTCTCAACTGAGAGTGGTAAGGCCGCCTCCCTGCTCACTCACCCTCTCTCAGCTGCTACTGGCGGTCAATGGCGGGGGTGTTGTGGAGGGCAAGAATACTGAGTTAACTGCAATGCACAAGCCTGACAACTCCCACACAACAAAGAACTGTCCTCTGCTATACCAACAGTACTCCCCAATGGAAAGAAGAAACACCAGCAAAAGACAGGTGAAGTAGCAATCAAAGGTGAATGTGTCCATTTCATTTTTAATCTACAGCATATGTTTGCTACCAAAGAATGCCTATCACAACAGTCTAGGCAAGAAGTAATAGAATATAAACTATAGAAATGATAGTGGGGACAGAAATAAAAGATCATATTGAAGTGAGAACTAAATATATTAAGAGAAAACAGACAAATATGACTGGCATTTCAGGCCTAAAAGTCATCCTAGGTAAAACAAGGTACATTTTCATCTATCTAGCTGAGCCACACCAAACACAGAATTACAAAATGCATCAAATGCTATTCCCTTTGCCTTCACTAGAGGAATAAATATGGCATATTCTATACTTTGTCATCCTAGTCAATTGATATATGTGGGGAATACAGTTCAGAAACTTATGAAATTAAGAGCTTAAGAAAGAAATGAAGCTGAAAAAAGTAAGTGAAGTCTTTAGAGCTAGGTTCCCTCCTATAATATTATTTAAGTCAGCAAATTTCATGCAGAAAAGAACAACTAAGAAGGGGAGCCAGGTGACTCAATCACAAACTAAGGACTGCAGCCCACTAACAGTGTTTAACAGCATATGCCGCCGAGAACTTGGCTTACCACGCTGGCAACTATTTAGTGAATCTCATGATTAGGATTTTCTTCATTACTACCACTGAGAGAACTTTTTAAATAAGTATTGTTTGTATTTAGTACTTCCACTAATCGCTCAAGCATTTACCGAATCAAATACTTCAATACTTCAAATATTCAACGTGAGTATTTTCAGAGTAAATTCTCGAGAAAATTTTCAGGTGTCATTTTTCAATATATCAAAGACCTGATTCAAACTCAAAAGGAAAGTGAATAATGTCTTCCTTCTCTTCTGATACCCTCTCTAGGGCAAAGTCTTTTTCATATTCCTAGTATTCCCTTATATTTCCAGTATCTAGCATACTACAAACACCTAGCACATAACAGGATTAATGGCTATTTCTCCAAAAAGAGTAATGCATAAATAATAAAAGCTGCTGCATATTTTTTAGAGAAAAATGAGTTTCAGCCTTTTATACATGTTACCTGTTACATGATGATAGGCATTCAAAAAATACTAATATTTATTGAGAGCATATATTACATGCTAGAACAGCAAATAAGAAAGGGAAAGTTGTAACTGGACTAGATATACCAAATGCTATACCAGGAATGCTATAAAAATGCAGGAAGAAGACTCTAGATAATCTCTGATTATCTATTCAGACTTTTCAAAAGTTCAACAATTAAAGGAGACAGACTTTACCAACAGAGGGCTGAGAAACCACTGCAGATGTTCTCTAATTATGGCTTAAGTACTATTCTAAACAGAAAATACAGGACCTTTGGTGAAAACTCCTTCTGACTGATGACTGCCTCTTAGAACTCTGAATCTCTGTAATCACTCACTTTGCATAAGAAGTACCTGCTAATTTACCTGGACCCTAGCAAAAACAAAGTAGTTTCCCTGATTGTTAGCTAAAAGTTCCCCTAAATGATTGCTAACTTCATCTATACCTTTCAAATGTTTTATTTCATTTTTTTTATTTTATTTCATTTCATTTTATTTATTTATTTATTTATTTATTTTTTGAGACACACTGTCGCCCAGGCTAGAGTGCAGTGGCATGATCCCAGCTCATTGCAACCTACACCTCCTGGGTTCAAGCGATTCTCCTGCCTCAGCCTCCTGAGTAGCTGGGACTACAGGCGCCCACCACCACGCCTGGCTCATTTTTGTATTTTTAGTAGAGATGGGGATTCAGCATGTTGGCCAGGCTGGTCTCGAACTCCTGACCTCAGGTGATCTGCCCGCCTCAGCCTCTCAAAGTGCTGGGATTACAGGCGTGAGCCACTGCACCCGACCTCAAATGCTTTAAACAGACTATCATACAAACTCAATTCCTTAGGTCCCTTCCCACCTTCCAGAGACATTTAAAAAGTTACCATATTCTGATTATTTCACTCCTACATATTTCCCCACCTGTACCCCACCACACCACCACCAAGCAACTTAAATTCCTGCTGATCTCAGAGCCTCTCTATAGGTGGGAACCAGAAGGTAATGCCTCTACCTCAGCAACTGTCTTATTAATATGCAATTCATTTACTAACATACTCCTCTATCCAAAAAGTATCTACACTTATATTCATGGTTAACCAATATGCTCCTTCAGTGTATCTAAATAAGCGAGTAGGTGTATTCATACAGCTGTATTTATCTCTATATTCACTGACAGCTATCTAATTTTTTTATTTTAGTTTGGCTTTTTGTTTGTTTTTTGTTTTTTTGTTTTTTTGAGACAGTCTCACTCCATCACCCAGGCTGGAGTGCAGTGGCATGATCTCAGCTCACTGTAACCTCTGCCTCCGGAGTTCAGGCAATTCTCCTGCCACAGCCTCCCAAGTAACTGGAATTACAGGCGCTCGCCAACACGCTCAGATAATTTTTATTTTTTTTAGTAAAGACGGGATTTCACCATGTTTGGCTAGCCTGGTCTTGAACTCCTGACCACAAGTGATCCACCTGCCTTGGCCTCCCAAAGCGCTGGAATTATAAGCGTGAGCCACCGTGACCAGCCGGCTTTCTAATTTTCTCTACTGTTTTATACTGTAAATTCCTAGAAAACAATGATGTTTCTGTATATAACATTGTAGCATCTATCATTATCTTAGAAAATAGTTGACTAGGTGCAGAAAAAGAAAGTTAACAGGTGCATGCAAATTTCTTGACTCCTGGTTTCCAGGGATGCTATTGAAAATTTAATGAAAAATGTCTTAAGCAAAAGATTTGGGTACACACATATATAAAATCACAGAAGCAGTTTTCAACTTCTCTCCAAAGATGATAAAAATCTCACTGACTTATACAAGTGAAACCAAAGTGACCAAAATAATTAAGAACCAGGATTCCAAGCAGCACTGGCCCTTTTGAGACCCTAGCTCATGCTACTAACATTTTCATTAACCACGTTATGAGCACAGAGCAGCGGAAGAGCTTTGCTTATTTCTATTTATTTTGTGTTGTTTTGGAAGGCAGAATATGGTAATTCCAAGCTACAACCACAACATTATGATGTACGCAGTGCTACTGAATTGTATGCTCAAAAACGGTTAAAATGATCAATTTTATGTTACGTATATTTTACCACAATAAAAGCTACAACCAAACACAAGCTACAGTGAACAAAGATGATTAATACTATCTTAACTATATCAACACTAGAGAAATAAAGAGAATATTGTTGTTAGTTCCAGGCATTGATCCAAGTGCAATACGTTGTTTTACTTCTCTCTCAGTACAAGGACTTTTAACAACAATCATGCAAAATAAAGTAAGTTTCACAATTTTACAGATGAGAAAGGTTGAATACTCCATAGAGAAAAAAAGAACTTTCAATTCATTCTCACCCTGCCACTTACTATATAACTTCGGGAAAGTTATAACTACTTTGCCTTAATTTCCTCACCTGTAGAATGGAAATAATAGCACCCTTGCAAGGTTATTGTTAGAATTACATGATATATCAATGTATAAAACACCTAACAGAGTATGGCACATATTTGTAACTCAATAGATAACTAAATACTATCATGGACAGAGAGGAGTAAGGTGCCTACAGTAATTAGTTAATAAACGACACAGTCGGAATTCAATGCTAAGTCTCCTGAAATCTAAGTCTAGCTTTTTGTTATATTACTGTTACCTTAACAGTTATCAAAAATATCTTTTATTTTCCTAAGAGACAAGGTCTCACTCTGTTGCCAAGGCTGAAGCACAGTGGCGCAATCATAGCTCACTGCAGCCTCAAATGCCTGGGCTCAAGCAATCCTCATGCCTCAATTTCCCAAAGTGCTGGGATTACAGGCATGAGCCAACATGCCTGGCCCAAAAATATCAGTCTTTCATTTAGAATGAAAATTAGACTTTGTTCTAAATCTTTTGACTGATTCCAAAACCAAATATAGTCTAAAATACAAAGAGAGAGGATAAAGTGGAAATAGAGCATTTACTGTATTATATAAAACAATGACTGTGGCCGGGTGCAGTGGCTCACGCCTCTAATCCCAACACCTTGGGAGGCCGAGACGGGTGGATCACTTGAGGTCAGAAGTTCGACACCAGCCTGGCCAACATGGTGAAACTCTGTCTCTACTAAAAATACAAAAATGAGCCGGGCGTGGTAGCATGTGCCTGTAATCCCAGCTACTTGGGAGCCTGAGGCTGGAGAATCGCTTGAACCCAAGAGGCGGAGGTTGCAGTGAGCTGAGATTGCACCATTGCACTCCAGGCTGGGCGACAGCAAGACTCTGTCTCAAAACAAGCAAACAAACAAACAAACAAAATGACTGGGTGCTTTACTTGATTATCTAATTCAAATGCTGTGTTAGTCTCATACTACCACTTCTCATGATGACTAAACCAAGATTCTCATAGGAAAAGCAATTTGCCCAAGGTTAAACACCTGGTTAACTGTTTTGTTGAAATTCAGCCCACGTCTGTCCAAATCCAAAGAACTCTATCTTTCCCTATATCTCACAACCTGTCAAGAAAAAGGTTTTCTAGTTTTCAAAATACCCAAAAGAGAATATTCTGAAAGTAAATTCCAAAACAGGAACTCTAAAAGCAGGTTCATTAAAGCTATCACTTCCCAGAAGTATAACCTCCAAAGCACTACTTTCAAAAAGGAAATGTTCATTTGAGACGTAAGTGTTGCTATGTGTTTACTGGATTTTTTTTGAACAATTATCTTAGAAAGTTCTTAATGTTTCTAAGTGGAAACATTTCCAACTGAGAAGCAGAGTCCCACCAATTTGGTCTCAGCAACAAAAATGGGTAATTCCCCTTCCGTGTACTGTTCCAAGCTAACAGATTTACAAAGCTATGCTACAATCATAAGGGAAGAGGGGAGAATCAGACATATGTGCGCTGTGCCAGCCACATAGCAAGGGAAATGAGGCCAGACCAGGGACTTGATGTTCAATGATATTTGTAAATTAAGTATTTTTAAGTTGGGAACTGCTTATCCAACATGGAAAGAAACAGCCAACCAATCCCTTTTCTCATGAATAAACCTCCAAAAATAGAAAGCCTCTGTTTTGTTTTGTTTTGTTTTGTTTGGGGAGGAGGAAGTCTTACAAAACCCTTCCATATTAAAGTACGATAATTTAGCTTCCAACACACAAGGCTCTAAAGTAATGCACAGTTGCAAAGTGTACTGAAATCTTTATTGATAATTAAAACATCAAAGCAGAAAATGTAATTGTGTCTCTCAATGTTAAGGAAACTATTTTCCAAGTTTTTTTTAATACCCTCTTTAAGACATCCAAAAGCAAGAGGGAGAAAATGGAGACTTCAGTACTTGTTAACAGCCTGCAAAAAGCCTTCACGTAAAAGCTGAATCAGGCAAAGCATCTGTTTAATAGTTTAAGAGAGAAGTGACAGCTAACTCTAAGATCACTAACTTCATTCTTCACTATGGTCCTTTCTACCTATCCTTTTTCACATAATGTTTTTATACCATATAGTTCTAACTATATGTTCTAAGAACTATATAGTTCTAAGTGTTTACTTCAACTCTTCCATGATAATGATTTAGGGACTCACTCTCTCAACACCAAGTTTTACTGAAAATAACACTAAAAATAATGAAATAATTTAATTAATACATCAAAATATATGCATATAAGTTAATATTGCCCTTCCTATTCAAAAAATTCTCCTTAGGAAGATACCCGCACTTACTCCAACAACTCAGCCACTATCCCAAATGCCTGAGACTCATTAATTACCCAAAACAATTACACCAAAGCACATGCAATGTTTTCTGCATATTCTTTTTTTTTTTTTTTTTGAGACGGAGTCTCACTCTATCGCCCAGGCTGGAGTGCAGTGATGCAATCTCGGCTCACTGCAAGCTCCACCTCCCAGATTCACGCCATTCTCCTGCCTCAGTCTCCCGAGTAGCTGGGACTACAGGTGCCCACCACCATGCCTATCTAATTTTTTTGTATTTTTAGTAGAGATGGGGTTTCACTGCATGTGTTTAATAATAGCATAATTTCTTACATTCAGTGTGCCTTTAAACTTTGGAAACTGCTCAGGCAATCAATCTACAGAATATCATTTCCAGTCCAAATGAGGTATCACATGCTAGGAAAGAAAAACAGATATTCTCATGTGGTCCACAAACTGTAAAATAAATTCCAATTCATTAGCCCTCAAATTTACTAACATTTTATATTTTTTAGAATATACTATTAATATCTTAAATTTTTTTTGAGATGACACTGCATCTTCATTATGATCGCACTAGTCCAATCATTATATCACCTATTGCTGAAACTCTGCAATAGCTTTTCAAAAAAAAAAAAAAAAAACAAACAAACTTGTATTTTGGGTTCATGGATACATCAGCAGGTTTGTTACACAGGTAAACTGTGTGTCACAGGGGTTTGGTGTACAGATTAGCATAATACCCAGGTAATAGGCAAAGCACCCAATAGGTGGTTTTTCAATCTTCACCTCCCTCCCACCCTCCACCCTCAAGTTGACCCAGTGTCTGTTGTTCCCTTCTTTGTGTCCATATGCACTCAATGTTTAGCTCCCGCTTATAAGTGAGAACATACAGTATTTGGTTTTCTGTGTCTGTATTAGTTCGCTTAGGGTAACAGCCTCCAGCTCTATCCATGTTGCTGCAAATGACATCATCTTGTTCTTTTTATGGCTGCACAGTATTCTATAATATCTTAATTTTTAAAAAATAATGATCAAAAAATAACTTCATAAATTTCTGGATTAAAGATATAAAACTGGCCTTATATGTATTTTTAGGTCTATATATTTTATGTATATATATACATATACACACACACATAAACAGCCAACTAAACCAGTTATTAACAGTTAAATACAAAAACAATATAATTTAAGATACAGTAATCCCTTTTATCTCATACATTTTCCAAAATGCTATTTTCTCTGTGTGAACTAAAAGTAATGCAAGTTCTTAATGTATGTGTTTTGTTCAGTGCTATATTCCTACCCAGAACACCACTTGGCACATAGCACTCAGTAAATATTTACTGAATAAATAAATCAGCATAGAAATTTAATACATAGCCATGGATTTAGCCGATTTATATTTTTCTATGTTAATTATGCTACAAAATTTTCTCTTTTTTATAAGGATCAACAAAACACGACCAAGACTGTAAGAAAGGACTAAGCACATCAGTTGACAGCAACTCCATTCCTAAAACTGCTCAGGTCAAACACTCTTTCTTGATTATTCTTCCCACACACATCCATCCAACTTCAGGAAATCTGGCTCTATCTTCAAAATATTAACCAGACTCTGCCCTTTACTAAGCCACCAACACCTCTTGCATAGATTACTGTCCCTCACCCTTTGATGTCCTCTCTTGCTTCCTTTCACAGCTTAACCCATGGCCACTCATCATCACCCACCTACAAACACCCTCGACTTCCTTGCCCTTCTCTTATTTCATCATACTTGGCTAGCAAAGCCATAACCTGGTTAAATCTAATTCGTCAACTACTTTTTATCTCAATATGGCTAATCATGATGCTTTAAATTAATAACCACAGACTGCAACTGAACCCTTAATGCTGCCAGCCAAACATACCATAACTTTCTGGTCTATTCACTCTCCCATTCTATTTCGTATCTTCTTGATCCTCAACTCCAATGCCTCCTTCCTATCTTTTTTCACAGTGAAGACTTTGCTTCCTATACTTCACTGAAAGAAAATATTTTTCATGAAGCTATTTGAAGAGAACTTCCATAAACTCCCACAACCCACTCAACCACCATCCACTGTCTACACTTTCAAACTGTATCTCTGCCCACTGACACAGATAAATTATCCAAGTTTCTATATGTCAATCCCTACACTTGTAAACTAAATCTCTTAGCCCCTCAAGGGTATCACTCCAGGAACTAATTCATCCTTTACATTTTTCTCACAGTGAATTGTTGCCACGGGCATATAAACATGCTGGGCTTTTGCTCCCATCCTTTAAAAAAAAAAAAAAAAAGACAAAACACTCTCAACCCCACTTCACTACTTCTCCATTTCTTTCTTCCCTTTGCAGAAAATCTTAAAAATATTCCCGCTGGCTGTCTCTAATTTTTCTCCTCCCTTTCTCTCTTAAAATCCACTCCAGTCAGGCCTCTGCTCTCACCACTCCACCAAAACTGGCCTGGTCAAGATCACCTATAACCTCAACATTACTAAATCCAATGGACAATCTCATTTCTCATGTTATCGTGCCTATAAGTAAGCATTTGCCACAGCTGATCATTTTCTTCCTCATTTAATTTCCAAGACAGCACAATAGCCTTGTTCTCCTTACTGACTGCTCCTTCTCAGTCACCTCTAACAAAGGGCATGAGAAAACTTTTGGGAATGATAATTATGTTCATTATACTGACTATGGTGATGGCTTCATGAGTATATACATATATTGACACTTAGCAAATTGTACACTTTAAGTATGAATCATTTATTGTCTGTCAATTATACCTGAAAAAATGTTTAAAAAACAAAACAAAGAAACAAACAAAAAACCTGCCAGCCTGTACATGCCATTCCTAGTCTCCAAGATTGCTCAGAGATCATGAAAACAGAATTATTAATGAGAACACATGGACACAGGAAGGGGAACATCACACTCTGGGGACTGTTGTGGGGTGGGGGGAGGGGGAGGGATAGCATTAGGAGAGATACCTAATGCTAAATGACGAGTTAATGGGTGCAGCACACCAGCATGGCACAGGTATACATACGTAACTAACCTGCACATTATGCACATGTACCCTAAAACTTAAAGTATAATAAAAAAAAAGTTGTTTTTAGACCCTAAGATTAAAAAAAAATCCTAGCCACTGAGAACAGTTAGCTCCTTTCTCATCCAATTATCTCTCAATAACTTGGCTCTACCATTTTCAATTAAACAATTATTTTCCTAACAAAAAAAAGAATCAGATGGGTGGTATCGAATTTGACACTTTTTGTCATCTATTATCATTACAGGATCAGAAATAACCTGCTGCCTTCTTTGTTTTTTCTCCAAACCTAACATCTGAAAATGTCTTTTATTATTCTTAGTATTCTTTGCAGGCCTCAGCTGAGCTAGCCTTTAGTATTATGAAGACAGCTGTCAAGAGATTTGTGCCATTTTCTTATTTATTATAAGTTATATATCCTCTTTTCTATCTTTTTATAATTTTATGCTCTTGTCTCAATTAACATTTACCAGTATCAGGTACTTCAATAAATGCCATTAAGAAACAAGCAAATAAGTAAAAGAGTACTTGAAGCAAACAGAAATAACTAGTTCATTAAAATGTTTTGCAAAAATCAAGTACAAGTATGCACGTGTGTATAACAAAACCGTTCAGCTAGTGAGACTTCACGAAAATCAAATGTCCAAGGAGCCTCTCTGGTTACAACTCCAAGCATTTAACAGAACTCATTAGCAATAAGAGATGCAAGGAGACACATGTTGGACAATGTCAGATTTGTATTTTGTAACAAATATTCATACAGTTGCAGAGTATGGATTTAAGGGCAACAGACTAGAGGTAGGGGGCCAAGTTATTTTATTATCCCAAGCAATAAAAGTCTAAACTAAGGCTGTGTTAATGAGGTAAGGCCAAAAAAAACTTTTTTACAAGGAACATTTTACTATTTCGTAGAACTCTCACTAGTTCCACTACAGTATGCAGACTCCATAATACAGAGATGTCACCGAGCAGGAAAAGACCTTATTCATTATCAAGCACAAAGACGGCTACCATTTCCCTTTGTATTTTGTAATATTAGAGAAAGACAAATCTAGGTAGTTAAACTAAATTTATGAATGATTAGATACTAAAAACTAAACACATACTATCACAAACTTTTATTTTTGGCCCCATAAACAACAGGAAGAGTGTTCTTACGGACAATCCAAGAAAACTCCACCTACCACATAGTAGACTGGAACTCTGCAATAGTTCCCCTCCGGCTCAGGACATGAGGAAAGGACAAGATGCAGTGTGGCATCAAATGGATAGAAATGGGCCTTGGAGGACACACTGTCAAAAGACTGACAATTACCGCATTCTTCCTGCCTGCAGAACTCAAATCAGAAATTTCTAAGAAATGATTTTGAATGATCTAAAATGAAAGAAGTCATTCATAAAACAGTGCTGATCATTTCAAAGTAATATTAGCTTTGCTTCCTGAACTGCTGTTACTGTGTAGGTCCTATACTGAAAAGTCTTATTCCATTATTACCATAATCCAGGCATAAATTTGGCTTCCATCTGGAGACACGGCTTTGTCAAGAAAGACGTGATTTCTCTCCTAAATGTAGCTATACTCTTAACACTTAGGATTAAAGTTCTTTGCAGATCAGTAATTTGAAGGTAATCACAAGACTAGGACAATCTTCTAAACACAAACATTTGGCTCTTACTATTTCTGACAGCGTGAGAAAATAAGTGAGAACGACATCTGCATATTTTCTAATTATTAAAAGTTCAAAGCCAGTTCCCTCCTCTCCCACTCTCTACCACTTCCCTAAGAAACAACCTCATCCCTTCTCCCGAAGTGTTCCTGTAATGGTCTCCCTATCTCTAGCACCACCACGCTACATTGTATTCCCCTTTACAGCTACCATATCTCTTCAGAATATGAATCTGGTCACATCACCACTTCTGTTGAAACCCTTCAGTGCCTCCCATTCCCCCAAAAAGAATGAAGACCAACCTCCACAGCATGAAATACAGGCACACTGTGATCCCTGAAGAATCACTTCGCCATTGATTCACTCTATAAAGCCATCCTGACCTTCCTAACAGTTAGATGCTTCCTACTCTGCACTCTTAATAACATTTTATGCATAACTATTATAGTTGCAAGTAACTGTTTACCTATCAACCCATATCCTCCTCCAAATAATCAGTCTCTCAAAGGGATAAGAAGAATTTCACAAAGACCACCAAGTCTGGAGTCAGACCTAAGCTCAAATCGCAATTCCACTATTTATTAAAGATGTAATCTTCGGCAAACTTCTTAACATCTTTGGATCTTAGCTTCCTCCACCACAAAATTAGCATAAAATATTCACCCTCATGGGTTCCTGTGAATAAATTTTAAAAATAAAGAAAGAATAATAAATAGTTCTAGAAAACCACAGATTTAATATCGCTAACAACATCTATAAGGCCCAAAAAGGAAAATTTATTTAAAGGACAAACTCTTCTCTGTGGCAGACGCAAGTTATACCTTTGCAATGAGGATATGTAATAAATGTTTTTAAAAGAAAATGTTCTGATTTTCCAAGGAAAAAAGTCACAAGCCTATAAAACAGCTAAAACAGCATTAAATCTTCCCTTCAGCTTTAAGTCAATAAAAGTATAATGAATTTAATATGTTTATTGAATCCTCATAGAAATTAGTATTTAAACAGAAAGAACATAACCTCAGTTCCTAGAAATTTTTTATTCAAAACACTTGACAAATTTAGCATTTGATGGTGTTACCTCCAAAAAAAACTACAAGTGTGTTGAAAATTACCTAAGTAAAAATTTTTAAAACTTACTGAAAATGTGCAAAACATATTTTCTACAAAGCTACACGGACAAGCACGCTTGAGATTTTAAAACTGCCTCTGCAAACTTGGGCCCCTCCTTGTAGCATGTCCTAGGTGTCTCCCCATCTCTCAGGCAGCAAACACCCTGGAGAGGAAACGCAAGAAGGGAAGGAAAGAGGAAATTCTTAAATGAGATCAGACACAGACCAAGGGACAAGGATCAGCAACTGAAATATGTGCTGTGCCTTTTGAAGGGTGTGGGGAGAAAAGACAATGCTGGAGGGAAGAGGGGTCTGCAGTCTGGGATTTCCTTTTCCTGCTCTTGGCTTCAGTAAGCTACAGCAGTGACAGAGAGGAATGAAGTCCCCTTCCAGGGGATAAGACACTACAAACACTGTGCAATATATTGAGCCTTCAATACTGAGATAATGATAAACCCTTCCATTTGTAGTATCGACTTCAAGAATTTAAAGACAATATTAATTTTCCAGAGTACACCTGGAGAAAATAAGGAATTAAGTAGAAAAACTGGATTCCAAGAAACTATTTCTAACAATTAGCTTGGAAGTTTCATGCCAATTATAAATTAAGATTTTACTAAAATTATACTGAAGTAATAGTTTTTAAAGTAAAATTTCAACTGAATTTCTAGTACAAAGCCATGCAGTAACCACACAAGACTTTACTTCTTACTGTATTAGATTAATTTTAATCCCTGAAAAGTGTAACAAGGCTCTCTTTGTCTAGATTCTGAGCGGGAAAAAAATTCAATAATTACTTTGACAGCAGTTTTAATTATTAGTAACTTAAGAAACTAAAGTCTTAAAATTCCTCTTTCCCCCTAATGTCATGTACACTTTTCTACTTAACTCTTGGGGATAATACACTCAACTATGTACCTGCTAAAGTCAAAGCTTCTCTCAATTACCTAGTATTTCATTTGAAGAAAGGCAAAACTGAAAAAGCCCACTGCTTTGGAAAGCAGGAAGACTGGGTTGCAAGGTCAGTTCTGTACACTAGCTACTTAGAGATAACCTTGGGCGTTTCTCTAGCTTCTGTGGCTTCTATTTCCTATAAACTGGAGGGACTCACACAGATTTCAAAGGCTCCTTCTACTCCCTCTCTTTGAACATTTTGCCTACATTCCCTAATTTCAAAACTTTCCGTTTATGGTTAATAAAAGACTTCTCGGTTTATCCTCATGAAAACTATATGAAATAGATAGATACTTGTTTTACAAATGCAAAATGTGAGGCCCAGAAAATAAGAGACACACTCAAGACAGTAATTGGCAGAGCCAGAAGTAGAACCTAGCTCAAAAGCCCTTCAAAGATTCCTTAAAAATTCATTATTCAGAAATTTTACAAGTGTGAAAAGCTTAAAACACAAATCTAAACAATTGTATTAAAGTGATATATAGTACAAAGTCTATTTTTAAAATGTAATTTTATTCAATATGCTAAATAGTTGTTTACAGACAAAATGTATGTAGCATGTACCTCAAAAAATAGACACAAAACAGATCAATTCAAACTACTCAGGAAAAAGTATTCATCAGTGACTGAATTTTTCACTTATAATTATCAGCTCTGTCATCAAAGAAAGATACTTTTACCCTATATTCTTCAAAGAACTAAAAACTAAACTATCTAGGAATTTCTCCCACAAAGAAACTTCTAAACCTTGATTGTTTCATTAGTGAGTTCTAACAAAAATCAAGGAAAGAAGAATTCCACTCTCAAACTCTTCCAGAGATTTGAAAGAAGAAACTTACTTAAAAAGGTAGTGAAACACTTATACCAAAACCAACAGAACAGTACTAGACACGAAAATTATAAAGCCAGCCTCATTCATGAACATAAATGTAAAGCTCTAAAAATATTTGTAAATTAAATTTAACCACAAAAAGGATAATAATACATCATGACAGTTGAGATCATTCCAGGGACAGAAGATTGGTTTAACATTAGAAAATAATTTAACATAATTCACATTAACAGGTTAAAGGTAGAAAACTCATGTAATCATGGGAATAGACGTAAAACAGTAGCCCATAAAATTAAACATTAATGCTTGATAAAATGTATAGAAATATAAGGGAATACCTTAATCTTGATAAATAATCTATAGCAAAATACAGCCATTAGTGAGGAACAAGAGAAGGGTTGTATTATCTTCATTTCTATTCAAACATTTACTAAGGTTCTATTCTACAGTAAGGAAAAAAAAGAAATCCAAGGTATAAAGACTTGGGATTAAAAAAAAAACTGTCATTTGCAGAGGAATAATCTAGAAATAAAATTAACAAGAATTTAGAAAGATTGCTAAATTTTTTTAAATGTGTAAAAATTAATTGTATTTCTAAATGCCTGCAGACAGAAAATGAATTTTTTAATGTCATCAAAATGCATAAAATGCCTTTTTAAAAATTTACAAATTCAAAATGATACATAAAGAAATGAAAGGAAAAATATCCCATTGGTGTCTTCTGTAGATTGCAAGGATATCAACTTATTAATCTAAAAATTGATACATAAGGGTGAAAAAAATGAGCATTTCTCCTGCCTTTTATCAACTGTATTTCATGAAAACCAAAATACTGATCAAAGTTCTTGACAGTCCAGCTACTAAATGCAGAATAAATCAGAAAATCACTATTTTGCAACACCAATATATTGGATCTAGGCAACAATCATCAATAGTGATGATTAGATGAAAGACTAATGGAAAACCACAGCCACTACATGAAGGATAAATGAAAACTTTTTAAATGGAGGAATGGAGTTGACAATACCTGAACCCACTGATCAAACCTAGTAATTCAAAAAGTGGGAAAACCAAACATGATGTGACTCCTGATGTAATATAACAAGAAGTACACAGTACTTCTACGAGGTATTCTTGTCTAAAAACTTAAGACCAAATCTAACCAAGCTGCTAAATCTTACTATCAGTTTAGAGGAAATGAGATAGAACAAGTTAAATGACAAAATAAGGAAGGAATCAGCCAAATCCAAATTAGTCCAGAAGACAAATCAATTGCCTGAGGAAAAAAGAAGTGCTGTCTGAAAAGTGAACATAACTAAATGCAATCAATCTTATGTGAATTCTCATTTCCATCAACCATTTTTTAAAATACATGTTTGGGACCAAGCACAGTGACTAATGTCTATAATCCCAGCACTTTGGGAAGCCAAGGTGGGCAGACAGCTTTAGCCCAAGAATTCAAGACCAGCTTGGGCAACACAGGCAAACCTCGTCTCTACAAAAATTTCTATAAAAATTAGTCAGGCATGGTGGTGCACCTGTGGTCCCAGCTATTTGGGAGGCTGAGGCAGAAAGATCCCTTGACCCCAGAAGGTCAAGGCTACAGTGAGCCATGTTCACACCTCTGCACTCCAGCCTAAGTAACAGAGCAAGACCCTGTCTCAAAAAATAAATAAAATACATATTTGAGAGAGAAAATGTAAATATGGACTAAGTATTAGATGATATTAAGGAATTATTTTTAAATTAAATATGATGCTATCCTTGTGGTTACAGTTTTCAAATGTCCTAATAAAGGACAGCAATGCATAGTGAGGTATTTACAAGTGAAATGTCATGATATTTATATATCTGATTTTCTTTGAAATACTCAAAAGAAACAAAAGAGCAAAAACGTCATAACTCTTGAAGCTTGATAATAGAAATTTATTACACTACTGTGTCTTTTGTATTTACCTGAAAATGTCCACAGTAAAATCCAATCAAATTCCAATTAGAAAAGCAGTGAAAGACATGAAAAAAGAGGATACAGAGATGACAGATAAAATATGAAAAGATGTTTAACACTGCTGGCCATTAGGGAAATTCAAATTATGACCCCAAGGAGATAGCACCATAGGCCTATTACAACTAAAGTAAAACATACAGAAAGTACCAAATGCTGGTGAGGATGCAGAGAAACTCTCTCTCTCATACTTTGCTGTTGGGAATGTAAAATGATACTGCCACTCTGGAGATCAGTCTGGTAGTTTCTTAAAAAGTTAAACATCACTCCTGGACATGAATGTTTATAAGCATTTTATTTGTAAATAGGCCCATAGTGAAAACAACTCAAATGGACTTCCATGGGTGAATGGTTAAACAAACTGAGGTACCTCCATACAATGAAATATTTACTCATCAATAAAAAGGAACAAACAATTGATACTCTCAACAATTTGAATGGATCTTAAGAGTATTATGCTGAATGAAAAGGGCCACCATCAGAACATTTCATAATCTAGGATTCCATTAACACAACATTCTCGATATGGCAAAAGTATAAAAGTGGAAAACAGGATTTAGGAATAGGGTTTGACTATGAAGGGGAAGCATGAGGGAATTCCTTTGTGATGACAGAGCAGTCCTGTGTCTTGAAATGTGATGGTTATATGAATCTGTACAAAGAATTATACACAAAGAAATACCAATGCCTGCAAAAACTGGTGAAGTTGAAGTCTGTAGTTTACTTAATTGTATTATGCTACTATCAGTTTTCCCCGGTTTTGATAATGTACTATATTTATGTAAGATGTCACATCTGGGGAAAACTTCCAATTTTAAAATTGGAAGATTCAATATTACAATGTACACATAAAACTGCTTGTGAGAATACACTTAGTTCAAAATAAAAGCGTTTTTTAAAAAAATTCAGGCAAGAAGAGTCAAGGCATCATCTCATATGAAGATACGAAATTTTCATGTATGGATGAGAGTGTGGAAGACAGAATTCTAAATTGTTCCCAAGATTCCTGTCCCCTGTTGATACACCCTGTATAATTTAGGACTTGTGAATATGATGGGATTATCACTACTGTGATTATGATACATTACATGGCAGAAAGGATTTTACAAATGTAATTCAGAGCCCTAATCAATTGACTTCACTTCAAAAGGAAATTTATCCCAGGTGGGCATGACCTTATCTAATGAGCTCTTAAAAGCAGTCAAAGAGATGAAAAGTGTGAAAGAGATTCACCTGCTGGCCTGGAAGGCGCAAACTACCATGTTGTGGAGTCATGTATCAGGCAACAACAGGCTATTCCTAGGAGCAACAAGTGGTCAAATCAAGCAATTGAAGACCTCAGTACTACAACAAGGAACTCAATTACCTCAACAACCAGAATAAGCCTGGAAGAGGACTCCATGCTCCAGATGAGGACATGGCCCAACCAACACCTCGATTTCAGCCTTGTGAGAATCTGAGAATTGAGGTAAACCATGCCCAGACTCATCACCAACAGAAACTCTTAAATAACAAGCATATGATGTTTTGAGGTGCTGAGTGTATGGTAATTCATTATGCAGCAGTAGAAAACTAACACACTGAGTTTGATTATTACTCTTCAAACACCCTTACAAAGAGAATGACTTTGAGGTAGTAGATAAGCCAAAAATAGATCCACTTACTTTTCCAAACTAATTTAAAATTTGTCTGAAACTTAGGCCCTCCTGTTCTGGCTGAATGTTTCATGAGAACAAACTACACAAAGAAGTTCCATGGTTTGGGACTGCAACTCTAGTTTGCTCTCATAAATGACAGTGCAAGATGGAGACTTAAAACTGATGAAACTGGGTTATGGACAAATTCAAAAACATAAAAAAAAGTTTCTTCCATTTCTCATCGCAACTTAAGGTCAAAATCTTGCCTTTCTCTAGCCATACTAAAAAAAGTTAGGAAAAGGAGAAAAATATTTGCAAGTTCATGCTTCCTAACATGCAAAAAAACTCAAAACGTATGGATCCATGATGGTATTTGTTATTTTAAACATTGGGAACTGGCAAAACCATTTTGAAAATAAAAACGTTTATGTTTTGAATCAAAGAGTACCTAAGAATAAATACAGTACCTAGGAATAAATACAACAAGCTGCAAGACCTCTAGGGAAAAACTATAAAATTTTATGAGAGCCACTAAAACAGACTTAAATAGAAATAATTATCAAATACTTATTTATGTATTTATTAATTTATTTTGGAGACAGTCTCACTCTGTCGCCTAGGCTGGAGTGCAGTGGCGCAATCTCAGCTCACTGCAACCTCTGCCTCCCAAGTTCAAGCAATTCTCCTAACTCACCCTCCTGGATAGCTGAGATTTCAGGCGTGCGCCATCATGCCCAGCTAATTTTTGTATTTTTAGTAGAGACGAAGTTTCACCATGTTGGCCAGGCTGGTCTCAAATTCCTGGCCTCAGGTGATCCACCCACCTTGGCCTTCCAAAGTGCTGGCATTACAGATGTGAGCCACCGCACCCGGCCAGAAATAATTATCAAATTTTTAGACTGGATGACTGAATGTTATAAGTATGTCAACTGCCTCCAAATCAATTTAATAGAACCAGTGCAGTTCCAATAGGTTTTTTTCCATGCAGCTTCACAAGCTAATTGCAAAGTTTATATGAATATGCAAAGGGCAAAGAATAGCCCAGTCTTGAAAAAGAACAAATAAAACTTGCTATACCAAATATTAAGACATATAAGATGACAGTGACTTAAAAACACTGTGAGTATTGTCAAAGCAACAGAAAAATAGATCAGTGAAAAAATAAAGAGCCCAGAACAGACTCACACACATACAGACACTTGCTATACGACACAACTAGCACCACAGATTAGTGGGGAAAATTCAAACTTGTTAAAAAAAAAAAAATGGTGCTGCAATTGGCTGAACATCCACACGGAAGGAAAAAAATGGAAATCAGACCTGATTCTCAAAAAACACAAAATCAATTCTCAGTGAATAAAAACCTGAATTTGAAATACAAACTAAGTTAAACTAAAGACAATAAAAGACAGAATAGAAAAGGATTACTTCAGTAAGACACAAAAAGCTTTAACTATAAAGGGAAAATCCAGTTAATTTGGCAGTACTCTCATTAAGAACTTCTGTTTATTAATACACCATATATATATATACACACATAAGTATATAAAAAGACAAGGCAAAAATTCGGAAGAGATATTGCAATTGTGATCAAATATAACAGAAATATAAAGAATTAGGCCAGGTGCAGTGGCTCACGCCTGTAATCCCAGCACTTTGGGAGGCCGAGGCGGGTGGATCACGAAGTCAGGAGTTCCAGCCCAGTCTGGCCAAGATGGTGAAACCCCATTTTTACTGAAAATATAAAAATTAGCCTGGCGCAGTGGCGGGCACCTGTAATCCCAGCTACTTGGGAAGCTGAGGAAGGAGAATCGCTTGAACCCGGGAGGCAGAGGTTGCAGTGAGCTGAGATCACGCCACTGCACTCTAGCCTGGGCGACACAACAAGACTCTGTCTCAAAAAATAATTATCTGTAAGAAAAAAACACTCCAACTCAATAAAAAAATGAACAGAAGACTTAAATAGACAATCTCCAAAAGAGGAAATCTAGATAACTAGTAATATGAAATGATGCTCAACTTCAAAAAAAAAATGAATGTTTAATACCAATGTTCGTGACACTGGGAAAGTAAACTGATACATCCGCTTTGGCAAATAATTTGGCATTACTAAGGAAAGCTGATATCACCTAACCCAGCAACCTCCTTGGTTACACACCCTTGAAAAACTCACTCAAAAAATGTGCAATAAAGAAATAGTCACAGAAGTACTGTTCATAAAAGGTCAAAACTAGAAACAAAAGCTTCATAAGAAAAGTGGATAAACTACAGTGTATTCAAAATTGGAATACAGCAATAAAAATGAATGAATGCAGCTACACAGAACAAAATGGACAAATCTCACACTTTTTTGAGCAAAAGCAAGACAGGCAAAAAGCACATACAATGATTTTATTAATATACAGTCCAAAAAAGACAAAACTAAATAATATTATCTAGGTAAACATACACAAATTGTAAAAAGTAAAAAGAAAGGAAAGTATCATGACAGAAATAATGACAACTCTGGCAGTAGGAGAGGTTGTGATTAAGAAGAGGGACTATGGGGAGGGGGAACTTCTAGGGGTGTTGATGAAGTTCTATTTCATGACCTGAAGGTGGTTTAATGGTTCCCTTTATTATTCATTAGACTACATAAACATTTAATGTTCTTCTGTGTATTTTATATGTCACTCCAAATATGTTTCACTCTAAAACTGCATACATTAGTGCCACTATCAAGGACCTGAAGGATGCAGGGGTAGTGATTCTAACACATCCCCATTCAACTTACCTGTTTACCTCATGCAGAAAACAGATGAATTTTGGAGAATGACAGTGCATTATTATAAACTTAACTAGGTAACTCCAATTCTAATTGCTGTACCAGATGTGGTTTCACTGCTTGAGCAAACTAACACATACCCTGGTAACTGGTTTGCAAATATGGATCTGAAAAATGCTTTTTTTCCTCAACGTGTGTTAATAAAAACTGCCAGAAGTAGTTTGTTTTTAGCTAGCAAGATTGAAAGGCAATACACTTTCACTCTTACCTCAGGGTTATATCAACTTTCCAGCCCTACGTCATAATTTAATCCAGAGACCTTGATCAACTTTCCCTTCCACAAGACACCACAACAACCCATTATATTCATGACCTTATGCTAATTGGACCTAGTGAGCAAGAAACTGCAATTACTCTAAGCTTATTGGTAAAACATATGCATGTCAGAAGGTAAGAAATGAGTAAGACAAAAATCCAGGGGTGTCATGGACTGAATATATGCGTCCCCCCCCAAAAAAATTCATATGTTAAAATCCTAACTCCCAAAGTAATAATAGGAATTGAGACCTTTGGGAGGTCTGTCAGTCATGAGGGTGGCGCCGTCTTGAATAGGATTAGTGCTCTTATGAAACAGGAGCTCACTCGCTCTCTCTGCTGTCCACCACATGAAGATACAAAAAGATGGCCGCAAAACAGAAGAGTGCCCTCACTAGACACTGGATCTGCCAGCACCTTGATCTTGGATTTCTCAGCCTCCAGAGCTGTGAGAAATAAATGTTTGATGTTTAAGCCACGCAGTCTTTGGTAATTTCTTAAAGCCTGATGTATTCGTTCATTTTCACGCTGCTGATAAAGATATACCCAAGACTGGGCAATTTACAAAAGAAAGAGGTTTACTGGACTTACAGTTCTGCATGGCTGGGGAGGCCTCACAATTATGGCAGAAGGTAAGGAGGAGCAAGTCACATCTTACACAGATAGCGGCAGACAGAGCTTGTGCAGAGAAACTCCCATTTTAAAACCATCAGATCTCACAAGACCCATTCACTATCATGAGAACAGCATGGGAAAGACCCACACCCAAGATTCAATCATCTCCCACTGGGTCCCTCGCACAACACATAGGAATTATGGGAGCCGCAAGATGAGACTTGGGTAGAGACACAGAGCCAACCCACATCACCTGAACAGACAAGGAGCCTTCCACCTCGGTGAAATTTCTAAGGGTCTAGTGATGTGGTACATGTTGACATATCCCTTCTAATGTGAAGTAAAAGTTGTTTTAGCTAGTCCCTCCTAAAATCAAGACAGACAGAATGTCTAGTAGGCCTCTTTGTATTTGGAAGGCAACATATTCCTTATTTGGGTGTGCTACTCTAGCCCATTTACTGAGTGTATCAGTCAGGGTTTTCTAGAAAAACAGAACCAATAACCAAAAGGGGGTGTGTGTGTGTGTGTGTGTGTGTGTGTGTGTGTGTGTGTATGTATGTATACACATATCTTTATATGTATATATACATGCACAAACACACATATATGTGTATAAATATAGAGATTTATTTTAAGGAACTAGTTCACAAGATTATACAGGCTGACAAGTCTGAAATCTGTAGTGCAGGCAAGAGTTTATGTTTTACTTGAGTCCAAATTCTGTCACAAGAGCAAGCTAGCAAGCTAGAAACTCAAGCAAAATGTCTAGGTTACAGTCTTAAGGCAGAAATACTTCTTTTTCAGGAAACCTCAGTTTCTGCTCCTAAGGCCTTCAACTGATTGGATAAGGCCCACTCATATCATCAAGGGCAATCTCTCAGCATAACTACTTACAGATACTAATCATATCTACAAATTACTTTCATGCAACATCTAGACTAGTGTTTGACCAAACAACTGGACACCACAGACCAGCCAAGTTGACACACACAAAAAATTATCCATCACACAAACTGAACTATAAAGCTATTAGTTCTGAATGTGGCCCAGAACAAGAAAAGGCTTTGCAACAGACTAGGCTGCCATTGTAAGCTGCTGTGCCACTTGGGACATGTGATCCAGTAGATCCAATAGTGCTTCAAGTTTCAGAGGCAGATAGAGCTTCTGTGTGAAGCCTCTACTGACAGGCTCATATAGGTTAATCAGAGTGAAGACCCTTAGGATCTTAGAGCAAAGCTCTGCCATCCTCTCTGGAAAAGTACTCTCCTTTTTTTTTTTTTTTTTTTTGAGACGGAGTCTCGCTCTGTCGCCCAGGCTGGAGTGCAGTGGCGGGATCTCGGCTCACTGCAAGCTCCGCCTCCCGGGTTCACGCCATTCTCCTGCCTCAGCCTCCCAAGTAGCTGGGACTACAGGCGCCCGCCACTACGCCCGGCTAATTTTTTGTATTTTTAGTAGAGACGGGGTTTCAACGTTTTAGCTGGGATGGTCTCGATCTCCTGACCTCGTGATCCACCCGCCTCGGCCTCCCAAAGTGCTGGGATTACAGGCGTGAGCCACCGAGTACTCTCCTTTTGAGAAACAGATTTTGGCTTGCTACGGGGCCTTATTAGAGACTAAATGCTGAACAATGTGCCAAGGAGTTGCCATGAGACCTGAGCTGCCCATTATGAACTGGGTGCTATCTGGCCCCACGATTCATAAAGTGGGGCATGCATGGCAGTACTCCATCACTGAATGAAAATGGAATATGACAGATCAAGATCAAGCAGGCCCTGAAGGTTCAAGTAAGTTATATGAAGAAGTTGTACAAATGCCCACGGTCCCCATTCCTACCACATTCCCTTCTCTCTCCCAGCCCACACCTATGACCTCAGGGGAAGTTTCCTACTATCAGTTGACCGAAGAAAAAAAAGTGGGCCTAGTTTACAGATGACTGTGGACAATATGCACAAACCATCACAAAGCAGATGGCTGTAGCACTAACTGCCTTTCTGGGACAGGGATAGTAATGAAGGAAAACTCTCCTGTGGACAGAACTTTGGGCAGCACACTTGGCTCTCATTTTGCTTGGAAGAAGAAATGGCCAGAGGTGCCACCGTGTACACCAATTCATAGGATGTGGCCTACTGTTTAGCTAGATGGTCACAGAATTGGAAGGACATAATTGGGAAAATGGTAACAAGAGGATCTGGAGAAATAATGTAGATAGACCTCTTTGGGCAAAAAATGTGAAGGAATCTGTGTCCCACGTGAATGCTGACCAAAAGGTGACCTCAGCAGAGCAGGATTTTAATAATCAAGTAGATAGAATAACTCATTCTGCAGATCCCAGCCAGCTTTTTTCCCTAGCCACTTCTGTCATGAACGAAGAGGCCATAGGAAGGAGGAAGGTGGCTCAGCAACATGAACTTCTATGTACCAAGGCCGACCTGGCTACAGGTGCTAATGAGGCCCAATCTGCCAGTTACAGAAACCAATAATGAGTCCCTGATATGGCACCGTTCCCCAGAGTGATCAGCCAACTATCTCATGAAAGGCTGATTATATTGGACCACTGCCATCATGAATGGGGCACTGTTTTGTTCTTATTACAACAGATACTCTAGATATGGATTTCTCTTCCCTGCATGCAAGCATTCTGCCAAACCCACAGAATGCCTTATCCACCATCTAGGTGCTTCACACAGCATTGCTTCTGATCAAGGAACACACTTTACAGCACATGAAGTGTAACAGTGGACCCATACTAATAAAATTCACTGGTCTTACCATGTTCCTCATCATCCTGAAGCAGCTGGCTTAATAGAATGGTAGAATGGATTTTTGAAGACTCAGTTACGTTGTCAGCAAGGTGACAAAAACTTGTGCAATGTTTTCCATGAGGCTATGTATGCTCTAAATCAGCATCCAATGTATGGTGCTATTTCTCCCATGGCCAGGATTCATGGATCCCAGAATCCAGAGAGAGAAATAAGAGTGGGGCCACTCACTATTATCCCTATTGTTTCACTAGCGAAATTTTTGTTGCCTATTCTTTAACCTTATCCTCTGCTGGTCTAGAGGCCTTATTTCCAAAAAGAGGACTGTTTCCACTGGGAGATAGAATGATTCCACTGAACCGACATTAAGACTACCACCTGGCCACTTTGAACTCCTCATGCCTCAGAATGAACAGGCAAAGAAGACCCAGGGTTAGTGTACTGACCAGGGTTGCTGGTTACTAAGAAGAAATTCAACTGCTACCATACAATGGAGGTATGAAAGACTAAGTCCAGAATACGAGAGATCTTGTAATTACTTTCACGCTCTGTGATTAAAAGACTAAGTCCGGAATACAAGAGATCTTGTAATTACTGCCATGCTCTGTGATTAAAGTCAATGGAAAACTACAATAACCCAATTTAAGGACTACTTAAATTGGGTATGCCCAGACCCTTCAGGAACAAAGTTTTGGATCACCCCAACAGGCAAAGAACCACAAAGAGCTAAGGTGCTTGCTAAGGGAAAGGGAAAAATGGAATGGATAGTGCAAGAAGGTAATCATAAACAAAAACCAGCTACGACCATGTGACCAGCCACAGAAAACTGTAACTGTTATGTCTTATTTTGTAACGAATGTATTCAAATATTTAGCAAATATCTTTGTTTTCTTGCTCTTTAATCCCTTTATCATCTGACATAAGATATATTAATAATAGCTAACTTTACATCATGATATTTAAGTTATAGCTTATTAGGGAGAATGAACATTACCCAGGGACTCCGCATCCTCTTCTGGGGAAAGGGTTGGCATGTTTTCAGTTGTTTGAAGGATATTCATATTATGTTAGGCAGAAGTATGACTTTGTTATTGCGTTCATTTGGAGATTAAGTATCATTTAAGAAGATGTGTATGGGCGCCAAGTTGACAAGGATGGACTATGACAGTTTTATGTATCAACTTGTCTAAACTATAGTATCCAGTTATTCAATCAAACACTAACCTGGGTGCTACTGTGATGGTATTTTGTAAACACAGTTAACATCTACAATCAGTTGACTTTAAGCAAAGGAAATTATTCTTGGAAATGTGGGTGGGCCTGATCCAATCAGCAGGAAAGCCTTTTCTGAGAAAGAAATATTCTGCCCCACGACTGCAGCATCATCGCCTGCCCAAGAGTTTCCAATCTGCCAGCCTATCCTATGGATTTTGGATTTGGATTTGGATCTTTTCAATTACCTCAGCCAATTCCTTGAAATAAGTCTCTATGTTTTACCTATGTCTATCTATGTAGATATGTAGATACATGTATAAAACAATTAATTATTTTAAGTTACATCTTTGAGTATTTTAAGTGCAACTAAATAATTGGTAATATAATTACAGATATGCACTATATAAAATTATATTATTAATTTGTAATAATGAACATATACATTCATTCCTTCTGGTTCTATTTCTGTACAGAACCCTAATACAGGGTCTTTTAAAACATTAAGAGAAAAAATAGCCACTCTTTGCTTCAAAGGATACATCTAGAACCCAAAGAAAGTACTGAAAGATTTTAGTTTAATGCAACAAAGAACTTCTCACAAACCAGAACTGCCTACTAATGGAAAAGTTGTTCAGGAGCAATAAGTTCCCAACCACCCAAAGTATCTGAGGAGCTAATGAATGACAGTCTATAAGGGATACACCGGAGAAGTTCCTGTAATTAGCAGACAGTTTGAGCTTTAGGCTTTGTCCACTTCCTTGAGTTCAATCAAAGTCTGTAATTCTGTAACAGCACGGTGTGATCTTAGATTATTAGCAAGATACATCTTAACCCAAGTAGAAAATGAAAGCAACATCAAACAAAACAGTAAAGAAAAAAAGCTCAAATAAATTCTAAGTTTTAAAGGGATCACGGACAAGGCAAGAGGCAAAAAAAAAAAAAAAAAAAAAAAAGTTTAATTATTTGGTTTGGTGCTTATTGTATCTTGTAACATTCAGCAGTTGAACACTACGGGTTGTTCCAATTTCCTAGCTCTTTAAATTATATCCTATAAAGGCATAAGCTTTTATGTCTTTACTTCACAATAAAGTTCATATAACAATGAACTTGATTTTCAGGACAACAGAACAGAAGGGCTTTCACTGTATTTAGCATCCACATATAGCTCCACCTATACCACCTATTACCACCTCCATAGCTAACAAGGGAGCTCTAGCACTTTCTCTCCCCGGACAAAAGCCTACTAATTGGTCTCCCTGCTCTAAGACTAGACCTTCTAGAGTGTCATTTCAGTGAAAGAGCTGAAGTGATCATTTCCAAACATAAATCAAATCATGTCACACTTCTCAAAAACCCTGCAGTAGCTCCCCATCTCAGAGTACATGACATACAATGACAATGTCCTCACATCTTGTAGATGATGTCTACAAGACTGTACATTCTAGCCCAGACAACCTCTCTGATCTATCTATTACTCTCTCCATTGCTTACTCTACACCAGCCCTGTGGTCTCCTGGAAGTTTCTCCAAAAATCCAACAATGGTATCCATCAGGGCCCATGCACATGCCATTCTCTCCACCTGAAGGGTCTCATCCCTCTGTCTCTCCCTTCTCTCTTGTCAAATGTCAACTATGAAGATTTCCCTGACCACCTTAAATAACAGCAAACACACATATACTTTCCCTAACATTCTCTACCTTCTCACCTATTTTATTTTCCTTCATTGCATTTATCATCTCCTGATAAATATTTGTCTACTTGTTAACTGTCTTATCCTCAGTGAAATTAAGCTCATCGTTTTCTTCATTGCTCCAATACCTACAACAATATCTGTAAGTGTTCAATGAGTATATATTGAAATAATATATTAGCCTTAAGCTAAAATTTCAAACAATCTTCTCAGTTATATGAATATGCTCCTACACAGAAAAAGCTTTAAGAAGGAAAAAGTTCATATACTGTCCTAGTTCTCCTTGCATCCTTCTCACTGATTTGGTTTTACAGAGAATATGAAAGTAAATGTTCTGCCCGTCACAGTTCTCCTCTGTTCCACTGAACCTCAAATTATGAGCTCACATAGCCACAACTTCCTTGTTTGTCAAATAAGAGGAACTGGCGCATGGTGATCAGCTTCTTAAAACTCAAGTATCTAAAAATCAGATTTAAAATAAGGTTTATATGTAATTTTCAATAAGCCATAATGGAATGTCTCAGTAATTAGGATAAATCAACACTGCATATTTACATGAATAGACATATACATATATATATATATATATATATATATATATATATATATATATATATATATATAACCTGAGGTGCTAAATTTGGCTTCATTCTCATAATACAACTAGCACTGAATGCTATATTTTCAGTTTTACTGCTCTTATAAACTACATAGCCTGGTAACCAAGGTAAACAATTTGTATATCTGAAAGTTACATTCTGAATTCACCCAGGCAAAACATAAACCTGAAAAAATAGTCAGAAATGAAAACTATGTCACAAATATCACACATTAAAATCCTACATGCTTTAGTTAAAGGAGGATCCTTCATACCATCAAGATTTACAATTCAAGCCTTGATACCCCTATTTTCCAGTCTTAGCAGATACCAAAAAATAAAATGACAGCTGTCCAGTAAATAAGCTGATACAATCATATGCTGATGACTCCATTTATTCACATTCAAAAATAGGGAAGCAAATCTATGGTATTAAAGTAAGGACAGTGGTTAACCTTAGGCAAAGGCACATACTGATTTCAAGAGGACATGAAGGACTTCTGGGTAAAGGCAACATTATGTTTCTCGATCTGGGTGCTAATAACATGTGAGTATTCACTTTGTTAAAAATGGTTGAAATGAGCTGTATACTGATGATTTGAGCCCTTTCCTGTACTGTTATACTGTATTTAAGTAAAAAGCTTTTGGAAAACTAGATATTACAGCAATTCAAAACCATGAAAAATAAGGTTGAACATGAACAGTGGAACACAAATCAACAATCCTTAAGAGTATCTGTGTTTTTGCATGTGTACTAACCCTAATATTGTACCCATTAACTGTACCCAATACATTCTGATTAAGAAAGTAGAGAAATAAGTCACACGTTTTAGAAATAATTTGACTCCAAAATGTTTGAAATAAAGCAAGTTTTATAATTCAAAGGAGTCAAGGTTCAATTACTCAAGAGGCAAGAGTACTGGTTAAGGATGTGAATCTTGTTGTGAGAATTCTGTCTCACCCACTTGCCAGTTCTGTGAACTCGTGTTTAACCTCTCTGGGTCTCCGTTACATTACCTATAAGATACGGATCTACCCCATAAGCTTGTGAGGACTAAATGAGTTATTTCATGTGAAGCATTCAGAACAGTTGCCTGATATACGTAAGTACTCAATAAATGGCTGTTCACTCATGTGGGATACTTAATCCCCCAATGGTGCTAAATAAACAGGGTGTTTCTACTACAGCCAACTGACAGATGAACACTGAAATGCAAAGAGCCCCTTCTTAAAATAGCTTGTACATTACCCTGCCTATACAACGACACAATTTCCTGTTAGTTTTCTTTATATTTAAATTTCCTAAAGCAGTTGCAGTAGAAGCAGTAAGTCACACTCCAGCCCTATTCTGGTTCTTTTCTAAACCTTTATTACAAACAGGTTTAAGAATTAAATAACCATTTCGAGCAGAGCATCATCATAGAAGGAAACTGTAGGATTTTAAAATACAGTAACAGCTAATGCTTTCTAAGAGTTATTATGTGGCAAACACTGTACTAAACATTTTCCTATACTGATCTTTATTGCTCACAACAACCCTATTAAGTGGGTATGTTGTTCACCCTGACTAAAATGGCCTAAGTCTCTTTTACTGGAGAACACATGTTATTTCATTTTTTTCACCTTCCTAACCAGGCACACACAGTCTCCCACATCGAAGGGGCTCAGGACTGTTTGCAGGAACTGGTTCGTTATACAGATGATTGCCTGTAACTCTCAAGCCCAACTTGCATTTGGGTGAGTTCTACAGTGAGCACCTTCTTTTCCAGAGAAATATAAGGAACTCAGGTATCTAATACCATTATTTCAGTCCCATTTGAGATAACTTCCTTGGTTTGCTGAGAGGCTCATCCATTTGTGACGTATTAATCAGGTAACAATCTGATAATACTACTGTTCACAGTAACTTTTCAAAGACTAAGATAAATGCTGAGGATCAATTTCATGGCTATATAATATGAAAATAAGCTATCACCATCATACCAAAATACATAACCTTGCAGATTTACATGGCTCACTCAGCACAGCTACACACTCTAACACTGTACATGGTGCTTTGTTTCTGTCAATTACAAAAGGAACATTTGATACAGCATTAAGTCTCCTTCAAAGAGATTAATAAACACAGCAGTAAATTTTCATTTTTAAATTAACCTTCAAAGAGTCTTTTCATATCTTATTTTAATTATACAATTCTATTTTTACTGCAGCTGTGTTACAAAGAATGGATCTGTTAAACTGCTTTGCCCACCATAATGTAACTTATTATACACTTTCGGCACCTCAGGCAATGTCCCAGCATATACTAATATACCTCATTCCTGTGTTTCTATAATACAGTAATTCCAAGACATTGTGCCAATCCCTCTGTTTTCCAAGGGAAAAAAATACCTAATTCACTGAACACCAAATTATATACAATATAAGACAGGTATATATGTGCATACATATGTTTCCAATTTAATCCTTACCATGACCTTGAAAGATAGTGATTATCTCTTTATTTTTAACCCAAGGAGAAATTGAGGCAAAGAGATTCTGAGTTAGCAAATAATATACCATTTACATGCAAGTTTATTTATAAAGCCTAGTTTATTCCTCTATTTCACACACTGTTTCCCTCCCAACCCTCCCCTCTTTCTCATGCTTCAGGGCAGGCTTCTCTGATCATCAGTCCCCATGGCAGAAAAGACACACAAGGCCGGGTACAGTGGCTCATGCCTGTAATCCCAGCACTTTGGGAGGCCAAGGTGGGCGGATCACCGGAGGTCAGGAGTTCGAGACAAGCCTGGCCAATATGGTGAAACCCCGTCTCTACTAAAAATACAAAAAAAAAAAAAAAATTAGCCAGGTATGGTGGCGCATGCCTGTAGTCCCAGCTACTCGGGAGGCTGAGGCATGAGAATCACTTGAACCCAGGCAGCGGAGGTTGCAGTGAGCTGAGATCGCGCCACTGCACTCCAGCCTGGGTGACAGAGGGAGATTCCATCTCAATAAAAAAAAAAAAAGAAAGAAAAGGAAACAAGAAAAGACACACAGATAGCACCTGGATTTACATATAGTAGTTGAAGCCATAAGAAGAGACTAATGGGCCAGGTACCGTGGCTCATGTAATACCAGCACTTTGGGAGGTCAAGGCAGAAGGACTGCTTGAGCCTGGGAGTTCAAGACCAACCTGGGCAATATAGGGAGATCCTGTCCCTACAAAAAATACAAAAATTAGCTGGGTATGGTGGCACATGCCTGAATTCACCTCCAGCTACTAGGGAGACTGAGGCAGGAGGATCACTTGAGCCTGGGAGGCAGAGGTTGCAGTGAGCTACAATGGCACCACTGCACTCCAGCCTGAGTGACAGAGCCAGACCCTGTCTCAAAAAACAAAAACAAAAAAAAAGAAAGAAAGAAAGAAATTTAAGAAACTAGGTTTCTAGATAAAACCAGAATTACAAGGGGGCATTGCTTCTTGGCCTTTTGGCTAAGATCAGGAGTAGAATTACAATTGGGGGAAAAAAAATTAGCAACAACTGAAACTTTACAAAACTGGAAAAAATGAAACCACAATTAACTTATTATTAATAGAAAGCTCAACCCTTTTCATGATAGCACATTTTTACAAGAATCACCATAAGAGAATGTCAGAAAAGAATCAGTCTTCATCTTCTCATTAGTTTAACACATCTTTTGCTGGAGCAATCTCAACCCCCAGTTACAAGGGACAGTGTATTTAACAACACAGAAAAGGGAAACCAATCATACTCTAAATAATCAAAGAAATAAAAACATGACATTTCACTGAAAATACCAAAGATTCTGTTTCAATAAAAACACTATTGGGCACTCAAAAACACAATCCTTCCAGAAAGCAATCTGTCAGTAAATACATACAAATAGATATTTTTTAAACCGTAAAATATACATATCTTTTAACTTAATAGTATGCTTCTAGGAAGCTGCCCTTAAAATCCACAGTGGAGAAAAGATTTAGGCAAATAAATGTCTACAACAATATTTTTTAAAGAAAAACTGAAAACTATCCAACAATGAGAATCTACCCAACAATGAGGAAATAATTTATATCTTCCATTCAATAGTTAAGAAAAAGCTCAGGATACGTTGGATTTTTAAAAGATGCAAAATTCCATCTAAAAGGATTGCAACTTGTCTTAGTCCACTCAGGTTGCTATAACAAAATACTTTATACTGGGTAATTTAGAAAGAACAGAAATTTTTTTGCTTACAGGTCTAAAGGCTGGGAAGTCCAAGATAAAGGCACCAGCAGATTCAGTGTCTGGTGAGGGCTCTCTTGCTTTACAGGTGGCACCTTGTTGCTATATCCTTACATGACAGAAGGGAAAGGCAAAAGTGGCTTTTTTTTTTTTTTTGAGATGGAGTCTCACTGTGTTGCCCAGGCTAGAGTGCAGCAGTGCAATCTCAGCTCACTGCAACCTCTGCCTCCAGAGTTCAAGCCATTATTCTGCCTCAGCCTCCCAAGTAGCTGGGACTACAGACATGCACCACCACACCGGGCTAATTTTTGTATTTTTAGTAAAGACGGGGTGTCACCATATTGGCCAGGCTGGTCTCAAACTCCTGACCTCAGATGATCCACCTGCCTAGGCCTCCCAAAGAACTGCGATTACCAGCATGAGCTACCGCGCCCAGCCCCCGTCTGGCCTCTTTTATAAGGGCACTAATCCCATTCATAAGGGTTTTGTCCTTATGACCTAGTCACTTCCCAAACGCTATAACTCTTAGTACCACCATCACCTTGAGGTTTAGGTTTCAACATATAAATTTTGAGGAGACACATATATTCAGAACATAGCACAACTACATAAAATAATACTACATATACATATAGAAAAGAACAATACCAAAATGGTTCTTTCTGAAGAGTAAAATTTGTTTTATTCTCTTGTCTACACTTGCATATATTTTCCAAGTTCAAAATAAGAGAACCTATGTATACAAGAGAAGAATAAAATAAAAATAACAAAGTACCAATTTTAAGAATTCTAAGATCTTTGAAAAAAATCACTTCTAAAACATTTTAAGTTACCGTATCTGGTTTAAAATGCATTAAATATTTCCTCTAGCTTAATTCTAATTTGGCTGTCTATCCTCGGGAAAAAGAAAATTAGATATATATATACATATATATATATTTACATATATATTTACATATATATTTATATATATATTTACATATATATTTATATATATATTTACATATATATTTATATATATGAAGGTTTATGCACAAAAGGTATGAACCAAGGCATTCATCCAAAAAGTTTTATGTAGTTACCTATGAGACACTGTGTACTATCTAGATACTACATGAGTACAAGGGCCCAATCCTTTTACAGCTTATATTTCTGTGGATAAGTACAGATAACAAGTTAATAAGCATATTAAAATGTAATTTCTGGTTGTAAGTATTATAAAGGAAATTAACAAAATACCGTGTATGTTTATCAGGGACAGCAAAGACAGAGCCTGCTCCTATAGGAAGTCACCAAAAAAAGTCCTGAAAAAATACAAAACCAAAAATATACTGCATCCAGACATGCAAAAAGATGAGAAGGAACAATCAAGATGTGGGAAACCTCAAGCGCCAGGGCCCAGAAACAGAGAAAGAGTTTCACATACTCCAGCAGCAGAAAGGAAGCTGGGTAGATGGAAATGGTAAAAACAGATGAAGCTACAAAGGTAGACAGGGGCCAGATCATGCAGCAATTTGCAGGCCAGCATAAAAGGTTTCTATTCTATCATAATTACATAAGCCTCTAAAGCGGGGGGAGAAAATTATCTTATGTGTACTTCTGAGATTAGACTGCAGAAGGTAAAGAATGATAACAAGAAGTTAGGAAGGTACTGCAGGAATCCCAGTAAGAGGGAATGGTAGCCCAGACCAGAGTGATGGCAATGAAAATAGAAAAAAGCAGAGAAACTCAAGACATAATGTGGTGGCTAGAACCCATAGTATTTACTGGCAGGAGGTCAGAATGTGGGCGATGAGGGCCCAGAACAATCAAGTATACCTCTTAGGACTCTGGCTGAATCATTACTTACAAAGCTAAAACTTAAAGTGTGTTTCTAATGACAAGGAATAGTTACATATATTATGAAGTATCCATGAGATGGAATATTACTAATGTTTGTGGAAGGCTTGCTTCTCTTTACTATCTATGAGATAATGGGCATGATACTTACATAGTCCTTCGGTTTCCTCAAATAATTACTACATATAATACCTACTGCTCTCATAGAGTTGTTGGGAGAATTAAATGTGAACCTATGAAAAACTTAACACAATGACTGTGTAAAGCTATCAGAATTCATAGTAATAATATCTCACCACCCAGAATAAAAAAGGTATTCAATAAATGTTTTGTAATTGAATAGACAAGCAGATAAAAGAAATGGTATAATATCCCAGGTCACCTGACTCAATCCCATAATCCTTCTACAAAACTATGCATTCTTCACCACAGGCAGGTAAAAAAAAAAAAGATTAACAGTTTCACAACCATTAGATTGTGAAATCAACTAAGTGAAACCATGAAATCCTCGTTAGAGATTTTTGGTACAAACTATACAAAAATGGAAGATCTATGCTGTCATGTCGATTACATAATTAAGTAACTACATAGTCAAGTAGATTAACTAGAATTATAGGTAAGTTTCTGAGTCACAAAAGTAATTGAAAAGTTTACTGGCCTACTTACAGGCTGATGAGTCAATCTGAATGCAATACAAAAAGAGCACACGACAGGGGAGACAAAGCAGCAAGAAAATATTAAAATAACGTCAAAAGTTAGATGGTGATAAGGTTTGGCTCTGTGTCCCCACCCAAATCTGACCCCCAACTGTAATCCTCATGTGTGGGGGGAGGATCCTGATGGGAGGTGACTGGCCCACAGGGGTAGTTTCCCCCATGCTGTTCTCATGATAGTGAGGGAGTTCTCATGAGAGCCGATAGTTTTAAGTGTGGCACTTCCTTGCTCTTGCTCTCTCTCTCCTGCCACCATGTAAGATGTGCCTTGCTTCCCCTTCGCCTTCTGCCATGATTGTAAGTTTCCTGAGACCTCCCAAGCCAGGTGGAAATGTGAGTCAGTTAAACCCCTTTTGTTCATAAATTACCCAGTCTCAGGTAGTATCTTTATAGCAGTGTGAAAATGAACTAATACAGATGGGGAATACAAGTCAGTGGCTAAATAAGAGAACAGAACACAAAACCTGGAAGGAAAAGAAAAAGAGATATACCAAAAATCAGGATTAGTCAGAGTCTGAGAGACAATTACAGACTAGGAGAAGCAGGTAATTACCTCTCCCACCCACAAGGCCCAGGCAAAGATCCACTGCTCCTAGGGGAGAGATAGAAGTAAAAGCCTACTATGCTTCAAGGACACAGAGACCCTCCTGACCCATGATCCCATACCAAAACTAATCAGAAGTATACTACTGCTAGGGGAAGGACAGAAAACTCTCTGTCCCAAGTACTACCTCAGTCACAAGGCAAAATTTGGCTGCCATGGGAGGGGAAAGATTAGGGGGAGAAGGGACGACCGAAAAGGTTCTACTCTCAAGACTCAGGCTTACGAGCCCTACCTAAGACTGAGGGTAGACCAGGAAAACCAAGAACTTCTCCACCCCCATCACAAACCTAGCACATATAAAAAAGAATCCACTATAGAACAGGATGTTGCTGATAGCTGCCAACAGAGCAGTGTCTTAGTCCCTTTGTGCAGCCATAACAGAATATCTGAGACAGTGTAATTTATAAGGCACAGCAATCCATTTATATTTCCTCACTGTTCTGGAGGCTGGGAAGTCCAAGATGAAGACACCAGCATCTAGTGACAGCCTTCTTGCTGCATCACTACATGGCAGATGGGCAAAGAGAGAGACACAAAAGGGAGCCATGCTTGCCCTATATTTTATAACAACATTAATCCCACTTATGAGGGTAGAGCTCTCATGGCCTAAGCACCTCTTAATGGTCCCATTTCTCAGTACTCTCACAAAGGCAATTAAATTTCAACAGGAGTTTTGGAGAGGACAAATTTTCAAACCATAGCAAGTAGGAACACCACTCAGTCCATCTAAAGCACAAAATAACAGCAACTTGCCGCCAGAGAAATTTAGGTCTGTGGTGCACTGAAGGGGATGGTAGTAACAACAGAGCCATAACCAGCCCAAGCAGTGACAAAACTAACTCAACCTACCATACCAACAGTGTGACAGAGGAGGTATACGCATTTCTAGACACAGGTTCTTCTATCATTCAAAAAGTATGACACATTTAAAGAAGGAAAAAAAAAAAAACAACCCATCGTCAAGAGATAAAGCAAACAACAGAACCAAACAGAGATTACCCAGATGTTGGAACTAATCAGAGATGTTAAAATAACTATGATTCATAAATATGTTAAAAAAGGTAAAGGAAAAGATTAATATGTTAAAGGATCTGGACAACATAAGAACAGACAGGAAATTTTAGCAGGGATACGAAAACTGTAAGAGAGTCAAATGGCAATGCTAAAATTAAAAATAAGAATTTATCAAAGATGGAGAATCCCTTTGACAGGATTCTTCATGAACTTAGGTCAACAGAAGTCATCCAAACTGAAACAGAAAAAAAAGGGAAGGTGTGTTTTTTAAAATAAAGAAACCATAAAGGAACACCATTATCAAACAGTCTAACATATACTTAATTGGTGTCCCAAAGGGAGAATAGAGAAAGCAAAGGAAAAAAGAATTATCTGAAAAGATAATAGCCAAGATTTTCCAAAATTAACAAAAGACAACCAAGATCCAAAGAGGTCAGAAAGCCCTCTTAAAATTGGTTAAGTTATAGTTACCTTAAATCAGGCAAGTCAAAGCAAAAGGTTAATACAAAAAAATACAGCTTGAAATAACTATTGGAAAGTATATATGTAACAGATAATGTAAAAATATTTTCTATCACCTATAAAAAGATGACATTCTATTTACCATCTCCACATGAAAATAAACTCAAATAGTCTAAAACAGAAAAAAAGACAGTAAGAGACAGAAAAAACCTGAACTGTAAAGTATAATCCAATAATTAAACACATACTATAGTTTTCTGCCAAAAGCCACTAAACCAATGAAGACATTGACTATACTGCTTTGGCCAAAAAACTGTCAATTTTCAGCAAGTACATTAAATAAAGGCATTTGGTTATGAGTTACAAAAACTATTATATATAAATTTAATAAATCCTCTAAGATGATAATTCCACTTTGTGAAAATTCTAATACCCACAAATTTATTTATGGTTTCTCATTTCCACTATTGTGAGACTTTTTATGTTAGAGTAACTGGAAAAAGAAGGGATCTAGAGATTGATAAGAGTAAAGCAAGGCAGGGCGAGTTTTAAGACTTTTAAAATGCAACCCTGAGTTAAAGGAAACCTAGGTAAAGTCCACTTGACCTTAAAAGTGTATTCCTGTGACTCAAAAGTGGGAAGTGCTACGATCCAAAGACCTACCTAAGTGGTGGGAACAGAGCCAGGAGAGACTGTCTAACATCTTCATGTCTTAATATAAAGGCTCTACAGGAAGAATTCTAATTTTACCAATACCCTGTTACTGAAGTGGTTTCATCCATAGTAGCGGAGAAATTAAAGACTTCTTAAATAAGTTTACCCCAAACCTTTTCCATTTGATTCATCCAAATCAGTCAACATGTCTGAGACTGTGTGGACCCCCAAGACATGTGAATCAACAATTCCAAGTAACAAAAACAAGACATCTAGCTTTTCCATGGACTGGATACTGAGCCACTAATATGCTCCTTTGTGTACATACTATATACTACAAGCGAAAATGGTTTTTCAAACATCTCATAAGCTACAGAAGGAAACACTGAACTCTTCCTAATAATAAAAGGATGATAAATGGAAACTAACTTTTCTGAATTACTAATTCAGAACACGCAAATGATTACTATGGTACTTTCTTTTAGCGAATATAAATATTAGTAAGGGCTTTTGTGGGGCTACAGTATCTCTAAAGCCTATTTTTCCCAAAGGTCTGTTTTTCAATTTGAAATTCTGCTAGTATAAGATTTTTCAAGAACATCCCCATAATAATTAGAAAGGAATTGTCTATAAATATGTCATGTCTTGCTTGGGAATTTGTATTTAACTAAAAACAGCTCCCATTTGTCTAGAAATCTTGAAGACTGACAAAATACAAAGACTTATTATCTTTTCATTCCTACAGAGTGTTCTCACGTTGTTATATGATAAATTAGAGGCCTGAGACACATACAGGCTTCCTACTCCTTTACTAATCTAGAATATAAAGAAAAAATAATCCTAATTATTAACATATTTAGGGCTTATGATGAATCTATCATGACTACCAGCTACCTGCTTGAAAACAAACTTAAAGACTTCAAAACGTAAAACTAAATTTTTAGTACACTATAAAAGTTACCAGATAATTTTATAAACACGTTTAAACAACTCATCATAGATTATTCATATATAAGTTTGGTTACATTCAGAGGACCGGCATATGTGCATATTTCTATAAGATTTTTGAACAGATCTCATAAAAAATACTATATAGCATATGGCAAAAATAACACAAAACAAGGAGTTAATAGATCTGAGTTCTAATTTTAGGTCGATTACACTAAGTTAAACTTGATAGTAAGTTAAGAATATGGATATGCTTTGTATAAAACTCAAAGAGATTTATCATTGTGAATTGTATAACTGATACTATGAGTTAAAAGATTAATCAATAAAACCAATATGCCATTCAGCTTCAATTAAAGGAATCTGCAAACTAGTGAGTACTGGAACGCGTAGCAATCATAATACGAAGAAGCTGCCAATTTTATTCTAAGATCACATACTGCATGTAGCAAAACTACATTTGCCCAACAAATAACCACAGCATTAAAAGTAAAATTATGACAGCAGCACCTTCATTAGTTTAGTTTTCTCCTACTTCTCCGGTACCTAAAAAGTGTCTGCTGTCTAGCACACAGCAGACATTCAAACATTTGTTTAATAAATATCCTCCACAACTAAGTGGCACAATGTAACCTCACAGTCTATGCCTAATACTTACTGATTTTACTACTTCCAATTTCATATTAACCAGCACTTTTTTAATGTTCTTAAAATCTGTGAGACTATAAATCAAATATAATTGTAACCTTTTAAATAATCCCATTCTTTTATTTCCCTAAACTCGAAAAGATATGAAATTATCCATTAAAAGAGGAGAGTTCATACTTAAGCAAAATGAGTAATATATTAACAATAACTGCTTGGTTTATGTAAATGAAGAACTGAAAGCTGATCCTATAACATTTGTCCACTAGAAGTTACCAGTCACCAATAAAGATGTGCCACAGTTCTTCCTAAAAGTACTTTACAGTACTTGGCGTCGGGCAGACGTTGGGGGTGCTGGGCCCTAGTGGTCAGACAAGACTCTTGGGCAGGCAGATGGCTTCTCAGCGGCAGGGTGTAGGGGCCTCTGTGCGCCGGAGATCTCTCCAGTACCAGGAGCAGCTCAAGAACAGCAAGGAGCTGCAGCCTGTGGCCAGCCATCCAGGAGACCCCTGCCGCAGCCCTGGGTTCCCTGTGCAGACAGTTCCAAAGGAGGCTGCCCCTGACAGCCATCAACCTCAATCTCTGGGGAGACCCCTCCTGCAAACACTTGGAAACCCCAGAGCCAGGGCAGCAGAGCCTCCAAGCTGCAGCTCGCTCAGCTAAGAGTACCTCAGGTGCCAAGTCCCAGAGAATCCAGGAGTCCTGACACCAAGTGGCTGGTGGAGACTCAGGTGAAGGCCAGGAGGAGAAAGAGAGGGGCACAGAAGAGCAGTGGATCCCTGACTCACAGCCTGAGCCAGAAGAGCACCCAGCTGTCTGGAGGCGCCCCTGTCCACTCAGCCGCAGACCCCTGGGAGAAGGAGCATCACTGCCTCTCTGCCCGGATGGGTTCACGTACCCACCCACTACGGCGGTTGAGGCGGGAGTCTGCCTTGTAGAGCCCCTTACCCCTTGACAGAGCCCCTCTGCTCTCCCAGTGAGTCTGACAGTGACCTAGAGCCTGTGGAGGCAGAAATTCAGCATCTCCAGAAGCTGTCCCAAGAGCTGGATGAAGCCATTATGGCAGAAGAGAGTGGTGACATGAGCGTCTCTCTCATTTATGACTAAGGAAGTGCCCTGCAGGAAACAAGCCCTGTCTGATCACCAAAACTTCACACCCAGTATGTCTGTGCTTCCCCATGAGCTTCCTGGACAAAGTAGTCAGAGTTACCCTGGGCTACTGCTAACAAGGAAATAACAAGGGACCCAGAGCCCCCCTGCTCTGGCCACATCTAGCCACAATGATTTAGTTCAGAACTAACACAGTAGCGATGAGAATGGAAAGGACTTTTTTTTTTTTTTTAAAGACGGAGTCTCACTCTGTCACCCAGGCTGGAGTGGAGTGCAATGGCACGATCTCAGCTCACTGCAACCTCCACCTCCAGGGTTCAAGTGAGTTTTTCCTGCCTCCCAAGTAGCTGGGATTACAGGCACTCACCATCATGCCTGGCTAATCGTTGTATTTTTGTAGAGATGGGGTTTCACCATGTTGGCCAGGCTGGGCTTCAACTCCTGACCTCAGGTGATCCGCCCGCCTCGGCCTCCCAAAGTGTGGGGATTACAGGTGTGAGCCACCACACCCGGCCTGTTACCCTCTGAATTAAACCCAAACAAGGTAACAAGGTCTATGAGGCTCTGTACCATCCAGCCCTTCCCTTTTCTATAGCCAGATCTCATCCAACATTCCCCCTCCCTCAAGATGCTGGGTCAAAATGATACTCTTTCATTTCTTCAAATAATTCCAATTCTTTCTTGCCTCACAGTCTTTGTCCATGTGGAATGCTATTCCCCAATTCTTCAGACTTGGCTCTTTATTGTCCTTCAAGATGCCACCTTAAATGTGACCTTCTCAGAAGCCTTCTCTAACTAGCCTACCTAAATTAAAAAGTACCCCACATTATTTTCTATTTTATGTCTCTCTTGTTCCTCAATAGCATTTCTCACAACTCAAAATAGTATTTGTATTTTCTATCTTCCCAACTGAAATGCAAGCTCCATGAGAACAAAAACCTCAATCTCATTCATCTTTGTGTCCCCAATACTTATCATATGCTTGTAATATACTTGGCATTCAAATATTTACTAAGTAATTTCACATTTTTAAAAAATCACTCTATGAGCCTATTATTAAATATATCAATATGCATACATATCTATAAAAGATTGTAAAAAACAAAATTTTGATGTTATCTTTGTTATTTTTAGCTGTTGAAGTAGATGTATTTTCTATATTTACTTTTCAGTATGTTCTAAATTTTTTATAGTAAACCTTTAAGCTCAGAAATTAAAGATTTTAAAGTCTAACATTTCAACTGCAAAATGCTTTAAATCTTTAAATCATATAAAATAATAAAGGTACAAAATGACTCAGGCTTATGATACAACTAATTTTTTTTTAATATCACACTGCTTCTCAATGTCACTGTCTATACTTAGCTTCATATTTCTACAGAGTTTTAACTAATCTCGGACCACTCATGGTCCGGTTATTTAGATCAACTAACTGCCTCAAACTATGTCTTCATACTTTTTTAAATGCAACATAAAATATCTTAATAACACTCAATAAATCAAAGCACATTTCTACAACTATCCTACCTCTGTATCTATAGATAAAAAGAATAATGGTTAAGTCAATAATACCTGAATACTTACCCTTGCCAGGCTCTATTCTAAGCACACACAGAGTAATTCATTTATTCTTTGCATCCCATTTTAGAGATAAGGAAATTTAGGCACTAACAGACTAAATCATCTACCCAAAATTACAAAACCACTGTCAGACTGGGATTCAAACTCAGGAAATCCTGCCCTAGTCTAGAGGCTATGCTCTTCATCACACTATACAAAAGTGGAAACAGGCCAGGCATGGCAGCTCACACTCATAATCTAATTACTTTGCGGGGCCGAGGTGGGAGGATTGCCTAAGCCCAGGAATTTGAGATCAGCCCTGGGCAACATACTCAGACTCTGTCTCTACCAAAAAAAAAAAAAAAAAAGGGTGAAAACAGACTTATGGGCCAGATAAAAGTTCAAGATATAAGATGCTATGCTTCTTAAAAATTACATTCCGTCATCCTTGTATTTATGAAAACAAAGCACAAACAGAAATTACGCACTTACTGAAAAGCCGAGTCAAACTGAACAAATCGAGTCAAAGTTTAATTTTAAAAAGGACAAATTATTGGGCCTCAGATATATTTTATAGGAGTCATATTCCAAGATTTCAGAATATTTAATAGCAAAATTTTGTTATTTACCAGAAGTAAATGAAGGAGAAACTCATAAGGCCATTGGACAATAAAGATCTACAATGTAACATTAATCACAATGTTTGTATCTGCTACTTCTCCAGCCTCATTTCCTGATTCAACTCCATATATACCTTATGCTTTAACATAAAGATCCTTGGCACAGGGGGGTTTTTTAAAGTACGAACTATTTGAGAGCAATCCTAAATTTCTGTTATATGTACTAACTCATGGAGATAACCTCACAGGGATTCTCTAAGGATTAAATTGGATGAAACATACAAAATGCCTGGCAAAAATTTAAATCCCACATGCAAATATGGATGCTGCTGCACTGCGAACAGGCCCAGCATTGACTCTGTCATCCTGGGTATTTGGTAATTCACAACCACATTTAGCATTCTCAAATGTCAATGCCTATAATAATCTCACTCCCCACCCAGCTTCCTCACTTCACACCTATGGTTTTCCACCATGCCTTTCTCTGTCTGACAAACTCATACATTCTCGGCACATACTTCCTACTCTGGATATTTAAAAAAAAAAAAAAAGGATTCACTAATAACCTACTAATAACCTGCATCTCCACATCAAAATTAGTAACTCCATCTTTGCAATTCAGTAAAATACAGCACATAGCCTTAGGCCCTTTTACCCTTATCACAATGTATCATCACCCTTTAAGTGGGTATGCCTTCTAGTAGACTACAAGCTAGGGTGAATATCTTACTGATCTTGAAATTCCAAACACCCAACTGGTGTCTGGCACATGGGACTCACTGAAATTTTTTGTTTGCTTGCTTGTTTTTTAATAAAGTATACAAAAGAGTGAAAAAGGAATGATACCTGAAAACATGTACATCTATCATATATCAGTTAAAAATTTTTTAAATTATAGTTATTTATAATTATACTTTGTTCCAAAGAAGGGGGAAGGGAGACTTATTTTTTAATACTGCAAATGTATAACAAAAACTTCCATTAAATATTCTAACATATATTTTGTTATAACTTCAGTAAGGCATAATGACAAAAAGTAGATATATTTAAGGTATACAATTTGATCTGATATATGCATACATTATGAAATATTCACCACAATGAAGCTAATTCACATAATCCATCACATCACATCCTTACCTTTTTTTTTTTTTTGGTGTGTTAAGAACTTTTAAGGTCTACCCTCTTCACAAATGTCAATTACAGTATATGACACTATTAACTACAGTCACACTGTTGTACATTAGATCTCCGAACTTATTTATGTTGCATAACTGAATCTTTGTACTTGAAGTTTCAACATCTCTCCATTTACTCCTTTCCCTAGCCCCTGGTAACCACCATTCTACTCTGTAAGTTTGATATTTTCAGATTCCATGCAGTATTTGTCTTTCTATGGCTGCGTTACTTCACTTAGCATAATGTCCTCCACGTTCATCCATGTTGCCGCAAATGGCAGGATTTTCTTCTTTTTTAATGCTGAATAATATTTCATGGTGCAAGTGCGTATGTATCACATTTTCTTTATGCATTCATTGATGAACGTTAAGGTTGTTTCCATATCTTGGCTATTGTGAAAAATGCTGAAAAGAACATAGCAGTGCAGATATCTCTAACATATATTTTCAGTAAATGTAGCAAGGATACTAGATAAGCTACCACAGCAGTGGCCTTTTAAGAAACAAAATATTTATACATATTTTCATATTTTTAGATTATGCAATCCACTCTCAGGCAATTTTCAGGTTTACATTTTAAAAAGTTTTTTTTAATTAGCCATCTGTGGTGCCTCACAGCCTGGGAGGCTAAGGCGGGAAGATTGATTGAGTCCAGGAGTTTGAGGCTGCAGTGAGCTATGATCATGTCACTGCACTCCAGCCTGGGCAACAGAGTGAGACCACATCTCTAAAAATAAATAAATACATAAATGTTTTTAAATAGTCAATTTCAGCATCTTTATATTTCCAGTTACTCATACCATAGCTGGCACAAAACAGTCACTAAATAATGTTTAAAACTCTATGCACACACAGACATATTCACCAACGACTGGCTTTCTCACTTTAACCCTCTATAGTTCTTTTTAGGACCCATATGTAACAGACCTAGAACCAAACAAACTTTTTTCTTCCTTTTTTTTTTTTTTTTTTTTTGGAGACAGGGTCTCACTCCGCCGTCCAGGCCAGAGTGCAGTGGCCTGATCAGGGCTTGCTGCAGACTTAACTTCCCCCAGGCTCAGGTGATTCTCCCATTTCAGCCTCCTGAGTAGCCAGGAATACAGGCGCACATCATCACGCCCAGCTAATTTTTTTGTATTTTTTGAGGAGATGGGATTTCACCGTGTTGCCCAGACTGGTCTCGAAGTCCTGGGCTCAAGTGATCTGCCCATCTTGGCCTCGAAAAGTGCTGGGATTACAGGCATAAGCTACAGCGTACGACCCCAAACAAACACGGAATAAACATCAGAGGGTATAGTTACAAATGCAAATTCAAAAATAGCCAGGGGTACCTATAATTGCACTTTAGCTTTTCTTTCTTAATGTGGTACCCAGAAGAAAGAAACGGCGAGGATTAATACAGTCTGAATATGTGTGGCAAAGCAGAAATAAGAGCTAAACATGACAATGGTTCAAGGCATCAGGGAAACAGAGCAAAAATTACATACACGTCATTAATGAAAACGTTAGAGATGTATTGCTGGACAATAGGAATAAAGAAGGGGGATTAAGATTATCTAGTTATCCAACATCAGATTTTTTAAAAAAGAAAAAAAAGACAGTAATAGAAAACATGGGCCTGTGCAACTTGCAGTGTGCTGAGTAGGAGACAAAAACTTCAAACAAGGGTTTAAAAAGCCTTTTTACTTATTGAGAATATTGTAAGAAACTACAAATCACTTTCACTACCCTAGGGGGTTTTGATGAGGCTGCTTATGATAAGGCTGTTTAGTATTCTGTAATCACATAAATGAGATATTCATTTCAAGCATTTTTTAAATTAAAATCCCAGCACTTAATTAAACAAAACAGTTTTTGAGGTGTTTCAGTTCCATATAATGTCAAGTTTAGGAAGATCAAAAAGAGGTAGAGAAAATGAAAATGACTAGAGAAAAAAGTTACACAGAGGTCAAGATCCATAAGCACACAAAAAAACAAATCCATACGCAAAAAGAAACACTTGGACAGATACAGGTACTTGGGCTCTGAGATGAATGTTAGTCCAAGTAAACTGCGCTTGCCAGGCTCTGTGGCTCCAATCAGCCTGTGTGTACTGGAGGGGAGTTACCACTATCTTATGAAAACACTGAATAGACATTATTAAACATTCTGCAACTGCTCCTAGCCTTAATCCTGAAATTGTTTCACTTTAAAGGATATGGCTGACAAAGCCTAGTAGAAAGGAAATTACTCTCGGGACTGCAGCCATGATGCTTGTGCTATAGCACACCAAGGGCCAAAGGAAATAAAGCCAAAAATCAAATCAATCATTGGCCTGGGGTTCCCTACCCCCAATTTAGAACTTTCCTAGTAATGAAGTTCTCTGAGGAGGAAATGTTCAGCTAGACTAGAGGAAGAGGAGGCTGAGAACAGAGACTTAAGAGGGAACCACCCTTAAAATCAGCAACAATGAAACCAGTCAAGGAAAACAGTTACAGAAGGTAGAATTAGACAGTGTCAAGAAAGACTGAATATCCAATGTATACTAATATAAAGATCTAGATAGCTAAAGAACAGAACAAACCTTTTAGATTTGGCATTAGAAATCATCATCTATAGATTAAGCTTGAAATTCACACAACAATGAAATTTAGGAGTTAATATTGAAACAAGTAATATGCCAGTAGTCTGAAATATTGTTATTCATAGCTAAGGGGTCGGAGAGACTTCGACTCTTGACTTATAACTTTAGTTTAATCTGGAAACACTTATCCTTTTTATACATGGAATTCTAAAAGCTTTATATAAGCATTTTATGGCAAATATATTGTCTTTGGATATCAAAAGTTGTTTGGTTTTATTTGTCAAACAACTGGCAAATACATTTGCAACTGTTTTTCTGTCGACAACTTTGTAAATCATCACATAAGCCCGATTATATTTTTTTAAAAACTAATCTTTATATTAAGAAATAGGCACATTTGAAATAAAGAAGATTCTCTATCACAAATAGTGTGTTTCTTCTTGGATTTTTCAAGGGCTTATACTAATTTAAATCATTCTATAAATTCTGTATGCTTAATGCTAAAGGTAATTTTTATATCTTAAACTTCATATAAATAGCCAGATTCCTAAGCTAAGAATAAAGTCGATTTTATAAAATTTCATCTAAACATTTTCATAGCCACTCCATAATTAGAATTCTCAAGACCTCTCCTTCTAAATAGTTTCCTAACTGATATCCTTATCTCTGTTATCTCCTCATTGCCATCCACCCAGAATTAGCTTTCTCAAACACAAAGGACATGTCACCCCCATCTTCAAAAACCACAATGCCTCTCACCTCCTAATGACAGGATATAGATTTGCAACTTCAAGAGTTTATTAACAAAACACTCTGAAAGTTCAAAATGCCTTTTACCTTAAAAATTAAAATATATGTACATTTTCCCTAACGTGCATATTTAGAAACCTTCAAATAGTTTTATATCTCTCAAATAATCTAATAAAATGGATATGCCAAGAAAAGGTACCATATTTGTCCTGGATGTCTCATTCTTGCCAGTATACAGCCGAGTACCCCAGTTTTAAATGTGCTGACATTTTGATACATACTGAATACACTAGGGGACTGTAAAGCTCTTGATAATTTGGCCCCAATCTTCTTCCTTCTTGCATTCCCCACTACTCTACATATACCTTATACTTAACTCTAAAGAAAAGTATTTATCCCCTATTCTTGCATATGCCTCCTCCCAGAAAGCCTTTTCACTTATCTCCACAAGAAGTCCTACCTATACATCAAGGTCCAGCTCAAATCCTGCCCTCCTCCAGGTAATACTCTCTAACAGCCTCTTCCTTTCTCCTACACTTTGCAGTCCCTTGTGGTGCTAATCACAATCCATCGCATGTTGTTTGTATAAGGATGCATACAACATACCAGCTAAGAATCCAAGCTTTGGAACCAGAGAAACCCTGGTCAACCTCTAACTCTGCTACCTACTAGAAGTGAGCTTGGGCAAGTTACTTAAGATCATCCAGCATGTTTCCTAATCTACTATATGAAGATAAAGACAGCAACAATAGAAAACTGAGGACTACTTGTGGGGGAGGTAAGAGGAGGGGTAAGGGTTGAAAAACTATTGAACTATTGAGTACTATGCTCAGTACCTGGGTGACAAGATCGTTGGTAACTAAAATCTCAATATCATGCAATAAACCCAGGCAATGAACCTGCATATGAATCTAAAATAAAAGTTGGAATCTAAAATGAATCTAAAATAAAAGTTAGAAGGAAAAAAAAAAACAGTAGCTATCTAACAGGATTAGTCTCAGAATCAAAAACAGTGATGTATAATATAAAAAGCACTTAGCACAATACTAACACATAGGAACAGTTTAATAAATGTGCCTATTATTACCTAGTCTGAGTCCAAAATGGTCACACCTACATCTTATTCTTTTTTTTAATTCTTTCCCACTTCTCTTTTGTGTTATGCTGCTTGTACTTAATAATTATTTAGTTAATAAAATCTGATCAATTCAGAAGTAAATTCCTAGGTAGATCTTAACAAGGTGAAGTCCAAACTCCAGTAAATGTCAAAAAATGGCTTATTATCCATATTATTAGCAGTTAGTTTTAGTATTAGCTTAGCCAATATATACATTAACTATCATATTACATAAATGCAGACGTCCAACAATCATTGTGAAAGTGTTCACACCACAATTATCATCAATGATTAGGCCACTATCAAAAATCCTTGATATCATTACGCAAAAAGAGCCTAAATTAATCTGAAAATACTAGCATGTATCCAGCCACAAAGCAAGTCTTTGGCAAGCTAAATCATCCTGTGTCCTCCTTTTGCATAAAAGGAAGCTAAATCTTGGATCCACTTTTCTAACTGGCCCTCTGAATGCTTCCTGTTCTATGAGATTCCCAACAGAGGCCAGTTCTGCCATGTATTCTTAAGAGTACCAAGGGATGCAATGTTTCCAGACCAATTAGATTACTATCAATTCTTAAATGTTCAGAATCGACTAGATCAAATGGATATGAAGAGATTCTTTAATCCTGTAGTTAGCAACAATAATACAACTACAGCAATGACCAAAGACTGGTGAAGAAAAGCACTGGTAATGATACTAAAGGGGAAAGAGAAAGAGAATACAGTAAATGATGGCTTTAGGAAGTTCAGAAAGAACAACGTCATAAGAGGAACAAAGGTCTCTCAGGCTATCTGAATCCACTTTGAGTCTACGGTCACAATGGAAACATTAACATGTGTAAGTTATTTGTAAAATATTACTGAAAGCAACATATATATCCCACAGGCAAACCAACTACTAATAAAAATAAATAAGGAATACAACTGATTTCATTAAAAGTTCAGTTTCACATTTTGCCAATGACAATCATGCTAATTTGAGGTATTTCCATCTAAATTAATGAAAGCCCCACAACACAGATGTGTGTAACAGTACTGGGTAAAGTGGCCATTCTAAATGCTATTATATGTGGTATTATATGTTGAACTAAGAATATATTAAATCTTAATTGAGATTTTAATACTTCCAAGAAACATGTTTTTATATATGTTATTTCTAATAACATGCCAAATCAGTGAAATGGTATTACAGTTAAGATAAAACCTTCACATAGGCACTAAAGAATGTTACTTTAATTCATTCTTTAAAAGGATAGAGGCAAATATTTTCAGTTAAAATTTGTTCCCAAAAATTCTGAAACAATTCCGTAAGAAATAATGTAATGTTTCAATTATTCGGCATTTTTTTGTTTGTTTGTTTCCCTTTCATAAGCTATTTCTCAGGGACCCTATCTGGATGAGATCGGTCACTCCCTACCAGGATCAATTCATCAACTCTAAATCTGTTAGACAAAGAAGGAAAAAAAAAACTATTGTTTTGAGTTATTAAAGCACTGCTTTAGAATACAATCACCAAGCTCTCAGTCACCTATCCCTAACTTGCTTTAAATTTCAATCACTTTCAAAGTAAGTGCCCTAAATATATAAGCGCTGTATATGTAATTTAAAACCCTTACTATATAATGTTATGAATATTGGTTCTGTCTCACCAAAAACATTTGCACACTGAATTCTGAAAAGGTAATATTTAAAAAGGAAAAGAAAATATAAACCTGTATTCATTATGACAATGGGTCTGTTTATTTGGATGATTTGTATAGTTTTGAGCAATAACAGTTTATTTGAGCAAATAAACACAGGATAATTTAAAGGCAATTTACTCTTAAAGTACACTAAATCCCTAAAGTAAAACACTTGAGAGGCAAGCTGCAGTGAAAAAGAATGTTTTATACATTTTATTAGTCAAAGGCTAACTCTTAGGGAGCTTCTAAAGGTAAGTATTAAAAATGCCAATCTCGAGAAGAAAACAGAAAAGTGATTTTGGCTGTCATTTTGCAGAGCTATTGAGAATACTCACAGCTAAATCACAACTTTAATCAGGAGACAAAGAGACCAATTCTTCTCTCAGAATGCTTTCAAAAATTTTCAATTTTCAAAATTCACGTGACGTTTAGTTCTCTTATTACTGATGCTCTACTCCATCTCTATCCATTAACGCTGCCTACAATATGATACCACACCACAGTATTTTGTAAATTCAGTCTACGGTTTTACTTCCTGAAGTGTACACTAATGCTAATAAATTAGGTTCTAGGCTTTGCATAACATTTACAAATAGAACCATAAAAGAAAGCACTATTCATACACTCTTAAGAATGGGAAAGAGCCCTATAGAGGCCATATAGTTCAAAGAAATTTTCAATATTTTCTAACTTCATCATAGATTTTCAGTTTACCTTTACCAAGATATGGGTGCTATTGACTGTATTTACATAAACTTATTAAAATAACAATTTAATTTGTATATTGTGTAGTTTTATGATTTAAACTTTAAGTGGAAACGTTTAACTTGTTAAAAATCAATATTCTGACAAAAGGAAAGTAAAAGAACGTTAGAAATAATTCCAGGGTATTCTTCTAGCAAACTTATTTTAAAGCCCTATGGCACAAACTCATTTTGTGTGATACATCGGATTTTTTTCCAATAAGAATCACCTTTTTCCCCCATGCCTTAAATAAGTATAGAGAAATTTAAGTCTTAAAAGGGATTGTAAATGGCTTATTAAAATTCCATCTGACCAATTTTCTTGATGTGATCTACACAGTATAAAATATACTTATTAGCAGTCAATAAATACTAAATTTTCTGAATTGCTTGCCTTTTTACCAATTACTTTTTCACAGAGCATTAGCCAATTATGTATTAACCACATTTTTCTGCTCGAGAAACCTAGAACCACTTATACCTTCTAGAAGCCTAAATATTCCTGCTCCTTCCCTTCCTGCATGAGGCATTAAATCTTCAAATTATAGTCTTATTTATCAACTTTCCTAATAATCACTATTCTTCACTATACTGTTACTTGCCACATTTTTATTTGGAGAATAAATACTATTCAAGCATAAAGCTGTCTGACCTATCTTCTCACTCAAACTGTACTATGCTCCTAATACTGATTATTCTATAATCACTTTATCCCAGTTACCCAATTGGTAGGTTTGATGTATCAAGTTCCATTTAATAGGGCTTGATATGCTTCAGGGTAAAGTTAAACATGCTGACCATTATGTTCTATACTCTACATCCTCCAAAGCTTTTAAAGTTTACCAACATCCTTCTTCTCTCTAGAATAGTAAATATCCTATCATAGAAATCAGAGAAACTGCTTGGCTTTAAAGAATACAGTTCCTGAGCACTTGTCAGAGAAGCTGTTAGTAACTTCCAGACGCCCGCAGGACTATCATTTTGGTTAAATTAATCACGGGTCATCTTCTGCCACTTTAAACTTTTTAGTCTTACAATTATTGTAGGAAATCTACAGATCTACTTTAAAAATAAGTGAAATACTAAAAAAAAAAAAAAAAACCATTATTTTAGCTCCATTACTTTTCCCAAAGAAATCATTTCAGGGTCCTTATATAATAACTTTTACTTAAACCACAACTGATCAGTTGTACATAACACCGGAAGGCTTTAAAAAGGATACAATTCTGCACTTAACCTTACAAAACACGTTTCCAAGTTTTCAATTATGAGATCGTTCTATATATTAAAAAAAAGGTGCTAGTGCAGTCTATCAGAACTGTGCTGCCAGCTGCAAGCCCCGAGTATGCTGCACTTTGCAAATTTTAGGTATAATTTCTGGTTACCTGCTGAGGTTTCTACACCCTTTGTCACCCAGTGATGCTCCCACCACCAAACACTTTCCATCACCACTTAAAACGGCCTCCTTCCACCCCGCAAAAAATGCACTGTAAACTTAGGCATTTCTGCATACTAACACGGAACCACTAATATCACTAGGTATTATGGCTCTCAAAGAATCCCCTTTAGCAGGCTCCCCTGGGACGCTGTGCTCAAGCGGAGCTTTGAACCGGTGAGACTCGCTGCCAGCTGCCTTTGCAAAAGCAGCACCAGAGGTAGACTCAATACCGCAATGCTGCTGCTGACTTTTTCTAGCAGCCTCAAAAAAAAAAAAAAAAAAAAAATCAGCCCAGTCCCCTGCAGACCCTGCTGGCACTTCTGCAGCACGAAAGAGAAACCACCGCATTGCTCAGCTTGGAAGATCGGAGAGCCCGACTGAAGGGAGGGGAATCAGTGCCGTCGAGAGGCTCGGCGAGGGCGGGGTGTCGGGGTGAAAAGGAAAGACGTCCGGAGTGCAGGGGACCGCGACGAAGCAGCAGGCAGGGCTCCGCATCGCGCCCTGGCCGGAGCCGCGGAATAGCGGACGTCCGGCGGAGATGCTGACCTCTGCACGGGTTGGGGGTCCCATCGCTGCCGGCCGAGCCCCGCCCGCCGCCCCCCGGCCCCTCACCTGTCATGAGCGCCGGGCTATCGCCGGCCGCCGCGGCGGGAGAGGAGGCGGCAGTTGCGGCAGAGCCAGTCGCCCGCCGCCCGCGGAGGTGCCGGGGCACAAGCTCGCATCCGTCCGCCGCTCCGGCTACCAGCAGCCCGAGCACCAGCAACGCAGCCCAGCGCCGCCGCCGCAGCAGCCAGCCCCACGCTGGGCCAGGAGTCGAGGCGGGATGAAGGCGCCGAGGAGAAGCCGGGTGAAAGCGCAGCGGCGCCCCGGCCGCCTGCAGCTCGCCGGCTCCGCGAGGCGCCACCACCGCCGCCGGCGACTCCTCCGGCCGCCCCCGCCGCCTCAGACACGGGCTCCCGCCGGGCGCCAGCCTGGTCCCATCGGCACCGGCGGCCTCCGGAGCTCTGATCCCGGCTGCGTTCATTGGTTCCGGTTATTTAAAAAAAAAAAAAAAAAAGGTGGGGGGTAGAAAGGTACGGCGTCTTCAGGCGGTGCACGACACCCGCGCTGCTGCTGCGGCGAGACCGGGATCCGCTGCTCTGGCGCCGCCAAACACCAACCCCAGCTCCCGCGCCGCCGCCGCCGCGGCGCATCCCCCCGCCCCCTCCGGCCCGCGCTGGTCGTAGTACCACGCTCCGCCGGGACGCCTCCCTCCCCTCGCACATTCGCTCGCATACCAATCCCCCGCCTCCCTCAGGCTCTCCACGGCGCAGGCGCGGCGCTGCTGTACTGCGCGTGCGCGGCATCCCAGCCCCGCCCCGGAGGCGTTCCTAGACGGACGGTAGTACCGTGGGGCGGCTGATAACGCTTTAGCGAGCCGCGAAGATAGGAGGCGGGGAAGAAGGGGGACGTGTACCTCTCCCTCATTCACGGTACCACCGCGAGGGGGAGTGGGGGGCTACAAGGGGACGGAGAGAAGAGTCCAGACGTCCCACATCCTGAGGGCGAGTTTCAGCCTCGTAGAGGGCAGCGAAAGTAATTGCATGGATCAGGAAAATCTTGCAATCGGAAAACAGCAGCGTCCCCGTAATTTCAATATAGGTGGGGCTTACAAGTGGCTGGCTGTTTAGACGCGGTTAGCATAGCTTAGCGTTTTATTTACTTGCCAAACATTTCACAAAGCGCGTGCTATGTGTGAGTGTACCAGGCATTGCTCTAACCGTTTTACACATTTACATGCTATAACTCCAAAATTATCGTTACCCCCTTTTACGAATGAAGAGACTAAGACCTAGAAATGTGAAGTAAGTTGTCCCCAATATCCCACAGCTAATTCATGGGAAATGAGCGAGATTTAGCAGCCACTGAAAAGGCCTATTTAAGAGAATTTACTTTAGCCTCTGACTCTCCTAGGTACATTTACCTGAACTCATCACCTTCCCACCCCCATCCCATCGACTCTGTGCTGTATCCTGAACCGGCTGACAGAACAATGATGTAGACTTGACTTGTTTTCGCCAACCTGGAATGAAGCAAAGCTCTTGTGCACCCAAGATCTGCTCTCTGTTGTAAATCCTGTTCAGACCTGGTCTAATTGGTTTGAATAAATAAAGAACCGGAATCTTTCTCATCCAAACTAGTTGCCAGCATATTTTTAAGGCCACCTCCCTTCAAATTTAAAAGGAAGTGTTGAATGTACTGTCACTATAAATTAAAAGCCCTGGAAATTCACACGCAAGGAGGCATTCTTTCTCCCAGGGGCACAAAATTGTTTAAAATTTGCAGATAGGGTTATTAAACACGAAGATCCTTTTGCTATTGGGTTTTGTTGGTTTCATTCTGCTTATTGGTTTGTTTGCTTGCTTTCTCAAGCCAAGAAGATACTCAAATTACATTCTCCTAAAGTATTTCTTAGGTAGCCTGGCCAAGATAACCACAAATATCGTTTATTGTGGAAGGGCAGATGCACACTTTAGAAAAGAATCAAGGATGTCTTTGAGGCTAAGTCAATCTATCAACAGTTATTTCTCAGCAGACTTCTTGTGGGCATAGTGTTCAGGTGGCAATTCTTTATAGGGCAACCGGGAGATTATATTTCCCCTGCTGAAAGGCACAGCGATGAAGTCACACCAGAGTGCTGAGTGCCCACCAGAGAAGATAATTCTGCTAGGGGACCAGAACAATATAAATAACAAGCTTGTTCCTGCTCTCCAGGAGGCATTTCATTTATTAAATGTTTACTGAGTACCTAGTATGTGCCAGGCAGAGTACTGAGTGGTGAGGGTTAGGCAAGAGAGACACTTGAAAAAGGCAATTAAGTCAGCAGTCAGGGCTATGAGATAAACAGCACAGTCCCATGACTAAGGCATCTTACAATCTTTTTAAGGAGATAAAATGTACACCCATTAAACAATTAGAGGCTAATACAAAGTAGTAATCAGTTGCTAAATGGTGTAGTGCAAACTGTTACAGTAGTAACAGTATAAAACCACGAACAAATTAACAAATCACAGGGGCCAGGATTCTTTAAACAAAGATGATTTAGTATTTTTTTTTCTTCTTTTAAAGATAGGGAGGGTATTGACATTGAGAGTGTATTGGACTGGAGTTTTAAGTGTTTATTCCTCTCACTACTGGAACCGGAAAGGAACTAGGGATCCGGCAAGCACTCAAAAGACCAAGGCCAGGAAGGCCAGGGGCCAGGAATAAACCCTCCACCGCAGATCATCTTTGCCACAGATATAGAACTTTCCAGCTGTTAAATGAATAGCCGGAATGAACCTTGCTGAACAGAGAGAGGTACGTGTCACTGTGCATCACAGCATAAACCTAAGAACAGAAAGGAGAAAATCCATTCCTTGGCAAGAAAAGCCCAACCCTAGAATTATATATGCTTCTATTTGCAAGCCAAACATAAACACAAGACTCCAAATGAGGCAATCGCTTACCTTTCTCCCCAGGTTTCCTTTCCCACCTCCACGCTTTTGTTTTCCCTTTCCCTTCCCTTGTTCTCACCACCCCAAAGCTTTCTCTCCTTCCCTGTCGCCAAATCCCATTCAAAAGCTACCCTGAGGCCCTTTTCCTTGGCACTTACCCGACTCCTACAGCCAGCCTATACCTCTCAATGTCCAAACCTCATCATATGCCTTTTTTTTTTTTCAGAACGTCTTCACTGTCCCATTTTCACCAAATCATGACTTCAAACACCTGATGGGCAGCATTGAGCTCTAGAATCAGGCAAACCTGAAAGAAATAGCAATTCCACCACTTTTCAGCTGTGTTACGTGCAGACAGGTTAATCTGTCCTCAGTTTCCCCACTTTTAAATTGGGGATCCAACCATGCCCGCCCCACAAGGTTGTTAGCGGCGGCGGGAGAATAAACAGGGAAAGCCCTTGCGCGGAGCCCGGCACACAGGTGCGTTGCCATCCCTTGGGGAGAACTGGCTCTGGGCGTGCATTCTAAGCGTGTTCTTGGCTTAGGATAAACGCATCGCACTTTGCCCATGTTGTTTGATTGCATTTTCTTGCAAATCCCAAACTACTGGGCGCGCCCTGCACAGAGGCACAGCAGGATCCGTGCACCGGCTCCTCCCCATCCCAGAGGCAAGCCTGCCCTTCCCAAATGTCGGGCTCCCTATCTCCCTCTTCTCCCCTCGCTCCCGCACAGCCCACAGCGCGCCGCCAGCTCGGACTCGGAGAACCGGTTCCCGACTGGCGGGCGCGGCAGGGCGCCTGCGCCACCGCAGCCCCGCGCATGCCCGCTGCCTCCTGCCGGCTTCCCCCAGGTGCGCGAGTTCTCAAGCTGCTGGGTTCCGGGACGCCGCGCGCCGCTGCCCGCCCGGCTTCCGGCTCCCACTCTGTGGGCGGGGCGCCCGGCAGCCGCGAGATGGCGTCACCGCGTGGGCGGGCGCGGCGGGCTGTCAGTGGGGAGGGTGGTGGACGTGGGGCGGTAGTAGGGGTGGAGGTATAGAAGTGGGGAATTCCGGCGCCTCGCCCTCCCACTGATCTTCTCCTTCCCGTCTTTGACTTCCCTGCGTGGCCCTGGAATGTCGGGACAGACCCAGCAGGGTGGTCCAGCCTGGTTCGCTTGCTCTTGATGGTGAAGCCCCTCAGAGAGCTGCCTTCGGTGGAAACGCTGTTAGGTATCGAGTTTTCCCGCTGACTCTCGACAAACGCTAACAAGGGACTCGAGGTGCTGAGAACTTTGGAAACACCTCTAAAGTGATATAGACAATGTGATGGCTCCATTCGATCAATGAAGCCCTAGCATAAAAATGGGGTCCTCAAATTGTTTAATAAAGCACTAGGAATAGAAGTGACACCGTGGAAGTAACTCATTAGCAAGACCCTTCCTCCCTAAACCCAATAAAACATGAGATAGTCCTCAAGTGGTGTAGTGAAGGTGGAAAATTTTATTGCTGCTTTCTCTGGGAGCAGAGGAAGGAAGTCTTTTTAAGTGTCTTGCATCCAGGATAGGGAGTTAAAAACTCTAGATTTAACTAACATAGTTTTTTAAAAGCCGCTCAACAGAAGCGAGTTAACTTTGCCCGCTAAAGCCCGGTGCAATCAGAGGGCGTGTGGGGTGAGTCGTTTATATTATTAAATAGGATGTGTTTGCTCTATACTGCTTAATTTGAGGTGTTACATGAATATTATTGATCACATGATAACTGACAGATGCTGAAGCAGCAGGAATGTTGACATTTTCCACAAAAAGAGGACTAGAATTGTGATGGAGCTAAAGTAAAGATCATAACAATTGAAAATGGTGAGAAAATGATGGCTATTATCAAAAAGACAAATAAGTGTTGATGAGGATGTGGAGAAAAGGAAACCCTGGTATACTGTTAGTGGAAATGTAAATTAGTATACCCATTTTGGAAAGTAGTATGGAGGTTCCTAAAAAACTAGGAATAGAATTATCATATGATCCAGCAATCCCACTTCTGAGTATATATCCAAAGGAATGGAAATCAGTATGTCAATGAGATATCTGCACTCTCATGTTCATTTCAGCATTATTTACAATAGCCAAGATATGGAAGCAAACTAAATGTCCATCAACAGATGAATGGATAAGGAAAATAGGGTATATATACACACAGTGGAATACTATAGAGCCTTAAAAAAGAAGGAAATTCTTCATTCACTGCAACATGGGTGGAACTGGAGGACATTAGGCTAAGTGAAATAAGCCAGGCGTAGAAAAACAAACATTGTATGACCCCACATATGTGGAATCTAAAAAAAAGTTCATCTCATAGAAACAGTATAAAGGTGATTACCAGAGGCTGGTAAGTGTGAATGGGGCGAGGGATGGGGAAAGGGAAGATGCTGACCAAAGGGTATAAGGTTACTGTTAGACTGGAGGAATATGTTTGAGTGATCTATTGTACTTCACAATAACCACAGTTAATGTCTATTTCAAAATTGCTAAAAAGATAGATTTTTAACATTGTCACTACAAAAAAGGTTAAGTCAGTGAGATAATAGATATGTTAGCTCAGTTGAATTGTTCTACAATGTACATATAGCTCAAAACATTGTACTCCATAAATATACACAATATTTGTCAATTAAAAATTAATTTTAAAAACATTCATAATGTCTGTGAATTATGAGGCAGGAAGCTGCCAAGGGGTTCCCTACAGCACTTGAAGAGATTATCTAAAAAGGAATTACCTACTTTCAATCTTAAAGTATACAAAACACCTACTTTAGAAAAAGATGCCACAGAAACATATATCAGCAAGGAGAAGAAAAGTGGGCCTGTTTAAAAGCTTCAAAGGGCTGCCCACCTCCCTCTTCTTTGTGGAAAATCCATCCAGGGACTGGAAATTTCAACTCCTTAAGTTTGAATGTATAAAAAAAATGGCCATAAGTACACCCAAGTACACCCATCTGAAACGAAAACCCTTCGTAAGGTGAGGAACTCCGGTATTTTTGTTCCAGTAAAACCAGGTCCTTATGCTAATACCTAGATAGAGGGTTGTTGTAAAGTAAAAATGATTGTAAAGCTGCCTGGTGCATAGTTAGCTATTATTATTTAAACCCTTAAGGTATGAAAAACAAGAGCTCGTTTTGAGTTGAATTGTGCAAAAAAGGAAAGTAGAAAAAAAGAATACACGAACAATCTACAAGAGCACATACAACAAAGGTACGTACACAGAAGTCTTTACAGGGCCATATGCCTAAAGTGACAGTCAAAAGTTCTCTAGAAAATAGGACCCGATGCAAAGGCCCATATAACAGTTCCTTAGAGAGTAGGATTTCCTTCAACAATTCCTTCAACCCCAGTGAAGCAGAAGTAAGGGGAAGGGAGACATGAGCCACGCACAGAAGGAGGCAGAAAAATATCCAGGTGATGCACCACTGAGCTGGCTGCTCAGTCTCTCACGATGCCTCCATAGTGGAGACCACTCTGTTTTGGAACAGTGCGAGAAGAAGGGAGAAAAATGGAACTTTTGGCTCCCATCAGTCAAAGGTTTCTGCAGGAGATGCAAACTCGCCCGCACTTTTCAGTCATGCCACCTGCCGCTCCAGGCAGCTGCCAGAGAAGCCAGATCCCTGAACAGCAGTGGCATTATCCATGCATGAGCTAAGCCAGCAAGTGAATGGGTGCCACTGTCCACCTGCAGCCTGCAGTATCCCAGGAGCGTCTACCACCTCTGTAACAAAAGGGAAGCCCCAGAGGAAAAAAAAAAAAAAAAAAAAGGCTGGAGATTCAAGGCATTAACCAGGCATTATTAAAGTTGTGCCCTAAAGCAGCATGAGAGACCTGGAGCAAGGGGAACATCACATCTTGGCCCCTACCACCAAGGCAGCCACAGAGCTCAACAAGTCACGCTCCAAGGAAGATTGAAACATCCCTTCTGCAACCTGTAAGGATGCTGTTATGGTGTAAAGTTCCTGGATAGTAATAGTAGCATTCAACATAAAACTATTACCAAGTAAATCCAGGGAGGCACATAAGCTGGGTTCAAATTTATGATAATGGCAAAGACATAGGAGAGCCAAGGCATTGTGAACTAAGAGAAGCCGTTTGTGTTCATACATCAAATATTGAATGCATTTTAGGGTCGGGTACTATATTAGGTGCTAAGATCAAAAATTAGTAAGATAATTTCTAGTCCAGAATCCAAGGAGCTCACAGCCATACAATAGCACCAAACAGATATGTATTTCTTTTATTTATTTATGCTTTGTTAATTGTTTAAAAATATCTGTCACCATGAAATTCTGGTTCCACAGTCTCTGGTATAGTTAAATCATTTTAAGGAAATAGTTTATTTCAAGATGTTCTTGCCTCAAAATTTAATGTCAAGTGAAGAAATGATCTCATATTTCACATAGTGTAGCTGCCAGGAGATGGTAAAATCAGGCGTTTGTCTTGACGTGTTTATATTTACACAAAGGTGTTTCAGAATGTGTTTGCAATGAGGAAGAAGAATAAGTAAAAGAGAGTTTGAGGACAAGCCTTCTGATATGGAAACGAAGGAAAACAGAAAGTCTGGAAATGTGGATGTTTGAATTACGGATGAGCACATTCCCAGAGCATTATTGTAAATACGAAAGAAAGAAGATCAGATTTTAAAAGTTGTTTCTTGGCCAGGCGCGGTGGCTCACGCCTGTAATTCCAGCACTTTGGGAGGCTGAGCTGGACAGATCATGAGGTCAGGAGTTCGAGCCCAGCCTGACCAACATGGTGAAACTCCATCTCTACTAAAATACAAAAATTAGCCAGGCATGGTGGTGCACACCTGTAATACCAGCTACTGAGGAGGCTGAGCCAGGAGAACGGCTTGAACCTGGGAGGCAGAGATTGCAGTGAGCCGAGACCGCACCACTGCACTCCAGCCTGGGCGACGGAGCGAGACTCTGTCTCAAAAACAAACAAAAAAAAAAAGTTGTTTCTCTAACTGGGACAAAGTAGTGCTATTTAGCCAAATTTATTGGGCCCGCTACTATGTGACAATAAGAAAAGAAAATGTCTGCTTTGATGGAATTTTATATTCTAATTGGGAAGCTGAAAATATGGGAGATGAAAAAGTAAAATATGTTGTATATTAGATAATGATAAGTGCTAAGTGGGTGGGGAGCTGGAAGGGGGGAGATAACTTTTGACCTGAACAAAATGAGAGAATTGTACAGATGTCTGGGGAGAGAGGATTTCAGCCCACAGAAAAGTTTTGGGGAAAGGATGTATGTGGTTTGTTCACAAATACCAGTGAGATCGATCTAGCTAGAGTATCTGACAGAGAAAATAGTGGATAATGAAAGAAAAGTGATAGGGGCCAGAACATGCAGGGCTCTTACAGCTTTTTCCTCTGAATGAGTTTGGAAACACTGAAAGGTTTTGAGTAGAATCATGGCATCTGACATATGTGTTTACAGGATCGCTCTGGTTGCTTCATGGTAGGAGCGGGGACGCCATTGCGGAGGCTGCTGCACAGTCCAGACAAGAGATGATGTAGTTTAGGCCAGAATAGTGGCAGAAGTGATGGTTAAAAGTGGTAGAATCCGGCCGGGTGCAGTGGCTCACGCCTGTAATCCTAGCACTTTGGGAGGCCGAAGCAGGTGGATCATGAGGTCAGGAGATCGAGACCATCCTGGCTAACGCGGTGAAACCCCGTCTCTACTAAAAATACAAAAAATTAGCTGGGCATGGTGGCAGGCGCCTGTAATCCCAGCTACTCGGGAGGCTGAGGCAGGAGAATGGTGTGAACCCGGGAGGCAGAGGTTGCAGTGAGCCAAGATCGCACCACTGCACTCCAGCCTGGGTGACAGAGTGAGACTCCATCTCAAAAAACAAAAGGGGCGGGGGTGGACTTCTTGGTAAATTCTGAAGGTAGAATCAACAGGATTGATATTTATTTATTTATTTAAGACAGGGTCTCGCCCTGTCACCCAGGCTGGAGTACAGTGGCACAATCACAGCTCACTGCAGCCTTGACTTCTCGGGCTCAATGGATCCTCCCATCTTAGCCTCCTAAGTAGCTGAGACCACAGGCATGTACTACCACACCCAGCTAATTTTTGTATTTTTTTTGTAGAGATAGGAGTTGTGTCATGTTGCCTAGGCTGGTCTCGAACTCCTGAGCTCAACTAATCCTCCCGCCTTGGTCTCCCAAAGTGCTGGGATTATAGGTGTGAGCCACCACACCCAGCCTCAACAGGATTTATAGACCAACCGAATACATCGTGTGAGAGGAGAAAGTCAAGGATAACAACGAAATGTTTACCTTAAGCAACTGGAAGAATGGAGTTGCCATCAACCAAGATGTGGAAGACTGTGAGAAGAGCAAGTGATGGCAGAAGGACAGTAGAAACTCAGTTTTGCATACGTTCACTTTGAGATGCCTAATAGGCATCCAGGTGGAAACATCAGTAAGTAATTGGATAGAGGCCAGGAATTCAGAGGAAAAGCCCAAGCTGGAGATTTAGATTTAGGAGTCACCAGCATATGGACAACATTTAAAGCAATTAAATTGTTTACATTTTCCCCAGACATACCCTTTCTGTCTCATCCTCCATGCACTAAGTAAATAAAAGAACTTGATAGCTGAGCGTGGTGGCACACGCCTGTAGTCCCAGCTATTGGGAGGCTGAGGCAGGAGAATCATTTGAACCTGGGAGGCGGAGGTTGCAGTAAGCCAAGATCGTACCATTGCACTCCAGCCTGGGCAACAGAGTGATACTCCATCTCAAACAAAAAATAAAAAAAGAACTCGTACTTCTCACAGCAAGGTACACATTTATAGACATCACTACTCATAGAAATACTGTAGTACAAAATAAATATTTAAATAGAAAATAAGGTTTAGTTTAATAGCCAAAAAGTAAGTTTATGAAGGGGAATTCAGTAGCTTGAGTTTACATCCTTTGCACCCTCCACCTGAAGTTTGAGGTGTTAAGGAGATCATTTCACAGTAATAGAAAAAGTCTCTGGAACTGTTCAACCCTGGAATCAGTCCACTCTCCTTGCTATTAAGAAAGGAATTACATGTCTGTATTAGTTTGCTAGGGTTGTGTATTAGAGTTCTCCACAGAGATAGAACCAATAGGATGGATGGATAGATGATAGATAGATAGATAGATAGATAGATAGATAGATAGATAGATAGATAGATAGATAGGGTATTTATTAGGGGAATTGGCTCATGCCATTATGGAGGCTGCGAAATCCCATGACAGGCCCTCTGCAACCTGAAGACCCAGGAAAGCTGATAGTGTGGCTCAGTCCACATCTGAAAGCCTCAGAACAAGAGAAGTCAATGGCGTAACTCAATCTGAGGCCAAAGGCCTGCAAACTTGGATTGAGGGGTGCTAGTGCCAGTCCCAGAGTCTAAAGGCTGGGAAACCTGAAGTTGTGATGTCCAAGGGCAGCAGAAGAAGGGTGTCCCAGCTCTAGAAGAGAAAGAAACAGAATTTGCCCTTTCCTTCCCTTTTTGTTTCATCCAGGCCCCTAAGCAATTGGATGGTGCCTGCTCACATTGAGGGTGGATCTTTCCCACTCAGTCCACCAACTCACATACCAGTCTCCTCCAGAAACACCCTCTCAGACAAGCCCAGAAACAATGCCTTGCCAGCTATCTAGGTGTCCCTTAGTTCAATCAAGCCAACACCTAAAATTAACCATCACAGGCTGCATAAAAGTACCACAGACTGGGCGGCTTAACCAACAGAAATTTTTTGTCTCACAGTTCTGCAGCTACAACTCCAAATCCAGATGTCAGCAGAATTGGTTCCTTCTGAGGACTGTGAGCAAGGGATCTGTCCAGGCCTCTCTCCTGGGCTTGTAGATGAACATCTCCCTACATCATCTTCCTGCATGTCTGTCTCTAAATTTCCCCTTTTTCTTTTTCTTTCTTCTTCTTCTTTTTTTTTTTTTTTTTTTTTTGAGACAGGGTCTCGCTCAAGCTGCAGTGCAGTGGCACGATCATGGCTCACTGCAGCCTCAACCCCTCTTGGTTCAGGCAGTCCTCCCACCTCAGCCTCCCAAGTAGCCGGGACTACAGGCGTGTGCCACCAAGCCTGGCTAATTTTTCTATTTTTTGTGGAGATGAGGTTTCACCATGTTTCCCAGGCTGTCTGGAGCTCCTGGGCTCAAGCGATCCACCTGCCTCAGCCTCCCAAAGTGCTGGGATTATAGGTGTGAGTCACCGCGCCGGGCCCAAATTTCCCCATTTTATTAATATAAGGACACTAGCCATACTGAATTAGGACCCACCCTAATGACCTCATTTTAAGTTGATTACCCCTCTGTAAATAAACTATCTCCAAATATAGTCACACTCTGGGGTACGGGGAATTGGGACTTCAACATATGAATTTGGGAGGGGGCACAATACAACCCACAAAATGCCTAAGTAAAGCAATAAACCTAAATCTCAAGACTGTCTTGAGGTTTAAATGAGATACTTACAGTATCTGATCCTGTACCTGGCATATAGCAGCCAATCAAATGGTAGAGTGGCAGAGAATATGATTTAACCGCCAATAGTAATCTAAGTACAATCCCTAAAAAAACTTTCTACGTAAGTTGGCTATAAAAAATAATGAAAATGTTACTTTCTCTTAGAGCCAACCAAATGTTGCAGGTGTAAGTATGTTTGGGTGACCCTAAAACCTGAGAAATGGATTTAGGATTTAAAGTTGGCATAATATGGATTTAGTGGTTCACCCAACAACAAGAGGATCTTCATTTATCTGTGTGATAATTTGAAATGAAAGCTCTTTCATTTGCAAAGGGCATTAATCTTTCATCATATATGTATCAAGTGACTACTAATGCCAGTCACTTGCTGGGCGTCTGAGATTAAAGAGACAGATCACTTACTCCCAAGATATGTTCCATCTAATGATGGAGACAGATTAACAAGTATTTACAGTAAAAATGTGATAATCAGGGTAAAAATAGAATGCTACATAACCACAGTCCAACTGGGGCACTAGGGAAGATTTCTTAGAGGAAATAACAGTTGAGATGACTTTGAAGGTCAAGAAGGTATTACCAAATTAAAGGCTAACCAGAAAAAGAAGAAGGAAAGATATCCTAATCAGAAGTAATATCTGAACCTTTTTAAATACATAAAGTGAAACTTTCTTACAGAAGAGTAAATATGCAGTCTTTGAAGAACAGCCATATTGTGTTCAACATTTTCATGTGAATAATTAGATAATAGATCTTTCTTGGCATTATGAGGCCCGTGTGTGTGTGTGTGTGTGTGTGTGTGTGTTTGTGTGTGTGTGTATCATTTATTTTGACACAAAGTCTTGCTCTGTCATCCAGGCTGGAGTGCAGTGGCACAGTCTCAGCTCACTGCAGCCTCAACCTCCTGGGCTCAAGTAATCCTCCCACCTCCTCAGCCTCCTGAGTAGCCAGGACTACAGGCATGCAACATGATGGCCCAGCTAATTTTTGTTTATTTTTTGTGGAGACAGGGTCTCAAACTCCGGGACCCAAGCAATCTACCTACCTCAGCCTCCCAAAGTGCTGGTATTACAGGTGTGAGACACCACACCCAGCCACTGTTTGTGTATTTTAATACTGAACCACTTGGAAAGCACCTAGTACACCATATTATCTGAAAGATGTAAGCCTAAAAGCCTATTTCTATATAATAAGCAATGTGATTAGACAGATGAAAGAAAGCTACATTAATGTGTACAAACAGGAGAAGAAATGGGTGGGACAGGAGCTTTGGAAAAGCTAGCAGCTTACTGTTATAAAGTGTAGAAAGAAGTAACAACAGCAAAAGAGCTTCTGAGAATTTGATAAATGGCATTTATTTTTTGGCTGCCAGGGAGCTCAAAGCTAACTTTGCTGTAAAATTTTAATAACCATGTAGAAACTTAAACCTATGTAACAGTTTACTCTTTTGTCTCAGTGTTCATTCCTGTTCTATGAAAATGGTGGTTCTACAGATACAAGTGAAGAATAAAAAAGAAGAATCTATTGAATTTGGGTTATGTTTAGTTGCACATGTCCTTAGTACATGCAGGAGCAAAAGTGCAGTAAGCATTTAAATGTAATACAGAGAGACAGAGATTTAGTGTAAGAAATTGGCTACATGATTATGAAAGCTAAAACCCATAGTCTGTAGTTGACAAGCTGGAGACCCAGGAGAGCCAGTTGTATGGCTTAGTCTGAGGGCAGAAGAAAACTGATGTCTCTGCTCAAGTAGCCATGCAGAGAGGGAGTGAATCTTCTTTTCCTCACCGTTTCATTCTATTCAGACCCTGGACAGATTGGGTGATGCCCAGCCATATTTGGGAGAGCAGTCTTTAATCAGTCTACCAATTCCAATGCTAATGTTTAACCAAATATCTGGGCACCTTGTGGCCCAGTCATATTAAAATTAACCACCATATCACAGTATCTTAATGACTACCAAATCCGTTACTGCAGCTGAGAGCTGGACTCATACTGATAGTGGATACTGATAGTTCCACTTGGATGCATAATTAGCATCTCAAATTCACATGCTCAAAAACCATGCTCCTGATATTTTCCCCAAAACCTACTTCTCCTGATAGTCCCCATCTTAGTCAATGACTGCTCTGTCCTTCTTCACGTTTACCAAATCCTGTTGACTCTATCAATGAAATAGAAAAGTCATCTGATCTTTTCTTACCACCTTACAGGTACCACTCTGGTACAAGCAAACATCAACTCTTGCCTGGGTTATTGCGATTTTCTCTTAAATGCTTTCCCTGTTTTGCCTGTGCCCTCCAGTGTCTATTTCTGATGCATCTGCAAGAGGTCATGTTCTCTCTTTAAAACCCTTAAACAGCTTGGAGTAAAAGCAATAATGATCAACAGGCCCCTGCATGATCTGGCCCCAGATACCTTTCTGACCTCATTTCCTATTGCTCTCCTTCCCGTTCAGTCTGCTGGAGCCATTTAGTCTCATCACCGGTCCTAGAACAAACCAGGCACAACCTTTCCTCAGGGACTTTGCATTTGCTTTTCCTTCTGCCTAGAACGTTCTTTGAACAGATACTCACAATAGTTACTTTCTCATCTTTCTCCTTCAGCTCTTTGCACAGATGTCCCTTCTCAGTGGAGCCTTGTCTGACAACTCACTTTAAAATTGTAACCCTCACATCCACCCACAGATGCTTCTTAACTTCCATGCCTGCATTGGCCTTCTCCATAGCCCTTATCACTACCTAAAATAGTATAGATTGCTTGAGCTTATAATATTGTCCGTCTCTCCCATGAGAATGTGAGTTCCATCAAGGTAGGCATTTTATCCCCTGAGGCTAGAAGAGTGTGTGGTAGCATAGGCATTCAGTTACTATTTGGTGGATATTAAACAAATCAATGACTGAACACATAGATTCAAAACCCAAGTAGGAGTTTCTGCCAAAAAAAGGGGGATGTCATTCACATATGGGTGTATGGGTGGAAGCTGGAATTGTGATCAAGTGGCAGGTTACTGAGTAGAGAGAATGTACAAAAAGAAGATTAAAGGGTTGAAATCCATCTTAGGAGCAGGCAGAGAAAGTTAGAATGAAGGAGCCTGAAAATCAGTAAAAAGAGTGTAGAAGGAGAACCAGGAGAGAGTGAGCAAAAAGAAGGTAGACATACTCTCAATAAGAGTGGTTGGCAGTGTCCAGTGTAGCAGAAAGGTTAAGACTAGCACTAAAAAGTATTCATAGATATTGCTTAGTTTTTAAGAAAATAAATAAATAAATGGAGATCATCTTACACCATATATCCAACTCCAGATGGGTAAAGTGTTGAATGCAAAAATTTGATAAAGAAATATAATCTTGATGGGAAATAATTTTCTAAGCTTAAAATAAATTATATAATTTACAAACTGATAAATTTGACTCCATTAAAATGAAAAACATTATCCATATCAAAAAGAAGCTCAAAATGAAAATGGTAAAATAAACTGTAAAAATATGTGCAATCCATTTGACAATGGGAGAATTTTTTAGATTTGAAAAAGCTCTTACAATAAGAAAAATCTTAAGATTCTGATGCCTAAAAAGGTAAAAATGTAAACAAACATTCCACAAAAGTATAAATACAAGTAGTTGAAAAATGATCTACTTGACTAATGAAGTGCCAATTAAGACAATAAGTTTTTTCTCCTATTAACAAGGTTTAAAAATATAATTATGGCATATGAACTGAAACAGAATTACTTATATTCTATCAGTAAAACTGAATGTGTACAATCCATTTTACACAGCCATTAAAAAATATAAGATATTCACAATAGCCAAAAGGTAGAAACCACTCAAATGTCCATCAACAGTTAAATGGATAAATGAAATGTGGTGTAGATTTAGATATATACACGATGTCATATTATTCAGTCTTAAAAAGGAATACAATTCTGATACATGCTACAACATGTATGAACCTTGAGAACATTATGTTAAGTGAAAAAAGCCAAACACAAAAGGATAAATATTATATGATTCCACTTATAGGAGTGATATGGTTTGGCTGTGTCCCCACCTAAATCTCATCTTAAATTGTACCTCCCATAATTCCCACATGTTATGGGAGAGACTTGGTGGGAGATAATTGAATCATGGGGGCAGTTTCCCCCATACTGTTCTCATGGTAGTAAATAAGTCTCATAAGATCTGATGGTTTTATAAGGAGAAATCCTTTTCACTTGGTCCTCATTCTCCTCTTGCCTGCCACCATATAAGATGTGCCTTTGCTGCTCCTTCACCTTCTGCCATGATTGTGAGGCTTCCCCAGCCATGGGGGACTGTGAGTCCATTAAACCTCTTTTTCTTTATAAATTACCCAGTCTCAGGTATGTCTTTAGTAGCAGCATGAGAAAAGACTAATACAATGAGATACCTAGAATAGTCAAATTTCTAGAGAAAGAAAGTAGAGTAGTGGTTGCCAAGGTCAGGGGAGGAGGGAATGGGAAGTTACTGTTAACAGAAGTTCAGTTTGGGATGATGAAAAAGTTCTGGAGATGGATAATAGTGATAGTTGCCAAACATTGTGAATGTATCTAATGCCACTAAATTGTACACTTAAAAATAGTTTAAATTGTCAATATTATATTATTTATTTTATATTTTACCACAATAAGGAAAGTCTTGAAAAAACATAGAAGTTTACAATAACCCAGTAATTACACTTTTTGAAATGACTCTTGTAGAAATAGACCAAAATTTAAGTAAAGATGTTTATCAGAAAGTTATTTATAATTGCAAAACAACTCTCAGAAGCAATATAATGGTAAAATAAATGATGGCACATTCCCACTAACCTGGCAGCCCCAGGACATCAGGGACCTTGGCTGTTCTTGTTCTCTATCTCATCTCCACCACCTTCCTGTACTTGACACGTAGAAGATAATTGTTGATTTCATTAATATGGTGAAACACTATGTATGAGAATATTTATACAGGATTTTAATGATAGGAAAATGGTCTGTTATAATAAGTGAAAAAAACAGGATAAGACTTGTATATATAATTTAATTTCAACTATACAAAACAGAGGTTCTTGGTATGTGAAATAATGAATTCCCTCATTGTTTCAGCCAATCTGAACTGTGGTTTATAACACCTGAAAACATCCCAAGGGATCCTTCCACCCACACAAGAACTTTACTCATAAAGAGTTCCTCATGCTTTCTCATAGGTTATTAAGGAGAAAAGCGGAAAGTAGAAAAAAATAGTGGTACCATTAATAAAAGTTAGCTGACAGCAAAGGAAAAAACAGGAAAATATTTAAATAAAACACAAAAAAAGCAACTGTATCCCCATAAAACACAGCTGGCTGCAGCCATTTAGCATAGGATCGCAGTTTTACAGACTTGAATAACTTCTTCAGCTATTCTTACAATAATGGATATTTGTAATAATGATCCTGAGTCACTAATACAAATGTCCAGTTTGTGCAATATATTTTGTTTGAGAAGACAGAGCATTCTATAACACAGTTTAGAAGGATTTTCATTACAATGCTTTAAATATTTCAAAGTTTTGGGACTTATGAAATTAAATTCTTCTGGAAATCCACTTAGCTAGAACTTCTCATTTTCCCGATAATATTCAAGAGAAATGAAAAGCTATTTTATTTGACGATCTAAAATTCTTGTATTTATGTTGGAGGTTGGGTTTTCCTAAAACCTGGAGTACATAACAGGTCACCTAGGATGGGGCAGAGGGCTGATTTAAAATGCAGTTTTCTCAACTCGTCCCCTAAAGATTCTAATTTAGTGGGTCTGGGATGACGTTGAAGTACTGGCACTTCTAACAGACACTTCAGATGTTTTAGCCTAGACCTGAAATAATGGAATCAAGATATGAAGACTTAATTTAGGAATTGCTGGAGAGTTACCTGCTTTATTTTAAGGTTATATAGTTTGGATGTCCCCTCCAAATCCCATGTTAAAATATTTTCCCCAGTGTTGGAGGTGGACATGGTAGGAGGTGTTTGGATCGTGGGGCCGGGTCCCTCATGAAAGGCTTGGTGCCATCCCCTTGGTGATGTGTGAGTTCACACGAGATCTGGTTGTTTGAGAGTGTGTGGCACTTCCACACTCTCTTTCTCTTGCTCCCTCTCTTGCCCTGTGACAGGCCTGTTCCTGCTTCACCTTCTGTCATGGGTAAAAGCTCTCCAAGGCCTCCCCAGAAGCTGAGCAGGTGCTGGTGCCCTGCTTGTACAGCCTGCAGAATCATGATTCAATTAAACCTCTTTTCTTTGTAAATTACCTGGTCTAGGGTACACCTTTATAGCAACACAAATAACTGCTTGACACAAAGGTAGTTGAGGATCGTATCTGTCTTGACTTTACCAAGATTATATGATTCTGTTTTTAACTGGAAGGAACTCTTGCTCTGCTATTAATAAAGTTTAAAATTTAGTTTGGGTTAACAACTTTATCTCGGATGTCATATTTACTGTTGATAAAATTGTAATATAGTATATGCCGTTAATGGTCTCCGATGTCAATGCTACATTTTACCAGATGTCTTCATGGTCAGCACTATCTCTTCTTTCTCTATTTGAGATGTTGAATCCCAACCTCTGATACCTAGATGAAGGATGGGTTATCTGTAAGACACTGGGAAAAGCATTATGTGAATATAGAAGAGTCGTAATGAAATGTATTATGTGACTGAAAAGTTTGGGGAGACATAGATTTACTTGGATGTGACATTGATATGTATGGACCTTAACCAAACAAGCATGAAGCTTTAAAAAGTGTCATGTGAACACGTTCCAAAAAATTTTTAATACAGGAATTATTTTGCAACTCATTAATTTCAGTTATGTTTTATGTTTCTGGCAGTGGAAGAATTGTTGTTCCTGATTCTTCTCCTTCCCCTTTTCTTCTCCATGACAAGCCTGTGCTCAGAAATAACTTCTAGTCACCCAGATAGCTGTAGAAACGTATCATGCATGCTGCCTGAAAGACCTGTTCATTCTTAAAACCACAGATCATATATTACCTCCTCCAAGAGCCTTTTCCTAATTGCCCAGGAAGACTTAATTCTTCCTTTTTCTGTGAAAGAACAGAGAAAAATGAAAATGTTTCTACGATTTCATTCATCCATTCAACAATTTAGCAACTACTCTGTTACAAATGTGTGTCGAGATGATATTTCATTAAGAAAACATGGAAATAGGCCAGGCACTGTGGCTCACGCCTATAATCCTAATCCCAGCATTTGGGGAGGCTGAGGCAGGCAAATTGCTTGAGCCCAGGAGTTCAAGACCAGCCGGGGGCAACATGGTGAAACCCCATCTTTACAAAAAAATAAGAGAAAGAAAGGAAAGAAGAAAGAAAAAGAAAGAAAGAAAGAAAGAAAGAAAGAAAGAAAGAAAGAAAGAAAGAAAGAAAGAAAGAAAGGGAGGGAGGAAGGAAAAGGAAAGAAAGAGGGAGGGAGGGAGGGAGGGAAGGAAGGGAAGAAAGGGAAGGAAGGAGAAGGAAAGCCAGGTGTGGTGGTGCATGCCTATAGTCCCAGCTACCCTGTGGTGGGGGGATCACCTGTGCCCAGGAGTTGGAGGCTGCAGTGAACCGTGATCACACCACTGCACTCCAGCCTGGGTGACAGAGTGAGACCCTGTCTCAAAAAAAAAAAAAAAAAAAAAAGAAAAGAAAAGAAAAGAAAAAGGAAAACAAGGAAATGTAAAGGGAGAAACACACTTGAGGGATGATGTCAGGTGAGAACATGTTGAGCTTGAGTTGCCTGCAAACCCCCAAGATACAGCAGGTCTGGAGAGGAGATGCAGAATCCAGACTGAAGATGTAGTGGGGAACCATCAGCAAAAGCAGGCCTGGGCAGAACCAGGTATACAATTTGTGGGGCCTGATAAAAAATAAAAATTTGGTGGCCTTTGTTCAAAGAGCAGGAAAATTGCCATTAAAATGACTAAAGATACTAAGGTCCTAAAATATAAACTATTCCCTTTCCTCCAAGATCTCTCTTTCTCTCTCAACATGTCATGGTGAGTTTTTAATTCACTATTTAATATTGCTCTAAATAAAGATTTTAAATTACTGGCATGAATTTTACTGTTCATCTTTATATTGTGCAATGCCAGTTCTAGATGTAAATATTAGAACATTGAGCTCCTGTCAGAATCACTGACATCACACCATTCATATTTTATGGCTTGACCCCGGATGGTGTCTCAAGCTGGTCAGAAGAAATGAACACAAGCCAGACTCAGAGAAGCTAAAAGGAGAAAGAAAAGGTTCTCACAGGCACAGAGTGGCCCAAAGGATCCAAAAATACGCGTAGGGTAAGTTCAGACTCTCCCAGATGCTCTGGTTGCTGCCGTGGGACTTGGAAGTTCCATATGCCCTTGAGCCTGACAGCTGCCATGTTCCCCCTCTCACCAGCTCGCATGCACCACACCTCAGTGAGGGGCTGGGAAGTCAAGTCAGGCATCTCCACTTTCCAAGAGTCAGTTGTCCCAGCCCATAGCAGATGGGCAATCCCAAGGATATTGCAACCTCTGCATCAAGATGTGCTAGGGACTTGGATCACAGGGGGTAACAGGCTGACCCTCAACAAGTCATACACTTTTTTTTTTTTTTTTTTGAGACAGAGTCTCACTCTGTCACCCAGGCTGGAGTGCAGTGGGGTGATCTCAGCTCACTGCAACCTCTACCTCCCAGGTTCAAGCAATTCTCTTGCTCAGCCTCCCGAGTAGCTGGGACTACAGGCACACGCCACCATGCCTGGCTAATTTTTGTATTTTTGGTAGAGAATTTTGTATTTTTGGTTTCTCCATGTTGGCCAGGGTGGGCTCAAACTCCTGACCTCAGGTGATCCGCCCACCTTAGCCTCCAAAAGTGCTGGGATTACAGGCATGAGCCACTGTATCCAGCCTCATGCACTCAGGCTAGGGTGAGGACAGCCACTGTTGCCAGGCCTTGACTAGAGATGCAGGTGCAAGGACCCCAACCCTTCTTACACCTGCACTCAGCTTCCTGCCAGGGTGGAGGATAATGGCAGTCTTGGGGGGAAGGGTTAGAGGAGGAGAGTGGCAGGACCTGGGTCGGGGAAGGTTGAAGGAACAGGTGGCCAAGAACTCTTCTCAGGCTGAGAAGTGAGAAGAAGGGCAGTGAGAAGGACAGCGCTTGAGCTGAAATGCTAAGTCCCTGGCACATGCTCGTTATCCCATCGTATTTCACTCACAAAACATAAATTCAGAGATAACGTAAGAATTTCAAGATAGCAGCTGCAGAGCACTAACCCATGAGCATGGAGCCCTTCTGAATGTGGGGCTCAGGGCAACTGCACTGACTGCAAGCCCAGGAAGCTAGCCCTGGGTCTACAACATTTCCCACGAGGAGGAGAAAATAGAAGGGGACTAAGAAGGAACACAAGGAGCCTCAATATGATTGAGGTAGGTATGGGGGCCAGGGGAACAGCAGAAAAATGGGCAGAAACAAATAGGCAGAACCTATAAAGAACCAGGCCCAGAGGGCAAGAGAACCATAGACTCATCTACAGTACAGTCTTCTCCTCGGAGGTCTACAGTGATGTCTACTTTCCCTACAAGCATTAAACGAAAATTGAGCCAATAGTTAGAAATTAGAGGCTGGGTGCAGTGGCTCACACCTGTAATCCCAGGACTTTGGGAGGCCAAGGCAGGCAGATTGCCTGAGGTCAGGAGTTTGAGACCATCCTGGCCAACATGGTAAGACCTCGTCTCTACTAAAAATACAAAAATTGGCTGGGCATGATGGTGGGCACATGTAATCCCAGCTACTCAGGAGGCTGAGGCAGGAGAATCACTTGAACCCAGGAGGCGGAGGTTGCAGTGAGCTGAGGTCACACCACTGCACTCCAGCCTGGGCGACAGAGTATAACTCAGTCAAAAAGAAAGAAAGAAAGAGAGGAAGAGAGAAAGAGAAAGAAAGAAGAATTATAAACATTCTCATAAAAACCAAGTTTTCTTTAAAAAAAAAAATCAAAATATTTATCAATGCGGTGTCCACATTCCTCCATGACCAAAATCAACCAGAGACAGCAGCAGCTGCTACCTTAGAAGGGACACATGCCCACAGTTGGACAGGCTTCCTGTGACTCACCCTACGCAATACCAAACCCAGCTTCACCTGTGTAGACTGCAGCCAGCCTATGGGCATGTGAGTTTGGAGCCTCGGGTCTGCATTGCATGTGCAATGCCGCAGAAGGTCAACCAGGAGGAGACCTAAAAATAGGTCATTGGATCTGGCAAGGAGGAAAGCATTGGTGATCTTAATGAGAACAATCTGAATGGAGTTTTGGGATGGAAGCCAGATGGCAGTGGGCGGATAAGTGAATGGGAGGTGATGAAGTTGAGCCAGCAAGGGTAGAGACTAATTTTTTCAGCATTTTTTTTTTGACAGAAAGGGCGGGGGGGTGATGGAAAAGGAGATTGAACCCACCCTGCTATCCCTATGCCTCCCTCATGCTCCTTCCCACACATCTTCTTTAACTAAATAAAGAAGGAAAGTAACATGAAATGAAGCAAGAGCTCTGTTTGAAATTTTACACATTAGAAAAAAATCGATTCAAGACCAGAAGTGGAAATTAACTAGGCTTTTACTATGTCCTATTATAAGTATCATACTCAGAGATCTCAATCATAAGTATTTATTACTGTTGGAATTGGTGGTTAGAAAAATAAAGTTAGGCTGCTTGAGACTAATTCATAGGTTTTAATTTTTTAAAGCCGCTTTAAAATTTTTATCCTATGACGACATCGTTTTTATGGCAAGTTTAAGGAAAAAAAAACCCTTTTTGTTTATATTGTGGAAAGAAAGCAGAGTTGCACAGTTTAGGAGCTATTCTGAAAACCCAGGAAACTATTTGACAGCCCTATGCATGTTTCAAAATAGCAGGTAAACTACTTAAATCCTAAGATGTTGTATAGAATAAGCAACATTCCTCCATTCGATTGTTGAATAAACGAATCTTAAAATAAATGATGACATCTGTTTCCACCTACTGCACTGTTGTTTGGATGTTTCGTGGGCTTGTTTGTTCATATAGAATGTAATTTGGAAGGCTGATATTTTATTATGAACATATTTAGGTTGGGGTTTAACAGGCTCTGCATTTTATGAAGGATCTAACTTGGTCAAATATTCCCTATCCCAAAAGTGGAACTTACCAGAATTATCAGGCCATAAGGCCTCTTGCTTGGTGCTACTGGAAATGCTCTTTGATTTGTTAACAGATTCTGAAAGGCGATTTAGATCAGGTTTTGGAATCCTTGCGAAGTAATCAGATTTTAACTTTGACTTCCTCCAGTCTGACAAAGTACAGGAAGTCTGCTCCCTCCCGCTGTGGCCTACTCTCACCAACTGTTTTGAATGTGTTCTGCAGACTTCACCAGGGGTTCAGGAGATATGGAGCTTTTAACATATATACTGTGTTGGTGTGATTTTATGACTTCTAGTGGATGTCAAGTATGTAAGAACACAAGCGATGCTTTTTTTTTAAAGGGAGAAAATTGTATAATTCTTTTATTCCCGTTTTTCATGAAGTCATATATGTCAGCCAGCCTTTGCTTAATAAACTGCTAGATGTCTTTAATAAAAAACTTTGAGCTGGTGTCTACAACTTTAAGTACCAACCTTTGACACTAATAAATACTTTCAGCCTCTACAGTAAGCTGATACTGGTCACACAGACTGTGTCTCTCTGAAATCCAAACTTGCAAGTCAGTGAGCCAGCTTCGTATACATACGTCCAACAACTGGCCCATTCTACACTCAGATGCAGGTGGTATCGGAAGTTGCATGGGTGAGTAGGCTGAGGGTATGAGGAGGGAAGGACTTGGTGGCAAACAGAGGAAATGGATGGGAAAGGGGCCAAGAGAATGGGAAAATGAGCCATTCTCATTGCCTTGTTTCTTATAATTCAACCACTCTTTAGCCACAAGAAATATAGATTCTGTCCCCACTTAATCATTGAAACTGTTATCTGCAAACCCAGTGGATTTTTCTTCAACCTTTATTCTCCTTAACACCTTGCAGAATGTGACAGTCATTTTTTAGGGGAAAAAATGTCCAATTTTTTTATAAAATCTCCTTCTCTCTGGGCTTATGTAGCACCAACTGTCTTGGTCCTCCTGCTATCAATACTTACCATCCTCCTTTCTAACCAGCCTTTCTCTTACCTCCAACATTTCATCCTTCCCAGACTCACCCGCACCCCACATGCATCCTTGTAGGTCTGGCTTCTCTACTCTTGCCCTTAGTGATCTCATCCGGTGTCCTGTTTTTGCTTGTCTCCTCCATACAGATGATCGCTAAATCATGTTATGTAGCCTCAGCTTCTTTGCCCAGTTATAGATCAATATCAATGACTAGTGAAAAGAGCTAAGAGATTGGAATTTAAATCAAATGATATCACATATGTGAAAACTCCAAGTGCTATACAGATGCCAAATATTATTCTCTGCCTTCCACAGCTTTCAAGCCACTTTCATTCTTCCTGATATCTTCCTGACATCTCCTAGGGGCCCTACCTTCCAGTTAAACAGGGGGAAAATTGTGGTGCCATCTTTGATTTTCCTCTCTCATTCATCTCATCCAACCAGTGCCTCTAAATACTACATATTTGCTAGTCTATTGCATCTTTCTTTTTTTTCCAACTCATCACACTCACCACTAAGCAAAATGGTCTTCTCCATGCCCATCTCCCATTATGGCACTTGACTCAGGCCTCAGTGAATCTCTATTGCTTACCAAAACCAGTACAAACTTTTCCACCCAGTATTGGAGCTTCTCCATTATATAGACCTTTTATGCCTCTGTGGTTTAGTGACTTGCCACTCTCCTATTCATTCACTATGCCCTAACCAAATAGGTTGATTTTCACTCTCCACAACCCCTCCAAACATTCCCATTCTGGACACTTGCTTGGGGCAGTCTCTCCAATGGAATGCCTTTCTGTCTTCTCCCGCTATCCTGTCTTCAAGGCAATATGGGTCTGGGTCCAGGCTCGAAAATAGACTCCCACTCTAGATGTTTCAAACACAGGGAATTTGATACAGTGAATTGATTTCCAAGGTGCTGGGAGGTTTGGAAGAGTAAATGGAAGAAACAGAGGGGTTAAAGGAGCAAGAAAAGAAGCCATAGCTAAAATTCCTTGGGCTGAAGTCCCTACATTCACACTTGCTGCTGTGAGGCTTGCCAGTTCTGGAGAGACAAAGGGACATGGCTGGAACTGCTGGAAAGCTGCTGCCTCTGCCTGGGCTGCTGCAATCTGGAATTCTCCTCCTCCCTGCAACCCCTGCTGCTGCTCCAGCAACTTCCAGCAGTCTTCACTCTCAAAACTAGAGCAGGACTCTTCTCTCTGCTGCTGCCTTTGGATTTTCCTCTGGACCCAGCTGGCAAGGGAGCCTAGGAAATGTAGTTTTCAGACACCTGTTCGTACCTCTACAGAGCATAATATAGAAAGGCAGCTGGGGGTGCAGGACAACAGCTCAAAAGCTGGACAAGGGCCCAGTACAAACACTACATATTCCCTGAAGTGTTTCTTGATTCCCACCTCCCTCTGCCCCTCCAACACCATCAGCTTCAAAAGACTTCTCCCTCTTCTCAATTTTGTCCATGGGTCTCTTTGAATTCATTTAAAATACATTTGTTGAGGAACCCCTCTGTGCCAGGCACTGTGCTAGAAGCTGGAAATACAACTATGAGTAAGACAGACTTGGCTGCCATTCTTCTAGAACTTCATGGAGTTTAAAGTCTAGTTGAGGAGACGTACAATTAAATAAGCAATTACAATGTAGCTTGATGAGCATTAAGACAGGGGAGGTCGAAGTGTCAGGGCACATAAGAATGACGTTTAAACCAAACTGGAAGGGTCAGGAAGTGCTTCCAGAGGAAGCCAAAGTCTGAAGCCAAAGAGGCAAGGGCCAGGGAGAAATGCTCTTGATAGAAACAAAATCATGTCCAAAGGCCCAGAAGTGATAGAGAGAGAGAGAGAGAGAGAGAGAGAGAGAGCACTTCACATGCAAGAACCAGAATGCATGTGGTATAGGCAGCATACGTATTTTGAAGGGGAGAACAGGAAAGAAGAGAATGGGGAGAGATAATGGCTAGGGAAGAAAATAGGCATCACAGAACACAAGCCTGGTGAGCCACATCAAAGTTTGAACTTTACCCTAAGGACAATGGGAAGCCATTGAAGGTTTATAGTAGAAACGTGACATGATCAGGTTTTCATTTAGGAAGTTCATGTTGACTTCAGGGCAAAGAATAGGGTGAAGGGAGGCAGGGCAACTATTTAGGAAGGTGCCAGAGAAATCAAGAATAGTGGCTGAGACTAGGTTATGGCAATGGAAAGAAATGGTAGATTCGAGAGGTGTTCAGGAAGGAGAGTGGATGTGTGCACCTGGGAAACGGAGTCAAGGATGGCTCCTACGATTCTGCCTTGCCTTTATGAACTGCATGAACAGAAGTGACACTGCTGAGATCGAAAATGTAGAAGGGTGAGCTTTTGGAAGTGTACTCATTTCTTATTGCTGCTGTAACAAATTATCACAAACTTAGTGACTTAACAGAAATTTATTATCTTATAGGTCTGGATGTCAGCTGTCCATGTGGGTCTCACTGGGCTAAAATCAAGGTGTTGGAATGGCTGCTTCCTTCTGCAGGCTCTAGGGGAGAATCCATTTCCTTGTGTTCTCCGGCTTCTACAGGCTACCTGCATTCCTTGGCTCATGGCCCCTTCCTCCATCTTCAAAGCCAGTAGAGCTGCATCTTCTAAACTCTCTCTATGATTCTGACACTCCTGCCTCCCTCTTATAAGGACACAGGTGATTACATTGGATTCACTCACATAATCCAGGATTATCTTCCCATCAAGATCCTTAACTTATTCACATTTGCCAAGTAAGTCCCTTTTGCCACATAAGACAACATATTCACAAATTTCAGTGATTAAGAGGTGGACATCTTTGGAGGCCATTATTCTGCCTACCACAGGGAGTAAGGGCTAAGGGCTCAAATATCAGTTCAGTTCTACACACATAGAGCTTTGTGAATATGGCACATCCAGGTGGTGATGCTGAGTAGAAAGCATGATAGCTGGGTCTGAACCTTGGGAGCGGGATTTGCTTGACCATCTAAATGTGAGCATCATCAAAGTATAGATGGAATTGAAAACATGAACGTAGATGGGGTCTCCCTGGCAAAATAGTTAAGAGTGAAAAGAAAAGAGGAAAAACCTTGAGAAACATCATCCCTCAATGGATGAGGAGAGAATCCTATGAAGAAGAATGAAAACGAGTAGCCAGAAAGGCAGGAAGGACTGGGGGTGAGTAGTTTTGGTCTCTCTTCAGGACCCCAGAGTCTCCCATCTCCACTTCTTTGCACATCTTTCCTCAAACCAGACCTTCACTATATTGGTGTGTGCACCACCCCCGCCCCCCATAGCCACCAGCCCAGATTGACGATTGTCTTTTATGCCCAATTTAAAATTCCAGGAGAGAAAATCTGATGCCCCCAGCTTGAGTCTAGGCATTGATCCAACCCCCAACACTGTCCATGATACATAATGGGCACTCAATATTTGTTAAATGAATGAATATTTGTTGAATTAATGAAGTCAGAGATTCACCTGTGGCCTAACCAGCTATGACCACAGGGCATTATCATAGAGCACACACATGGCTCTGGGAGACCAACCTGTATTAGTCCATTCTCACATTGCCATAAAGAACTACTGAGTAATTTATAAAGAAAAGAGGTTTAATTGGCTCATGGTTCTGCAGGCTGTACAGGAAGCATGGCTGGGGAGGCCTCAGGAAACTTACAATCATGGCAGAAGGCAAAGGGGAAGCAGGCACATCCTACATGGCTGGAGCAGGAGGAAGAGAAGGAAGGGGGAGAGGGGCCATACACTTATAAACAACCAGATCTCATAAGAACTCACTGACTATCACGAGAACAACAGGGGTAACTCTGCCCCCATGATCCAGTTGCCTCCCACCAGGCCCTTCCTCCAACATCGGGGATTTCCATTTGACATGAGATTTGGGCAGGGACACAGATCCAAACCATATCACCACCTCTGAGTGGGGAAGATTTCTACATAAAAGTATAGGCTGAGCAGACAGCCCAACATATAGCCACAGCTCTAAAGCCTACTTGGTATAATTCCTAGCACAAGGCAGTCATCAGTAAATCTCTGTGAACCCACCTACTGGCTGGGGCTTTGGGAACTCCCTGGCTAGCCACTAAGAGGCAACAGAATGTTTAGCGACACATTGTGTGGAAGTAACAAACCTGCACAAGTTCCATTATCCATGGCAGCTTTTGTAGCACAAGCTTCCTTTACGAACAGCTCCATCTGCTTTAAGATGCTTTAGAAACATTTCAGCTCTAAGAAGCTCCTCTTTGCTTAAGATTTAAATCTCACCTTTACTGCTACTGACTGAATGATTCCATTTATTTGACATTCTGGAAAAGACAAAACTATAGGGACAGTGGTTGCCAAGGGCTGGGGAGTGGCCAGAGGAGTTGACTACCAAAGAGTGCAAGGGAATTTTTGTGTTGGTAGAAATATGACTTCATGACTCTATGTATTTATCAAAACTCATAGAAATATACACTAAAAAGGGTGAATTTACTGCTCCTAAATTATACCTCAATAAAGCTGACGCACACTCCCCAAAAAAGGACCCCTTTCTTCCTGCTGATTCTTGTGTATGCATTGCATCCTTGATTTTTCTGTTGTGCCGTCTTCTAGCTTGGCACTTGTGAAGTCTGATTCCTCATGTCAACCTAAATATATCTGTTACCTGGCAATGTAAAGTCTTTCTTCGCTTGTCTGTGTGTGTGTCTGCAACTACGATTTCACCTCCTTGATGGCAGTGGGCAGAGCTTACTTACATTTTGATTGTTTTCCTTTTGTTGACTCAGCACTCACTGATTTTTATGTGGTATATTTGTTTTTTGTTTTGTTTTGTTTTTGGTTTTTTGAGACAGGGTCTTGCTCTCTCATCCAGGCCAGAGTGCGGTAGCTCAATCTCGGCTCACTACAACCTCCACCTCCTGGACTCAAGCAATTTTCTTGTCTCAGCCTCCCTAGTAGCTGGGATTACAGGCACATGCCACCAAGCCCAGCTAATTTTTGTATTTTTAGTAGAGATGGGGTTTTGCCATGTTTGCCAGGCTGGTCTCTGGTCACCTGACCTCAAGTGATCTGCCTGCCTCAGCCTCCCAAAGTGATGGGATTATAGTCGAGGGGGTATGTTTTCATCCAGAAGAGTGGTTTTGATTTTGATGAACTTTTTGGTAGCCTTTCATTCATTTGGTGTCCAGTCCAGCTCCTTCCTCTTTTTCCTCTGAAGTCATTTGTTAAAACCTCACTAGATGTTATTGTACACATATGAAATGTTCTAACCAGACAGCATGTAAAACTAAACATTAAACAGGAAGATAGAATGTCTAATTATTCCAAATGTGACAAGTAATAAGAGGACCGGTGTTTCTACTCTTTTGTCTTGAAAAGGAAAGGAGCTGTAGACTTCTGGAGCATTATATTTTCTTTTTTTCTCCCCAGTTGGACAAGCCACAGCCTGAAGCCTGGCAGGCCCAACATGCATGTGTTTGCAATGCCAGAGTCTATGATTCTAAAAGGTATCCGGTTTCCAGAAAAAACAGAATTCTACCTGTGGAGGATCAGGGAAGGATTTCCCACCCAGAGTGAGGCCTTAGGGCAAAAGGATTGTTTTACTGCACTCATTTGCCAAAAAATCTGATTTCCTTGAGTTGCATGAAAAGACAAATCATAGTTTAAAGAATATAGTTTTATTTTTGTCTTATCCCCTGGGAAGATTTGGCATGTGGAGTTCTTGATTTTAACTGTTAGGTGTTTAACATCACCCACAGCTTGCCCAGCATGTGGAAATATTTGTTGAAATTATTTTCATTTCAACACAACAACCAACAGGACAATACGATCAGGTATTTTGTTTTTGCAAAGCAGCTTGAAGTTGGTACACATCATGAACATGGCAGATATGGGAGCCTTACCAATTTCAATCAATAGCATCCTTAAACCTTTAAGAAAGGGATTAGCTGCTGGGTGTGGTGGCTCAAGCCTGTAATCCCAGCACTTTGATCTGCCGAGGTGGGCAGATCACGAGGTCAGGAGATTGAGACTATTCTGGCTAACACGGTAAAACCCCGTCTCTACTAAAAATACAAAAAAATTAGCCAGGCGTGGTGGCATGCACCTATGCACCTGTAGTCCCAGCTACTTGAGAGGCTGAGGCAGGAGAATCGCTTGAACTCAGGAGGCCGAGCTTGCAGTAAGCCAAAATCACGCTATGGCACTCCAGCCTGGGCAACAGAGACTCCGTCTCAAAAAAAAAAAAAGAAAAAAAAAAAAGAAGAAAAAGAAAGAAAGAAAAAGGAAAATAAAGGGATTAGCAAACTGCTGCCATGGGTCACATCTGGCCTTCCACCTGGTTTTGCAAATGAGGTTTTATTGAAAGCCCATCACACTCATCTGTTTACATATTGTCTACAGCTGCCTTTTTTGTTTCTTTTTACTGTAACAGCAGAGTTGTGTAGTTGCCGCAGAGATCACCTGTCCTGCAAAGCTTAAAATATTTACTATCTAACTCTTCTGAGAAAAGTTTGATGACCGCTGCTTTAAGAGATTGCATTTCTCAGAGTCAGTTTCAGAATTCCCATCAGTCCTGCACCAGGCCTCCTTATTTTTGAAGATGAAAATGGAGACATAGCATCTGCAGTGTGATCATCTCCCTCATAAGTATACAGATTTTATTTTCAATTAAAATAGGAAAAAAATAAGATTATAGAGGTTTTTTCCCTAGAGAAAACCTTAGGCAAAGTTTCCAGTTGGCCCTCTTTGTGATATATGAAATTTGTGTCTGCGTGTATGTCCACATGCAACCTAAATAATAAATCACTTAAAACAATTTATTGGAAAAAGCAATCACTCTTAAGCTTTTGGTGAGTTATAGACCCTTTTGGGTATCTGCAAAGATCTAAATATCCTCTCCTCAGGGCTAAAAATGGGCATATACACTTCACTCAAACTGTGTGTATAGTTTCAAGAGCTCGCAGAGGTCTGAGGCTAGCGTGTTCAGTCCAGGCAAATTACTCCTTTACTGAAGGATGAGTCTCTATAGGCAGAACTCCAGGCATTAACCAGTTTGAGGACAGGAACACAGGAGGTGTTAGGACAGTTCCAGCATTCATACAATCACATCTCAATCACTTTATTTTATAAAACACGAAGCCTTAAAGAGTTTTCAGGTCAAAGATGCCAGTTTGGGCCCTGGTTCTTTGTAATCATAGGCAGAAACCAAAACTTTGAGAGCCTCTGAATTGTAGAAGCTTCAATCTGGTGGTTAGGAGATACCCAGTAACAGAAGATAACTGCAGAGGTCAGACGGGAAAAAAATCCCAGAAATATGCAAACACTGTGTAACTCTGAGAGTTCTGTTAGCACCCCAGCCCCGCCCCACTTCTAATTACAAGGTCTTGATCCCTTTCAGTTCCATCTCCCCACTAGTAGTGTGCAATGACACTGGTTTTGCAGGAACATCAAGTCTGCAGAGGTGGGATGTCACCTACACTTAAAGGAACTAAAGCAATATGAAGATAACCCAGCTAAGTTAAAGATGGGAGCTGGGAACCACCCAGTAGAGTCTCCCACAGTGCTCAAGAGTCCTGGTCATTCAAGGGTGTTTATTGTTTGCATATACGCATTACTTATTCAAAGGCAAAAAGGGGGGGTAATTTGCAAGTGCCAGTCAAGTTGAGTAAACAGTTATGTAATCTTCCTCCAAATTCAAATGTGAGGTTGAGTATGGCTCTGGTAGGCTCAACTTCTTACACTTTTATGGGCCATGGACACTGTGGGTCAGGAAACCATAACCCGATGGAATGGACAAATCACTAAGGCCCTAATCCCTCAAATCCAGCTCCTGATGGCTCCTGGACTCTTTTATAGGCATGGAAGGGGTGCAGAAGCCATTGCCATTCCCCGAAGGTAAGATGCCTCCCCACTGGAGAGCCCTGTCTTACCAGAGCACACTGGGCTGACACCTATATCAGTTTACGTTGCTTACTAAAGTCATTCCGGGAATGCAAAACCCCACTGCTAGATGGTCAGCCATGCTCTTTGTCCACATGTATCACAAAAAGCTGCCAGGACTCAACATAGCAACAGGTTTTAGTCCTGATGAGGTAAAAAACAAATGAACAAACCTTACCTGCCTCTAATAAACTTTTACTTTGAAGACTTGGTGATTCAGATTCATTGCTTAGCCTAGACACTTTCTCAGCTCAGTTATAATTGTTTCTGTAGGTATGTGATCAATTTATCCCTTTTTCTGTGTGAGAGAGGGGAAAAATGGGAAAATTCCACATCTTCATGCAGCAGCTTCCTTTCCTCCCTAACACCTACCCAAGACTGAAGATGAGTTAGAGGAAAAGGCCCTGAAATAGGAGTTAAAGAAGTGGGTGTTGATTTGAGCTTAGCCAGTTGCTAAGTGGCCTTGGGCAAATCATTCTAGCCCTTTGGGGATGTTTCTTCAGCTATAGAGGGCTTACGATGAGAGATTTCTAAATTCCCTTCTAAATCTGAAATGTGTTTTTGTGATTGCTTTGGAATACTTTGGGACATTCAAAGAAACTTTGACTCCCACAGCGAGAACAGAGACTCAGGAGGGACATGGTCTGTGTATTATTTAAACAACTGAACTGCGATAAGGTTTTTCCCATTAAGGCATTTGGTGCAGGCAACCGTTTTATAATAAACTTCCCATGAGCTCATTTAAAGCTCCATTTGAAAGCAAACATATTTTTCAAAGTGAGCTCCTTCTAATTACTTGTTATTTGAGCTTCATGTTTCCTTCCAATCTTGAGTTCTGGGCATCTGTGGATGCCCAAGCAAAGTCCATAGCTCTTAAGAAAGATAATTGGTTTGATAAAAGTTGTAAATACAGTGACTAAGGAATATAAACTAAATGGATTTGTCCTAATCTCCCTTCCTGAGTTCTTTCCATTCTCCTGCATCACAGCCTCCACCATCTAAAACAGTCCAGTAAAATCTAACATGTACTCAGTGCCTACCAATGACCAAGCCCTAGTGTAAGGGCTAACGTTAAACACAGCACTTACAACATCCAGGCACTGTGCTAAGTCCTTTGTATTTGTTAATTTATCAGGGTTTCCTTACAGTCTTAGAAGGTAGGTACTTTTATTATCCCTATTTACCAATGAAGAAACTGATGCACGGAGTGGTCAAGTAATTTGTTCAAGGTCACACAGCTAATAAGTGGCAAAAGCAGGATTTGAAGATGGGGGTGCTCCCGAGCCCACACTCTCAACCGCTTTACTTTACTGCACTATACTTGGACGTGCATAGATTTGGGGAGCAGTGTCTTAGAAGTTTTAAAAATGTCATTTCATCAAGTATTTTACCATTCAAGCACAGGCTAGTCCAAAGATGATTTGGAAATGACAAAATGGTCTCCTTTTGATAACCTTTCAACACAAAACTACCAGCTCCAACATTCTATGAAACAGCCAAAGTTGTCTCAGTACTTTCTTTTTGGCTCTGCTCCAGTAACGGAGTTCTAGCAAGGCTACCAGAAGAGCCTCCTTTAGGCCAAGCTAGAGTTCACAGGTCATGTTGCCTCCTTCTAAGGCAGTTGAAGCTGGAGCCTAAGAGGCTGAAATTCATGTTCTTCAATGACATACTTTAAGTCTACCTAAGGGTGGTGATCAGAATGGGCATCCCTTGTGTTCAAACTCACAGCCTGTTGGTCCTCTGACAAGCCCATTTAATAGAAGGGGAAATCAAGGCTCAGAGCACTTCATAAGCCTCCTGGGGACTACACGCCTAAGGAAAGCCAGAGTCAGGGCCAGAGCTGGGGAGTTCTGACTGGCGGTTCTGGACAGTTTCCATCTACCCTTTAACCCCATAGCTGTCAAAGCATCTGCCAAACGAGATCTTAGAGGAACCATTTCAAAGCTATTTTAAGTATTTTCAGATATGGATTTGTCAGGTGGCCTACGTTAATCTCAAAGCCTAATAAAATAGCTGGGCACAGCGGCACACATGCCTGTATTCACACCTACCCAGGAAGCTGAGGCAGAAGGATTGCTTGAGCCCAGGAGTTCGAGGCTGCAGTGTGCATTATTGCACCTGTAAATAGGCACTGCATTCTAGCCTGAGTGTCATCGCAAGACCCTATCAAAAAAAAAAAAACAAAACAAAAAACAAAAAAAGAAAGCTCTAATAAATTGGTTCCATCCTCAAAAACATTTGCTTGAAGTTAGGGCTGAGTAGGTGAGTGCCAGCCTGATTTTGTTTTGTTTTGTTTTGAGACAGTCTTGCTCTCTCGCCCAGGCTGGAGTGCAGTAGTGCAATCTTGGCTCACTGCAACCTCTGCCTCCGAGATTCAAGCAATTCTCATGCCTCAGCCTCCTGCGTAGTTGGAACTGCAGGCGTCTGCCACCATGCCTGACTAATTTTTGTATTTTAGTAGAGACGAGGTTTCTCCATGTTGGCCAGGCTGGTCTTGAACTCCTGGCCTCAAGTGATCTGCCTCCCTTGGCCTCCCAAAATGATTGGATTGCAGGCGTGAGTCACTGTGCCTGCCAATGCCTGATGATTTTGACCCAAAGGATAGATTTGGTGATGAAGAAGAGAGATTCCTGAAACAGTAATACCTTTAAAGTTGGCTGTTTTAATTAAGTGAAGATGAAAATAAAGTGTTTTCCATCTTTATAAGCATTTGCCACTTACTGTGATTGAATTTGTGTTAAGGAGCCAGGAAAGGCTATGGAAGAGCAGTCTCCATCAGTTCACCAGAAGTATCATGGCAAGGCCAAGCTATCATGGTTAAAAGTTAATCATTAGTTTCCTTTCTCCATGATACGATTCAATAAACACATTAACAGTTTATAAAAGAGGTAGTGAAACCTCCTGAGGAAAAAAATATTATGTAACCAGTTTAGGGGAGAGACTTGCCTCGCCTCATATCTCAGTAGGGGGTTGAACTGCACGGCTGGGAGGTTCTTTCCGGTTTCATAACAGTTATTATTTCTGGAAGGGTTTATCTTTTATTGCTAATAGCACTTCACTTTCCTCCATGCTCTGAATCTACGTCACCACCCACACCCGGAACCATTATAAACATCCACCCGCCACCGGGGCAGTAACCCTCATGAAGTTAAAACAGTAGTCTTTCCTGCTCGCCAACAGTTATAGACCTTGAAATGCCATTAGGCCAAACTTTACTGGACTCTATTCATTGTTAGGGTTGTGGAATATTGATCTAAACTCAATCTAACAAAATACACGCGGACATCATCTATAACAATGATTTTCAAAGAGAGAATTTTGAAAGGTATATTGGAGAGAGATGAGAAGCATTTTATGTTTGTAACAGCTCTAATATCTTAATAAGAATGATCTCTTTGTTTAGAATTTAAAACTTAGTAATAATGACACTTATTTTTCCCCCCTCTAAATAATGTTCACCTACTATGAGCAGACAGTAAGGGCACAAATATAAATCAACTTTAAACTGTTTGAAATATCCTTCTATTCATGATTATTGCTGTCACTGAATATGTATCCAGCAGCTGGGCAGGAATTCCCTGATACTAGAGTTAAACAATGGGCAGGCAGAATGCGAAGTCCTATGTGCAGTGGGAATTAAATTGTTCTTTTATTACAAAAATATGATCTTTGAATTTTTTTTTCACTTTTTATTTTTGAGACAAGGTCTCTTTCTGTCACCAAGGCTGGAGTGCAATGGCACGATCTCAGCTCACTGCAACTTCTGCCTCCTGGGTTCAAGCAATTCTCCTGTCTCAGCCTCCTGTGTAGCTGGGATTACAGGTGCATGCCACCAAGCCTGGCTAATTTTTGTATTTTTAGTAGAGATGGGGTTTCGCCATGTTGCCCAGGTTGGTCTTGAACTCCTGACCTCAAATGATTCGCCCGCCTAAGCCTCCCAAACTGCTGGGATTACAGGCGTGAGCCACCATGCCCGGCCAGCTTAGCTATTTTCATATGCCATTACTAATAGTTAATGTTTATTGCAGGCTTAACTTGGACCAGGCCCTGTTTCAATGGCCTTATTCATCCTACTGATATTATAACAATTCTATGAAGGAGATACTATTAACCCTGTTTTACAGTTGAGAAAAATGAGGCACAGAGATTTTTAAGTAATTTTTCTGATGTCACACAACTAAGTGGTAGGGCTGGGAGTTGCACCCAAAAGTCTGGCTCCAAACCCCTTTTACTTAACTAGTATAACCACACAATAGCACCTCTCAGATCATGCTACTTAACTAATTTGTGGCAGGTCACTGATAGAGAAAATTGGCAGCAAATCTTCAAAACAGTGAACAATGAGTGTTTCCAACCAAACTACATTCACTATGGCCTGGATTTTTTTCTTAATGTTGAAAAATTAAAGAAAATGTCATTGAAAAAATAAAAATTACTGACTAATGAGGCATGCCCTTATATACCTAGTTACTCCTGAAAGAAAAGTTTAAAAATCCTAAATCAGCCAGGCGTGGTGGCTCATGCCTGTAATCCCAGCACTTTGGGAGGCCAAGGCAGGCGGATCATGAGGTCAAGAGATTGAGACCATCCTGGCCAACTTGGTGAAACCCCATCTCTACTAAAGATACAAAAATTAGCTGGGCGTGGTGGTGTGCACCTGTAGTCCCAGCTACTCGGGAAACTGAGGCAGGAGAATCGCTTGAACCAGGGAGCTGGAGGTTGTAGTGAGCCAAGACTGTGCCACTGCAATCTAGCCTGATGACAGAGTGAGACTCTGTCTCAAAAAAAAAAAAAATCCTAAATTATTGCAAATGAAGAGGCAAATCAAGAAAATATCAATATAGATAGCCAACAAACATAAAAAGAAAACATTCGTCTAGTAATTGAGGTGACAGGAATATCCAGTGTGTGTGGAAGAGCTGCCTTGTTATAAATTTAAATAACCTTCTGCAGAGCAGTTTGGCAATGTATATCGTTAAACAGGCATGCTCTGTACCCAGCAATTGTACTTCTAGAAGTTTATTCTATACAAAGGAATGCATAAACATGTTTGCTTAAATGTTATGTGGAATACAAAATTGGAAAAAGTTTAATGAAGAACTTACTATGCATATGGCCATGTGAATTTATTCTAAGGAATGTCCAGAAATATGTGCAAAGATGTATCAACACAGATGTTCATAATACTAAGAAGTAAATGATAGCAAAAAAAAAAGAAAGAAAGAAAGAAAATGACCCCACTGTTAAAAAGAAGGAATTAACTAAATTGTAGTGCAGTAATATAATGTGGAAACTATGTTGTAGAAGTTCATAAATATGCATACGAAAAAGACCCAGAGGACATACACTCAGAAGCTGACGGTCATAATTTCAGAGTCATAGGACTACAAGTGAATTTTGCTTTATTTATTTTTGTTTGTTTGTTTTCTGGATTTTCTGCATTGAGCATTCATTAGTTTTATACTAGTAGAAAATAAGAATATTATGATAGAGAGAAATATATTACTGTGAAAAGATACTTCATATCTGTGTTAGTCAACATTTGAAACTGCAAATGACAGAAAATCCAGCTGCAGTTGTCTTAATAAGAACGAAGTTACTGCTTCACATGCTTCCGGCATGGCTGGATTCAGGCCTCACGCACTGTTGCTAGAACTTGGTCCTTCTCTTATCATCTCTTTATCTCTCGTCTTTGTTCTCTATTGCTGCATGTTCAGGAATGCTCTCCCCATGTGGTGGCAAACATGTCCACAAAGATGTTTAAATCTTCCCTCAGCAAATCCAGCCAATTGTCTTTTAAGTAAGAGTTAAAATAAATTCCTGGATCTTATTTATACTGGCCATCTTGGGATCATGCACCCATCCCTGATCCAATCAAATAGCCCTGTGAATGGAATGCCCTATTAGTTATGCCTGGGCCATGTGCCCATCACTGGAGCCAGCGGTCAGGCAGTCAGCCCGGGTGGCTCACTAAGAGTCAGTGGGGTTCTGTATAAAGAAGGAAGAGGGGAGGAATCCTGCAGAGGTAAAAACCATAACAAAGAAACAAAAATACACTGACGACAAGCTTTCAGTTTCTTTAGATGCTGCCTAAGGTCTGGCTAGAAAGAGTGTTAGCAACCTTAAATCACTTAGGACTCTTGTGGTTGCAAGTGACAGAAAACCTAGAACAAGCTTAAGCAGCAAAGATAATTTATTGGCTCACCTAGCTGAGAAGTCCAGAGGCAAGACTGGCTTCTAGTGGGTCAAAGCCACCCAGGATATGGCTCTTATCATCTCTCCACTGGTGACAGACCCATCTCCAGATTCCACACAAAGGCCCCCGCAACTCTGGGCTCTCTCCCCATGGTAGCAAATTGCTCTGGCAATTCCACACCCCACATCTTCACTTCACTCTAGGTGTGGTCTGGGAACAGAGAATCTCTTCTGTGTATCTTCCACAGAAACACTGTTATTGTCACCTCTCTCATTAACCCAAATTGTATCACAAACCCATCCCTGACCAATCAATGTGGCCTGAGGAATAGGTACATGGATGGGTTTGAGATATGTTTTGGCTGCATCCCCACCCAAATCTCAGCTTGAATGCCCACGTGTTGTGGGAGGGACCCGGTGGGAGGTAATTGAATCATGGGGGCAGGTCTTTCCCGCTGTTCTTGCAATAGTGAATAAGTTTCACGAGATCTGATGATTTTAAAAATGGGAGTTTTCCTGCACAAGCTCTCTCTGTTTGCCTGTTGCCATCCATGTAAGATGTGACTTGCTCCTCCTTGCCTTCTGCCATGATTGTGAGGCCTCCCCAGCCACGTGGAACTGTAAGTCCATTAAACCTCTTTCTTTGTAAATTGCCCAGTCTTGGGTATGTCTTTATTAGCAGCGTGGAAACAAACTAATACAGCTTGAGTCAAGTACAGTCTACTCCTGGGCAGGGTCAGTCTGGTCTGGACCACTATTGAGAGTGGAAGGGTAGAGTGATCCCAAG